>NC_000013.11:63408106-65908106 GCF_000001405.40 Homo sapiens
ACAAGTACTACCTTTTTTCTAAAAGATCTAAAGTTATAAAAGTTAACATTTTTATAATACCAATATCATTTTAATTTCAATAATATTAATATTATTTTTCATTTAATGCATACTTAGTGAAGAAATGGTCCATTTTTTTTTCTCCCACTGGATACAGCTTTTTTTATCCATAGCCATTACACTGAGCCAAGAGTGCTTTGAAGTTGTTTCAGATCTGGCACTGAAGAGGTTATTTTCTGTGACAGTTTTTCCTTAAGTAAAATTTGGCTGGCTAAGTCAAGGAGCTCATACTGAGCTCTGTGTGAAAGGTCCATACCAAAGGAATTTCAAACAGCAGGCAGCAAGATGAAGTCCTGGTTGCTTAGCAGTTACTTTCAAACAGAACTAGTAAGAAGGATAGAGAAACATCCCAATAGACAGATCATAGACACTCCAAAACACATCTGTCACAAATCTAAGGAACAAACACAGATATAGGATGCAGATGTTTGAAAAATATCGAGTTGTATGTTATAACAATTAAAACACAATTTAATTCTGGAGGAAATTGGGCTAATGGGCTTTAACACAAAGCAGATGCTCGGAAACAGGGGTAAGTTAGGAACCTAGACATGGAAAATAAGGGAGAGGCCAGGGCTTAAGCACAAGTGATTAGAATCAGTTCCCGGTATTACGATACAAGGTCAGAGTGTAAGCAACTGAACACAGATTTCATGAAAAAACTAACAATCTAGATCTCTTTGTATTAACTCTTCTTTTTAGCAGATAAGTCACAGAATCTGGAGAATGGTGAAAACACAAGGAGGCATTAAATGCTCCAAAATTCAAAATTAGCAGGACACAGAGTCAGGGAGCCAAGAAAACCAATGCAACTTATGATTTATCCTCATTTCAAAGGGTTATTTAAGCTCTCTCTGATTGTGAGCCAAGAAACACTCACTAAATGTTCTATTTTTATGCAACATATGTAACATCAACCAATTTATCTTTCAATTACCTTCTAGTAATTGTTTTCCTTTTTCTCTCTAGAATCTAGAAAGTTTTATTTCCTTGCTAGCTTTGGTTTCTATTTCTATCTAGTATTTACATTTACAGAAGAAAAGAAATATAATATCATGAATTTACCAGAAAATAAAATTAGAACTATGTCAGCCAAAATTATTGAAGAAAATAACTGTGACAACACAAAAAGGGATTAGATGGAGAAGATTGCTAGAGTAAACACTGTGTTGTTGGTATTCATTTTATGACTCCAATCTGTTGTTACTCAGTAAAACAAATGCCAGAATAAGAGCCAATCAGGACTCTTAGAAAAATATACCCTGTATCAGAGATGCAGTATTAGCCATCGTAATATTATTATTCCTGTGAGTTACCCGATAAGCTTAAGGGCTGTTTATATTATAGTTGGAAATATAAAAAGGCCATAAGGAAAATAGATGATGAATTCAGACAGCTTGGGATTAGTCCTGGATCTACTACTTAATAAACTTACTCACCCTGTTCTTTGGGGTCATGTAATCTGAAAAGTGGTGTGAGAATATAAGTACCTCTTTAAAGAGTTGTTGGAAATATTTCTTAAATAGTTAAGTTTAAGTAGTGGACACACATATCCCTGCCATGAAACAAGTACCCAATAAACATTGGTTATCACCTTATATCACAAGAACTGGAAAAATTGTAGATACACATAAAATCCAAAATGTATTTTGATGAAAAAGTCATACTGGAAAACTAATAGTCTGTATACTTTAGGAAGTAGTTGCTAACTTCAAGCTGAGGTATTAAGTCTTTCAATCTTGAGTGCCATCACTAAAAATTAAAATGCTGGCTGGGCATAGTGACTCAGACCTGCAAGCCCAGCACTTTGGGAGACCAAAGAGGGAGGATTTCGTAAGGACAGGAATTTGAGAGGAGCCTGGACAATATGGCAAAATCCCGTCTCTACAAAAAAAAAAAAAAAAAAAAAAAAAAAAATTACAAATTAGCCTGGTGTGGTGGCTCATGCCTAAAGTCCCAGCTACTCCAGAAGTGCAGGCAGGAAGATCGCTTGAGCCCAGGAGGTTAAGGTTGCAGTGAGCCGTGACTGCGCCACTGCATTCTAGGCTGGGCAACAGAACAAGACCTTGTCTTAAAAACAAAAGCAAAAACAAAAAGCAAATGAAAATGCTTATTGTTGGCTGCAAATAACAGAAACTCTGATTCGATCTTTAAAAATTTAAAGAACAAAATAGCGTATAATTCTATATAGTATTACATATCAGAGCAACCCAGTTTATTTCTCTGTCTGTTTTTAATTATTTCAAGCTTTTCCCCTATGATGATTTCCTTCAATGCTATAACATGTCAGGCAGAGAAGCTGGAACAACATTCTGGGTCCCAGTTTACATGCAGAGGGAGAAAACGAAACTCTTTTCTTCTCAAATATGAAGTAGGAATCTTTCCCTTCTGTCTGGTTCATTCTTGCTCACCTTGCCCATGCACCCATTGGCTTAATCTGTGTGAAGCTCTGGAGATCAGAAGCAGGGGACTGAGGAAGTTGCCTTAAATTTGTGCAGTTGTGTGGCATTCAGCAGAGATGGCAATAAAATTAATATCCATTAGAAACAAACTAGAGAAGAGCAAATGTTAGGCAAACAAAACAGTGCCTACTAGGAAAACAGATATTTCTATTTTATCTCACTGATTTTACTCTATATTGAACATAAATTTAGACTGGAAAATATGTACTGATCGAGTAAAGTGTTGCTAATCTATTGAAACTTCCATACAGCTGTATCTCTCCTGTCTTTGTTCTGCATGTTTTTTTTTCTTTAACGGAGTGATAGGCTGCTATATATAACTATGACAAATGTATATTTATGCATAAAGGATAAATAAAAATATGATTTCTCCTAAATATATTTTGATTAGGAAAAGAGGCAAAGAAGAACAGACTGGGAAGCTCCAAATGTTTCTTAAGGGGGCTTTATTATAAAGAAAGAGAAGGATGAATATGCAGAATAGGAATTTCTCTCTTTGCTAATTCTTGCCAGAACTGGCACTTATAGAAAACATATTTATATGTAGAATTAAAGATTCTTTAGCTACCAGTTCTTTCTGATCCCTTTCTAAAGCAACACATTTTTGGGGAAAGAGTAACAGCAGGTAAAGTGGTTAAGAATATAGAGACATACATAAATAGAGACATGCAATTTAGAGACACTTTTTATGACTTTATTACTATCATTTTCCCTGTTTTGTATTTAAATATGTAAATATGTGTGATTGCAACTCAAATATATTTTATTGGGTAAAATGATGTTTAATTATATGTTGCTGGTCAGCCTGAGAGTAGATTTAATACATACCTAGGATTTAATTAGAGCATATTTAACTCAAACATTTTCTCACACTTTTTTTCTTTTCGCTTGAAATAATTTTTGTTCTCTGTTAAATTAAAAAGTATATAACCATAAAGTTGAAAAGAGGGAAAATCATTGTTGTGCTGTATAGGATGGATGTTTAACAGTCCATATTTATTTTAAAGTTTAATCAAGCATAAAGAGTAGAGGCTCTTGAAGTGCTAGATTATTTGAAGTATTTAATCATAAAAATATATTTTAAAATAATAAAGTTAACAATGAGGAATTCAAAAATCATCTTTCACCTGTACACATTTTTATATATTATTATTTGTTTAATTTCATTTTTCCAAAAATGTACCTATTGAATTTAGAGTTTACATTTATGTTCAGATTCAATTTTTTTTTCTTTCCTAAATGTTAGAGAAACAGATTATATTTTTGTAGGAATGCTGCTATGAATTGTTGTATGTTTACAAATTACGGGGCCTGTATATCCTCTATTTCATCCTTATTTGAGTTTATTGATTACCGTATTGACTTTTTTATTTCCAGCTTGTCTGTTCTTTCACACTACTTTGCACCATTAGCAGAATACAAAATTTATTTTTTATTTCACTTCTCAATATCCGCTTTTGTTTAGGCTTTGAAATATAGCAAATGCTTGTCATTGAAACACTTTAAACTTTATAATGAGATAAATTTCACTGTGCTTTTTCTAAATTGAATGGAATATGAGCCGCTTTCAAAGTAAATAATGATGTGCAAAGTAGCAAATAGCGTATTGTTTGTACAGATAAAAACGTATGTATCTATATGATAGTATATAAATAGGAAGACATATTTTGTAAAAATTGGAAGGTATGCCTCAAGGTCCTTTAGACAAGAATAATTTTAATGTTAGAATTTAATCTTCATCAATATCTGCTATGGATGAAAAATTTAAAAAGATATAATATTTTATAATTTAATATGTCATTTTTATTTCTGTGTAACACAAAAGGAATTATATAAATTATATTTCCTCCAAAATTATTTCTTTGATATTACACCTTCACAGCAAGGTAGATGACATAATTCAATGAGAGGTTTTTTTCTCTTATGACAATATTTATGATTTTAAAAGCCTGAAAGTTGATTCTAAATTGTCAGAGCTTCTCACATAAGATTGTCATATATTTTCATATGTTAGGCTATATGTAGCCACTATTATAAAACAAAATATGTGTGTGAATTATACACATGGATCATATATCATGACCTATTCATACAGTCTTGTCAAAAAGGTAAAACTAACCAAGGCCATTTTTTTCACTTTAGATACATATTTCTACACAGAGAAAGTTTATAAAGCTATGTCTTTGAAAGCGATTGGCCTCCTCTAAGTATGCTCAACAATATGTTTCAAAGTGGCAACCAGACCTTCAGAACTAAATATTAATGAATGGCAATACATAAACTATATGTGGATAAGAATTGCTTAATTTGCCTTGATTTTTGTTTTGTGTTACATTTCTAGTTTCTAAAACTAATACTTGAACATGGTCTGTTCAGATCAATTTGTGTTTCACTAAATAATTAAATACAAAAATTAATTGGTGATTAATCTATGCTCTTCAGCCCAAAGTTGCTTCTTCTTTATGCACTGAAGAAAAATTTTAAGAGAGTTTTTAGGTATTTTCCTCGCAATGGTCCCTAATGTTATAAAGCCAGTGGCATGCTTTGTCTTAAGGACAGGATGAATACATTTAGGATTTAAAAGCCAGTGAATTATCTTTATAGTTTATTTTGATACCCACTATAGGGATAATAGTTTTGAAGGCAAAGTTTAATGTTGCATAATCCAAATATGTTTGGTTTATGTACATATTTGAAAATGCAGTTTCTATATAAGAAAACTGAGATTGATAAGAGTAAAAACTTGAAAAATAGGCTTAATAATGGGGGTCCAAAACCTTAAACTATACCTACTAAATATTAAACCATGAGGGACCAGGTGCCATAGACAAAGGATAGAAAATTATGCAAATTTATTTTAGAGTTAATCCCTTCCCAAATTCTAAGAGCTGGCAGGAGGATAATCTAAGGAGTCTACACTAGCTGGATTATTGAGAAGTGGTCTAATGTCTCAACCTTTGGGCCAAATCCCCAAGTCACTGGTGGAAAGGAAGAACATTTAGCATTTAAGAGCTAGAGGTATACATAATACCTAGAGAAGTCCTGCATATAACATATTGTCTGAGAGGGAGAATAAAACTATAAGCAAAATTGCAAACATAGATTGCATCCCCTGCCCCAGGGCAGTCTGCAGAGCCCAGCACACTCCAGTATAGTAGAGGAGGTTTCTCTAAACCTTTGGATGTCCTCTAAAGAAATGAAAGTACAAGTTAGATTAAATAGAGCCCCTAAGGTATTCCGGAATAGGAACAAGGCAGTAATAGAGTACTGTAGTTGGCTGCCTGAGGACATAGCATATCCGAGGTGTCAATAATGAGTGAGGTACACAGCTTTGAAGAGTAAAGTGTAAATAATCCCACGCAGAGGTCAGTATAGGCAGAGAATAATTACAAGACTACTCACTTCTTTCCATCTTGCCGTAAATAAGACATGTAAACTCACAAACCCCAGGGAGAAATACAAGATAAGTAAGGTGAAGGGAGAGAAACATAAAAACATCGAATTAAACAAGTGGTTATGACTAAAAGAACTCAGTTCCAAATGAAATAACATCAAGTTTATATTTCCTTAATGGGCAATAGTAATTATTTTGCAATCAGTAACAACCAGATCTCAAGATTTATACTTAAAGTGATACAAAGATAGATACTTCTTAACACACCTGATTCAGTAAGTGTAAAGTTTCACACTCATTAAATTTGTAATATGTTGTTAAAAACTCCGTGAGTCCATATTCCAGTCAAAACTATTCCCTAGTTGCATTTAAGAATATATCAGGATCATCTGGAAAGGTTAAAGCCCAGATTGCTGAGCTTGCAAAGTTTCTGATTCAGTAGGCCTGAGGTGGAGACTGAGAATTTGCATTTTTAACAAGTTTAACATTTTAAACATATTTCCAGGTGATACTGTTGCTGCTGGTTTAGAACTTCCTCATAAGCAATGATTGCCTGATTGTATATAACCATAATATATGCTTTTTGGGTCAGCCGAACTCTGGTTTTATTGTTGTGTCCACAATTTTGTATACCTTGATTCGTAATCCAACACGAAAGAAATAAATGAGCTTTTAAAATGGACTAGTACCACGTTTATATTTGAAATTGCATTATTGGTTGGCAGTTCAATTAAAGCACAATGTGTGAGACCAGTAAAATCTGGTCTTCCATACGAAACTGTACTTTCTTAAACTATATATAAGCATTGTGACTCACCCTCCTCAAGTGGAATGACTATGCCTCATAGTTTTAAAGATTATAGCAAAACAAGTATTATTGAAAAGTACAACTTAGTGATCTAAAGGCTGCATGATTTTTTCAATATATTTTCTAATTTCTTTGAAATCACAAATAAACTGTAACATTGTTGAAATCATTGGATGTTATTTGCATCTGGAATAGAAAAGAGAATATAGCATGGGTATAGCATAATTTACTCTCATCTTAGGTAATATGGTATAATTGATGCTAATAAAAGCAAATGTCTGAAGACCATTTGATAGATTTAGAAAGGTGGCATGCTATTTTAACTGTGAATAGGCACTGAGTAAACTCAGATACTGAGGTGCGTGGCAGAAATATCAGGCTACCATTTTTATCTCAAATAAATTGCTTTCATCTCAAACCCTGCCCGAATTTATGGCCCATAGAATCTTTGAAAATAATTAAATGGTTTCAGTTTAACCATTAAGTTTGAAGTTGTTTATTGTACAACAATATTAACTTGAATATCCACATATTCTAAAATTCTCTTTTTACAGGTAAATTTCTAACAGTTTGCTATTAGCAGCCCATCTTGTTCTTGCTATGTTCTTCTGATTTTCAAACTTTGTATTCTAAATACCAATTAAGCACTGGATGCATTAACAAAAAATAAGAGAGAAGCTCTTTCCTCATGTCATATTTGAAAAATAGTCAATGAAGCAAATACAAAAATATATTTGTTTAGGTCAATTTTAGAAATAAACAAAGGTATTTGGAAAAAAATTTGGAATTACAATTAATACTCAGCAGAATCATACAAGGATTGAAAACACACCTATCACTGCCTAAATGTTGAGTTAGAGAAAGTAAACCTACTATATTAGTGTGGTGTTAGGTATTTTGGAGTTAGAACATTCAAATTACAGAGAGTAGCATAAAGGCATAAGTTTATAAAAGAAATTACAAGCAGATTGATTTTAGAGTTATGAGTTGTGTTAGAGTTATAATTCATAAAGAGTGATACAAAAAAATATCAGAATAGAAAAAGAGATGTGAGGGAGAGGAAAAGACTAGATCATGGATACCATGGAATATTGGATTTCCTTTTATAAATAATGGAGTCCCAGATAAGTGTACAGTAATAAATCAGTTCTTTGGAAATTATTGGTAATAGATAATCAGTGTTTTTCCTCCCAACTTAATTAGGATAAATACTTTTATAAAATGCAAGTGAAATTACTAGCAAAATGAAAGTATATTGGTACATACAATAAAAGCCCTTAATTTTTACTAGATCAAACAGACAAAAAACGGTTTCATCAAATTGTTATAAAATTTCAAACTTCAAAGATCAGATGGTTATAGATGTGTGGTATTATTTCTGAGGGCTCTATTCTGATCCATTGGTCTATATCTCTGTTGTGGTACCAGTACCATGCTGTTTTGGTTACTGTAACCTTGTAGTATAGTTTGAAGTCAGGCAGCGTGATGCCTCCAGCTTTGTTCTTTTGGCTTAGGATTGTCTTGGCTATGTGGGCTCTTTTTTGGTGCCATATGAACTTTAAAGTAGTTTTTTCCAATTCTGAGAAGAAAGTCATTGGTAGCTTGATGGGGATGGCATTGAATCTATAAATTACCTTGGGCAGTATGGCCATTTTCACAATATTGATTCTTCCTATCCATGAGCATGGAATGTTCTACCATTTGTTTGGTTTCTCTTTTATTTCACTGAGCAGTGGTTTGTAGTTCTGGAAGAGGTCCTTCACATCCCTCATAAGTTGGAATCCTAGGTATTTTGTTCTTGTTGAAGAAATTGTGAATGGGAGTTTACTCATGATTTGGCTCTCTGTTTGTCTGTTATTGGTGTATAGGAATGTTTGTTATTTTTGCACATTGATTTTGTATCCTGAGACTTTGCTGAAGTTGCTTATCAGCTTAAGAAGATTTTGGGCTGAGACGATGGGGTTTTCTAAATATACAATCATGTCATCTGCAAACAGGGACAATTTGAGTTCCTCTTTCCTAATCGAATACCCTTTATTTCTTTCTCATCTTTGACAAACCTGACAAAAACAAGCAATGGGGAAAGGATTCCCTATTTAATAAATGGTGCTGGGAAAACTGGCTAGCCATATGTAGAAAGCTGAAACTGGATCCCTTCCTTACACCTTATACAAAAATTAATTCAAGGTGGATTAAAGACTTAAATGTTAGACCTAAAACCATAAAAACCCTAGAAGAAAACCTAGGCAATATCATTCAGGCCATAGGCATGGGCAAGGACTTCATGACTAAAACACCAAAAGCAATGGCAACAAAAGCCAAAATTGACAAATGGGATCTAATTAAACTAAAGAGCTAATTAAACTCTAATTAAATTAAAGAGCTTCTGCACAGCAAAAGAAACTACCATCAGAGTGAACAGGCAACCTACAGAATGGGAGATAATTTTTACAATCTACCTATCTGACAAAGGGCTAATATCCAGAATCTACAATGAACTTAAACAAATTTACAAGAAAAAATCAAACAACCCCATCAAAAAGTGGTGAAAGGATACGAACAGACACTTCTCAAAAGAAGACATTTATGCAGCCAACAGACACATGAAAAAATGCTCATCATCACTCGTCATCAGAGAAATGCAAATCAAAACCACAATGAGATACTATCTCACACCAGTTAGAATGGCAATCATTAAAAAGTCAGGAAACAGCAGGTGCTGGAGAGGATGTGGAGAAATAGGAACACTTTTATACTGTTGGTGGGACTATAAACTAGTTCAACCATTGTGGAAGACAGTGTGGCCAGTCCTCAAAGATCTAGAACTAGAAATACCATTTGAACCAGCCATCCCATTACTGGGTATATACCCAAAGGACAAACCATGCTGCTATAAAGACACATGCACACGTATGTTTATTGCAACACTATTCACAATAGCAAAGACTTGGAACCAACCCAAATGTCCATCAATGATGGACTGGATTAAGAAAATGTGGCACATATACACCATGGAATACTATGCAGCCATAAAAATGATGAGTTCATGTCCTTTGTAGGGACATAGATGAAGCTGGAAATCATCATTCTCAGCAAACTATCACAAGGACAAAATACCAAACACCACATGTTCTCACTCATAGGTGGGAATTGAACAATGAGAACACTTGGACACAGGGTGGGGAACATCACACATGGGGGCCTGTCACAGGGTGGGGAGAGGGGGGAGGGATAGCATTAGGAGATATACCTAATGTAAATGATGAGTTAACGGGTACAGCACACCAACATGGCACATGTATACATATGTAACAAAACTGCAAGTTGTGCACATGTACCCTAGAACTTAAAGTATAATAAAAAAATTGAAAATTCGTATCTTCTTTTTTATTGATGCATAAGTAAATTCATAATTTCAACTTAAGCATTTGTTGTAGACCTGTAACAGTTTCCGGACTGGCATTAGTCTGCGGGCCACACTTTGACTAGTGATAACGTAAGGGGCATAAAGAAGAGGGGGTGAATAACGGAGATGCTGTTGTAATTGACCAGTTGAGAAAGACAGATGTATTACTCTATTTCATGATAACTAGAAATGAAAAGGTGTCGGATGATACCAGAATTGTTAAGGAGTTAACATTATGCTCTTGTTTTAGGTACTCTCTAGCTAAATCAAGGATGACCCTTAACTGAGTATCAGACAATTGGATGAAAGTTGTCACTGTAGCTAGTTTTTGATAGGGAATATTCAAAGACATTATGGCAGAAATTTAAGTTTTAGAGTCAGTATATTATAGAAGGGAAGGGCAGAACTCTGAAACCACTGCTGGTTTCATACATGAGTCACTGTTCATGTGACCTCAGGCAAAATCATTGTCTCTCCATATTCAGCACTTATTCCATAAAATAGAAATAATAAAAATCATAAATGCTTAATTTTCCAACTGACTGCTTGACAGCTTCACCTGCAAGCTCTAACATCAAACTCAAAATATAAATCAAATTATACATATGTATATATAAAAATCAAGATCTACTTTCTAAACAACTACTTTTATAAATGACACTACAATAACCTAAAATAAAAAACTAAGCTCCAATTTTAGTCTTTGTCTATAATATACATTTAATGAATAATTATATATATTATATCACTAAATAAAATTTTTCTATCTATGTCTATTTCTGAAGACTTTGCTCTAATTCATGCATTCTCACTTGTCTGTTGTAATGGTTTTCTAATATATAGGCAATATATTCTGCCTCAATGTCTAAAAAAATTCAGCAATTCATTAATTAGTTAATATAGTTAATAAGGCAATGCAATAGGATTTATGAAGAAATACAGTTAAAAACTGTTCTTCAAAGAATTCGAATATTTAATAGATATGATAAAACCAACCAGAAAAATAAGTCAATCAATTACTTTGGAAAAGTCAAGCAATTATTGACCTGTGGCTACAGCTCTGGAATCCAGGAATAGAACATTCTAAAATAAAGGCTTCATACAGCTTGCATTGTCTCCTTATTCCTCAATTCCCCCCACATAGTGACCCAGTAAGGGCCAGATGTTTATCTGAACATGCAGTAAATTTTGCGTCGTAGGAGAGAAACCTCAAAATTATAAGACTCAAAGCTTCAATATGGTGGCAGGCACATCTGCCCATTAACATCTCTGGAGCAAATCCTCTCCAAGGAAGAGAAGGAAAGTGCTCTAGGTTATTAAAACCCTGGAATAAAAGCAAATACTTCTGGATTAGGGAGAAAGTATCTTAAGGTTATTATCCTTACAATGTATGCAAATGACTCCAGGGGAATCCTTTCTAAATATCCCCAAAGGATTATCTCTAATTTCCAAGGAACATTTGTTATTCGATAATGCATTCTGAACCAGGAAGGAATGTGAAAAATTTATAGAACACTGTCTCTCAATGGAGTTAATAACAATAGTATTATGATTACATAATGCACATGTTATTTGGTACACAAATAACCAAGGTGCTTAATAATGTGATAAACATTCTACTTCAAATACATATTTCACTTATTTTCATAACAATCTTATAAAGAAAGCATTATTGTTCTTTCCTTATACCCAAAGTTAAACTGAGACTAACAAAAATTGAACAATTCTTCAAAGTCATACATTAGTAAGCCATAAATCCAAGGTGCAATGTCATTTTTATCAACATCAAAACCTATGTTGTTAAAAATAATATTATATTACCATTGCAGTCTAGGGGGACCATTTATGGTGCATCTTTTGGGATTCTGCAGTGAAAATGCGCTGTTAGGAAAAACAAGATAATAATTAATAAAGACAGAATTTAGAGAAACAATATTTTTTTCTTTTTTTTTTTCCGAGACGGAGTTTCGCTCTTGTTGACCAGGCTGGACTGCAATGGCGTGATCTCAGCTCACTGCAACCGCCGCTTCCCAGATTCAAGCGATTCTCCTGCCTCAGCCTCCAGAGTAGATGGGATTACATGCACGCGCCACCACACCTGGCTAATTTTTTTTTGTAGAGACTGGGTTTCTCCATGTCTAATTTTTAGTAGAGACTGGGTTTCTCCATGTTGGTCAGGCTGGTCTCGAGCTCTCAACCTCAGGTGATCCGCCAGACTTGGCCTCCCAAAGTGCTGGGATTACAGACGTGAGCCACTGTGTCTGGCCGAGAAACAATATTTTAATCAGGATAACATCCTTTCGTTTAAACAGATTTATTTAAATTACATGACATTGATTTCCTGCTTAGCAACTGATCAAATTTTATAATTCAAATTATATATTATGTAAATTTACATTATACCCAGCAAGTTGAAAACTAGGATGTTACCTCAATGTTTTAGCTATTATTTTGTCTTCAATGACTTTTCTTTCAAGGCATATCAAAGGGTACTATCTGAATAAGACAGAGCATATCTCTGTATTATTTTCTAAATGTCAGCTGTGTTATATTTGAGATGTCACCTGCTGCTGCTATGGAGTTTCTTTTTAACCATGAACCCTCATTTCTTATACATCTCATACACTTATAGCATTAAGGTAAGTACTGAGTAAGAATCATTCAAAATATGATGGGCATCAGGCAAGAGTTATCAAATGCTTGAAAATCCATTTTCATAAAATGATGCCAATCATTGTCAAAAATGATTGCATTAAAATAACAAGTGAAGGTTTGCCATAAGTTTGTACAGGAAGTAAATTTCAATGGTTTTATCTTTGATTTCAAAATATTATATTCCATGGTTTATCTTAAATTATTAGAAATATTTTTTAATCCCAAACTGGTATTGTCTACCCTGTGCATATAAAATTAAAATAGGAGAAAACAAAAGTGAAGTTTTTTTTTTTAATTACCAAACAAACTCACTATTTCACAATCAAAGTCATACATTTTGGGACATGAATTGCACAGTGTTAATTCACGCTCAGGTGCATTGATGGCTCAGAGCCTTCAGCCTCATGCTCAGCAGCACACTAGGTGTGAAATATTACGACACAATTCACAACCTGTCATGTCTTATGGCTTAATTAGGGATGTTTATGATCTTGTTATTCATACTGTATCAGTAACAGATGACTAAAAAAAGAGACAAGGGACAATTACATGCAGAATAGCGTCATCATCATCACATAAACTGAGAGCTTGAACTGTGGCTTAATTCAGTCTGAAATGGTAACTGAAAAAATAATGAAAATAAGTATCAAAGGAGAGTAACACAGCACAAATCCAGCATCCAATAATGGGATCCAAGAATATACGTATATATTGCTTCACAGTTCATTTCCTGGGCACTGCATTTGTAGGTATTTATTTAGGTTGGAAAAAGATTAGATTAAATCCCGCAAAAAAAGTCTATATGTTGTTGTAAGGAGAAAATCATTGTTACATCAACACATTAGAGGATTATAAACTCAATACATATACTTACAAATTTTTTTATTATCTTCTCTGATTATACTAATAAATCTATACTTAATATTATGTACATAACATCAAGATCATCTAATTCTAATAATTTGTTATCATAATTATCTAGGTCAGACATTTAATATTAGCATTAATATTCATTAATATTAGTGATAGTAATTCATTTTAGCACATAAACATATATTTTTAAAGTATTGTCGATCCATTTTCTACTCTGCATGACAAGTCATCACAAATTTAGGGACTTAAAACAACACATGTCATTATCTCACAGTTTCTATGATCAGAGGTCTAGGCACAACTTGGTTGTGTCTTCTGCTAAAAGTATCCTGAGGCAGCAATCAATGTATCTGCTAGACTGCGTTTTCATCCGGGGTCTCAACTAGAGAAAATTTCATTGTTATGTTAACTCAGATTGTTGCAAAATGTCATTTTTTTGAGTCTACATTACCAAGATCCCAGCCATTTATTGGATTTTGGCTGGATGTGACTCTCAGCCTTTAAAGGAGTTCCAAGTACACACTCTATAGGCAGTTTATAACGGGGTCTTCACTTCCTCAAGGCTAGCAGAAGTTCTCATAGTACTTATCTAAGACCTACTTTCATATAATATAACCTAATCAAGAGATTGACATTTGTTACTTTTTCCATATTCTATTGGTTAGAAACTTGTCACAGGTTTCACCATCACTTAAGGGGGAAGGATTATCAAAAGGCATGGACATCAAAAGAAAAAAATGCTGGGGACATCAGTCATCTGTTCCACCCATTGCCTCATTTTAATTTTTCCAAAACCTTACAAAATGAACACTATTATTTCACTTTTGCAGGTAAGAAAATTCAAGTTCAGAGAGATTTAGTTACTTTACCCTGTTCGCACAATTTGTATATTTCATAACTAGTATTATTATCCAAAAGTATTTTCTTCAAAAGTCAATGTTCATTTCAACATACAGCTGACTTGACATGAGTATCCACATCTTGGAGGAGCTTGAAAATACCTAAATGTTTCTAAAATCAAATAAACTATCATCTACCTACATTAACTTTTTATTTATGCATTTATTTTTTAAATGGTATATAGAAAAGCTAGAAAATAGGTTCAAGACTTGTTCTAGACAGTCCAATGAGGAAAGTGTTTTGAATTAAAGTTCATTTCACAAACATAAATAACCACAGAAAAAGGAAATTAAAACTTTTGAGCCAGTGTGGTGGCTCATGCCTATAATCCCAGCACTTTGGGAGGCTGAAGTGGAAAGATAGCTTCAGCCCAGGATTTCAAGACCAGCCTGGGCAACATAGTGAAACCCCATGTCTACAAAAAATCTCAAATAAAAATTAAAGAAAATTAGCTGGGTGTAATGGCACATACCTGTAGTCCCAGCTACTCAGGAGACTGTAGTGGAAGGATCACTCGAACCTAGGAGGTTGAAGCTGCAGTGAACTGTAATCAAGCCAATGCACTCATGCCTGGGTGACAGAGTGAGACGCTGTCTTTAAAAAAATACAAAACAAACAAACAAATGAAAAAACAGAAACCAACCAAACAAAATAACTGCTTATAGATCTTCCTTAATGTGTAAAACAACTTCGGTATGACTTCCCAAAGTTCAAGTGAGCTTGGTTGTTGCAAAGAGATAGCTATCATTTACTGGGTTCTTGCTCTTTTTATGAGACTAAGTTAAATTATTTAGATGAATAAGCTCATTTATTTTTTAAAAATATCACTTCAATTTTATAGAAAAGGAAACTAAAACTTAGAAATAAAGAGACTTGGCAAAGGTCACATAGCTAGTAAGTAGGAACGCTTTGTTCAGTCCCACCAACTCTGGATGTCTTACTGAGGAATCCTGGGCTCATGGAAGGAGAGCAGGGTAAGATATTAGTGTTTAAACATTTGATACAGTACGTTATGATTCCTACAAAGCTTGCAGGACTGAGTGGGGAAGAAAATATATAATAATAAATGACTCTAACTAGATGGTGAGATACTTGCCACTGTAAAACTTGGGGTCTAATCTGCAGTTTTTGCTGCTATGATTGTCTGCTGCCTGAGTTGGCTCCATCTTTACTGGGAGGCATGCTGATTTCCAGAAGCGAAGCTGGTGTATGGCAACGTTTTACTTTGAGAAGGCTGGAGTGAGGAAAGCTTTCTAGGCCAGAGATATTCTAGAAAAGTGGGAATCGAAACACCAGCAGAATCACCAAAGACTTCTACACTTACGACCATTCTCAGGACATATTTTTCAGATGTGGGACATAACATAGGATGAAAAAATGCCAAAACCACAACTATAATCAATATCCTAACTGACCTGAATAGACTGAAGACTCTGGATACACAGATGAAGAGTAGAAGCTGAACACCATAGAGAGGCTATTAGTCAAGACATATTGCCAGGTTTGGTGGCTCGTGCCTGTAATCCCAGGAGTAATACTCAGGAGGCTGAGGTGGAAGGATAACTTGAGTCCAGGAGTTTGAGACTAGCCTGGGCAACATAGGAAGACCCTGTCTCCAAAAAAGTTATTTTTTAAGAAAACAAAAAAATATGGATTACTCTGAACATGTGAATTGTACACATTCACATGGTCAGAAACACTGACTAATCTTGCACACTGACACACTAACTTATGTAAACAAACTGGTATGTTTAATATGTGAACTAATTCCTAAACATAAATCACTTCAAACCCAATGACCCTTCCCCAGTACCAGAGGAGCTTCTGATAACTCTGCTTCAGCTATATGGGGAGCTCGCTAGGTAGAACTAATGCAAAATCCCCAGCTAACCATTGTTTTAAGTGAAGACAATATATACTCCAACTTAATTAAGTAAATTAAAATACGTCTAGGGAAACAGAAGAGTGTTTTATTCTGTTACAGTAGGTAGTCAGACATGAGCAGGACAGGAGAGCCCCATCTCCACCACAAGGAATGTCAGGCGATCATCAGATGATGGTCAAATGGTTGTTAAACTGTTTCTCTAAAACAATCATTGGTCACAGCGGGCCAGGTGCGGTAGCTCATGCCCGTAATCCCAGCACTTTGGGATGCTGAGGCAGGGGGATCATGAGGTCAGGAGACTGAGAGGATCTTGGCTAACACGGTGAAACACTGTCTCTACTAAAAATACAAAAAATTAGCCAGGCATTGTGGCAGGTGCCTGTAGTCCCAGCTATTGCTACTCGGGAGGCTGAGGCAGGAGAATGACGTGAACCTGGGAGGCGGAGCTTGCAGTGAGCTGAGATTGCCGCACTGCACTCCAGCCTGGGCAACAGAGCAAGACTCCCTCTCAAAAAACAAACAAACAAACAAACAAACAAAAAACAATCATTGGTCACAGCCAACACCAGGAAAACGCAGTCTCCCAATAGATAGAAAATCCCTGAAACTGGTGATCAGCAGCCTCCCAGTAAGATCTCAGGTGTTGGACAAATGAGCTCAAGCATAAACACTAATAGCCAAAATGGCAGAGCCTAACTGGTATATGACCTTCTTCTAGAAACACTCATCTGGTAAAGAAAAAATGCCTCAAGTAATAATTGTACAACTTTAATAAACACACTGAGTACGAGTTTAAGATCTCTCTGATTGCTCTAACTGCATTCCTTTCATTTTTCACATTGTTTTGAGTATAATTTGACCTGCTAGTTAAATGCTGGGAAAACTATCATCTTCTTATTTCTAGCTAAAGGCTGAAGGGTAACAAGTGGTTCAGGCCATGACGGAGCCCAGTTGAAGGCATCTCCAAATCCTAAATTAATAGAGAGATTCACAGGCTTCAGTCAGAATTATTCTTGACTCTCAGGCTCATAATACCAGCCATAAAACTAGCTTACAATATAAACATTAACATATTCTAAAAGATCAACCTCATATGACAAGTTCTCTTGCCAGAATGAACCAATAATAAAATTAATATTAATTACAAATTAACATAAAAAAGAAAAATAACCTTAACATTCCACATATTTGAAAACCAAACCTTCATAGCAAGATACACTTTAGATTAAGCATACAGTGTAGGACTATTTCTACATACAGATAACAGAATGGCATCAAAAATGACACTGGTCAAAATTTTTGTGAGGCACAGAAAATGAAATATTTATAAAGAGATGCACAGCTTAAAAAAATGAGAATAGTTGACAGAGATAAAAAATAGGAAGTAACTATTTTGTTCTTTTCAAAGAAAAAGAAGTAATGAAAGAATTAAGGGCACAACTCAATAAAACAGAAAAAATAACTAATTTATAGATAAATTTAACAATAACAGTTTACATTGTTTAAGCACAATTTAAAGTATGATTCTATGAAAAGATGAACAAGATAGATACACCTATAGTAAAACTAGTCAGAAGCGTTGTCAGGGGAAGGGATAAGAGAAAAATTTCAAATAAAAATGAAGAATAAAAGTGATTAGATATAAAATAAATTTTAAACACTTTAAGAGGATCTTTAGTAATATTTATAATTAAGCATTTTTGTGTGCAGCATATTGTTGGACCTCCCATTTTTCACCTAATCTGAAAATATTTGTATTTGAGTGTTTCAATCACTAACATTTAATTTTAAATTGTACGGCTATGTTTATCATCTTGCTATCTGTTTACCATTTTTATTTCACTTTTTACTTTTCTGTACTTTCTATTTTGATATGGTTATTGCCTACTAGACTATCTTGTTAAATGGCTATTGAAGCCTTGTATTCATTATTAAAATTGTTTTATTCTATATTTTAACTTGTGTATTCTTAAAAGCTTTTTGTTATATTTTATGCATATGAGTGCCTAGTTTTTGGTTGCAAATGACTTCTCTCACTCGTTGACTCATCTCTTTGCTCTCTTGTATGTCTTCTCAAAAATAGCTCCTATTTTCATGAAGCTGAATTTATCTATTTGATTTGTAGTTAGTATTTCGAGTATATGCATGTCTTGTTTTTGAAATATTTGCATATGTAAGAATCATTATATGTCATGTTATATTTTATATTTAAGGAGCAAAACATTTATTGTGCTATTGTAGGTATTTATTTTTTAAGGTAAAGTAGCACATAAGAGACATCATCTCAAAAATTAGTCTTAATTGACAATTAATTGGCTATGTTTGCATTGGGGGAACCCGCTCCCATATTTCAACATAGGTTCTTTTTATTTTCCCTAAGTGTCGGCTGGTCTGAGAAATAAAGAGAAACAGTACAAAGAGAGGAATTTTACAGCTGGCAGCTGGGGGTGATATCACATATCAGTAGGTCCGTGATGCCCCCTAAGCCACAAAAGCAGCAAGTTTTTATTAGGGATTTCAAAAGGGGAGGGGGTGTATGAACAGGGAGTAGGTCACAAAGATCACATGCTTCTGAAGCCAGTAAAGATCACAAGGCAAAGGACAAAGCACAGATCACAAGGCAAAGAGCAAAATTATAATTACTGATGAGGGTCTGTGTTTGGCTGTGCATGTATTGTCTTGATAAACATCTTAAACAACAGAAAACAGGGTTCAAGAGCAGAGAACCAGTCTGACTGCAAATTCATCAGGGTTGGATTTTTTCCCCCACCCTAATAAGCCTAATAAGCCTAAGGGTACTGCAGGAGACCAGGGAGTATTTCAGTCCTTATCTCAACTGCATAAGACAGACACTCCAAGAGCGGCCATTTATAGACCTCTCCTCAGGAATGCAATTATTTTCCTAGGGTCTTAATATCTAATAATCCTTGCTAGGAAAAGAATTTAGCAATATCCCTCCTACCTGCATGTCTGTTTATAGGCTGTCTGCAAGAAGAAAAATATGGCTCTATTCTGCCCGACCCCACAGCCAGTCAGACCTTATGGTTGTCTCCCCTTGTTCCCTAAAATCACTGCTATTCTGTTCTTTTTCAAGGTGCTTAGATTTCATATTCTTCAAACACACATGTTTTACAATCAGTTTGTACAATAGTGGTCCTGAGGTGACGTACATCCTCAGTTTACGAAGATAACAGGATTAAGAGATTAAAGTAAGACAGGCATAAGAAATTATGAGAGTATTATTTGGGAACTGATAAATGTCCATGAAATCTTCACAATTTGTGTTCAGAGACTGAAGTAAAGACAGGCATAAGAAATTATAAGAGTATTATTAGGGAAATGATAAATGCCCATGAAATCTTCACAATTTATGTTCCTCTGCCGCGGCTCCAGCTGGTTCCTCCGTTCAGGGTCCCTGACTTCCCACAACAGTTTGGATTTATTTACATTGAACATTTAAATTCTTAAAATGTCACAAGAGCTGAATAAGATCAATCCATTTATTATATCTTATAATGAGGCATAATTTAGCCTATGTATGATTAGATTATGAGTTAATTCCTGGGATAAACACACTGAGCATGAGCTTAAGATCTCCCTGATTGGTCTAACTGCATTTCTTTCATTTTTCACATTTTCAAATATTTGTTAAAATACATTGTATCATATTATTGAATTATTTTTTATCAAGCTATTTCAGAGAATAAAATAAAATGGAAGTTATTTTTTCCTATATTAGTGTAGTTTTTATATATAAAATATAACAGAAATACATTTATAAACATTTAATGGTTCACATCACTTAAAATGAGGTTTTATTAGAGGAAATTTCATTTTAAGACTGTTATGGCAAAAAGCACCTACAGAAAAATATGAGAATTATAATAGGTCATAAAATATCTTAAGCATGAGGTTTAGTAAAACATGTTCTTAAAGAATATGTATTATTCCTTAAAACCTTTTTTTATGTACTCAGGGAAAATAGATCTTCATACTGATACGTTTGTATTGGTGAAAACGTGAATATCTGCTAGAGCCTGCAAGTAAATAGTAGTTAAAATCACCACAAATGAAAGTATCTTATGGTTTTACATGCATCTCCATTTCATTCATTAGCTTGAATTAAATTTACTGTTTTTCCTAATCCCAAAGGTCAAATATTATTTATTATGGCAGGTGGATATAGTTTACAAGCAGATTACTCTGAAGTCCTTTGTGAAAGTAAGAAACTATTTTATTTGTCCCTTCTGCTAAATCTGCATTTAATTTCCTTAAAATGTTTGAAAAATGATTACATGTATTTTAATAAAAATAACTAGTTGGCAACACACTGTTCCTTTAAAATGTTTGAGTAAAATAATATTCATTAAAAATTACTAGTTCTAATATTGAATACTTTTATGTAACTCTGTTAGTCATTATTCATCCATTTATTCAATACATCTTTAGTGAGCATCTTGCTGGAGCTGGCACTGTGATATAATGCACATATAGTAGTGAATAAGTCTGACATTCTCTTTTGTTTTGAGCAAAATTCTCTCTCTTGTTTTTACCCCACTTTTATAAATGGTTTCTTATATATGTTATTTATTTAATATTTTACATTTGGAAAGTCTTCTTTTTTCTGATTTAGTATTATGAAAATACTAATTGATGATTACCACTCATTTTTTAAGAGTGGAACTATTTCATATCATCTGTGGGGTCATGTAGATACATTTTCTATCTCCAGGAATTTAATCTCTAATCATGTTTCATCATAAGTCACATAAGTGAACGAATTTCTAGTAGACAAATTAAAATAGTGAACATGTTTGCTCTAAACATTATAATTATTTATTGTTTATCTTGTTGGCTTAAACACTAAATCAAAGCAATTATGTAGGAAATTAAGGCAAAAAATTTACTATATGTGAGAAGATAAGGATAGTTAAAAAATCAAAATATCACCTTTGAATGAATCAATAAAAATGTTTCTCTATATTGATTAAACATACTTGATAGTTTTTTCAGTGCTTTAAATTACTGTACTGATAAATTTCATTATGTTTTAAGTTAGAAAACCCCAGATACATGTAACATAGTTGGTAACACACTACATAAGAAAAAAACTACCTTTTTTTCTTTACTAATTTAATTGTTTTTAAAGATCAAGGATCTATAATTTCAAAGTAAAGATGATTTCGCTTATTTAAATATAAAGATATATTTATATTATATATTATATAAATATATAATTATTTTAAGGTAAAGACATAGATTTTAGTTATAGCTAACACCAGGAGGAAAAAGAGCAATACTCAAATTCTTTATTGTGTCATCAACTTATCTGTAGGCATCAATAAGACCTTTCAAAAAATTTTTTTTTTTTTAAAAAGGAGTCTCACTCTGTTGCCCAGGCTAGAGTGAAGTGGCATGATCTCAGATCACCACAAGCTCTGCCTCCCAGGTTCACACCATTCTCCTGCCTCAGCCTCCTCAGTAGCTGGGACTACAGGCACCTGCCACCACACCCGGGCAATTTTTTGTGTGTGTTTTTAGTAGAAATAGGGTTTCACCGTGTTAGCCAGGATGGTCTCAATCTCCTGACCTTGTGATCTGCCCGCCTCAACCTCCCAAAGTGCTGGGATTATAGGCGTGAGCCACCATGCCTGGCCAACCTTTCAAAAATTTTATTTCCCAAATTAAAAATGTACAAGACATACCTCTTAACAACCCCTTGTCACATTAGACTCAATGGCTAAATTACAGTATAACAAGATCTGATTATAATCAACTCCCTTATTGATTGAAAATGTTTTTAAAAAGGTTTGAAATAAAAGTAGTTTCATGTTTGCAACGTTATGCTTTCTTTTTATTTTTCTTTTCTATAATCATGCTTTTTTCTCTACATTTGCAGATTCTGTCATATCATTATGACAGGAATATAAATATTAATGTTTTAGCCTGTTGAAAGAATTACAGAATAGGGGATTCAAATTAATGTCTTATTAATATCTTTAGAACTGGCAAACAATCACATAATTTATATTACTTCAAAACTCCTACTAATATAGGTTTATTTTAATACATTTTTAAAAGCTCAAGCTTCAATTTTGCTTTATTTACTTAGAAGTTGTTCTATACTATACCCTTATAATAAATGCCTTTTAGAACTACACATTTATGTCAGCAGAGTTCATATAATCATTCTCCCAACACGTATCTTTATATATTGTTAGTCTTTTATAAAAAAAATTATGTCATGTATTAATATAATATAACCAAAACTTTTTTCAAAAAAGTTATTTTCTATTTCAAAGTTTAATTTAATAAACCTTTTCACTATAACACAATTTTTCATTTTCATATTAAGAGGTCAGTTGGAAGAACAGACACTGGGATTTTTAGCACAGTATGGGAAGAATTAATTACACATCTTCAATTAAGACCAATTAGAGTTGTACTTTCGCTGGCTTGCACACCATGAAAGAACTCTACCAAAATGTCTAATAAGCATAGACAGTTCATTAATGTTAAATTTGGTCTCCATGTCTATTTTCATCTCCTGTGGTGTTTTGTGGGTTCCTAAAAACTCCTGGAAATTAGGTATTAGAGATGTATAACATCATTTATAGGGATTTTAAATATTAAACAATACATTAATAGGTTAGCATTAGTTATATTCCTAGAATGTGGTAAAACATTTCAGGAAGTTTTGGATTTAATGATTTGATAAAATGAAACTTAATAAATCTTTACCCTAAATCTTTTATTCAGGAAACCATTACCATGCTGCACTAAAATGAGTCTAAAATGCTCCATGTCATTTTTAAAAGGACTAAAAACTGTATTTCTATTAGCAATTATTATATTTGTTGTATATATCTTATACAATATAGAGAATCTTATTACTTCACATTTTCAATGTGCTTTTCTCTGTGACATGTACATGTAAATAGTATATTTCACATTGGAAAGCACTTTGAACCTTTGCAAATTTGATCCAAAATAGAAATTACAGCAATTAGTAAGCTAATAAATGTGAACTTTAATGTTAATTTCTTATACAGAAATGAGTTATGTTTGATAAAATTGTCAGTAGACAGCTGTTTAAAACTGTCTAAATATTTCTTTCAGTAAATACTCTGTATATTTTTGAGACAATCAAGGCATTAAATGTAGCAAAATGTTTTAGACTAAAACAAATATTTTTATTTGAACAACTTGACTACTCCCTGTAGAAATGGCTTTAGAGTTGTTATATAAACATTACACTTAAATGCAGGTAAAACTTGAACCAAAATGTTAACCACAATTAAAAATACCAAATAAATACCAACTGGCCTAGAAAACGCCACTGATCTTAAATTTTGGACAATTACAGGCATGCAATTATGTTAAGATACACATGTATATGGTCAGTTAAATTGCAACCATGCAAATTATTGAGAAATGCCAAGTCTTCAACAAACATGTCAAAAAAACCTTATATCTGATAAGAAAAACAATGTAAGTGAGATAAACAGTGTACTTTAGCCCATACCTCACATCATAAAATAAATAGTTCACACTTTATTGAACACTTACCCATGATGCACTTACAAAAAAAGGGAAAGAAAAGATAAATAAGACTTCATAAAAATTAAAACTGACTTAGAAGTCACCATTGAGCACATAAAATTGAAAGCTATAGATTGAGAGAAAATATTTTAATATATTTCTACATAAACATATGTGTGTGGGAAAATATGTGTAATGTATTTGTACAAATAAATAGTAAGAAGATAACACTGTGTGTGTGTGTGTATGTGTGTGTGTGTGTGTGTGTGTGTGTGTTGAGATGGGGTTTTGCTCTTGTCACCCAGGCTGGAGTGCAGTGGTGTGATCTTGGCTCACTGCAACGTCTGCCTCCCAGGTTCAAGCAATTCTCCTGCCTCAGCATCCCGAGTAACCAGGATTACAGGCACACGCCACCACACCTGGAAAATTTTTTGTATTTTTAGTAGAGATGGGGTTTTGCCATATTGGCCAGGCTGGTCTCGAACTCCTGGCCTCAAGTGATCCACCTACCTGGGCCTCTCAAAGTGCTGGGATTACAGACATGAGCCACTGCAACCAGCTTAATACAGTTTTTTTTTTTAATGGGCAACATATTGGAAGACACTTTGCAAAGGCATACGTACCAATAATCAACAAATGCATGAAAAGTTGTTCAATATTGTTTTTCATCAGGAAAATGCAAATTAAAACTACCATTAGATATAACTTCACATCCACTAGGAAGGTTATAATTAAAGTGACAAAATATTGGAGAGGAAGAGTAACTGGAACTCTCATACTTTGCCGGTAGAGTATGAAATGATAGAGCCACTTTGGAATTTAGCTGAAAGCTTCCTAGAAAAGATCAATATATCTCTATTTTATATTACTTTATATGAGGCAGTCATTCCACTCCCAAGTATTTAACTAAAAGATATGAAAAGATGTCCATACGGAGGTGAATACAAGAATATTTGATGCAGTTTTATTCAAAAGAAACAAAAACTAGAAACAATACAAATGTCTACTAACAGAAGAATGAGTAAGAAATTATCACATATCATTTCAGTGAAATTATACTCACCAATAACTAACAAAATATAATTACACCTCATGAATTACTCTCAGGAAAATTATTTTAAGAAAAAGAAGCAGACAAAAAAAGCCCATACAAAATGATTTAATTTAAATGAACTTCAAGAAAAAGCCAACCTAATTTGCAAGGATAGAAATAAGAATCACTGACTAGAAAGGCTCACAGAAGGGGCTGATTAAAAAGAATAAAATAAATTTCTAAAGTGATGGACTTGTCTATATCTTATATATGACAGGTGCATATTTGCCAAAATTTATCAAACTGTACATTTATGAACTGTGCAACTTATATAATTATATATCACCTATATAATGATACATAACATGTTATTTAATATTATTTTCCTGTGTAGTTTTGTATATAGTAAAGTGTTAATAGCTATAAAATATCTGATATTATGGCTTACTTTTAACTTAAGTAGCTTGCCTGCCACTGTGTTATTGATGGTGGCAGAAGAATTGAGCTTCCTGTGTTGGAGTCAAATACTTTTATTAGTTATGTTATGAGAGGCAGAATGAGCTGTATGCCTGCATCAGTTCCCTTAAGACCCAAGTCCCATAGGAGCAATGTGGAGTGGCCCAGATGGGTGCTGCACATAAACAATGGGTTTGTGTTACAACTAAGGGATCCTGAGTTTAGGAAACCCTTAATTTTATAAGTAAGCTTCTAGTAAACTTGTTCAAATATTATTCTACAGAGATAATATATGTATTGTTCTATTGAAGGATTGTATCTATTTCCTGCCCTGAAGGAAAGTACTGTGTCTATCTTTCAAGGCTGTTCTCTATACAAATATGCTGGAAAAGAGATCAGGAAAAAATTTATATTAGTCATGCAGAAAGGTTATGAAAATACACAGAGGAAGCTTAAGTACATATTACTAAGTGAAAGAAGCAGTCTGTAAAAGGATGTATGTTATATGATTCCATCTATGACTTTCTGGAAAAGCCAAAACTATATACACAGTAAAACAATCAGTGATTGTCGGGGGTTGGATGGGAAAGAGAGATCAACAGGCAGACACAGAGAATTTTCGGGGCACTAAAACTACTCTATATAGTAGTATAATGATGGACATGTTTCACTGTATATTTGTCCAAGCTTATAGAACATACAACACCAAGAATAAACCTTAATGTAAGCTAGGGACTTTGGGTGATAATGATGTGTGAACATTGGTTCATCAATTGTCACAAGTGTTCCACTCTGGTGGAGTATGTTGATAATTCGGGAGTCTGTGTATGTATGGGGCAGAGGATGTACAGGAAATCCCTGTACAATCCCCTCAATTTTGCTGTGAATCTAAAACTGCTCTAAAAAATAAAGCCTATTTTTTAAAAGTTAAGAAATACCCTAGGGAAAAGGAGCAGAATTGGGAAGATGGTAGTCAAAGGATACAAAATTTCACTTAGACAGGAGCGGTAAGTTCAAGAGATCTATCACACAACACGCTATGACTATAGTTAATAACAATACATTGCATACTTGAAAATTGCTAAGACTAGATTTAAGTGTTCTCACTATACAAAAAGTTTTTTAAAAAAGAAAAATAAAAAGAAACACATTGATATTTAATAGCTTGTGTTTTGAAAGGGTGTATCATGCTTATTCATTGAGAAATATATGAGAGGGAGAGCAAGAGAGAAACGACACAAATACTTTATTGTGGTAGGTAAGAAAGAGAAGAAGATCATAAAATAAGTCTTCTATCATTAAATGAAGTGACTCCTTATCAACCCCCTGCAACAAAATAAAAACTGAAACTGTATACTATCTATCTATACATATATATATATATGACAACAAAAAAGTAATACATGCTGTGGTCCACACATGTATGACATGGAAGGTCTCTCAGCTTTGGGGTAGATGAATATTAAATATATATCTATATATATTTGGGTAATAATTAAATATATATGTATATATTTGGGTAATATATGTAAGTTTTCATAAAAACTTTTTAGAATTAAAATAGGCTTTTCTAATTAAGAATAATTTTTCATTGGTTCACTCTGTTCAGAAAAAATATAAAAGGACAAGCCTTTGGCCTATAGATGATTGACTCTCAAAACATCGTCCCCAACTCTAAATTTTGATTCTACACTGGGGCAGCTTTTCACTATGAATGTAGTTGCGAATCTTTGTTTATTAAATATTTATTGCATAAATATCTTATCAGGCTCTGGTCTCTGGGCCTTGAATTGTGAACTCTGTTCTGGCTGGAGTCACAGTATCACTTTGGGATTACCATCTCCATTAGCACTTTTATATTTCTTACTTAAGAAAATCTGAAGTAGCAAAAAATTGAATAGGGGATCCCTTGCATCCTCCACTGGCCCATGAATCTTAGGATATATTAAGGTATATTCCACTGCGGATAGGGTTATTTAAATCTTAATGCCAAAGAAAAAAATTGTAATTGCCTGGTGGGTTCTTCTTGCTTGCTGCATAGATAGAGCTGATTTACCGAAATAGAAGTATTGCAGCTGAGAAAGAGCTTAATAAATACAGAGCCAAATGGAATTGCAACAGTTTATTACTCAAATCAGCCACTCCAAGAACTCAGAGGCTAGTGTTTTTATGGCTAATGTGGTGAGCAAGGGGCTAGGGAAGGGGTGCTGCTGATTAGCTGGAATGAAGTCACAGGGGTGTGGAAAACACTCCTCATGTGCCAAGTCATCCTCTCGGTTTAGCCACAAGACTACTTGAGTCATGAATCACAACTCTGGGTGGAATTGGCCCCCAGGATGTAAAAGCATGAAAAACATCTCAAAAGATCAATCTTACGTTTTATAATAGTGATGTTAGCCATAGGAGCAACTGGGAAAGATACAAATCCTGTGACCTCCAGAACAGTGGCTGAACTGTGTTTACATTTCACCAGAAGGCAGGCCCCTCCCATGATCCTAATCTCATAGCCTTTCATTAGTTTTACAAGGTTTTGGTCCCTGGGCAAGGAGAGGTTAGTTTTAGGGAGGGACTGTTATCATCCTTGTTTCAAAGTTAAACTACAAACTAAATCCTCCCATGGTTAGCTTGGCCTATGTCCAGGAAATAGTGAGGACAGCCATCCTTTGAGGCTAGAAGCAAGACTGATTCAGCTATGCTAAAATTCTCTCACTATCATAATCTTGGCAAAGGCAGTTTCAAGATAATGAACTAACAAAAAGCTATCTACTTAAAGGCTCCAGGAAGGAACTTTTCAGTAGCATCCCTGAGAATAAAGACAGTGGTTCTGGCATTCATGAAGCTGGTAGGATGCAATTCTTCAGGGTGACAACGGCAATGACTTCTGTAAAGTGCACAATAGTCTCACTATGCATATGCCACAGGCATTCACTGTCTACTGAGCTGTGAAAGGAACTACTGGGCAGGAGGGCTCTATGGAGATGATGCCACTTCACATTTAAAAATCTTTCCATTTCGCATCATTGCCCTGAGGAAAAATCCAAACTAAAGCTGACCTCTAGGTATATTCCACACTTAACTCACATTCCTTTTCTTTTTCTTTCTGCTTATGCTCTGGATATAGCAAACACTTTGCAATTCTTGAAGGAATGGGTGCTTTCTGTATCTCAAGGTATTAATCTATGTATTCATGTTGTTACACATTGTATAACAATTCCTTGTCCATCTCTTCCCACAGTTTGTAAGCTCTTTCAGAAAAGGGACTGTCTTTGTTGCTTTTATAGCATGAGTACGTGGCATATCACAGCAGTTATTATTATAAACATTATTCATTAATTTAGTGAATTAATTTTCAATTGAATACAAATAAATATTTTAAATTAGGAACATTATTGCTAGATTTATATGCTCTACTAAAATAGTTGTAGTAACTGTCCAGATTACAGGAAGAATACTGAGGCCTTCTCTAGAACATAAATTTGTGCATTCATTATGACAATTGGGCCCTTCTTACTCATGGTACTAATTAAAACACTATTACGTGTACTTGGCATTGAGCTCTTATCAAGAACTAATTTTCTTTTTGAAAATTAGTAGAAACAGAAGAAAACAGTAGAAAACAGAAGAAAATATCAGTCTTAAAAACTGATTAAATCTTAATGCACAATTATCAAATTATTTGAATAAAACAAACAACTATAAGGAATGAAAAGAAAGTACACTTGGAAGAGGGCTAAGCGGGCAACTTGAAAGACAAGTACATGATTTGACCTTTTGACTTGGAGTTTTATATGTTGGCATGATTCCAGGGTCTTGTGTTCTTTCTCCCCTGATTCTTCCCTTTGGGTGGGCTGCCGACATGGGTAGTGGCCTGCTGGCACTTGGAAGAGGAGCATGCTCAGTGTGTTTACTGGATTTGTATGCTTGTTCACTTCAGGCATCCTTCCCTTACCAGCTGAATGTCCCTAGGAGATCATATACCAGTTAAATGCCACCATTTTGCCTCCTAGTGTGCATGTGTGAGCCCACTCACCCAACTCCTGACATCTTACTGGCAAACTGCTGATGACCAGCTTCTGGTGTTTCTGTTTGCTGGAGTACTGGCTTTCTCTGGTGCTGGCTGTGACTAGTTATTATTTTAGAGAGACAGTTAACAATAGCCTGACCATCAGTTGTTGGTCGCCTGATATTCCTGGTGTGTTTGTGGTTGGGGGAGCCCTCTTCTGCTCTGCTCATGTCTGACTAGCAACTTACTGTATCATTTTTATGCTATGAAGATAGCTTCTTCTCCTGAACCTCCTGAACTATCTGTTTCAAACTTCTGCAGCTTCCTCACCTCTCTCAGTGTTCATGGAATTGAACAGAGTTCTGGCCTTGCTCTAGATTAGACTTTGGCTTAAGAGAGTTCTGGCCTTGCTCTAGAATGTTGTGGCTGGTTTGGTCCTCTATCCAGACTACTACAACTTTCTCCATATCAGCAATAAGTCTATTTTGCTTACTTATTTGTGAGTTCATTGCAGTAGTACTTTATTTTCTTTAAGAACTTTTTCTTTGTATTCACAATTTGGCTAACTATTGGTTCAAAAGACCTAGCTGTCAGGCTGCCATGTCTTTTGATGACATCCCTTCCTCACTAAGCTTAATCGTTTCTAGATTTTGATTTAATATGAGAGACATAAGACTCTTTCTTTCACTTGAACACTAGAAGCAATTGTAGGGTAATTAACTGACCCAATTTCAATAGTGTTGTACCTCAAAGAATAAAGGGGCCTGAGGAGAAGGAGAGAGATAGGGGAATGGCCAGTTAGTGGGACAGTCAGAAGACACACATTTATCAATTAAGCTTTCTGTCCTATATGAATGCAGTTCATAGCATGCCACAACAATTACAATAGCATCATCAAAGGTCACTGATCACAGACCATCATAACTGATATAATATTAATGAAAAAGTCTAAAATATTGTGAGAATTACCAAAACATGACACAAGGACACAAAACGAACACATGCTGTTGGAAAAATGGTGCTGATAGACTTATTAAATACAGGACTGCCACATACCTTCAATTAAAAAAACATCTGCAAAGCGCAATAAAGTAAAGCACAATAAAATGAAGCATGCCTGTGCTTGAAAGAGCTAGGACCATATTGACTTCCTAGGAGACATGACAATCCAAAAAATAAATTTTCTTATTAAAATAGTAGAATAACGAATTGTAATAGTAATATAATCATGACAATGTAGTGGCGATTACCATCGACCCCCTAAAGTTTCACTGAAAAATCTCTGGCAGGGTTGATTCATGAGAGAAAAGGTATACAATTTTATTTAACATGTATACACAAGTGCCTTCAGGATGAAGACCCAACTATCACGGATGCCACTGGCTGGGGACAGTGCTGCTGGTGGCAAAAGAATTTTCCAAGGAAGACGTGGGGAAAGAAAGGCAGATTTATTAGAGAGAAAGTATGCTGCAGGGAAGCAACAGGCAGCACAGCACAAAAGAGGCTGTTTACAAAGAGGCAGGGGTTGGAACAGCAAGACCTGATACTGAGTTGTACTGGAGGGGCTGCTTTCAGATAAGGTGTGCAGATAAGATGGTGCTGCTGGGGCTAGGAGGTATTTGGGAACAGGATGTCATGCCAGCCGTTGTCTGTGATTAGCTGTCTTTCCAAAGAAACAATTGTTCCCCCCACACCTGGGATCCCTTGCTCTTGTTGCTTAGCGAACTTATCAGGACTCCACACCAAATTTCTAATGAGTTACAGAAACTTATATATCATTCTGAGGTTACAAAAAGAAAGGGGGCTTGGATTCTGGTAAAATAGGTTATAGGAGGAGGCAGAAAAGGAATTCTATTGAGAGGCAATAAATTATTGTTAGGGAGAATAATTGGACTCAGGAACAGAGATTAACTTGTAAATAGTTTTCAATGGGATATAAATGATCTTTGGAGATAGTAAAAGTTTCTGCTAAGGTGTGAATCTTGTCTTTTTTTTCTGCAATAGATAATGTGATAACAGAGAGGGAAGGAAAAAACAATTGTTCTTAGTGGGTTTGGATCTTAGGCAGATAAAGGAACTTAAGTTCCTTTAGGAGAGACAGTGGGGACTGGTAGTGGGGCGGGGGGAATGGTCAGTGGTTAAGGGAGACCCTGAGGCTTCTCTAGTTTAGCATGTCAAAATGCCAGATTTTGGGGTACTGATTTCGGAGCCCCAAAAGCAAAAGTAGCAAATCCTGAAAGACAGGAATACGTATTTGTAAAGGTGCTGATATGCAATTCACACTGAAAAGCAAAAGTGTATTGCTGACATCCTAGAATTGACAGTGACCAAACATGAGTTGTGGTGCTTGTCTTAGTTATTTAAGGCTTCTATAACAAAATATCATTAAGTCTGTGGCTTATAAACAACAGAAATTGGTCGGGCATGGTGGCTGACACCTGTAATCACAGCACTTTGGGAGGCTGAGGTGGGTGGATCACTTGAAGTCAGGAGTTTGAGACCAGCCTGGCCAACATGGTGAAACCCTGTCTCTACTAAAAATGTAAAAATTAGCCATGTGTGGTGGCATGCGCTAGTAGTCCCAGCTGATGTAGGAGAATTGTTTGAACTCGGGAGACAGAGGTTGCAGTGAGCTGAAATCATGCCACCACCCTCCAGCCTGGGTGACAGAGCAAGACTCTGTCTCAAAAAAAAAAAAAAAAAAATCCAAAACAAACAGAAATCAGAAATTTATTTCTCACTATTTTGGAGGCTGGAAGTCCAAGACGAGATTTTTTTTTTTTTTTTTTTTTGAGACAGAGTTTCACTCTTGTTGCCCAGGCTGGGGTGCAGTGACATGATCTCGGCTCACCGTAACCTCTGCCTCCTGAGTTCAAGTGATTCTCCTGCCTCAGTCTCCCTAGTAGCTGGGATTACAGGTGTGCACCACCATGCCTGGCTAACATTTATTGTATTTTTAGTAGAGATGGGATTTCTCCATGTTGGTCAAGCTGGTCTTGAAATCCCAACCTCAGGTGATCCACCTGCCTCGGCCTCCCAAAGTGCTAGGATTACAGGTGTGAGCCACTGCACCCCACCTTGGGGTCTCTTTTAATAGGGCACTAATACCATTTATGAGGGCTCCATCTTCATGAATTAATCATCCTCCCAAATCCCCACCTCCAAATGACACTATACTGGGAGAACACAAATATTTAGTCATAACAGTGTCCTTTAGGGATGTTACAGGTAATTAGACAGGCATGAGTGGGGCAGGAGAGGGCTCTCCCCCACCACTAGGACTGTCAGGTGATGGCTTGGCAATTATCACATTGTCTCTCTAAAAGTGATAAGTTGGCAGCCAGCACCAGGGAGAAACAATCTCCTAATAGTCCACAGCTGTTAACATTAAAGTGTTAATTGAATGCAGATGCCAGGGAGATGCAACTTCTCCATTAAGATACAAAATAACAGAGTATGACCTTCTAGGGATATTTTTCCCTTTACTGGGTTCCACCAGAAAAAGAAAAAAAGCCTCAGATGGGCATGCGCACAACTTCCTAAACACACTGGACATGCTCACATCCCAAGTGTAAGGAGGACGCTGCATGTGCAGGCAGCCCACTCTAAGGAAAGAGTCATGAGAAAGGGGTTCAAGACACTGGAAAGGGGCCACACTATAAAGTCCTAGGATCACAGCTGAACACCACAATTATTCTTCAAGTTGCCCACCTGGATCTCTTCCAAGTGCACTTTCCTTTCTTTCCTGCTCTAAAGCTTTTTTATCAACTTCCACTCCTGCTCTGAAACTTGCCTTGGTCTCTTTTTCTGCTTTATGCCCCTTAGTGGAATTATTTCTTCTGAGGAGGCAAGAATTGAGGCTGCTACAGACCCATATGGATTTGCTGCCAGTAACTCAGATACCTTCCACAGGTAACAGGGAGAAGAGGGAATATAGTGGACTGCTAAATGACTATTAATAAAGAACTGAGATAAGAAATAATTTATCTATTAAAACTTTGTGATTGTTAATACTGAGTGTCAACTCGATTGGATTGAAGGATGCAAAGTATCAATCCTGGGTGTGTCTGTGAGGGTGTTGCCAAAAGAGATTAACATTTGAGTCAGTGGACTGGGGAAGATAGACCCATCCTTAATCTGGTGGGCACAATCTAATCAGCTGCCAGCAAATATAAAGATGGCAGAAAAAGGTGAAAGGGTGAGAATGGCCTAGACTCCCAACCTACATCTTTCTCCCATGCTGGATGCTTCCTGCCCTCGAACATCAGACTCTAAATCCTTCAGCTTTGAGACTTGGACTGGCTCTCCTTGCTCCTCAAGCTGGCAGACAGCCTACTGTGGGAAATTGTGATCATGTAAGTTAATAATAAACTCCCGTTTATATATGTGTGTGTGTGTCTGTGTGTGTGTGTGTGTGTGTGTGTGTGTGTGTATTCTATTAGTTATGTCCCTTTAGGAGACCCTGACTAATACAGATTTTGGTACCAGGAGTGGTTCTAGAGAAACAGAATATTAAGGATGGAGTTCTTTCATTGGTTTTGGGGTTTGTGAGTTGGTTACCTAATATGATTAGACCCAAAAATGCTAAGGACTCTATTTATAATAGTATGGAGAACACTGATAGTCCTTGGCATGAACTGTTTAGAGAGTTATGCAAAATAAAATAAATGCATTTGACACTCCAGATTCACCACTTGTGAGAGGCAAGCAGTTTAGTCATCTATACATAGTACCTTTGACCATATGTGGAGAACCAAGGAATATAATAAAGCTGGTTGGTTGCTCCTAAGTTCAGTGGACAAGTGATGGAAAAAATGATGAATGCAGATTATAACTCCCAGCTTCAGAATCAGATACTGAGCATTAAATCTGCTAAGATTGCCCTGAGTGAGATTCTTATCTTCTGCAGAGAAAGAGCTGAAATTGTGGAAAAACAGACATAAGCTCTTATCATGCAAGTGGCTGACCTGCAAAGAAAGGTGCATCCACAGCCTTGCCAGGTGTCTACTGTTAAAGTGAGGATACTGATTGAAAAAGAATGGGACCCTGCAACTTAGAATGGGGATGTGTGGGAGGACTCTGATGAATCTGGGGACACTGATGAACCTTTTTTGCCAGAAGGAACAGCTATACTATCACCAGTAGTGACAACATCCCTTCCCTGACCCATGCAGCCATCAGCCTTTCTAGCTTTGTCTGAGGAGATAAACCTTGCACTGCCTGAGGCAACAGTGATGGCCTCCCCTGAGGCAGTTGCCAGGCAAAATAATGTTGGTTCTTCTCATGAGCCACCTCGAACACTCATTTGGTTCTAGACCTATAACTAGACTAAAGTCCCAGTGGGTCCCTAGAGGTGAGGTTGACCCATGAGGAGGTGTACTACACTCAAAAAGAACTGCTTGAGTTTTCTAATTTATAAACAGAAATCTGGAGAACATGCATGAGAATGGATATTAAGGGTGTGGCATAATGGTGGAAGAAATATAGAATTGGATCAGGCTGAATTCATTGATTTGGGCCCACTAAGTAGGGACTCTGCATTTAACGTTCCAGCTCATCGAATTAAAAAAGATTATAAGAGTTTATTTGTTTGGTTAGCGGAAATATGGATTAAAGGATGGCTTACTGTGAGTGAGCTGTAAATGCCTGATCTCCCTTGGTTTAAGGTCGAGAAATTGATCAAAAGGCTTAGGGAGTTTGGAATGGTGGAGTGGATTAGTCACTTTAGACCTACTCATCCCAGCTGGAAGGGTCCAGAAAATATACTCTTGACCAATGCCTTGCAAAATAGATTCGTGAGGGCAGCACCTGTGTCTTTGAAGAGCCCTGTAACAGCTCTTCTCTGTATGTCAGATCTAAGAGTAAGAACTGCAGTCACTCAACTATAAAATTTAAATACAATGGGAATAATTAGATCCCAAGGTGGCAGGAGCCAAGTGGCAGCACTCAAATATCTAAGGCAAGGTGGGCATGGCTACTGTAATGGTCAGCAAAGACAAAGCAGCAATAGGAATAGTCTGACTTGTGTAGAGCTCTGGCATTGGCTAATTAATATGCTGTTCCTAGAAGTAAAATTGTTAGGAAGCCTACTGCATTCCTACTTACAATATATATGAAGAGAAACTTCTAGGTTAAATGGACAGAAGACTGATTTGAATTAAGAAAACAGAGAATCAAAGCCCCTCAATTAACTTCCAGACTTGAGGCAGTTTACAGACCCACAGCCCATTGAATGAAGGGGAGGCTGGATCCCCTTGAGGAAGGACCCCACTACATTACCAACAATTTATGCAGTGAATTGTTCTCCTATCCTTCCCCAAGGAGACCTCTGGCCTTTTACCAGGGTAACTGTGCACTGGAGAAAGGGAAATGATCAGACATTTTGGGGACTACTGGACACTGGCTCTGAGCTGATGTTGATTCCAGGGGAGCCAACAATTATTCCATTAAGCTGGAAGTTAAGATTGCCACCTGGATAGTTTGGGCTCCTCCTACCTTGAAGTCAGCAGGCTAAGAAGGGAGTTACAGTGTTGGCCAGGACTATTGATCCAGATTATCAAGATGAAATCAGTCTACTACTCCATAACGGAGGTAAGGAAAAGTATTCATGTAATACAGAAAATCCATTAAGGCATCTGTTAGTATTACCATGCCCTGTGATTAAGGTCAATGGGAAACCACAACAGCTCAATCCAGGCAGGACTACAAATGGTCCACACCCTCAGGAAGGAAGGTTTGGGTCACTCCACCAGGAAAAAATCAACGACCTGCTGAGGTGCTTTCTGAAGGCAAAGGGAATATAGAATGAATAGTAGAAGAAGGTAGTCATCAATACCAGCTACAATCATGTGACCAGCTCCAGAAACAAGGAATGTAACTGTCATGAGTATTTCCATCTTTTGTTAAAAACATGTTTGTGCGTGTATACACTTGTACTGAGAAAATATCTTCATTTTATTTCCTTTCCGTTTATCATGTGACAGAAGATTTATTGACTTCATATCAGCATTTAAGTATTGTTAACTTTATGTAATAGTATTTGGGTTGGGGATTGGTGTGTTTTGGGTTGTACAAAGGATAGTTACATTATATTAGGCATAATTATGACCTCATTATTGTCTTTATTCGAAGATTATGTATGATCTCAGGAGATGTGTATGGGTTCAAGTAGACAAGGGTAGACTTGTGATGGTTAATACGGAGTGTCAACTTAATTGGATTGAAGGATACAAAGTATTGATCCTGGGTGTATCTGTGTGAGTGTTGCCAAAGGAGATTAACATTTGAGTCAGTGGGCTGGGGAAGGCAGACCTACCCTTAATCTGGTGGGCACAATCTACTCAGCTGCCAGCAAATATAAAGACAGAAGAAAAAGGTGAAAAGGCAAGACTGGCCTAGCCTCCTAGCCTACATCTTTCTCCTGGGCTGGATGCTTTTTGCCCTTGAACACTGGATTCCAAGTTTTCAGTTTTAAGACTCTGACTGGCTCTCCTTATTCATCAAGCTTGCAGACAGCCCATTGTGGGATCTTGTGATAGTGTAAGTTAATATTTAATAAACTCACCTATATGTATATATATATAGAGAGAGGAGATATATATATGTGTTTGTGTGTGTGTACATATATATATATACTGATGAGTATATATATATATATACTGATGAGTATATATATATATACTGAGTATATATATATATACTGATGAGTATATATATATATACTGATGAGTATATATATATATACTGATGAGTATATATATATATATACTGATGAGTATATATATATAGATGAGTATATATATACTGATGAGTATATATATATAGATGAGTATATATATATACTGATGAGTATGTATATATATATACTGATGAGTATATATATATATATACTGATGAGTATACATATATATACTGATGAGTATATATATAATGAGTATATATATACTGACGAGTGTATATATATATATACACTAATAGGATATACATATCTCTATATATAATATATATATACTAATAGGATATCTATATCTCATATATATGAGATATATATATAATTCTCTCCCTCTAGGGAACCCTGACTAATACAAACTCTTTTCCTTTCTATGGAAGTTTAGAAGATACTTGTTCATCATTCTGGATAAAATTGGGGAGACATCTATATGGGCCTTAGTGAATAAATATTTTATATAAAATGTATTTAAGATAAAAATACAAAATGTAAGAGAATGTAGCAAATATATTAAAATAAAAATTCAAATAGCAAATATATAATTATACAATATAAGTAATTTTACAATATTTAGTGAATGACTTGAGTTAGTATAATTTATTATAAGTATGCTTAATCAAGTATACTGATCCCACGCATTAAACTTGAAAATGGCAGACAAAATCCCAGATAAAGACTTTTTATGATGATCTTTCCAAATTCCTGAATATCACAATTGACTGGAAATGTTTACATGAGTAAATAAAACACTTTTCACCACCATTACAATATTAGCAATGATTAAAGTTATGTTATGAAAACTATATCTTTTTAATTTTATTGACTTCTAATGTTAAAAATGCAATTTGCTTTCAGTTGAATATTTCTAAATATTAAAAAACAATAAAGAAGCCCTAATTTGCAGAATGATAGAGCAACTCTGTAGCTAGCTTGTGTGCCACTAAATAGGTAAATTAATCCACAGAGAAAAGTATACCATACCTAGAAAAATAGAGATTCAAGTGTATATACCCTAGAGCTGTGCCCAGAAGGGAGGATTATACACCTCGTTCATCCTCCATCTTCTTTACTGCCATACTTCAGCCGTCAGTGGCTTGTTTCTAATGTGCTAAGGCATTAACTACAAATCACTGCACAGGTTTTTTTTTTTTTTAATCCACCATATGCTGTTGTGCTCTCTTCCGATAACTATTGACGTCAGTCTGTGAGAATAAGCTCATCCTTGGCCAGGTTCAGCATATTTTGGCAGGACAGTGTGTGGTAAATATCACTCTTGCTTGCTACCTGCAATGAACACAAGATGTGCAATCTGAACGTACTTCAATAGTGACATCCTATAAGGATGGTCAAAAGAGGCTGCTGATGGCCAGCGAAGACAGAGTCAGGAATTCCAGGCACTCCAGAAACTGGCCCTCCAGCCCAAGGATGGGTATCAGTTTCCTATTGCAGCTAGGGGATATATTTATCAGGAAGTCTGGAATAGAAAGCTATAATAGTATAGAAAAATGCCATGCCACATTCTAGTCCAGGTAGAAACTATAGAAATTTCTGGTTCACATAAGAGAGACTACGTTAAGTTGTAAAAACTGTTAAACTGTAAAAAGAACCTTAAAATCAATAGAAACTTAACAATTATTTATTACCTCAAGGTTAAGTAAAATTCAAAGAATGAGAAACTAGACCAATTTGGATTCAAATAATCAGATCTACACTTTTTTAATGATGAAATGCAGTGACTCCAAATCTAATCCTCATACTCCCTATCCTCTAAAAAAGAAAACAATAACTACCTCAGAGTAGAGCAGATAACAATATGAATCAATAAAAGCAATTAAATTCACAAAAATGTGTATCGCAATATAATGTATCATAGCAAATATTTTAAAACGGTCCATTTGAACAATAATATGGTAATAAAATGATTTCCAAAGTGTGGTCCCCAATTCAGCAGCATCAACATCAAGTAAAGGCACATTTCGAGAAGTCAGACTACTGAAACAGAAACTCTGAGAGGAGAGCCCGACAATCTGTTTTAACAAGCCCTTCAGTTGATTCTGACGCATGCTAATGTTTGAGAACCACTGGTTTAGTGAACTACAAAGCTTACATTCATTTTTTTGTGCTGCTAAAATGAACATTGTGATGACTATGCAGATCCAAGCAATACCCTATTAAATATAACTATAAATAAAATTATACGAAGTTGTATGGATATGATAAAGGAATTATTACATAATTATGCAAATAGGTAAAGCCTTACATTGGAGGTCTAGTGAAATAATCTATCTTCATATACTGATTGAAATAGATTTTTAGAGTTTGAATTTTTCTACATTTATAAAAGATAGCCAATCAAAGTTATCACAATCTAAGAAAAGAACTTAATTGAATACATACAAATGTAACAATGAAAGACTTAATTTTTTGTGTTCATAGAAAAAGAACTTTTCTCTTTAAGAGAACTAATACATGCTTAATAACAGGAATTTTTATGGGTAGATGTTTGTTCTGTTATATTTTCATCCTTGCCCATCAAACATATCTTAGAAAATATTTTGTTTTATTTATAGTCACTATCAAAAACATACATAAAGACTGTAACCAGGATAACAAGGAAGGGAGAAGGCACATTTTATTTTTAAGAAAGACCTTTATTCCATTTGACTGGTCCCCCAAAATATGTATTTTTATAGTAATACTTTGATCACTGAAATTTGACATTTCTCCAGTCTTTCTTATTTAAAATAATTAACAAGTCACTTAAATTTTTAAATACAAATATAACTGTAACACACATTTCTATAACTAGAATAAGTAGGAAAAACCTAAAATCATAGTTTTTATTTACATGACATTGTTTCATTTTTATCTATTCATGAATTAATTTCTGTAAGGGGGATATAAGTATAGCATTAGAGGGATTAGAGTCAACAAAGATGGGCTCTACTGGTTTGCTCAGAAAATTCTTAAAGCCTCAATCTTTAAGGCTGAAAAGTAATCATGAAACTACAAAAAGTTATACAATAAAATTGTTTCTTATTTTTGATTGAATTGAGTGACAAACATATTTTTAAAATCAAAGAAATTACAGGTTAGATAAAATTAAATAAAAGAAATTGAATCATAAGTAAGCTTAAACTTCAAGTATTGTTCCTTTTTCAACACTAATCTCATGATTATTTATCAATGACTAAAAAGCATACTTAAGATAAAAAGAAATGGAATCTTTTACAATAGGATGATTTCCACTCTGAATTAGAAACTTGGATCATTACCTTAAGATTATAGTTTGCACTTAGTATAAATAGAATGTGATGGGCCTCTGCCATCCTTTGAATTCAGGAGAAACACTGCACAATGATAAGTGCAGTGAGCAGTACAGGGACTTTCTATTACAGCAGCTCAGTTGTACAAAGGACTTTTTAAAAATGACTAGCAGATAAAGCTGTTCATTTGTGAATAGGACATTATCATCTACTGAATAACTGAATTTAAGATCATTTATCACTGTCAGTCTCTGAAATCTTTTTCACAATGAGAAAGATATGTAATTACTGAATAATTTGAAATAATTTTAAAAGGCAACATTACAAACTGCTTAAGAATGCCATTCTATTTACGTTAACAATGCAATGCACTATTTGGATTTCTAACTGACTTCTGACATGTTTTATACTATTTTCCCATGTTTTAACTGTAAGAGAACCTTGGTTTCTTATAGAAACTTAGCTTATTCCTGGCCGGGTGCGGTGGCTCACACTTGTAATCCCAGCATTTTGGGAGGCTGAGGTGGGTGGATCATGAGGTCAGGAGATTGAGACCATCCTGGCTAAAAGGGTGAAACCCTGTCTCTACTAAAAATACAAAAAAATTAGCCATGCATGGTGGTACACGCCTATAGTCCCAGCCACTTGAAGGCTGAGGCAGGAGAATCACTTGAACCTGGGAGGCGGAGGTTGCAGTGAGCCAAGACTGTGCCACTGCACTCTAGCCTGGGCAACAGAGCGAGACTCCATCTCAAAAAAAAAAAAAAAAAAAGGAAAAAGAAAGAAACTTAATTTATTCTTACACATTAATGTAATGTTCAAAGAAATTTTTCCTAAATGCTATGAGAGCAATTACTTTTTTACCAATACTGGTCACTATTTATAATAGAACACAGGTTTGTTTTCTGAAATTAGATCAGACCATCCCTCATGTCAGACACATTCTCTTTTGAGTTATTTCTTAATCTTTTTACTTAGTCCTCCAAATCATACATGAGGTTACACCAGTTTGCTTTGTAAATGACTGAATAGTCTAAAGTTTTCCCTCAGCTTGAATAAACGTTTCTTCCTGACTATATAGCCTCTTGACCTCCCTTTATTTTGGAGCATTCACTTTAGAATACTTGGAATTGTAAATTTTTTTCTGCCCTTGGGGGAAGATATAAATCTTCTGCCAGCCTCTTGCCAGTTTTATTACCCATGAATGTCTTTCCCAAGGACCTGGGAGGTATCCTTTTGAAATGTAATCATGAAGAAAGATAGTGCCCCTTCTCCTAGTCTATGCTGGTGAGTGGGAGCCTAATTGTTGTAACTATCACCTAGCAAACACAGATGGCATAATCACATCAGCCAACTACCCTCCTAACAGCCTTTCACTAGATTAGCTCATCCCTGTGCTTAAAAACTCTCCTGCTTTTTGTTTCAACAGAGTTTATATCAATCTATCTCTTATAATAGTCTTAAATAAAGTCTTCCTTACCCACTAAACCTGACCAGTGCAATTTCCAACACTGGTAAACTTAGATGTTATATGATTTATATAAAGAGCCATAATTTTTTCACAATTTAAGTAATATATTTGAATATTATTTATTTAAAATTAAAAGATTAATTCTAAAAACAAAAAAACATTAATTCACAAACAAAATTGGTATATTTCTTTTTTTCTTTTTCTTTTTCTTTTTTTTTTTTTTTGAGATAGAGTCTCGCTGTGTCTCCCAGTCTGGAGTGCAGAGGCGATCTCAGCTCACTGCAAGCTCCGCCTCCCGGGTTCACGCCATTCTCCTGCCTCAGCCTCCCGAGTAGCTGGGACTACAGGCGCCCACCACCATGCCTGGCTAATCTTTATTTTTTTGGCTTTTTAGTAGAGAGGGGGTTTCACCTTGTTAGCCAGGATGGTCTCGATGTCTTGACCTTGTGATCCGTCCGCCTCGGCCTCCAAAAGTGTGCTGTATTTCTTATAAGAGAACACGTACAAACTTCTGAATTTTTTCAAACTTTTTGAATTTGTGAAGTGTTGGGAAAAGGATATTTCATGAAAATGAAAGCCAAAGAAGAGCAGGAGTAGTTGTACTTGCATCAGATAAAATAGACAAGTCAAAGACTGTCAAAATAGGCAGAAAGGTCACTAGATGACAATAAAGGGGTTAATTCTTCAAAAGAATATAGTAACTATAAATATCTAGGTACCCAAAACAGAAGCATCCAAGTATATAAAGCAAATATTAATAGATTTAAAGGGAAAGACAGACCATAAAATGTAATAGTAGGAAACTTCAACACCTCACTTCTAGTATCATTCAGACAGAAAGTCCGCAAAGAAACATTGGAATTAAACTCCACACTAGACCAATGGGCTTCGGTGTTTCGTAATGCACATTCTTCTCAATATCACATGAAATAATCCTCTAAATATACCACGTTATGCCACAAAACCAGCCTCAACGCATTCAAAAATCTCAAAATCTCAAGTATTTCTTTCTGACCATAATGGAATAAACTAGAAATTAATTACAAGAGGAGTGGTGGAAACTAAACAAACTCATGAAAATTAAAAACTTGCTTCTGAACAATCAACGGGGTGATGAAAAAATTAAGAAAGAAATTTTAAAAATTTCTGAAACAAATGAACATGGGAGCACCACATGTGAAAATCTATGAGATGGCCGGGTGCGGTGGCTTACGCTTGTAATCCCAGCACTTTGGGAGGTCGAGGTGGGCAGATCACGAGGTCAGGAGATCGAGACCATCCTGGCTAACACGGTGAAACCCCGTCTCTACTAAAAATACAAAAAAAAAAATTAGCCGGGAGTGGTGGCGGGCGCCTGCAGTCCCAGCTGCTCAGGAGGCTGAGGCAGGAGAATGGCATGAACCCGGGAGGCGGAGCTTGCAGTGAGCCGAGATCGTGCCACTACACTCCAGCCTGGGCAACAGAGCCAGACTCTGTCTCAAAAAAAAAAAAAAAAAAAAAAAAAAACTATGAGATACAGTAAAAGCAAGACTAGGAGGGAAGTTTATAGCAATAACACCTACGTAAAAACAATAAGTAGATTTCAAATAAACAATCTAACAATGTCCCTCAAGGAACTAGGAAAGCAAGAACAAATCAAACCCAAACTTAATAAAAGGGAAGAAATAATAAATATCAGAGCATAAATAAATACAATTGAGACTAAAAAATACAAAATATCAACAAAATTAAAAGTTGGTTTTTTGAAAAGATAAAATTGACAAACCTTTAGCTAGACTAAGAAACTAAGAGAAAAAGGAGGAAGATCTAAGTAGATAAATCAGAGATGAAAATGAAACATCACTGATGCCAGAGAAATATAAAGCATCACTAGAAATTACATTGAACAGGCCGGGTGCAGTGGCTCATACCTGTAGTCCTAACAATTTGGGAAGCTAAGGTGGGTGGATGACTAGAGGTCAGGAGTTCGAAACCAGCCTGGCCAACATGGTGAAACCCCATCTCTACTAAAAGTACAAAAAAATTAGACAGGCATTGTGGCGAGTGCCTGTAATCCCAGCTATTTGGGAGGCAGGAGAATTGCTTAAACCCGGAAGGCAAAGTTGCAGTGAGCTAAGATCATGCCACTGCCCTTCAGCCTGGGCGACAGAGTGAGACTTACTTTCCAAAAAAAAAAAAAAAAAAAAGAAAGAAAGAAAGAAAGGAAGAGAGAGAGAGAGAGAGATAAATAAATAAATAAATAAATAAATTACATTGCACAATTATATGCTAACAAGTAGAAAAATCTAGAAGAAATGGATAAATTTCTAGATACATACAATCTATGAAGATTGAATCAGAAAGAAATAGAAAACCTGCACAAAGTAATAGAGAATAATGAAATTGAAGCCATAATAAAAATATCCCATCAAAAAATCCCAGGATCTGATGGCTTCACTGCTGAGTTCTACCAAACATTTAAAGAACTAATACCAAATACTACTCAAACTCTTCAAAAAAATCTAAGGGGAAGAATATTTTCAAACTTGTTACACGTTTATATACATCATTTATATACCTCAATGGTGAACAATGAAAAAAATCATAATACTTAAGAATATATTTAACCAAAGAAATGATAAAAACTATAGAAGGAAAACTGTAAAACACACTGATTAAAGAAATTAAAGTTTATACCAGAAATGGAAAAATATTCCATTCTCATGGATTGGAAGTATTATATTGTTAAAATGTCAATACTACCCAAAGAGATCTTGAGATTCAATGCAATCTTTATCAGAATACTAATGACATTCTTCACAAAAATAGAAAAAAAAATCCTGAAGTATATACAAAACCTCAAAAAAACCTGAATAACTAAAGCAATTCTGAGCAAAAAGAATGAAGCTGGAAGTATCACACTACCTGACTTCAAAATTTTCTACAAAGCTATGTAAACCAAGTCATCATGGTACTGGCCTAAGAACAGATACATAGACGATGGAACAGAATAGAGAACCAGAAATAAATTCATACATTTACAGCCAACTTATCTTGACACAGGCGCTAGGAACATACAGTAGGGAAAGGACAGACTCTTCAATAAATACTGCTAGTAAAACTGTATAGTCACATGCAGAAGCATGAAACTGATTCCTATTTCCACCATATAAAAAAATCAAATCAAAATGGATTAAAGACAAATGTAAGCCCTGGAACAAAGAAACTACTACAAGAAAACATTGAGGAAATGCACCAGGACACTGGTCTGGACAAAGAGTTTTTAAGTAAGACCTCAAAAGCACAGGCAGCAAAAGCAAAAATAGACTAATGAAATTGCATCAAGCTAAAAACCTTCTGTAAAGGAAAAGAAACATCAACAAAGTGAAGGGACGACCTGCAGAACGGAAGAAAGTATTCACAAACTATCCATCTGGTAGGAAATCCGTAACTGAAATATATGAGGAACTCAAGTCAGTAGCAAAAAACCCAAATAATTCAATTTAAAAATGGGCAAAAGAACTAAAAATAGATCTACCATTTGATCCAGCATTCTCACTGCTGCATATCTACCCAAAATAAATCATTTATCAAAAGGATACCTGCAATTGTTTATCATAGCACTATTCACAATAGTAAATATATGGAATCAACCTAGGTGTCTATCAATGGATGACGTTTAGAAATGTGATGTATGTATACATGTATGTTTTTAGAAATGTGATGTGTGTATATATATATACACACTACATATGTATGTAGTATATATATCATACAATATACATGTAGTATATATTATACAATATATACTATATGTATTGCATATATTATACAATATACCCAGCCATGGAAAAAAAGAATTAAATTATGTCTTTTGAATCAACATAGATGGAACTAGAGGCCATTATCCTAAGTAAAATAACTCAGAGACAGTCAGACACTGCATGTTCTCACTTATAATAATAAATAATGTGTAAACATGAACACAAAGAATGGAATAATATAAAATGGAGGCCTAGAAATGTGGGAAGTGGGAGGTGGGTGAGGAATGAGAAATTACTTAAAGGATAAAATGTACACTATTCGGGTGGTGCTTACATTAGAATCCCAAACTTCACCACTCTACAAGGTATCCATGTAACAAAACTGCACTTATACCTCCTAAATCTATTAAAACAAAACAAAACAAACAAAGCGATTAATCGTTTTTAAAAAATGGGCAAAATATATGAATAGACATTTCTTAAAAAGAAGACATATAAATGGCCAACAGGTATGTGAAAAAATATTCAACATCACTAATCAACAAAGAAAAGCAAATCAAAACTGCAAGGAGATACCATCTCATCCTACTTGAAATGACTTTTATCAAAAAGATAGATTATGATGGATGCTCCAAGAATGTAGAGAAAAGGGAAATCTTGTACACTGTTGATGGAAATGTAAATTAGTAAAGCCAGTGTGAAAAAAATATGGAGGCTTTTCAATAAAACTAAACATAGAACCGCCGTATGATCTAGCAATCCCACTACTGGACATATATCCAGAAAAAAAGATTTCAATATATGAAGAAATACCTGCATTCACGTGTTTATTGAGGCACTATTCACAATAGCCAAAATATAAACTCAACCTAATTGTCCATCAAAGGTTGAATGGGTAAAAAATGTGGTATATATACACAATAGAATATTATTCAGCCATAGAAAAGAAGAAAATCCTATCATTCACAGAAGCATGGATGGAACTGGAGGTCACTGCAAGTGAAATAAGCCAAACACACAAAGACAAATATTGCATGTTCTCACTCATATGTGTAAGCGAAAAAAGAGGCCCTCATGAAAATAATATATTGGAGATTATCAGAGGTCAGGAAATGTGTGAGTTGAGATGAAGAGAGTTTGATCAATTGATACAAAAATACAGTTAGAAGAAATAGGACTTAATGTTTGATATGTCTGTAGGGTGACTACAGTTAATAATAGTCTGCTGTGTACTTCAAAATAGCTAAAAGAGAAGAATACAAATGTTGCCAGTATAAAAAAGATAAATATTTGAGATGATAGATATTTCAATTACCCTGATTTGACTATTACATATTGTATGCATGTAACAAAAATATTACATGTACATGTACCCCCCAAAATATGTACATCTATTATATATCAATTAAAAAGAATATTCATGTAGAAAATGAAACTCAGCAATGTTGGAGTAGATAAAATAAACACAACACTTTAGGTTCTCTGCTTAAAATACGGCAAAAGAAATTTTTACAAGCAAATCAAAATTATAAAAATTAATGCCATGAACCACCTAGATAGCAAGAAGTGCCTAAACTCAGAAAGCAGCAGTGAGAGTCAAATGTAAGGATACATAAAATATTACATACAAGTTATGGTCACATGTGTATATTAAGAGTGGAAAAGAAAAGAATTAGATACAACTCAATTTCCAGTTTTTGCCACTGCAATTAAGGGAGACCTGTGAATAGAAACGGTGAGAGAAGTAAGCAGGACTGCAAGGAAATGAAGAAGAGAAAATAGTTCGGACAAGCTGAAAGATATCAAAATGGGAATATATGGGATGACATTAGAGAAGGAGAAATAGAAGTTTCAAAAAATAGCCAGTAAGAAAAATTATCAAAGCTTGAGCAGTAGCATTTAATAGGACAAAATGGCAGGGTGAAGGGAAGCAATAAGGAAAGAAGAAATGTAAGCAATATTACTGCTTTATATTTGTCATTAGTCTATAAACTTCTGTCAATTTTCTCTCACTTATGTTCTTATTTTTTGATTAGATAATATGTTTTAAAATAACCCAAAACTTGAGGTGAACATCATATTATTTCCTCTATCCTCCTATTTTCTTCTGTATCTCAAAACTATCCCCACAGATAACCCGTGGTTTCGTGCATTGCATATCCTTCCAGAATTTCCATTCTTAATGCAAAATTGTATTAGATACATATTATTTTTTGCCTTGCATTTTCACTTTAGTATATTTATTCAAGCACAAGATACACATTATTTAATATACTCACTCATTCCTTTCCTTTCTGGAGACACACAGCGGTCTACTGTGTAGCTACAACAAAATTTATTTAAACCCCCTAGTGGTGGAAACTAAGAGGTAGACTGTCTTTCCCCACTTTTTTTTTTTAGATGGAGTTTCACTCTTGTTGCCCAGACTGGAGTGCAATGGCATGGCATGATCTCTGCTCACTGCAATCTCCGTCTCCCAGATTCAAGCAATTCTCCTGCCTCAGCCTCCCAAGTAACTGAGATTACAGGCATGCACCACCAGGCCCGGCTAATTTTTTGTATTTTTAGTAGAGACGGGGTTTCTCCATGTTAGTCAGGCTGGTCTTGAACTCCCGACCTCAGGTGATTTGCCTACCTCGGCCTCCCAGGCGTGAGCCACCATGCCCGGCCTGTCTTTCTCCTTTTTAAATCCCTTTTCTACTCAGTTTTGCTTCTTATATCTTTCCTTTCCAATCATTATCTTTCAGAACAAAATAGAAAAATCTTATGAAAAAATAAATAAACCATCATGAAAAATTAGCCAGTAGTAAAATTACTAATGCCAAAAAAATTAAGAATATGCGAATTCAAAGAAGTTACTACTCTTTACTACACAATGTCATAACATTTATTATTAATTAGTTGCTTAACTTCTTTTTAAACAACTTTTTAAACTTTTATTTTAGATACAGGGAGTACATGTGCAGGTTTGTTACATGGGTATATCGTGTGATGCTGAGGCTTGGAGTACAAATGATCCTGTCACCCAGGTACTGAGCATAGTACCCAATAGTTTTTCAAGCATCCTTCTTTCCTCCCTCTAGTCGTTTCCAGTGTCTATTGTTATCTTTATGTCCATGAGTACCGGATGTTTAGCTCTCACTTGTAAGTGAGAACATGCAGTATTTGGTTTTCTGTTTCTGCATTAATTCACTTAGTATAATGCCTCCAGCTGTATCCATGTTGCTGCAAAGGACATAACTGGCTGCATGGTGTATAAGTATCACACTTTATCTAATCCACCGTCAGTGGGCACCTAGGTTGACTCCAAGTCTTTTCTATTGCTAATAGTGCTGCAATGAACATAGGCATACAACATGTGTCTTTTTGGTAGAATGATCTATTTTCCTTTGGATATATATGCAGCAATGGGATTGCTGGTTTGAATGGTCCTCTGTATTAACTTCTTTGGGAAATCTCCAAAATACTTTCAACAGTGGCTGAATTAATTCACATTCTCACCAACAATGTGCAAGCATTCCCTTTTCTTCGCAGTCTTGCCAGAATCTGTAGGTTTTTTTTTTTTTTTTTTTTTTTGAGTTATTTATGATAGGTATTCTGACTGATGTGAGATGGTTTCTCATTGTGGTTTTGATTTGCATTTCTCTGATGATTAGTGATGCTGAACATGTTTTAATATGTTTTTTGGCCACCTCTATGTCTTCTTTTGAGAAGTGTCTGTTCTTGTCTCTTGCCCACTTTTTAATGGGGTTGTTTTTTGCTTCTTGAATTAAGTTCCTTATAGATTCTGGATATTAGATTTGTGTTGGATGCATAGTTTTAATTGTTTAATTCCATACTGGCAATTAATCTCATTTAGAATTTAAAAACAACCCATCAAATTATTTTGTTCATACCAAATATCTATTCAGTTTGTAGATTAAGTAAATGTTTCCAAAATTTCTAATATATATAGTTTTTTAGGGCCAATGCAATAGAATAACATGAGAACCTGCATTGGCCATTAAAACATGATAAACTCCCAAGCACCCAAAACAATCTGTGGTTCTGTCTCCTGCATTTCCACCGTTTAACCCTTACTAAATACAGAAAGAGAGGGAATACAACCACAAAATAACTTTGGGTCATGCTTGGTATAGTAAAAGAATTATGTATTATTAATTTTGTGACAACATTTTGGTGATCTACTTAGACTCCTAGTCTCCTCTTCTGAACCTTAGATGAAAAGAAGAAGAAGATTATTGACTCCATCAAATTTATTTATTTATTTATTTATTTTTAATTTTTTTTTTTTTTTTTTTTTTGAGATTGAGTCTCACTCTGTTGCCCAGGCTGGAGTGCAGTGGCGCCATCTTGGCTCACTGCAAGCTCCACCTGCCAGGTCACGCCATTCTCCTGCCTCAGCCATCTGAGTAGCTGGGACTACAGGCACCCGCCACCACTCTGGGCTAATTTTTTTTTTTTTTTCTTCAGTAGAGACGTGGTTTAACCATGTTAGCCAGGATGGTCTCAGTCTCCTGACCTCGTAATCTGCCTGCCTTGGCCTCCCAAAGTGCTGGGATTACAGGCATGATCCACTGCGCCCAGCCAAATCCATCAAATTTATAATCAACTTCTTCTGTGATGGAATCACATCGCTGAGGTGTGCCTGGCTAGCCCGGAACTACCTTTCCCTGCTCCTCTTGTGTTCAGGTGATGAGCTATCACCAACCAACCAACCAACCAACCAACCAAACACGACTTTTTTCTATTGCGTTACTTGTTTGTAAAGGAAATTATGAAACAGGTTTGTTGGTGTGTCCTTTCTGTTTCTGCCAGCTGGATATAGATGAAGATGAGACACTGGGGTGGGGAGTTGGGGGAAGTTTCTAAATATAAGAATCTTGTGATTCTATGTCAGGACTGAATCAACATGTACAGGAAGTTTCCTGCTTACCTAGAATATTCCACTTGGGACTGTCATATGAGAATAACAGAAGATTCTATGATGCTAACTCACAAGGATTTGAGAATACAGAACTTTCAGCACCTACCAATATAACTGCAATTAATATGAAAAGTTCAGCACGTGAGTTCATGCAAAATTTACAATAGGACTTCTGAGTTTCTTTTTTTTTTTCTTTCTTTTCTTCAGAGTCTACAGATTTCACTGAATCAGATGACTGAGTTGAACTTGAGATGTGATCCAAAAAAGAAAGCTTCTGTAAAATTCCTGAAAGCTCTTTGGCAGCGCATTTCACTGTAGTGGGCATCTACACATCTGAGAAAATTTTGATAATGGGAACATGAAAGGGGATGATAGAGAAACAATGACACTCAGCAGAAGTAAAAGCTCTTAACACCTCTCATTTCAGCTTTATGAAGTGAAAAGTACAATACATACTCCCAAGATCATTCTGTCCTTTACTGGTAAACGACACTTGGTGCCAATAAATCTATGGAGAAATTATCAACTTTTGTTCCTACATCATACAAAAATATAGATTTCCCCATAATGTGACAATCGTATTTTTTCAAAAAAAAATTAATGATGCATTGCATGGTAGCAATTAGACCTAGAAAAGACAACGTGAACTTGGTGAAATACAAGGAACAAGATGACACAAACAAATCCTTTTGAATATTTGGTGTATATTCTACCCAATAAACACACATATCCTCCCCTATCTTATTTGTTCAATTCCCTTCTCTCCCTCAGTTGAAGCAATTGAAAGGAAAATCTTATTCTTAGCCACTATTTAGCATTCTCAGTAATTATTCACATTAGTTTCTGCTTAGTATCTGAAGCTTACATTCCCCAGATGATTATTTCTTGCTGCTTATGATAAGATATAAACTGGGTTCACATGAACAAGAATTATTATTTAATAAATACTTAATCTGTTTAAATAAACCTATATTTTTATCAGTAACATCTCTCAAAAATATTGTTTGGAAAGAGATCACCACTCTGGGGTGAAGAGAAGGGTGGAGATTTAAATATTAAATCTCCTATGACATAATTCTAATATATTTTGATAGAGGCATGCCCTACTGTTGTGAGTGTTACTTTATGAATAAACTGGGACCCAAAGAGATTTGGTAATCAAATAGTCAATAAATGTAATATTCCATGTATATGTGAAATTGTATAATTGAGCTTCAAACCTATTAAAAACTAAAGTGTTCATTTATATTCATAATTAGGGCATGAAATATGGAACATAAGAGAATTTGTTCTTTGGTGGTGTGTGTCTTCATCCATTCAGACTGCTATATAACAAAACACCATAAACTGGGCAGCTTACAAATAACAGAAATTTGTTTCTTACAGTTCTGGATACTGCGAGGTCCATGCTCAAGGTGCCGGCAGACTCTGTCTGGCAAGGGCTCACTTTCTGGTTCATAGATGCTGTCTTCTAATTGGGTTTTCACATGGTGGAATAGGGTCAAGGCAGCTCTCTGGGGCCCCGTTTATAAGGGCACTAATCCCATGTCAGAATGATTTCCTAACAACCCCACCTCCTAATGCCATCTCATTTGTGACTAAATTTATACATGTGAATTTTGGGGGGACACAGCATTCAGACCACAGCACTGTGCTAATTTACTCTGTAAATGAGGAGCAAGATAGGAACAAGAGATGTTTCAAAGCAGCTCTCCACAATCAACAGCCATGCATTCTCTCTTCACATATCTGACTTTTAACCTCTCAGAGACATGTTTTCTCATAGAAGAATAAAGTTTTCTATGGTAGCTGAAACTTTTCTCTGCGTGTCTCAGCTCAGGTTATGTTGCCTAATTTAAATCACGAGAAATATGACCTCAGCTCATGCCTTCTATAGAACAAGTTAGCACACCAAGAACACATTCCCTTCTGCTGTATCTCTTATGCCCTGACTATGAATATAAATGAGCACAGCTTGTGTTTAAATGCATTTTACATCCTATTATAAATATCACACACATTTGAAATGTAGCATTCATGGACTATTTGATCATCAAACACTCTGGATTTCAGTCTATTTATAAATTACACCCATTACTGTGGAACATGTCATTAGTAAAACATATTAGAATGATAAGATGAGAGATGCATTCTTTACTATTGCATGCCTCCTCTGCCCTCCCTGTGGTGGTAGTCTCTTTCCACATAATCATTTTCTTTAACAGATGTTACTGTTAGTAGTTTGCAGATGTAAATTATGTTGAAACATTAACATCTTTGGAATCTTGGACTAATGTCCCTGACTCTGTGAAATAATCTATGTTAATAATAAACTCCTTCATAAGTCTAGTACCACCACAGAATTCTTCCCATACATTTCCTTCTCTTGACTACCCTGACCACCATGCCTAGCCTGGTTCTCTCCCACCATGCATCATGTCAGATTCTAAGAAAATTTTCTCAGACTTCAAGAATCACTGAGTTTCCTCTATCACGTTTTCCTCATAGGATCTTTATCCTTTTCTTTACATTATTTATTTTATCCAGTGTTTTTGTTTGCTTATGTATTTTCAAATTAATTGAAAAACCTAAAAGAACACAAGCAAACGATTAAGTATGTTTTGGGTTCTGTTGTACTTGTTTGTAGAGTTCAGTGTTTTTCTGGGAGCTCAACATATGAGTACATTTTACCTAATTTAGAACACAATCTTATCCTTGATTCAGAGATAAGATTATATAAACAAATAGGACAAAAGGAGCTGCTATTAAAAAGTTCAAGATTTGATGTCCCTCTAAGGGGACACAGCAATAAAGACAATTTACAGCATGTACTTTTCACCAAAACATTTTTTAGTTGACATTTTTCTGCAAAACTACACATTTATTTGTACTCTTTTGGACAACCTTGAGTTGAAAATTTCAAAGTAAAAAGAGCCAACTTGTAGCTACTAAAAAGTGGAGGAGGACTTCGCTACCAATTTAGCTTTGGTGATGGCCATAAGTTAGCTTGAGAGATGGAAGAATAAGGTGATTCAGCAGAGGGCTTTTTCTGCAACTACCCCTTCTTAGATAGCCTTTCTACTCTACTTCAGTAGCATGCCCAATTGCCCTCCACCAAACATAAGGCCCAAGAAAAATCATCCCAATTCACAATGCCTCAAAACACATATTTTAATATAGGATATGCTGTTTCTATACTGTGTCTCAGAATGTACTCTTGCATTATATTTGCTACTGATAAAATAGCACCCTCAATGTATACAAAGACAAAACACTTGAATACTATCCAGTTATTATGGCTGTTCTGTTGATGAATTTCAGCTTCACTCCTGTGGCTATAAACTTTCAGTGCCTCATAGTTTTAACAGAGAAACAATGGCCTGAGTCAAACTATTATTTTTTTTCAGAAATAACATATAAGGCATATTAAATATTTATCTTGTCACCATAAAATAACAACCAAGAATTTAAAACAATACAAATTACTTTTTTAGACAGAAGACTGCAAACACAATATGTCTCAAAATATTTTACAACACTATTAGTAACTGATCAGGAGTCTTTATATCTTATCATCTAATGGCCTTTAATAACAATGCACATAATTGATCAAGCATTGAAGATTCAATTACTTTTCAGACAGATATGCATGTGACAACCATACGTTTATTTGATTTTCCTTCAGAGAGAAATGGCATTTTGAAACTCAAATATTCATATATAATGTAATTGTAGACAATATAAAAATGACTTGGCCTATGTCATTATTTGGAATAAAAACTTTTTATTTTATAAAATCTTTTCTTTTGTATCTCAAAATAATTCTGATCAAACCCTAATTAATATGGAAAGACATCTTCCAATTAATGCAGGTAGCAAAAAACAATCTGAATCAGGAAAAATGAAAGCCTTAAAAATTTATGGGATTAGTGCTGAGTGAATGCACCATAAATTTGTCAAGATTTTACACAATAAGCATGCTAAAACAGTCTACTGAGACTGAAAGTAGACATCAACAAAGAAGCATATCACGTAGGTAAGGGATTCTGAAATTTAAACACCTTTTTGATTTATACCCCTTGACTACTCATAAATAGATACTTCACCAGTCCACCCTCATGAGGTAGGTCTTATTTAAACACATTGATTTGAACTTCAGCTAAACATTTTTTGCAATTATAATGTCGTTGAATATCCATGCTAATGTCTCTTGAATATCCATGCTAATGGAGGAGAGCTTGGGCAGATAGAGAAAACTATAGTTCATTCAAACCACAAATCAAATTTTGTTTTAATCAGGATGCTGAAAACTTATTTACCAGTCTAGGGAAGATACCTTAGTACAGTCTATTTATCTTGCACCAGGGAGTGAATTTCTGTTATAGTCATCTTCATATGACTATCAACTGAATATACTGACTAAATACCTTTAACTTGAAAGTACTTTTTATAGGTAAGACATGCACATAGTTGATTTTATTTATTGTTCAAGGAGAGAACTATTAAATAAATCGTCCTATGTATGAAGCATGTCTTAGTCTGTCAGTTTGACAGTATAATAAAACAACTCAATCAGTAATAATAATTATAATTCATCTGAAATACTAAAGCAGCTTTTATATTTCTTAGAATCAAATGTTTAAATGTATTCAATTTAATTTACAAAGAATGTCATTTAAAATATGGTCTACTAGGTTTATATTATTAACATTTTATATGTAACATATAATACTCTTGAAAAAATTAGTGGTAATAAATTTACATAGATGGATAAATAGATAGACAGGCATAGACACTAAGTTAAACAGTAATATACATGGGAATGTATACTGACACATCTAGATTTGTGAGTCTTTGAACCTCAAAAATCCATAATGTAATTTGTATAGAGAAAATGGAGTCTGCAAAGAAGAGATTAGTAAACAGGCACCTGGAGACAGAGTGAATCAATGTGACATCTTTTTCACATAGAATAGTTCTGAACCCCAGCAAGACAGATTTTATAAAAACAAAACCTCCATAAGGTGACATAATATGAAGTCCCCGACTCATATACCCCTACAGCAACAGTAATTCTGCAACCATCTCCCACCAAAAGTGACTTTGTAGGAGCTTTGGGATCTAGGTAGGAGGTTGAAAAACCCCAGTAAAGTCATACACAAAAAAGGGCCATTTTGAGAAGGCAATCCCACATCCAGCTGGCAGGCTCAATGACTGTGGTCTTGGCTACAGATCTAGACACAGAAACTTCCCCTGTTCCTCAGCTACAGCACTGTTTGGCCTTTGCCACCAGCACCATCCACCAAGGGACTAGGGAGGACCCATGCACAATCATACCCCAGTTAATAGTGTCACTGAACCTGGTATGAGCTGAGGAACCTGAAGCAGCCTATGAACTGGCTCCAGCTCCTCTCAGTAGCAGTCTGGATGCAGTCCTGCCTGCCTATAGATCTGCCAGGAGACAAACTTATTCACGTCCCTAGAGGCAGGCCTACAGAATTCAGTCTCACTCCAGATTCTGACATAGCCCTGTGCCTCAGTTTCAGTTCCTCTCAGCTATGTTCTGAGAAAAATCCTTTCTGCCTGGGGATATACTGAGTGACATGCACATTCATACTCTCAGAGGAGACCTGCCAACCTTGTCCTGAAGCAATGCTGTTACCTTGCTCCAGCTCCACTTGGCCATGGTCCAGGAATAATCCTGCCTGCCCAGGAATCTGGCAGAAGGCATGCCCATCCATGCTCTTGAAGGCAGGCCTGCAGATACTGGTCTTAGCTCTGGGCCCTCAAGCAGCCCTGTGATTCTGTTCCAGTCTCTCTCAGCAGTGGTTTGGAGCCAATCCTACCCCAGGGGCATGCCCAATGACCTGGTGGGAGTACTCTTGGGGACTCATTGGAAGCGATTACTAGATGCATATCCGGCAACAGGTCCACCATCTATGAACCTTGAAAGAAACTCTCATCCCAGTGCCAGAGAACTGATTAAGGTCCTGGAGGCAGTGTAGTTGGTCCAGGGACAATGCAAGATCCACTCCCACTGGGGCCCTTGTAACAGGCCTACCAACCACAGAGCCCACTATTGGGCCAAGCAGCAGCCACGTGATTCAGCCCCAACCTTACTCAACTGCAAACCCAGAGGCAATCTCATCAGCTATGGATCCAACAGGAGAAGAGCTTTACTTGCTGAAAATAGTCTGTAAAAACTGGAAGAGGTGTTTGTTCCTTCAAATGCACAGACACCAATGCAAGACTACATAGATTATAAAGAATCAAGAAAACATGACAGCACTAAAGGAAACTAATAAAGCTCCAGTAACCAACTAAAAACAAATGTAATTGCCTGATAAATAATTCAAAACAGGCTGGGCACAGTGGTTCACACCTGTAATCCCAGCAATTTGGGAGGCCAAAGCGGGTGGATCACCTGAGGTCAGGAGTTTGAGACCAGCCTGGCCAACATGGTGAAACCCTGTCTCTACTAAAGCCTGGGCAACAAGAGCAAAACTCCATCTCAAATAATAATAATAATAATAATAATAATAATAATAATAATAATAATAATAATAATTCAAAACAGACATCTTACAAAAGCTAACTGAGATGCCAGAAAAGATAATAATAATAATAATTCAAAACAGACATCTTACAAAAGCTAACTGAGATGCCAGAAAAGACAGATAAGCAACTAAACAAAACTGGAAAAACAATGCATGAACAATATTAGAAGTTTAATAAAGAAATAGAGACCAGAAAGATAACCAAACAAATTCTGGAGTTGAAAAATATAATAAAAGAACTAAAAAAACATCAATATAGAACTTCAATATCAGACTCAGTTGTGTAGGAAAAGAATCAACAACCTGAAAAAAAAAAAAAGTCATTTGAAATTAGCAAGTTAGGGAAACATATAGAAAAAAAAAAAAAAAAAAGTGAAGAAAATGCACAGGTGCCATGAAACATTGTCAAGTGAATGAATATACAGCTTGTAAAATTTTCAGAAGGAGAAGAGAAATAAAAAGGTAAGATTGATTATTTTGAAAAATAATGGGCCAAGCACTGCTACTCAGGAGGCTGAGGCAGGAGAATCACTTGAACCTTGGTGGCAGAGGTTGCAGTGAGCCAAGATTGTGCCACTGCACTCCAGCCTGAGCTACAGAGTGACAGTCCGTCTAAATAAATAAATAAAGTCTAACTCCCAAATCTTGGGGAAAATATCAGTCTCCAGGTTCATGAATCTCAAAGGACACATGCAAGACAAATCTAAAGATTACATCTAGACATATAGTAATCAACTCATCAAAAGTTAGAATTTTAAAAGCAGCAGTAGAAAAGCAACTCATCACAGAAAAGGGAACCCCCTTAAAGCTATCAGTGGATTTTTTGGCAGAAATTTTGCAGGCAACAAAGGAATAGAATTGTATATTCAAAGTCCTGAAGAAAAAAGAAAAAAAAAAAATGCCAACCCAAAATAAAATACCTGACAAAGCTGTCCTTAAGAAATAAGAGAGAGAGATGCAGACCTTCCCAGACAAGAAAAACCTAATGTAATTGTCACCACTAGACTTGCCTTATAAGAAGTACAAATGGGGCTGGGCTTGGTGGCTCATGCCTATAATCCCAGCACTTTGGGAGGGAGAAATGGGCAGGCAGACCATAAGGTCAGGCGATCGAGATCGTCCTGGTCAACGTGTTGAAACCCCGTCTCTACTAAAAATACAAAAATTGGCTGGGCATGGTGGCACGTGCCTGTTATCCCAGCTACTTGGGAGGCTGAGGCAGGACAATTGCTTGAACCAGGGAGTCGGAGGTTGCGGTGAGCCAAGATCGTGCCACTGCACTCCAGCCTGGTGACAGAGTGAGACTGTCTAAAAAAAAAAAAAAAGAAATACAAAAGGTAGTCTTTCATAATGAAAAAAAAAAAGATGTTAAGTAACTATAAAAAAATAAGAAAGTATAAAATCTACTGGTAAAGATAAATATATATTCAAATTTAGAATTCCCTAATACTGTCATGGTGGTACATATATCACATTTAGCTCTAGTATAACAGTTAAAAGAAGAAAGTGTTAAAAATAACTATAGCTTGAATAATGGATATACAACACAAAAATATTTTATAATATTTTAATGGATACACAATATAAAAATATATAAAGTGTGTCATCAATAGCATAAAATGTTAGAGGAGGAGTAAAATTGTAGCATTTTATATGCAAATGAAGTTGTTATCATCTTAAAATAGTCTAATAACTATATTTTATATAAACTCCATGGTATTCATACAAAAAAAAAAAAAAAAACAGCCTGTAGGCAATCACAAAATATAGAGAGAAAGGAATCTAAGCTTTTACTAAAAAATTTAACAAACTACAACAAAGGCATTAAGAGAGGAAAAAGGAACTACAAATAGTCAGAAAACATTAACAAAATGGCAATATTAATATAACTGATATTCTTACCTATCAATAATACATTTAAATGTAAATGGATTAAATTCCTTAATCAAAGCACACAGAGATCTGCATAACAAAACAAGATGCAACAATATACTGCATATAAGTAGCTTGCTTTAGCTTTAAGGACACATATAGGATGAAAATGAAGGGATAGAAAAAGGTGTTCTATACGAATGATAACTAAATTAGAGAAGGATTTGCTATATTTAGACAGAGTAGACTGTCTTAGAATATCTGTGCTACTGTAGGAAAGGTCATTAACTGGGTAAGTTATAAACAACAGAAATATATTTCTTATGATTCTAGAAGTTGGGAATTCTAAAAGTTGCTGGAAAATTTAGTGTATGGTAAGGGCCCACTTTCTGGTTCATACATGGTGCCTTCTAGCTGTGTTCTCACATAGTGGAGAAGGGACAACACAGCTCTCTGGGGCCATTTTTATAAGAACACTAATCTTATTCATGAGGGATACACTTATTACTGCCCTCATATACTTACTACTTTCCAACAACTCCACCTCATTATACCTCCATATTATTGATTAGAATTTAATGTGTGAATTTGGAGGAAGACACAGATATTCAGACCATAGCACAGGTCATCAGTCAAAATCTGTTACAAAAGACAGGGTCACTATTTAATAGCTTTATTAGGCTGTTCTTGCATTTCTATACACTAACAATTAACTATTAGAAAAAGAAATGTAAAAATAATACCATTTACAATAGCATCAAAATTAGTAAAATATCTAGGAACACATTTAACTAAGAGGGTCAAACAGCTGTACAATTTAGGACATTGGTGAAAAAAAAATTGGAAATGACATAAATAAATGGAAAGATGTCTTACGTTCATAGATTGGAAGTATGAATATTGTTAAAATATCCTTATTCCCTAAAGCTATCTAAAGAGTTAGCACATTCCCTTTAAAAAAAAAACCCAAAGGCATTTTTCACAGAAATAGAAAAAAATTATAAAACGTGTATGGAATCACAAAAGACCCTTAATAGCCAAAGCAATCTTGAAAAAGAAGGCCAAACTGTAAATATCACACTGCTTATTTCAAACTACTACATACCCATAGTAATCAAAACAGCATGGTACGGGCACAAAAGCAGACATATAGACAAAAGCCACACAATATCAGACCCAGAAACATCCCACACATATACAGTTAACTAATCTTTAATAAGGGTTCCAAGAATACGCATTGTTGTAAGGATAGTGCCTTCATTAATTTGTGAGAAGAAACTGGTTATTCACTTGAAAAATAATGAAACTGGACCCTTATCTTACACCATACACATAAATTAGATCGAATTAAATGTGACCAGGCACAGTGGCTCGTGCGTGTAATCCCAGCAATTTGGGAGGCCATGATCAGAGGATCACTTGAGCCCAGCAATTCAAGATCAGCCTAGGCAAGATCGTGAGACCTTGTCTTTACAAAAAATTTTAAAAAGTAGTCTGGCGTGGTGGCCCATGCCTGTCGTCCCAGCTATTCAGGAGGTTGAGGTAGGAGGATTGCTTGAGACTGGGAGGTTGAGGCTGCAGTGAGCCTAGATTGCATCGCTGTACTCTAGCTGCAATGTGGACTCTGTCTCAAAACAAAAACAAAACAAAAACAACAACAACAAGAAGAGTTAAATGTAAGATTTGAAACTGTAAAACTCCCAAAAGAAAACATAGGAGGAAAGATTTTTAACAGTGGTTGTAGCAATGATTTCCTGTAGATGATATGGAAAGCACAGGCAAGAGAAGCAAAAATAAACAAGTGGGACTGTATAAAACTAAAGAAAGCTTCTGCACAGCAGAGAAAAGAAGCAACAAAATGCAAAGGCAACCTGAAAATTGGGAGAAAGTATTTGCAAACCATGTATCCAGTAAGAGGCTAATATTGAAATATATAAGAAACTCTGTCAGGCACAGTGGCTCACGCTTGTAATCCCAGCACTTTGGGAGGCCGAGGTAGGTGCATCACGAGGTCAGGAGTTTGAGACCAGTCTGGCCAACATGGTGAAACCCTGTCTCTACTAAAAATACAAAAATTAGCTGGGTGTGGTGGCAGATGCCTGTAATCCCAGCTACTTGGGAGGCTGAGACAGGAGAATCTTTTGAACCCGGGAGGCAGAGGTTGCAGTGAGCCGAGATTGCGCCATTCCACTCCAGCCTGGGCGACAGGGTGAGACTCTGTCTCAAAAACACAAAACAAAACAAAACAAAAAAAGAAACTCTTACCACTCTGTACAAAAATACAAATAACCTGACTTAAACAGGGCAAAGATTCTAAGCAGACATTTTTCCAAAGAAGGTGTACAAATGGCCTGGCCAACAGGCATATGCAAAGGTGCTCAACACCATTAATTATCAAGGAAATCCAAATCAAAACCACAATGAGGTATTACTGCATACCTGTTAGGATGGCTATTATCAAAAAGACAAGAGATAATAGGTGTCAGCCAGGATGTGGAGAAAAGAGAACCCTCGTACACTCTTGGTGTACACTCGGGTGAAAATGTAAATTGGTACACCTATTATAAAAAACAGCATGGATGTTTCTAAATAATTAAAAATATAACTATTATTTAATCCAGCAATATCACTTCTGGGCATACATGCAAAGAAAATGAATGTAATATGTTGAAGAAATACCTGCATTTCCATATTTATTGCAGCATTTTTCTTATTAGCCAAGATGTAGAATAAATTTGTATAAATAATACAACTATGTTAGGTGATGGATGTGTTAATTAACTTGATTGTGGTAATCATTTCATAATGTATAGATATATCAAACCACCACACTGTATACCTTAAATCCATCAATAAAACTGAAAGAATTTTAAAAAAAGAAACAAAATTTAAAAACAGGTGGGTCAACCAGGGGATGAATCTTCCTTCCTTCCTTCCTTCCTTCCTTTCCTTCCTTCCTTTTCTTCTTTCCTTCCTTATTTCCTTCCTTATTTTCTTCTTTCCTTCCTTATTTCCTTCCCTCCTTCCTTCCTTCCTTATTTCCTTCCTTTCCTTCCTTCCTTTCTTTTTTCTCTCTTTCTTTCTTTCTTTCTTTCTTTCTTTCTTTCTTTCTTTCTTTCTTTCTTTTTCTTTCTCTTTCTTTTTCTTTCTTTTCTTTCTACTTTCTTTTCTTTTTTACTTTCATCTATTTCATCTTCTTTTCTTTTTTACTTTCATCTATTTCATCTATTTCATCTATTCTCTTTTATACTTTTCATGAGAGTTCATAGGATAATTGCGAAACATGTAAAGCAGAGAGGATTTTTTTTTCTTTTTACAACAAATAGAAAAAACAGGTGATGCCATTTGGGCTTCTTCAGCCTCAGGAACTCAATTTCTCTTTTCAAGGATACAGGTGGCAGTGAAAGGAGGAAAGGATCAACACTCATTTTCAAAAGCCCATGTCAGTAGTTGATATTACAAAGTAGAGTAAAATGAAAGAAAGACAATAAAATTTAAAATATTATTTCTAATTATACATGATATTCCCTGAAAGACTACTAAAAATGATACAGGAGAAAGGACTTTTAATGGGTTTTGAGTTACTGTGTTATGTAGGTAGAAGAAAAGAGGCAGTTAATTTGGAGATATTATTGTTATTTTTATGTGTAAACATAACTCTATTAGGTCTACACACACACACACCTGCGTGTATGTGTGTGTGTGTCTCTGAAATGTACATTCAGATGTCTTTATTGACTTTGTGACAATTATAATAATGGCAGCAATCTGGAATGCTAAAAGCTATAAAGAAAACACAAATTTATCTGCTAATTCATAAGTATATTTCTCTTTTTTTTTTTTTTTTTGAAACGGCGTCTCACTCTGTCGCCCAGGCTGGAGTGCAGTGGGGTGATCTCGGCTCACTGCAAGCTCTGCCTCCCGGGTTCATGCCATTCTCCTGCCTCAGCCTCCCAAGTAGCTGGAATTACAGGTGCCCACCATCATGCCCGGTTAATTTTTTGTATTCTTAGTAGAGATGGGGTTTCACCATGTTAGCCAGGATAGTCTCTATCTACTGACCTCGTGATCCGCTCACCTTGGCCTCCCAGAGTGCCGGGATTATAGGCGTGAGCCACCGCGCCTGGCTGAGTATATTTCTTTATACTGAACGTATTAGTTTGCTAGGGTTACTGTAACAAAGTACCACAGATTGTGTAAAATGAACAATATAATTTTTTTCTCACAGTTCTTGAGGCTAAAAGTATGAGAACAAGCTGTCAGCAGGTTGGTTACCTCTGAGGGCTATGAGAGAAGAATCTATTCTAGATCTCTCTCCTTGGCTTGATTGCCATCTTTTTTTGTGTCTTTACATAGTCTTACCTCTGTAGGTGTATTCAGTCATTCCCACTTATCCATAGTCTCAATTTTCACAGTTTTAATTATCTATAGCCATCTACAGCCCAAAAATATTAACTGGAATATTCCAGAAACAAACAAGTTATAAGTTTTACATTATGCTCTGTTGTGATTTGTGTAATAAAATCTGGTCCCATACCACTCTGTCCCTCCTGGAACATGAATTATCCCTTTGTCCAGCATAACTCTGCTATGTACCCTACCTGCCTATTAGTTGGTGAAATTGTCTGCTCATGGCATCTAACCATCAACGTCTTCATGGCTCAATGATCCAGGATTACCGGAAGCAGATAATTCCCCTTCTGACATATTTCAGAAGGTTAATAGTAGCTTAATATTATGTTACAATATCTAAGTCATTCATATCATTTCATTTCATTATGTAGGAATTTTATCATCTAACACTATCACAAGAAGGATGATGATAGTACAAAATATCTCAAAAAAGATATTTTGAGAGAGAGACCACATTCACATAATTTTTATTATAGTTTTTTATAATTTGTTCTCTTTCATTATTAGTTATTGTTAATCTTTTACTATACCTAATTTTAAAAATAATCTATATCATAGGTATTTATAGGAGAAAACAGTACATATAGGATTCTCTACTGTCCATAATTTCAGGCATCCATGGTGGGTCTTAGAATGTATACCCTGTGAGTAAAGGAAAACTAAATTCAAATTTTCTCTTTTGTAAATTCAAATTAGTAAATTGAAATTTCCTCTTCTTAGAGAACACCAGTCATGTTGGATAAAGGTGCTCCTAGTGAATTCATGTTAGCTTAGTTATCCTTGTAAAAACCTTTTCTGCAAAAACATTCTGAGGTGATGAGGGTTAGGAATTTTGTGGGGGACACAACTTGCCCATAATAGTGAATTATTATTTTTATCTTCTAAATGATGATGTTAGTTTCAATTTTTTTAACTTAGGAATGTGTTGACATTATCTGCTTAGTAGGGTTGGATGGCAGGAAGTAAAGGAAAACCATTTCTCAGAATGTTTCTTATATAACTTGCTTTTAATAAAGTATCTATTTTATTTTCATTGGCTGAATCTAAATCTATACCTTGAGTTAGTCTTTTATAATATGCTGAAGATATGTGACCTGTGAAAGTCCTCCTAAGAACATCATCCATATTTTTACTTAACATTTTTTTCTGTTTATGTTTAAAAAAGAATCGCTTTCCACACACACAGCATCTTAGAAAAACACCTTTCAAAACAGTTAGTAGACTGATTGTTTTTGCTTGACTTGCTCAGAGTTCAATGCTGTTCACAGTAATAACTCTGGCTTTTGATAAGCAGTTTAAACATGAATCAAAGAGGCTGTAAATGAGTCAAAGAGCATCAGGACTGTTTTTAACTACAAATGAGATGTCTAGAAAATGCTTGTCAATACACTGAAGCTGCCAAGTGTAGTTGCTGATTTATGACATCACTGCCAGCAGCCCTGCATCTTAGAAATTTGGGTCCCAAGAATACAAATAAACTAGTTTGAGGGAAGTTGAGGATGGTTTCCATAGGCTGAGAAAGAAATGTATTTTGCTATTTTGAGTATAAAATCTTGAAAAGATAATGGTTATATAAAATTATATTTTGTATAAGATTTCATTATTTTCAAAGTAGTTTTCTTATCTGATACTAAATTGAGTTAGCATCAAATAAGACACTAAGTTAAACCTTAAAAAGCCTTATATAGGATTGCTTATTTTGAAGTTAAATAAAAATTCTGAATATCTCATGTAAATTCAGGCTCTAGCATTTACTCACTTTGAAAACTCAGTGGCTTCCTTTTCCTTTGTATCTAATATTTATTTTATTATTCTTTTCTGAAAAAATTAAGACATGGGGATAAATAAATTGAAGTTCTCTTACAATCTAATACAATATTGTTATTCAATATTTCGGATGTCTCTATTAGGAATGGCACAATAAACAGAGATAACTGAAAAAAATGTAAATAAACCGAATAGAGTTCATAAACTACCCTATTGATTCAATGCCCCAAAGAGTTATCTCCTTTTCCTATGCATTGTAATATAGAAGGCCACCAACACTGAGACTTCAGTTGAAAATTTGTAGTCATCAACATTTCAAAAAGTGTGAACCGTAGTTGTGCATCAATATTCAAAAGCCTACAGAAAAAAAAAAAAAGTAACACTGCAGCTTTTTACTTTGTAGGGAAAGAAACCATTTTCATGTTCACCCAAAATGACTTGGCAAGAACCCATTGCTCTATTTCACTCAATCCTGGGCTCTGGTAATTTTGAGGATTTTAAAATTCTTCTTCTCTTGAAATGAGAACACTGAACATCCTGTGGACCTTAAACTTTTTGGTGTTCTGTTCTCTAAAGCACCACACAAGAGATCCAGTTGAAATTATGTTATTCTTGCAGAGATGAGTATTAGCCATAATGGCAGAGGAAGAGTGAATTGCAAATGGATTCTCATGGGTTGAGCACAAATAAGTTCATATTAACTGATCATATAAAATTGGTGATGTGTGAGATCACTAACATCAAGAGGTTGGTATATCATAGGAAACTTTTTATTTCATCTCATAATATACTCTTCTTATAACCATATACTCAGTAAACAATTGGTTTAGTATAATTATTATTGAGACATTAAAAGCAAAAGTGTAAAATTTTAAAACGTACCTTATTTCATAACATAAAATAAGCCATGAAAATATTAATCTTATGAAACCTCTCCCTCACATATATTGACAGATAAATCTGCATCTCTGTCTCTATCATCTCTATCTCTGTCTATACCTATTAAATTTCTGTCTATAGGTATAGGTATAACATGCCATTATGGTTTGTTTGACTAAGAATTGGAATCCTAAGTTCTTCTCTTTCCCAACAGTCATATTTTTAGGCAGAATGTGTAGAAGCTGAAAATAGATCCCCCTTCCTAACTGTGTGTCACATTGGCAAGTTTTACAATTTAAAAGTAGGGAAAATGTTAAACCACCCTAACAACATGGTTGTGGCAATTGAAAGATATTATATATGTAAAATATTTAAAATAAATCTTAGCATGAGTATTAGGCTCAATAATTAGTGATTACGAGAATAATTATGATTATGATGCTAATTCTTGTTTCTCTGCTGTAAACAAATAGGAGTATTCATGCTTACATAAAATCTTCTGGTTTTAATTTTTTGGTTATAGATTTAGTTTTTAATGACAATCCTTCAGGTAAAAGAAAATACATCCTTTTATAAGTCATAAATATGGCTAATATATAGAAAAACCACAAAAGGAGTCTGTATGTCTTGATCATCAATACACCACTTTTTCTTCTCACTAAACAGTTGGTAAAAAGTTAAAAGCATCCTCTATCTTTGTAGTAAATTAGAAACGTAAAGTGATGCACTTGAAATTATTGCCTTGGTGCCTGAAATTGTTTAAAAATAATTGAGGAAATATTGTGGAATTGCATTCAGTTGGAATTAGGCTTCATCTTCTGGTGACTCACTTGACACAAACATATTATCTCAGAATTCGCCTTTGCTATTGTTTTCCTTTGCCAAACTCTGTTCACTGAAGAAATAATAAGCATAACAGCGCAGCAATATCTTTAAAAGAATGGTTACATAATAAGTAGTCAACTAGTATACATTTGAAAACCTTGTTAGCCTATGTTGTGATACTAAAGCTTTTGAAACATAAATTAATAAGGTATAAATGAATATTTTGTAGTGATAGATGATACAGAAATCCTGTGGTATTTCTCAATCTTTTTTCTATATGCATGCTAGTAGAAGTTCCTTAAACCCTAAAGACAATTAGCACTTCTCTCTTAAAGACTTACAAAACTTAAATGTGTTATTACTTGTAAAGTGCTTTAAAATGCACAGTAGGGACTCAGCAAATTGTAAGGGCTCAACGTAATTTTTGAAATAATGATTATTGTTATGATGATTATTATACAAATTCTTATGTATATTATACCTGGACTTATACTTAACTTTATGTATCAGCTATTCAAATGTATCAGTCTCAGCTTCAGCCAAAAACAAAACAAAAGATAACATTTTATTACAGGACACTTTATTATTTTTACATACCTTTCATGAGGATCTCTCAGAAATAAAAAGTGCAGGAAGTGATACTATTTGAGCATTCTAGTTGAAGTGAAGTCATTGGAGATTTCTACTTCAATTGACATAACAGAGATAACACTTCACAAAAGAGTACACTCTTACTAACACAGCCTGTTAGATAGAAGAGCATAATAATAATAATTATTATTATTATTTTTTGAGACAGGGTCACTCTCTGTCGCCCAGGCTGGAGTGCAGTGGCACAATCTCGGCTCACTGCAACCTCTGCTTCCCAGGTTCAAGTGATTCTTCTGCCTTAGCCTCGAGAGTAGATGGGATTACAGCATGCGCCACCATGCCCAGCTAATTTTTAATAGAGACGGGGTTTCACCATATTGGCTAGGCTGGTCTCGAACTCCTGACCTCATGATCCACCCACTTCAGCCTCCCAAAGTGCTGGGATTATAGGCATGAGCCACCGTGCCCGGCCAAAATTTTTAAGAGAGAATATTTGAGAAAAGTGTTTTAGTGATTTTTATTTTTCTGTTTCCGCCATTGAATGCTGCAGTAATTTAAGGTGAAACCAAAAAGAGAAGTTTTGCAGTAGAGATATGTCATCTTATTTCTGTTCAGCTTATCATTCTTCCATGTTACTACCTGCTAGCAACACTAGTGTACCAGTTTCTGACTGCCTTGTTATAAAATGCTACCATGTACCAGTGTGCATCTTACTATTGCTGGCGTGCTGGCTATAGTTTTAAAAAGATAGCTCTCTTCTTGAATTCACAATGTCTCCAAATGGCCTTCTCCTTTCCACTTCTGAATGCTTTCATCCATTCTTCATATAACTGTCAGCATAATTTTAAACAAATCATATTATATCACTCTAGTTAAAACAGTCCAATGGCTTTCAATTGTACTGGGAAGGAATTCAAAGCTCCCTACTGTGGCTTACAAGGATGTCCTGCCCTAACTGCTGATCTCTCCGACATCATATCATATACTCTGAGCATTCACCAGGCTCCAGCTATGCCAGCCTTCCTTCTGTTCTTCCCACCTCCATAGTTTGCTGGCCTCAGAGACTTGGAACTGGCTCCTGCATTTTTCTATAATACTCTTTCACAGTATTTTTTATATGTTTGGCCCCATATTATCATCAAATGATCTGTTCAAATGCAACTTTCATAGACATCTTCCATACACTAGAAAATCTGAAGTAGCCTGCTCATCCGTATAGTTTTTCTAACCATAATTCCTATAAAATAGCATCACCTGGGTATTTAAAACAAAATAGAGAAATATTCCTTGGCCTATCATCCAGACCAATTAAAATTTTAAAATGTTAGGATGGAGTTAGAACATCATAAAAATTTTAACAGAAGGAAGGTTGAAGAGTGCTTTTGAAACAAAGGATTAATAATTCTATCCAAAAATGTATGAAATAAATCTGCCAATTTCTAAACATCTAATTGGATTATCTATATGTTTGAGTTCTTGACTAGGCACATTTTCTCATACCTGTAATCCCAGCATTTTTTTAGGCTGAGGCAGGTGGATTGCTTGAGCTTAGGAGTTTGAGACCACCCTGTGCAACATGGCGAAACCCTGGCTCTAACAAAAAGTACAAAAATTAGTCAGGTGTAGTGGCACATGCCTGTGGTCCCAGCTACTTGGAAGGCTGAGGTGGGAAGATCACTTGAACCGAGGAGGGTAAAGCTGCAGTGAGCCATGACCACGCTACAGCACTCCAGCCTGGGCACCAAAGCAAGACCCTGTCTCAAAAAAAAAAAAAAAAATGAGTTCTTTAGAAATAGAGCCTAAGATGAGGATTGGGTGAAAGTGATTTATTAGAATGTTAAGCTGGTAGTAAAGTAGCAAAGTGAGGCAAATGTAAGTGTAATGTCAAGCACAGCTCCATGGAAAGTAACTTGGGTTTGATCTTACAGAAAAATTCTAAAAACCCTATAAGTGATGCTGCTGAATTGTTCCTCTTTTCCTCTTTTTTACTTATTTATTTATTTGAGATGGAGTCTCGCTCTGTCGCACAGGCTGGAGGGCATTGGCGCGATCTTGGCTCACTGCAAGCTCCGCCTCCCGGATTCACGCCATTCTCCTGCCTCAGCCTCCCGAGTAGCTGGGACTACAGGCGCCCGCCACCAAGACTGGCTAATTTTTATCTTTATTTTATTATTTTTTTTATTTTTAGTAGAGATGGGGGTTTCACCGTGTTAGCCAGGATGGTCTCGATCTCCTGACCTTGTGATCCGCCTGCCGCGGCCTCCGGAAGTGCTGGGATTACAGGCGTTAGCCACCGCGCCTGGCTGAGTAGTTCCTCTTAAAGGTCCCACTTCCAAATACTACCTAGCCAATTAAATTTCAACATGAGTTTTGGCAAAGACATTTTAAACCATAGCAAGCACTGAGAACATTTTCCACTATATGTCATGTAGACAAAGACAAAATTCATGTGCCCAAGTTCTTCTGAAAAGTGCACTAATGATAAATATTAAGCATTTTATTCTGTTAAATAATATTTTACTGGAGTATCAGAATACAGAAAATACCCATTTGAGTGATAGAATTACTATAATTAAATATTTTATTCTATTATAAAATAACATATTTCAATGTGTTGTAGTTCATAGGCCTATGCAGAGCTATTTAAATATGTACATTTAAATAATTTTATGAATGTTTGAAAAATCATGTCCCATCAATCTTCTCCAAAGATAATTTAATTTGTTTCTGACAAAAGTGCCAAATAGGTGATAGACGCATAAAGTACACAAGTTCTAATTCTGTTTTATGTAGAGCCAAATAATTTGAGGTTGTGTTTTTTCTATATTCCAAAGCTGACTCAAAGCATTTTTCCTTGACCAACAAACAAAAGAGAATTTAAATGCAGATCGTTATGTTGACAGCACAGCTGTCTAATTCAATGTGACACTGATGCAAGTAAGAAGAAAGGAGCCAAAATGACACATTTAAGATATCCTCTTTAAAGTTCAATTCCATTTTACATACTATTCTTCCACTTTGTACAACTATGCATTATCTTAGAATCACACCAATTTGATTCTTCTTGGTGAGCAACTATTATGTATACTAAAATATATATATTTTAACAAATATTAACTTTGTTTTGCTTTGTTTTAACAAAATTATATTTTATTTTTCTTGATTCTCAAAATATACCATTGACATAAAATCAATCTTGTTACAACCATTTGAAATATTAGTTTTAAATACAGCACTGTTCCTTTATATCTTATTATGCTTTCTAAAAAAGACTCATACTGCAACAATCGGAAATTCAGGGTTTGCTCTTTTGAAAATCAATTCTATATTATGTGTTTTAACTTTATCTTAAACAGGCTCAACATTATCAAATAAAATGTGTACAAAACATCTAAAGATGTCCAATTGACAATTGTGAGTTTGGCATTTATCACTATAGCAGATAATGTGTGTGTGTAAGTGTGTTTGTGTGTGTGCGTTTACCTGTTCCACACACACAGACAACATTTATCAGCTTTTGAGGCACAGGCATTTTATTAATTTATATACCAAAAAAGTTAAATATTAAATTAATGTACAATGTTCATTGAATGTCATTGAAACAAATTTTGGAAAGCACTTATTTTCATGATATAAAAATTGTGTATATGTATTTCTAATTTAATTGGAGAATTGTTGACTAAACTTTCACAATTGGCTTATTCCTGTGTTTAATGGAACTGTCACAGAAATAAGAATAAAAGAAGAGAGAACAGTGACCTTAGCACCATAATTCAAGGCATCTTTGCATGGACAAGAGATACAAACATGGATCAATGCATGACATTTGAAAAGCACAAGTAGAAAGTATAGAAGTAACTGATTTGCCCCTCCTACCAGATTGTTTCTAGGGTACCTGTTTTATGCTTTCATAGCTCTTTGCTCTTCTCCATAGAATCCATTTACATATTGCATTATATATTTTATAATTAATGCCAATCTGTCTCCATGAAAAGTAAACTTTTCAATGTAAAGAATGACTATTGTACCCCAAATTTTTAAATTTGAGTATATGAATAACTTTTTTGAATACATGAAAAGCATTGTTTATAACAATGAAAATATTAAAAAGTATTTTCTTGAATAAATCCGAATTAATTTTGTGATCTGACATATTTTAAAGCAAAATATGTGTGCATATATATATAGTGGATAGATATGTGTTTTTGACATTTCAGAAATCAAATTCAGAACAATAAATATATAATAACTATCCTCAAATTAACTTCAAATTTTATTAAAAATGCATACATTGATAACTGAAATTTTAGTGTTGCAGGCATAAAAGCTAATGCAATCAACATGATTAATATGCTTTCTGTGGACATTAAATAAGTTAATACATATAAAGGGCTTATAACATCATTATCATTATAATCATAATGATATTTTTGTATAAAAACCTAACATTACATGACAATTAAACTTTCACAAAGTAAACAGAATCTTTTCCATTCCTTTGGGCAGCACAGAAATACAACTTTGACTAATGTGATGAAATAGCTGCATAGCTTTGTGGAGCTTGACCACCTGGAGAGAAGAATATTGATTCTATAATTAACTGTGACCTGCAAAGTACAGCCACCAAAATTACTTTTTAAAAAATAATTTCCCTTTCTGAGCATTTAAATGGGAAACAAGTAAAAAAAAGAAGATACTTAAAGAGTAATAGTCACTAAAGTTTAAATGATCATCATGATTGTGCCTTTTTATAATTCATTGCAATTGCTGATATATTCATATAAGAAAACAGACTGGTATAAAATAAATTGGACAAGGAATCCTAGTAAAATATTTGTGATTTGAGATTTTACAGACAAGAAAATCACTAGCTTTTACATTTTGTCATTTATAAGAGGCACTAATGCACTTTTAAAAACCCGATAGTCCTAACAGAAGTATTAAAAAATGAACAGAAATACCATTAAAAAAATTGAAAATTGCAAGTGATAAAACAGGCCAATGTTGTTGTCATGTTAATAAAAGAAATATTGTTTATTGTAGCTTTCTGAGCCTCTTCTTACATTCTATATTTGTTATTAATAAGTGCATCTCCAATTTTTAAGAGATGCATGTTTACCTTTTATACAAATGAGCAATACACACATGCTTATAATTGCAAATGTATTTAAGTATCATTGCCTTTTAAAATATGTTTTAAAGCCATATTAATTATACCATATAGTTCATGTTGTCATTTAAATTGACCTTATATAATTTAACATACAATTCATTTTACATTATAAAATTTCTTACTGTAAAAAATGGTGAACATATATTCTATACATTAGAATATTAGACTATATATATTTAGTAATAAAAAGTCTTCAATCTCTATGGTCACTATCTGCATAGGCAACCATTATACAGTTTCTTAAGCATTCATACACAAATAACATATTAATACTTATGCCTTTATGTTATTATTTTTCAAAAATAGAAGTACACTCTAGAGCTCTTTCACTTAATATTCTCAGTAATTGGTCATTAACATATTGATCAATATATTATACATATATATCTCAGTGATTGATCAATAATAGATATCATTCACCTTATTTCTTCTAATGCCATTTTTAGGTTCCCTAGAAGTGGAGCCCAAGGTAAGGATTCTTTTGCAAGTGATTTTCTAGTAGAGTGCTCTCAGGAGAAATCTGGGAGAAAGTAAAGGAATCTGAATAAGGGCTGGGAAGAGGCAAACACAGATACTTTTAGCTGAAGTCTAGCCTCAGCTTTATCCCTGGAGACTTCTTGAGTATGAGTGGCACAACAGAGTTGCTTCATCTCCAAGGAAGGGGGCCAGATTTTGCACTGTAGTGTCAGTATGTAATTGGCAACAAGTATCCTTGCAACTCCCAGAAGGAAACATAATCTCCCAAGTGAGGTGATTACAGTTACTGAAGCCAATTCCCTAGAAACATTGTAAGCTGTTGTAAATTATAAGTGGTTAGCAGCCCAAACTCACAGAACCTGGGGGATGAGTTTATCTGGTTGTCAAAATGAATCTGGGCAATGTACCAAAATATGCTACTGGTGGCATTATATCACATTGCCAGGAAATGGAATTATGCTTTAGTTACTTTTTGTTGAGGGATATTTCATTGTTTCCCTATTTAGCAAGTATAATGTTATTGGTTATTTTTGTACCCTGATTTTTTTGCATATTATAAGGCCTATCTTTAATAGAAGACTCTGGAAGTTTAAATGTTGAGTCAAAGGTTATATTCATTTTAAAGTTTGATAGCTGTTGCCAAATGGTCACCCAAAGTGGTTCACATTCTTCATATTTTCACTCACACTGTGAGTTAAATTTTAGATCCTTAATTATCTTGATGTGAAAATGGTATATCAGTTTGGTTTGATTTTTCTCTTTTTAAATCCTAGAGAGTGTTTAGCATATTTTTATGCCAAAAGTAATATGCATTTTGTTTTCTGAATAAATTATTTTTCTGTGCTTTATTAGGTACCTAATTTTTCTTATTAGATTGTAAGAACTATACTTACATGTTAAGGGACTTAATAAATTTGTATGACATTTACTCATATATTATTCCAAGTTTGTCTTTTGATCTTTGCTTTTTATTTTCAGTGTGAAGAAATATTTAATTTTATGTAGTTGAATTTATTTACTTTTTTAATTCCTGAGCTTTGCATTTTGTTTAGGAATAGCTCCTTACTTCATAAAAATATATTTTTAAAATCTCCACACATTTTCTTCCAAAATTTTTAAAATTATCTTTGTTGAAGTAAAAATTTGATTCTTTTAATTTGAGGCAAAATTAAATTTAGGATACTTTAAAATTCAATATGAAACTATTTTGCATTGAGTAAAGTTTATTGTGTTTAATTGATATCACATAACTATACATTTTGTAAAATATAAATGATATCATTGAATGCCCACATGCATGGAATTTATGTGTGCCTGAACATATATAAACAAAATTACATTTTAACAAGTAGATAAATGTGTCCAAGTAGATTAATTATAAATAGAAATTAGTGTTAATAATAAACATATTAAAAATAAAATACTTGGAAAAACACTAATTCTATTTGAAATATAAAAACACTTTTAAAATTATAAACATGTTTTCTCTTTTGGCTTAAAAAGCTGAAATACATGTAATGATAGAATTTTTTCTTATAACAGTTATATTTAAAAGTAAGAGAGGTTTTTAGCTATTCACATTTTATTATAGCTAATAAATAGTTTACAGCATGCGAAAACTGTCTCAAACTATTCAATTTGCTTCATTCTTTAAAGTTTGTTTGGTTTTGTCTACAAAGTAGTTTATAATTCTGTTAAGGGATTACAATGTGATTTAAAAATAATTCATTTACTTATAGGGCTATTGACTCAATTCTAGTAATATTTCCTTTGTATATATATATATATATATATATATATATATATATATAGCAATTCAGTTCAACCACTCTTTAGACCTTACAGAGTGTGTTATATATCAACATAAAAATCAAAGCCATCTAATAGTAATTTTTAATAAATTTTAGACATTTTGAAATCAATCTAAACCCTTGAGAAATTAAAAACCATCATAATGGAAATACAATGCTAGCGTTTGCAAATAGGATAATTCTCAAAATGGATATCTAGTTTACCTTCTTAGTTTAACTTCTTTCTTAAACCACTAAAACTAATTCACAACTAATTTTAAATTATAAACATCACAAATAAGGCTTAACCGTCTCTATATAACATTGAAATAATTGGGTGACATTGTCTACATTTTCTTATTCCATTACATCAAATTCTTCCTATTAGTATATCTGGGAGGCTTTAATATTTTTTTAAAAAGTAAAATCCAAAAAGAATTTTAATGGTTTATAATTGAGAAGAACTTTGGATTCTGCTGATTTTAAAAATATAAGAGGATCAAAGGTGATGCCCAGGATATATTGAAAATAAATCATTGTATTTCAGGATTTGGTTACAGGAATAATTTTTTTCCCAAGCATCTCCCCCTTGGTAAATGTAAGCACCTCTGCTTATGAGTTGTCTGTTTCTCAGCAAAGATTTTTAGTGAACATGGCTCTCAGGAGACTTTATGGTCAGAACTGGGAACATACTAATGTTCCTTTTCACCAGGGCTGTAGAAGTGGCAGCCATATTTGCAAGAAGAGACAGATATTGAGTCAGGTCAAAACAAAGTCATTCAAAGAATGGATACTGTGAGGTGAGACCCAGTAAAAAGGCTATGAATGGACATCAACATACATATTGAGGAATCAAACATATGAGAATTTGGGATGATTCACAGCAGGTTTTATGAACCAGTATATCTGGTAGTGTGTATGCCACCAGTAAGAAAGAAGAAAAAATGATGAGATGTTTGGGAATTCAGTCATCAACACTTCAGTGATTGACATGAAGAGATGGCACTTAGGTGGAATAACTTGAGTATTTTATCCCTGTGAAAAATCTGGGCAGCTGGTATATGATGGTTAATACTGAGTGTCAACTTGATTGGATTGAAGGATACAAAGTATTGATCCTGGGTGTGTCTGTGAGAGTGTTGCAAAGGAGATTAACATTTGAATCAGAAAGGTGGGAAGGCACACCCACTCTTAAACTGGGTGGCACAATCTAATCAGCTGCCAGCATGGCCAGAATATAATCAGGCAGAAAAATGTGAAAAGAGAGACTGGTCTAGCCATCCAACATCTTTCCCGTGCTGGATGCTTCCTGCCCTTGAACATTGGACTCCAGGTTTTTCAGTTTTGGAATTCGGACTGGCTCTCCTTGCTCTTCAGCCTGCAGACAGCCTATTGTGGAACCTTTTGATCATGTAAATTAATATTTAATAAACTCCTATATATATATATATATATATATATTTTCCATTAATTCTGTCCCTCTAGGGAATGCTAATACAGATTTTAGTACCAGCAGTAGGGACCAGGACAGGAGAAGGCTCTGCAATAGGTCCAGGCTGCTGTGCAAGCTGCTCTGCCACTTGGGCCATATGACCCAGCAGATCCAATGGTGCTTAAGGTGTCAGTTGCAGATAGGGATGCTGTTTGGAGCCTTTGGCAGGCCCCCATAGATGAATCACAACGGAGGCCTCTAGGATTTTGGAGCAAGGCTCTGCCACCTTCTGCAGAAAACTATTCTCCTTTTGAGAGACAGCTCTTGGCTTGTTACTGGGCTTTGGTGGAAACTGAACGTTTGACTATGGGCCATCAAGTCAGTATGCAACCTGAACTACCTCTCATGAGTTGGGTGCTTTCTGTCCCATCCAGCCATAAAGTGGGTTGTGCACAGCAGTATTCCATCATCAAATGAAAGTGGTATATACGTGATTGGGCTCGAGTAGGTCCTGAAGGCACAAGTAAATTAAATGATGATGTGGCTCAAATGCCCACAGGCTCCAATCCTGCCACCCTGCCTTCTCTGCCCCAGCCTGCACCAATGGCTTAGGGGGAGTTCCCTATGATCAGCTGACAGAGGAAGAGAAGACTAGGGCCTAGTTCACAGATGGTTCTGCACCATATGCAGGCACCACCCAAAAGCAGACAGCTGCAGCACTATAGCCACTTTCTAGGACATCCCTGAAGGGCAGTGGTGAAGGGAAATCTTCCCAGTGGGCAGAACTTCGAGCAGTGCACCCGGCTGTGCACTTTCCATGAAAGGAGAAATGGCCAGATGTGTGATTATATACTGATTCGTGGGCTGTAGACAATGGTTTGGATGGATGGTCAGGGACTTATAAGAAGCATGATCAAAACATCGGTGGCAAAGAAATTTGGGGAAAAGGTATGTGGATGGACCTCTCTGAGTAGTCTAAAACTGTGAATATATTTGCATACCATGTGAGTGCTCTATGACGGGTGACCTCAGCAAAGGAGTATTTTAATAATCAAGTGGATAGCATGACCTGTTGTGTGGACACCACTCAGCCCCTTTCCCCAGCCACCCCTGTCATCACCCAATGGGCCCATGAACAAACTGGCCATGGTGGCAGGTACAGAGGCTTTACAAGTACTCAGCAACATGGACTTCCACTTACCAAGGCTGTCCTGGCTACGGCCACCGCTGAGTGCCCAACTTGCCAGCAGCAGACACCAACACTGATTCCTCGATATGGCACCATTCCTCGAGGTAATAAGCCAGCTACCTGGTGGCAGGTTTATTATATTGGACCTCTTCCATCATGGAAAGGGCAGAGGTTTGTCCTCACTGGAATAAACACTTAATCCGGATATGGGTTTGTCTATCCTGCAAGCAGTGCTTCTGCCAAGACTACCGTCCATGGATTCACGGAATGCCTTATACATTGTCATGGTATTCCACACAGCTTTGCCTCTAACCAAGGCACTCGCTATATGGCTAAAGAAGTGCAGCAGTGGGCTCATGCTCATGGAATTCACTGGTCTTACCATGTTCCCCATCATCCTGAAGCAGCTGGAGTAAGAAAACAGTGGAATGGCCTTTTGAAGTCACAATTACAATGCTAAATAGCTGACAATACTTTGCAAGGCTGGGGCAAAGTTCTCCAGAAGGCTTTGTATGCTCTGACTCAGCATCCAATATACGGCACTTCTTTCCCATTGCCAGGATTCACAAGTCTAGAAATCAAGGGTGGAAGTGGCACCACTCACCATCACCCCTAGTGACCCACTAGCAAAATTTGTGCTTCCTGTTCCCACCACATTATGTTCTGCTGGCCTAGAGGTCTTAGTTCCAGAGGGAGGAATGCTGCTACCAGGAGACACAACAATGATTCCATTAAACTGGAACTTAAGATTGCCACTTGGACCTCTTTGGGCTCCTCCTACCTTGAAGTCAACTGGCTAAGAAGGGAGTTACAGTGTTTGCTGGGTGATTGACCTGGACTACCAAGATGAAAGCAGTCTACTACTGATGGAAGTAAGGAAGAGTATGAATGGAATATAGGAGATCCATTAGGGTGTCTCTTAGTATTACCATGCCCTGTGATTAAGGTCAATAGGAAACTACAACAGCCCAATCCAGGCAGGACTACAGGAATCCAGACCCCTCAGGAATGAAGGTTTGGGTCATGCCACCAGGAAAAAACATGACCTGCTATAGTACTTGCTGAAGGCAAAGGGAATACAGAATGGGTAGTAGAAGAAGGTAGGCATCAGTAACAGCTATGGCTACGTAACCAGCTGAAGAAACAAGAAATGTAACTGTCATGAGTATTTCCTCCTTCTTTTGTTAAAAACATGTTTGTGAATGTATACACTTGTACTAAGAAAATATCTTCATTTTATTTCCTTTTCCTTTATCATATGACATAAGATTTATTGACTTCATATCAGCATTTAAGTATTGTTAATTTTATGTAATAGTATTTGGGTTGGGATTGGTGTGTTTCCAGTGGTAGGAAGGATAGTTGTGTTATGTTAGGCATAATTATGACCTTATTATTGTCTTTATTTGAAGATTATGTGTGATCTCAGGAGACGTGTATGGGTTCAAGTTGACAGGGGTGGACTTGTGATGGTTAATACTGAGTGACAACCTGATTGTATTGGAGGATACAAAGTATTGATCCTGGGTGTGTCTGTGAGAAAGTTGCCAAAGGAGATTAACATTTGAGTCAGTGGGCTGGGGAAGACAGATGCACCCTTAATCTAGGGGGCACAATCTAATCAGCTAAATATGAATATAAAGCAGGCAGAAAAACATGAAAAGGGGAGATTGACCTAGCCTCCCAGCCTACATCTTTCTCCCTGCCCTTGAACATCGAACTCCAAGTTCTTCAGTTTTAGAACTCGGACTGGCCCTCCTTGTTCCTCAGCCTGCAGATGGCCTGTTGTGGGACTTTGTGATCATGTAAGTTAATACTTAATTAACTCCTTTATATATATATAGGAGTGGAATATATATATGTATATATATATATATATATTCCATTACTTCTGTCCCTCTAGAGAACCCTGACTAATAATACATGGTATTTAGAATAAATTATAAGAAAATATCAGAGACAGAATTAAGCTTTTGATTTATCCTATGTGTTTTTCATGACTCTTATGAAGAGAATAGTCATTATCTTTACTTGGCTTGTCCAATTATTGCAGATGGTGATAAAAGAAAACAGCTAGATAGAGGAGGGGATACCAATTTTCTGAAAATGTTCTCTGCATATATAGAATTTAACTATATTTACTGAATTTAGCTGATAATACACTTATGAAGGGTAGCACTATTATAAATGTGAAATATATTATCATCTTTTCAGTTTTCAACTCCATACCAAGGTTAAATCAGGACTACTTATTCTGCTAAATAAAAATGGTGCCCTATTTTAAAGTATGAATCTTTTATATTGTTTTCTGAAGTAAAAGTCATGGTTATTTCTTAGTAAAAATGGCCAATAGAATTCTTTTTTCTCATGTATTTTCTCATTAGCTAAATAATAATAATAATAATAGTGGTATCTCTTCATTTCCCTTCATACAGTGTGATACTATATAGTGAAAAAAATTAATAGCAATTTTACTTGTGCTGTCATTATTGGTACACCGTAGTCATTTTCTACTTTTCAATGACTTTGAAAATGATCTTGTACAGTAGTGTCTTCTTATTATCCAGAAAGGTACCAGGAATAGGTGTAATCTCATTATATCCACAACCACTCAGTAGAAAAATATGTAATATTCATGTAAATATCTGTGAAATAGTATAGTTGAATAGCTTCATTTTCTCTGCTATAAGATGGTACAATTACATTTTTTTTAAATGACAAACTCATAAAATTATACAGTGACAATCAGCACAAATGAAGAGTTGCCATTTGCGTAGGAGAAATGGGTTATAGGATAAACCTCTAATTTAGCTAATGGAATTTTGAAATAGGGCTTACAACCAAAGTGAAATTAAACACAATAGCCTTAGTCGACTCTATTTTATAATCACTTACACTTTTATTGCTAATTCACCTAATTGAAGTCAGGAGTAAATGCACTATTAGCTCCTGATAACTTTAGGTTTGGGTTGAATTTTAGTGTTACAAAGGATATGTAAATGTCCAAAAGAAAGATGCACAAATATGTTGAATATTATTAGCAATACAAGAAAACAAAAAATTTAAATTACAAGTTCTGATTCCTGGGTCTAATTATAATGCTTTTTGAGATCATTTGTGACATTATTAAAACTATATTTGAAATCATTTATTTTCTATTAATTTGCTGACATATAAAAAGGAAGATAGCAATAAATAATACCTTTTGGAATACTTATTAAAATCAAGCAAATATAAGGATATTGTGAAATCCTATATAAGGATTATGATCTAACACATTAAAATAAATATTTCAATTTTTTTTTTTTGAGACAGCATCTTGCTCTGTTACCCAAGCTGGAGTACCAAGTGGTGTGAACTTGGTTCACTGCAACCTCTGCCTCCTGGGTTCAAGCAATTATCCTGCCTCATCCTCCTGAGTAGCTAGGATTACAGGCACCCGCCGCCATGCCAGACTAATTTTTGTATTTTTAGTAGAGATGGGGTTCCACTTTGTTGTCCAGGCTAGTCTTGAACTCCTGACCTCAAGTGATCCACCTGCCTTGGCCTCGTGAAGTGCTGGAGGTGTGAGCCACCAGGCCCAAGTCAATATTTTGAAATTTATATTTGAAACAATAATTGATGTAATACTATGAAATAATGTAGACCAAGAGCAATATTAAAATTTTAAAACATGGATTAATATAATACAACTTTATAATTATTTTAAACATTAATAAAAATAATGAAAGTTGCCCATTATTACCAGATCTTAGGACATATGTCTCTCATGTCTGGAAAATATTAATAATATTAATAATAACCACAGCAACAACATGCCAATAACCTATAGATACCTTTGCAAATCTTATTTAGAGTACATGTTCTTTAATTGAATTTTCAAAACATTCAAATATATTTATTTATTAGTAATAGCTAACTTTTGCTTAAGTCATTGTTCCAGAAAGTATGTGAAGCACATTTCATAAATTACTCATTTCTCAGAAACCTCATGATGGGGAAATTACTATTTCTCACAAATTACAGATGAGAAAACTGATGCCTACAGAAGTTCAATAGTCTGCCAATACCGAGCTGTTCTAAACGATGGCACTGGCATTTAAACCCACACTGTGGCTCAGCAGTCCTCCTTCTTAACTGCTTTCCTGAGATTTATAATAACCTGAGGACAATCAGGCAAATCTGTTTTGGAGGTTTGCTTCTGCAATTAACTCTATGTAGGAGACAAGTGAATTAAGATTAGATCTTAAAAAATTACATAGGCAATTCCTTGTTATTATGCCATTTTTAGATGAGCTACCAGTACGAATGTAAACAAATGTGTTTCAAGTATATACTTTTAAGTTGAGAAATGATTAGCAAGGTGTAGTGGTACATACCTGTAGTCGAAGCTACTCAGAGGCTGAGGTGGGAAGATTGCTTGAGCCCAGGAGTTCAAGGCTGCAGTGAGCTGTGATCATCACACTGCACTCCAGTCTGGGTGACAGAGTGAGACCCTGCCTCTAAAAGAAAAAAAACCCTATAAAATAAAATAAAATAAAATAAAAATAAATAAAATAAAATAAGAAGTGAAATAACTTTGTCCTCAAACAAAAACCAATGTTTGCCTCAGTTATTTATTAGGTATCAGCCTCAGTAATGAATTGCTGAGTCGACATTTTCTTTCATATGTTGCTGGAATAATTTTGTTACTTACAAAACACTAACTTTGTTACTTTATAAGACATTAGTGATGTCTACCAAAAATTATGACTATGAGAATTAAGACAAGGTTTAGTTTAGCAGGGCCAGAGAAGATTTGACTGGAAGTAGATCTTGAAGTCCTCTTGAGGCCTGACAAATCTCTATTTCTAGAACAAGGCAGTATTACACAGATGCATTACTCATCATTTATTAAGTGGCAATATATCTATAATACGCTCTCTCAAATGAGTTATATTTCATAAGTTTTAAAAAAGGTTTTAAAGCGAAACCCTTTACACTTCATGACAGTATTTCTAGAGATTGTATTTTTGCATTTCAACTGTAAATGATTCTTTTAAATTATTATTTTTTTAATTTTAGAAGGTAAAAAAGTACACAAGACTCATCATAGCCTTCTTGTACATAACGACAACACTTTAATACTGTGCTTAGGGCCATTATAAATAGCAGAATCACTAACAAAAAGCACACTTTAAAAAAAGATATTAAACAGACCACAAAAAAAGACATGTTTACAGAAAAAATTCAAATTAAAAGACAGAACATCACCTTGTTCAATCTCAGCTGAGAATCTGTGCATTGGGTAACTTAAATTTTTTGCAGTTCTGAGCAACTACAGAAATGACTGTGAAAGTGCTCTAAGTACTGTCTTGTGGGTTACAAGAAAGCTTTGGCAAGCAGGCAAATTCATGGATATGGAACCCGCAAATAATGAGGATCAACTGCATTTTTCATTTAATTTTAATAATATTAATCATGGCAGTTTTTCTAAAGTTTTGATCTTTTTTATCTACATATGCAAAGAAAAATAGCATTATCCAAAAATTTTGGAATGCTTCTCTTCTATTCAAGTAATTAGAGTTGCCTTCTTTTTTTGATGTTACCACTTGCATCTATTAGCAAAATAATATAAAATTCATTTTATATTCTGCACATTTTAATATTTCAAAAACAAAAGTTTACAGCACTAAACATTCTTTTTAGTGGTATAAATGGAATAGCCAGATAATCAGGGAAACACTATGTGACTACTGACATTATATGATTCTAGTAACAGGATCCTTGAAAGCTAAAGGAGCACATTGAAGAAGCATTTAAATTTTAACTGCTCTGCATGGCATTATTTAAAATAACTCACTAGGGTATTAGGGTGATTAGACAGGTAAATAGTGGTGTAATCAGGTTTGGCTATATACATAAGTGGAATGAATTTTCACTTAGAACATATGTTGTAAGGGGTAATTGAGGCATCTATAAATATCTTCTAAAAGAGACTTCCTATATGCCCTGGTGATAGAGTCATTTATTTGATTTATCACATAGAGCCATTGAAAAAAGGTCCTATAAAGAAATGGCTATCTGGGAAGTATGACAGACCAAACTTCACTACCTACCATTAAAACTTTTCCAATATTAGTTTACCATATCAATTACTAGCCACCTGTCAAGGCTCTTAAAAAGTGTGGTATCAAAAAGCTCCTGATGGGTTTCTGATAAAGCAAAGATGTCAGAATCATAGAGTGGGAGGAAGAATATTTGCCAAACAGATATTTAACAAAGGATTGATATACAGCATAAATAATAATTCTCACATTTTTAAAAAAGGCAAGTGAGACAATTTAATGAAACAGACAATATACTCAAAAAGACACTTTTCAAACAATCAAATATCAAATAAACATAAAATGTGTTCAACATCACTTATCATCAAGATGATGCAAATTAAAACCATAATGAGATACATTTACATACTCACCAGAAGAGACACATTTTAAAATGTCCACACAGCTAAATGTTGATAAGAATGAGGCACCACTGGAAATTCCATATAATGCTGGTGGAAATAAATACATTTGCTCAATTTGTTTAGAAAATTTGTAGTTGTACCTACTGATGGTAAAAATATATGCATTTTACATGACCCAGAAATTCCATTATTATAACACAAAAAATGCATAAATACATGCATCAAGAAACACGAAGATAATGTTTATAGCTGTGTTTTTCATTATAACCAAAGAAATGAGAGCAATCCAAAAGTTATTCAGGAGTAGAATGGATTATTTTTTGTGCCATATTTATATAATATTATGCTACTCACCAGTGAAAAATGACTACTGCTATCCTCTATAATATAGATGAATATCACAAACTAAAATCAAAAGAAGTCAGTTGCAATATAGCATATACTGTATATTTTCATTTATCTAATATTAAAAAACAGATGTAACCAATATATAGTATTAGAATATGATTAGTTACCTTTGGGACAGATTGTTGCTGGGAGGGGCTGGATAGAGGCTATTTGGATATTGGTTTGTTTCCAATTTCCTTTTCTTTTTGTGCTTTCCTTTCCAGTGTGTCTGCTTTATTTAAAAAGCTACTTAAAATTTTTTATTTTATTTTTATTTTATTATTTTGTTTTATTTTATTAATTTAATTTCATTTTTTAAATTTTATTTTATTAAGTTTCGTAAGTGGGAAATTGTTCATTCATGGTATAATTGTTTAAATTTTAGAAACTTTAAAGAGGGGTAAGCAACCCAGCTATTGACAATCACATGATATCCCCAATTATATCTTCAGTGTAAGAGCTTTAACTTCGGTTTCTGTTAAATATTATATCCTTTAAAATAAAAGATGACAGGGTCATCATCCATCGGATTATTTCCTGCAAGCTAATATCCCATACTATAGCATTTTTTTCTTTAATAATGTTTATTTGTTTTAGAAAATCTGCCAGACATTTTATGTGCTATTTAGCTAGAATTGCATTGGTTATAGATGACCACATGGTCTGTGGCCCGACTCAGGACTCAATCATTCTTGATCCTGAATTTTCAGAAAGCCAATTATTTAAGGTATAGCACTTTTTTAGAATTATTAACAAAACGCTTATGATTCTAACCTGGACTCTCATTTTTCTGTGCTACATAGCCTGGGTTTTTTTTCTTTAACTGTTATTACTTTCCTACTATAGATATTAACTACAATTTTAAGTTTTAAAAAAAAATTCTTAGGAATGCTCTTTAGGCAAAGCAAAGCAATATGATGATTAATCCTAACTAAAGTAGATTATCTTCTAAACATGTGTGCGTGTGTCTGTGTCTGTGTGTGACAGAAACACATTGACTCCAGTTTCCAAGAAAGTAGACTATTACTCAGGCTGCTATTTTTAATTTCACATAAGCATGCATGGTTGGGCTTAGCTAATTATAATATAGACCATAAAACTATCTTACCTTAATTTTTTTTAAACATCTCACATCTAACTGGCAATATAGGCTCTAGATATTTTGACATGTTGTTTCTGGACACTTACCTACTTTAGAAAAAAAAAAACAAAGAAAGGAAAGGCAGAAATGCTTATAAAAGCCCTTGTCTTCATGTCTTTATTTTCTAATTCCACATTAACATATCACAATACATTTTTACAGACAGTCACAGTTAATAGAATTTAACGACCTATCTAAGCAGAAAAAAGCCTGTTTTGAATATAGTTAATAGTGTAGCCTACCTTAAACAATATTTTAGTAGAATAATACAATTATGGTGTTGGCCAGGTGTGGTGGCTTATGCCTGTAATCCCAGCACTTTTGGAGGCTAAGGTGGGAAGACCATTTGAGTTCAGGAGTTTCATACTAGCCTGGGAAACATAGCGAGACCTTGTCTCCAGTAAAAATGAAAAAAAATTAATTACCTGGATGCAGTAGCACATGCCTCAAGTCTCAGCTACTTGGGATGCTGAGATGAGAGAATCACTTGAGGCTGAGAGTTTGAGGCTGCAGTGAGCCATGACTGCACCACTGCACTCCAGCCTGGGAGACCAGAGCAAGATCCTGTCTCAAAAAATATATATATAATTACAGTGTTGTCTGATTTTTGTTCTGTAAAGTGTCTCTTATTTGCTGTGAAATCATGAATCTCTGATGTCCATTGTTTTAATCTATCTTTTATTCCCCTGAATTACGCGTGGAAAAAAAGCAATATATACATCCCTTTACTTCACCATTGTTAGGCTATTACTTTGTCACAGGCATGCCTCTGCCCTAAGCCTACCTTTGCTGTATTATGACTTCAGCATCTTATGCTACATGGTTGGACAGTCTGACTCACCACTTCTTCCCTTATTCTTTCTCACAACATAGAAAACTTATACACAGCTCTAGAATATACAGCATATATCCTGATAGCAGAAAAGAAAAAAAAAAACATAAGCCAAAATAAACTGTAAAATGCTTACTCGGTCATGTATACAGTCTGGGTAAATGTTACAAAAAGAACACATTCTAATAGTGTAAGTATTTATCATTTCTTAATGTCCTCATAACAAGTTGAAATGGTTTTATTCATATTTGTAAAATTTTATCACATCTAAATATGAAGGCATACATGTAAAAGTGATATGGTTTTGCTGTGTCCCCACCCAAATCTCATCTCGAATTCCTACATGTTGTAATTCATGTGGAGGGAGGTAATTGAATCACGGAGGCAGGTCTTTCCTGAGCTGTTCTCATAATAGTGAATAAGTCTCATGAGATATGATGGTTTTAAAAAGAGGAGTTTCCCTGCACAAACCCTCTTCTCTTGTGTGTTGCCATGTGAAACGTGCCTTTCAACTTCCACCATGATTGTGAGGCCTTCCCAAGCACGTGGAACTTAAGTCCATTAAACCGCTTTCTTTTGTAAATTACCCAGTCTCTGACATGTCTTTATCAGCAGTGTGAAAATAGACTAATACAGAAAAAGATGAAAATACTTGCCATACTCTCCTAAAGTCATTTTTTTTAAATGGATGGTGGGGAATTTTCTTTCCAGGAATAAGAATGAAGTGCTCTTCATATGAGATGATGGTTAGGAACTGTTTAAGGGGATTGAAGAACTCATGTGAAGGAACAAAATACAACTGAAGGGGTTAGGTGGAAAAAACAAGGCTACAACTACTTCAGTTTCTTTAGGTCATATAATGGTTGATTTATAAGCACACCATCACTTTATCGTCAGAATAGAACTGTGAGAAAGATCTTTTAATAATGATTTAAGAGACACAGAGATGACAAGTTTCTCACACAACTATTTAAATGTCAGGGTTGGAAAAGGAACACAGGTTTGTCTAGCTTTCTTTCCCTGATTCTTAACAGCTAAACTGCCTGCCACAGGACACAGACCTCAATGAAATGCCTGAATACTCATGTATTCACAGCAAAGATTCCATTTTTAATTGAAGTATAATTTGCATGCAATAAATGTACAAAGCTTAATTTTGTTACTTTGATGAATTTTCATATTAACAAACATCCATGGAACCACTATCCAAAACAAGATGTAGAATATTTCCCTGATCTCCAACATTTTCTTCAAGCCTTTTTTTAGACATTTTTCATCCGTCCCTGGAGACAACCATTTTCTATCCCCCAAAATTATTTTTGCCTCCTTTGGATGTCAAATATACAGAATTATACAGTGTGTATTTCTCCGTCAGGCATCTTTCACTCAACGTAATGTCTTTCTGAGATTCAGCCAAGCTGTTGTATGTATCAGTAATTTGTACCTCTTATTGCTGTGTGGTATTGCTTAGTAATGATGGTCTAAATGACTATACCACTGTTTATTTAAACATTACCCTACTAACTGATATTAGTAATGTTTCCAACTTTCGCTCTTAGGAATAAGACTTTTGCATGTCTTTGTACAATATTTGTGCTTTAAAATTTTTTCTGGTTATGTGTTTAAATTTATTTTATTAAATTATTGAGTACTAGAATCACTCTAATATAAGGGATGTGTGTGTTCAATTACAAGAAACTACCTAACATTTATCTAAAGTGGTTGTGCCATATTTCACTTCCACCAGCAAAGTATGTGTAGCACAAGAATTGTGTATTAATATTTTTCTCTTAAGAGCCTTTTTATTTGCACTAGTTACATAACCAGAAAAAAAGCCTGTTTTGAATGTTGCTAAAAATGTTACCCAACTTAGACAACATTCTATTAGAATGATATGATGTATAATGTTTCTAATTTTAGTGCTATAGGAGATAATCTCTTATTTGGTGTGAAATCATGGATCTCTAGTCTTTAAGATTTAAAATTTTCAGCCGGGCGCGGTGGCTCACGCCTGTAATCCCAGCACTTTGGGAGGCCGAGGCAGGCAGATCATGAGGTCAAGAGATCGAGAGAGACCATCCTGGCCAACATGGTGAAACCCCGTCTCTACTAAAAATACAAAAATTAGCTGGGCATGGTGGCGTGCGCTTGTAGTCCTAGCTACTCGGGAGGCTGGCAGGAGAATCACTTGAAACTAAGAGGCAGAGATCGTGCCACTGCACTCCAGCCTGGCAACAGAGAGTGACTCCGTCTAAAAAAAAATTTTAAAAAATTAAAATTTTCAATAGATAAAAGTAAGATATTCCATATATTAAACAAATATGTTATTCCTCTACTATATTGTGGTACTACAACCTGCTATTTTAAAAATACAGTAGTGTTACTATTGTTCTCATTGTTATTACTACCGTTTAATAGGCACATCTTAGAATGGCCTATTAAATACTTTTGCCTACTCCGCAAATACAAAATACAAAATACTTTTGCCTACTCCGCAAAAGTAATTTGTTTCTTTAAAAATTAACTATGAAAAATATTTGTCAATTTGCTTTATTTTCTCAGCTCCAAAGCCCATATTCAGAGATTTTGCCTGAGGGGAGAAGCAGATCATTAAACAGATAGCTTCTAATCTGTTCCCTAAAGAACTGATTTCATTTGCTATAGAGTGTGGAAAAGTTCAAACCTAAGGGAGCTTTCACAAGTAGTGGTGGTTTCAGTAAAAGGCAATTCCAAAAAGATTGGTAAATTTGCTGAAGACACAGTTTAAACTGTAGTCAGCTAGTTTGCTGAAAAGAGCTGGGAAAAGTGATAGCCAGAAGAAGCTGTCTGACTTTAGAACTTAAATCATACACTGGTCTCAGAAACTACTCCTGCAAAGTAGCTCTTTATAATTGGATTAGGCTATAGAGGAATTTATATCTTCAGAAAATTATTGAATACAATAGAATAATTAGCCAGAAATTAGTGGAACTTCTGGGTGTGGTCAGGGAAAGAAAGGAAGAGAGCCCTGCCAAAACCAGTGTTATTTCAGGGTAGCTGTGGGCATACCCAAAGTCATATCTCTCTGAGGAGCAACAACAGAGGTTTAACAGAGGAATGAGGAAAAGACTTAGCTAAAATAATCTGATAGTCTTGTAATTTATTTTGAAAAATAAATTAAGTAAAAATGACAAGCCTGGAAGTAGGGAGACAAGAATCCAGAGTTCCTACAATATTATGAAAAATGTCTTCTTTCCAGCAAAACATTTACAAGACATGCAACAAACAGGAACATATGACTAATCCACTGGAAAAAAAAATGAACTGCTTGTGAGAGCTAACAGATGTCAGATTTAGTGGAAAAAGGCTTCAAAGTGGCCATAATACTTATGTTCAAAAAATTAAAGGAAGTCTTAGTTAAATAGGAAAAAGAATGTATGAGAATCACATTGCATCACACAGAGAATATCAATAAAGGAATCTAAATTATGAAAAAGAACCAAATGAAATTCTGGAGTTGAAAAGCATAACTGAAATAAAAAATTTATTAGAGGAATTGAACAGTAAATTAGAACTGGCAGAAGAATCAGTGAACACAAAAATAGATCCATAGAGATTATGCAATCCAAAAAACAGAGAAAATAAAGAATAAAGATAAATGAACATAAACAGGGAATCAGAGGAATGTGGAACCCCATTAGACAAAGCAACATATGCATAATGGGAGTACAAGAAAGGGAGGAAAATAAGGGGAAGATACAATTTTTCAAGAAATAGTTTGGGGTGAAAACATCTCAAATTTATTGAAAAACACCAGCCCTCACATTAAGGAGGCTCAATAAATTTTAAATGGAGTAAATGCAAAGAGATCCACTAATCAATATACAATAGCAAAAATGCTAGAAACCGAATATGAGAAGAAAATTGTGCAAGCAGCAAGAGAAAAAATGATTCATCACTTACAAGAAACCCTAAGTAAGATTAATAGCTGATGCAGAAAAGATCAAGATATGAAGACAGCAGGGAAAATGTATTCAAAGAGTTCAAAAAGAAAAGAAAAACAGGCTATCAAAAATGTTACATTTGATGAAGCTGTTAAACCTGAAACCAATATATAGAAGTATCTCAAGCTAAAAACACATGAACAAACTAGGGAATTTGTTGCAAGCATATCTTCCTTAAAATAAATACTGGCCAGGCGCAGTGGCTCACGTCTGTGATCCCAGCACTTTGGGAGGCTGAGGCAGGTGGATCTCACAAGGTCAGGAGTTTGAGACCAGCCTGGCCAAGATGGTGAAACCTCGTCTTTACTAAAATACAAAAACTAGGCAGCCGCGGTGGCGGGTGCCTTTAATCCCAGCTACTAAGGAGGCTGAGGCAGGATAATCACTTGAACGCGGAAGGCAGAGATTACAGTGAGCTGAGATCATGCCACTGCACTCCAGCCCAGGCAACAGAGCAAGACTCCATCTCAAAAATATATAAATAAATAATAAATAAATACTAATGGAATTTCATCAGGGTGAAATCAAGTGACCAGTGACCCTAGAGTATAATTTGAATGCATACAAAAAAGCAAATAATCCCAGTAATTATATAATTACAAAAGATAATAGAAATTTAATATTTATTTGTCTTCTCTTTACTGATTCGAAAAGCAGTTGTATAAAATAATATGTATACAATGTAATGTTGAGCCTGTAACATATAGTAATGCAATATTTTTTTTCCAAGAATAACGTAATAATGGTGGGTAGTAGCTAAGCTCCATTAGCCTAAGGAAATAATACCATATGGTAATTCAAATCCATAAAAACAAATGAAGAGAACCAGAAATAATAGACAGTTGATAAAGAAAAACTATAAATATATAATAGCCTTTATTCTCTCAGTATTATATATGTAATATGTATCAGACAGAAAATAATATGAAAGACAGAAAAACATAAAAAAGAAAAAAGAAAGAAACGCAATGAAAAGGACATAGCAGTAACTTGGTAATATTTAGTCTAATCATATCAACAATCACTTTACATGGAAGTGATTTAAATAAGCCACTTTAAAATTTATTTTTATTAATTTTATTTTAAGTTCCAGGATACATGTGCAGCATGTACAGATTTGTTACATATGTAAAGGTGTGACATCTTGGTTTTCTGCATCTATCAACCCATGACCTAGGTATTAAACCCAGCATGCATTAGCTATTTTTCCTGATGCTCTCCTTTCCTCCCACTCTTCCCACTCAGACAGGCCTCTGTGTGTGTTGTTTCCCTCTCTGTGTCCATGTGTTCTCATTGTTGAGCTCCCACTTATAAGTGAGAACATGCAGTGTTTGGTTTTCTCTTCCTGTGTTAGTTTGCTGAGGATAATGGCTCCAAGTTCCAACTATGGCCCTACAAAGGGCATGATCTCTTTCCTTCTTATAGTGGCATAGTATTCCATGGTATGTATGTATCACATTTTCTTTATCCAGTCGATCATTGATGGGTATTTTGGTTGATTCTATGTCTTTGCTATTGTGAATAGTGCTGCAGTAAACATACTGGTGCATGTATCTTTATAATAGAATGATTTATATTCCTTTGGGTATATACCCAGTAATGGGATTACTGGGTCAAATCTATTAATGGTTCTAGGTCTTTGAGGAATCACCACACTGTCTTCCACAATGGTTGCACTAACTTACATTCCCACCAACAGTGTAAAAGTGTTCCTATTTCTCCACAGCCTCACCAGTATCTGTTGTTTCTTGACTTTTTAATAATCTTCATTCTGACTGGCATGAGATGGTACCTCATTGTGGTTTTGATCTTCATTTCTCTAATGGCCGGTGATGTTGAGCTTTTTTTCATATGTTTGTTGGTCACATGAATGTCTTCTTTTGAGAAGTGTTTGTTCATGTCCTCTGCCCACTTTTTAATGGGATTGTTTTTTATTATAAATTTGTTTAAGTTCCTTGTAGTTTTTGGATATTAGACCTTTGTCAGATGGATAGATTACAAAAATTTTCTCCCATTCTGTAGGTTGTCTGTTGACTCTGATAATAGTTTCTTTTGCTGTGCAGAAGCTCCTTAGTTTAATTAGATCCCATATGTCAATTTTTGCTATTGTTGCAATTGTTTTTGATGTTTTTGTCATGAAATCTTTGCCCATGCATATGTCCTGAATGGTATTGGCTAGATTTTCTTCTGGGGATTTTATAGTTTGGGGTTTTACATTTAAGTCTTTAATACATCTTGAGTTAATTTTTGTATGGTGTATGGAAGGGGTCAAATTTCAGTTTTCTGCATATGGCTGGCTAGTTCTCCCAGGACTATTTATTAAATAGAGAATCCTTTCCCCATTGTTTGTTTTTGCCAGGTTTGTCAAAGATCAGATGGTTATATTAACAGATGTGCAGTCTTATTTCTGAGTTCTCTATTCTGTTTCATTGGTCTGTGTGTCTGTTTTTGTACCAGTACCATGCTGTTTTGGTTACTTTAGCCTTGCAGTACAGTATGAAGTCGGGTAGCATAATGCTGCCAGCTTTGTTTTTTTGCTCAGGATAGATTTGGCTATATGGGCTCTTCTTTGGTTCCATATTAATTTTAAAGTAGCTATTCCCATTAAATTACCATTTACATTCTTCACAAAATTAAATAAGACATTTAATACCAGATTGCCAGATTTCATTTTAAAAGATTAGAAGAAAACATATGCTGTCTACAAGAAACTTAATTTTTTAAAAAAAACATAGGTTAAGGTAATAGGATGGAGAAAAATGTACAATATAAATACTAATCAAACAAAAGCTGGAATAGCTATATTTATTTCAGCAAAAGTAGACTTCATAACAAGGAGGGAATAAAGATTGGCATTGCATAATATAAAGGTGTAAATTCTCCAAGATGTAAGAATCTTAATTGTATGTGTCTAACAAGGGGGTTTCAGGCAATACTTGAGGTAATAATTGATAGATCTTAAAGAAGAAATAGACAAATCAACAATTAGAGTGGGAACCCCAACCTGCCTCTCTCAGTAACCAATAGAACAAATTGGCTTAAGTTCAGTAAAGGTGACCCAAATGAAAACCATCAGCCAAATTAACCTAAATGGTATTTTAGGACAGTCCACTCAACAGGAAAAGAATATATATTCTTCTCAAATGCACATGGAATTGAACCAATATAGATTATATTCTGAGTTACTAAAAAAAACCTTAACAAATTTAAAAGAGCAAAAAGTATACAAAGTATGTTTTCAAACTATAAGAGTTTTAAGCTGGAAATCAATAACAAAATTACCTAGAAAAATTCTGAAATATTTGAAAAGATCATACTGAAATATGCTGAGGCAAAACAAAGCTTAATGTTTTCCAGAAACTGTAAATGAGTTGTCTGACATTTGGAATATGTGAGTCATGACCATGTTAGAAGATTAATGTGAGCTTAGCTGAGTGTAAGGTGGGAAGGTGGCAGACGTGGAGAGCCTAGGAGGTTGATCATTCTTTAGCAAAGGCAGGCTAGGCTCCAGCATCACATGTAACCCAAGTGTAAGCTGCTTAAAATAAGATAAATTTATTTCTTATTTATTTAACAACACTGACAAGGTTTTCAGGTATGTTTTTCTTCATGCAGTTATTGATAAACCCTGGTTTCTTCCACATTTTGATTCTTCTTTTCTTTAGTATACCCAGCTAATTGGAAGTGAAAGATTATGGAGAAGCATGCATGGGAAGTTTTGAAAACCAGGGCTGAATGTATTGCAAGTAACTTCTCCTCAAATTCCATTGTAGAAAATATAGATAAGTAGCCAAAATACAATAAAATATGTACAATATACTTTAGTTGTGTGGTAGGAGGAGGAAAAGAGAATAGGAGCTCAAATATAAGTGATATCCTCATATTTATGCGAAATGGCTCCTATGGAAAAGCCAAGTAGAATTATGGGAAGAAAATTTTGAAGGAAGAACTTTTTCTTTCCATAGAAGGGAAGGAAAGAAAAATGTTAAAAGGATTGGCAAACACTCCAGTCACAAAATGTGGTTTCTGGGCTAAAAACATTAGAATGAAAATTAAAGCATCTTCTCAATTTGGAAATTGATAGGACCATATTGAGCTGAACAAGTCACAGCTGCCAGGTAAAAGACAGTTAAGGCAGAGGCTGTATTTAATTCAACTTAGGAGGTAGAGATTTAGAAACACCAAGTGTAGCCTCCTCTGTTTAGAAGGTTGATAGAGAAGAAACAAAACTGTTTTTTTTGTAGAAGGGAGCTTAAATTTGAAGAAAGGCGTGCATATGCACATCTGTTCAATTAAAAAGACTTAATGCCAAGAATGGCTGAAAATACAAAATGGTGGTACTCTTTCCAGTGTGCCAATTTGCTTGTGGAAATCTGACAAGAAGAAATAAATAGTACAGGTTGTACACCGTGGCACTTATTAATTGCCAAACACTTTGCACTTATTTTAATAGCTTCTAAATAACTATGAGATAAATATTATTATAATGAAATCTTTTTGGAGATGGAAATGTTAAGTGATTTCCATAAGTAAATCTTCACTAATTAAGAATCTGGAATTTAATGCCAGGATATTCTCATTCTGGCAACTTAATTCTTGTATGCTATGCTTTAAATGTCTTCTAATATAGTATTCACCTTCCAAATGTATTACATTGATTAGGAGAGAAGTAAAGGACATGGTCAAGGACAATAAAGATGCAAGTAACATTCATGTGGTAATAGAAACATAAGATAATTCTTGCACAGTGGTCTAAATTTTACCAATTCAATGGGAACAAAAGTCTCATTATATGAATGAGAGAAAGATGCTGAAATTAGATGCCTTGGTAATGTTATGAATCATTGAACAGTTACTTATGGCAAGAAGAATAGTAATGTGAAGAGGTTCACTGTGCACTGGTTAGCAGCTAGCCTGAGTCTGGTACAACAGGACACCCACACACAAGTTACATGAAATGGGTTTATTACTTACAGATAGGCAGCAAGGAAAAAGCCTAGATTTCATTGTGAAATGGTCCTGCAAAGCTCAAGAATGCTAGTCCAGGGCAGATGGAGTCTAAACTACGCATGCCCAACTTGTACCACAGCTGAGGGCCCTGGAAAACAGTCTCCCCTTCAACCCCTGGGTTTTATACACTTGGACAATGAGATATGCTGGGCTAAAACTTTGAATGTCATTCTCTTTTGGGGGAAAGAGGACTGGAACAGAGCCTGGGCTGTTCTAGCCAGTACCTCCCTATCTCCTATCTCAGATATTGCATTTTCAACACATTCTACAGTAATTTTTGGGAACTACAAGCAAAAAAAAAAAGAAAAAAGTGGGGGGAGAATGGAGTCAGTCCAAAGCCACTGGGACAACTGTCACGCAAGTAGTTGTTTAGTGATTCATTTTAAGATTTAAGGAAGGTTGAAAATCCAGATGAATTTAGGAACCATTCATCAAACCCTTATAAATTCGAGTTCTATGATAATTAAAATATATCTTCTTTTAAAACATACTATTATAACAAGATTTTTAAAGTGATTCTTCTTGCATAGACTCAGTGAGTAAAATTTCTCTTTCAAGCAAGCCTTGACATATGACCTTGACCTGTAATTTTTCAGGAAGAAAACAGACCGCTTAGGTTCTAAGATTGTCGGAGTGCTGAGGTTCATTGACTTCTCAGTAACATTACCGTTTTGCATTGCTTGTAAAGACTCTTTTAAACATTGAATATTTCCATTTGATTTATGTTTATGTGTGAATTTGAATTAAGTTTTATGATATTCAGGAAAAAAACTTGTTTCTTGCCATTTCATCCAAAGACTATAAAATTCTCTTATATTTACTAGATATTCAATACTAGTATATTGAAATAAAAAAGTGTCCAATTGTAAAAGGTTTGCAATCATTTTTTAAGTGTCAGTAACATAAACATACTTGATCTCTGTGTATAAGAATTTTCCTATACAGATGATTATCAGATCTTCTGTAGTTCTTTCATTTGTAGTAGAAGCATTTACAGACTAACTTAAATAACCTGTAGATTTACCAGATAATCACTCACTGGAAAACGAACTGTAACATGAGTGAGCAATTAAAAATGGTATTGATGAATGCATGGTATTCATGATTGCATGGTAATGGAGTAAAATGTATATACGTTGTATGCAAAAAGATTAAGAGTTGTCATGATGAGACTGTCATTGTAGAAGATATGCCAGTTATTCTTATCTACAAATTAAAAAATATTGTATACATATCTACTGTGTTTGAATAGAGTATCTTCCCTCAGTAGAGGGATACTAAGTTTCAGAGAAATAAGATTTATAGTTTTCAAATTGGCTTATAAAATCACAAGAATGTACACTTACAAACAGAAACTGACAACTTAATAAGACGTCGGGTCTCAGTACGTGTACCAAAGCACCCCGGGGTACTTCAGCATAGTCACAGGGGCACAGCATGATATAATAAATGCTCCTGGGGAACATGGAAATGCTTAACATCTGTAGGAAAGCTTGTGAAATATTTGCTCAAGGTAGTTCAGATTCCATGTTAGTGCTACATTTTTTTCCCAATGTCATTCATATCTTTGTGAAATTGGGTTTTTAGCAATTTTTGTGATAAAAAGCAAGAACTATGTGAAAGCTAATGTGGAAAGAGAGATGAGGGTTTACTGTCCAGTCTGAGTACTAACAGTGTCCACTTCCAACAATACATCAAATTGTTTCCAGGGGCCGGGCGGGGGGTGTCCTTGCTCCCAGAGCTCCCAAGATGGTGGTGGGTCGCTTCCAAAATGGCGGCGGGCACTTCCAAGATGGTGGTAAGCCTCGTGTTCTCTGACCTGGGGTTCTTGGCCTCACGGATTCCAAGGAATGGAATCTTGGGCCATGCAGTGAGTGTTATAGCTCTATTAGAAGCCGTGGGTCACGGAAGAGAACCGTGGAACCCAGTGACTAGTGTTCAGTTTGATTAGGATGAACCCGGGCACTTAGCCATGCAGGAACAATGGCAAGCCTTTAGCCCGATCAGGAGCGGCAATGGGCGCCTCACTAGATCAGGAGCACAGTGGACACCCCGCCGGATCCAGAGGGATGGAAGTCAGAGGCGGGTCTGTGACAGCGGCAAATGGCAGTGGTGGATAGCGACCAAAAGCTCAGCTCAAGCCATAACAAACACGGACCAGAAGAGTGTGCAGTTGCAAGATTTAATAGAATGAAAACCGAGCTCCCATACTAAGGGAGGGGACTCCAAGAGGGTAACCATTGCTGGCTCGAATGCGTGGGTTTATATCCCAATTGTTGTCCCTCCAGCTGTGCTCTCAGGCAATAGATGATTGGCTATTTCTTTACCTCCTGTTTTTGCCTAATTAGCATTTAGTGAGCTCTCTTTACTACCTGATTTGTTAGGTGTGAGCTAAGTTGCAAGCCCTGTGTTTAAAGATGGATGCGGTCACCTTCCCAGCTAGGCTTAGGGATTCTTAGTCGGCCTAGGAAATCCAGCTAGTCCTGTCTCTCAAAATTACTAAGTAATTGAGATTATTTAACAATATTTAACAATATTTTTTCTTTAAATTCATGCATTTTTTAACAAATAATTACTGAGTTGTTAAAGCACAAATATACATTAAGTAGTATGAACCCAACTCCTTAATAAGCAGGACTCCAGGTATTTCTTTTCGCCTGGAGGCATAGTGAAAAAATTACTGAAATATGAAGAATGTTGGTAACAGTAAGTTTGGAAACTTCTACAATAATAAGGTATTGTTATTAAAATTTATGAATAACCTGCTCTCTCTAATTCTCCTTATCATAGAATATAAAACAAAATTAGTAGCTTTAGGTATCAGCATGAAGATTATTGATATTGGTGAAATATTTTTCATACTGAAACTACTATGTACCATTATCCCTACTCTTAAATTATCAAATAATAGGGCAAATAGATATCAGCATATTTCATACATTAATAAACACAACAGCAATATGTGGCTTCCAGAATAAATTATTACCTTAGCTGATGTAAATTGAAGTTAAAATCACCCCTTCAATGCATGTTTCATGGCCACTAAAAAAGTAAGAGGCTGTATTCTGGATTTTATAAGACTTCTCTGTTATGATGAGTTCAGTAATCTAGTAGCAGAGATTTTTTTTTAAAATTTTTTAACTTAATGGTAAGCCACTCTTTAGGTCAAGTGTTTGTACTCAATTTTTCCTTAAGATTTAGTCACTAGATAGAAAAACTGGATTACTTTCTGTTTATTCTCCATCATTACTTTGGCCACCACGACTTTGTCCATCTCAACCTTATTGAAAATGTCTGTATAATAGGATATCCATGTTTGTTGGACACCATTGTGGAGTCTTTTGATGCACAGTTTACATCTTCTGATATAATTAGGTTGTTCTAGTCATGCTGTACTGATATTAGGATGTTTACAATTGATTAAATCCAAAGTTCAGTGGACTTTGCTGTGTGTTTGCCATGGCAGGCAGACACATGGAGATGGTGTTCCCCTGTGTAAGAAGAATGGCAACACCAGTGATGTTGATGCTCCTCTAGTAGCTTTGGCTTCTTCCTCCAGCACTGCCATCACTTGGTTAATGCCTTTCCCAATAAAACAAAGAATCTTTACTAATCTGTTATATCAAGACCCAGATAAGTGATGACAAATCTGGAAATAAGTACATTTCCTTTACTTCAAATATTGAAAGTTTGATCCTGATTGGAATTGAATTACTTCTTGGTTGCAAAGCAATGATGTCATGGTTAGAACATTATTTCATCCATTTGGTAAACCATAATATAAACTGAAATGTGGTTATCTTTTCGTTGTGTCAATTTGGCTCTTCTATAGTCTCCAGTTATTCAATCAAACACTAACTTTGGTGTTGCTGTGAAGATTTCTCTTTTTTGCATATGTTATTAAACTCCATAATTAGTTGGTTTTAAATAAGGACATTTTTGACATCTTGTGTTTTGTTAATGATAGGGCATTTTTGTGAAAACATAAACCATATTTTCTTCATGCTTGCCCATAGAATACATCATTTAATCTTTTATCCTGTTCTTCTATTCTTCTAACATGAAATACCATATAAATATCCTTGTTTGGAGTTTGTTTTTCCAGGAAGGAGGGCAGATATTAAGTTTGTATGTTAGACTCAAGAGGGGAAAAAGTTAATTAGATGAGAAACTGAAGTTGTTCAATTTTATCACAAACATAACCAATCTATGGAGTCAATATTGAGATAATGAGAAAAAAGTTGTTTTAAGAGGAAAAAAAAGGTGGAAAGAAGGGCTAGGGACTGAGATGACACTCTGGTTTTTCTTCCATTAAGACATGTTCCTTTGATGAAAAAGTGCAATTGACTTTAGCCGCTCTGAATAAGATAACTAAGACCTAGTTAAAATTGATTTTTAGCCAACACTTCTGAGCTATAGTACAACCAGTTATGTCAGGTATGTTTCAGGGCCACCAAAAAGGTAAAGACTATATTCTGAATTTTATAAGACCTCTCTGTTATGTTGAGTTCAATAATCTAGTGGCAGATTTTTTTTCTTTTTTTTTTTTGTTTCTCTTTTAATGTTTTTAAAGTTCTTGTAGACATGAAAATTGAGAATTACATTCTAATTTGAACATATCTCAAATAAATTAGTTTCTAAAAATACCTTTAGTATATGAAACTAAATTAAGCAGAAACTCATTAATTTCTTATTATTAGTAAATATATAATATGAATTAGAAAATGAGAACATATTCTTATTCTTACTTTTATAATAATATTACTATTAGTTTGTTTACTATCTTGAACTCCAAAATTTCTAGTGCTAAGTTGGGACAAGGGTATACATTATTAGAATTTTAAAGATTAAATTACTTCATATTTTATTGATACTTCAAAGTTTTCTCTTTCCAGTACCCTTTTATACAATGATGTGTTACTCTGCTTGGGTTGCCATAATAAAATGTCACAAACTGAGCAGTTTAAACAAAGGAAATCTATTATCTTAGAGTTATGGAGCCTGGGTATCTTTTTTAATTTTAATTTTAAATTCAGCATACATGTGCGGGTTTGTAATATAGGTAAACTTGTATTATGGGGGTTTGTTGTACAGATTATTTAATCACCCAGGTATTAAGCCTTATATCCATTATTATTTTTTCTGATCCTCTGCCTCCTCCCAACCTCCAACCTCCAAAAGTCCCCAGTGTGTGTTGTTCCTCTCTATGTCCATGTGTTCTCATAATTTAGCTCCCACTTACAACTAAGAATATGCAGTATTTGGTTTTCTGTTCCTGTGTTAGTTTCCTAAGAATAATGGCCTTCAACTCCATCATGTCCCTGCAAAGGATATGATCTCATTCTTTTTTATGCTGCATAGTATTCCATGGTATATATGTACTACATTTTATTTATCCAGTCAATCATTGATGGGTATTTAGGTTGATTTCATGTCTTTGCTATTATGAATATTGCTGCAATAAACATACATGTGCATGTGTCTTTATAATGGAATACAGCCAACAATCATATGAAGAAAGGTTCAACATCACTGATCATTATAGAAATGCAAATCAAAACCCCAGTGAAATACCATCTCACACCAGTCAGAATGGTTATTATTAAAAAGTCAAAAAATAACAGATGCTGGTGAGGCTTGTGGAGAAAAAGGAATGCTTATACTGTTGGTGGGAATGTAAATTATTTCATTGTGGAAGACAGTGTGGTGATTCCTCAAAGACCTAAGGATAGAAATACCATTCAACCCAGCAATCCCATTATGGGTATACACCCAAAGAAATATAAATCATTCTATTACAGAGATTGGATATCTTAAGATCAAGGTGCTGGCAGGGTTGGCTTCTAGTGAAGCCTCTCTTCCTGTCTTGAACATGGCTGCCTTCTTGTGTTCCCACACAGCCTTTTCTCTGTGCTCACGAACTCCTGGTGTCGGGTTTTCTTATGAAGATACCAGTTCTGTTGGATTAGAGCTCCATCTTTATGGCGCATTTAACCTTAATGGCTCTATTTCTGAATACAGTAACATTAGGGTATAGAGCTTCAACATATGACTCTTACAGGGGACAAAATTCAGTCCATATCAGATATATTTCATTAGATTTTTAATTTTTTTCTCTATAGTATTTTGAACAAAGGTTTAAAGAAAATAGAATTAAATATTCTGAGAGCAAAATAAATCCAGTAATAATTTTCCAAGAATAAAGATATTATTTTAAATACAGAGCTTTGCATTTAAGTTTCATATAATAATTCCTTGACATTAAAATATGCAATAGAATGGGAAAATTTAAAGTCCAATAAAATTTTATCTAAAGCAATTAAGTTGATTTTTACATTTATTTTAGAGAAAATATTTTAATTGTATTCAAAATAACATTTTGTTTCTTACTGACAATACTATTTTCATAGTTAAAATTTAAGGAATATAGAAGTTTCTATTCAGAATTAAGCACAAGCACATACACACACATATACACCTTAATTCTTACTTAATATTTTATTGGTGACCTACATTGTTGAAATTGTGCATGTGGAACTGGATGAACCAGAAATAGAATGTATTACTTTAAAGTCAGATGAAAGAGTGCAGTACTGGAGAAGTATAATATATAAGTTATATTCATATAGCTGAATATTTAATCTATAGGCAAATGAAAATACTAAACTAAAAATCTCAGAGAGTGAATGCATATTCAGCCTTAGATTCTAAGTGACACATCCACACTATAATACTTTATATTTATTCAAGAAGAGATAAGTATAAATTTAATTACCCAGCTGAAAATACCCAGCCTCTAAGTATTAAATAAAAATGTCAAAGGCAGTTTGCTTTAACTGTCTTTAGAACTTTAAGGTACACATTAAGAAAACACAAAGAAGCTGAGGCATATTGGTAGAAACATAATTAGAATTTATAGAGCAGAGGATGTTTGAGAAAAAGCCCTCATATCTGTCCCCTTCTGTTGTTCCTAAACCTAGCTGAGTATCTGTGTGTGTTGGTGGCGGATGCGGTGGTGTGTGCACATACATGCAAGTGGGCATGCAAGGGGAAATATTACAGAAACCTGAGACACATTTGGAGATCTTTGAGCAAAAGAACTGCTGTTTGGCTATTAAGGTTCAGAGAAAGTAGTATATTACATAACTTACGACTCATATCAGAAAAGGAACATTAAAAATACTGAGATAATTGATGAAGAACACAGTAACCCAGGGAGCAAGAAAGATGAACAGCACTTGACCATCATAATCAGTGATTTTATTTGGACCAGTAACCTCACCTTTGGTGCTGGGAAATAATAAATGCTCAAATGCCCAAGGTGAGCTAGGAACTACTATATAATTATGTTCAGTGTGCCCTATATACATACTAGGATGCTATATAATTTCTTTCCTCTCCCCTCTCCATATCCAAAAACTTATAATATCCATAGAGAAAAAGGAGGGAGAGAAGAAAGGGAAATAATAATTTTGAAATTAATTAATTTAAAGCTCATATTGACTTCAGGTGATGACTTTAAATGATTAATTCTAAAACTAGAAAATTACTACAAATGGGAAGATTATCTATTTTCTGTTACTTAGCAGAAATGATCACTTGTGGCCTAAGTAAAACGAGTTAAAGACAAATAAATTTACATATTTATATGTGTGATTAATAATTGGAATTTTCTACCAGCTACAGAAATGTATTTTTCATTCAAAAAGACAAAGAAAACATATGATTGACAGAATTACTAAAAATCTCTAAGATATATTGTATGATGAGTAGGAAAGAACGAGTTGGAGAAATGATGGTGGCAGGAGGCAGGCCAATTTCTAGGCAGACAGGGGTGGGTTCCCAGGAAGACCCCCTTCAGGCTGGAGACAGCCTTAAGCCTGAAAATCAGGCTGCCTCTTCCAGATGGAATCCACCACCAGGAGTGAGAACGTCCTTTATGTCTTTCAGCCAGCCTTTATGTCTTTCAGCCAGCCTTTATGTCTTTATGTTTTCCAGGCCTGCCTATGGATCAATCAGCATGTACTTCCACTTGCCCATGGACCAGTCAGCACACACTTCTTCCATTCTGAGCCCATGAAAACCCTGGACTGAGCCACGTTATCGGGGCTGCCTGCCTATGGATAGAATCTACTCACTTCTGCTGACAGCTGTTCTGCCATTCAATAAAACTCCTCCACCTTGCTCACTCTTCAATTGTCCGGGTAACCTCATTCTTCCTGGGAGGGACAAGAACTCAGGACCCAGATGAATGGCGAATGTAAAAAGGAGTGTAACACGTTCTTGGCAGGTTCGCTGCTGGGAGTGATGCCATGCTCCTGTTTATTGGACCGCAGGAGTGAAGAGCAGTGACACTTCTGGGGGCCCAGACCTGTACCTCTATCACCCTCCCGTCCTCTGCCAGTAATCAGGCGGCCACCCCATGTGATGGAAAGTGGCGACAGGGCTAGGCCAGCCCGAGCGCCAAGGGCTGGTGGGAAGTGGCAGCACTAAACGAGCTGAAACAGGCTCTCCGCCATTCACTGGGCTGTGGGTAATGGGAACAAGAGAGCTGTAGAGCACCCCCCACCTTGGGGCTCCAGGGTTGCTGGTATCTCTTTCTCGGGAACCACCACATTCTCTTCGTCCAAATGCTGCCACCCACAATGAAAGCTGCTTGTGGTATGCTTGGTCCAGCTACTGGTCCAGCTGTAGCCTCACAAGGAGCCAATGCCTGTGCCAACACCTGGAGCTGCCCGCCCCACCACAGCAGCCAGCACGCCCGGCTGTGTGCAGTGGCTGGCCCCTGCACTCACTTGCTCACACACCCCTCACCCCTCTGAGCCTGGCTTGCCCTCAGCAGGCATGGGATCTAGGCCAGTAGCACGAGCCAAGTGCAGCCTGCTGGGCTGAGTGGGTGAAATGAGCCCAGCAGGCACGAGTAAAACTCAAGCAGAGGTGCCGCCAGCCACAGGAGTTTCTGGCTGGTGAAGTGACACCCAAAAGATCCTGTGACAGAGGCGTCTATGATAAACACATTCCCAGCAGTAGGAATCACATTTTTCAAAAATATGGCATTATGAAGGTTTATGACAATTTCAAACTAAAATAAGGTAAATGTAAAGAAGTGTGTGAGGCATGTTGAGAGAAGAAATCTTAGAGATAGGTGAGATGGAGAACATGACAAATCTTCAATATTTTGGTTTTTACTTTACAAAGATTTTTGAACTGTTAAAGGTGTACAATTGATATTAATGGATTTTAAAATGATTTTCTGTATACAGTATGTAAAGTAATTTAAAAGAGGGAAGAAATAGATGTGAGATACCTGTTGCAATAGTCCTTGAGAGAGATTATGATAATTTTGACTAAGACAATGATAATGGGCAGTCGATGTCACTAAAATAATAGAAATATTAAAGAAGTGAAAACAACAGGATTTGTTTAGAATTGGTGACGTAGGTGAGGAATAATGTGTCAAGACTTTATTTCTATTTTGCACAATCAAATAATTGTTACTTTTATTAAGAATGTTATTTGAAAGGTATAATCATGATTTTTCAAACAAATTTAAAAGAAACACATGCCAAAGCTTTTAATATTACAAGCTGGTTTATTTTATTGTAGGTATTAGGAGAACTTTGAAGAAGTTACAACTACCTGTAGCTTAAAGGTGCATAACAAATATATAGGCAATCAGGAATGGAATGCTGAAATGAATTTGTTCAATGGATGTAAAAGTGGTTTATTTCATAGTAAGGAATGGAAATCAACTGAGTTTCTACCAGACAAAATTTATTAATGACTATGGATAAAAATAATGTTAATTGCTCCCAGTCATCTATTACTTAGAGAGTTGTCAATAGCTCAAAGACAAGGAAATGCAATAAAATGCCATAAAATTCACAGAATTCACAGATAGATATGCCAGAAAGTATCTGATTTTTCATTAAAGACATCCAACAATCTTTTGGTCTGTTTGAAAATTTTTCTCAATATTTGAGAATAACTGTGAGTAGTAGACATTGATCAGTATTTCAATATTTGCATGATGATTTGAAGGTGAGGTGACCTTGAGAAATTACAGTAAAGATATGATGTAATGAGTTGGATATGTCAGTCTGGAAATCGTATCAAACTAATTTCACATAGAGGTGGTAATTGAATGAGGTCACCAAGGGACAAAAAATAGATTAAGAAGTGAGAAGTTCTTCACCTGAGCCTTGAAAAACACCAATATTTAATAAGATTGTAAAAGAGCCTGCAAAAAGAAGCCGAAAGAGTGCTGGTGTTTTGCATTGAAAGGCATCAGAAATGAAGAAAGTCTAATCAGCATTATTAATCAGTATGCTAATGTTAAGTATAATAATGACAAATACTACTGCATTTATTAGGTAGGTTAAAGTTTAGAATGTTTGCCATAAAAATGTACATTTCGAATGCAATAATGGACCAAATCTCTCTCCACATAAAATTGTGAGAAAACAAAACAAAACTCTCTTTCTCACAACTTACTGGAAGGGTGCCCTTAGAATAGGACCAGATTTTAATTTCAGTAAGTAGAGGTATGGGGAAATGTTGAGATTGCACTGAGTTTGCTAAATTTGGAATAACAGTTGCAGAAGGCACACTAGGAGGATTTGAGAGGTGGGTAATTTTAAGGTTGTTACATACTTACACCTTAGTAAGTTTCTATTTCCTTTTCCCGACAGGGGAATTACACTGGAATTCAATTTTGTGTCTGATTACTCATGAATATAAAAAACAATGATGATTTATTTGGAATGTGTATTCTATACCAAGAAGTCAGAGAACAAAACATGTTTCTTTTAAAATATTCCTTCTCATCAACTCAGCTCCATTATAGTACACAATTTGTTATCCAATATGGATTAATAATGGGAGTTTTAATTGCATATTCTGATTCACAAAAGAGTATAAGTCCAGAAATATATGAACTACCAATGTTTAAGGAATTCGAGCAGGGTATTAGTGTACTGTATGCAAACCAAGTTGGACAAAATTTTATCTCTGTTGATTCAAAAGAATCGTGAAATCTCTTAGGGTCAAAATCTTTACCATTTCTCAGCACTGAATTGATGAAGCATACAAGTACTATCTGTCAGTATTTGTCATTGATATTTTGTTGAGTATTTAGTACATTAAGAAAACACAAATTGATTCCACTACTCTGAGCAATGAAATATCCCCTTATAAAATATAGATGGTTAGAAATACTGCCTGGAGAAAAGAATCTGCATTACATTTTCACAATAATTTATGAAAACATAACACGATAATCATCCTAACGCTAATTCATATTCTCATGGATGATTATCTGGCTCTATTTTAAATAAAAAGTAAGAAACATTACTGAATATTTGATTTACTAAAATGGATTTATAACGCTTTGCCAGAAATTATCTTCTAATTTTATTTAAATTTTCTGGATATGGAAACACTGATGGTTCTTTGGTTGATGAGGCCTTATTTGTTTAGAAATGAGCAACGGCACCCCCACAGGGTCACAGAGAAGCTTTTATCAGTAGCAGCCTTTAGGCCACAGTTTGCAATCAGTGAATATTTATATTAGTAGCAATTGCACCAGACAGTAATTATCTTATCACGGAGGAAAAGGTTAAAAAGAAGCTTCTCCATTGGACACCCACTGTGTGGATAATTAAGTATCTCCATGGCTTCTTTCATTACTGCATTCAATAATAGTTAAATACTAGGGAATCTAGCCATAATCAGACATGATTTGATGAGACATAGAGACAGATAGGAGCAAACAATTTTTGTCTCTAGTTTTACTTGCTAAATTCCTTAACTTGATAGACCTTGGTAAACATTTTTATAATATACTCTAGGTACCCACTGTTGTCCAATGAACAAAGTTATTAAGTGGAAGCATTTAATTGCATCTTGTGACATTCTAGAAAATACATTAAGATACCTAAAGCAATTTTTTAAAAGGGTGTTGAAAGTTATTTGTGAGTATAATCTTAAAGGCAATTTATTTCTGACATATTTAGGTGATATTTACATTATTATTTTGTCAGATAGGGGGAATAGACTCTTCTGTATCAATTCATCCCTTGAAGCCAATGAAGGTCTTTCAAAACGGTTACACGCATTCTCTCCTTGAGGTTATTAAAATAAAATTTATTTAACAAAATATTAATACAGTTTATTAAATGTCACCTGAGAAGCACTGACACACAATGCATTTCATTGGACTAAAATTAATTTAGTAAAATTTTTAAAAATGCCCATAGCACTTTTAAATTATGCAGACTAATAATGGGCTTGATGATTCAGTTTTGGGCAAAAAGTACTGCCTTAGAACATAGATCATGTCAGTTCTTCCCTTCTCTCTTTCTTAAACTCTCACTTCAGATCTCATGATTCTATAATCTGAGAACATGAAGTAGGCACAGAGAGTGCCTGGTCATGCATTAATTTATTACTTCAACAAAACATTGAACAGCGGCTATACTCCAGACACTCCTCTAGGCATAAAGTCAGCACTGGAAGCTTTAAAAAATAATAATATAATTTTTTACTGAGAGAAATTAGGGCACTGCATATCAATGGTTAGAAACTATTCACTACACTTCCTAATGTCAGCATACTCAATACTAGCAGTCTAAAGTATATGATTTTTCAAGCAACAACATTGCATTTTACAGAGCAAGAGTTTTGCAGATTAACAGATTAGGCTTTTATCCATTTTAATGAGACACCATTTTATATAATAAATATTTATTGATCTCCAGAATTTTGCTGCTCATGTTACAGTGAACGATGTAGACACAAAATGCTTACATGCCTGTGGTCTCCAGTTTTGTAAGTTAAGAGACCAGAAAACCAAAAACCTGAGAAGGAGCAAGATAATTTGGGGTGAGCCATCAATGTGGTAAGAAGAGAGCTGGGAAAGTGGGGTATCAGGGAAGCTTTAATAGGATAAACTCTTTGGAAGGCAGAATGGTAAATTAGGTAAAAAGCTGGGGATAATTTGAATTAGATGAGCATAAAGAAATGACAAGTGAGTTAGGCATATAAAGTTTGTTATTAACCTTGACAAAAACAATTTCAGATAAAAATCAGTGTTTGAATTCTTAATTGTAACTGAGATGCAGACCCAGAGTAAATAATTTCTTTTAAGACATGTTGATGAAATAAGAAAGTGAGAAATAGAGATGATGTTCGATGCTTTATTTTTAAAGTTGGAAAATGCTTGAGTGAAATTCTTAATATAAGGTTTGTGAGTAGAATTCACAAGGTTTATGGAATTGAATGAGGGAAAATTTTCATGCTAATTTTCACTAATTTCTAATTAAATTTAACATTTATTTCAATTATTGATATAGAGAAAAACTTTTAAGGAATATAGCCATATCTGTCATTTCAACAGCAGTAGAAATCACAGTCATTTTCAAATAATGTAATAGTTACCCCAGATATTATTTACACTCATTTTTACTCAGAAATTATTGTTACAAATCATGCCACTAATTATTACTTAATAAAGTGCATGCATTACAATATCTAAACTTTGTTATTAATAATATTTTAAATAATATTTTAATATTATTTAAATAATATTTTAACTTAGAAATACAGTTGATTCTGAGGTTAGGGTAACATAGCCCCTGCATAGCTGAAAATTCAACTATAACTTTTGACTACCCCAAAAGCCAAGTACTAATAGCCTACTGTTCACCAGAAGCCTTACAATAACATAAACAGTCAATTAACACACATTTTTTCTGGTGTATGTATTACATACCATACACTTATGACAAAATAAGCTAGAGAAAAGAAAATGTTATTAAGAAAATCATAAGAAAGAGAAAATATGTTTACAGTACTATACTGTATTTATTGATACTGTAAGTCTATATCATCTGTTTACGTGATGAATCCTCTGTAATCACTGCAATCATAGCTGCAGACCTCAGTCTATGGAACATATCCAGCAATTCAACTTTTTCTTATGTCATGGCTTTTCTATGCTTTTTGGGAGCACTTCCAGCATCATTAGTGGCACTTTGTACGGGTCCCATGCTGTTATTCAAGGTTTATGGTATTGCGCCAAACATGATGAAAGACACACAAAAACCACGAGAGATCATTTTTCACTGTGATACGCAATTTACTGGAGAGATGAACTGCTCACATGGAGATGATTAGAGTCACATGGCGTTTTAAGCGGATACTTGCAACACTCGAGCTCACCTCAATAACAACGGGAGGTAGCTGCAAAATTATTACAGTAGTACAGTATGCAATTCAGGAAATTTTATGTAGTTATAATTTAATACGGCATCTTAATTTTTTTTTACATTTCTCTCTACTGCAAATGGAGCTATATATGATCTGTGATTATGTGCATCAGTTTTGATATATTTTTAACTTTTAATAATAGATTTTTATAAATTTATAGTAGTAAAAGATAAAATAGACTAGCAGCTATATATATTTTTTCATTCATAACGTATTTTTTCTTATTTTAAAAAATATTTCTATTCTATGCAGTTCAAGTTTTTCAGATTGTTAAAAATCTCCAATAAATGGTTCCCATATATTTATGGAAAAAATCTGCATATAAGTGGGCCCACACATTTCAAACTTGTGTTGTTCAAAGGTCAACTGTAATTTATTTTTATACAAATATGCACAAACAATTTAGTGGTTCCCTCAACCATTTTTCCTTAATGCAACATTTTACATTACCACTGTAATATTGTCAAAACCAAACAAAAACAAAAACAAAACATTAGTACACTACTAGTAACTAAATTCTTAATAATGATTTCAAGTTTTTACACTGACATTCTTTTTCTGTTCCATGATCCAAGTCAACAGGCCACATTAGTCATATTTCCTTAGCTTCCTCTGGTCTGTAACAGTTTTCAGTCTTTCATAGTTTTCTATTATTTATGATTGGAGGAGTACTTCTGATCAGATATTCTGTATAATGTTTCTCTAAATTTGGGATTGTCTGGTATTTTTCTGGCATTATGCTATGCTTCATATGCTATGCTCATAATTTTCTGCTGCAGACTAAAATCAGCTACCTCTTTAAGAAGTCCTGATTCCTTTTATTGGAGAATGGTACTTAGAAAACAAAGTCTGAGCTTGGGGTGTGTTAATTGTTATACCATATACCATAGGACAGGCCTAAGGTATATTTATGTATATACTAACCCATGTGTGTACATATAGCTATTATTATTTCTGTATCTTTCCCTTTGTACATACATTAGTTAGGCCAGTTTCATCCTTTCCCACTTGCTCCCACTGACTTCATGTTAGTATGATCAGTTTCCCCTGTAATCCCATGGTTTTATTTTATGCAAGTTAATTTTTTTCAGAAGAGATCCATGGGCTTCACTGGACTATCAAAAATACCATCATACAAAAGATTAATAAATTCTGGCATTAGAACATGTTTTTATGCTGATGTGAAAAATCTAATGAAAAACAGCAAACGATTTTTTAAATATGATAAAGAGATCTATCTATGCAAAGGCAAAGATTTGGAAAAAGCAATAGATAATGTGATCTAGAGCATTAAGTGGATGAGTTGAAGCAAAACAAAGTCTTTTTTACATTATAGCAAATATAAAGACAAAGGACTTGGATAAAGTTGAAAAGATTTTTATGAAGGAAAATACAATGTGAAGTTAATAGGAGTAGGATTGGGTAGCTATGTTGGAAATTTGATAAGAGTAGATAATTTGAAATTAGTTTTTGGGAAAAGAAATCTTAAAATAAAAATATATATTTGAATTATCACGTAATGTTGAGAGCCTATTAATGTAAAGAGAACTAAGTCAAAATTATTTGTGGTTTTTTTTGGTTGTTTGTTCGCTTTACAAAATCCAACTGCTTATGTGAAAAACAGATTAAAACAGATTAGGGATTTTTGAGGTAAGTATACTGGAAAGAAGGCCAAGGCAGTTGAGTCCATTTAAAAGAATGACTATAAATATATTCCACTGGAAAAGATTAATAAAAAGAAATAAAGTGAGATCATCAATGTCCTGGCAAAAAGTGAAGAATTGAGCATGTTGGATTGGGAATCTCAATGAAGATAAAAAATTGATTCACTTGAAGTAATAGCATAATGGAATATTGGACTATGATGGAATTAGAATGATGGAATATGATAGAATATTGAAGATAGAGACTGGAAAAGCTGAAATCAATAATTTGTAGTTGAGCAGTTTCTGATTAGATGTGAAGAATTAACGCAACTAAAATGATAAAGTCCTGACTATCTTTGAACTTTTTATTTCCTGAAAATAAGAAGAAGGATCAGGATAAATAAATAAATTAGGATTCATTATTAGAAATTATCAGAATGATGGCAAATGTCAAGAAGAAGAAACTTTGTTTCCAAAGTAATAGGCTTGGCCTTTTAGCATTGGTTTGATAACAGAGATGTAAGAATTTAATTTTCCAAGAGGTAATAAAAAACCTGAGAATAACTTCCCCTTCTGAAAACATTAGTAAAGACAGATAAAGAGAAAGCAATAGATTGGAAGAATCAATATTGTTAAAATTCCCATACTACCAGAGCAATCTGGAAATTCAATGCAATCCCAATGAAAATTTTAATGATTTTTTCACATAAATAGGTAAAACAATCCTAAATTTGTGTTGAACAACGCAAGATGCTAAATAATCAAAGCAATATTAAGCAAGTAAAACAATGCTGCAGACATCACACTATTTGATTTTAAAATAAACTACAAAATATAGTAATCAAAGGAGCATTGTACTGGCATAAAAAGGACAAAAAGACCTATGGAGGAGAATAGAGAGCCCAGAAATAAATCCATACATTTAAGACCAATTTTTTTTCAGCAAAAATGCCAGTAATATACAATGGGTAAATGACAGTATTTTCAATAAATGAAATTGGAAAAACTTGATATCCACATGCAGAATAATGAACTTAGACCTCATGTCATGTCATATACAAAATTCAGCTAGAAATGGATTAAAAACTTAAACATAAGACTTCAAACTATAAAAAACTATTACAAGAAAATACAGAGGAAAATCTCTGTCATTGGTCTGGCTAACGATGTTTTGAATATGTACCCAAAAGCAAAGACAACAAAGGCAAAAATAGACAAATGGGATTATATTAATCTCATTGGCAAATGATAAGAAAAATAAACTATAAGTATTTCCAATGTAATGGAATTGGCCTGTTAGTACTGGTTTTATGACAGAGATGTAAGAAGACATGTTCTTCCAAGTAGTAAAGAAGCTAAAAAGACTGTTGATGGATGGGTAAAGAAAATATGGTCTAAGTACAAAATGACGTGACATTCAGCCTTAAGAAATAAGGAAATCCTCTCATTTGTGACAAAAACGGATGAACTTGGAGGACATTATATTCAGTGAAATACGGCAGGTTCAGAAATATAAATAAGATCTCATTTATTTTTGTAATCTTAAAAAGTTGAACTCATAGAAACAGAAAGTCTAATGGTATTTACCTTATGCTGAGGATTTAGGGCACTGGGGCAAGGAGATTTTGGTGAAGGGATATGAAATTTTTGTTAGAAAAAAACTTCAAGAGATCCACTGCACATGACTATGTTAATAACAATATATTGACTACAGTTAATTACAATGATGATGACTATAGTTAATAACAATATACTTCATACTTGAAAATGATAAGAAAGTAAATTTTATATTCTCACCAAAAAATATGTGAGGTAACATATATGTTAATTAGCATGATTTAGCCATTTCACAATATATACATATATCAAATTATACACCATAAATATATACAATATTTATTTATTAGCTTAAGTGCATAAATACACAAATAAATGAAGTAATATATCTTGTTTTAAAAATATGACCTTTACAATTTTAGGAGAGAAGTCTAAATATATTCATAAAGGCAACAATTGATTTCTAAGAAATCTGGAGACCTTTGATATAAATAGCACATAAAACAGAATGATTGGCTCTGCTTAATGAACCTGCTGATGCAAATTTTAAAAGTGTTGAGGTTAATTCAATTATTCTTTAAAAAACTCGTAAATATGTAAATTTTATGGCATCATAGGTTTTTGTTAAGGAAAATGAAGAGTACAAATTAAGCTTCTTATGTAGAAACTAGTGCAGTACAGGAAGTAATTCAACAGTTTCTCAGTTTTACCAAATGAAGTTTTTGATGATTAATGCCCTTTACTGAAGAAAATGTATATTTTAATATATTAATTATACTAAATATGTATACATTATATAATATTTTAGTAAATAATAGGCTCATATTTTATTTAAAATCTTCTTTGGAAGGTCAACTGAAATTTAAAGTTCCAGCCAAGAAAAGTATAAAACACTACATGTGTAAAATGACAAATGATTTTTTTAACCTGAGCAGTAGGGCTACTGAGGGGAAATCAGTAAGCAAAACAGATAGATAGATAGATAGATAGATAGATAGATAGATAGATAGATAGAAAAAATATTAATTAATAGAAACAGGTGGTTGAAAAGATAGAAAGAAATGAAACAATTATCAAACAGAATTTGTTTGCTAATTTTTTAGAAAAATAGTGTGTCTACAATATTTCCAAACACAAAATAACAATTTCTATTTACTGTTTTCAGATTCTTATCTTCTTGTAATTTTCAATGTTATACACCATTTTCATAACTGAGAAAAATATTTTGAGTAAAACACAAATAAATATAACAAGTTAACATTAAGAGGCAATATGACTACCAAGTTACATTTATTTACCTGACCACATAAAATTAAAACTTACCTTTTAATAGCATTAATGAGAGTTTCCACTATTTATAAGCTTCAGCCATTCAGTGGTAATTAGCATGGAGGTGTTATTCACTCTTGTCCTAATACAGGTTTCCTTTTAACCTCTCTTAAAGGTCTTGCTATTTTTTGCTTCATTACTTTGCTTTATTGAACATTATATGACATGGCAAGCAATTAAGTATGATTGTATAGGAAATTAAATCAGCAAAAGTGCATTAATGGTCAAGTTTAAATACATAGAAGCAACAAAATTGAATTAAAGGTGGCAGTTCTATATTTAACTTATCTTATTTTGTCCAGGTATTATAGAATGTAAAATGTGTTAAATTATTCATGCTTTGAAGATCATAAAAATACTTCTTCACAGTGAATTTAGTTGATGGCAATGCTTAAAATCCTGTCATGAAAGGGTCATATTGTCATTATTTAGTAATATAACCAGGGTTAGTTTTTATTTGTTTGCCTTATTCCTGGGGATAAATTGTAAATGGACAAAAATACCTAAGTGTATATGCAGTGTTCACTGAATTATCTATTTTCAACATATAAAATTGAATATTTGAATGTTATATCACTGTTCATTGTATTTTGGTTTTTGCTTTTCATTTTACAGAATGCTTGGTTTAGTGAAAATAATACTGGAAAACAAATCAGGACTAGAGATAAAATATTTTTATTGCTTATTTAAATTATTTTATATATTAAAAATGAACGGATAATTTTCTAAAATACAAGTTATGAGTACTTATTCACGAAGAAAATAAACCTGAAGAGACTAAATTTTTTTAAATTTATAAGATATTATTTATATAAATACCTCAGCCCAGGATGGATACTGTGACTCAGGCCTCTAATCCCAGCATTCTGGGAGGCCAAAGTGGAAGGATCACTTGAGCCAGGAGTTTGAGACCAGCCCAGGTAACACGGTGACACCATGTCTCCACAAAAAATAAAATAAAAATAAAAATTAGTCTGGCCTCCTGGCATGCACCTGTGGTTCCACCTACTCAGGAGGCTGAGGTGGGAGGATAGCTTGAGCCCAGAAGGTCAAGGCTACAATGAACTCTGTTTGCACCACTGCTCTCCAGCCTGGATAAAAGAGTAAGACCTTACCTCAAAAAAAAAATAAAAAAAAAAGGGGGTCTCAACCCAGATGGCTTCTTCAATATTTATTCAAACATTCTAATGTAATAAAATTATCTGCCTAAAAATGGATCATACAATATATATAAAATGGAAAATACTAAATACATTTTTGATTCTGGCATATAAAGTCTGTTATAAAAATCAGGTCAAACAGAAAAACAAACAATAATACAAAAAGTACAGAATAGTTACAAGTGATAGGTAGGACTTTTATCTGCTAGATAAATTTTTGGGTAAATACTGACAAGGCATGAAAATGAACCACTTTATTAATGACCTATAAGTATTAGTACAATCTCTTTTCCACTCCTTTAAATAATAATTTTACATTTTCTCTTTTCTTCTCAAACTTCCAACATATCCTCACCCTTTCTTAGCTAATGACTATCATATTTTACTGAGAAAACTGAAAAAGTTGAATTTTTACAAACATTCACCACTCCTTTGCCACTTCGGTCTGTTCCCATATCCTCTATATTTGTGATATCATAGATGAAATAGCTTTGTTCCTTGCTAGGTTAAAATACCGGTTTTTCAGAAAATTCTATTAAAGGACATTGCTTAGTAATTCTTTCTTTTCTTTGTTATTATTTTGTTTTACTCTCTTCTAATTACATCCCATCTTTGGCATCCTACTTCACTCAGCAAATGAAGTCTACCTTGTGTGATGTGGCTCCCTTGCCACTATTACGTTCTGTGACATTCTGTGACATCATCTCCCACCACTCCCTGCTCTCATTCACCTTATTCCAGCCATTCTGGCTTTTTTGCTTTCTTCTTGGAACATTCTAGGCATTCTCTTACCTTAATCCCATTTGGTGTTTCTTCTGCCTGAAATGCTTTGCTCTACATAGCTGCATGTTTGAATACTTCCCATCTGAATTTTGTGTGACAATGAATTCTTGACAAATTAATGTATTTCAACTTTGTAGCATGAATCTAATGTCATCTGGAAAATGTAGGCTAGAATAGATAAAAGATTAAAAATATGAGAAATTTTGCCTAATAAATGTTGAAATATATTATTAAGTATCAATGATTAAATTAATGTAGCCTAAACAGACCATTGTATACAATATATGATACCTTAGTGTAGAAAAAATGATGTCATCTCAAATCAGTAGGAACGAATGTTCAAAGAAGCTACATTAATGGCTTGATTTTTCATAAAATAAAAATTTGCTTGAACCTTTGCCTCAGCATGCCCATGAAGATATTCATTAAATGGGTTAAAGAAAGTTAAATTTAAAATAAAAATCAGATTAAACACAAAGTGACATAAAGTAAAATCATCACTGATGACATTTCCAAGTCTGCAAAGGAGGAGATCTCTTCAAGCTTAAACAATGAAGTAATTCATTAAAGGAAAACCTAAAATATGTGAATATATACAATTAAATTAAGAGATTCTCTATGTCAAACAAAAGTGGAACAGAACAAACTGCTGAAAAGAAGTTGTATAGATAATCAGGTTTACATTTAGAGCTAAGAAAAATATAACTGACACCAGCAATAATTTATAAAAGAACTTAAAATGGTATTTCACATAAATTGGGTATTATATCATGGCTAATGTATATGAAGAAATAACACTCAGAAATGAAAAAAATACAGAGCACAAAAATTAGATAAAATTTTAATTATAAAAGTAATGATTTAATTAATAATGCATAACATTTCTTATAGGTGGGACTGTGTTTTGCTATATTTTAGCATTTTCGGTCAACAGTTCACTCTCTGAAGAGAAGCACTTCCAGAATGGTGGCGTAAAGAGCTTTTCAGACTTTCTTTCTATTGAGTCAATCATAATTGTTGAAAATTCTATATAAACACACACACACAAGCATATACACACACAACAATTTACTATCTCTGGAAATTGTCCTAAGGATACATAGGATATGAGAAAACATTTGTTAAGGAAAATGTGGTTATCATTTTAGGAACAGCGACAGCCTGTGGCATTTGAGCCATGATCCACCCCTCACTCTTCCCCAGCTAGGCATGATGGAAGCCCTATTCCAAGTGGGCGCAATCATGAAGACAGAGTTTCCCTTTCCCTCCACCTCCCAGTCTAAGGCAATGGCTTCACTTCAGGAGTGGCAGGCTGCTCTCATATCTCCATCTCTGTTCAAAGAAACCCAGTTCCAGGTAAGTGCTGTTATCTGGGGCTCTTTATTTCCATAATCTAGTCCCTAATCATATGGCAGAAACTCTACCCTGTACAAGGCTGGCTGAGAATACAGTGCTATGATTGGGTTCACCCTAGCTTGATTACAGGGAAATTTTACATTGAAAGAGGCAGGTGAAGAGGATTAGAGGCTATTGCCCACCTAGCACTCTGCCTGTAGAGCAGATATGTTTCTTTGAGAGAAATGGGCTGCTGTCCTTGCCTCCAGCTCTGGAGCTGCAACATAGAGCTTCCACCCTGGGGAGAGGTAGGCCATGAAAACATATGGCACTTTAGCTCTCCCTAAGGGGACTCACTTTACTGGGACAAATATGTAAAAAAGAGTGCTGCCAGTTTTAGTCAAACAATACAATTTTAAATAATGGATATTTTGGCAATAAGAAATTAAGAGGAGGCTGATAGCTTCTTGAGAACAACAGCTAAATTTCAAACCAGCTAATAATTTATCAGAGAGAATAAGGGAAAGAGTCAGAAATAAGAAGAGCCCTGCTGGGGTCAGAGCAAGCCTCAAAGACTGGCCTCCATGACAATCTATCCAAAGGGGTCTACATTTTATTGTTTGAAATGTGGATCAGTTTATACCTTAGTGTATTGTTAAGAATAGTAGAGAAATAAGATTGCACTTAGTAGATGCTAAGAGCTGGATATATGCCAATAAAGGGATAAAATCCAGAAAGTACACAGGGAGATCAGGGAAAGAGACCCCCAAAGAGAGCTCAGGGAAAGCCACTGTCATGGGGGCTGGGAAGAGGGATTCAGATTAACCGTGATTATGCTCAAGTCTGTAGCCTCTGAATAGTGACATCAGAGGCTGTATATCAAGGGGAGAATAGACTTTACTAAAATAGTTTAGAAAAGTTGGTAAACAAATAGGCAAAGAAGCAAAAATATCAACAAGCTCTGGAGGTAGGGGACTCAGTGTCCAAAGTTGCTATATTATCTAAAACGTCCAAATACACACACACACACACACACACACACACACACACACACACAATATGAGAGGTGAAAAGAAACGGGAAAGTATAATCAAAACATGAAGACTGGAGTAGTGGGGAGCAGGCAAAATATTCTGGCTTTGTGGTTGCTTAGCAGAAAGAATTGTAATATATTTGAGAATAACAGTTCAAAAGAGGCAGGTAGGAGACAAGCATATTTGAGTAGGAAATAAACCACCTGTTAACTTGGACACATTAGAAAAAATGAAGAGAAAAATAATAAATAAGAAGGCTAGTATAACAAATGCTGCAAATGTATGCTTGCTTGCTTGCTCGCTTTTCTCAGTTTTTTTATTTGTTCATTCACTTTACCTCTTTCAAATTGAGCCTTTAAAACAAATCTGATGATTATTGGTTCTTCATATTTATAAACACAGCAAAACAAAAGACAAGCTAATGTGAAATTTTGTAAGAACTTTGTTTTGGAGGAATTTACTTTAGTTGGATGTCCAAACAGGATATTTTGAGAGTGAAGAGCATGTAAAAATTACCTAAAATTATTTTGAAGTATTTATTATGCCAAAAACAGCTTTATGTTATTAGAAAAAATTTTAAAGCTCTTTTCAAAAATATTTTCTGAAAATAGCAAATGTCTGTGCTAAAGAAAATTTAAAGATCCTTTATAAACTATATAAATATTAAAATTGACATGCAAACTAATAATCTCTGTTTTTAAATGTATTTTAATCAGGGTCTTATGTCTCAAATCCATGTCACTGGTCTTTTTGTAAAAAAAGAAAAAAAAGGATTTTCATGTATAATACTATTTTTAAAATATAAAATTGCCATCAAAGTGTTACCCAAACACTGGGGGTTTGGTCTAGGTCCTGCTGCTCACTGCACAGAAAGCCCGTCACTAAGATGAAAAAGTCAGTCACCAAGACAGAAAGCCAAACACTGAATATGGCCAAGGAAGAAGGCTTTAATCAGGTGCTGCAGCACAGCCCAGGAGATGGGAGCTAGCATCAACTCTATTTCCCTGACTGACTAAAACTAGGGCTTTAGTGGCAGGGAAGAAATTTAACAATGTGTAAGAAAACGAGAACTAGGGAGGGGCAAAAGGCATCTGGTGCTGTGATCTATTTTCAGTTTTTGATACTTTTTTTGAGAGGCCTGAGGTCCTTTCTAGGTGAAAGAACTCAGATAAAGCAAATACAGTTTTCAAGCTTTAACAGCAAAAGGGTCAATTTCTATGTTTATCCAAAAGCAACTGTCTATGGGACTCTTGGGCCCGTTTCAAAAGTTGATGTTTGTCTATGAAATTTGAACATTTTGACACCGTCAATTGATCCTCTTCTGTAGATCACAGAATTTTTAAATTGATAATATATTCTTCATATTAGCACTGAAATTTTTGGTTATCTTAGCAAATTCTGTTATTTGAAGGATTGTCTCAATCCTCATATTTTTATTATATTGAATTATATAAATATGTTGAGGTGTGTTCTTTCTCTCCCCAGTTAGCACTTCATATTAGCACTGAAATTTTTGGTTGTCTTAGCAAATTCTGTTATTTGAAGGATTGTCTCAATCCTCATATTTTTGTTATATTGAATTATATAAATATGTTCAGGTATGTTCTTTCTCTCCCCAATTATTTGACGGTTTTTATCATGAAGAGATGTTGAATTCTATCAAATGCTTTTTCAGCCTCAATTGAAATGATCATAAGGTTTTGTCCTTCATTCTGTTGATATGATATGTTACATTGATTGATTTATGTATGTTAAACCATCCTTGTATCCCTGAGATAAATCCCATTTGGTCATAATGAAAGACTTTTATAGGGTGTTATTGAATTTTGTTTGCTAGCGTTTTCTAGAGTTTTGCATCAATATTCATCAGAGATCTCGGACTGTAGTTTTCTTTTTTTGATTTGTCTTTGTTTGGTTTTAGTACCAGGGTAATACTGTCCTCACAGAATAGGTTTGAAAGTTTTCCCCCATTCTCTATTTTTCAGAATAGTTTGAGTAGAATTGGTATTAGCTCTTCTTCAAATGTTTGCTGGAATTCAGCAGTGAAACCATCAGGTCCTGGGATTTTTTTTAGGGAAAAATTCCTAAGGAATTTTTTCACTTGTTTCTAGATTTTCCAATTTGTTGCCATATAGTTGCTCTGAGTAGCCACTAATGATCCTTTGAATTTTTGCAGTATCAGTTGTAATGTCTCTTTTTCAAGCCTTATTTGCATCTTCTCTCTTTTTTTTCTTAGTCTAGTTAAAGGTTTGTCAACATTTTTAACTTTTCAAAAAAAAAACTTTTTGTTTTGTTTTGTTTTGTATTTTTTATTTCAATTTTATTTATTTCTGCTTTGATGGTTATTATTTCTTTTCTTCTACTAATTTTTCATTTGGTTTGCCCTTGGTTTTCTAGTTCTTTAAGATGCATCATTACATTGTTCATTTGAAGTTTACATCTTTTTTGATGTAGGCACTTAGACCTACAAACTTCCCTCAAGGTACTGCTTTTGCTGTATCCCATGGATTTTGGTATGTTACGATTCTATTATCATTTGTTTAAAGAGATTTTTCAGTTTCCTTTTTATTTCTTCATTGACCCACTTGTTATTCAGAAGCATATTCTTTAATTTGCATGTGTTTGTATAGTTTCTAAAATTTATACTGTTATAATTTATAGTTTACTCCATTGTGGTCAGAAAAGATGCTTTATATTATTTCAATATTTTTGAATGTTTTAAGACTTGTTTAGTGACCTAACGTATGGTCTTTCCTTGAGAATGGCCTATGTGCAGAAGAAAAACATGTGTATTCTTCAGCGGTTGCATATGTATGTTCTGTAAATAACTATTAGATCCATTTGGTCTATACTGCAGATTAAGTCCAATGTTTTTGGAATTTACCTTCTGGACGATCTGTCAATGCTGAAAGTGGGGTGTTGAAATCTCCAGCTATTATTATATTGGGGCCTATCTCTTACTTAACTCTAATAATATTTGCTTTATATATCTGGGTACTCCAGTGTTGGGTTCATATATATTTAAAATTGTTATACCATCTGGCTGAATTGACACTTTTATCATTATATAGCGACCTTTGTCTCTTTTTAGTTTTTGTCTTGAAATTTGTTTTGTCTGATATAAGTACCATTTATCCAATACCTCTACCCCCATTGTATAAGTCTCATGACTCCTGCTTTCTTTTTTTTATTCCATCCACATGGAATATCTTCTTCCATCCCTTTCAGTCTATGTGTATCTTTATAGTTGAAGTATGTTTCTTTTGAACAACCGATCAATGGGTCTTGTCTTTTCTTCCATTCTGCCAGTCTATGTCTTTTGATTGGAGCATTTTATTTATTTGTATTTAATGCTATTATTGAAAAGTAAGGACTTACTCCTGCCATTTTGCTATTTGCTTTCTTGTTGTTTTATGGTCTTCTCTTCCTTCTTTCTTTCCTGCCTTTCTTCATCTAGAGAAGGTGACTTTCTCTGGAGATATGATTTAATTTTTGCTTTTTATTTGTGTATCCATTGTATGTGTTTTGGTTTGAGGTTACCATGAAGCTTGAAAATATTATCTTACAACCTATTATTTTAACCTGATAACAACTTAACAGGATTTGCATAAACAAACAAGCAAAAAGAAAAACCCCAAATTAATAAAAACTCCATTCCTTAACTTTGTTCTCTGCTTTTTAATTTTTTGTTGTATCTATTTATATCTTATTGTAGTGACTATGTTTTGAAATATTGCTGTAGTTATTATTTTGATTTGGTTATCTTTTAGTCTTTCTACTTAGGATAAGAGTAGTTTACACATCACAGTTACAGTGTTATAATACTCTGTGTTTTTCTGTGTACTCACTATTACCAGTGAGTTTTGCACCTTCAGGTGATTATTGTTACTCATTAGTGTCCTTTTATTTCTGATTGAAATACTTCCTTTAGCATTTTTTTTTTTTTGTAGGACAGGCCTGGCATTAATGAAATCACTCAATTTTTGTTTATCTGGGAAAGTCTTCATTTCTCCTTCATTTTTGAAGGATATTCTTTGCCAGATATACTACTCCAGGGTAAAAGTTACCTTCTTTCAGCAATTTAAATACCTCATGGCACTCCCTAGTGGCCTGTATGGTTTCCACTGAAAAGTATGCTTCCAGATTTATCAGAGCTCCCTTGTATGTTATTTGTTTCTTTTCTCTTGCTGTTTCTAGGATCTTTCCTTTATCCTTGAACTTTGACAGTTTGACTATTAAATTTCTTGAGATAGTTTCCTTTGGGAAAAATCTGCTTGGTGTTCTATAACCTTCTTGTACTTGGATATTGATATCTTTCTCTAGGTTTGGGAAGTGATATGCCTTGGCTCTGTCTCCACCAAAATCTCAACTTGAATTGCATCTCCCAAACTTCCCACCCAGGGGGAGGTAATTGAATCATGGGGGCCGGTCTTTCCTGTGCTATTCTCATGATAGTGAATAAGTCTCATGAGATGTGAAGAGTTGCTCAGGGTTTTCTGCTTTAGCTTTTTAATCGTTTTTATCTTGCCACCACCATGTAAGAAGTGCTTTTCACCTTATGCCATGAATCTGAGGCCTCTCCAGCCATGTGGAATTGTAAGTCCAATTAAACCTCTTTTTCTTCCCAGTCTGAGGTATGTCTCTATCAGCAGCATGAAAATGGATTAATACAGTACATTGGTACCAGCAGAATGGGATGTTGCTGAAGATATTTCGAAAAATGTGGAAGCAGCTTTGGAATTGGGTAACAGGCAGAGGTTGGAACAGTTTGGAGGGCTCAGAAGAAGACAGGAAAATGTGGAAAAGTTTGGGACCTCCTAGAGACTTATTGAATGGCTTTGACAAAAATGCCAATAGTGATATGAACAATAAGATCCAGCCTAAGGTGATCTCAGATGGAGATGAGAAACCTGTTGGGAACTGGAGCAAAGGTGACTCTTGCTATGTTTTAGCAAAGAGACTAGTGGCATTTTGCCCCTGCCCTAGAGATTTGTGGAACTTTGAACTTGAGAGAGATGATTTAGGGTATCTGGTGGAAGAAATTTCTAAGTGACAAAGCATTCATTCAAGAAGTGACTTTGGTGTTGTTAAAGGCATTCAGTTTTAAAAGGGAAACAGTGCATAAAAGTTCAGAAAATTTGCAGCCTGATGATGCAGTAGAAAAGAAAAACCCCATTTACGAGGGGAAACTCAAGCCAGCTGCAGAAATTTGCGTATAAGTATCAAGAAGCCTAAAGTTAATCCCCAAGACCATGAGGAAAATGTCTCCAGGCCCTGTCAGAGGACTTCACAACAGCCCCTCCCATTACAAGACTGAAGCCCAGAAGGAAAAAGTGGTTTCATGGGCTGGGCCCAGGCCCCTACGCTGTGTGCAGTCCAGGGACTTGGTTTTCTATGTCCCAGCTGTACCAGCTATGGCTAAAAGGAGCCAACATAGAGCTCAGGCTGTGGCTTCAGAGTGTGGAAGCCCTGAGACTTGGCAGCTTCCACATGGTATTGAGCCTGCAGGTGTACAGAAGTCAAGAATTGAGGTTTGGGAACCTCTGCTTAGAGGTCAGAAGATTATGGAAATGCCTAAATGCCCAGGCAAAAGTTTTCTGCAGGGGTGAAGCCCTCATGGAGAACCTCTGCTAGGGCAGTGTAGAAGGAAAATGTGGGTCCAGAGCTCCAACACAGAGTCCCTACTGGGGCACCATCTAGTGGAGATGTGAGAAGAGGGCCACATCCTCCAGACCCCAGAATGGTAGATCCACTGATAGCTTGTACCACGTGCCTGGAAAAGCCCCAGGAACTCAACACCAGCCTGTGGGAGGGAGATTGTAACCTGCAAAGCCACAGAGGCAGAGCTGCCCAAGACCATGGGAACCCACCTTTTGAATCAGCATAACCTGGATGTGAGACCTGGAGTCAAAGGAAATCATTTTGGAGTTTAAAATTTGACTGGCTTGCTGGATTTCAGACATGCATATCTTTATCATCAGTGTGAAAATGGACTAATACAGGGAGTTTTCTCTTATTATGTCTTTGAATAACTTTCTAACCCTATCTCTTTCTCTATCTCCTCTTTAAGGCCAATAAGAGATGTGCCCTTTTGAGGCTATTTTCTAGATCTTGTAGTCATGCTTCATTGTTTTTTATTCTATTTCCTCTTGCCTCCTCTGACTGTGCATTTTCAAATAATCTGTCTTCAGGTTCACTAATTCTTTTTTCTGCTTGATCAATTCTGCTATTAAAGGATTCTGGTGCATTCTTCAGTATGCCAATTACATTTTTTTAGCTCCAGACTTTCTGCTTGATTCTTTTTAATTATTTCGATCTCTTTGTTAAATTTATCTGATAAAATTCTGAATTTCTTCTCTGTATTGCCTTGAATTTCTTTGAGTTTCCTTAACATAGCTATTTTGAATTATCAGTCTGAAGGGTCACATATCTCTGTTTCTCCACAATTGTTCCCTGGTGCCTTATTTAGTTCATTTGATGAGGTCATGTTTTCCTTGATTGTGTTTATGCTAGGAGATGTTATTCAGTGTCTGGGCATTGAGGAGTTAGGTAGTTATTTTTGTTTCCACTGTCTGGGCTTATTTTAGCTATCCTTCTTGGGGAGATTTTCCAGATATTTAAAAGGATTTAGATATTGTGATCTGAGCTGTATCTGCTTTAGAAGGCAGCTCAAGCCCAGTAATTCTGTGGTTCTTGGAGACTTCATGACTCTGAGCACCATCTTAATAGTCTTGGACCAGATTTGGGAGAATTCTCTGGATTACCAGGCTGAGACCCTTATTCTCTTTCCTTACTTTCTCCAAAACATGCAAAGTCTCTCTCTCTCTCTCTCTCTTTCTCTCTGTTCTGAGCCATGTAATGCTAGGAGTGGAGGGACATAAGCACCCCTGTGGCTACCACTATTATGACTGCACTGGGTTAAACCTGAAGTCAGCACTGCATTTGGTCTCACCCAAGGCCTACACTGTAACACCTTCCTAGCTACTATTTATGTTTGTTCTAGGCCCTTGGGTTCTATAACCAGTCAATGGCAAAGCCATCTAGGCCTGTGTCTTTCTCTTCAGCGTGGTGAGCTCCCCCAGGCCCTGAGTTGGTCCAGAAGTGCCTTCCAGGAGTCAGAGGAGTAACAAACCTTAGAAGTCTACCTGGTAATACATTGTATTGTGGCTGAGCTGGCAGTCAGACCACAAGACTCAGTTCTTCCTACTCTTCCCTTCTCTTTCCAAAGGCAGAGGAGTTTCACCCAATAGCCACCACCACCCCAGGCCATGAGGAGTACTGTGAGACTACCACAGATGTTCTCTTACGGCCCAAGGTCTCTTAAGTCATCTTTGTCATGAATGCTGCCTGGCCTAGGATTCACCCCTTAGGGCAGTGGACTCTCCTCTGGCCCAAGGCAGGTCCAAAAATGCCATCCAGCCGTCAAGTCCTGGAATTAGGGACCCCAAGAGCCTGTTTGGTTCTCTAACCCCTGTAGCTGTGCTGGAACCTAAGGTACAAGACAAAATCTCCTTACTTTATCCTCTACTTTTCTCAAGGAGTTTTGCCTTACAGCCATGACAGCAGATAATGTGCTGAGTCTCACTTGAAGCTAGCAAGTCTCAAAGGCTCACCTAAAGTCCTTGATGTAGTACCTAGCTATCACTGCTGGTTATTCAGGTCCCATTGGCTCTTCAGTTAACAGTGCTTTGGATCCCAATTCCCAAATGATATTTCTAGACACACCCCTGGCCAGAAGGAAGGCCACTGCCTTGAAGGAAAGGACAAAGTTCTGGACAAAGTTCTGGCAGCAGTGGCCTTCCTTCTGGCCAGGGGTGTGTCTAGAAATATCATTTGGGAATTGGGATCCAAAGCAGTAACTTCACGACTCTGAGCAGTGCCCTCTCCTGCTGTGGCTGAGCTGGTATCCAAGATACCAACATCTTTCCCACTCTTCCCTCTCCTCTCCTCAAACGGAAGGAAAGTATCTCTTTCGGAGCCTCAAGCTGTGCAGCCTCGGGTTGGGGAGTAGTGATGCCATCACTCCCTTGGCTGCTCCAGTGGATGTCTCAGTATGCTGTGTGCCCCCTCAGTCCACTGTCTCTGGGTCTAATTCATCCCTAAGACTTGCCTAATATCTGCAGTCCTTATGGCCTAGACTGCCTTTCAAGTTACTTGGAGACACAGAGTGCTGTATCCCTTGGTGGCAAGGTTTGCAGGCACTCAAGTTTGGATTACTGGGATCAGTGATTCCCTTCTTTTTTTTTTTTTTTTTTTTTTTTTTTGAGACGGAGTCTCGCTCTGTCGCCCAGGCTGGAGTGCAGTGGCGGGATCTCGGCTCACTGCAAGCTCCGCCTCCCAGGTTCACGCCATTCTCCTGCCTCAGCCTCCCGAGCAGCTGGGACTACAGGCGCCTGCCACCACGCCCGGCTAATTTTTTTTTTTTTTGTATTTTTAGTAGAGACGGGGTTTCACCGTTTTAGCCGGAATGGTCTCGATCTCCTGACCTCGTGATCCGCCCGCCTCGGCCTCCCAAAGTGCTGGGATTACAGGCGTGAGCCACCGCGCCCGGCCAGATTCCCTTCTTTTTAAGGCTGGTGTTAATGCTCCCTCCATGGGCAGATGTTAGCTAGGTTTGGTCCTGGTTTCCTTTCTGCTCTACCAGGACAGCACTAAGTTCAAAGCCTCTGAACTGCTGTGTTCGCCCTCCTCCAGCACTCAGAGGCTCTCTCCACACCCACACCACTACTGCAGAGGGTGTGGGATGGGTGACATCAGTGATTCAAGACTGTTTTTTCTGTTTCTTCAGTGCCTTTTTCAGCGACATGAAGTTAAAACCAGGTTCTATGAGTGCTCACCTACTTTTTGGTTCTTAGGAAGTTAATTTTTTCTGTGTAGATAGTTGTCACCTTGGTGTCCTTGCAGTGGGAGATGATTGGTGGAGCTTTCTATTCTGCTATCTCGCTCTGCCTCCCCTCCCTAGAATTTCTTATTGAATAGGAAAATATTGTTTTTAGCACTATATTGTGGTTTATAAAACATTGTGGTCATATCGACAATAGTAAAATAAATTCATTTTATCTTAATAGTTAACTTTTTAGCTGAATTTACAGTAGATGCCACAAGAATGTCAGTTATTTCACTTTTGGAAAAATATCCATTCAGAAGTCTTTAATTATTTGAACTGGATTTTTTAAACATAATTTTTTATTATTGCAATTAATTTATTTTCTCTTTGAAGAATCAAGCAACAGTGATATGGGTGTGGGGTGGTGAGGCACAACATCAGAGAAACATTCTAGGCCTATAACTAATTCTTATAAAATTAATGATGAAAGATAACACTTTTCTGAGTCATTTCACAGCATGGGCACTTCAAGACACACAAACGCAAAATCAGCCATTACAAGAAAAGTGATTGATCCATGGATTTACATGACCAGTAATCCAAGACTGTCTATTCCACCTGGTGTCATACCTGGCAAGTAGCTTTAAAATAAGCAGTTATTTCAGCAATATTAAAGAGACAAATAGCCATAAAAAACTGCATTTGACAAGTGAAATATCTGATTGCTTTATACAGCCATTAGACTCTCAAAAGTAACAGAGAAATGCCTTTTTTAAAGATATTTAGTGAAAAGTCTCAAAAAGCAAAATTTTTAGATACGGAGCTAAATGACTAGAAAAGGAAATGCCATTCAGCTCCTGAGAAACTAATAATTCCAGCATGTAAATTATATGGGGTAAATGCTGACACAAGATGTAAAATGAGAAATTGAAAAGGTTCCACTCACAAAAGTAATATACATAAATGTATTGATGATATGTCACTTGAGGCTGAAGGGGTTTCATATAATAAACAACATCTTCTCAATCTAGGTGGATGATTCAACAGATTTCCCCCATAAATGCCATGCTGAAGTGTTTATCTGATTTGTAAATGGTGGTGAAATTAAATACAACTCAGTCTGCAACAAATTACTGCCTGAGACAAGCAAACGCTAAGATATATTTAATGATTTGTCTTCCCATGTAAAAATAAAATGTCTGCTTCGGAATTGCTGTGTTTGTATCTATAATGATGTTTACCTTGATGAGAGGTTTTGCTTCCCTTATGAGAAAGAAAACAAAAGAAAATCTGATTTGATAGACTGCATCTTTCACAGTGAGGTGTTAGTGTCAAAGATTCTTGTAGTTGAGAGAGGAGGGGCAGAGCAAGGTGGTGAAATAGGTCTCTCTAGCAATTGTCTCCCAGAAGAAACATCAATTTGAACAGCTATCTATACAGAAAATATCTTCACAAGAGCCAAGAAAGCCAAGTGAGAGATCACAGTACCTGGTTGTAGCACAATAATAAGAAATGATGCCTTGAAGAACCAGGAAGGAAAATTTTACATTATCCACATCACCCCTTTCCCAATCTCAGGCAGCAAAGCAGAGAGAAAGATAATAGCTGCTTATGAAAAAGAAAAATAAAAGTGAGCACAGGGCTGTACCTTGGACTCCAACTTTGGGCCTGCCACACACACAAAAAAACAATTTGGCACCTGATAGACTCCCACTTCCCCAGACTCCAAGACCTACCAGTAATGAACTATCTGAAAAATAAATCAAGAAAACAAGCCCATTTACAATAGCTACCAAAAAAAATGGTATATAGGAGGAATAAACATAACCAAGGACATGAAAAACCGCTACACTGAAAACTATAAAACATCGATGAAAGAACATCAGTGGAAGGATATCTCATGTATCTGAATTGGAAGAAAAAATATTATTAAAATGCCCATACTCTAAACCCTAAAATAAACTACAGATGTTCAGCAATAATAATGCATCAGTGTAGGTTCATCAATTACAACTAATAGACCACTCTGGTGGGGGAAGTTGAGAGTAGGGGCCGGAGTAGGTGGGACTATGTGTGTGTGGAAGCAGGTGGCACTATATATGGTGACTCTCTTTGTTTTCTGCTCACTTTTATGAACCTACAACTGCTCTAAAAATAAAACTTATGACTATTATCATTTTTAAATAAAAAAAGAGTAAGACTGTAACAGCCAAGAGATGCCTAAGGAGACATCACAACTAAATTTAATATGGTTTCCTGGACAAGATCCTAGAACAGAAAAATGTCATTGAGTAAAAACTAAAGAAATATATATTAAATAACGTACAGATTTTAGCTAGTAACAGTGTATCAATATTGATTCATTAATTGTGCTGAATACACTCCAAAATATAAGCTATTAATATCAGAAGAAATTACATTATCTAATCATCATAATAATTTTAACAGGTAGATATTATTGTTTATCCCAATCCAAGATATGCAAAAGCTGAGGGGTAAAAGACTAAGGTATTTGTTCAAGCACTCACAGCTAATTTGACAGGAAAATCAAGGTTTGTATTCAACCACCTGGGTTAAAAACAAAAATAAAAGACACTAAAAGAAAATTTAAAATAAAAAATTACAAAGGCAATAGAAAAATAAGTAACAAATTAGCAGGAAGTATTTCAACACATAGAACCAAAAAGTGAAGAAAAAGTAAAACTAATGTCCTCAATAAAAAGAAAATTAGAAAAAAAAATGACGGATGTCTTGCAGAAAACATGAGTGATCGTTAAGTATATGAAAATATTTTAAAAATTAAAATGTCTTGTATGAAATGTTAAGTGTTCAATATTAGCAGGGTAATAGAAATATATGGAAGGGAAATAATTGTATATTATGTAATTAATACATGTTAATAATATATTGCATTTGTTTCTTAGCATTTTCCTTTTGATTCCATCATTACATTTAGGAATATTAATGATCATTATTGCTTTATTTTATCCTCTTCTATTTTGTCTGTGAACTTTTTGGGGTGCAGATATTCTATTTTACCTTAAATATTAGCATCTATCATAGTAATCTATTTTCAAAAATATAAATGTCTGTTAAGTGGACAAATAAATACTAATTTTCTTCTTCTCATTGGACATTCATGTTTATGGTGTAAACAGCATAGCAGGCATTCATCATACACGTCTTTGTTTAATCCATCTAGCATTTTAAAATTTGATTTCCTATTATCATCCTAATGTCATCCAAGAGTTTATTTCTTCATTTCACCAAAACTTACATGATTTCAATAGTATCTCAATTTTAAATTAGTTCAAAGAATGTGAAGCACTTTAATTTAGGTTATTTCATTTAATTTATGTTTAAAAAATGTAATTGTCATCCCAGTTTAATTGAAAAGACCAGGAGATGGAGAGATACAAAGTGGTTATCCAAGTTTATATCAATTACAAATGGTAAAGTCATAATCCCAATCCAGAACTTCAAATTTTTTAACTTTTTTTGATTACAACATAGCTGCCTGCTTATGTTGTAACTTACGTTGTAATATCCAACTTTGAAGTTCTATGACATTGATTAGTGGAATGTTCTTTAATAAATGGTGAAACAGAATTATCATCTATCATAATACTATTTTCTATTTATTTACAAATGAAATAAATAGAGAAATAATTAAAGATTTTACACCAACCTTCCAGGCAGGAAGTTTCTTAAGAAACATTTCTGAGTTTTGTAATTATAAAATGAAAAGACTATGACCTTACTCTGAAAGTGTTAGATCCATCAGACATCTAAAGAAATTCTACATACACAGAATATTTCATATTTAGCAGTGTATAAGATGAGACGAGATCACTCTGTCAAATATAAAATAACTGGAAAAATGCAGTAAAGGACATATATAAACAAACTTAAAACAGAGCTACTACATAGGGACAGGTGCCATTGTAGCAGATTAGTAGTGTCCCAAGTAATTGCACTCTTTTCTATTTTTATAATTTTATACATACCTGTATAAAGCAGTAAATATTAGAATTAATATTTATACTGTTTCAAATAAATAATTTCAATGTACCTTATTACTTATGATTTAAAATATTGAGCTATTTTATGCAATTGATGTCTTCCAAGTCTCTGCACATACAGGAGGAAAAAACGGGACCTAGTTGCTCTGAGTGTGTCCTTCTCTCAATATCTATGGTTCTGTAAACATGAAAATACTGTCTACAAGCTTTCACAGATTCAAATTACTATCTCTATGCAAGTAAATATTTATTTACACAAAAGAAACAACTAAAATAAAAACTATGCAATTCTCTGAACTCATAAGGTTTGTAATCTCATGTGTCTCTGAAGTTCAAGAATCATTCTTACTCCAGAAAACAAAAATTGGATTGACTATGGGTAAAAGTTTTTAAAAATAATTAAATGAAGCATTCTCATTCTGTACACCAAAAAGCCATTTTTAATAAGATAATTTGAGTTTATTGTCTTCTTTTTTTCAGATTTCTGTCTCCTGCTCTCACAGTGTAATTTCTGAAAAATGCTCAAAGTGGGGCTTTAATATTTACATTTAACAAATGATTTAATATCACTGTTTTTGTTTGCCCAGAGTGTAGATAAGGGAAAAAAAACTTTAATATAAATTTTATTCTACAAGTCTACATAGGAAAAAAATAACTCATTTTAGAGGTATTATAACATTTTTCTTAACTTGGTTACACATTAAGCTTAAAATGTTGCAAAGCACTGGTGGAGAGGTTTTGTTTGACTTTACTATTTTTGGAAACCATATTTCATTTATACATGTGCTTGATTTTTCCATGTGCAGAGTGAGTGACAGGAGGAAATAATCCCCAAACCCATTAACACTCTGATCTCTAACACCATATGTTTCACAGTAATTTCGTGCCCATTCTTTAGGGTATTTGTTGTGATATAATTAAATGGATTTGGGGAAATAAGGACACTAACTTCTGGTGGGTGAACAGATTGAAAAGGCAAAAATTGAGAGCATGGGTCAAGTTTGTGTCAATAGTTACGTGACTCTTTTATCATATTAAAATTTACTCTATCAAAAGTGAATAAAGTATTTGCTCATATATCAAAATTAGAAAATACAGTTACTTAGGAGACAAAGTTAGCCTTAGATTTTAGGACTTTGTCGAAACCATTTATATGAATATTACTTGTATATATTTCAAATTTGACTTCAACAATCAGACCAAAGAAAGTATAAATATTGTAAAGTATTTTATTTATGCAGATGAGAGCTTATTACATTGAAAAATAGGAGGTAGAATTAGAGATTGAAATACTTGAGACTATTTTATGAATTTACTAAAATCTGTTTGAATCTGAGATAAAAACAAGTTCAACATCAAGATTTGAGAATTTATAAGATATAAACCATAACAGAAATTTTTAGAATATTCTTTCAGTTGCTACTTATAAATTAACATTTATTTTTAAACCATATATATATATATATATATATATATATATATGTATGTATGTACATGTGTATATGCTTGTGTGTGTGTGCGCGTTGTTTTCATGGGGGTTTTATTATCTTTGTTAAGAAAATACAAATTTCTTTTCTGAGAGCTATGTAATCAATCCAGAACCACCACATACTCATCTAATTCTTTTTTTAGTAGTGATGGGCCATAAATCCCCCTGGCTCTATGGCTTGATGTGGAAATCGGACCTGCCTCTTCATAGCAAGTGCCTGTCGAGAATGAATATCTAAAATGAGCTGTCAAAGAAAAATTGCACTAATGCAGTTAAATAGGCAAGGAAGATTGTGTTCAAAACTATGATAATGGTCAAGACTCTCGCAATAGAAGAAAAATTGAACTCAATTCCACTGAAACAAAAGGTGGGAAAATTTTTAAACTCTGAGATGAGCTAATGAAAAAATACAAGAGGACAGAACATTAAACGGAGAAGTGGATCAATGTGATTAGGTGATCTGTGTTTGATAATTGCCCCATATTGCTGTTAGGATCCCACCCTCCCATAGACACTGGTAGACAGGAGCTCTAGCTATTTCCATGATTACATTTCAAATGAATGGTTTCGGGGTTCTTGAGAAAGAATTTGTTCTTGGTTTGTAAAACTGGCAAGGGGCTGAGAGAAGATTTACATACGAAAGGGGCAGAGAAAAATCTGCAATTACACGGTTTTTTTTAAGTGAATACTCCAGGAAAAGGGCAATCACGGGCATAAAGTCAGGAAGAAGTCTTCTAAAGGTTAATCAAAAGGAGAGGAATGTTAAGGTCATCTTAGCTAGTACTCGAAGAAAAGTATGCCCAAATACTTTCAGTAAGGTATGGTAAATTAATGATCAAGAATAAAAGGACAAATGGTAGATATATGAGTGTAAAAATGACAGGAACAGGAAAATAGAGCAGAAAATGGAAGACTGCTCAAGTACATTTAAAAAAATCACAATTTCAGGTGGATATATATATAAAATCTCAAATAGTACAGAAATATTGACAGGACAAGACTATTTAGAAGCTCTAAATATAATGTACAAATATACAAATAATAAAGTCTTAAAAGTCAGCTTTAACTTTTGACTTAAAATGTAGAAGTAATTAATACTCTGGATTTTTTTCGGTATTTCCATTTCTAGAATTTTGGCTTAATATCTAAAAGTTGAATTCTAAACTTCATACCAAAATAGGGTACGGGGAAAAAAAAAGTGGTTCTCTTGAGTCAACTAAGAGTATAAATATATAAATTCTAATGTAGAAATTGGGATTTAGTCACATATTTTAAGTATATAATTATGAAACACCAAACTACTTATAACACTGAATTTTGACTAGGGATTTCTAGGCACAAAATGCATTATCCAGTTAATTGAGCAAAGAACTAACAGGACTGCCAAGTTATATTAGGCAATTTCATAGTACTGAAAGGGCAATTTAAAATTTCACTGCTTAAACTGAATTATAAATTATAACTAAAAAGTGTTAGCCTGCCCATTTCAAGGTCTTTTTACTATCAAATCATTGTTTTTCACACATTAAAGATAAATGTGAATAAAATTGACTTATATTCAAGAAACTGTAATTTGTAAAATATATATGTCTATAAGATCATGTTTCTATTTACAAGTATCTGTAAAAGTGATATAAAAAGACATGGTTACATATTTGCACAAAATAAATAATAAAGTTAAAAAAGATGTAGAGGCCTTATAAGTACTCAACAATGATGGTTTAATCTTATTGATGTAAATGTTTGCAGCAAAATCCTATACTTTCCATTGCCTTAGCCAAGCTTTCATACAAGAGAGGCTAAGAGAATACTTACCTAATAACATTCAGAGTGTATTGTGGTGGTTGGGAGGGTATCTCCCAAAAGCAAAAATTAGGGGAAAAAAGAGAAGCAAGGCAGCAAAAAAGGAGCACAGTCACAGCATCACAATGTCACAGATGATTGCTTAGTCTACAAAATGTCACCAGAGACTACTGAAATCACTCAGTCTCAAACAGTCCATTGTGGATCGGGGAGTGGGGTTGAGGGGTGGGGAGATAGCAATCAATTTGCCTGCTGGCTTCTTTCTGCTTTCTGCCTTTCACTGAGGAAAGAAAATTCACCCTTAGGGCACTGACTCCCTGTACTGTGACTTGGTGACAGACTGAAGAATCAATGCCAATCTTGTCTGGTCAGTGCTAAGACATAGTAAGTGGTTTTTCTTCTCATTTGGTATTGATAGTGGAACTCCTCGGGTCTGTGGTTCCTGTAGTACAGTGATCTATGAATTAATAAGACAAATTCTGTCTCCAATTCCAACATTTACTACATTCCGTATATAAGGATGAAACAAGGAAAGCATAACGGCAATAAACATTGACATTTGGAAGGAAATATTGACAGACTCACAGCAGTTACTGGTCTGGAATAATAATTAAACTCCTCTGAATATACACTGTCTGCTCACTTTGATCTGGCAATGAGAAAAATTCATTCAAATAATCACATTTTGCTCTCTGGAGAAGGGGAGCGACCTTGCCTATTATTCTCTTGTCTGTGATCTGGTTTTTGCCTTAATTTGTCTAAAAATATACTCATGAAAGAGGGAAACAGAAAGACATTGTTGAGACTAGGAGGGTCTGCCATAATAATCTCTGCATCCACTTTTGTAAACTTCAAGTCTTTTCTCCCAATAGGAGCCACAGTAATCTATTTAATAGATATCGTATCTTGTCATCTATCTAAATAAATCAGCATTTTCCATGGTTTCCCATTGGTTATTGAATAACATTATGGGAAATAGCACACCACACAAAGCACACTTTTAATTCGATATTGACCTGTGGGTCATTTTCTAAATCTCTTCTTGTTTCACTCTCTCTGACATTCACTACCCTCTAGTAGCTTACATTCCTTTAGTGCCTTTAACTCTGGAGCTATTTCATGGTTTGGAGGTTTTGTTCTAAAAGCTTCTTGTCTCTACTTGGTGTTTCTGCATAACTGATTGCTTCTCATTTTTCAGGCCTCAACTTACATTCTTTTATCAGAAACATTTTTTTCTAGCCATGTTAGCTAGTAGAAACTCCAGTCATAATGTAATAATTCTCCTTTACTGAATTGCATTGGTTTCCTCTAGAGCATTTACTGTGATTTTTTAAAATTAAACTTAAAACATGTTTCTAATCTCCTCTCACCTTCTATTTGTAATTGTTGCTTTCAGAACATTTCATGCAAAATAGGAAAATTCACATACACACATATGTGTGTCAGTATGAAATAGAAATATTAAATAATAAATACATCCTTTTTGATGAGATTTGATTCATAGGGTATTATGATTTTGAATCTATGTGATTAGCAATATTTGGAACTGTAGGAGAAAATTCTGAAAACAAATCAACTGGAAACAAAAGATTTTGTTAGTTGATTTGTTTTGTTATATTTTGCCATTACATAATAGAGAGAACTTTGAGTATTCTACATTTTTTTTCTCTTTTTTTTTTTTTTTTTTTTTTGACACAGAGTTTCACTCTGCCACCAGGCTGGAATGCAGTGGCGTGATCTCGGCTCACTGCAATCTTCACCTCCTGGGTTCAAGGGATTCTCCTGCCTCAGCCTCCCAAGTAGCTGGGATTATGGGCATGCACCTCCACGCCCAGCTAATTTTTGTATTTTTTAGTAGAGACGGGATTTCACCATATTGGCCAGGATGGTCTTGATCTCCTTGTAACACCTAAGGTTCTTGCCTAGCCATGCCAAAGAATTAGTATTGCAGCTGACTGTGGCAACACGGACCAAGAGAAAGCAAAAGGTGTAGGCTTAATTGAGTAAAGTGAAAGTGTTACAGGGGTGGGGGTCCTTGCTCCCAGAGCTCCCAAGATGTTCTAGGGCCACTTCCAAGATGGTGGTGGGCCGCGTCCAAGATGGTGGCAAGCCTCGTGTACTCTGACCTGGAGTTCTTGGCTTCAGGGATTCCAAGGAATGGAATCTTGGACCATGCAGTGAATGTTATAGCTCCATTAGAAGCCATGGGTCACAGAAGAGAACCGTGGAACCCAGTGACTAGTGTTTGGCTTGATTAAGACGAACCCAGCCACTTAGCCGTGCAGGAACAATGGCAAGCCTTTAGCTGGATCAGGATTGGCAATGGGCACCTCGCTGGATCAGGAGCACAGCTGACACCCTGCTGGATCTGGAGGGATGGAAGTCAGCGGAGGGTCTGCGACAGCGGCCAACAGCACTGGTGGATGGTGAGCGAAAGCTCAGCTGGAACCATAACAAACACGGACCAGAACAGTGTGCAGCTGCAAGATTTAATAGAGTGAAAACAGAGCTTTCATACAAAGGGAGGGGTCCAAAAGAGGGTAGCCGTTGCCAGCTGGAATGCCTGGGTTTATATCCCAATCACTGTTGCTCCTGCTGTGCTCTCAGGTGATAGATGATTGGCTATTTCTTTACCTCCTGTTTTTGTCTAATTAGCATTTTAGTGAGCTCTCTTTACTACCTGATTGGTCGGGTGTGAGCTAAGTTGCAAGCCCCGTGTTTAAAGGTGGATGGTCACCTTCCCAGCTAGGCTTAGGGATTCTTAGTCGGCCTAGGAAATCCAACTAGTCCTCTCTCTCAAAAGTACAAGCTTCCACAGCATGGAAGGGGTCCCGAATGGGTAGCCAGAGTTAGATTATATGATTGCCTTTTAAACTCTCTAAGGCATGAAATATGTGCGGCGGGAAGATGTTACCAGAGTGAGAAACAAAGGCAGTAAATTATTTTGTGACATGTCCTAGATTTTGAGGAAAACCGGAATTGCAACTTAGGTTTTATCTACCTTATGACCTTGCAGCGACATGGCAAAGGAGACAGGATCTTACAGGACTTTACAAAGTATGTTTACAAGGAATTGAAATTGGGAGTGTAGATAAGGTCCACTGGTTACAGAAAAAAGGGCAGTTAACATTCCTTTTACTTTAGATTCGGGGGAGGGGGCAAGGAGAGAGGGAGAGAGGACACAGGCAAACTTACAGCAAAATTTTAGCTGTTTATAGCTTTCCTGGGGAAGAAAACACATGCACGAATCCAGGTGTTAGGAATAGTTTAAGCATGTATCTTCAATATTATTCATCCAGGACCAAAGTAAGTCCTGATGCAGGAAATGAGAGAGTTTCACAGCTTTCTGAGCCCCTACTCGACCCAGGAAGCCCAGCTGGCACCTCCTCTCATCCTGACCTTGTGATCCTCCCACCTTGGCCTCCCAAAGCACTGGGATTGCAGGAGTGAGCCACCAGGACCGGCCTCTACTTTTTAATAAATAGAAAAAGTATACTACGTGCACAGTGTTTGCAACTTAAATTATAATGTAAATAAAAGATTTTATACTTCAAAATATTTGAAATTTTTCTGGGCACCTATTTGAAATACCAATAATCAGGAAATAATTAAGAAAAAAATGACTCCTGCCCTTGGAACTAAAAATAAAACGTGGAAAATTAATCTATTTATGTAAGACAGTACAACGTGAGTTTGCTAAAAATCTTCCCTTGGAAAATAGAGCCAAACTCAGTATTTTTGAAAGCCAAGGTTTTTTCAGTGGTCATTTGCACATCTATAATGTCAACATTGATTTATACTCGTGAATTGAATCATGAATAATTACCATGTCAGTTTTAAATCACTTTTGTTTAATCTTAAAAGATTGTCATCAGTGTTTCCTGTTGTCATTAAGCATCTGGACATAGATTCTCAAGCACCTTCTTACAATATTTATGTACAGTTATGCGTCACTCAACAATGGAGACACATCATAATAAATTTGTCATTAGGCAATTTTGTCACCTTGTGAACATCACAGAGATGGTATAACCTAGGCTATTACTCCTAGTCTACAAACCTCTGCAGAATGTTACTGTACTCAATATTGTAGGCAACTGTAACACAATGGTATGTATTTGTGTATCTAAACATATATAAACTTAGAAAAGGTCCAATTAAAAATATAATATTAGAATCTTTTAGGACCAATGTTATATAGTCTGTCATTCACCAAAATAAGACTGTTTGTATGGACTTATGACTGCACAACTGTATGGACTTATTTTGATGATGCCATAGTAGTGTTAGTAGGCCGCTTGTATATGGAATTGAAAATAATTTTCCTCCTACTGAGCCTTTTGCAGTACAAATCCCTGTGCTGTAAACAGTTGTATAAAATATAAAATTCTGAACATTTTCATCAACATATGAAAATCTACCCTGTAGTGAATCACCATTGATATATCCATAATATACTCCAATGTATGTATAGGAGATTCTCTCTGCCTATTTGCTAAGGGTGGAGTGTGACTTTGAATTAAATCCACTGCTCATTTGTATATTATGTTGGTGTATACTACTTATTATGGACACTGCCATTTAAAAGTGAATTGCATTTAGCCCAGAGATTCAGGCTCATATTTATTACCTATATCTGTGTCAATCTGTTCTACGCATAGAGAAGTTAGTATATGATATTGAATCTATCTTCTTGGTATTAACTGTGTAAAAAAAAACACATAAAGCTTGACTCTGAGGGCCTTTTATAGCTTAAGATAATTTCAGAATTTATATTATTTAAATATTTGTTTTTTTACAAAATTATATACTTTACAAATGCTTTCCATCTATGAAAGAGACTTCAAAAATGATTCATTATTTCCAAATATTATATTTTAGCAGTCTTTGAAACAATGTGACCCTATTTTGGCTAAAGAACCTTTGTCATGTTCTTCCTAAACTGTGGAAATCTTTGCAAAATTGGCAAACAATTAGTATAAGTATTATTTATTTTTGTGTGTGTATGTATTTATTAATAATTGAATACTTTCATGCTACACTTATTTTTATAGACATAAACTTTTATACCAATGTCACAGAATTTGTAGAAATAAATGAGTGCAGACAACTTGTAGGCTATCTACAATCAGTAAAATCATCAACATTTCTTTTCAATTTCATTTTATTTAATCATTTTAGGAACTAAAATGTCAATATCTCCAAAATTGTAGATCCAGTAATTTTAATATGAGGCACAGGCTAAAGCTTAGTCAAATTATATTAACCCAGCCCTTTTATTTGTAGGTATATTAACAAAAATTCAGTACTTAGGGCATGCTACGATCTGAATTTCCACCTCCACACAAATTTCTGTGTTGGAAACTTAATCTCCAGTGCAACATTGTTGGGAAGTGAGGCCTAATCGGGGGTGTTTAGGTCACAAGGACTCTATTTTTCATGAATGAATTAGTGTCATTATTAAAATGGCTTGGGAAAGTGGGTTTGCTTTCTTCTATTCTTCCGCTATGTGAAGGAACGACATTAATCTACTATTTGCCCTTCCACCTTTCACCTTGTGAGGATGCAGTAAAAAGGCCTTCATCAGATAGAGGCAATTTGTTCTTGGATTTCCCAGCTTACAAAACTATGAGAAATAAATATCTATTTTTTTTTGTAAATTACCCAGTCTCAAGTATTTTGTTTTGGCAGCACAAAACAGACTAAGACAGTGCATATGCTACCCAGTAGATGATAAATGAACTATATTTTCTGTAATGCATCTTATGTCAAAACAGACTTCATTTCTTAGTAAATAGAAAATAAGTGAAGAAACAATAATTATTTCTGCATCAAGTCTATTTCTATGAGTGTGGGTGTTGGTGGAGTTCAATTTAAAGCAATCATTATATTTCAAGTATGTTAGCCATATAGTAGAAATAATATTAGTAATTTACTCTTTTGATTATAGTTATTACTATTGTTAATATCATTATTACTATTATAAATTCAGCCATTCAGTTAATTGTCTTGGATGAAACAAAAGATAAACTTATTCCTCCTGAGGCTGTTCATAAGCCCAAGATATTTCCATTTGAAATACACTCAAGATATCTTTCCAAGTTCTTTTGGAAATAAAATGTTACTATTTTCCTGAAGATATTACAGTATGTTTCTTTTACCTCAATCTCTTTAAACGTGTGAAATAGCTGGAAACAAAATCTAGGCAGATGTTTATTTTTCTTCAGCATGATAATGTTCTTAGACACTTGGATTCTGCAGGTATTGATGGTGATTGACACTTAGAATTTTTTTTTAATTCTGTAAATTGTAAATTGAATTTAGCCCATTCTCCTAATTGCATTCTTTTCCAATTTCTGTTAGATGTATGTTGAAGCATCAGAATCTATCCTACAGGCCTTACACAAAATTTATGAATTTGTTATAAATTCTTGTTCTCTTTGTTTTATGGTTTTTGTGAGCAATTAGGTATGGTGTTCCATCTCACGGATTATCTTTCCAACTGTAGTCAGGAAAGAGTTTATCTCATTTATTAATTTCCATGACTCTGTTTTTTATTCTAAGCTTGCTACATTTTATTTAAAAATTTTATTTTCTATTATATGTTTGTGTATCTTTCCTTTATACTGTCTTCCTAATTGTAAAGAAAGATATTCTTTGGTTAATCATTGAGGTGTCTGATTATCAAACCACAGTCACCAAAATCAGAAATCTTAAGTAGGATTCAAATTTGTTAATAATCTAAATGATACAAGTAATTGTCAGACAACTCTCCAGGTTTTTCATGTTACATTAAAATGAATCTAGTTGAGATTTAATATATGAAATTCTAAATGACACATGTGGTGCATCCTTCACACAGAAAGATCTATTTCAGTTATAAAATATGTCTGATTTGTATTCTGATAATTACATAGGTGGTATTAATGTTTTAGTTTGCCTCATCAAGCCATAAATTTGAGGTTTTTAGACTATAAACAACCTAGAAAGGACAGGTATATCCTGCTAAAGATATTTGGTAAAAACTCCTTCTTCATTATTTAATGAGATTTGGCCAGATCATTTATTTTTTGTTTTTCTTCTCTCCAGAAGTACCTAGAGGAGGGAAAATGTAAGCCAAGCTTTCATTCCCAATTACATTTAGCCTCCTAAACATGTAATTGTAAAGTCTTTATCAGACATTTTGATTAAATTAGTTTCAATAGGACTTTATTTATATTTAGTTTGTATGTGTGTGTGTTTAGAATTAGATTTGCTTACGTGCTTTGAAAGTTTGATTATTGCCTCAGTTTGACTAAGATAATATTGTTATTTTTTTCTTTGTATCTTTTTTGCCATGTCTCCTGTGCCATTTTGTTATCTTTCTAGTGTATGTGTCTGTAGTCATAACCCATTACTTTTCAGCTTGATAAAGAGAATTTTTAGGCCCTTTTTCAAAATCAGGAACACAGGTCTCAATTTCTATTGTTATACCTTCTATTGTTATACCTCATCTTTTGCCCCATTCACTGTTTTTGTTTGTTTGGTTTGGCTTGGTTTCTGATCTACTAATGTGTGTGTGTGTGTGTGTGTGTGTGTGTGTGTGTGTAATCTAGCTTTGTAATTTTTAAAGTTTTTATTTCTAAATTTTATCTATTTAGAATGTACATTTTCAGGAAAAGAAGCTAATCAAAGCAAGAAATTATGCAGCTAACTAGTCTGGAATATAATGTTTACTTAAATTTATATAATTAAACAAACTCACTTAAAATTTATACCTGACTTACCATAGTGGAATGTGATAGCAATACAACTATTTGGAACACATAGTTGAATCATTTACTCAATTACACAAATAATTTTAAGTATATTTATTTACATAAAATAAAAATAATCAGAAAAACAATTTTGAAAATAAAAAACATATTGCATTATAGTTTAATTTTCCATTTATATTCTAATTTTAGTATTTTGCATTTAGCATTATATTTTAATTAAAGCCTAGATCAGCAAAATCAATTTATTTCATAAGTGAAATGAGACTAGCTCAAATTTATTGAGATGGACAGAATAAAGAAAAAGAAATGTATGCTAAAGAAATAATATGTTTTGAGTAAATATATGATATCCTAGAAATTATGACAAGAGTATACAAATCAAAGTTCTTAAGGTATTGGCATCTATTTTTAAAAACAACAACTTTTACAATTGTGTTCAAATTAATCTTAATTATTTTGATAGGAAGTTTTATAAGCACATAATTATTATCACAGTATATTTATCATTAGGATTTGGTATTAATTGTCATTTACTGAGTGTTTACTATGTGCCATGTACTAAGTTAAGTGTTTTACATATTATTTACTTTCACTTCTTACAACATTCAATTAAATTAGGCTTTATTTGTGATCCAGTTTTCAAAACAGAAAATTGAGGATTCTAGTAGGATCACATAAATCACAAGTGGCACACTGAATTCAATATTAAACCCCAAGCTACTGGAAATATTATCTTTTAAATAATATTTAATGATACTATTCTATGATTTAAAAAAGTTTCAGCAACTATAGAATGATTTCTAAATTTAAGAGAAACCAAATAATTATATGAATATAAATATAAATACAAAGTTCTTTTTTCAAGTGCTTAATATAGTAAACCACATAAAATTAAGTCAAGGAGACAGACTTGTGTTTAGAATAACTCCTTTGTGCTTAAGTGAGCAAAGTATCAAATATATGTTATTGCATCCATTTTAATTATTTCTCAGTATGTAAATAGAAAGTGACTGTAGAAAATTCAAGCCCATTTTATTTATTAAGGCTAAAGAAGAGTAACTGACAACAATACATTTGTTTCTGACGTGTTGGAGCTTAGAACACAGTACTTCAAAATGAAGGCTTCAGCAGTAACCTCAGAAACAAAAGTTTTTCTCTGACTTTTTCCTGCCCTCCTGTCCTGAGTCCCATTTTCCTCCAAAGCTAGCTGAGGAAACTAGAATCCCTTTTCTTCAAGGCAGGTAATGAAAACCAGAATCCCTTTTCCTCAAAGCCAGCCATAAAACCTAAAAATATTACTCTGTTTCTTCAATCTTATCGGTATAAGAACTGGCCACAAAAAAATTTATCTGACCTACCTTGTTTGTAGGTCGTAAGAACACCATTCCAGAGAGGGTCCTGCCCTATGCCCAGAAGGAAGGAAGGCATGCTCACAGAGGCCAAGAAGAATCTAGACAGACAGGTCTTCCTGGGTGCACACTCAGTCTGCTAATATAAGATTATATTCTATTGGTCCACTTATATTGCTACATGTCTGTCCGTACTTTGTTGAATTTAAGCATAAAAAATGAACACATTTCCCTGTATCTTTGGGTCTTCTAAAGGCTCCCATGTGTACATGCTAAATAAATTTGTATCCTTTTTCTCTTATAATCAATCTGCCTCATGTCAGTGATTTTTCAGTGAACCTTTGGGAGACCAAGGGCCTCGGCCCCCACATAAGTTTCAAATTTTATGATTATATTTCAGATGTATTTTTGATAATATAGCAAGGTATAACTCTTAAAATACACTTTGATCCATAAGTTGAAAAAAATCAACAAAAATGCTTTTAAAACCTGGAAAATATGAAAATCAACTTAAATTAGCATGTTTACCTTTCACAAGAAAGGCAGGTGTTTTTATTTTCTTGCACTGTATTTTTCTCTTCTCATCTTATTTGCAGCTTCAGTAAGGTAATGAAAAAAATAAATATATAAAGTTGTAGTTAATTCATAAGAATTAAACTCTTTTGTACTATATATATTACATCATGTTATATTAAGACTACAATCTTTTCAGAGTTTATAGTAAATTATTTTCTGTATGTGACCTATAGGTTATAATGCAATAATGCACACTAAGAAGTTTATATTCAATGTGCATGGTGTTATTGTGAGTACAGAAATCTCATCTATCTTATTCTCACTATATGCTCAGAATCTAAGAAAACTATCATATAAAATGTACATAATAAATATGCATTGTGTTAATATATCTTGTATTCAAAAGTAAATTTTTAACTGCAAGCATCAATGTATGCCATCTTTGAAAATAATGAGAAAAACATTTTGTGAAAAACAATCATATTTCAGCAAGATTTTAATAACAGTTGGATAAAAATTATATATATCAAATGAAAGGTAAAATGTAACTATTCTTATATCAATTAAATATTATACATTAATGAATGTGCCTTTTGCTGATGGTGTTAAGTGTGAGGTTAATAAAAGCTTACTCTCTGTTATTTATAATGTGATTAAAACAGACCCCATTTTATAAACTTGTATTTACGGGTACAATAACTAAGTCAGATTTGGGATAAGTAACTTTAACCAGATTACATCACTATTATATGATGAAGTAGCATTTTATGTGGGTCATCTGCCCTCCAAAACCTAAACTCACCATGGATAGACAGGGTCTCACTCTGTCACCCAGGTTGGAGTGCAGTGTCACGATCATGGTTCAGGTAGTCTTGACTTCCTGGACTCAAGTGATCTTCCTACTTAAGCCTCCCAAAGTTCTGGAATTACAGGCATGTGTCACCCACCTGGCCAAGCATTAGTTCTTACTACTTACCGTATTATTTGTTAGACTCTCTGACATTATTGACTGATAAAGGTAGATAAAGATAAACTTTATGGAAGAAATGGTTCTGACAGACTCGCAGTCACTAAATTCCTTAGTAACTTGACTAACAAAAGAGAATACTTTTAGTTATCAGTCACTGTATTCATGCAGTTAAAACTGTTTAAGCAGGAATAAAAATTGTGTCACGCCACTCATACGACACTTGGTTTCATCATCAAAATAATACATAAGATTTAGTGAAATTGTGAATCTTTGTATAACTGACACAGTTCAGAATTTAATAAATTATAATCATTGGCATATTTGACAAATATAATTTCAGAGGTCAGAGTAGTCCATACTTACTGGCCAAATTGGGTGTGTGTGTGTGTATGTGTTTTTTTGTTTTTGTTTTGTTTTGTTTTGTTTTGTTTTTTGAGATGGAGTCTTGCTCTGTCGCTGAGGCTGTAGTGCAGCAGCGCCATCTCTGCTCACTGTAAGCTCCACCTCCCGGGTTCAAGATAGTCTCCTGCCTCAGCCTCCCGAGTAGCTGGGATTACAGATGCCCACAACCACATCTGGATAATTTTTTTGTATTTTTAGTAGAGACGGGGTTTCACCATGTTAACCAGGATGGTCTTGATCTCCTGACCTTGTGATCCGCCAGCCTTGGCCTCCCAAAGTTCTGGGATTACAGGTGTGAGCCACCGTGCCCAGCCTGTGTATGTGTTTAATTAAAGAACATTTATCATGAGGGCAAAGAAGAATACCTTACAGTATATATCTTATCAGATATTTATAAAATGAATAATACAAGCTATACTAATGTGTTACATGACAACTAGGAAGAGTTTAAGACTCGCTTGGCCCATTTCTCTTGACATTAAATTGAATAAATTAAGCAGTAAAGGTTTTGTATAAAAATGGTTAGTAATTGCTGCAGACAGACTTCCCCATGAGAAGCCTGTTAGGGTGATTCATTATTTATATACTTAAAAAGTAGGACAATGAAGTCTGATTTCTGTCCCTTAGGCACTCACTTTCTACTGAATAAACAACAGAGAACAATTGGTTTATAACAAAATCCTGGCATAAATGTAGTGTCTCCTGATAATATGCTAAGAGCTTTATGTAGGCCAAAAATTACTTATTTTGTAAGGTAAAATTATAAATTTTATTCCTATCCAATTTCTAACATGTTATTAGAGAAACAATTTAAGAATGTAAGGTCTAGGAATATTCTTGTGAAATAAAAAATTAAAGAGCTGGAGAATGAGGAAACATTGGAATTAATAATTAGGTGTCTAAGCAAAACAGCCTGTCTTTTTTTGGAGCAATTGTATTATTGTTTCAACTGTTAAGATATGCAGTATTATGACTTTTAAAAAAGACATTTAAGATAAAAACAGCCTGGAATCTTTATGCAAACAAATTGATTTTACTTTTTCAAGAGTTCTCACTAGGAATGAAATGGGTATTTGAGATTTGGATAGGATATGATCCTTAAAATAAGCATGTATAGTAATAGGCAAAGCAGATGAATCCTAAGAGGTGAAAGAAATGACATTAAATTCAACAAATATTCCAATTATGTTCTAATAACATTATGTTTGAGGTGATTGAAGTTTTTAATTTATTATATTTTTTGCCACCTGTCTCCCAATACGTAATACTGTATTTACCAGGGCAAAAGCATTCTAGGAAATTTTAAAATGCATATATGCATAAGTCAAAAGTAGGATAGAGAGCAGAGTATGCAGGGCAATGTTCAGTACTCTGGCTTTAGGTACACACAACGAGAGAAAAGCTCCTACCGGGAAACCAATGGAAATCATTACCAAGGGGCTTTCAATAACCCATTGACATTTAGAAAAGCAAAATCTGAGGTAATAATTCACTTTCTCTCAGGCACTGGATCTATCCATAGGCAATATGTGCTCCAAGGGGGTCTGTGAGTAGCCCCTTTTCATTTCCATATGCATTACAGTCACAAAAGAAAGAGTAATTAACAAAGGTATATCGTGTTAGTATATATCTATGATAAGAGAGATTTGAAAATATTGCATAATGTACTGAATGATGATATAGATATAGTTCTGTCTGAAATGTCTTAAATTTTTGAATGCCATATTATGAAATTATAAATTTATAAAGGAGGAAATAATAATGATGTAATCTATCACAATTTACAGAATGCTTTTTCAAATATTAGTTCTACAATTTTCTGTTTTTAATAGTGGTTAAAGACTAAAAACCATCACACAATTCTTCCCTTTCACTGTCCTATGTTTTCACTCCAATGAAATTAATTTAAAATAATATCCAGATCACATTAGGAAAAAACTAGTGGGATACAACATGAAATGTGGGTATGTTTGCATGTATTACTGCTGGTATTTCTTGCATAATGGTGAGGCATATGCTGTGCATGAAAATTGAATACTAGTATATTAAAATGATCTCTTTATTTTCTTTTGTCTTGCTCTTCCAACACCTTTTTCTTTGTTTCTTTTCCCCGTAAGTATTCAGGGAATAATTTATTCCAGTTTCTAATAACTGAAATACTGCTTTATATCGTATTTTGTTAAAATTTAAATGTATTTGATATGGTCTGGCTCCATGTCCCCACCCAAATCTCATCTCAAAGTGTAATCCCCATAACCTCCACGTGTCAAGAGAGGGACAAGGTAGGAGGTGATTGGACCATGGGGATAGTTTTCTTCATGCTGTTCTTTTGAGAGAATGAGTTCTCACGAGATATGATGGTTTTATAAGTGTTTGACAGTTCCTCCTTCACACGCTGTCTTTCCTGCCAGCTTGGGAAGAAAGCACTTGTTTCTCCTTGGACTTCCCCAATGAGCGTAAGTTTCTGGAGGCCTCCCCAGCCATGTGGAACTGTGAGTCAATTAAATGTCTTTCCTTTATGAATTACCCAGTATCAGATAGTAAGTATCTTTATAGCAGTGTAAAAATGGACTAATACAGTAAATTGATACTGTAGAGAGTGAGGCACTGCTCTAAAGATAACCTGAAAATGTGGAAGCAACTTTGGAACTGGGGATCAGGCACCAGTTGGAACAGTTTGGAGAACTCAGAAGACGGGAAGATATGAAAAAGTTTGGAGTTTCCTAGAGACTTGTTGAATTGTTTTGACCAAACTGCTGATAGTAATATGGACAATGAAGTCCAGGCTGAGGTAGTCTCAGATGGACATGAGAAACTTATTGGTAACTGGAGCAAAGGTCACTCTTGCTACACTTCAGCAAAGAGACTGGTGGCATTTTGTCCCTGCCCTAGAGATCTGCGGAACTTTAAACTTGAGAGGGATAATCTGAAATTGAAACTTACGTTTAAAAATGAAGCACAGCATGAAAGTTCAGAAAATTGCAGCCTGACAATGTGGTAGAAAAAAATATATATATTTTCTGGGGAGAAATTCAAGCTTGCTGCATAAATTTGCATCAGCAAAAAGGAGTTGAATGTTAATATGCAAGACAATAGGGAAAAGGTCTCCAGGGCAGGTCAGAGACCTTCACAGCAGCCCTTCCCATCACAGGCCCAGAGGTTAGAAGGGAAAAATTTTGTCCTGGGCCTGGCTCAGGACCCAGCTGCTTTGTTCAGAACTCAGTTCCCTGTGTCCCAGCCACTGCAGCTCCAGACATGGCTAAAAGAGGCCAAGGTACAGCTCCAGACATTGCTTCAGAGGATGCAATCCCCAAGCCTTGACAACTGCCACGTGGTGTCGGGTCTATGGGTGTGCAGAAGTCAAGAACTGAGGTTTGAGAACCTCTGCCTAGATTTCAGAGGATATATGAAAATGCCTGGATATCCAGGCAGAGGTCTGCTGCAGGGGCAGAGTTCTCATGGAGAACCTCTGCTAGGGCAGTGAGGAAAGGCAATGTGGGGTTGGAGCCCTTACACAGAATCCTCGCTAGGGCACTGCCTGGTGGAGATGTAAGAATAGTGCCACTGTCCTGCAGACCCTAAAATGGTAGATCCACTGACAGCTTGAACCATGCCCCTGGAAAAGTAACAGGCACTCAACGCCAGTCTGTGAAAGGGCTGCCCAAGGCTGTGGGAGCCCACACCTTGCATCAGCATGCCCTGGAAGTGAGATAAGGAGTCAAAGGAGATCATTTCGGAGCTTTAAGATTTAATGGCTGCCCCTCTGGATTCTGAACTTGCATAGGACCTGCAGCAGCTTTGTTTTGGCCAATTTCTCCCATTTGGAATGGGAGCATTTATCCAATGCCTATATACCTGTATTATCCAATGCCTATATTATCCAATGCCATGTATCCAGTGCCCATATTATCCAATGCCATTATATCTTGGAAGTAACTAACTTGCTTTTGATTTTACAGGCTCCTAGGAGAAAGGACTTGCCTTGTATCACATGAGACATTGGACTTGGACTTTTGGGTTAATGCTAGAGTGAGTTAAGACTTTGGGGGACTATTGGGAAGGCATGATTGGTTTTGAAATGTAAAAAAGACATGAGATATTAGAGGGGCCAGGGTCAGAATGATACGGTCTTGCTCTGTGTCCCCACCCAAATTTCATCTCTACTTGTAAACTCATAATCCCCATGTATCAAGAGAGGGACCTGGTGGGGGATGATTGGATCATGGGGGTGGTTCCCCCATGCTGTTCTCGTGATAGTGAGTGAATTCTCATGAGATCTCATGTTTTATAAGTGTTTCATAGTTCCTTCACACACTCTTTTTCCTGGAGCTTTGTACAGAAGGTACTTGCCTCTCTTTGGTCTTCCACCATGATTGTAAGCTTCCTGAGGCCTCCCCAGCCATGTGAAACTATAAGTCAATTAAACCTCTTTCCTAGCCAGGCATGATGGCTCATGCCTATAATCTCAGCACTCTGGGAGGCCAAGGCAGGCAGACCACTTGAGGTCAGGAGTTCGACACCAGCCTGGCCAGCACGGTGAAACCTTGTCTCTACGCAAACATTAACTGGGCGTGGTGGTGCATGCCTGTAGTCCCAGCTACTCAGGAGGCTGAGGCAGGAGAATCACCTGAACCTGGGAGGTGGTGGCTGCAGTGAGCCATGATCATGCCACTGCACTCCAGCCTGGGTGACAGAGCGAGACTCCATCTTGTACTGTGAAAACAGACTAATACAGTAATTCTTCAGAAGCATATTTGCTGATTAGTATGAGCCTGCAAAGAATTTTCTAAGAAAAGAAATGGAAGAAACAAACATTTACCTATCACCTACTATGTGACAAACACTATACTAGACAAAAAGGCCTTGAACTTAGAAAACACAAGTTCTAGATAAAGATTTGAAGATTAACAAATACAGTAGACAATATGATGATTATTATCTGTTACTTGTTAATAAAATAGTTATTGTAATTATTATTGTATTACTGAAACATTCCATACTCCACATAAACCCTAACAATATTGCAAATATAACTTCAAGCTTTATTATTTTAGTTTAATATATAAGAAGGGGAAAATTTACTTTTAAAAATTTATTCGGGGGACTTAATGAAATATGAACATTTGGGTCCAGAGTTTACTTCCTTCTGATTTCCTTACTAGCATTCATACGTTCTTCTGAATCAAATTGAAAAATATTGTAAGTGATTCCTCCTCTTGATCATGTTCTTTACATAATCCCAAACTCTGCTGAAACAAAATCTCTGCTGAAACAATTGCTAGCTCAGAATGGACTGTCCACACAAGATAAAGGTTATGAAGATAATGTTATAAAATTATGATATGTTTGTGATGTCACAGATTAATTAATACTAAATCCACTGCCTTTCTTCTACACATTTCCGAGAAGACAACAACATTGAAACAAGCTAGATCCATGGCACATCAACATGAAAAGTTTACAATATTTTCAAAAAGCTTCCATGAAAATATATTTTTGTTTTAATATAGGAAATGGATACAATATATGCATAAAACATGTTATTAGTTGATTTTATTCAAGATTAATTGATTGTAAAATGTGTTTAGTAATACAGTATTGCTATTGATATAAAATAAATTTTTAAAATTCCATTTTAACTTGTTTTTTTGAATAAGTTTTTCAAAATAGTGTTCCTAGTGTCACCCCTTCTCTAAAATATCATCACTTATCAAAATAGTACACATAAGGAAGTTATAATTCAGCCAAAAATATCATTTGAAGTCATCTTAAAATTCAGTGCAATGTAATAAATGCCTATTCAAATAAGAGTAGGTGCTAAATAAACATTCAATGTGCACGATTCTTAAAAAAAGTCATCTTCTGGCAAAATTGGCATATTTGCAGTTCATATTGTATGCTGAAAAGCAGTTTATACATCCATACATAAAATTTATTGCTTAGCTTAAAAGTTACCTCTTTAGGAGAGATTCTCAATCAATGTCCAATTTTTCTGTAATATATTCTCTTAGCACTTTATTTTTTCTTTATCAGCATTTGTCACAAATTTTAATTATAGCATAATTAACTTCCTATGTCTCTCCTTTAGAGTGTCTGCTTCATAAGTGTAGGAACTATGGTAGTTAATTTTTTGTGTCAATTTGACTGAGCTAAGGGATGCTCAGATAGCTGATAAGACATTCTTTCTGGATCTACCTATGAGGGTGTTTTCAGAAGACATTAGCCTTTGAATTAGTGGACTGAGTAAAAAGCTATGCCCTCACCAAGGTGAGTGGGCTTCATCCAATTCCTTCAGGGCCTGAATAGGACATAAAAGTAGAAAAGGGTGAATTTTGAGCTCAGACATTAATCTTCAGCTGAGACATTTGTCTTGTCCTGCTTTGGACATCAGAGCTGGTTCTCTACCTCACTCTCCCCAGCCTCGCTATTCTCAAGCCTTTGGCTTCAGACTGAGGGTTACACCATTGACTTCCCAGGTTCTCAGGTCTTTGGACTCATTGAATTACATCACCTGCTTTCCTGATACTCTGGCTTGCAATTGGTAGAATTTCTAAGTCTCCATAATCCAATGAGGCATTTTTAATAATAAATATCTCTATAGATAGACTATAGATAGGTAGATAGATAGATAGTAGATAGATGATAGATAGATAGATAGATAGATAGATAGATAGATACAGATTGTATTGTTTCTGTTTTTCTAGAGAACTCTAATACAGAACCTGTGTCTGCCTAAAATTAAAGTTATTTGTTCAATCTATAAATCATTAATAGAAGTAGTTTAATGTAGTCAAAAGATTTCTACAACTTAAAATAATGTTACTATCTAAAAGCTGCATGATTTATTTTGAATTTACTTCCTTGCAATTTCCTTACTAACATGTATATGTTCTTCTAAGTCAAACTAAAAAATATAAGAGATTCCTCATCTTGATTTTGTACTCATTACAATCCCAATCTCTGCTGAAATGACCATTAGCCCAGACTGCATTCTCCACACATGATGTGAGTTATGAAGATGTTATAATAAAATGTCTAACAATTTATAAATCGCATATTAAAATTTTCTCTCTGCCAATGTTTTCACAACACTTACCATTCTATAGTGCAAGACACTTTATAATAGCCAAGAGTTAGCCTAGCAAACATGGCGCTAATTTTTCCTCTTCCTAATGTTTCATATGCAGTTCCAAGGTGAAAGATTCTAAAGATAAAAAAAATCATTCTGTGAACAATGTAGCTTAGACCAAACATGACTGCTTCTGGGGTATCAATTTCAATCTTTTATTGATCCTTGGAAAACATGGAAAAAAGTTTTAGTTGACTCTCAAAGCACCATTTAATATAATAAACTGTATTGATGTATAATTTAATTATAATAAAATGCATCTATTTTAAGTATATATTCTATGGATTTTTTTACAAATTTATACATTCTTGTACATTCTCACATATTCATCATCACAATCAAGATATAAAAACCATCACTCCAAAATCTTCCGTCGTGTCCTTTCCCAGTCAATAACTCATGGTGCTGAGACTGTTTAATTTCATAAGAACCTGCCAAATTATGAAAGAGGTCAACAGAAAGAAGAAAAAATATGTAGGGTTTATAAGTCTAAAATCACATTCAAGTCGGTAAAAGACTGCCTTATCTCCCATAATCTTTGGAAAGTTTCAACAGATAAAAAGAAAATTTAAAATTATATTTAATTAAATTAACAGTCTTCTTACATCTCTTATGGCCTACAATTCTTCCCTCAGCTGTACCGAACCTATACTTTTTCTCCTTAGAAAGTCAGACTGTGAGTGACTGACAACAGCCATATTACATGAAATATTTTCACCTACATAACACTCAGTACTTTCCATTTCACCATCAGGAACTACAGACTGCCTATCCTCACCAACCAACCAATGTACCCCTAAATAAATTAAAACTGGGTAATTTTGTATCCTAGCACAGACAACAGGAGAGGTCTGAGCCTTTCAATATCAGGACCTTTGTCTGTCTGGGCTGCTGTTACAAAAGACTATAAACTAGGTAATTTGTAAACAATAGAATATATTTCTTACACTTCCTGAGGAAGGGAAGTTCAAGGTCTAAGTGCCAGGAGATAAAGTATGTAGTGAGTGCCTGTTCCTCATACAATGTGTGCTCTTATTGCATCCTCACACGGCAGAAGGGGTAAACAAACTCCCTTGGTTCTCCTTTATGAGGGCACTAATTCTATTCACAAGGGCTCCACCTTCATGATCCAATAACCTCCTAAAGGCCCACGGCTGATAATATGACCGCTATGAGGATTAGGTTTCAACATACAGCAATCACCAAAAACGAACTTATCAAGTATTATTGATGTTCCTATCAAGAGTAAAATAAAAAGGAATTGATCTTTGGATATGTCCTACTCAACAAAACAGCCATATTCAAATGATAAGATTGAGAAGTTAAACCTATTAAATATATTAAACGAAGGTTTATCAGAAAATCTCCATAAATAGACATCCCCAGAAGCTGTTTTACTGATGCAAGAATAGTGAAAGAAACAAGATTTTTCTAGATGTCTAAAAACTGTCATATTCTCACTTGCATACTTTTTCTTTTTCTTTTTCTTTTTTTTTTTTTTGAGACAGAGTCTCTCTCTGCTGCCAGGCTGGAGTGCAGTGACATGATCTCCGCTCACTGCAACCTCCGCCTTGTGATTCTCCTGCCTCAACCTCCTGAGTAGCTGGGATTACAGGTGAGTGCCACCACACCCAGCTAATTTTTTGTGTTTTTAGTAGAGAAGAGGTTTCGCCATGTTGCCCAGGCTGGTTTCGAACTCCCGACCTCAGGTGATCTGCCCGCCTCGGCCTCCCAAAGTGCTGGGATTACAGGCGTGAGCCACTGTGTCCGACATGAATACTTTTTCTTTTTGCTTTATTTTTCAACTTTATGGTTCCTATACACTTTTTTAATGCTTCTTGTTTCTCACATGTATGTGAGAAACTTTTATCTAACATATTCCTTTTACTGATAATAACATGCCTAGATTTGTGATTTATTGAAACTTTAACCATTCAATGTTTATAATTTTGCTTTTAAAGTTATTTAAACTTTAAAATTGTTTTATTCTATTGCTAATAAGACCATCAATGGTATTTGATAGAAACTATTAATTATGTAGATCACTTTGGAGAGTATGGGCATTTTAATAATTTATTGCTTTTAAAGTTAATATAGTCTATGGGTTTGGACAAATGTATAACAGTTTAGACTATAATGTATCCACTATTGTAGTAACTTGCAAAATAGTTTTCCTGCCCTAAACACCTTTGTGCTTTGTCTATTCATCTCTCTCTCTCTGTGAAGCCCCGGAAATTACTGATCTTTTCACTGTATCTATAGTTTTGCCTTTCCAGAGACAAACAATATCATATAGCTGGAATTGTACAGTATATAGTCTTTCCAGAGTTTTACTTACACTTAGTAATATGCATTTAAGTTTCCTATGTGTCATTTCACGGTTTGACTGCTTACTGCTTTTTATCACTGAATAATATTTCATTATCTGGATGGATCCTATTTATTCACCTACTCCAGGTCACAATGGTTGCTTCCAAGTTTTGGCAATTATGAATAAGCCTTCTGTAAACACCTATATGCAGGTTTTTGTGGACCTAAGTTTTAAACTCCTTTGAATAAATACCAAGGAGTGTGGTTGCTCGATCACATGGAAAGAGTATGTTTAGTTTTGTAAGAAACCACCAAACTGTTTGTCAAAGTAGCTGTCCCATTTTGTATTTGGTTGTTTTAATTCTTGCCCATTCATCTATATTAGGACATGAACAGAGGTGACCTAGAATTATTTCTTAACCATATACAAATATAATATTTATAAGTGTAATGTTTCATAGCAATACAATAGAAATGCACCAGCTGCATTTGTAGTGACCTAGAACCTTAGACGAAAAAGATGTCATGGTCAGAACTATTCTAGCTGGTATGAGCTTCATATGTAAATCTCTCCTCAATCCTCATTTCTTACACGCAACCAGCTCAAATATCTCATACATAAGAGCTTTGCTTAATGCATTTGCCTCTTAACTCTAATGAATTACCTCTAATACAAATTTAATCTTTATTTACAGTTTCTTTGTCAATTCAGACACACTTTCTAAACAAGTATTAGAATTGGCAAAGTAGCAACTTTGTTAAATTTTTATCTTGCAAATATCATGTGTACTCAACATAATTATTTAAATTTTCTAAGGTTATCACTGTAAACAATTATATTTATTTATTTTTAATTTTTTTAAGAAATAGAGTCTTGCTCTGTTGCCCAGGCTGGAGTGCAGTGGCATGATCATAGTGCACTACAGTCTCAAACTCTTGGGCTCAAGCCATTCTCCCACCTCAGCCTCCTGTGTTGCTGGGACTACAGGAACACACCACCATTCTGGACTTATAATAGATTTAATAAGATATTTATTATAGGAAATAATGGCCGCAAAGAGAAAAGTTTGCAAATTGTCATAATCAAGAAACACTAATAATGTAGCTGAATCTATTACAAGTAGGAACTATTGGTCAAAGAGTATGAGGAAGATACTTCAAAGCAGACTCTGTAAAGAGAAGGGATCAGGGTAAAGAATATCCCTTCCTTTTAGGGTTGTGGAAAACAGAAGTGGCAAAAAAAAGTGTGGAACTTGAGTTAGAAAAGATAAGTAATTAAAATAAAATAAATAAAATAAACAGTAAAATTTTAATTTTATAAATTTATTTATAAACTGATTTTTTTCAGACATTTGATATGAAATGGAAGATTTAGCTGCTCTACCAGATTTAAAAAAGGAAATACCTAAAGCTATTTTTATTTTTACAATTATTATGTTTTTGAGACAGAGTCTTGCTCTATCACCCAGGCTGGAGTGCAGTGGCACGACCTTGGCTCACTGCAACCTCTGCCTCCTGGGTTCAAGCAATTCTCCTGCCTCAGCCTCCCAAGTAGCTGGGACTACAGGTGTGTGCCACCATGCCTGGCTAATTTTTTGTTTTTTTGTTAGAGACAGGGTTTCACTGTGTTAGCCAGGATGGTCTCGATCTCCTGATCTCATGATCCACCCGCCTCAGCCTCCCAAAGTGTTGAGATTACAGGCAAAAACCACTGCACCCAGCCCTAAAGCTATTTTTTAAAACAACAATGTCCAAATATCAGTGGACACATAGATGGTAATAAGTGTATTACTCTCCCCCCCTCTAGCCCAAACCACACACACACACACACACACATACACACACTCTACATATGCAGCTTCTTATGTTTATCTTGTTTCTATCTTGAAATAATCTGTTTATTTAAAGAAGAAAATCAAGAAGTGGTAGTTTTAGAAAATGTCAATTTAAAATTATTAATCTTAATTTAGACACTGGCTTTATTAACAGTTGACCATCTTTTCTCTAAATCTCTGCATGATTTAACAATATTCTTCAACATTCAGTGGTTTTCATTGAGAAGGGTCTGACAAGGGCATTAAGATTGTTCTTAGATTACAGAGATATTCTTCCCATCAAGCCATATTCCCTGGCTCATTGCTGCTTCATCCTGAAGAAAGAAGCTCCCTTTTATCCAGTTTGCACAAAAATGCCTGTATGTGCTAGTAGCAAACTCATTTGTTAATAAATCGATTTTGTATAAAATGGAATTTATTTATGAAAAAAGCAGTGTAAGTTAGAGCTCTGTTTCAGCCTCCTCATATATACCACTTAGTGTTTAATTTCACCTGTGACATTTAAATGTTACCTGAATAGTACTGAGCCAGACAGTGTTCAGGGAACAACTGGATACAGGGATGGATAAATAGGTTAAAAACTGCAGTCTTTCTGGGGTTCACATTATCACTTAGAGGGAAAGTAAAACATATTTTTTTAGTGTTTACCTTGTGCCAAACACTCTTCTAAGTATGTCATGTATGTTACATAATATAATCTCACTGTATTCCTATGATTACACTGGTACTCCATTGTTCACATTTTTCAGGCAGAAAGCTGAAGCATAGAGAGATCAAAGACCTTGTTAAGAACCATGAAAAGAGTAAGTGCTAATGCCAGAACTAGAACCCAAGAATTCTGGTGAAGTGTATCTTCTAACCCTATATTCTACACTGCCTCTGATGCCAGTGGTGGCCTGCCTGGAGTGGCCACTGCCTTGATGCCAGCTGCGGTGGGGGAAGTGTGGCTGGGGCACGTGCTTCCCAGAGCTGGCAGGAACCAGAAACAGGCAGAAGCCTTGCCCCCTTCCGAGTTGGCAGGGTGGGAGCCTCACACTCCCTGGGTGCAACTGTGTCTGCCCAAGCTGCAGCTATGGACCCAGCCATCTCTGAACTCTCGGGGGCCTAGGAAGGTCCCCCTACCCCTGCAAGCTCAGAAGTACCTGCTCCCACTGCCTGACCTCTCCCCATTCCCAGCACTGCTCAGCAGGCTTAAAAGTGTCTGCTACTGCTGCCTGGCCTTTCCCTGCTACTGGCACCTGCTCCAATCTTGGGGCAAAGTTGAGGCCAAGCCTGGGCACTGTCACAATCTAGCCAGCTGTGCACACCCTCAAGGCAGTCCGGATACACCAGTGCCCTGCCGTGTTGGACCCTTTTTGACATTGGGGGCTGATGAGCATGGGAGGAAGGCTGAGGGGCTACTGAGGGCAACTCAGCACTGGCCTGCAAGTGCCCCTTGGCACGAACAGCCTGCATGCTATGAATGGTGGCAAGACGCAGACAGGCTTCTGTGGGGAAAGGTGAGGGTTACTGATGAAGTCCCACCTTCAAACCGAGGAAGGCCTGAAGCCTGGGGTCTAGGCCGCCAGTCCTGTGGACTGGAGTGGGGACTTACGGTGCTATATTGGGGCCTGCCAATGGCCACCCATATACCAATCAGCATGCCCTTCCTCCCTTCTGAAGCCCATAAAATCCCCGGACTCAGCGAGACGTGAGACAACCAGACGACCAGCTGCAGAGAGGAACTACTCACTCCAGGGTCTCCTCTCTGCTGAAAGCTAACACTCGCTGACATATGCTAGCTGCAGAAAGGAGCTACACACCCACTGCAGATCTCTGAGCTGTTCTATCACTCAATAAAGCTCCTTTTGGCCTTGGTCACCCTCCATTTGTCTGTGTACCTCCTTCTTCTCGGGCACGGGACAAGACATTGGGACCCACTGAATGGCAGAGCTGAAAGAGCTGTAACATAAACAGGGCTGAAGCACACCCCTTGCTTGCCACAATGTAGGTGACAAGAAGGAGAGAAGAGTTGTAGCCCTTCCAGGAGCCTAGACCTAGGAGCCCTGAGCCAGGGCTGTGACATCCTTTTTGGGGCTCTGCAATTCTTGGCATCTTCAAGCTTCCAGGAATTACCACATTTCCCAGTGCCATCTGTGGGAGCTGCTTGCAGGACACCTGGTCCAGCCACAGCCTCACAGGGAGCCAGTGTCCAGTGCTGGTGCCTGGAGCTGCCCAACCCACCACACCCAGTGTGCCTGGCTGTGCATAGTGGCTACACCCCATGGTCACTTGCTTACATATCCCTCACCACTCTGCTCACCCTTGGCAGGCATGGGATCCAGATCAGTAGCACAAGCCGAGCACAGCCTGCCAGGCCAAGTGGGCCCAGCAGGCCTGAGCAAAACTCAGGCAAAGGCAACACTGGAGACAGAGGTTTCTGGCTGATGAAGTGACACCCCAAGGATCCTGTAACACCTCTACAGTATTATGTTATCTCTGATGAAGTGACACCCCAAGGATCCTGTAACACCTCTACAGTATTATGTTATGTTTTATTTTACGTGTTAAAACTGAGGCACAATAAAATGAATTGACTTTGTTAAGGGGACCCCATTAGTAGAGAAGTTAGTCAGTATTCAAACCTACGCTGTTTGTATCTAACACTCATATTTTAATCCTAATAGATCTAAAAATTTATAAACTTTTAGAGCAGTAAGAGAGACAAAAAGTAATTCCAGACAGAAGTGACACAATTAACAAACTATCACACATTAACAATGTATAGCTGGTAAACATATTAACTATCATGAATTTGCTCTGAAAATCACTGGAGGGAAGCACAGAATCTCAGTATTTGAGGGAACTACCTTCCATCCTCTTAGCCTCACCTCTAATGTTAGCCACTGAAGGCAATATAAACTCAAAGATACACAATGTCAGACTAACTGTTGTAACAGAACAAAGTGGTAGTGTTGTGAGAATTTTCTGGAAAACATGAACAAATTTGTGAAGTGAGGAAAGGAAAGGAAAGAAAGTAGAAAAGAAGAAAAAATTTTAAAACATGGAAAAAGAATAAAGATGGAGACGACAAAATACAGTGTTGGGGAAAAAGATCAAGAACATTAGAGAGAAAAATAAGATGAGAAAAGTGAAAAGAAGGAAGAAGACAATGGGGAATGAAAAATGTGTATATAATTTCTTTCTGTGGAATTTCTTTTGTAGGTACTTTAGGTGCCATTTAAGTTATAAATATGCTAGCCCCATTTGTGATGTTCCAGTTACAATATCGCAGGTTTAGGGAGAAGAGAGTTTTATAATATAAATTTTGAAGGACAACCTAAACTTTCTACTTTAAAAAACGTTTACTGATTTTTGATAAATGATTTTCTTTTTGGTATTGTTACTTCTTTTTTTTTTGAGACAGTCTCACTCTGCCACCCAGGCTGGAGTGCAGTGGTGTAATCTCAGCTCACTGCAACCTCTGCCTCCCAGGTTCAAGCAATTCTCCTGCCTCAGCCTCCCGAGTAGCTGGGATTACAGGCATGTACTACTATGACCAGCCAATTTTTGTATTTTTAGTAGAGACTGGGTTTCACCATGTTGGCCAGGCTGGTCTCGAACTCCTGACCTCAGGTGATACACACACCTTTTTAATGTTATCTGCATGTCTGTGCTGAGAATGTATCTAAAAAGATATAGAAGAAAGGGGATGAATAAGATAGAGTTGCTTCTGGGAGAGACAGCTGGGAGACTAAGGAACGGTGATGAAAGGAAAAGTGACTTTTCACAAAATAATTTCCAAAACTTCTTTTGTTATTTACCATTTGAAAATCATAAATAGGTAAATTTGTGGAATAGTATTTAGTTATCATTATTTTCAATAGAAATAGATAATGGCTGTCATTTTTTAGTAGGCACTTGTTTTTTGAATGAACTTGTTTGCTTTCTTAGCTGCTGGGTCTTTTAAACCATATTCCTGTCACTAGGTTTAAGTGACTTGATATGTCACTGACAACAAATAATTTGATCTACTCTCCATGTCAGAACAGCGAGGAACATCTTAGAATTCAAGGTTAAATTAAAGCAGATTATAAGATTGAGTGTCATTGTCATCTTCCCCATGTGCTTTCTGAAAGCAGTTCTTCAGATCATTAAAAAGAATAGAAAATTTTATGAACAATTTCAAGGAGTGATTGTACAGCCATCTGGATTTCACAGCCTTGACTCAATTTACTCTTAATTATTGCTAACATACATTTATAAATTCTGAAACTCTTGGATCCTATTTTGCTCCTTCTACATAAAAGCTAATTAATCATCTCTATGAAAATTACCCATCCATATGTGACATTATTTCTTTTTAAAAATACTTACTTGGTTTTGCCAAGAATCCTGGAAAATTACCCATGCCAGTCACTAAAATGTTTCTTAGGCTGAGTGTCCTTTAGTCCCATACTCCACATTTTGTGGGATCTTCTCACATGCCATAAAGCAGAGAACAGATTCCTATGTAAGTCCCTCAATCCTAGCAGGAAGTGAGGCAGGTTCTTTCCAGAGACATTTCCCATGTCAAAGCACCTTCCCAATAAGGACAGAACTAGTGTGTCAGTTTTAGAATAAACATTTATTTTACAATTCTCAGTACTCCAGTCCCTGTTTTAATAAATGGAGCAGATAGAATATATCTGCATGATACGAGCATCTACAAATCTGCTGCTCAGGTAATAATGCTCAACATGAATTTAAATGACATTCCACATTCAATGGCACTAAAAGAATATAAATAATGAAGTTTAAAATTGTTATAATTTTCTAATTTGTTTTCATTGTTGTAAAGTTAAAATAGTTAAAAAAATACCAAGTTCATATTCCTTATCATTATATGCTTATGGAAACTTCATATAAAAATAAACTCTTTGGGGATGAATTAAATATTTTAGCACCTTTCTAGAATTCTTACATGTACTGAGTTATCCTAAACCTTTTAGTAATACTTAAGGCCAGGTCATTCATGTACAAAGTGCCAAATTTTTGATCAAACAATTTGAGTTCTGTCAGTGATCTTTGATTGAAAAATAGTCTGAAAATCCTATCATAAAATTACACTCTGACAAAAAGCTAATTAACAAGTAATGTATGTTTAATTGACTATAGAGAGAATATTTTAGTAGTCTAACCAGTGTTCTTCTAATTCTCTTCCTCCTATTTCTTAGCAAATTATTATGAAATGATCAAATTTGAATGCCTTTAAAATAAATTCTTTATGTGATAGCTATACTATGTTATATTACGTGTAATAAAGTCTTCCCCAAAACATTTACTAATATAATACTTTCTATGATATGTCGATAGATCTTTTTAGGCTAGTGTACTCTTTTGCACTACATATTTAGGCAGCAATTTGAAGCAATATATCACATTAAATAGTAGCACCTCAAGGTATATACACTGATGCAAAGCACAATAAATAATCCTGACCACTTTCCTTAGTTCTGTAGGTTCTTCTCCTATATAAAAGACTGCTGGCATTTATACAGATCAGCCAAATGTCAATTAAGTTAATGTTTACCAGTCAAATTCATTTTAAAAAATCAAGCAAAAAATTAAAGAAATAGAGTTCAAGGGTGATAGATATACATGGCTATACATAGTTCAGCATATTATGTTTCTATATTAGAAGTAAGACAAAGTAGATACTACAATCCTCTGGCTTAAATGTATTAACTGAATAGTTTGTATTCTATTTTATTAATTTTTCATATGAAATGATAGTCAATAAAATTTTAATATAAGCAATTTACATTTGTGTTTGTGTGTGTGTATACAGAGACTTCCTTTAACTCTGTTATTTCCATAATAAAAAGAATAGTAAATTTTAAACAAGACACTCATAACTAGTTTGAATTGGTTATCTTTATTCAAGTTACAGAAAGTGCTAGAAATATATTATAGTATGGCTTCTCAAATTCCTATATAGTAGAAACACTAGAACATAAAAGATGTTGTTGTGGGCTTTTCCAGTGTAATGAAGTATTTGTAAATTAGGTAATTTCTAACATATAATTTTCAACTACCATTTAACATTTAAAACTAAACCAATAAAGGTACAGAAAGAAACTTTTTTTTTTTTTTTTTTTTTTTGAGACGGAGTCTCGCTCTGTCACCCAGGCTGGAGTGCAGTGGCGCGATCTCGGCTCACTGCAAGCTCCGCCTCCCGGGTTCACGCCATTCACCTGCCTCAGCCTCCCGAGTAGCTGGGACTACAGGCGCCCGCCACCACGCCCGGCTAATTTTTTGTATTTTTAGTAGAGACGGGGTTTCACCGTGTTAGCCAGGATGGTCTCGATCTCCTGACCTCGTGATCCGCCCGCCTCGGCCTCCCAAAGTGCTGGGATTACAGGCGTGAGCCACCGCGCCCGGCCAGAAAAAAACTTTTTATAGTTTCCTTCATAAAACTTGATGTTTGATGTTTTGTGAACATATGCAAACATTTGAACTATAAATATCAATAATAATTTTTATTTTAGTCAAAAAGCAGCCAAAAAGGAAGCACAGGTTATCACTCTAAATAATGTAAACATTTACATATATGTATAAGAAGTAATATCTATGTAAGAATTAGGATCTGACAAACTAGATGTATTTACTTATTAATTTTGAGACAGAGTCCCTCCCTGTTGCCCAGGCTAAAGTGTGATGGAACAATCTCGGCTCACTGCAACCTCTGCCTCCTGGGTTCAAGTGCTTCTCATGCCTCAGCTTCCTGAGTAGCTGGGAGTACAGACATGCACCACCACACACGGCTAATTTTTGTATTTTCAGTAGAGATAGGGTTTCACCATTGTGCCCAGACTGGTCTCAAACTCCTGGTCTCAAACTCCTGGTCTCATGTGACCCACCCACCTCAGCATCCTAAAGTGCTGGGATTACAGGCATGAGCCACCGTGCCTGGCCTAACTGTGTGTGTTTAAATGGCAGGAGAGCTTATTGAAAGGTTATTAAATTTCAATTTATTATTTACATTTCATGTTTTTCATAACATTCATTAACTAGGTATAGTACATTAATTTCCTGAAGTTAAAGGAATAGAATTTTATAAAGCATAAACTGCATTAAGGTAACATGAATATTTAATCCTTACAATTTTATAATAGTTGACCATACTCTAATTGAAATTGCTCCTGTGTAGTGACATTGGCTAAATTCAAAGTTCTCTTCTTTCCCGTGCATCTCAAAACAGATTGGCATAATCAGTGTTGTAAGCAGTAGAGCACCCTAATGAGTGTAGTCCTGTCAAAATGACTCTACTTATTTGAAATTACTAGAATCAGCAGCTACTCTCTAGAGGAAATAAATAGAAACCACAGAGAACTCAACACTGCTATTATTTGTACATACTAGAATCAAATAAATAGGTAATATCATTTATTTTATGTAACTATGGGGGTTTGATCATATGTATGTTATGATCTTTGAAAAGATTCTAGCTTACTAGAAATCTAAGTAAGAGATCTCTATGCTTCTGCCAAAAATTTTGGTTTAGTATCTGCCACAGTAATTTCCAAATTTGGAACAGGTAGTGTAACCTTGAAATTATTGGAGCCACTTTACTTTTAGTCATTTCATTAGGAAATATGAGAGGTGAACACAGTGTGCCACCTTCACCATCATTTAATGCACCATTGTATATTTTGACTACTCTCCTGATTGATATAAATATTTACATACTTTATTGTGTACAATTTATAAAACTTAATCCTAACTAACTCTACATTTACATTTTTGATAGTATGTGACTTTATAATGTATAAAATCATTTTAGTAGAAGAGAAATTATTTGGTGATGTGTAGATAAAAGGAATGTGAACATAAATGTTTTAATTTTTAATCACTTATTTTTGCATATGCAGCTATAATATATTCTTAAAGCAAATAATTGAGTCTTTTCTTCATGGTATACACATATGTATTTTTTATTTTTTCATTGTGATGAAATGCACATATTGTAAAATTTACTATCTTGTTCCATTTTTAAATGTACAGTTCAGGGATATTAAATACATGAGGGTTGTCTAAAATCACAATAATTTGCAGAATTTATAATAAGAATAGAGCAACTAGGATTTGAGCTTATGAGCTTGCATTTAAATAGAGTGAAATCTTTATCTATACTAAAAAAACAGCATTTAGTTGTGGCAAAGATCTCACTATGACTTTGTTATATATTACAAAAATAGGTGGAAATATATAAAATTGTCAGTTTAAAATAAAATGTATATAACATTTAGAAATTTCAATCCATTTGAGCATGAAGTGATCTAACTTATTCTTAAAATACTCAAAAGTGCTCTAATAATTGACCAAGTTTACTAAAATCATAGAGAGCAAATTTGTCCTTCAAACGTAAACCTTTAAAAAAATAATGTGGAAGATATTCACACGATAAGAGAGGTAAATTGAGGTAGAATAAAACAACTGGGGAGGAATAAAGGGAAAATCCAAAACTGAGTCAGCCTTTTTCTGCTTTAGGAGAAGACAAGAGAAGAAAGCTCATTTTTATCTTTTGAGAGAATCAATCAAGTAGTATTTGGTAGAAAGGCAGACACAAATCATTATTCATTCCTTTGTCATTCTGGGGAAAAGTTAAAAATCTAAATATCTATTTTACCTTTAAAGTAGATACCTAAATTTATCTATTTTAGGTATTTTAAATGTCTATCTTTACCTATTTAATAGGAATTCCTCAGGATTATCCAGTAGGAATTCTACCAGATTATCCAGTAGAAATCCGGTAGGTTTCCCTCCAAGTTCAAATTCTTATTTTGGGGACAGAGTCAGCTACAATATTTATAGAAATTAGGAAAGGCTTATATATAAAACTGATACACTTTCTATTGAGTTTTGATCACAACTACATTTTATCAATCTGAATATTTCTGGACTAAAACTATTATAGTCAATTTTCAAATGCCAATACCAATAAATGTGAAAAATATTTTATTCATAGTATTGTTAAATATGTATTGCTAAATATTTCTTGAACTATATAATTATATTGGTTAATATAAATGTTTCATTTTAAAGAAAAATCTGATTATATCTTTTTCTCACTTAAAATTCTCCCACGTTGATGAAATGTTCATGCACTTAAAACTTAACAAGCCTTACTAAGACCTTTATGCTTTTACCCCATCCAGGGTTGCGTTGGTGTTTTCAGGAAGTTTTATGATTTTGCTTGTTTCTGGTTTTTAAACAACCTCCACCTGGTGCTTTCCCTTGCGTTATTTCTCTGGATAACTCCCGTGTGTTTTTTAGGTCATAGATTATCCTCTATATCATTCTTAAAACTTTATTTTACCCTTTAAGTTAGGATGAAGTGCCACTTAAAATTGTTCCCATGACAACCTATACAAATGTCCATGGTAACATCAAGATTTTCTAAATCACGCTAGCTCTGTTAAACTAGAAAAACGTCGAAATAATGTGAGAGCCTTACTGTGTAACACAGCTAATCATTTTCAATTATTTATTTATTTATTACTATTTTCAGAAGGTAGTAAGTTGGCATAGCTCTTCGAGTAATATCACAGCCAATATTCCAATTCCTAGATTGTGCTTAGGTAGGTAAATAACATACCTATGAATTCTTTCACTTTATATTGATATATATCTTGCATGCATAATTTAACACTCTCCAAACCCTTTGTTTCCTTTACAACATACATAACATTCCATATTGCTGTATACATAAACGTATGTCAGACATCTTCTCTATTGGAGGAAATGACATCTCCTTATTTATCACTGCACACCTTTTTCATCAGACTGCTTCTGAAAGTGACTGGTCCAATGCCTTGCACTTGGCACTCAGTGAATATTTGTTGAACTGAATCAAATTGAATTGAATATGGGTCAGTCGTCAGGTTTCATAATATCACTCTTCCATGCAGTTAAAGTTCAGTTACAGAGTCATAGATTCTTCAAGCTTTTCCTCAAAATGGTATGATGACAAGAAAGATGATACATTTGTCATGATAATGATATTTTTATGGAAATGCATATTTTTATCTTAGTCTAGTTGCTTTATTATACAGCAGTTTTCTACCAAGAGAATATATAGAGTTTTTAATCTGAGCCTATTTTTTATAGCCTCCACCTTCTGCAGCTTGACAACTTTCACATTATGTAGTCCTTTGTCATAAAACCAAATCTCTAGTTGCCATTACTGTTATTACACAGCTCATAGAAGCATAGTGATAGATCTTCAGAAGGGTCAACTACATAGCAAGGAGTTCATCAAGAAGCTCTGAAACCAATTCTAAAAGAATGTGCTTCCAAGAAAGGAATGTTCTATCACACTTTGTAAACATTATTCTACATATAGAATTTAGAATTATTTACATATAGCCCTTTAGAAGAATTCCATTAATTAAAAAAAAATACAGCCTGGGCAACATGATGAAAGCCCATCTCTATCAAAAATACAAAAATTAGCCGGGCAGGTGTCATTTGCCTATAGGCCCAGCTAATTGGGAAGCTGAAGTGAGAGGATCACTTGAGCCCAGGAGACTGAGGCTGCAGTGAGCTGTAATCACACCACTGCACTCCAGCCTGGGCGATGGAGTGAGACCCTCTCTCCAGAAAACAATAAAAATAGCAACAGAAATCACACACAAAAAACTAAAACACCATTTAATTTTGGCATGGATTTGTTAATTTATTTTTTACTGCTTTACCAAATGCACATTATATTTTTTGAAAGGTTTGTTTTTGATTATGGATTCTGATTATTAACTGGTTTTATACAGGTGAGCTTGTCACATAGCTGTTTTTCTATGGCAATTGAGTAGCGTTTATAAGATTAGTAAACATTAAGGTGTATTAAAAAATTTAGGACATCTATTTTTGAAATTTTATTGTTTCTTTAAATTAATTTTAAAGCTTATGAATAATTTATAAATTATAAAGTGAAAAGTGTGCCCAAACTAGTAAACAATAGAATTCAAAAATAGAAATGATTATAGAATTGAATTACTGATGTTTAATATTTGTCTCCTTAAAAGAGCTAAGAGATTTATTTATAAAGTATAGAAATTGAAGAAGGTAGTACTGATGTAATAAATGGAATGCCAGATCTGATCCCACTTTTTAATGACTTTTTCTCAAATATAATATTTGCTGGTAGAGCTTTGTAGCAATATTTGAATGATCAGAAGAAACCTAGCAGATTCACTTGGGTGACCTGTGTTGATTCTTTTACCAGTTGCCAATAGTATGATAATGTCTAAAATTGTGGGTACTTAAAGAAGGTGAATATATTTTCACTATAGGGAAGAGTCTCTGTGAAAGTCTGCAAGACTGGCTTCTGAGAATTAGGTGATTCTATCATAATGTTTATAGCAGGTATTATATAGGCATTAAATAGGCATTTATCTTCAAAAATTTGATTCCTTCTTTAACTGGTAATCTGGAAGTGATGAGAGATAAAAAGATAAATTATTTCCAAAGTGATATTAACCTTCAAAAACGGGTTGTGTCCTATATGATGTGGCTTTACATTATATTACAGAAATATGATTACAGAAATGTTCCTTAAATAACTCCATCATAGTACCTACATTTACCTGAAGTAGATCAGGGGGTAAAAATAGGAACATGTAAATATGGAAAGAAAAGAATAAATATTTTTGGATTAAAGACATAGTACCTGTTTCAGCACAGCTTCCTTTGAATAGAGAAAATCTATTATTAATTCCACAGCTGTGGTAATTTATAGCTGTATATACAGAAAGTTTCCCTTAGCTCTTCCTGGTTTTGGCTTGTGTCCTAGTGCAAAGATTGAAAAGGAATATAATTTCTAATTATGTCTGAATATGACTTCTAATTAATGATGGTAATTTGGCCATATGTGTTTAATTTTTTTCCCTTTCGAAGAATCTTTAGTAAAAATAAAGTTTAAGGCATCAGCATATATGGAAAAATGGGACTATAAAACAGGATTTGCCACAAACAGGCTTAATACTTTAATGCAAAAGTCTGATTTGTGGCTAAGGAAACTTTCTGATAACAAGCAAAATTCTACATGATGAACAGTGAACCTAATCACTCACTATACTATTTTTTTATATTAAGAATGGCAGCAGCCAAGAGATTTGTCTCTAGACAAAGACAGCTGGAATCACAGGGGAAAAATACATTAAGTGTGTCTGGTGGTCACTCTCACCACGAACTAAAAGCCGACAGGTGTTTCCTCTGAAAACAAACTTTCGATCAAAGTTTTCATGTCTTACTCTTCCATATAAAGTGAACTAAGCAAGAGCTAAATATCACAGTATTTTAGGGAATAATCTAACAAGAAAGTGTCAAAAAACCCAAAACCATTCCATAACAAAATAAACTTGGAGAAAACAGCCATTCTTGCGTGCAGAAAGTAACTAAAAACAAACAAATGAACAAATATATATCTATGTCATAAGAAATAAAGGAGAACAAAAACAATATAAAATGTAAAAAGTATATTAGTTAGAGAATGGAAACACTCTCCTGAGAAACTAAGTACATACGCTTGTCAAATAAACTGCTATAAATCTTAAAGGATGATTTTAAGGAATTTTCCCTGAGCTGATGATAAGTCTACCGGCTCTGGCAGAAGAAAATGGTAAAACTACTCTGAAGGGACAGCTCTATGAGTAAATACAATGTGCGCATAGAGGGGATTCATCATTAGTATTCACTAAAAATGTGGGTTGATACTCCACAATCTTAAAAAAATAAACCTATCTGAATGAGACTATTCAGATTAATAAGATTCTATTAATCAGATATATGAGTTTTTTATGATAGTGAAAAATAACACAAATTTAAGAAAGGTAGTCAAAAGTAACTTTTAGAAATAAAAATATTTTTATTAAAAAGAAAAACTAGTGGAGAATTAAACAGACGCCATGCAGCAGAAAAAAGAAGTAATGAAGAAGAATATAAAGCAGAAAATTACTTCCTATATTCAGGTGGTACAGAGATTTTACGCATGCATACACACACACATAAATTTTAAACTTGCTAAGAAATTTGGAAGATGGAACTAAGTAGTTCAGCAATTCTTTGTGTGTAGCTTTAAAATAAAGAAACTAGGCAATAAAAACAGAAATAATGTACAAGAATAATCTAGTGTTCAAGGAGCTCTTGAAGGAAAAAAAGTATAAGTATTTAACTAATCCAGGAGGTCAAATATTAGAATAATTTGGGAGATTCAGGAATCACAGATAATCCAGAGAGAAGCAAATAGTAATGAAGTAATTTAAGAACATTTGACAGGATTCATATGAAGTTATATCTAAATTTAAAGGGCTTATTTAATGCTGTCTGTAATATAAGGAAAGGGGGAAGAACCGCCAAATGGTATTATTACAATATTTTAGAATGCTAGAAATGCTAACATCTTCCAGGAAGACAGAATAAAAGGTACCTAGGTTAAAATGAGAAACAAAATAATATGTGGATCATAAAAAGTAGCATTGAAATAAAAAAAAAAGAGGCCTATGAGCAATGGCCTCAAAATTCTGAGAGAAAATTAGAATTTTTAACTTAGCCAATTTATTAATTAGATAAATTTTTAGATAATTAAAGATTCAGATTTGTGATTTTCTTTTCTTAGAAAGAAATAAGGAACACTCTTCACCAAACGAATAGGAAGCAAAAATGAGGGAAGACACAGGATTCGGGAAATGGGACAAGCAGGCAAGAGAAATCTGAGAATAATGAATATGAAAGAATCTGACAAAAACCAGTAAATTTTAAAGGAGGAGAATAAAGAATAACTAAGAATGTTACAAAAAGATATCAAAATGACAATGAGGAAATTGTCAATCTCATGATAAATATAGGAAATTTATCATTTAGCCCTCTACTGTACAGTATTTATATAGTCATAGTAATATAAACACATACTAATGATTCAGTTAAAATTAGAATCTAATTACCCAAGGAATTGGAGGAGAAATACATGGCAAAGTTGAAATAAAGATAATCTTCATTTCTTACAACGTGACACCAGTAAATAAAATTTAAAACGTCTAAATTAAAAATAAATAAATAAATAGAAATATTTTACTTAGAAATATGGAGGTGAAGCCTACTAAAGAACAGTAAAAAATTGGAAAGTTTTGGTTTTGGGAGCAAGACTAAGATGAGGTGACTTGCTATGATTCTATCATTCATTACAAAATTGTTAGTAATGTTGTATTAATTAAACTATGTTTATTCATCCTATTGATGAGATTGTAGACTTTTTGGATACAAAATTTAATGAATCAAGCTGCCAATTTTTGTTGTTCTTGCGATTGCTTTTGAGGACTTAGTCATAAATTCTTTCCCAAAGCTGATGTTCAGAATGACGTTTCCTAGGTTTTTTTCTAGGATTCTGTATTAGTCCATTTTTATGCTTTCATACCTGAGACTGGGAAGAAAAAGAGGTTTAACTGGACTTACAGTTCCACATGGTTGGGGAGGCCTCAGAATCATGGCAGGAGGCAAAAGGTACTTCTTACATGGTGGTGGCAAGAGAAAATGAGGCAGATACAAAAGTGGAAGCTGGAAGCCCTTGATGAAACCATCAGATCTTTTGGGACTTATTAACTACCACGAGAATGGAATGGGGAAACCTGTCCCCATGATTCAAATTATCTCCCACTGGGTCCCTTCCACAACACATGGAAATTATGGTTACAATTCAAGATGAGATTTGAGTGGGGACACATAGCCAAACCATGTCATTCTGCCCCTGGCCTCTCCAAATCTCATGTCCTCACATTTCAAAATCAATCATGCTGTCCCAACAGTCCACCAAAGCCTTAACTTATTTCATTGTTAACCCAAAAGTCCACAGTCCAAAGTCTTATCTGAGACGAGGCAAGTCCCTTCTCCCTACGAGCCTATAAAATAAAAAGCAAGCTAGTTACTTCCTAGATACAATGGGCATACAGGTATTGGGTAAATACAGCCGTTCTAAATGGGAGAAATTTGTAGGGCCCATGCAGGTCTGAAATCCAGAGGATTTAAAAGCTCCAAAATGATCTCCTTTGACTCCAGGTCTCACATCCAGGTCACCCTGATGCAAGAGGTGAGTTCCCACGGTCTTGGGCAGCTCCGCCATGTGGCTTTGCAGGGTAGAGTCTCCCTCCCAGATGCTTTCACAGGCTGGCATTTAGTGTCTGCAGCTTTTCCAGGGGCATGGTGCAAGCTGTTGGTGGATCTACCATTTTGGGGTCTGGAGGACGGTGGCCCTCTTATCACAGCTCCACTAGGTGGTGCCCCAATAGGGACTCTGTGTGGGGGCTCTGACCCCACGTTTCCCTTCCACACTACCCTAGCAGAGGTTCTCCATGAGTGCCCCATCCCTAAAGTAAACTTCTGCCTAGGGATCCAGGCGTTTCTATACATCTTCTGAAATCTAGGTGAAGGTTCCCAAACCCGAATTCTTGACTTCCGTGCACTTGCAAGCTGAACAACACATGGTAGCTCCCAAGGCTTGGGGCTTGCACCCTCTGAAGCCATGGCCAGAGGTCTATATTGGCCCCTTTCAGCCACAGCTGGAGCAGGTGGAACACAGGGCACCAAGTCCCTAGGCTACACACAGAATGGGGACCCTGGGCCCAGCACAGGAAACTGTTTTCTCCTAGGCCTCCAGGCTGTGATGGGATGGGCTGCCCTGATGACCTCTGACATGCCCTGGAGACATTTTCCCCATGGTCTTGGGGATTCACATTAAGCTCCTCCTTACTTTTGTAAATTTCTGCAGCAGGCTTGAATTTCTCCTCAGAAAATGGGGTTTTCTTTTCTGTCACACTGTCATGCTGCAAATTTTCCAAACGTTTATGCTGTGCTTCCTTTATAAAAGTAAATGCCTTTAACAGCCCCCAAATCACCTCTTGAATGCTTTTCTGCTTAGAAATTTCTTCTGCCAGATACCCTAAATCATCTCTCTCAAGTTCAAAGTTCCACAAATCTCTAGGGCAGGGGTAAAATGCCTCCAGTCTCTTTGCTGTAACAAGAGTCACCTTTGCTACAGTTCCCAACAAGTTCCTCATCTCCATCTGAGACCAACTCAGTCTAGACTTAATTGTCCATATTTCTATCAGACTTTTGATCAAAGCCATTCAACAAATCTCTAGGAAGTTTCAAACTTTCCCACATTTTCCTGTCTTCTTCTGAGCCCAACAAACTGTTCCGACCTCTGCCTGTTATCCACTTCCAAAGTCACTTCCACATTTTTGGGTACCCTTTCAGCAACGCCCCACTCTATTGGTATCAATTTACTGTATTAGTCTGCTTTCACACTGCTGATGAAGACATACCCGAGACTGGGAAGAAAAGAGGTTTAACTGGATTTACAGTTCCACATGGCTGGAGAGGCTTCAGAATCATGGCGGGAGGCAAAAAGTACCTGTTACATGGCAGCGGCAAGAGAAAATGAGGAAGATTCAAAAGCAGAAACCCTGATAAAATCATCAGATCTTCTGTGACTTATTCACTGCCATGAGAACCATGGTAGTCGTTCCTCATGGGGGAAACCACCCCCATGATTCAAATTCTCTCCCACTGGGTCCCTCCCACAACAGGTGGAAATTATGAGAGTCCAAAACAAGATGAGATTTGTGTGGGGACACAGAACCAAACCATATAGTTTGAAACCTTAAATTTAACTCTTTAATTCATCTTGAGTTAATTTTTGTATCTGGTGAAAGGTAGGGGTCTTATTTAATTTTTTCTGCATATGGATAGCCACCTGTCCCAACACCATTTATGGAATAGCAAATTGTTTCCCCATTGCTTATTTGTTGACTTTGCTAAAAACCAGATGACTGTAGGTGTGTGATTTTATTTCTGAGTTCTCTATTCTGTTCTATTGCTGTATAACTCTGTATTTGTACCAGTACCATGCTGTTTTGGTTAGTGTCACTTTATAGTTTAGTTTAGTGTTGGGTAGTGTGATGCCTCAGCTTTGTTCTTTTTGATTAGGTTGCTTTGGCTATTCAAGCTCTTTTGTGGTTCCATATGAACTCAAGGATAAATATATTTTTTATTCCTAGTTCTGTGAAAAATGAGGTCAGTAGTTTGATAGAAACGATGTTGAATCTGTAAATTGCCTTTGGCAGTTGGGCCATTTTAATGAGATTGATTCTTTCAATTCATAACCACTAGATTGTTTTCCCATTTATTTACGTCATCTGATTTCTTTCAGTGTTTTCTAATTTTTCTTGTAGAGCTCTTTTATCTCCTTGTTAGATCTATTTCTCAATATTTTATTTTTTAATGGCTATTTTAAATGGGATTGAGTTCCTGATAGGGCTCTCAGCTTGAATGTTATTGGGGTATAAAAATGCTATTGATTTTTGAACATGGATTTTGTACCTTGAAATTGTATCAGTTCCAAGAGCCTTTTGGCAGAGTCTTTAGGGTTTCCATACCTATTCTAAGTATAGAATCATATCATCCAGGAAGAATGATAGTTTGACTTCTTTTCCTATTTGGACACCTTTTATGCCTGATTGCTCTGGCTAGCACTTCCAATACTGTGTTGAATAGGAGTGGTGAAAATGGACATTCTTGTTTTGTTCCAGTTCACAAGGGGAATGTTTATGGTTTTTGCCCATTAAGTAGGGTGTAGGCTGTGGGTTTGTCATAGATGGCTCTCACTATGTTACTTTGATGCTTGCTTTCTTGAGGGTTGTTATCAGGAAGGAATGTTCGATTTTACCCAAAAACATTTCTATGTCTATTGAGATGATCAACTTTTGTTTTTAATTCTTTTTATGTGGTGAATCACATTTATTGATTTGCATATGTTGAACCAATCTTGCATCCTAGGAATGAAGCCTACTTGAACATAGTGAATTAACATCTGATCTGCTGTTGTATTCAGTGTGATAGTATTTTCATGACGATTTTTTTTGCATCTATGTTCATCAGGGATATTAGCCAGTAGTTTACATTTTCCATTGTGTCTTTAGTATGTTTTGGTATTAGGGTGATGCTGGCTTCACAGAATGAGTTAAGTAAGAGTACTTCCTCCTGGATTTTTGAAATAGTTTCAGTAGAATTGGTACCAGATCTTTTTTGTACATCTGTTAGAATTTGGGCTGGGCACAGTGGCGCACACCTGTAATCCCAGCTCCTTGGGAGGCTGAGGCAGGAGAATCACTTGAATCCAGAAGGTGGAGGTTGCAGTGAGCCAAGATTGTGCCCCTGCAGTCCAGCCTGGGCAACAGAGTGAGAGTCCATCTCAAAAAAAAAAAAAAAAAAATTGGCTATGAATCCATCTGGTCCCTGGCTTTCTTTGCTTGGTAAGTACATAATATAATGTTCCATGATTGTGTGATTAATGTTTTCCTTTGAAGGAAAATCATTGATTTTCTTTGGATTATATCCAAAAAAATTACTTTAAATGATAAGTGTATTTTACCAAGCTGCATTACAATATCTTTGGGTTTATGCAATGAAAAAGAAAACAATGTCTTTTTACTTTTCATTGATTTCAAATAGTCAAAAGTATCTTTTTAATTTTTAGAAAAAAATGTTCAAAGTTTGTAGGAGGTCTACCATGCACTGGTCACCAAATTGTGTGAGCTTAGTGAAATAGAAAATACTCATACACAAGTTACATGAAGTGGATTTATTATTCATGGATAGACAGAAAGGGGAAAGGGAAAAACACCCTAGAATCCAGTGAGAACTGGTCCCCCAAGACTCAAGAAAGCCTTCCAGGAGAGAAGAAGTCCTGACTGCCCATGCTCCACTTTGCACACCACAACTGAAGAACTCTGAAAGGCAGTCCATACCAAGTTATATACATCATGTGACAGGAGTCATGTCACATGCTGGGCAAAGCTTTGATGGACATTCTGCTTCCAGGGGAAAGAGGAACAAAGCCCAGGCTTTCCTGAACTTTTTCCTCCTAACTCAAGATATTACATTCCCTAAGAGGGTCAAGAACAGTTCTGCACTATTTCTGATAGCTCTTCCTTAAGATATTGCATTCCCAGGGTACTCCATATTTATTCCTGGAAAAACAAAACAAAACAAAACAAAAAACAGCAAGAAAAGGAGGGAACTGCACCAGTCTAAGGCCACCTGGAAAACTGTCTTGTAATAGTATATTTTTGGGTTTAGGTATATAATTAATTCATTTTTTCCTTGCTGTTAAGATTATTTTAAGGTTTATCTAGTAATCTTAAAGCTAAGATGTTGTTCCTCATTTGAGGCTAACATTGTGTAATTTCTGTTGTCAAAGGCATACACATTATTTTTCAGGTTTCTAACAAAAATCTATTGTCATTTTTGAATCATATTGAAAGAATATAATGTTTATTACAAAAGCCTTGGAAGAATTCTTTTTTTAAAATAAACTCAATTCTTTTGTTGCATGAATAGTCATGTACAAAGCCTATACCATAACAAGCTTTAACACATTCATCTTAATTAAGGAAACTATGGAAAATTCTGCTCACAGTCCTTTGTGTTCGAGTTAGGAGTGAGACAGCATTATCAGACATTTACTTATGGGAACATAATGACTCTTCAGGCTTAGTAAGATAATGGAGAAAACTACACTTAAGTTTCAAGATCACTGTACTACAGACTAGCTATATGACTTTCTGCAAGGCATTCACAATTTGTGCCCTACATTCTATACACGAAATGATGGATAAACTGTATATGAAACTTGGTAAGTAATGCCTGAATATGATTTTCTTATTTTTATAAAGAATATAAATAAAGAGCTCTCTTCTTCACTACTTAATATTATAGGAGAATAAAAGTCTACAAACTTTATGTAATACCTCCTGTGTACCAAGCAATGAATATGCTGATATTTCACATTTGTTAAAAGTTAAATTCCAAGTCTATCCTAAATTTGCTAAAAAAACCCTGAATGTGATGCTTTTGTTTGAGAAAGTTGCATTCCCAAACAACGATGTACACATTTATGAGGTTTTCAATAAGGTTTTTCTTTCATTCTGCCTTTGGCAAACTAAGGACAAAAAAAAAAACAAAACAATGTGCATGCACGTAAACATACAATTAAATATGTGCAGTTTTAAGAGCTGTGATTTGTTTTATAATTTATATGTTCTTATAATATAATACAGATTATTATAATGGCATAGACTTCTCAGCTATGCTGATATTGAATGGTTTGTTGTTACCCTTATTTTGAATATTCCCACAGAGGAAAATAAAAGGTTGATAATAAATAAATATATTTTAGTTGTCTTCTACCTTTTCTTCCTTGATTCATTCATTATTACACTTATTTATTTAGAACCCATCACAGTTCCACATGACTGGATAAAGCAGTGAACAACAACAAAACAGTTTTCATGAAGCTAACATTCTAATATGATACTAAGTTCAAGTAATGCTAGTTCCTGTAATGGATAAATCCAAAATGGGTTAAACAAATGAAAGTTTATTTCTTGTTTATGTCACCATACAATGAACTTAACACCTAGATGGCCGATGAAGAAAGAGAACATGAGAAACCACAGCAGTCTCTTAGCTGCTTCGGGTAGAAAAGGGAAAATCACTTTTTCTTACATCCAGCGATGAGAACAAGTTTCAGAGCACCACTTAGGACTACGGGGAAATGTCACTTCTGACTTCACAACTGCTTCTACGCAAAATTACACCCTGTAGAGAGAAATACAGACTCATATCGTCAGCTAACTGTTATTACAACCGTCCCCCATGTCAAGGAACAAATACCTCTTTCACTTTTCTTCTCATATAACATCGTGTCCTCTCCCCAAAGATGACAACTCAAATCTTCTCTAATAACTGTATCCAATTTAAAGTCCAGGTCATGAAGAGTCATCTCCACAAGATCTGGATGTGGTTCTCTCAAGGAGGCAAACTGTAAGCTAAAACAGATAAATGTCTGCCCCTCCAACTCTGAATCTATAGGAGTAGAGCCGGGAAAATTAACCGTGGTTAAAACTAACGCAAGCAGGAGCAACATGACACTTGAAGAAAGAATCGGGGCCACGCAACACTTAGTACTTCATAACAACGATGCAGTCAGTTGCATGACATTGCGAAGATGACAGTTCTCCTATTTAGGCTAGATACAATTTTTTATTTTTGGTAGAAACTCCCTTATCCCCTTTACCTCGATATTCTTTGTTCTGCTATGCAGACAAGAGACAATTCTCCTTTGTGCTTTATTCTCCTTGGCAACATCTGAAGTCGAAGTAGGAACGTGTGCCTTTAGGAGGTGATGTAAACGTTTGCAGTCAGCTTTTAGCCTTTGCAAGTTTAATACTAGAGAGCTGTTTTATTCATGCTCAAAAATCAAAGGTTTATTTTTTACTAGGAAAAAAAGAGATAACTAGCATTCCACTTTCCAACATATTTCCTTAGACGTATGGCTTCAGAGAGTACATACTCAGCCTTAAATGTTGTGTCAGAAATTGTTGCAAGACTCTTCCTTAGTTCAGCTAAAAACGGGGTTCGTTGTTTCCTAGCCACGTAAATTCAGGCTCTCAGACATTTAAAGGGTGAGTGAAGCAGGATTTTATTGGGTGGAAAAGGGAAACATGGGGGAAACAAGGACTCTCCCATGGCCATAGTCTCTCCACTAGGGCATTTCCCACTCTGTAGTTTGAATCCCAGGTTCCACATAGGAAGAGGAGGAGCTAGGCTCCTCCCCGCTGCGAACAGCATGAATTTCCCAAGGCTCCACCCCAGTGGGCAGGCTGGTTGGAGTTTCTCTAGGGACCCCCTCCCACCTCGCTGTCTCAAAATGATTTTGTTTTATTTTCTATGCTGCCTACTAAGCCAATGACCTAGCTAACCTCTACTTAAAAAAACACGTTTCATTATAATTTTAGGTAATTCTAGGTGTAGTAACATACAAACTCTGAAATCTCGGCAACTTATAATTAACCTTTATTTTGTTCTTATGTCACCATCTACCAGAAATTCTCCTCATCAAGTGTCCTTCCTCCTGCCTATTTAAAAATACATAATTCCTTCATATTGTGAATCAGCGAGGCCTCAGAGTCCTCTTCATTAAATGACAGGTAGGAAAAATGCCTCTTGGGAGAGTACATGTGATTGTTAACTCAGAAGAAACACAGCACTTATTCTAAAATTTCCTTTGCTACTAGTAATCCTGTGGCTCCATTAAGATAGAATATGAAATTAGGAATGTAATCACATGCTCACATCCTCTTTCCAATAACTGTCTTATTTAATTAGAATGAAGTTTGTGTGTTTGAACAATTAGTTGCTTGATGCATGAGGAAAGACTCAAAAATTAAAAATAAAACTGGTGACACAATGTATCAAGTCATGGTATGTCCTATGAAGCAAAATAAAGCTGGTCAAATGGATAGTAAGTGATAATGAGGTGCAAGGACTGTTATTTTATGTGATAGGGTATAGAAACATGAAGGAATTCAGGAAGAAAGCGATCCATTTGGGTACTTGGGGAAATGACTTCCAGACAGAGATAACAGCTATTTCAAAAGCTTTAGGCAAGACATACTTAGAATTGTGCAGGACAAATAAGGACAGTGTACCAACGAAGTATGAAAAAAATTGATGTCAGAGAAGTATCTAGGTCTGTCAAATGTAGTATCTTGTAAGCCATGTTAATAATTTTGGAATTTGCTATGAGTGAAGTGGGAAGTTATCAGATGACTTTTATGCAAAAAAGTAATATGATCTTTTGAAGAAAGTTACAAAAATCATATTTCAAGAACCTATATTTCTTTCATGCAAGTTTCCCCAATGTTTGCATCTTATATAATCATAGCACACTTACTAAAACTAGAAAATTAACACTAATACAATATTATTAAGTGATTCACAGACCTTATTCAAATTTTAACAGTTGCCCCAGTACTGTCCTTTTTCTGACCCAGGATCTGTCCAGGATTGTCCATTACAGTTAGTTTTCATGCCTCCTTAGCTTCCTTCAATTTTGAACAGTCCTTCAATTTTACTTGTCTTCTATGACCTTGACACTCTTGAAAAGTAGTGGTTATTTTGTCGACTGTACCTTGGTGTGAATCTCAAATTAGACTGACTTTGTGCAGTTTTGGCAGGAATAAGAGAAGTGATGTTTTTCTCTTCCCAGGATATTATATCAGTAAGTAAATAATGTTGACATGTCTCCTTCCTAGAAATATTAACTTAGAACATTTTGTTGAGATGGTATTTGTCAGAATTCTCTACTGTAGACTTCTGTTTTTTCATTTGTAATTTATCACTATCTTGTGGAAAGAATTTTTGTCACTAAGAAAATATCCTGTTTATTATAATATTTTTGCCCACCCGGTTTAACATTCCTTAATTACTCTTGGCTGCAATAATTCTTAATGTGGTGTTTGCCAAGTAGGGATTTTTCTATGTCTACCATTCCTTTTATATTCATTGTTTTGAATTCTACTCTAAAGAATAACTCTTTTTTTTGCATTAATTCACTTTCCTGATTATTTATATCTTTATGTGGTTATGGATATTTATTTTATATTTTATGTGTTTTATTCCATTAGCAACACTGCTTTTTTTATTGCTCAAAATAACTTTGACTCGGTCATTGGGAGTTCTTTCATAGTGACTCCTGTAATCTTTTGATGCCCTCCTATCTTTTATTTTATTTTATTTTATTTTATTTTTTTGAGCAATTCATTACTTTCTGGCACTACAAGATATTACAGGCTCACCTTACACTTTCCTGGCCACAGTCGCAGAGTTAAGAATTTTTCCAAGAGGCTTGTTTTGTTTTGCTGGGGAATGGTATTTAGAAACCAGTATATAGATGCTAGATGTTCTCACTGCCAGGATGTTTTTATTTTTTATTTTTTTGTAGTTGGAGTGGGAGTCTATGTTGCCCAGCCTAATCTCAAATTCCTGGGCTCAAGTGGTCCTCCACCTCTGCCTCGCACATGGCTGGGAGTACAGGGAGGGGCCACCTCACCAGGCTCAGCATGTTAACTCTCAGAGTTAGAAAACAGACACACACACACACACACACACACACACACACACACACACACACACAGAGTTTTTTTTCAATTTCCAAATCTATTTTAGGAAAGGACTGGTGTAACTGATGTGCCGTGTATGGAAATAAGAGTAAACTAACAGCCAGGAGCGGTGGCTCACGCCTGTAATCCCAGCACTTTGGGAGGCCCAGGTGGGCGGATCACGACCTGGGAGGTGGAGCTTGCAGTAAGCCGAGACTGTGTCACTGCACTCCAGCCTGCGGACAGAGCGAGACTCAAAAAAAAAAAAAACAGTGAAATAAAATGAGGTTAAATATATCTGAAGGAGCTTAGTAAGCACAGCATATGATGTGATTCATGATAACAGAAGATAATTCTAATGTAAAAAGAGGATTAGAGTTAGAATCTGTAGAGATGTGAGATTCTAAATATCTGAAGGGCAAAAACAAAATAAATAAGGAGAAAAATAGTCAAGGAAGGGTGGGAGGGCTGAAGCACATGGTTGCCTCTTTTTTAAAAAAACATTTTACATTAATATTATGTCCCAAACTCATAATCTTTCCTTCCCATAGCAAGAAGGAAAATAGGAAATACTTCAGGGTAAAGATGAGTGAACCTCCAGAAATAAATGTCTAGGGCTGTTTTTCTCATTTTGAGTAAAAGCTTAATTACTGACCTTGTATTGGAAAAATAGTTCAAATGTCTTATCCTAAGTAGAAATGCCTTTGTGGTGTAAAGCCTAGCTCAGGAGTGATAGAGAGCTTTTAATCAAATTACACACAAAAAACAGCTGGGACAAATCTTATGAATCATGACTGTGCATGTCCCAGCTGAGCTCTCTACTTGAGCTCTAGAAGATGAAAAAGAGAACACAAGTCAACAATGCACAGACCTCTAAACACTTCTTGGGCTGCAGGTAGATAGTCCCATAACTAAACCTCAAAAAAGTATAATTTATTCACATCGTACTTGGGTTCAGTGAAATGAGTTTACTAAATATATATGACACAAATAATCTACATAGTTACTTTTCAAAAAGAAAAACAATAAAGGAATTTTTTTAAGTTCCAATAAAAAAATTCATTAAAGGAGAAAAATTATCCAGGGAGTATAATTTTTCACAACAAATGCAGTTTTCTAAATGAAAAAGAGATTATTAAAGGAAAAAAAAATCAGACACACAATTTTAAGTGTGTGCTTAGTGAGGTATAGCATGATATTTCTAAGCTTGATAAACATGAAGAAAATTTTTTAAAGAAATATAACAAGAAGGAAATGTTTACGTTGCATATCTAATTTTTAATTATTGTTTTTTATTTTTAGATGATAACTTAGAAAATTTAGATCATGTAAAGAATAAGCAAAGTGGTAGATTCATAGGACTATTCATGCACTATTCTAGGAAAACACTCAAAGAAAATCCTTACACAGGCCAAGCATAGGTATAATGATCTTTGCAGTGATTTTAGTAACAGAGATTTGAAGGCAGACTATATTCTATTAGTATAGGAATGGATTGACATATAGCAGTCTGGCAAATTGTGGAATCCTATATCAACAACAACAACAAAAATGACACTTGTCTCCAACTTGAATAAGACTTTTAAAATTTAAAAAGACATATAGTACAAAAACATTCAAATTAAATAATTAACAAAGAAACATATACAACAGCAAATGCATATATCTATATTTAAGAAATACATACTGATCTATGATCACGTTTTAAATGTTTCAGGGTGGATGCTGGTGTGGAAGAGCACGTAATGGGAAGTAGGAATGAAAGATTAAGCCATATTAAAATAATTATTTTTCTTTCAACAGGTCAATAAGGCAATTGTGCTGTGACCTGATGAGTTGATTACCTTAGTACTGTACAGCAGACACGCAAAAGAAAAAAAAAGGATATTTATATAAGATAGATGCAATTCCTTTATGTTTGATGAAATAAGCGCTCCAAGGCTATTGTTGTTTAAGTGCCTATTTACCCTTTGTATTTTCAACAAACATTGATGATTTCACAAGCCCTGGCCCTGATTCTCATCACACACACACACACACACACACACGCACACGCACATACACACACACCCCCTAATAACTACATACAAAGTGTTTTGGCATTTTTTTCTCAAAACATTATTAACATCCAGAATCAAAAGTTTAGTTGCTGATGTAACTATAAATTTGCATCTTAATATAGTTTTGTTTTTTGTGGGTTCTATATTATTTGTGAGATAAATTGAAATGGAGTCATAGACTATTTTGCTAATTATATTTGCAATTTTGTGACATAGCAGATTATTTATTCAAAAATATTAAATCTCTAGAAGCTACTTCCATCTCTTGGTTATTTTTAACTTGATTATTCCCTAGTTGTTATTATTTTTTCCTCATGATAAATAATCTTGAAATTTCACCTATGTTCGTATCAAAAGAACAATCATAAAGGAATGCTCCAATAGTCACAACCAGACACATTTCCATCTCAGCGTTTTTGTATTTGCCGTTCTGTCTGTTTAGCACTGTTTTCCCAGATAGTCATGTGGCTCACTCACCTCTCCTTCAAGTCCTTGCTTACATGAATGTTCTCAGCAATGCTTTCCCTGACCATCTCAAGCAAAATTAACCTACCTCAGAGCTCTATTCCCCTTATCTATATTTGTTCACTTGTGTTTGCTTATTTGTTCACGTATATTTTTCTGTCATATTTTAGTGCAAGCAAGCTCCTTGAAGGCAAAGATTTTTATGACATTTTTCCCTTAAATCTCCAAATCCTAGCATAGCTGATAAATATGAGGTGCCTAAAAGGTGCTGAGGGAATGAATAAAAGCTGTTTTGTAAAGTAATAATAATAACAATGAACACCATCTTGTTTAGAAACATACACATAAAAGTTCTTGGGTTATTTATTCCTTTGCAAGGATTTGCTCATTTATATTTCTGCCTCTTGGGAATTGTCTTAGCTTTTATAATATAAATCAACGGGAAAATAATTTTACAACTACTTTTGCTGAAATACATTGATAATAGATGAAATAACTATACTATACTAAATTCTCTTCTTAAAAAATACTTTTCTTGAGATATTTGACAGCACTGACCTTCGGCAATCAGTAGCATACTGCTTCAAATAAATAATGATTATGTTTGACTTATTAAAATGTTGTAGAATCTCTGTTATACTATTTCACTATGAATTTTCTATATCTTAGGGAAAACAAAGAGGTTTAAGCTTCAAAAATTACGATTAGCATAATACCCTTCAAATCCCGGGTCACTTACATAAGCTTCCCTAAAGTTTAGCACCACTAATTAACTCCAACTTACTTTACATAGCAATCCACAAGCCCTTCACATGGAAGAAATAAAAATATGGCTCTTTTAAAGGCCAGGAAATGACATTATAGAAATGCTTTGGGAGTAATAAAAATAACTTGCAAAATAATCCTGAGAAAGTTATAGCCTGTGAAAGTGTGTCATACAAAGTCCTTACTCACGTATGGGGTTTGATAAGCTTAGAGAGCTGAAGATTCGTATGCAACCTATGATCCTTAATGTACCTAAGAATTCTCTCAATTATAAAGTAAATAGGGAGTTTAAGTAGTCTGAATGACTTTTTAAAATATTTGTTACTTACTCTGGATTCTTGCAGCCTAATATAAAGGATATTTTTACAATAAATAATTGGTATAATCTTACAAAATATATGTCACCTGGATTTTGTGAAAGAGACTAATTGACGAAATAGCCTATTATAATTGCGAAGGCATCAGCCATAAAGAAAATAATGATAATTTACTACCATTATACACTCCAAAGTTCTTATCATTGGCATTTTAAATGGTAATGGTGGCATTTCTGCAAATATTCAGCAGAACAAAAACTATTTTGATTTTAAAAAGGAGATCATGTTATTCTATAAATTATGTTGGAAAACTTGTAATTGCATGCTTTCAAACTAATAAAAGACTGGAATCCATAATATAATAGGAAAGGTTTTTGGTATTTTATATGGTATAGCAATTTGATTTTTATTTTTTTAAAAAAACTTATGATGGTTGTGCTTTCATAATGGAAAAGGAACTATATTGGATCTTTCTCATTTATATGCCTGCCCTCTCCAAGTGAGAGGTGAAGCCAGCTGTACTTCCTGGGTTGAGTGGGGACTTGGAGAACTTTTCTATCTAGCTAAAGGTTTGTAAACGCACCAATCAAAACTCTGTAAAAGCACACCAATCAGTGCTCTGTGTCAGCTAAAGGTTTGTAAACGCACTAATCAGCACTCTGCAAAAACGGACCAATCAGCACTCTGTAAAATGGACCAATCAGCACTCTGTAAAAGGACCAATCAGCACTCTGTAAAGTGGACCAATCGGCCAGATGTGGGTGGGGACAAATAAGGGAATATATGCTGGCCACCTCAGCCAGGGATGGCAACCCGCTGGGGTCTCCTTCCGCTGTGTGGAAGGGTTGTTTTTCTGCTCTTCGCAATAAATCTTGCTGCTGCTCATTCTTTGGGTCGCCGCCGCCTTTTATGAGTTGTAGCACTCACCGCGAAGGTCTGCAGCTTCACTCCTGAAGCCAGCTAGAGCCAGCGAGACCACGAACCCACTGGGAGGGATGAACAACTCCGGACTCGCCACCTTTATGAACTGTTAACACTCACAGCGAAGGTCTGCAGCTTCACTCCTGAAGCCAGCGAGACCACAAACCCACTAGGAGGAATGCACAACTCCTGATGCCCTGCCTTTAAAAGCTGTAACGGTCACTGCGAAGGTCTGCGGCTTCATTCCTGAAGTCAGCGAAACCACGAACCCACCTGAAGGAAGAAACTCCGGACACATCCGAACATCAGAAGGAACAAACTCTGGACACACCATCTTTAACTGTAACACTCACCACGAGGGTCCGCAGCTTCATTCTTAAAGTCAGCGAGACCAAGAACCCACCAATTCCGGACACGCAAGTATTCGTAACGTAATAACCTTACACATAGTTTAAAAAATCATCTCAAAGTTCCTAAGATTGTCTTTGTTTTTAAATAATCATTAATATAATGTTTGATTTTCTTTGGAGAAAAATATAGTTTTTCAAAATGCTTATCACCTTCTTATGATTGAACACTCCCTATTCAAACCTGTTTTTGATTTTCCAAGTATCTCATTAAAAATAGTTATATATTTTATGTTGAAATGTTTTTACATATAATCAGTCATGAAATATTCATACTCAGAAGGTAACACATAAAACTCACAACAATCAAGATTGTCAGAGGTCATTCTTATTTTTCTCTACTTCTTAGTACTTTCTAACCTCTTCACCCCAAGGGAGAGACTTATAGCATGGTGCAATTCAAGTTTGAACTTATGATTTTAAAATGGCTATTTAGTCTGGTAGTAACTGTTAATCAAGGACACAATGTTTATATGTCAGTGATGTCAAAGCAGAACTCGCTAATATTACAGAAGCCATGCTCAAACAACAGCTGGGAGATAAGTAGTAATTGAACATACTTAAAAATCCACCCCATGTACTGAACAGATTTCAGTGTCTGCTGTGTTTAAGGTCCACTGAGTTGTGAAATGGCTGTTTCATTCACACAGATGTTAATATCTCCAGGCTCTTCTCTAGCTTTGTAGCTTCTCATTTACATATCTGCAGTAAGTTTGGTGTTCATGAAGTGAGATACAGCTACTTGTCACTACTCTTTGTTATAATAAAGCATGTTCAAGACAAAATACGAGCGACTCCTATTTTGCTTAATTACAGCTCATTAAGGCTTAAGAAGAAAAATAATAAAGGAACATAGCAATAGGTGTTCAGTCACCAGTGCTTCATTAGTCCTTTTACTGTTTAAATACCTGAAGCTGATGAATATAAATTACTCATACAAATGCAGTTTAAAAAGTTTTTGCTCTCTTTTTTCCTCTGTGTAAACAGTATCAAATAATGAAATTGATTATTTGATATTATGAGAGTTAAATTTTCTTCTTGAGAGTGAAATTTTATTTTTACATGCTTAGCATATTTTTTATGTAGATATGTATGCTGAGCAGTTCCCAAGCTGTTTAAAAATCATTTGATCAAATAAAATGGAAAATGCATGGATTCTAAATCAGAGGTTAAAGAGACATAGCATAGCTAATTATGTCTCACATTCCAAGATAACGTTACTTGTTCTGATGAGGTTGAACATACTAATGTCTAAATGCCAATACTTTCCACACAACTGGTATCTTTCAATTAAATATATTCTCTTGATGCACACAGCCAGTTATTTGCTACAATGACTCTACTTCAGGAAACTAAATACCTCTTGACAACAAGCTGCTCAATCCTGGAATTCATCAGGGTGCACTTTATTGTTTTCCCTTCACAGAGACTAACAAATAGTGTTACTTTTGATTTTAGTTTTGCAGAAATATACTCTGTAAGTAAATTTTATAGCTCACCTGGTACCCTGATTGGTCTTTCCATTTCCTTGAGAGCATTTTGCCAAAACGTTTTATATACTTTATTGAAATAATAATTCTTGCAAAAGTGATTTAGAAGTCCCTCATTTTGATATTGTCATTTAACGTACATTTCCAGATTCGTAAATAGTGCTCAATGAGAATGGTCTTTTATTAGGATTTGAAGAGAACATAGTAATATTTTCCCTTACATTGAGAAGTGCATAGCAAATAGAAAATTATAGTATTGCAAACATTTTTTCTAAGATATATCCAATTTTAATTGGTCATCTATGACTGACTCTGTGTGTGTGTATTCAATATCACATTTGAGAACAGAACAATTACACTTCATTTCCTTCATAAAATTAGCAACTTATGAAATACTTTTATTCTATTTAATGTTCGCTATTTGTTCAAGTGGGATTTTGATGCAGGATTTTTCTTCTCAGTCACTTTGCAAGCCAGAGTTCCCTGGCCAGCGACGTCCCGCCCCAGCCTCACTCGGCCATGCTGGCATGCCCCAGCTTGCCTGTGTTACAGCTTGTACCTGCATTCAGCAGTTTGCAAGCTCTTGTACCATGCTCGAGAAAAATGAGGATAGACAGGATATTGAAGGGCGAGAAGGGTGGAGAAGAATTTTTCTGAATGATGAAAATGGCTTTCATCAGAGAGGGGACATGGTGGGGATGTTTCCCCTACCAGAAGGTGGGAAAATTCCCCCCCTGTGGCTCTATGTGGGGCCTTTTATGGACTCAGAATGGGGAGTGTGTGCTGATTGGTTTGTGAGTATGCAAAAACGGTTAAAGAAAATATACCACTCAAAGATGGGCAGGACAGTGTAGAAAAACAAATTAGGAAAGGGTAGGTATAAGTAAAATAGGTAAAGGGTAGGGACCAATCAGAGGAACACATGCCAAACAGGAAGACAAGTTCTCAATCCAGTCTGAGGATTTAACTTGTAGCTTGGCTTTCAGACTCTAAACTGTCTTTGGCTTAGAGGTGGGGTTTCACTCGGGACCCACCTACCTGCCTAGAATTTCTCTGCCTCCTGCCTCTATCAATTTCAAATGCATCTAATTAAAATATATGCATATATTTAAAATGCATAAACAATGCATATAAATTATTGTATTATACATTATGCAAATGTATACAAATATATATACTTAAAAGATAAGACCAAAGGCTTAAATGCACATATTTTTAAAGATGTGACAAGATTTTCCATCTGTTGGAATAATACCAAATTAATTTATATTTAGTATTTTTGCCACTAAACTACCAGTTTGTCATAGTAGGTTTCCAGCATTGGTTTACATAAAGGACAGCATAGGAATAAAATGCATTTTTCACACAATTCAGTAGACTATTTTACAGCTGACCTTTTTTTTTTTTTTTTTTGAGACCGAGTCTCGCTCTGTCGCCCAGGCTGGAGTGCAGTGGCGTAATCTCGGCTCACTGCAAGCTCCACCTCCCAGGTTCATGCCATTCTCCTGCCTCAGCCTCCCGAGTAGCTGGGACTATAGGCACCCACCACCACGCCCAGCTAATTTTTTGTGTTTTAGCAGAGACCCGGTTTCACCGTGTTAGCCAGGATGGTCTCGATCTCCTGACCTCATCATCTGCCCTCCTCGGCCTCCCTAAGTGCTGGGATTACAGGCGTGAGCCACCGCGCCTGGCCAGCTGACTTTCTAATTTTCAAGAAAATTTAAAATTCTATTGCTGTTGCATAATAAGTATAAATATTACACGATGATTGTCTTGAAAGTTATTCATATTTATAGTATAGCTCTCTGTATATAACAGAAACTAAATCTGAAACCCTTTAGGAGGAAAAAAAAAGCCAGAGATTTAACAACTAAGATAAGGGTGGTAATGAGGGTGCCTCAGGTTATAAAATTTTTAGAAAAATTCAGTGTGACCTAATTCTAGTAATTAGACCTGCATTTTGTGACCAAACCCTTCCTTGAAAACCTGTTTTGGTAACTAGGCCTATAATTTATCTGAGTTTAAATTATGTTTTATCCAATACTATAACTCAGTATTACTTTTAATAATTGCAAAGGAGCTTAGCTAAACTGCAACATCTGAGAAAACAATTTCCAAAGTTTGCACTCATTTCAGACACCACCATCGATTTCAAGGATCCTCAGAAGCATCATCATTTCACAATAGCTAGCTACAAATTCAGGAGTCTCTATGACTACCCTCAGGTTCAATAATTCACTAGAAACATTCACAAATCCCAGGAAAGTGTTATGTCTGATGATTACAATTTTATTATAGAAGAAGTATAAAAATTAGAATCAGTCTAAGGAAAAGATATGCATAAGATGAATTCTGGGAGGTTTCTATTTTTTACTTTTCTTAGAGATGAGGTCTTGCTAATGTTATGGGAAAGAGGTCCCAGTCCAGACCCAAGAGAAGCTTCTTAGAACTCATGCAAGAAAGAATTCAAGGCAAATCCATACAGTAAAGTGAAAGAAAGTTTATAAGAAAGTAAAGGAATGGAAGAATTGCTACTCCATAGGCAGAGCAGCCCCAAGGGCTGCTGGTTGCCCATTTTTATGGTTATTTCTTGATTATATGCTAGACAAGGTGTGAATTATTCATGAGTTTCCTGGGAAAGGCATGGACAATTCCAGGAGCTGAAGTTTCGCCTCTTTTTAGACCATATAGTGTAACATCTGGACATTGCCATGGCATTTGTAAACTGTTATGATGCTAGCAGGAGTGTCTTCTATGCTAGTGCATTATAATTAGCATATAATGAGCAGTGAGGACTACCAGAGTTCACTCTCCTCACCATCTTGGTTTTGGTGGGTTTTGGCTGGCTTCTTCACAACCACCTGTTTTATCAGCAAGATCTTTATTATCTGTATCTTGTGCCAACCTCCTATTTCATCCTGTGACTTAGAATGCCTAACTTACTGAGAAGGCAGCCAAGCAGGTTTCAGCCTTGTTTTACCCAGCCCCTGTTCAAGATGGAGTTGCTCTTGTTCAAATGCCTCTGACACTGTGTTGCCCAGGGTGGTCTCAAACTCCTGGCCTCAAATAATCCTCCTGCCTCAGCCCTGCAAAAGTGCTGGAATTACATGCATAATTCACCACAGCCAGATAGTCTGGGAGGTTTCTAAATGTGAAATTTCCATTATCTTCAGGGATGCTTTATTCTACCAAGCATCAATTTTTGGCAATAATAATAAAGTATAGCCACCGCAAGAAGCTCACTAGAGCTTCAGCTTGAGAGTGCCTATTGAGGCTTCATGAGATAGGCATGACTGATTCATTGCTTACATAATTGAACTTAATTTTCAGCCCCACTCCTCAGTATGGAGGCCTCATGAGGCCCATGGCCAAACCTTCTACCCCAAGCCTGGCTTTGATGTGACCAACCCCTACCACGGAGTCATCTCACTAGCATAAACTATTAAGGGGAACATCATGAACTGTCACCTGTGGCCAGCGATGCACACAATGAATAACAAAGACACTGCCATCACTTAAGAAATGCAAAAGGTTTAGAACCTGTCTCTCAGGGGCTGAGACAATGGCCAGACCTCTCTTTGGAAGTTAAATTCCTTAATACAAAATGAACCAATCAAGAACCCAAATCGGAATCTGATCTCCAGGTGTTAACTCCTGATATTTGCTGCTGCAGTGAACAGCAATTCCAGCCTTATGCAAGTCTGTCTACCCAGATCACAGACCTTTGTCCATGCCCAGCTTTTGTGTGATTGTGCTCCATTTTACACTCAGCACAAAATAGAAGATCAACCTTGACTTTTGACAATTTAAATGAAAAAGAGAGCTAACTGGCTAGGTAGACAGATAATCCCTTTCGATTTCAGCTAAAAAACAAATACAAAAACAAAAATTGACTTAAAATCCTCCTAACTGACATTTATAATGGTAAGTTTTTGAAAGTTTTTATAAATATCCAAAATGCTACATTTTCTATCTTTGTTATTATCTCATATTGGGAACATTATCCCAATGATTTAGAATTTAAAAATTCATCTTCAATTGAGTGACCTTAATTTGACAAACTAACTCATGACTTTTGGCCAGTAGGCTCTTTTGTGTTACGGTAAGAGCATTATAGACCCCATCCCCTTTTCAACCATTTGAAAGTGAATTGTTTTTAAATATGTATAGTCTTTTCCTATGAACAATGTCTGTACTCACCACAGGACTCAGAAATAAACATTTGCAATCACATTGATTACTATTGTTTATAAGGCAGCTGGGTTAAAAATGAAATATATGCTTCATTAAATAAGCCAGGTCAAAAAAGAATTGGTGTCTACACCAGAGTAAGCAGTTACTCTGACATGTGCACAGTTTTGACTGTCTGTTGTCTTTTTGTACATAGATTCTAGTTCCACAAAGTCTTAGACAGAGTAATTATATTCACAGTAGATCCTTACATTTATTTATTTATTAATATTTATTTATTTTTGAGATAGAGTTTCACTCTTGTTGCCCAGGCTGGAGTGCAGTGGCGTGATCTCAGCTCTCTGCAACCTTTGCCTCCTGGTTTCAAGCAATTCTCCTGCCTCAGCCTCCTGAATAGCTGGGATTATAGGTGTGCACCACCATGTCCAGCTTTTTTTTTTTTTTTTGTATTTTTAGTAGAGACAGGGTTTCACCATGTTGGCCAGGCTGGTCGCAAACTCCTGACCTCAGGTGATCCACCTGCCTCAGCCTCCCAAAATGCTGAGATTACCACTCACCCAGTGGGTGCCACTGCACCCAGCCCTTACTTATATTTAAAATAAAAGTTTTAAAAGTTTTTTAGGTGCTGGCTCATGCAGGTAATTTATTTTGAGAATGTTGATTATATAAATAGTATCCATATAAGAATAAAATGTAAATAAATGTACATACTATGAAGCTCTGCACTCAAAGACTATGAGCAATGACTTTTTCTTAAATATTCTATCTATAAGGACTTTTTATTATAAAATGTATGTATTACATAAATACATGAATATTCAAGAAATTTGAAAGATGAAATATTAAACTTTTAAAAAAATGGTTACTTTCTTTTTTTAAAATTTAAGTTCAGGGCTACATGTGCAGGTTTGATATATAGGTAAACTGCATGTCATGGAGTGTTTGTGTGTTTGATACGGAGTCTCGCTCTGTTGCCCAGGCTGGAGTGCAATGGCAGAATCTTGCCTAACAGCAAACTCCGCCTCCTGGGTTCAACTGGTTCTCCTTCTTCAGCCTCCTGAGTAACTGAAATTACAGGCACCCACTGTCATACCTGGCTAATTGTTGTATTTTTGTAGAGAGGGGGTTTCACCATGTTGGCCAGGCTAGTCTTGAACTCCTGACCTCAGGTGATCCACCTGCCTTGACCTTCAAAAGTACTGGGAGGTGTCATGGAATTTCGGTGTACAGATAATTTCATCAGTCAGGTGACATAGCACCTAATAGGTATTTTTATCCTCATCTCCCTCCTCCCTTTCTTCACTCTCAAGAAGGCTCTAGTGTCTGTTTTTCCCCTCCTTTGTGTCTATGTGTTCTCATTATTTATAAATGAGACCATGCATATTTGTTTTTCCATTCCTGGGTTAATTTTCATAAGATAATGGCCTTCAGCTCCATCCATGTTGCTGCAAAGGACATGATCTTGTTCCTTTTTATGGCTGCAAGGTATTCCGTGGTGTATTTATACCACATTTTCTTTATTCAGTCTGTCATTGATGGGCATTTAGGTTAATCCCATGTCTTTGCCATTGTGAATAGTGCCGCAATGAACATATGCGTGCATAGGTTTTTATGATAGAAAAATTTATATTCCTTTGGGTATATACCAATAATGGGATTGTCGGGTCAAATGGTAATTCTGTTTTAAGTTATTTGAGAAATCACCACACTGCCTTCCACAATGGCTTAACTCATTTACACTCTCACCAGCAGTGTATAAGTGTTCTCCTTTCTCCACAGTCTTGCCAGCATCTGTTATTTTTTGACGTTTTAATAATAGCCATTCTGACTGGTGTTTGATGATGTCTCGTTGTTTGGATTTTCATTTCTGTGATTACTGATGTTAAGCATTTATTGTCATATGTTTGTTGGCCACATGTATGTCTTCTTTTGAAAAGTATCTGTTTATGTCCTTTGCTCACTTTTTAATAGAGTTGCTTGTTATTTTGCTTGTAAATTTGTTTAAGTTCATTATAGATTCTGGATATTAGAACTTTGTCAGATGCATACTTTGCAAAAATTTTCTCCCATTATATAGGTTGTCTATTTACTCTGTTGATAGTTTATTTTGCTGTGCAGAAGTTCTTTAATGTAATTAAATCCAATTTGTCATTCTTTTTTTAAAATTTTAATTGCTTTTGGCATCTTCATTATGAAATATTTGCCAAGTTGTTTTTCCAGAGTGTTATTTCTTAGGTTATCTTCCAGTGTTTTGATAGTTTTTGGTTTTAAATTTAAGTCTTTAATCCATCTTGGTTGACTTTGTATATGGTGTAAAGAAAGGGTCCAGTTTCAATCTTCTGCGTATGTCTAGGTAGTTATTCCATGACCATTTATTGAATAGGGAGTCCTTTCCCCATTGCTTGCTTTTGTCAGCTTTGTTAAAGATCAGGTGGTTGTAGGGGTGTGGCATTATTTTTGGGCTTTCAATTCTGTTCCATTGGTCTATGTGTCAGTTTTTGCACCAGTATCATGTTCTTTTAGTTACTGTAGCCCTGTATTATAGTTTGAAGTCAGGTATCATGATGCCTCCAGCTTTGTTCTTTTCACTCAGGATTGCCTTGGCTATTCAAGCTCTTTTTTGATTCCATATGAATTGTAAAATAGCTTTTCTTAATTCTGTGAATAATGTTATTGGTAATTTGATTGAAATAGCATTAAATCTGTAAATTTCTCTGGGAATTATGGCCATTTAAAAGATATTGATTCTTTCTATCCATGAACATCAAATGTTCTTCCATTTACTTGTCTCATATCTGATTTCTTTGAGCAGTGGTTTATAATACTTTCAATCTCTGGTTAGCTATGTTCCTAGAAATTTTATTCATTTTGTGGCAATTATGAATAGGATTGAGTTCCTGATTTGGCTCTTGGCTTGGATGTTGTAGGTATATAGAAATGCTACTGATTTTTATATGTTGATTTTGTATCCTGAAAATTTGCTGAAGTTGTTTATGAGATCAAGGAGCTTTTGAACAGAGACTGTGGGGGTTTTCTAGAAGTTATACCAACCACATCTCAGACCACAGCGCTACAAAAATAAAAGTCAATACTAAGAAAATTCCTCCAAAGCATTCAATTATATGGAAGTTAAACAATCTGATCCTGAATGAGTTTTGGGTAAATAATTAAATTAAGTCAAAAATAAAGGAATTCTTTGAAGCTAAAGATAACAAAGATACAACATATCACAATCTCTAGGACACCCCTAAAACAATGTTAAGATGGTCATTTGTAGCACTAAGTGCCCACATCAAAAAGTTATATATATATCTCAAATTAACAACCTAACATCACAACTAGAACAGCTAGAGAAGCAAGAACAAACCAACCCCAAAGTTAGTATAGAAGACAAGAAATAACCAAAATCAGAGCTGAACTGAAGAAAATTGAGACACAAAAATCACTCAAGAGATCAGTGAATCCAGGAGTTTGTTCTTTGAAAAAATTAATAAGATAGGCTGCTAGCCAGACTAATAAAGAAAAAAGGACAGAGAAGATCCGAATAAGCATAATTAGAGATGACAAAGGGGACATTACCAGTGACCCCAAAGAAATACAAAAAAATTATCAGAGACTCCTATGCACACCTCTATGCATACAAACTAGAAAATCTAGAAGAAATGCATAAAATCCTGGACCCAGATAAATTCCCAAAACAGAACCAGAAAGAAATTGGATCCCTGAACTTGAGTCAATAATTAGTTCCAAAATTGAATCAGTAATAAAAAGCCTACCAACCAAAAAAGGCCCAGGACTAAATGAATTCCCAGCCAAATTCTACCAAATGCATAAAATAGAGTAGATACCAGTCCTACTGAAACTATTCCAAAAACTTGAGGAGGAAGGACTTTTCCCTCAATTCATTCTATGAGGCCAGCATCATCCAAATATCAAAACACAGCAGGCACACAACAAATAAAGAACACTTCAAGTCAATATTCTTGATAAACATAGATGTAAGAATCCTCAAGGAAATACTAGCAAACTGAATCCAGCATCACATCAAAAAGCTAATCGACTGTAATCAAGTAGGCCTTATCCCTGGGATGCAAGGTTGGTTCAACATACACAAATCAGCAAATGTGATTAATCACATAAACAGAAGTAATTCTAAAACCATGTGATTATCTCAATAGATGCAGAAAAGGTTTCAATAAAATTCAGCATCCCTTCATGTTGAATTAATGAGGCGTTGAAGAAACATACTCCAAAATAATAAGAGTCATCTATGACAAACCCACAGCCAACTTCATGCTGAACAGACAAAAGCTGGAAGCATTCCCCTTGGAAACTGGCACAAGACAAGGATGCCCTCCCTTACCACACCTACTCAACATAATATTGGAAATCCTGATCAGAGCAATCAAGTAAAAGAAATAAAAGGCATCTAAATAGGAAGAGAGGAAGTCACACTATCCCTGTTTGCAGATGACATGATGCTATATCTAGAAAAGTTTTAATTTGAGACAGAGGATTATGAAATATGAAGCATCTATAGCCTGCATAGAGTTTGAAAATAACAGAAAAAGATGCAGCCTTCTGATCAAATTCAGATGGGAAAGCAAACAGGGATTGTTCAAATTAAATTTGCCTGTGAATAACAGAATAGTTCTGGTGGAACCAGCAAGACAAAGTTTGCAAACATAGCCACCAATGTTACTAGTCCATTTACATTTTAAGAAATACTTTATGGTGTAAACATTTTTACATATTTGGTCAATCTCCCAAGATGTTAATAAAAGAGAAAACAATACCATTCATTACAAAAATATGGCAAATGTATTTAAAAAGTCAGTGTTATATTATGAAAGTGAAAATAAGACTTTCAAAAGAAATGAAAATGTTACAATTAGATTGAACTGTCAAAATTGCATAATGGCTAACTTTAGATTCATTTAATTTTAAATTATTTGTAGTTTGAAAATAAGACAACATAGAATTATAAGTATTATATTATCAAATCAATGAAGCTATTTTTAAAAATCTTAAATATTTGACCAAAACTCTTCCCAACATTTTATATCTTCATGTTTTGCTATTTATTTATTTATTTGAGACAGAGTTTTGCTCTTGTTGCCCAGGCTGGATTGCAGTGGCATGATCTTGGCTCACTGCAACCTCTGCCTCTTCGGTTCAAGCGATTCTCCTGCCTCAGCCTCCCGAGTAGCTGGGGTCATAGGCGCCCACCACCACGCCCAGCTAATTTTTGTTTTTTTAGTAGATACAGGGTTTCACCATGTTGTCTAGGCTGGTCTCAAACTCCTGGCCTCAGGTAATCTGTCCGCCTTGGCCTCCCAAAGTTCTGAGATTACAGACGAGAGCCACTGTGCCTGTCCATATTTTATTATTTTCATAAGAATATATTTATCTAATTATACAACTTTATATATTTTATTATACAAGTCTTCAGAAAGATATACATCGACATTCTAATTAGTAATTTTTTTCTCAGTATTGCCCATCTGATTCCCTCAGCCTCCTCCATCATTCCTGAAGAGGTAGATGAGGAGGAAAGAATGTAGAAGTGGTCACCTCTTCTGGGAGACAGATTGAATTTCACTTGCTTCCCACGCTCTTCTAAATAATCTATAGAGATTTAGTTTTCTAAATCCTCACAGGAAAGATCAATTCATTAAACAAACACTGCTGCTCTCAAAATTACTTCTACTCAAAAACAAATTTTTTTCTACCCTTATGAACCACATGCTCCCCTTGTCCTATAATACTGGAATTTCTTGAATTTTTCTTTAATAATAAAGCAATGTCATTTTTGAGCAAGATGGAAGAATAGGAAGTAATCTGCCAGAAGTTTCTCATGAAAACAAGAGTTCTGCAACCATCCACAGACAAAACTGTGGGAGCCATGAACATCAGGTAGGAGGTTGTGAAACCCCAGTGAAGCCCAAGACCTAGAAAGATCATTTTGAGACTGCAAACCCACACCACCTGTGGCAGGCTCACTGATCGTGTTCTTAGTTTCAGACCCAGAAAGTGTTCCTTTCCCTGACAGGCAAGGCTACAGATACCTTTAGGCTTTATCCTACTACCAAAACCATCTATCCGGAGGTCTAGGAGAAATCACTTACACTAGTTTTTTAGAAGACAGGCATGTCTGCACTCTGATATCCATCACCACTATGGACCTAAAAGTTATTTAGTAACTTAGCTCCAGCCTCCTTCTGCTGTAGTCCCAGCTTAGTGCTCCTTGGACAAGGACCCAGAGGGAGACTCACCCATTTGTGCCACCACTAAAAGACTTGCCAGACTCTGTCTCACTGCACATCTTGAAGGGGCCCTGTCTCAGCCATAGTCCCTCTTTTCCACAGCCCCAGAGTTATCCTACTTTACAGAAAACTCCTGACATGCTTTCTGAACTTTATCCCACAGAGGTTTTTGAAAGGGGCCTGAATCTCAGTTGTAGTCCCTCTAAGCTTTCATCTGTGAGCAATCCTGCTTGCATAGAGAACTCCTAACATTCTTACCCAATTGTGTCACCAGGTCAAGCTTGTCAACATCATTTCCACAGCAAATACTGAATTAGCCCTGAAACTCAGTTATAGTCCCTCTCAGCTGTGGTCTGGGGGCAGTTATTGCCCTGCCAGGTCTCTGTGGGAAGATGTGCTCATCTGAGTCCTTGTGGTAGCCTTGATAATCTCTTTCCTACAGCCAATCCTTAAACATCCCCGTATCCTGATCCCAGCCCCTCTTGTCTATGGGCACAGAGCAGTTTTGCTTGCCTGGGGACTTGGAAGGAGGCACATCCAACAATACCCCTACAGGCTGATGCACTGACCTTGGTTCCACTGTGGATCTTGAAGAGCCCTATAGATTGTCTCCAAGTCTTCTCAACTGCCGTCTGAGAGCCAGCCTGTTCACCCAGAAACCCACCTGGAAATGCATGTATTTGTGAACTGGATACAGGTCTGAAGATCTTGTTCTTGACTGGGGACCTAAAACAACCATGAGTCTTAGATCCAGCACATTGCGCCATGGACTAGAGCAGACCAGCCAGCCTAGCAGTCCATCTAGTGATCCCATGGGAACCCTCCCAGAGACCCAGAAGAAGCCACACATGTCAGTATACCTGATAACAAATTGGCTGATCTGCGAACCCTAAAGTGTACCCTTATCCTAGTACCAGCCCCATAGAATGAAGTCCTGGAGACAGTCCAGGGCACTTAGGGACCAGATCAGACTTACAACCCCTGGAAATAGGCCACTAACTGTGGTATCCACTGTAGACCCAGCATCAACCATGTGAACTGACTCCAGCCCCATTCAACTACAATCCTAGAGGCAACCCTATCAGCCTGGAGAGCTAACTTTTCAAAATCAATGTTAAGAACTGAGAGTAGAGTTCACTTCTTCAAATGCACAGTCATCAACACAAGGCTACATGGATAACAAAAAATTGGGCAAACATGACAAAAACCAAAGGCACTAAAAAAGCTCCAGTAACCAACCCCAGGGAAGTGGAGATATGCAAATTGTCTGAAAAATAATCTAAAATAGTAGCTATTTTAAAGAAATTCAGTGAGATGCAAGGAAATACAGACAGACGACTAAATGAAATTAAAAAAATACATGAACAAAAAGAGAAGTTTGGTGAATAAATAGAAAGCATAAACAGAAATCCTGGAGCTGAAGAATACAGTGAAAAAAATAAAAAATCAACAGCTTCAATTGAAGAGTTGGCATACAAAAGAAAGAAATAGAAAACTCAAAGATAGGTCATTTTAAAGTAACCAATTAGGAGAATAAAAAAAAAAGATATTTAAAAGAGTAAAGAAAGCATAAGGAAACTATGGAATACTACTAGACATACAAATACAAGAATTATGGGAGTACTAGAAGGAGAAGAGACAAAGGGACGAATAGCTTTTTTAAAAAAAATGATGTCTAAAAATTTCCTAAATCTTTGGGGGCATATGAACATACAGATTTAGGAAGTTCAAAGAATCCCAAACATGATCAATTCAAAAAAGAATCCTCCTAGGCACGTTGTGATCAAATTGACAAAATTCAGAGACAAAGAATCTTAAAAGTAGCAAGAGAGAAAAAACTTGTTATATATAAAGGATCTCTCAAAAGGCTATCAGTGGACTTCCTAACAGAAGCCTTGCAAGCCAGGAAAGAGTGAGATTACATACCCAAAGTTCTAAAACAAATAATTGCCAGCCAAATAGACTGTGCACAGCAAAAATGTCCTTTAGAAATGAAAGATAAAAACACTCCAGAACAACAACAAAAATGCGAAGGGAATTCATCACCACCAGACTTGTCTTACAAGAAATGCTAAAAGAAGTTCCTCAAGCTGAAAGAGAACAACACTAATGATTAACACAAAAACATCTGAAAAGATAAAATTCACAGCTAAAAGTAAGTACACGGTCAAATTGAGACTACTCTAATACTGTGATAGTGGTGTTTAAATCACTTCTATCTTTAACATGAAGGTTAAAAGACAAAACTATTAAAATAATAATAGCGGCCAGGCATAGTGGCTCACACCTGTAATCCCAGCACTTTGGGAGGCCAAGGCAGGTGGATCATCTGAGGGCATGAGTTCGAGACTAGCCTGGCCAACATGGTGAAACACCGTCTCTACTAAAAATACAAAAATTAGCTGAGCCTGGTGATACATGCCTGTAATCCCAGCTACTCGGGAGGCTGAGGCAGGAGAACTGCTTGAACCTAGGAGGCAGAGTTTGCAGTGAGCGAACATCGTGCCATTGCACTCCAGCCTGGGCAACAGAGCAAGACTCTGTCTCAAAATAATAATAATAATAATAATGATAATAACTACAATAATTTGTTAAGGGATATCGTATGTAAAGAGATGTAAATGGTAACATCAAAAATGCAAAATGTGGGGAGAGGAAGTGAAGTACAAGTGTCAGAATTTCTTTTTATGTTTTCTGCTGTATGTATTTTACTTTAGAAAAACCTTACCCAATTATATGAAATAATATAAATTATATATTAATTTTAGTCTTGAATTGGTTATATTAATTTAAATAACTTTATAATTTATTTGCTTCTTCAATTAGCTAATTTATTAAAATCGACACTTTATATTATAATAGATTTCATAAATATGAGGCTTTCTGTTCTGTGTATGTATATGTGTTTTGGTATTGATGCCATTCTATTTCAGTTACTGTGGTTCTATTGTATAATTTTACACAGAAAAGGATCTATATCATCAACTATTCTTTTTCCACAATTATTTTCCTGGATATTCTGTGAAAGTGCTTTTCCAGATGAACTTTATCAAAAATATATGACATTTCTCTACCAAATTCTATTTGTCCACAAATGAGAATTAAATTTAATGTGTATATTAATATAGTAAAGACCACCATATTTCCACTATTAGGTTTTTTCAGGGTACAATAAAGTGTTTATAATTTTTTACATTTTCTTTATTTTTAATTTATAAAGTTTTGTTTCTAATCACTTTAGTCTTGCACTGTTATTTTTACATTTATACCTAAGTACACATTTTCTTCTCTAATATATTGTATCTAGTTATTGTTGGAGTAAACAAAGATAAATTATTGTGTGCATTTGTTCTTTTTCTGGCCCTTTTAGTTGACATTTCCATACATATAGTTTTATATTGTACTCTGGTGGTAAAGTTGAATCTTCCTAAAAAGATTTTTAAGTCTTTCCAGATAGCTCACATGTTTTTCTTGTGGATATTAAAGTGTTTTGGAAAAACTCAAGCACTTTAATATTTAGGATAATATCAGGATATATTATCATGATTATGTCTTTTAAGATATACAGTCCAGAAAGCAGAATAATAGGTTTGTTGAGTAATAAATACTAAAATTTTACGTATTTGTAACTTAGCTTTGATGCCTGTATATGTATGTACTAACTTAAAATACATTTCTGTTTGAAATTGTTCACTAGTTTTCCGTAGGATACATCATGAAAACTAAGCTCTTCCTTATGTGTGGTAAACTGTCTCACTATTAGTCTATTCCTATTTGCTTTCTTGCAGTGCCTCTCTCTAAAAATACTTCCCTGGTCCATTAATTACAGAGTTGACCCTGTGACTGGCCCAATAAAGTATGAGAGGAAATGATATATGGCACTTTAGAATAAAAGCTTTAGGAGTCAATTTCTGTCAACTTCTTTCTTCAAGAACCACCAGCAGTGCCCCAGATAAAGGCTATTTCATTACCTGGGACCTGAAATTAAGAGAGCTACGTCTGACATACTAGAGATATATGTAACATAAGTGAAAATTTAGTGTTGTGTAAGCTACAACATCCTAATATTGTTTGTTTTTGCAGCGTAAACTCGCTGATCCTGAGACATCTCATTTTGGTCATGATATGTTACTTAACTACCTCTCCAACCACTACAATATATCATCACTAGTACTCTCCACACTCAAACCATACAAAATAATACAACCAGTGAAATCATTTTGAAAGGCAAATTTGATTGTTTTGTACCTCTAATTAAAATAAGTCCAATGTACAATCAGTCTTAGGTTACAGTATCTCTCATGGCATATTCTTCACTAATCTTTTACCACTTTCCCCCAGGTTCTTCTGTTCCAAGAAAAATGGTCTTCTTACTTCCTTGATGGCTCACAACATGCTCCTTTCTACTGCAGGAACACTGTATAACTTCTGTCAAGCATGAACTCCCCACCTCTGTTTGACATACTTCTCTACTTTCAGAACTCAGCTGAACTATCGCTTCTCAAGGGAGCACTCAAACTTCCTGAACAGAGTAAGAGATTTGTCTCTTCTGAAGTCACAAAACTTGATAATAAAACTAATGGAATGATATGACTTGTAACTATGTACTCAAATTGAAAATATCAATTACCATCTTTATCTACATTATTAGTAACACATTTTTGTTTGCATGGGCTCAAAAATATTGGGTTCTAATTATATATCACATAATATGCAGAATATTTTGCAGCTATGGACTCCAGTCCTTAAAAGAGGATTGAAGATATGAGATCAATGGATTTCAGGAATGTTTTTTACTGAATGTCAGTTAGCAGCCAGAGATAGAATTCAGGTTTTTCTTTGTTAAAATCATTTTTCTAGTATATTTGTTTGAAGGAACCAAACAGAGCTCATTTGATAGGTAAGATCATTGTAATTTTCTTATTAAAAGCCAAAGAAAAAGAACAATAATTTTAATTATTCTTATTCTGTTGCTTACTCAATTACTTAGATCTTAAAATTAAATATCTTTTTGTTTCTTTTTTCCCCTTTTCTCCAAAAAGAATTGTTTTTGAATCTTTAGTCTCTACTTTGAATTGATGATATTTTATGCCAATCCTGGTAATATTTCACATGTGATGGATGCCTGAGAATTTAGAAGAAATCATTAGACTAGAGAGTCCCAATGATTCTAAGTGAGCTAGTTTGTAACTAGATCTACTACCCTGCCCTTACTTTCATTCTTCTGAAGATTTCTTGCAATCCAAAACTTTCAACAATCTGTAGATATATCATAATGTTTCAAATTGTATATAGTGCAATTAAAATGAACTAGAAGTCTATAAAAGATGTCCCTGTATCATCTTTGCATAGAGTTTGGTCTTGACATTTTAATAATTATTTTACATAATTAAAAAATAAGACCAGCTCATTTGTTTAAACAATTCAGTTGAAGATGTACTTATCCTTTAATTAGCAGGTCAATTAATACAAGGCAGTCTTTCACACTGACTTCACTAGCTAATTGTCATTTTAAAGTTATTTTTAATAATTTAAGTGATAACTTTTTAATGACAGTACTTAGTATACTTTTCCTTCAGTGATCAGACATGAGCACAGATAGTTTTTTCAGGAATGTGGGAAAACACAAATACGCCCAAAGACTTACTGGACATTAAATAAAAAGACTGTGAAAATAGTTACTTTCTTATACTCAAGCTTGTAGGCTCTATTAAAGCAGACATTTTTGTCTGTTTTTATTTATTTCCTTTTTACTTTTTAAAATTACAAATTGACAAATTATAGTTGTATGTATTTATGGGGTACAAAGTGATACTATGATATGTGAATTCAATGTGAAATAATTAAGTCAAGCTAACTAACATGTCCATCACTTCAAATACTTATTATTTTATGTGGTAAGAGTGTTTGAAATTCACTCTCTTGGTAATGTTGAAATGTAAAATACATTATTTTTACTATATTCACCATGTTGTGCAATATATTCTTTTGTATCCCTTGACAATTATCTTCTTATTCTTCCTCCACAATCCATCCTCCCATGCTTGCAGCCTTCAGTAACAACCATTCTACTCTGTGCTTCTTTGAATTTGATTGTTTTGGATTCCACATATATGTGAGATCATGGAGTATTTGTCTTCCCATGTTTGTCTTCCCATGTTTGTTCCACATATATGTGAGAACATGGAGTATTTGTCTTCCCATGTTATTACACTTAGTGGAATGTTTTCCAATTCCATCCGTGTTGTCACAAATGACAAAATTTCTTTCTTTTTTAAGGATGCATAGTAGTATTCTATTGTGTATATATACCATATTTTCTTTATGCATTCATTTGTTGATGGATACTGGGGTTGTTTTCACAACTTGGCCATTGGGACTATTACTGTAATGAACATGGGAGTGCAGATATTTCTTGGACATACTGATTTCAAAGATTCAGGTAAATACGCAGAATTAGGATTGCTGGATCATATGGTAACTATATGTAAAGTAAAACTAAAATAGTTTTCAAAAATGGCTATACTAATTTACATTTCCTCCGACAGTGTATATAGATTACCTTGTTTTTAAATTTAATCAATGAATACCCAGGGTCTGGCATCATACTTTGCATATGGTAGTAACTCAATAAATACTTATTTAATAAGTAAGACAATAAATAATTTGTAAAACCTAATATGTTGACTTGTCCAGTAAACTGAAATTTTACAGAGAACCCATTATATTTTATGTCATATCCAGTTGATATATGAATAAAAATACCATAAATATGAATATATTATACATATGCATATTCTTACATATGTAAATAAATACAGATATACATATGAATAGCACCTAAACTGTATACAGGGGCTTTTTATACATTGAAGGATTTATTTATAAACAATTCTAATTTTTAATAATCTATATTAAAATGTTCTCTGTTTCTTAAATGATGTGTTTCAATATATTATAAGCACCTTTTATTGCTTGGAAAAATATTTGTAAATAGTTTTTTGTTACTATTTTCCCTTAAAATTTGTCTTTCTATTAATTCCTGAAGAATTGACATGATAAATTAGGTATCAAAATGAAGGCAAAAAGACAACTGAAATATATTCTTATTATGATTTCTATTATTATTATGCATTTTGAAAAATAATGACTTTAAAATGTTATTTACTTCTATTATGTTGGGTCATTTTTAGGTATGATTCTTCCTACTCAGGAATATCAACAATAATACACCACACATGTTTCATAGCTATTATAAACAGTCTATTTCTATTGTAATGTGCTTTATCCTGTATAGTAATACAGGGGGAGGGAGATCAGAATGAATGAAACCCATAAATGGGTGTCAAAACTTTTTTTTCTTCTCCTTTATCTCCTGACACATTCTCTATTAAAATATGAAGCAATGATCAAACATAGATTTAAAATGATAGGAAGTATGCTAAATTATTTCATTTTAGATAATAAAGGCAAATATTAGCTTTGAATTACTTATTAAGTGGAAATGATTATTTTATCTTAATAGAGTTTTAAAGCAAAGTGAGAACATTTATTGCTGCCTTGAGTAGGAATACACATACATGCACATGACTGCGCACTTGTGCACACACACATGCGTGTGCACACCCTAACTTTCAGTAAAATATTTTCTTCTTTCACCTGAAATCTTTATTGCATTAACTTATTTAAAAATTTTAAATTGCAATAGCTCTGCTTTTGGCCATTATATAGAAATGGCTTGCATTTCTGTTGTAGGAGTAAAGATAAAACAAACTCAAACACATCTGAGACGTGGCTGTATAGAATTTATTATATAGTAACAATGCAAAATGGTATGTGTGTAATAAGACTATTGAACATTGTACAGATGTGTACAATCATGATTTCTTAAATTTATTTTCTAAGCATAACATTTTCTCAATTTCTATAAATCACTGTGAAGTAGTTTATCTTCTAAAGGGTAATATAGACAATCACATACTGAGGTGGCAGTATAAAACTTATGAAAATATATGACGCAGAAAAAAATTAGCTTATGCTAATATTTAAGTATCACAGAACCTCTTTCTGGAAATTAGAGGTCTAAATTTTTTTAAATTTATATTTACTTCATCATAATAGGCTTACTTTCTGTTTGTAAGTAACTAAGACATTTTATGTTATTACTTTGATAGCAGCATAGTGAGTTCCAGTGTCAAGCTTAATTTGCCTATCATCCTGTATTCCAATGCATCACTTTCCTGTAATCACTTCACTATATTGGTGCCAATTTCTCCATCTCTGTGTATAAACAGATGGAAACCACCATGGGAAATATCCCTCCAACTTCAAACAAAGCTGTTTATTTATATTAAAAAGTTGCAATATATTCTGCTTACATTTGGAAGCCCATAGTATTGTGGAAATATTTTGATAAAAGAAAAAGTTGTCTCAAAATCATTTTAAACATTTTTAATGATGCAGCAGAGACAATATCACCAAGTAACCAAAATTTTCACAGCACTGTCTCCTTTTCCCTTTCGCTAGATATTTAGCCAGATAAAAATCTGGCAAGCCTACCTGGAGGAAATGCACTCCTAATTCCATATGTCATAATTTCTAATTCATTTATTCCTCCAAAATCAAGTATTGGGACCATACCATATTTTGTTCTGTACTACATTCTGGTTCATGAAAAGTAAATTTAATAAAACAGCCATAGAGCAGCGTGATTGAGTTTCCCCCAGAAACAGACCCTGAGACGGGAATGTAAAATTATGCAGGCTATTTTGCAGTTGCATGAAACATAGGGTGGTGGGGAAGTGGGAAGTGATATTGGTAAAGGAGGGGGGTAAAAAAATAAATTATTATTAAGCCAGTTCCCATTGTGGGAAAGTGGAGCTTAATCCCCTATGGAAATTCTGGGAAATGCTGCAAAACACCCTAAAAACCAGGGTATTTAGGTTGAAGTTACTTAGGTGGGTTGGGAACTGAGGAGATGTGAGGATGAAGGGTGAAGGAAGAGCTTGGGTAGCGGGTGGGAGTTGTAATTCACAGGCATTTGCCTTTCTGGCCTCTGGACAAAGCAGCCATCTACTGTTCTAAAAAGAATGTAGAGAGACAGATGCAGACACTAGATCTTTGAAGTGAGCTGCAGGGATACTACCAGGGCATAGTCATCTTCTTCTACAGATTGAATAGTGTCTTTAATCTGTGTGTTTATACTAGAAGTGCTTTCCTGGTTAATGAAAAAGAATCTAAAGAATGGAGAACATTAATCTGAGAGTTAAGACTTTAAACTCTGATTCCACATTGATGACTATAATGGGCTTCGGTAGTCTTATTTGTATGTAATCTCTGTTTCTGAGATACTATTAATCTTGATTCGCATACATATTTAATAATGGAACACAGTGAGGATTTATGTGCCTTAAAGCCTGTACTGTGAAAACTTGAGCTCCCTTTACACCTTTGCCAAGTCATTTTTTGATCATCCAAGTGGTGTTTCACAACTTTGCGTACTCTACTCTCCTTTTCAGCTTCATTCCACTAGGATGATGTCTTGTACTATACAAGTTTGCAAATCTAATGCCAGTGAACACTGAAAAAGTGATAATGCTGCTGACTCCCTTGCTATTGCCCTTGAACAGCCTTTGTAAAGTCATTGAAGGCTTACATTAATAATACAACCATGGCTTAAATAGTAAGAATCAGATTTTCAACGTCCCAATATTTATTTTTAAACTCTTCTTGCAGGCCTCTTGCCTCACTATATGAGTGCATGGAAGCTAGGTTAGAAGGTAAACTACGTGAGACACAATGTTTTATTAAACACATCTTAACCATTCTTTCTTTTCTTGAAAGATGTGTGCTGGTCTCTTGCAGAATAAAGTCTGACTTATCTTAAAACCTCTTACTCAGGTTTCCTGATCTGTCAAAACAGTCATTCAGTAACACTCAAAACATTCTACAATCCCAGTGTAGACAAAGTTCAATCAGCTTGCCCTGACTGTGCTGTGACGCTGACATTCTATGACTCTCTAGATGTTTCTGACCCTGCTGTACTATGCCAGGAGACGTGTGCTGGCCTGTGTGCAATAGACTGTGGTCTTGTGTTTTAGCTAGGAAGAGTAGATACGGGATATTGAAGCAACAGTTACTCCCTAGGCTAAAGATGTTTATGTGATATATCTCCCATATGTATTTATATATGTACATGTACACACATATACATTTATCAGGCTAAATATACATGAGCAACAATAAAGTAAATTAATCTTCATTAGTCTCTGCTATAAAGGTATTACGTTTTTTAAACATCAAAACCAAAATGATGTCTGCATCAGTTTAATGTTTAATAACTGTTCAGAAAGAAAAAGTGGAGAATATCCTTTTATAAGTTTCCTGCTGGCAATTTATCATTATTGAAACAGAATGTCTTTTGTTCATGAATTTTGAACATGGATAGTGTGTCCTTATGTTCTCCTACAACTAAGATGGCATTGTTGACTTCTCACATTTCATATCCATCATAAGATGAAAGCCCATTAGCTAAGTTCACATCAGAATTTGTCCTCATCAATGAAAGTTTGTCACAAATGATTCCCTGTTGTTCCTTGTAAGAGTGTCAAGTGGAGAAATTTGTTGGCTGTACTGAAAGTAATAGCACGTTGTTGTGATAAAATCATTAGCAATGCCACTACTTCAGGAACGTTTTTATGTCACCTGTAATGTAGGACACGCAGATACAAAATGTCCATGGTTATTTCATACTCAGAAATGTACTCCCTTTTGTGCACAGGAGAGCATCAAAAGTGAATTTTTGTTTCTGACAAAGAAGATTAATTACTCACTGTTAATTTATTTTCCCCATATTTCCTCATTGCTTGACCATATTTACCCTAAATAAGAGATCACAGGTTCAGTTGTACTGAACCAGCAAGAATTACTTCCCAAGAAGAAAGTTTATATTCTCTGTTGAGTATTGAAGTTTTTTTTTTAATATCAGAAAAACAGGCAAAGGGGTAGTTGACAAATGAAAGCCGGAGTTTTGGAGGGTAAGATCCCAGTTCCATTTAATTTGATTCTATACAGAACCAAGCACAATGCCAAGTATAATGCTTTCTGATAGATTTTGATTAGCTGTGCTCGGCTAGCTTCTCTTTACGTTACTTTAGTTCACACTCATTTTAAAGACTAGATGGAATTTCTCCGTAGCAGTGGCACATCCATTTGGGGTAAGAAGTAATCAGGTTCAGCTACTATTTTCCTTGCTTACTCACATACACAATAACTTGCTTTCCCCTGCTGTTTCACCAGAATTATTGAAATATTTTCTCCCTATTGCCAGCTGGATCAGTCTCTGTGACTTCCTTCTATTTTGATCCTAAATATCATTTCAAAAATAAATGCATTATTCCTTAGAATACAAAGTAAGACTGGAAGTCACCTTGGATTCGCCAGTGTTTCTGTTGTCTTTAGTGTAAAACTTATCTAAACAAACCCTTTATAAGAATGCGAGTCTTTTTCCTAATGACCTTAAGGAAAGAATATTCTATAAACTTTTAATATTCTCTCCTCTATTTACCATGTTGCAATATTGACATGTTTAACCTGTTTCTGGAGATCAGGCTTGTCTCATCCTATATTTTTAACTCAGTGAAGATAGGAAAACATGTCTATGACTTTTTTTTTAAACCAAGCTTGTGTGTTTCATTAATATTTATATAACTTTTAAATAGGCAATATTTAGCTTACACATTTTTTCTTATTATTGTTCTACCTCTCATAAAGCAATTAAAATGGCTACTTTTGAGTATGAAGAAAACAGAAACAACATATTCAACTTAATAAAGCTAAGCAAAAATTATATGTCTGAGGTTAAGATCAAAAGGAAATTTAAATAATATAAGCCATTAGTTGGAAGATTAACAGCAAAGTTTTCTATATTTGATAAACACGTTTTCTTATTATTTTCTCAAGGTAAAAGACACATGGGAAGAAATCATTTGTCTCAAAAAAGTAATTCATCTTCATCTTAATACATAAAGCAATTTTTACTTCAATTTCTACTTCACAGTTAGCACATATGTAGAAGTCCACAATGAGAATCTGCCTTAGTGAAGTAGCTCCTTGGCTCTTCCTAATTTGTTAGTTTTTTTCTCTTCATTCTCACTTCTCTAGCTGCTCGTGTGGTCACTTACCTCACAGCTGTCATAGATATTTATTTTCAAATGGACCAATTATCTCTCCTTGTCTCTGCAATGCATATTTGTCTTTTATGTGCTTTGCATTCTACCCCAGGATGTGTCATTTTTAAATCCAGGTATGATATAATTTGTTATACCGTAACTAAGCATTTCCAAACTCATACTTAGTTTTAAGGTGTACCAACAAATGTTATAATACACTAAGAACAAGGTGATGTCTTACTGTCGCACCAAAGTTTTGAGATGAATGCTACAGACATAGAAACAGTATAGAATGTGGCAATTATGTGGAAAATAATTATGGTTGATTTATATATAACTGGGCAATGAATATTGTGTGCAGGTATGACATACTAAAAAGCACTTATTGTTGCTGTTGTTTCTGCAATGGTTAGTTTTATACCTTAAGTTGTCATGGACTTTGGTGGCAAAATTGAGGGTGTTGTGGTCATATGGAGTTAGCAATTAGTGCATCACTTCATCAATCTATTTTAATTAATTGGGTTGTGCAAAAGGTTTAGTTTGAAAAACAGAACTCTGCTACTAAAGAAAAGAAGCAAAAAGAAGTAATCATCATAATCATTATACAGTATATTATTAGCAGGGAAGTAAAATGATCTTTTATACATTTTAACAAATTTAGAACAAAAAATTCTAAATGAATCAGAAAGGTGTGCTAGTCACATCAAGTTTCCCATAACAAAATCTAGGTAAAAAGATAACATGAGGTTTAGTAAAGGCAGTAGCAATGTAGAAAGCGGTGGGAATTAAAGCGATATATAGTAGGAAGAGCTGACAATACTCCACAACATATTTTTAAATTCCAGGCAAAGGAAATTGGGTACGTAATTGTGCTATTGTGATACTGGAGTGCTGGAGTCAGAAAAAGAAGCAAATCTTTCTGGAGGTGAGGGTTGGAAGAGCATTATGGTAGTTATTTTTGAAATATTTTGCTTGTTCTGCCCATAGGTGGGGAAGCTTGGTAGGTTTTAGAAATAGAATTTTGGAGCTAAAAAGAGGATCTAGTCTAGAAATTCAGATTTGGTACTCTGAGCATAGTAAATATCTAATAATGTATTGACATTGGTTGATGATGAAACATCCAAGACCTTTTGACTTTTATTTTATTACACATACACACACACGTGTGCACACACACACACAGGGTTAATCTTAAGTCCATCAAGGACTTTTAAGTATCTTGTGTTAGAGAGCTCAGATACATATATATATATAATATATATACACATATATATACACACACACATATATACATATATATGTATATATGTGTGTGTATGTATATGTGTATGTATGTATATATATATGTGTATGTGTGCACATTTGTGTGTGTATATATATAGATTTTTTTTTTTTGAGATGGGTTCTCTGTCACCCAGGCTGGAGTGCAGTGGCACAATCTCAGCTCACTGCAAACTCCAACTCCTGGGTTAAAGCGATTCTCCTGCCTCAGCCCCACGAGTAGCTGAGATTACAGGCACCCACCACGATACCCAGCTAATTTTGTATTTTTAGTAGAGATGGAGTTTCTCCATGTTGGCCAGGCTGGTCTTGAACTCCTGACCTCAGGTGATCTGCCCACCTTGGCCTCCCAAAGTGCTGGGATTACAGGCCCTTCCTTATGATTTAGTCTGCATCCAGCAAACTATTTTCTTTTTGTAGATAGGATGAACCTTTGTGCTCTATATCCACTTCTTCAAGAATAAGAAAAGTATATATTTTTTCCCATTTGCCTCAGAAGCTTTCCATTGATGACACTAAATCCTCTGAATTTTATTATTATGAATTATTCAACAAAGCTTTTGTTATTTTCTCACTTAAACTCAGATTTAATTTTCTGTTTTCATGTTATTCTCACCTACACAGCTAAAACCACCTAAGTTTTTGTTGAACTCTGCTAAGAAATATGGTGTTTGCTTACTAGTGCAGTATATTTGAACATATGTATTTTCTCCAAATGGAACTTGAGTGTAAAACCTCTTAAAATTTTCAGGTTGTGAAGTAAAACCAAAATAATTTGATTGGGGTCATTTGGGAATGTATAAGAAGGGCAACCTATAAGCTGTGTAATGCAATATTAGCTACACGAGTTTAGGAGTCATGGTAGTCAAAGTTCAAATACCAAGTAAATGCCATTGTGACTTTATATCTATCTCTTAACCTTAAAACCTCATTTAACTCATATATTTAATTGTATAGGGAAATATCCATCATGGATTAGCTGGGGCATTTAAGAGAAACATATAGTTCCTGATTACATAGTGGGTGCTCAATAAATGTGCTTTACCTTCTATCTGTCTTGATCGTTCCACATTCAAAGCCTAGGGCCTCTTCCTTTCTCTTAACCTTCCTCAATACAGGGAACTCTTATAAAAGATGAAAATATGGATGTAATTCACACATGCACACAAATGCGTGTGTGTATTTGGAGAAATTATAAAATTAAGTTTTGTACATGAATTCGTATTATCTGCAGATAAAGAAAACTAAATTAGTTAAAACATGGAAGATAATTTGGCTTTTTTATGATATGATAATTTTTAAAAATCTCTTCGATGACTTACCTAAAATTGCTTTCTTTTTGAATTAATTATAAGGCATTGTGTTAATCAGAAATCAGTATTAATTATGAATTATAGCCTACTCTTTACTTATAAATATCTCTCAGCTACTGAATCAAATCTATAAAATATTTCTTTTTTAAAAAATATTCAATGGCTTAATCTATCATAAAAAGTTTGTAAGTAAAAAAACTTCATGTCAGTTTTACCAAACATCTCCCCTCAAATGATGTAATGAAATGATAGCATGAGGCTGCTATATTAATTTATTAAGGAAGCTATGAAATCTATTCATCTCTGTAATTAATACAATTCCATTTTTTGGCACAAATGACCTGGTTATAAAATATGTTAGGTTAAATTGTTTTCCAGTCAGAGACATACAGTCTCTGATGTATAGTGGGTGTTTCATAAATGTGCTTTACCTTCTATCTTGCTGGTTCTGTATTCAAAGCCTACGTCCTCTTCCCTTCTCTTAATCTTTCTCAATACAGGGAACTGTATATAATCTGTACACCTGTGTATAACTGTATATAAAACATATAACCACCAACATACCAACAAGGAGATAAAATATTGACCTTGTCTCTTTGTTTATTCTGTGTAATGTTGACCTTGTCTCTTTGTTTATTCTGACATGGACACAAAAACATTAGTCCATTCTTTAATTGCACTCTATGAATGATGACTAAAATTAGGATTTTTGAAATGTGCTCTTACAGGAGAAAGCCCTGTGCTTATAGTTGACCATGGGGCATTGCATAACCCTTTTGGTTATTGATATTGCTTTTGTTGGTTTTATTATTTTTAACACTTTTTATTTTCTGGTGTACCTTACTCCCATCTTTATTAATCTTGCTTCACCCTCAATCTTTTTTTCTGTATGCTTTACTTTCCAGTATGGTGCTAGTGCTCTCTCTCTACTCTAAGGTAAGTTTTACTTTTCTCAATTGGCTTCTGTACCTGGTAAGTTACTTAAGATCTTCACTCCTTCCCTGTACCAATGAGGCAATGGAATGAATGGCTAAAATGGCAGGAGAACTTGCTTCTTATTGTCAAAAAGGATTCTGATAAATCAGAATTATAAGAAGTAATAATGAATACAGGTACCATTTATTGAGTGCATACAAGTGCCTGAGGTAACACCACAAAAAATTGCCCAAATTTCGAACACAAGTATGTGTTTGACCACAGTGACCACAGTGATGGTGTCTTAACAGAAAAGTATAAATAATTTTGTGTCTGTGTTTGTAAATAAACAAACCACCTGAAACAAAACGAAATGGCTATTCTGCTTTATTAACATATTAAGAAAAATACAAGCACATTCGATCTTCAAGTGACCTTTCTTGCAGTAAGAAAGGAACCTACGTACATTGGTGAAATATAAGGTACAATAAATCTCCTTTATTGTGTCAAAGATCTCACTTTTTGATTCCCATAATATTTACTATAAAATTTACTTCTTAAATTTGAGACACTGAAGATCCCCATGAAATTCAAATTCATTATCTAATAAAAAGAAGAAGAAATTAACAAGCATTAACATTTTGGACTGAGTATATTAAATAACATAATCCATAGCTGTGTGTCTTGATGTCAGTAAAACTGCATTTGTGCAATTTTACATTTTTAGAAGCAAAAGGAATAGAAGAAAAAGGAAAATACTATACTATTCTTTTGGTATATTCTTGAAATATGTATCACAGACCAAATATGGAGCAAGACCAAGGACATAAGATAATGAAAATAATATTTGTTTAATCATTGAATGTTGTTTCTTATGGTGTACTTTAAAAGTAGCATACTCTAATTTAGTTCTTACAACTTCCTTGGCTAATAAATATGTCATTGTTCCAATTGTACAAATAATAAAATATAATAAATTTAATCTCAGATAAAAATAAGCTTTACTTTTAGTGGTATGAGAAGCAATTGGGGATATCAAATACAAGTAGTGGCATAATTTGACTTGCTTTACGTCAGGGTCACTTGGCTACTAGTTTAAGAAGAGAGTGATAAGAGCATGGGTTGAAGCTGGGAATCATTAGGAGACTGTTGTAATAATTCAAACAAAAGATGAGGGTGGCTTGAATTAGGATAACAGTAGTTGTGAAAAGTCATCAGATTCTGAATGTATTTTGAAGATAAAGTCAACAAGATAGGTTGTTGGAATGACTGTGAGCTCTAGGTGAAAGGGAGGTGTCCAGTATATAATTGAGGTTTTTCATTAAAGCAACTAGAATGTTGGGCTTGCCAATGGCTAAGATAGAGAAGACTGTAGAAAGGAAAGTTGTGATAGGGAGGGTAGAATGGGAGCTGAATTTTGAACACGTTATTTTTGAGACTTCTATTAGATAATCAATTGAATATTTTAAAGAGGCAATTGTATACCCAATATGAAGTTGTTCAGGGCAGAATTTAATGCTGGTTATATCAAGTTATAAGAATTTAGATATCATTTAAAGCCACAAGAATAGAAGGAATTATTACAAAATTATTTTAGGTAGAAAGCCCTTAATAAATGAGGGAAATCCAAACTGATGACAAAGAATAAATGTTTATTGAGGAAAAAGAAATACAAGAAAATCTTATGTTTTCAAAGCCATGTAAAGGCCTAATTTCAGCAGGAAGGAGTGAAGTAAGTAAGCGAAGACAGAGAATTGACAACTGGATGTGAAAATGTGAAGATCACTGGAAACTTGACAAACAGATTTGGCAAAGTAATGGGATTAGGATCTTGATTTAACTGGATTCAAAGGAGAATAGGAATGGAAGGAAATAAATTAGACCAAATATACAAACGTCTTTCAAAGAGTAATTCTGTAAAAACTAAAATTCATGATTTAGTAGCTAACCAGGGAAATAGTCAAAGAGGCTTCTTAAAAATAGAACAGAAATAACAGAAAGTTTATATGTTGCTTGAAAATATGTAGAAGAAATTGTTGAGAATTCCTTAAGCAATGTCCTTGAATGACAAGAGCAAATGGGGTCTCTCTTTCAAAAGTAAGAGAGCAGTCTTTGGCCAAGTACATGGAATGTTACACCTCAGTAATAAAAAAGACAGGCCAGGCGTGGTGGCTTACGCCTGTAATCCCAGCACTTTGGGAGGCTGAGGCGGGTGGATCACAAGGTTAAGAGATCAAGACCATCGTGGCCAACATGGTGGAGCCCTGTCTCTACTAAAATACAAAAAATTAGCTGGGCGTGGTGGTGTGCGCCTGTAGTCCCAGCTACTCCGGAGGCTGAGGCAGGGGAATCACTTGAACCCGGGAGGTGGAGATTGCTGTGAGCAGAGAGCTCACCACTGCACTCCAGCCTGGTGACAGCGCAAGACTTTAAAAAAAAAAAATACAAGAAAAGACAGAGATGGGGTTGTGGTGGTGGGAAGGTGTTAAGGTTCTCTTCAGACTGTGGAAAATTGGAATAAAAGTCATCATCTAAGAACAAGTATGAGGATGAAATTTTGAAAGTTTGAAAATTGAAAAGAATTTAATTAGGTCTTTCTAAATGTTAGAGACCATAAATTTTAAAGTCAAACTATTCAACATGATTATATGCATACTTCAGCCATGTACAATGGTGAAGATTTAGGAATGGAGAAGAAAGGAATTTGTGCTAATCTAGTGTTGGTATCTGGTCTAGGAAATAAGAAAAATGAGTGAAGGTTGAGAGGGTTGAAGGTATTCTACTGAAATCAGGATTTAACCTATTTACAGAAGAAACTAAGGACATGATATGGCTGAAGAGGAAAGCTAGCAGGAGCAATGGATTATAAAGCTAGCAGGAGCAATGGATTGTGTGGTTAAAATATCACCGAAAGTTGTATGTGTCTCTTCATTAACTGACATCAGCTTGAGTCAAGGAAACATGACATGTTTTGAAACCATTTATTAAATATATACGTAATGAATAAGTCCATTATATAATCGAATAAAAAACTACATTTGGATTACTTTCTCCCATTTAGAAATTCTCTATCAATTATTTATAGAAAAGAGAAACTATTTATATAGTTAATATTAAGCTTCATTCATTAGATAAGTAACTGCTTTAATATAAAACATATAAAAATAAGATGAATAAATAAATGTATAGTAGCCACTCTCATACTATGCTATATTCCTCATCTAGATGTGTGGGTGAAGATGTGATAGAATTTCTTCTACCTAATAGAAACATCTTGCCTTTTTGAGTGTTGTGTGGGCTTTAAATTCGACAGGTGAGAAACTCCCTCTCATTTATAGAGTGATGTCGACACCAGTGCCTCGTATTTTGCAATCTTTTTTTTTTTTTTTTTTTTTTTTGAGACGGAGTCTTGCTGTGTTGCCCAGGCTGGAGTACAGTGCTCAGTGGCACGATCTTGGCTGACTGCAACCTCCATCTCCCGGGTTCAAGCAATTTCCCTGCCTCAGCCTCCTGAGTAGCTGGGATTACAGGAGCCTGCCACCACGCCCAGCTAATTTTTTGTATTTTTAGTAGAGACGGCGTTTCACCGTATTGGCCAGGATGGTCTCCATCTCCTGACCTTGTGATCTGCCTGCCTCGGCCTCCCAAAGTGTTGGGATTACAGGCGTGAGCCATGGCGCCTGGCTTTGTGCTATCTTTTTAAATTTACCAAGTGCTTCTCTTTTTGCTTCTCATAAGAGGACTATACATTAAGTAGCACTGCCATACTACCCTGTTTTACAAATCAGTCATCTCGGATTCAGAGAAACTAAATTACTACCCAAACCATAACAGGTAAAATGAGAGAATATTCAAATCTAGTGTTCTGAACGATAGCTTTTTGTAGCAAAAATGCCTCGTTGGCCATATTTGTGAGTATTTTAGTTAAAGCATGGTCTCATCACAAAAGAAATCTTAATTTTCCATTTTTTCCAGTATACAAATACATCTCACAACACCTTGGATGACTATTTATTAGAATAAATCACAGAGCTTGAAAGCCTTTCCAGAGCTCAGTTAATACACTATTTGTATACTACCTCCCAAGCCGGAGACATTTTTTGAAATTATACACCCTTCACCATCATGAGGACCTAAATAGCGACACCAGTAATAACTGTGGTGGAAAGAAAAGGGAACTGGCTGGTGCACACATGGACATATGAAAATTTTCATACCATTTGGGGATTGTTAACATTTAATTTGTAGGCAAGTTAAATTTGGCAGAGTTTATCTGAGCAAAGAACGACTCCTTAACTGAGTGACATTCAGAACCAGAGGAGGTTCATAGAGCCCTGCCTGGCAGTATGGGCAGGGAGCTTTTATAGGCCTTATTGGGTGAACACAGAAGCAAAGTAGATAAGTCATTTGCTACACTTAGGCATCCACCTCATTTGGGCATGGTGTGATGAGTCATCTGCCTTCTTTGGGCATGACATAATGAACCATGTGCCTTATTTGGGCATAATGTGATGAACTGGCTGCCTGTGATTGGCTAAACTTGGCTTTGTTATATTCCTAAATTAGCTTTTTGGCATGTGTATGTACTAAGTTAGGTTGCAATTTGTTATGCAGGAACTCAAAAAGTACAGAGACAGCCTCAGGCTAATGGCCTTCTACTAATTTAATAACACATAGAGAAACAGTGCAAATGTCTGTACTCAGCATCATTATATTAGTTGGATTATTTAGGTTTTCTAAAAGCGATACATTAAGTCTAACTCAGGCAGCACAGAAATATTTTAAAAATATGTATAGGCGTAATGAACATAAACTCTCATAGAAATAACAGAGTATAAAGCTTGGCCCATAGAGACAGTGATATATCCTTCAAGCTAGAAGTTTTAACGCTTACATTTTACATTATATCTTTTCTTTATTATATAAATTTATCAATCTCTGTCATTATTGTCATTTATCTTCTTTTTAGTTTTTCTTTCACTGCATCTGCCAGTGCTATTCTGTATAGATTTTGTGTCTTGTGGTTTTTGCTTATTTGTGTTTCTATCTCCTCATGATGTGGGACCAATTTACTGCCCATTATTGTTTTTATTGCTTCATACCTTACATATATCCACAGTTTTATTGTCTATTTTGAATAGTAATTTCTTGATGCTTTCGTATTTTCTGGTTATTTTTCCAAAGAAGAGAATCTTCTTGCATCTAACATTTTCCCACTTTCTTTTTTTTCTTGACAGACCACCTTAGATATTGCTGGCCAGCTCATGAATTGTGGCTTGTGGTCCAGCTAATCTTTCCTAGTCTATTCAGCTATGGCCAGAGAAGATGTGCTTAACTTGTGGAGCCTTACTGTTTCTCTAAGGTAGGAAACTTGGTATGGGGCAGCCTCTTTGCTAAGGTTACATGGGTACGGTAGCTTCCATGATTTAGCTATGTGTAATATGCAAGGTCTTAAATAGATTTGTAAGCAGTGAGGTTATATGTTATCATTCATTTATTACTGATCACATTTTAACCCAGTCTCTAGCTATAGGCAGCAGATGGATTTCCAATCTTACTCGTTTATTGCTTACTATTGCTGACACATACATAAAGGGCCTTTCTGAATATATTTAAAGAACTCATGAGAGCTCTTCATGAGATAATACTATAAAACTTAGATGTTAGGTGCTGGATAGCAGGATAATTTTATTAAATGAGGTGTTCAGTTTCATTAGGTTATATTTACTAAAGTACTAAGTGTTTCCGTTCTTACAGTCTATGTGTCCCCTTTCTATAAACTGCTTGCAGAAGAAGCAAGGCATATCAGTTGGGGACTTGACCTGCAAGCTAGAATTACTCTTGTAAATGCTTCAAATTTACCAAGAGGATTATCTGTATATTTATGAGAATCTTTGATACTGGAGATAATCCCAGTATTTTCTGTTCCTTGCACCCAAAAGGAGCTTCACAAACATTTCAGAAGATAAATCCATCTATGTTTGGGGAAGTATGTGTGTTTTGTGCTGAACACATTTGTTTTGGGGGTTCACATGTACGTGGTAATGAGAGAAAAAGGTGAGATTTGTTCTCCTAATTTGTCCCCTTCCTTCCTCTTTATGTAAAAAACACCATCAATTTTACAAGTGCTTTTTAAAACGAATTATCTGAAAACCACGGTAAATATAACAAACATAAAAAGGAACAAAGGTATAAGAATTCTTAAAGGCCCATTAATAATTGTCACTCATATCTTCATTGAAATGTAAATAGAATTAGATTTACCCTTTCTTAGTTGCCCTCTTACTCCTGCATTGATTTGCCTCCTATTCTTGTCTGGAAATTTCATCCTGCCCAAATATTTCCTCTCAACATACTACCCTGTGCTTATATCAATGAGAACATTTATCATTCTCTCTAATGATCTTGACTCCTTATCTCTTTCTCCCGCTGTTTTTTTACTTCACAATTTTAAAGGACAAGAGCTGCACCTAATTTATTTTTAAATTTCCAGAACCTAGCATAGAAACAGAGAGAAACTAAGAATGTATAGTATAAGTATATGAATTATTAGATTAATAAATATACTTAGGAATTTTCCTTCTCCCTTTGGTAAGTCTCAGTTTCAATGCACTACTGTATTATCAGGAGTTACAGTAGGTCATACATGTCAAATGTTCACATAATAGACCCAGAGAGATCAAGGAAAAGTAATTTGCATCTCACAACAAACTTTCTGTTATCTCAAAACTGTACTGTGTAGTACAGCAAAATTATCTTACGCATTTCTTCATATGCTGTCTGAAACTTTATTTTTAACATATTGGTAATTTCTTGCTGAAAATGTACGTCTACATAAGAGCACTAAAATGACCTTCGGCTTAAGCATAAATCAAAATTTTTATTTCACTTTCCTTTTTATTATCACAGTGGTCACTTTTCTCACTTAAACTTTCAGTAAGGTCATTCAGCTTTGACCTATCAAGCTTTCATTTCCTGCTGTCTGAAATGAAACATCTCTCCCACCTATAACTGACAAGAGTCACATTTCTTGTGGGATTGATTTCTTTCATCTTGTTCTTTCTTGAGCCCTTATCTTTCTTTTACTTTCTCCCTTTCCTTCCAGTGATAAGGTCTCTATATTTTCTTGTTGTGTTCATCTTGTGCTTTTTGTCTTTCATTTATCAGCTTCCAGCTTCTTAATTTATACATTCTATCCCTATTTTTTCTCCACTTATCTGTGATTTTATCTTGTTCTTTGCTCCTAATATTTTGAATTTTTCCCCAGTTAGCATATTGGCATCTTTTTTATATTGCTATTATTACTGAATCTTAGATTATTGTTTCTGTTGATATTTTCTTGTTAATTTCTCTCTGTTTCTGCCTATTTAATCATATTCTATTTTCTATCCTTATTATTTGCCCTCACTAATTTAAGCTTAACTCAGTTTTATCAGATTGTTTATATCTAGAATATATTTTTCTTCTCTTTATTATGCTAACTGCACATACTGATTTTCTCTCCTATATTGTAGCCATGAACATTTTTCCACTGCTTTGTGGCACGTTTTAGGACATCTTGAGTCTAATATTAGCATTAAAATATGTAATTATTTGCCTTTTACAAAAATCTGTGGTACAGTATCATCAATTCCAGAACCAACTCTTGTCATAATAAATAGGAGGAGTTACAGAAACCTAATAATGAAATTATGAAACATATTAGGTATCTACTGGTAAAAAAATATTCCTGAATTGAATGCACCTACTTGTTCTTTTCAAATTATTTTCTAATAGCTTTGTTAAAGTGTTTCCTTAATTTAAAAAATTATATGATGTAAATAAAAAATGCTACAGTAGCGAAATGTATTTCCAAACATGGGTTTTCCAAATACGCAAGCAAATTATATGACAATTAAATGATTTCAAATAATACAACAAAAGTGAATATTTTTTGAAACATTTTCCCCAAAGGAAAACTGTATATCTATATAGCACCATTCCACAAGGTTTCCTTGCTTGCTGCTCATTTCTGCTTTCCAGTAAAAAGCCTGAGAGTAACACCCCCTCTTCCTTATGAATAATTTGCCTGTGAAATATACACTGTGCAGCCGAGCTAACTTGAAAAACTAGCATATTCCTCTGATTCTGGAAATCAATGAGGTGGTTTCTATGAAAACAGATAATCTTGACTTGTGGCAGCTCATGCGATGTGTCAGGCAATGATCCAGTGTGCACTCATGTGTCCAGTGTACAATCATGTGTCCTAGACAAATTCTACAGCAGCAGTTTGTTCTCTGAAGTTTGTCTTTTAATGATTAATATCAAAATCTGGAATAAAATACAAACTGCAGAATTTTATAACTTCTCAGTTCTGAGTATTTTATCTAATGTAAGTTAATTGAGACAAACTAGTATTTTATGTCTCTAAGAAAGAAAAAAAACCCTGCCAATTAAAGTGTGGCAAACTACCAATTCTTAGACATATTATAATTAAATATACATTTACATATAAAAATATGATCTTAAAATTTATAAAATCTAATCTAAATTTAGCAGACATATAGCTTTTAGAAAAAATATTTCATATTCAATTGTTTTTACTAACTCCTTTTGGTATTAATTCTCAGATGGAATGAAAGATATTTTTTCTTTGATGATCCTACATTGACTATGATCTAGAAAAAGTTCTGGTACACACAAAGCATCAGTAACAATGACCTTGTAAGATTGTTTGAGATATAAATGCGTTAATCTAACTAAAGAGTTAAAGAAAATGATTCTCAATCCATAAACTCAGATAAAATTTAAGTTAATATAATCCTGATTAAGAACACCCACACATAATAATATGGAAAAAGCCATATTACTGATTATTAAAGCCACCCCCACTTTCCATCCTAGATTATGAGATAATCCTATGATGCTTAATTGATGTAAGCAGTTTTAACCAATCAAAAATGGTCGCTACTAAAATTCCATGTATCTAAACTTTCAGTGCTCATTTGATGTCAAGCAATTCTTTGCTTGTCTATGGACAATGAGAAACTTTGCTGATTGGAAACGCCCGTACCTAACCATGCCAAGTAGACATCTTCTCTGAGGTCACACCATACCCTTTTGCAGTGCTGTGGAGTAGCTCTGGTCCTTTCTTCACAAGGCCTGCTGAAATATCAGATGTATTAGTCAGTGTTCTCTATAGAGACAGAACCAATAGAAAAGATAGAGAGATATATAGATAGGGATATAAATATGGATACAGACATGAACATGGAGATAGATAGATATGAGTTGTGATTCTTAAGGGGAATTGGCTCACATGATTATGAAGGCTAAATCTCTTGACAGGCGGTCTGTAAACTGGAGACCCTGGGACGAAGGTGCCCTGTCTCAGTCCAAATCCAAAAGCTTCAGAACCAGGGAAGTTTATGGTGTAATTCTCAGTCCCAAGCATGGAGAGCCTGGAGTTCTGATGTTCAAGGGCAGGAGGACAAGAGTCCTCACTTCAGGAGACGGAAAGTGTTTTGCTCTCCTTTTTTTGTCTTTTATCCAAGAGCCCAGCTCATTAGATGTTGCCTACCCATATTGCAGGTGGGTGGACCTTCCCCACTCAGTTCACTGACTCACATGACATTCTTCTCGGAAAACACCCTTCCCAGACTTACCAAAAGTAACGCTTCACCAGTTCTCTAGGTATTCCTTAACCCAGTCAAGCTGACACCTAAAATTAACTGTCACATCAGGGTTCTTAATCTCTGCTTCCACTAGTTTCACAAAGCCATTTTTGCTTTCTCCATGTCCCCTAAATAATTAGGCATAATTCCTTCAGTAAGTTTAGGCTGTTACAAAATACAAGATAAAGAGAGTCATATATTTCTGGAAGTTATATCTTACTACACTTTCAGTGTTCTCTAAGCAAGAATAAAACATTGCTTAAAATGACGAATTGGGGGATAATAGATGTTAGGTGTTATTATAACTATTGCTCCTTTGGTTCCCCCAAAAGCATAGCTTGAGATAAGACTTTGGTTGCATGAATTTGCTTTGTAAAATAAAACATAAGAAGGGAGTATGGAAATGGAACAGGTAAAGTGAGAAAGTGATAGAGAAAATGCTAATAAACAGTGTGGTATGAAGATGACTGTCAAAGGACCGCTGAGATATAGGTACAGTGCTTCCCTGATCCTTTCTTTTGAAGGACTAAAGGCTAAAGTATCTGTGCCTTTGCTCCCCTGACAATCTTTTCTGGAGCTGACCATTTCACATTTCTGAGTTGGGCCTGCTCAAACTGAGCAGAATCTTGGACTTCAATGTAAAGTCTTGAAGCAGAAAGCCTGAGATCCATTCCATGAGTGCTTAGAATATAACTTTCAGCATGCAACAACCTCTCCTCCACATTTGTGCATGAAGTCAGAGGTGATTCAAAAAGGTGCAAACGATGAATCAAAGTGTCTACTAGAATTCACTTCTTGCATTGTTCAAATGTCTCATGATTTATGTTAAATCCATCTCACTAACTTTTCCAGTTTGGGGTCAAGTGCAATTTCTTGGGGCAGAAAAAAAAGAAAGAAGGAAAAAGAAAGAAAAGAAAAGGGGGGAAAAACCGGACCATAAAACGAGTGGAATGAATCAGTATTTACTTCTGCAACTATTTCTGAAAATATGATATTCACTATTTTTTTCTTCACTCATCCAATCTAGATTTTCTTTACCATCAGTATTCAAATCTAGAATGGGTAATAGAAAAGGAAACACTAACTATTAATTAATGCCTCGAGATCAGCTGCAGAAGATTATAGCTTATTCCAACCTACTTTTCTTGGCCAGACTACAGTAGTCACAAGGCCATAAGAATGAGCTTAGGGACAGATGTTAAGTGTAACGTTGTAAGATACATAGGGGTTTGAACTACTCATTGAAATAACTTTTATGTTCTTCGAGCTTTTTTGGCTTCAATCCCAAATGCATCATTTCCATGGTACAATGGATTGCTGCAATGCTTCCCTGACAGTTATAACCTGGTAGATCAGAAAATACTCTAGGTACTCAATTTTGGCAGCTTTATTCCCATAATCACTTGATGTTTTATGAAAAGGTGTTCAGTCTCTACTAAGAATCCAGGAAACCTTTTACAAGTATTAAGTTGTTATCTTCCATAAAAGGCAAGGCTTTGCTCTAGATCCTTAGGGGTTGGTGTGCAACTCTTTTATTGGCTTTTCCCAGAAACTCCATCCAGACTTTTCTTATATACATGGGGCAGAGATATTTCTCCACCATCTCTCATTCCTTATTCAGTAAAGGGTAGTTTAGAGACATTTAACTCCTATACTGTCCCAGGGTTGTATTAATAACTGTGTGCTTAACAATCTCCTAAATAACTTGGGAGCAAAGCCTTGAGGCAGAAAGCCAGATTCACTTTGCCTTACAAGTGGGGAGGCTGTCACAGTGCACTGAGTGCTCCACTACAGCTGTGTAGCCAAGATCAGCAAGGATGTAATGTAGGCACCAAAGCTTCTAAAACTTACAATAGAAATCTGTGTATTTTTCTCACATTTAAGGTGTTCAGTGAATTGGATAGAATTACTCTGTATTTTACAATGCTTAACTTCTCTCAATTAAAATTGACTTATTAGATATTTTGAACATATTTTATTGTTCCCTTATCATTTTTCTTGAAATACGTGACAGATATATTTTACCTTTTGGAACCTTAATACTGAGACTGAAGAATTACTATCTGCCACTGTTAAAATGCATGCTTATTTTCTTTTTTTGTAGGACATTCTTCTACATAATGTTGCGTCAGTAGAATAATTTTCTCACCAAGTGATAGGTAAGCAGATTCCAGTAAGGATGAAGGATAAGATTGTCAGAACTTTTATTCCTACCTCAAACTATGGGCCATAGTTATTTTGATTAACACTGAATTGCTGTTTCATTTACCTAGCTTAGAAAATATAAACCATGTAAAAACTTGTTTCTCTGCTGCCTTAATTTAATACTTAGTATAGAAGCCTTAACTACAGCATTTGACCCTTGCGTTTCAAATGGTGAGAAGGAAGGGGAAAACTTAAAGTAAAAAACTTACATTTATCAAATTAAATTTAGTCTATGTGGACACCTACCTTGATAATGAACAGTCAAAATTATGTTTATGTCCAATATTATATTGATATATAATTTATTTTTCCTTTTTTATGTATGGTTTATGTTAGAATGAATGCTAATAGTATATTGGACTATGAGGTTGACTTCTGATTTTTCTTTCTCACCCAGCATCTGTATTCTAGTAGACAACATGCACTCTCTTAACTTTCAGCCCATGTAGTTTGGGTGGGATTACCCTCATACCTCTTTTCAGAGGAAGGCTTGTGGCTGTAGATTGATCAATATGAATATGGTGCCTGCTGCTACTGTAGTGACTGATTCTGGTAAAGATGAAGCTATCTTGCTGATGCTATCAGGGAAAATGTGATACATTTCATTTGCTATGAAGAGTATAGGATATATCATAGGAGACAGTTATCATCTTTGCCATTACGCACAGATCTCAGGCATGAAGAGCCTGGTGGAGATTAAAATCAACACATAGGAAACAAACTCTAGAAAATATGGGGTAGATAATAACAAAATTCTTGAAGTCTTGGATTCCTCCATGCCTAATTACAGCTTATTTTTTCAGCTAGGTAGGTCAGTAAATCCTCTCCTACACCGTAGTTATTTGCTTTAAGCCAACTTGAAGTGAACTTCTGTCTCTTCTTTAATCTGGTAAGTCCACCCTGCTCCTTGTTATAAGGTAAAGTTTTATGATAAATGATGTGTCTCCCTATTTCCAGGAACTTGATGCAGTCCCTTTTATGGCAAGTCAAATAGTATAACAGGCACTTGTCTTTACAAATTAAAAAAAACATCAGATTTTAGTAGTATAAGCATTAGGCAAAAACATGACAAATAATAAGAGTAGCAAGCAAATGGATGTTTACTTCATCAAATTCACTTTGAAGTAAGTATATCAAATTTAGTGCACTTAAATATTAATTTACTAAATGGTACCTGAGTCACCTGAATTAATGGAGTATGAAGATGTACATTACTTATTCTGTCTTGTAAAGTAGAAAGAATTTGGATCATTAAATGCCTAAACATTCATGATGGGATGACATCTATTATATGTGCATATACATTTTTTAAGTAGATAGTGTTTTTTTTACCAGTTATTTAAATATCCATCTTTTCAGTAATTAAAATGCCTACAGCTATTTTTCCTTTTATATTATTTAATGTTCTTCTAGGCAGAGGAAAGAGAGAGTAATAGCATATGAATAGCTATTTCCTAAAAGCTCTTGAAAACCTGACAAAAGTGGAGAATTGTGTTTGTTCTTTAGTGAAGAGTTCTGTTAATATTTCAAAAGTGGAGCATCAAACCTTTTAATTGGTAGCATAAGAGTTGTCTGTATACAAATAAGGGATTTATGATTCACAGAGATATTGATTTAGGTAGTGATATCAAGACAAAAAGCCAAATCAATAAATGTTTAATGACTGTGTACTATATGAAAATCTTGGTTCCCACTTAAGCATTTTGTAGTTGCTATATATTTTCTGGGAGAACCCCACATCATACGCTCTCATTCTAAAATTTCTCTTTCATTCATCAACTCATCTATTAATTAAAAATTGAACTTTAAAGTGGATTCAAGAAAACAGAATTTTCAAAATCACAGATTTTATCATTTGATATATTCGATCACATCAGTTTTTAAACATAGGACAAAAATAATGAATTTAAATGTGATTGTCCTTAAACTGGAAAAATACTCCAAAGTTTATGTACTTGCGTGAGCAGAAAACGTATTAATATTGATCCTTAAAAAATGTCTGTTTTTCTCCAACAAAGAGAATCTTACGTCTTCAAGCCCTGTTCACACCGCTTGTCCCATTAGAATAAACCTTATTTAAGGTAAGTAATTTGTAAATTAAATAAGATGAATGAAAATGACCTTTTTTGCAAGAGATAAAATTTCCACAGAATTTTGAAGAATATGATTGTGAATAGAGAGATTTTTTGGAGTAGTTGGCAAACCAGAGGCTCTTTATGGCATGATTTATGAGAAAATTGGGGGAAAAAGAAATGCAGCTCTTCAGTATTGCTGTGATTATGAATTAGATGTTTTTAATGTTCTTTGATAGATGTGAGTAAAGAATGGAATTTCTTTTTCATTATCTTTGCATGGTGAACAGTGTGTAATGTTCAGAGTCTGAGCTCTTATTTTCTTTAAACAGTTAGATATCTAGCAGATTACCAAGGAGGAGAAGGATCAGTGTCAATATCTTGTATTTCATAAAGCTCTAACATTTCAAGCATCATCTCATAAGTTCCTAACCCTGGTTTCAGTTTGCATATTTGTTGAAAAAACAAGAGAAGTTCATTCAACAGCATTAAAATTCATCCCTGCTAACATTCGACAAAGATTTTTTGGGAATTAATCAACTGCAGTGGCTCCCGAATAAAACACTCACAATATAATATTTTAAGCCACAGCTAGCTATTAACACTCTGAAAGATGAACTGCATACATGTTTCACGAAGATTTATATGAAGGACTGATCTGAAATATATAAGAGATGCTGATAGAGAATTCACCTGGCTTCTAAATGAGGCAATACTCTCCCAGAATTTATTTATTACCAATGTATTTCAATTGTGAAAGATGGTGTAAGAACTTGGAACCCACAAGCATCTGGATAGAAATATGAAGATGGCTTGACCTTGCAGGTGATGAGTTATTTGCCGCTGCTCCCGGGTATTATTCCACCTGCTTTGGGTAAACAGCATGATATTGCCAACAGGGGGAGGTACAGACAGAAGACGGATGAAGCCGATTTTGTTTAGGAGTGTAATTTAGCTGAACTGACAATATATTATACCTTAATAGTCCCTCAGAGTGAATTTAATTGATGACCCAACTTAGATATTCCCTTAGAGTATCTTTGTACTGGATTGGATGCAAGCTGGGTGCTTATGTTTGCTTCCCTGTTGTTAATAGAGTTACTGCCATCTGGAGAAGATATCTGCTAATATGTTACGGAGTTTTTTCCATTGTTGCTGCTTCTGTGAAGAACTCAGAAAGGTTCTGATAAGCCAAGAGAAAAGACAAAAGTAATGCTTTTCTCAGCGAGATCTAAGAATGTTTAGTAGATTGACAGAGATCATTAACACTTTAAATGTAGTTTTACTTCCATTTTCAGTCAGGTGAAGTGAAAGTAAAAGTTTATACTGGATAGCAAAATTAAATAATGTTTTTAGTGTTGAGACTGCCTATTATACACTTACACACACACTTACACACATATCCAGGAGAGAAAATATTTATAAAAAGAAAATTACAACTAAGAAATCTTGTTTGATAATACTACTTTAAAAGCTAAGGCACATAAAAGAGAATTAGATCTCTGTCATTAAGATTGTCCATAAAAATGCTTGTTTCTCATACATAAGACAGTGGGAAAAAAGGTTAGGACTAATCAATTTTTATCTTCTTATGAATATAGTAGAGAGCTTAGGCATGTAATATTATGAAACTTTACAAATACTGATTTAAAATGTGCTATAAGCACACTGGCCCCCACAGCCCTGCTAAGTTTACTATAGACATCAGGTCTTTTTTTTTAATATGATATTTGTTAATTAATTTATTCACCAAACATTGTTTATTAAACATATTGTATGTGTTTAGCATAAACTTAGGGGCAAGAAAATTAATGACTAAGAAATTTCCCCTGTCTTCAAAGTGTGCATAGTTTAATAAAAAGAGACAGCTATTTTAAATATGTGACTGTAGTAAAATTACAGATGTCAATTTAAAAATATGCATAAGACAACGCACAAAAGAGGCAGTTCTACTGCTAATTTTGTGGTGGATGGACAGTTTTACCACATTGATCTTCGTTGACCAGAAAAGGTCAGCTGTGATCAGTCTGTAATCTGTTCAATAGAAGACTTATACGAGGCATGTATCATTTTGAGACTCTGTGATTGTTGTTTAGAATACAAAAACAAAAGGTCATGTCTTTGAAGAATTTACAGAGTTTAAAAGAATTTAAATACCTTAGCATATTTCCCAGGCCCTTGTTGGGCACTGCTTGTGTGGATGATCCACTAGTATCTCAAAGTCAATGTATGCTACACTAAATCTTTCTTTCTTTCTAAATCTTTTCCTACACTTATGACTCCATCATATTTCTAGTCTCTAAAACTTAAAGACTCAGAGTCTCTGTCTTCATCTCACTGATTACTCACATGCAGCCACTTCCTGCTCTTTTATTTCTGTTACCATTGCACAGTTCAGGTGCTTTTGTAAGACCACCCAAACTAATCAGCATCTCTAGTCTCTTTCCTTTCCCATTCCAATTTATATTAAAACCACTTACTAAAAAGTTTTAAGACACACTGCTTCTAACTTAATATTCCCTTTTAGTCATAAATGATTTTAATGATTACACTACATATTTAGAAAAAAATAATAAACAAGAAACCTTAAATTGTTATATAAGGCCCTTTACACTCAGGACCTAGTCAATTTTTTCAATCTGTATTTTATTATTTCTGAATATCATTCAGCATTCCATTTAAATGGAATTATGTAGTATTTCCCATACCTGTCCTGCAGTTTCCTGATTCCCTGCTTTATTTTCTCTTATAATTCAATCTAGACTGTATTTTTCTATACAGAAATCTCATTCCCCTTGTTAGATCGAAAATGCTATTTATTGGATGTGTGAGATTTTCTTCAATATAATCCCATGAAAGTCTTCTGTGAAATTTCATAATATTTTATGCACACTTGAAACAGAAGTGATCATTTGGGGTTCCTTGTGGTGTAGTACAGAAAGCATTAGATTTAAAATTAGACCTGTGAATTTCAATTGTCCCTGTCACTATTGTTTCTGAGACTTTAGCTAAATCATATATACTGCTAATTTTGTGGTGGATGAACATTGTTACCACGTTGATCTTTGTTGACCAGAAAAGGTCAGCTGTGATCAGTCTATAATCTATTCAATAAAAGACATATTTATTGTCACCTCAGAAGTAATAATATATATCAATAATAATAATATTACTCATTGAGAATTAGAGAAAGTAAGTGCCAATACATTTTGTAAAATGTTAAACTGAATGAGAGATAGATATGGGTTTTAATCTTTGGTTTTCATCTGATTCATGAAACAAGATTATTTTGGGTTTTATTTTTCTATTACCATTGAGGCTACATAATAGTCACTTTAAGTTTAAAACAAGCATAAAGGTAAATGTGAAGAAGTGGGTTTATATTTAATAAGCACAAGAGATATTTGTCAATTGAATAAATAAATGACTGAATGAGTAGATGAACTTCAGCAAGACATATTACATCTTTCCTAAATAGTGTCAGGTTGCATATAAAAATCAGCATCTACATATATTCTGAATTCAATTGAGAATAACATGTGATTCAGGAGTTAACAGTATTTCCCTGATGCTCAAAATCAGCATTAATGAGATTTAATATGAAAACAAACGAACAAAACTTTGGTTTAGGTTAAGAAAGCAAAATTAGTTTTATGATCTCGACAGTTCTCATAATGAAGATCAAACACATTAAGAAAGAAAAACATGCTAAAAAAGGAATAAAACAAAGTTACAGAGAGATATGAGGCGGTTTTTGAAAAGCCAAAGATAAGTGCTTCAAAAATGTTTTTTTAAGCTCCCACTATGGCCTAGACATACGTTAGAAGTGAGCTTATAACCATTCTTCCTCTTAAAGTGATGAGAGCTTCATTATTTTTCTTCTCTATTGATCTATTAGCACAAAGGTACATATCAAAAACTAAAACAAAACCCTAACTCAAACAGCTGCTATATATTCACTATCATCAACCTCCATTTAAAACTGCAGAAATAATTGTAAGAAATCTCAAGTATCATGATATGTGAAATTATAATAACATTATAATTTATAATAATAATAACATCTAATGGGCACCAGAAGAATACATCTTCACAAGAAGGAAATTTTAAGTGACATTAAATGGTGGACAGGTTTCCTCAAAAATAAAATAATAATCTAACCCACAGAACAATGTTTCAAGTTTTCAAATAATTGGCAGATATACTGGTAGATAGTTATTTTTATTTTTTCAGGTACAGTCACTTTCTTTAGAAAATAATTCACACTAAAGCTGAGGAACATTTAGTCTGAATTCTAACCTCAGGCTTTTTTAGTATGAGAGTGACTGAGAGCAAAAGCATCTTCTGCATGAAGGCCAAAGTGTGCTTTGATTGAATATGTTTCCTGGCACCCATGTAAAACATATACTCACTTGACTAACTTCAGAGCAGCAGGTTTTCATTGAATCCATTCTTGCTCTATTAATCTTCAATACCTATTTCATAAAATTATAGAATTTAGAGCCTAAAGGGTCTTTCTCTATTTCAACTCTGTCAATTTACAGATACATAAACTAAGGTCTAGACAGGTTGAGAAACTTGCCCAAGGTTAAACAACTTCCTATTAACAGAGTGAAAACTAGGGTGATCTCTCTCTCTCTCTCTGTGTCTCTCTCTCGCTCTCTATCTATCTATACACACACACACACGTATATATAAATATATGTGTATATATATATGTCTTTGTATATGTGTGTTTGTGTGTGTATATATATATCTCAACTTTGGAATAAATACATAATCACTCTCTAGTTTTGTCTGCCGGCACTATGTAATTGATTTTTCCAGGCTTTTGTACATAAAACTAATAAGATATAAATTGTTCTCTATAAAACAGTGAAATAATTTTATAACTCCAAATATATCCATAAATCTTATCTTGAGTTCAATCATATATGATAGGATGGGGGATAAATATAGATTTTTCTACAATATACTGTACTAACAAAAGAAAAGCAGGCGTTTTAAGTAAGCCAAGTTTTAATCTATTAATAGATGACATTTCTCTATATCTCTTGGAATTTCTAAATTCTTTTAAAACTACAACAATTCCAAAATGTGAATCAGAATCAGAATCTAAGAACTATGATTTTGGAGACTCAGTTTTAAACAGTATATATTGTCTACTATTGTAAAGTTAATGTTTATGAAATTATGAAATCAGATGGCTTAAGAAGAAGAGAAGCATTTGAGAAGTCAGTGTTTCTTAAATGTAAGCTGGGCAATGGCAAACTTTTAACTTTCTATTTTAACAGTTTATTTTTCATCTTATAATCAAGACTGTTTTAAAAAAAAAACACTGTGAAACAAAAAAGTGTGATTACTTTTATTTTAGTATGTTTAATTAAATCTAAGGATAATTAATAATAATTGACTCCTATGAAATTGAATATGAATAATTTCATCAATGAACAAATACATTGAAAACATTAACAATGAATCTAAAGGCCAGTTGCTAGGTATCAAAACAGTATATTCATAAAATGTAGCAATGCATTATATATGTATTTAATGTTAATTTGATAAGCATGTTTTAAAGTTTTTCTCTTTTGATATATAGAAAAATACTAAAGAAAAAATATCTAGCAGTATTATTACCTCAAATATATGCATATATAAAATTAGGGTAATGTATACTCATTTTGTTTTCCTCACAAGCTCTAAACTTCCCCCACTCTGGGCTTACCTTGCAAACCATGAGGCAAGCTATGAGACTTATATACAAGTCATGACATCCTCTTGTTCATTAGCTAATGGTATTATTCTAGGTTTTTTCATTCTACTACTGTGCAAGTTGTTCCTAATGTTTTAAGAGGATGTTAACTTTGTATTTGGAATTATTTTCTTTAATTTGCTGCATTTTTAATCAAGTTAAGCTCCAGACATATCTTAAAGTCCCAAAGAAAATGCAGCAAATTAAAGAAAGTAATTCGAAGGAGCCTTCTTGTTAAACTGAAACCTAGATCAAATGGTGAGAGAACATTACATTCAGAGGATTTGCAAACTGTATTTCACAGTCTATTGGCCCCTTTATTCAATGTGTAAAACTAATAAAAATTGTTTTTGAAGTTAAGTAGACACTTGGCACTGCATGGTTTGAAAACTATTGATTTAGTTCAATCCCATGGAATAATGATTCTTAACTATCTGTGGTAGAGTATTTTTTGTTTTAGCATTATTTTGTTTGCTTGTCCACTCTAATATTTTGTAAAATACAATAAAATTTAATAATTAAGAAAATTCAATGAAAAAATATACATTTTTAAGTTGTCCATTTTTAAAATTTTGTAATTGACAAGTAAAACTTGCATATACTTACGGTGTACAACGTGACGTTTTGAATGTGTATACATTTCTGAATGCCTAAATCAAACTATTTAACATATGCATAACCTTACATACTTATATTTTGTGATGAGAACACTTCAAATCTACTGTCTTAGCAGTTTTCAAGTATATAATATATTGTGACTAACTATAGTCACTGTGATGTACAACAGATATCTTTAACTGGGTCCTTCTGTCTGAGAGAAATTTTGTACCCTTTGACCAACTTTCCCAAATCCCTCCACTACCTGACCTGTGGTAACCACCATTTTACACTGCTTCTATGATTTTGACTACTTTAGATTCCACATCTAAGTGAGATCATTCAGTATTTTTCTATATGTGCCTAGTTTATTTCACTTAACCTAATTTACTCCAAGGTCTCCTGTGTTGTCACAGACGAAAGTATTTCATTCTTTTTTTTTAAGTTTGAATAGTATTCCATTGTCTATATACACCACACTTTCTTTATCCATTCATCCGTTAATGAACACAGGTCGATTCTTCCATTGGTCAACATGTCTGTGTTCATGCCAGTTCCATGCTGCTTTGATTATTAGAGTTTTATAGTAGATTTTAATATCAAGTAGTGTGATGTTCTTTTTGTCAAGTTTTGTTCTTTTGCTTAAGATTACTTTGGCTATTTGGAGTCTTTTGTGGTGACATTAGTACAAGAGAAGTTGTTCCTTACCCATGAAAAAATTAAGAAAAAATATAAACTTTATTTTGATTAGGTCAACTTATGTGTTTCCATAAAATGTATAAAATTTATGGCCATATTATTCTAAATATTAGATTTAATAAACCTTAAATAACATTGCAATCAATAAATCAGAAAAAAATTGCAGGGTAAAAAAAGTTAAATTATATGCATAGTTTATTGAAAGTACGCAAATAGATGTATAATTTAGAAAATTGTTATTACACAGATAACATTTTGTTGTTAGGGGTAAAGAAGGATTATACATTGTGCCTATATGGCTATATGCTCACATTAAACACAATTTAATATCAATTAAATAAAAATGTAATTTATATTAAAATTTTTATGGAACAAGTCAGCTTTGTTTTGTTCAATTTATCTATTTAAATTAATTTTCATCTATTTTAATAGATGATTTGTTTATTGTAGGGATGCATAGTAACAATGTTGTTCACAAGGTATAATACATATTGAAAATTTTTCTGTGTTTTGTTCTAATAACTCATAGAGTAGAAACACCCATCTCACAGAGTTACCCTGTTGAGAATGGAAGATGTTTTAAAGAATTCAAGCAAAGTAAGGATATCATGTTTTATTTTGTTCAAAACAAAGGAAGCAATATTATGACTTTAAATATTTTATTACATTTTTGATTAGAAGTCAGTGTTATTCATTTATTTATTTGTTTTTCATTTAGAGGGAGGGTCTTGCTCTGTCACTCAGACTGGAGTGCAGTGGCATCATTATAGCTCACTGCAAACTCAAATTCCTGGGCTCAGGCAAGCCTCCCACCATAGCCTCCTGAAAAGCTAGGACTATAGGCTCAGATCACCATGCCCAGCTAATTTTAAAAACTTTTTGGAGAGATGAAGTTCTCACTATGTTGCCCCAGCTGCTTTTGAACCCTTGGCCTCAAGCCGTCGTCCTGCCTTGGACTCTCAAAGTGCTGGGATTACAGGTGTGAACCATTCTGCCTGTTGTGATTCTTGAATTTTTCTTCAGTGAAATTAATGAGTCATAATTTACAAACTAACCTTAAACTATCACATACTTTAACATGGTTATAACTGAAATGATTAGTATGCCGTTCTTACTTCCAGTGACTCACCACACAATTTCAAAAACTCATCTGTACTTTTAATTAAAACAAACCCACTGATCACAGGCTTGCATGTTTCAGCAGTGTCACATTGCTCTACAAGATTAGAAATGTTTAGTCTCAATTTATTTATATATCTTATCACAGTTTAATAATAAACAGTGTGCTGCCACTGGTCTGCAGAACATATTTGAGTAGCACTAATGTAAAAACAACCAACCAAGTATCATTTGTGTGTTGGTATCTAGCTTTCATTCTCCCCTTCTCTCATTTAAATCCATTCAAATTTTCCTAGAAGAACAATTGTTCCCTCTCAATTTGGGTGGAATCAACCCATTTTCCAAACCCCATTTGGCCTATGCCAATCAGTGGAATTCCATTCCCCACGCAAGGGTGTTGGTTCAAGTTTAGGTGCTTGGCAAAGTAGGCCCAATTAAATAAAGCTAAATTTAAAACAAAATTAATGGCCAAAAGATAAATACTCCCTCTATTAGGATGGATACAAAAATATGTGCCAGAAGTTATGACACCAGAAAGAAAGATGGCCATGGAATGAAGCCGTGACTGGAAAGGCAGAGTGAGGGATAGAAACCACACTCTGCCACATAATGTGGGTCTAACCACGTAATTTATCTTAATTAAAAATGCATGCATACAAAACAGCACTCTTTTTTTGTTGAAGTATAAACAAAACACCAAAATTCACAATAAATACATACATTAAAATGACTACCTATAACATAGAATGTAAAGGAGGATGGGAGTGCAAAATGGGGTTTAATGAAAAAAAAATTAAAGGAAATTTATATTGGAAACAATAAATGTAACTAACAAATCTCCAACACCTACTGTTACGTATAACTATACCTATGCCAATACGCATATGATATCTGTATCTATACTTATGGCTATAAATATAAAGGCAGGTGCTTGTTGATATTATTGAGCCATTGAATCAAATAAACCTTGAAACTTGCCCCTGATTATAGAAAATACAAGGAGCCTGCAAACAGTGTAACATATAGAATTCTGCTCTTGTGAACTTTAGTTCATTTTATAACTTCAAGGTAGCAATTTTGTTTTGACTGTTAATCTTTGTTTATGTTAACTATGCATTTATTTCTTTTCCCTTCTTTTTTTTCCCAAATTTTCTATCTTTTTTTAGTTTCCTCCCTCTAGAAATATAACTTTCAAAATGTTCTTTAAAGGGAGCTGTCAATGGGAAAATCTGTTTTTCTGAAATTAAATTTATTTTAACTTTATTATAAGATAATTAAATTCTAGGTTGAAAGTCATACTCTCTCAGCAAATTTAGAAGCACATTGTCCCACTATTGTCAGATTGACAATGATGAGAAAATAGATAGCAAATATGACGTATTTTTGAAGATATTTTGTTCTCCTCTCCTAACCCCACTTCTATCTGCTTTTTACATTTCCTCTTTTTCTTTTTCAATCAGCAGTTTGTATCTGATATTCTAGGTATGGATTCATTCTTACTTATCACTTTGTGAATTTCACTAGGATTTTAGCCTTTCTTCAGATATATCTGTAATTTCACAAATTCCTTTTCAATTAGTTCCAAATCTGTATTAGAATTTTTTATTTTAAAATATTCACACATAAACATCTTGTTTTATTATTTTTTTAAACAGGTGGCCATTTTTAATATTTTTCTCTTGTGTGTTTTCCTTTCAACATATTAAGAACATATTTAATATATTTAATATTTTGTCACCGATGGTTATAGAATTTCTAGTCTTTGAGAGCCTAACTATGCTCTATGTTGTTTCTGCTTGTTCTTATTCACAGTGTCTTTTTTGATGTTTACAATTTTTACTTTTACCTTCTATATTTAGGAACTTGATTTGACAAAATTTTGAGGTCTAGTTTGGAGATTAATTTCTCCAGAGAGAATTTGCATTTGTTATTTCCAGAATCTTGGTGATACTAATACACTGAAAATTCAGGAGGCAAATCCATATTAAAGGTGAACTTGTACATTTTTTTTTAAAGCTCTACTTAACTTCACGTTTTTGGTCAGAATATTTTATTTGGTGTCTTCTAAGTTTAAGTTTTATGTTTATTTCTTTTTTTATATACTTACACTAAGTGCGTCACCCTGGTCTTCCCAGCTTTGTGAATGGGCCAGGGAGAGGTGCTCTCACCTATTAGACTGCTTATTTTGGATGAATCCTGGCCTCCGCTTCTCCACAAACTTCGAGTTTATGAAAACTGAAATTTTATTTGATTCAGCTCAAAAAGTTATCTGTGTTCAACTTTCATTCAGTTTTTGCATAGTATATATCTTTGTGTTAGTTAACTAATATCTACCCTTTCACTGGGAGATTAGGCCAGGGTTCCAGGTAACACTTCTGCTAGAAATCAAAATCTCTCTTTTTATTCATTTTTAAAATATTTTCAATTTATTTTAAAGCGATAACTGAACTGAGATCCATATATGCATACTCTGGATATTTTTGGAAGAAAAATTGGATATGTATGATTCAAAGTAATTTTATTTTGTATTATATTCTCTATGAGTGTGAGTGAGTCTCTTGACTACTGCGAGCTTACATATAGTTACCTGAGTATTTAGCAGTATCATTTGAATCTGGTCTTATGTTATTTCCCCTTAAGTGTTCTTGTACACACTCACACACACACACACACACACACACACACAAATAGATACACACAAAGTCTCTTAAAATGGTTTAAAATAAACTTTTTGTAAAATTGATAATGCTACTGATGAGAATAAACATGTCAAAGAAAGCAATTATTGTTAGCATAAAAATAAATAGGAATAAATATTACAATATTAAAAGCAGTCATAGCTTAAATTCCTGATGACATTTAAATGTTTTCAAGATAATAGACTAAGTACAAAATTCTAGAGGAAGATAAGGTAGAGGTGAACAAAATCAGTGTTGGAAAACGAGCTTTCAGTGAAAACATCTTAAGAAGTTTTTCCGTAATGTTCTATGCATGCTTATTCTCCACTTTTAGATTCTAAAATAACCTTAGAAAAGTAGAGTGGAAGTAGAAAATCAGAGAGATATACTGATAAATTAAAAATCATATTTTTGACATCTTCCTATTAAGTAGAAATTATTTGTTTTTCTACGTTAAAGCAAATACACTTACAAATGGCCTTTATGGACTTCAGATAACTACCCATCTCAATACTGGTTATAATAATTCAAAGAGATGAGATTTAACATTTTTTGCTATATTTGTAGGTTAAACAGAAAGGTAGATTTTTTTATAACTTATTTGTTTCATCCACAATCATATCAACTTTGTTGATGCAAAAATAGAATTCTTCTTGCCCAATATTTTATATAATGTTTGAGGAATGAAGTTACCTTTTGCTGAATCCCTTTTTTGAAATAACTTTTGCAAATTAAATCTATGAACCTTTGCTGTCAATGTAACAGATAGCTGACATTGTCTCACGTTGTGAAATTTGCTCATCCAAAGTAGAAAGTGATGTAGAAAATGTTGAGTTTTTAGATTATTTGTTGACAGAAATGGAACATTCTGGAAATGAATCTGATCTACACATCCAGTACAATTCAGCTGATGTTTTATCAAATTTAGGCCATCAGAAAAAGATACTGAAGTCATTATTAAATGAATTGAACTTGGCAGCTCCATAGATACACTGCCCTACATGTATCTAAAGAGAGATGGCATTAAGAAAAATAAATTATTCTTTTAAAACTTGACTTTATCCCTCTTTAGCAGATATGCAAACCTACAGTATAAATTGTTGTGCTATGTCTAAAATATAAAAGGAATGCAACAGAGCTACACAAGTTCATAATCAAATTGTTCCAAAATATAATCTGATCTACTATATTATTCTTTTTTTGGTTATTTAGAATACTGTTTAATGTATATTCTATTAAAAATGTGTAGCATAAACTCAGAATGTTATGACACCTCGTTCATTTTTCATTTATTAATTTATAAGGAACAATGCATTTCTGCTCATACATGAAAATAATAAACCTAATTTTATTATATACGTGTGCTGTGGTTGAATGTGCTCTCCTCCAAAATTCAGGTGTTGAAACTTAATAGCCAATGTAATGGTATTAAGAAGGGAGGGGCTTTAAAAGATTATTAGGACACAGTGGCTCCTCCCTAGTTAACAAGATTAAAGCCCTTATAAAAGAAAGTTTTCATAGCTTTCTGCTAGCTTGCTCTTCTGCCTTCCACAATGGGAGGATAAAACTTTCCTCCCCTGAACAGATAAAGCAAGAAGGTGCCAACTTGGGAGCAGAGAGTAGCCCTTTCTTATAAGACAACTGAACCTACCAGTGCCTTAATCTTGGACTTCCTAGCTTCCAGAGCCATGAGAAAATAAATTTATGTTTTTTATTAATTACCTGGTCTCAGATGTTTTGTTATAGCAGTACAGACTAAGACAGTGTGTTAATGAACCATCCTTCAAATTTGTGATCCCTTAGTTGAATTTTGCAGGACGAATATGAATTTTTAAAATTATTTTCTACAATTTCTTTATATATTAGAGGATACAATTCAGATCATTGCTTTTGTTTATTTTATATTATTAGCATTTAAAAACTCTTAATATTTTGTTATCTTTGTTGAACACACTGATTTATGGGAAGTAGGAATGACTTCATGAATGTAAAGTGACAGAGAAATTATTAGATATTTTTTATTAGTTCATGCCCTAAAAATATTTTAATCTAAATAGTGTATTAAATTTAAGTCATTTTATAAGTCAGAATTTGTTAAAATTAATACAATTAATACAAAAGTAATACAATATATGCGATGATATTGTACCAATTAAAGTTAATACAATATCAATATATCAATATATGTTTCATACAATATATAACAAAATATACATTCTTCCCAAATTTTCAGTAAGGTAGAGCTGTTGTGAAACCTGAGAGAGGTAATTACCTCTTTTCCCTTTACCTAGAGTATTTGATTAAAATACTCCATAATTAAATACTGCCTTGGAATGAAAATGCAATTTAAAATATGAAATGTGATTTGGCAGATAAAAGATCTGCTATAGAAGTAGCAAGTATAGATTAATGATGAGTTTTGAGCCCAGTTTTAAGGCATTTACCACCCTTCACATAAATTAGAGCATTTGACCTTTAAGCATACAACTGTCTTCAATGAAATGATAACTGCAGTGGAGAAAAAGAACAATCAAAGCAAAGAAAACTAATCAGTTAGCTCTACTGAGGAAGGAAACTGCAGAATTTAGGCCAATGTTTTAAGTCCAAGCAAGAAAAAAACTAATTTCCCATGGACTTTCCATTTCGACAAGATTATCTGAGCACACTTAGAAAAGCAAAAATGAATTCTGCCAAAAAGATGGAATAATATTACAGATGTTAGAAGAGATAGAAAATAGATTCCTCGATGTGCACAAGAGATTGTATTTGGGATAATAAATTCCATTTTAGGTTGAATCTACTGTGGGAACCTAACCATCCTTAAATCTTCCAGGCTTGGTAGAAAGGTTAGATAGTCACAGCTTGAGTGTCAGGGGTTATAAACCCTACTCTCAACTCAATTATTTTAGTGGCGAAAACTACACACACTATTTTACAGTTACAATAACAAGACATAACTCATTGGATCAATGTAAAATACCTGTGATAAAGTGTGTTTCTTTGTTTTTGTTTTTAATTTTAAAACTTGGGAGGTGTGTTTAGTATAACATTAACAGACAGTTTAATATACATACATATACACTCTTCGTCTAAATTTTAGATTTAATAGTTACTGCTTTTAATTACAAAGAATGACCAGGCTAAGACTGATAAAATGTCCTCTTCCCCTTAGAAAAGGTGAAATGTAACATTATGCAAATTTATTTCACTGTGTCTTCTTTGTGACTTTTTTTTTTCTCGGCCTTTTTGTTTTATCACTATCTTTGACATGTGGCCCATGCGAAAATGTCCTGCATTTCTAAACTTTGGGACATTGGCATAGTTTTGATTAATGAGCTTATTGTTATTCATCCTAGTTAGAGCTTGCTGAACAAAAGTCTCCTTATTATCCCTAATTTATATGTCTCACTTGTATTTGTTCTGCCACATTTCCTCTAATGACTTTCTATATTTAATCACTATATTTAAGAAAAGGAATTTAATGTAATTCCTTGCTGTGCCACATAGTGTTTGGAGTGTATTTGCTATTTTACATGAGTTGTAGCTGTAGTGTGATGGGTACCCCACCAGGGTTATGTAAGGATGAATGTCTGCTACCTGAACCCCGAAGGCTGGACAGTGAGCCAAGGCTATGGTACCTAGCCAAGGAGCAAGTGTCCCTGAGAACCCACAAATCCCAGAGAGTATCTGAGAACCTACCATGGAAAACAGTGCTATCACATACATACAGTAGGCAAAGAGCCAGAAAAATAGCCTAAAAGCAGCTTTGAGATGGGAGATGGTGCAGATCTCTAGATCTGTCCTGCTGTCCCCCAGAAGAGTCCCATACATAAATCCTAATAAACTTATCTACTGGTCAAGCTAGACTTGTCTGAGTCAGTCTTGATCTCTCGGCTCCTTCCCAGTTTGGGGGGTGGGGAGGGGAAATTAAAGTCACAAGTTTTTCTCATATCAATAGCTAGATATTATTTGAAATGTCTCGTTTGAGTGAAACCAAGATAAATTCAGGGAAGTTAGTTTAAACTCACCATGACTAGAATGGTGAGTTAAAAAAAAAAAAAAGGAATAAAAATGTGTTTCCATTTAGATGTGCATACGCACTTTCCTGTAACTTGATGGAAACATTCAGACTTGAATTTATTTTATGTTTGTAAGTCAAACAAAAGGTCATTTTATTTATTGCTTATGTTTTTTTGTTCTGTATGTACTGGCATCGTTATTAATTATTTATTAGTTAAATAGAATTCACTTTATAATTGCCAAGGTTTTATTCTGAGATTTTACTGAACAGGAGCATATCAATTAATTTGTTTTCCCTGTCTATATCATCTATATCATCTCTCTCTCTCTCTCTCTCTCTGTCTCTATATATATATATATATATATATATATATATGTATATCATATATATACACACACATATATATATTCATTACCGAAATCAAATTGATCAAGACGCCATAGGATCAATTGTTAAGGTAGGCAAACAAATTGCAGTATTTTCACGTGAGTGTAGCCAATGCATTTTTCACAGAAATGTTATAATATGGTGAGTTTGATCTAAAAGCAATTTAAATATAAACAAAATCCGGCCTGGAACGATGGCTCATTCTTGTAATCCCAGCACTTTGGGAGGCCGAGGTGGGTGGATCATGAGGTCAGGAGATCAAGACCATCCTGGCTAACACGGTGAAACCTCGTCTCTACTAAAAATACAAAAATTAGCCGGGCGTGGTGGTGGGCGCCTGTAGTCCCAGGTACTCAGGAGGCTGAGGCAGGAGAATGGCCTGAACCCGGGAGGCGGAGCTTGTAGTGAACCGAGATCACGCCAGGGCAGTCCAACCTGGGCGACAGAGCGAGACTCCGTCTCAAAAAAAAAAAAAAAAAAAAAAGTAAATAAATAAATAATAAATAAGTAAATAAATGTAAACAAAGTCCTTGGTATTAATTCAGTTGTAATCTGTTGATTTTCTCTATACTTGCTATGTGAATGTCTTTTTTAATAGAATACAGCTTCTGTGAAGCAAACTATGCTATTTTTATGCTTCATTTTAAATGTAAAATATTAACTTTCTTTCACGCAATCACTGGTATGGAGAGAACATTGGGGAACATATTGGAAGTTAACATAATTATATCAATAGTTCCCTAGTGGTCAAAAGCATTAGTACTCAAATTGCATTATGAATATGAAAATCCAGTAATTTTGATTTAGGTCATTTGTCACACTGGCATCAGAAATTGCAAGTCACTGCTGCTGTCTAAAATTTTGAATTTCATATGACTGGTGATTAAATTCAAAAGAACCTTCTGGTTCATCAACAATCTATCCAAACTGTGTAAAATCCATTCATAGGCACATTTCTTCTATGTTCTAATTTTATGTAAGTACTAACACACATTCCCCTTTCTATTCACATTATATTTTTGAGCAATGGAAATGCATTGGATGGAAAATAGTTCTGAAACTGATATGATCAAAAGTAATTACACTTGGGTAGAATGTGAATTTAGAGTTAAACTTACATTCTGTTTGCACACCTAACTAGTGAATATTGCTCTATAGCAGAAGGATTATTACTTTTAAAAAGTGAGTTCAGATCATTATTTTCCACTGCAAGTTCAGATATTCAACTTGCAGCTGGATTTATATAGCATGCAAACACTTGTACAGGACATAAAATTTGGACAGGTCATAAGTGCACAAATGCTGTTGCTAGATACTTATCTCTGGCTGACAAATAGGTGCAGTTCAATGAAATGGATATTAGAGTGTTATATTGCAGTATAATTGAACCACTCTAGTAAACACAAGGTAACTATTAGTAGCATACTAAATATTGTTCTGAATTAGATCATTCTATTGAAATATAAACATATAAAGAAAATAAAATAAATGAAAAGTAATACATTTTAAAACTATTTTTAAATTGCTTTAAATGTTTCAAAAATGTTTTAAAAACTTTTTAAAAAAAAAGAAAAAACAATATTAGCTATAAAATGGTTTCAATTCAGGAACTTTCCTGTTCCATAACCTTGTCAAATTAAATGACTTCTCTAAGGTTCATTTACAGGATGGTTAGAAGTATTAAATGATAGTATTTTCATAAAACACTTAGCATCATGTTTAATATATAAAAGATACCACAACACAACTTAGAAAAGATATTTATTATTATAAAATATAACATTCTTTGGAACAGTAAATACTGTTTAGTGTTTTAAAGTTACCCTTCTGACCTCATTTTCTTTTTTATTTGTTTATTCACTTATTTATTTATTTTTTACTTTAAGTTATGGGATACATGTGTAAAATGCGCAGGCTTGTTATGTACGTACACATGTGCCGTAGTGGTTTGCTGCACCTTTCAACCCATCACCTAGGTTTTAAGCTCCGCATGCATTAGGTATTTCTCGTGATGCTTCCCCACCCCTCGCACCCCCTCCCTGCTGAGAGGCCCCAGTGTGTGTTATTTCCCTCCCTGTGCCCATGTGTTCTCATTGTTCAGCTCCCACTTATGAGTGAGAACATGTGGTGTTTGGTTTTCTGTTCCTGTGTTAGTTTGCTGAGGATGGATGGCTTCCAGCTTCATCTATGTCCTTGAAAAGAACATGATCTCATTCCTTTTTGTGACTGCCTAGTATTCCATGGTGTATATGTACCACATTTTCTTTATGTATGGCATTTGGATTGGTTCTATGTCTTTGTTATTGTGAATAGTGCTGCAATGAACATACGTGTGCATGTATCTTTATAACAGAATGATTTATATTCCTTTCAGTATATACCCAGTAATGGATTGCTGGGTCAAATGTTATTAATGGTTCTAGATCCTTGAGGAATTGCCGCAGTGTGTTCCACAATGGCTCAACTAATTTACATTCCCATCAACAATGTAAAAGTGTTCCTATTTCTCCACAGGCTTGCCAGCATCTATTCTTTCTTGACTTTTAATAATCGCCATTCTGACTGGCGTGAGATGGTATCTCATTGTGGTTTTGATTTGCATTTCTCTAATGATCAGTGATGTTGAGTTTTTTTCCATATGTTTATTGGCCACCTAAATGTTTTCTTTCGAGAAGTGTCTGTTCATATCTTTTGTCTACTATTTGATGGGGTTGTTTGTTTTTTTCTTGTAAATTTGTTTATGTTTCTCAGAAATCCTGGATATTAGGCCTTTGTCAGATGGGTAGATTGCAAAAATTTTCTCCCATTCTGTAGGTTGCCTGTTTGCTCTGATGATAGTTTCTTTTGCTGTGCAGATGCTCTTTAGTTTAATGAGTTACCATTTGTCAATTTTTGCTTTTGTTGCAATTGCTTTTGGTGATTTCATCATAAATTCTTTGCCCATGCCTGTGTCCTGAATGGCATTGCCTAGGTTTTCTTCTAAGGTTTTAATGGTTTTGAGTTTTACATTTAAGTCTTTAATCCCCCTTGAATTATAAGGAAAGGGTCCCGTTTCAGTTTTCTGCATATGACTAGCAAGTTTTCCCAGCATCATTTATTACATAAGGAATCCTTTCCTCATTACTTGTTTTTGTGAGGCTTTTGGAAGATAAAATGTATGGTGTTATTTCTGAGACCTTTATTCTGTTCCATTGGTCTATATGTCTGTTTTGGTGCCAGTACCATGCTGTTTTGGTTACTGCAGCCTTGTAGTATGGTTTGAAGTCAGGTAGTGTGATGCCTCCAGCTTTGTTCTTTTTGCTTAGGATTGTCTTGGCTATGCGGCCTCTCTTTTGGTTCCACATGCCTTTTAAAGTAGTTTATTCTAATTCTGTGAATAATGTCAATGGTAGTTTGATGGGAATAACATTGAATCTATAAATTACTTTGGGAAGTATGGCCATTTTGATGATGTTGATTCTTCCTATCCATGAGGATGTAATATTTTTTCCATTTATTTTTGTCTTCTCTTATTTCCTTGAGCAGTGGTTTGTAGTTCTCCTTGAAGAGGTTCTTCATGTCCCTTGTTAACTGTATTCCTTGGTATTTTATTCTCTTTGAAGCAATTGTGAATGGCAGTTCATTAATGATTTGGCTCTCTGCTTGTCTATTGTTGGTGTATAGGAATGCTTGTGAATTTTGCACTTTGATTTTGTATCCTGAGACTTTGCTGAAGTTGCTTATCAGCTTAAGGAGTTTTTGCGCTGAGATGATGGGTTTTTCTAAATATAGGATTATGTTATCTGTAAACAGAGACAATTTACCTTCCTCTCTTCCTATGCGAATACCCTTTATTTATTTCCATTAAGCCAGTTTATTTAGAGTTTTTAGCATGAAGCCATGTTGAATTTTATCAAAGGCCTTTTCTGCATCTATTGAGATAATCACATGGTTTTTGTCATTGGCTCTGTTGCTGTGATGGATTACGGTTATTGATTTGTGTGTGTTGAACCAGGCTTGCATCCCAGGGATGAAGCCAACTTGATTGTGGTGGATATGCTTTTTGATGTGCTGCTGGATTCAGTTTGCCAGTATTTTACTGAGGATTTTCACACTGATGTTTATCAGGGATATTGGCCTAAAGTTTTCTTTTTTTGTTATGTCTCTGCCAGGTTTTAGTATCAGGATGATGCTGGCCTGATAAAATGAGTTAGGGAGGAATCCCCCCTTTTCAATTGTTAGGAATAGTTTCTGAATGAGTCGTACCAACTCCTCTTAGTACCTCTGGTAGAATTTGGCTGTGTATCCATCTGGTCCTGGGTTTTTTTTTTTTTTTTTTGGTTGGTAGGCTAGCTAATATTACCTCAATTTCAGAACTTGTTATTGGCCTATTCAGAGATTCGACTTCTTCCTGGTTTAGTCTTGGGAGGGTGTATGTGTCCAGAAATGTATCAATTTCTTCTAGATTTTCTACTTTATTTGCATGGAAGTGTTTATAGTATTCTCTGCTGGTAGTTTGTATTTCTGTGGTATAAGTGGTGATATCCCCGTTATCATTTTTTATTGTGCCTATTTGATTTGTCTCTCTTTTCTTCTATTAGTCTAGTAGTGGTCTATCTATTTTATTAATTTGTTTTTTTGTTTGTTTTTTTAAAAACACCGGCTTCTGCATTCGTTGATTTTTTGAAGGGATTTTTGTGTCTCTATCTCCTTCAGTTCCACTCTGTTCTTAGTTGTTTCTTGTCTTCTGCTAGATTTTGGATTTGTTTGCTCTTGCTTCTCTAGTTCTTTTCATTGTGATGTTAGCATTTTGATTTGAGGTCTTTCCAGCTTTCTGATGTGGGCATTTAGTGCTATAAATTTCCCTCTTAACATTGTTTTAGCTGTGTCCCAGAGATTTTGGTACATTGTCTCTTTGTTCTCATTGGTTTCAAAGAACTTCTTGATTTCTGCCTTAATTTGATTATTTACCCAAGAGTCATTCAGAAGCACGTTGTTCAATTTCCATGTAGCTATGTGGTTTTGATTGAGTTTCTTAATTGTGAGTTCTAATTTGATTGCACTGTGGTCTGAGAGACTGTTTGTCAAAATTTCCATTCTTTTACATTTGCGGAGGAGTGTTTTACCTCCAATTATGTGTCTGACCACATTTTCTATCAGTGGCCATCTCCCTCATTTCCACTACAGCCATAGTGGATCTCCTTGCTTATTGGACACTTCAGGCTTGCACTTTCCACAGGATCTTTGAGTTTACTGCTCTCTCTTCATATAGCCAGATGGCTCACTTTTTCACTCCTTTCAGATTTGTGCTCAATTCACACTCTAGCAATAAGACCTCTCTGACTATATACCCTCCTTAAAACACTCACAAACCCTATATAAAATAGCAATATTCCCAAACTTAGCACTTATAGTCTCTGTTATCCTGCTTATTTTTTCTTTTTAGCAATTTTCACTATTTTCTCTACATTACAATTACTTATTAATTTGTTTGTTATCCTGTTATCCCATTTCTTATTCTAACTAAAAGGTAAATTCTGTGAGGGTAAGAAAGTTGTCTCTTTTCTTAATGCCCTGTCCCTGGTACTTACAACAGCATATGATAAAATCAAAAATATTGTTTGTAAATGAACGACTTAAGAATAAATGTATTTTCAATTTTTAAATATTAATTACAGTTTAATATGCACTTAACAATATGACCTAGCTTCTATATTTTAATCTAGAACAATATAAACCTAGATTCTTTTGGCTCTGGAGTAGATTTTTACATTTAAATCAATTAATTAATTTCAGGTTGGCCTTAAATAACTATTTTCCTTTTATTTCATGGATACACATTATGTCTGTGGGCTTTGTCCCATCAATAAATAGATATCAATTTGTTCCATTGCAAGGTAATAATAGTTATTGATCTCTGGTCTCCATCTTAAATAAAAACTAAAGCTAGCTGCTCAGAAAAAAAAAAAATCTTTAAAGTGTGACACACTCAATTCACACAGTATTTATCAAGTACCTACCATATGTGCTATAGCTCTAAGTGCTACAGTGAAAATTAAGATAAAAACAAATGTCATTTCCTTGAGAATGTTTAATATTTTAGGCAATGTAAAATGGACCTAATAACTTTAAAAAGGATGGAATATGATGAGTAAAATAAAAGAAATAAAAATAAGAACCTTGAAGAGCTATATCTTATGTATTAGAAATATTGCCATTAAGAGTAGGAATTAGGCCTTTTCACATAAGTAAAACAATTTTACTGTATATAATTAATTGCTTAAAACATTTCTAGTCATCTCAAAAGCAGAAATATGAATTATATGAACCATAAACTTCACAATAAACAAATCAAAGCTAGACCTATTATTCTCTTAAAAGTAAGTGCATGAGTATAAATTAAAATATTCATCTTAGGATTCATCAGACATGAGAGAATTTTAGTACCAAAGATTAGTCTTGGAGAAGATATATTATCAAGTGTATTATTAACAAATTAACAACTTCTCCTATCTTTTCCTGATGTATTGCTTATTTATACTAAATATATTGACAGGATAAGCACATTGGGAGTCTCACTAAGTTAAACATAAATGTCAGCTATTCAACAGAAGCACTTCTCTGGGGCTGTTGGTAGTTTCAAGGTAGAAGAGTCAGTCCTTATATTAAAACTAGATGATCTAAACTGAAGGGCTGTATCAATGAAAACACATAACATCAGAAAAAGACGTTTATCAGTTACATAACCAATCATCACAGAAACATATTGCTTAAAAGTAAATTTAAGAATCTTTGAAAGATTTTTTATTTATTACAAATATCAAACACATTTATTATTTGAATTTTTGTGGTCTCAGTAAATATGACTAATTCAAGAAAGTCTTTGAGATTTTTTAAATTAATTCCAATAGGGTATATTCTTTAGCTTGAAAAGAACACCATGGTGTTTTAACTGAAAATGCCAAATAATTTCCAAAATTCTTAATACTCCTGAAAATGCCTTAGATTTGTTCTAAGTAAATTTCATACAGAAGGTGTCATCTAAATTAATATTCACAAATATACTATAAATGGAAGGACATTTGCTGTAAGTTAAGAAATTCTTAAAAGATAAATGTGTAAAACAAATATTGATTGTAAAAGGCAATTCTAGCCGTCTCTTAAGTTATTACTTATTTTTAATCTACCAACGTATGTCCTCTTCCTTAAAGTACATGAGCATTAACCAATAATTGCCTTTATTTTTCTCAATATGAGGGAAACACATGCTCACTCCCAACCATCATTTTTTTAAGATAAAAAGTGTGATATTCCTAAAATGTATTAATGAAAGCTTATATTTGAGAATTTTTTTAAAAGTAAAAGACTCATTTGTTAAGATAAGCTTCTGACCATGTCCTTATTCAAAAATAATATCTTCCCTGACTATTAGAAATCACACTGATTTCCCTTGTTATGCAACGACATCAACCACACCACTTTAGTAAAATTATATACCACGATGTGCTATTATTAATTATTTGATTGTGTTAATGTGATTTCACAAGATGATAATTTCTTTAAAACCTGCACAGTGTTATAAACATATGTCTCAATTGCTCAGGCAATTATACAGCAACAATTTTATATCATTTCTTTCATGGGATTTGCTAAAAGATAGAAATTGTATAATATATATAACTAATAATATATAATATATAACATATATAATATATGTAACATATATATTATATGTTACATATACATATACATATATAACATATATAACATAAAACATATATAATATATGTTATATTACATATAATATATATATAATATATATATAGTTCCTTCCTCTCAGTGATCCTCAAAATTAAAACACAGGTATCTTCTCTGTTCCTTGAACAGCTAAGTTCTTTCCCATCTCAAGATCACTACACTGGCTGTTCCCACTTCTAGGAATGCTCTGATTGGAATCCCATTACGTCTTCCACATTAAAGGAAGCATTGTTTGTTCTAGAAGCAAAGGTAACTTGAGTATATCTATGTCTATATTAATCTGTATCGAGAATTCTAAGCCAATATAATTTTTAAAAACCAACACTTATTGCACCTGAAAAGCAGCACTTGGTAGTATAACATATCCTATCCATAGTGAGGTTTTTTCCTACCTTAAAATATTTATTTCATAAACATGTTTTCATCTAGAGTAAAGTTTAAATTAGAGTAGATGGTAATATGTTAGGACATGTCCAAGTTCTAAGGATGTACATGAAGTGAAACCACAAAAGGAATGGTTTTATTTTACTAGAAAGAAAATGACCCCATTTACATAAGATGCAGGGCTAGCCCGCGTTTCCATGGATAGCAGTACTTGCACTGAACCATGAAGCTATTGTGCTAGGGATGTACCTTTGGCTTCTTTCTTAGATGTACTTCTGAGCTTAGCACACAGGCCTACAGATTCATCAACATTTAATGGTAACAGACATACTCTGGATCCAGCAATTGCATTTTGCCCAGTACCTGCTTCTCCAAGGGAGGGAAGAATTAGAAAGCCAATGTAAGTGGGCTTTCTGCCTCAGGAAAAAAAAAATGTGATTTTTGGTAGAGAAGATTTGCATTCATGTTTGATTATTAGATAATCTAATAAAACAAACTGTTAAATAGAAATAATGTCAGGCCACAGTGAAAGGCAGTAAAGCCATTTTTATTCAGTACTATTGCAATGGGAGTATTAAAACTGAGTTCAATTTCAAATACAGCCAGAACATGTAGGGATTTAGAGCCAAAGACCAGAGGAGGGGGATAAGTCAATGGAAAATTATTAAGAGGCGACATCAAGGGTAGGGAGATTCTTGTTAAACTGATTCAACAGGATTACTGCTAAAGGCAGATCATGGTGAATCGGATTTTAAAGCCAGGGAATGAGAAACTTGAACAGATGTCAAGGCAAATCATATGTGAAGGGTGGAGGGATTCTTATTATTAATACATTTACATAACAGGATTCTTTTCAAAGCTGGACTATGCAGGCTAAGTATAAAGATCAAGGATGAGGCCTAGTAGAAAGTGGACTCATAGGAGCCTGTCTAAAGTTTGGTCAAGAGAGTCTTTATAAAAACTCACATCTCAAAGTTAACATATCCAAACTGAAATTCCTTTTTTCCCCCTTCCAAATCTGATTATTTCCCAGCCTCTCTCTTATCAAAGGAAACTATTGACCACCTAGCTGTCTGTATAAAAATCTCCAAAGTCTGATTCATCAGGAAATCTTGATAGTTCCACTACACAAATATATTTTGAACCTTCTATCATCACTGAAATATTACATCTAAAAGGGCCTTTTTTTTTTCTACACAGGGTTGTATTCTGTCACCCAGGCCAAGTGCAGGGACATGATTACAGCTCACTGCAGCCTCAACCTCCCAGGCTCAAATGAGCCTCCTGCCTCAGTTTCCTGAATAGTTGGGACTACAGGCAAATACCACCACACCTGGCTAATTTTTATCTTTTTCTATTTTTTTTTTTAGAGACGTGGTCTAACTATGTTGCCCAAGCTAGTCTCTTCGAGTCAAGCTATCCTCCTTCCTCAGCCTCCCAAAGTGCTGAGATTACAGGTGTGAGCCACAGCACCCACCTGGGTCTTGCATAATTTGACTCTGGCCTATTCTCCAACATCAACTCCTACAATTCTCTTCCTCGCTATTCTCTGGACATGCCAGTTTCACATTCATGAATAGTCAATGAACTTGAAATCTTCAATTATAACTGTGAATTTGTCTATTTCTCTTTTCAGCTCTATTGGTTTTTGCTTCATATATTTTGAAGCTTTATTTTTTTAGTGTGTACACTTTTATGTCTTCTTGCTGGTTGAACTTTTATCTTATGTCACGCCTCTTCTTGTCTCTAGTATTGTCATTAATTTAAAGTCTAATGTTTCAGGTACCAATATAGCCAGTGTATTGGTTTTTAAATTACTATCGCATGGTATATATTTTCTTCATATTTTTATTTGCAATGTGCTAATGTCAATAAATCTGAAGTGAGTTTCTTTTAAGCTGCATGTATGGGTAAATTTTTAAATCCAGTGTTTGTTTTTTGATTGCAGTATTCAAATCAATTACATTTAAAGTAATTATTGATATTCTAGTACTAACCTATGATATTTTACTATTGATTTTCTGTGTGTTTCTCTGCTTCTCTTTTCTGGTTTCCTGTGTGCTATTTGGGCAATGTTTTAAAGATTCAACCTGATATATGCTTAATGTTTCTGAGTGTTGTATTCGTATTGTTTTGCTGTTTCCCTTTACCTATGAGTCAAATTCTATTAGTTCCCTTCATTCCTGGGGCATAGTGTCACCATATATATAGTTCACTATTGATTGTACTTTTCTTTCAGCATTTGGAAAGTTTTGTGCCAGTTTCTTCTGGCTTCCATAGTTTCAGATGTGGAATTTCTAGCATTCAAATTGATGTTCTCCTATAGGTAGAGTCATTTTTCTTTGGTTGCTTTCAAGTTTTGCTTTGCTTTTTTTCTGTTTCAGTCTCAGAAGTGTAATTATAATGTGTCTTGGCATAAATTTTTTGGAATTACCTTGTTTAGGGTTTGTTTTGCTTCTAGAATTGTAAGTTTCTGTCTTTTGTGAAATTTGGAAACTTTTCAGCTATTATTTTCTCAAATAATCTTTCAATCTCACTCCTTTTCTTCTGAAACTGTGGTGACAGGAATATAGATGGTCCCTGATATATGACGGTTCTACTTATCATTTTTTGACCCTACAGTGATGTGACAACAATACACATTTAGTAGAACTGTATTTCTCTTGCAATGCTGAGCAGTGGCAGCAAGACACAGCTCCCAGACAGCCATGCATTTTCTACTTATAATATGTATAACACAATGGGGTTATTGGGACATAACTCCATATCCACCCTGGCAAGGAGAATATGTATTGTATATCTTATTGTAGTCCCACAGATTCCCAAAATCTTCTTTAATTTTTTTCTTTCTCTTCATTATTTAGATTGGGTGAATTGTGTTTATCTGTCCTAAAATTCAGTGATTCTGTCTTCTATCATCTCTACTATTGAGCCCATCTGTTCAGTTTGTTTCCTTTTTTGTGTTTTATGTTTTTCATTTTCCTAATCCACTGTTTCTTTTTTCAATTTATTAACTGTGTCTTTTAAAGAAGTTTTAAGTTTACAAAAGAATTGAGCAGAAAATTCAGAGAGCCTCTGTAGTCCTCACCTGCTGGATCACACACACAGTGTCCTCTGTATTAACATCTTGCATTTATGTAGTATTTTGTGTATAGTCGATTGACCAATACTGATACATTATTAACTAAAGTCCATAGCTTGCATTAGGGTTTATGCATTGTGTTGTACATTCTAAGGGTTTTGACAAATGTAGAATGACCCATGTCTACCATTATAGTATCACATGGAAGAATTTTACTACTCTAAAAATCCCTTGTGCTTCATCTTTTCATCCCTCTTTTCTCAAGAATCCCTGGAAAGTACTGGGCATTTTAATTTTGGCTTAGTTTTCCTCTTACCAGAATGTAATATAGTTGGAATTATACAGCATGTGGCCTTTTCAGGATGGTTTATTTCACTTAGCATTATGCTGTTAACCTTTCATCCATGACTTTCCACAGTTGATAGCTGTCTTAGTTGTCTGGCTGCTATAACAAAATACCCTAAAATGAGTAACTTATGAACAATAGAAATTAACTTCCCACAGTTCTGGAGACTGGGAAGTCTAAATCAAGGCATCGGCAGATCTGATGTCTGTTGAGGGACTGCTTTCCCATATATGGCTGACTTTTTACGGTGACTTCACATGGCAGAAGGGGAAAGGCATCTCTCTGGAGACGCTTTTATAAGGGCACTAGCCCCATGAACCTTTATGGCCTAATTGTCTCCCAAAGGTCGCACATCCTAATAAAATGACATTGGTGATTAGCCTTCAGCATGTACATTTTGGGGAGACCCAAACTTTCAGATAATAGCAATAGTTCTTTCTTTTTATTGCTAAATAAATAGTCCAGGCTATGGATGTAAAAATGTTTATCCATTTACCCATTGAAGGAGATCTTGGTTGCTTCCATATTTTGGCAATTACTAATTAAACTGCCATAAATATTCATGTGCAGCTTTTTGTGTGGACAGAGTTTTAATCTCATTTGGGTAAATACTAAGGGGCATAATTGCTGGACTTTACGGTAAGAGTATCTTCAGTTTTGTTAGAAACTGCCAAACTGTTTTCTGAGGTAGCTATACCATTTTGCATTTCAAACAGCAATGAATGAGAGATCCTGTTGTTCCACATCCTTGCTAGCATTTGGTTTTCTCAGTTGTTTGAAGTTTGGCCATTCTAATTTGTATATTGTGGTATTCTGTTGTTGTTTTAAATTTGAAATCCCCTAATTAAATATGATGTTGAGCAAATATGCTTATTTGTCATCTATCTTCTTCAGTGATGTGCCTATTTAGACCTTTTGACAATTTTTTAATGGAGTTGTTTTCTTCTTGTTGAGCTTTAAGTGTTCTTTGTATATTTTTATATACTAGCCCTTTTTCAGATATGTGTTTTGTAAAAATTTTCTGCAGTGTGTGTTTTATAAATATTTCATTCTCTTAGGGTTCTTAAAAAGCACAAAAAAACACAATTCACCCAATTAAAGTATACACAATTTAATAGTTTTTAGTATAGTCACAGAATTGTGCATTCATCATAGTAATGGATTTTAAGATATTTTCATTATTCCCTAAAAGATACCCTGTACTCTTCAGCCATTGCTCCCTAAGTAACTCATCCCCCTCAATCTTAGCAGACAGTCTTACCGTCTGCCTACACAGATTTAAATATTCTGACCATTTTATATAAATGGAAATCTATAATATATAGTTTATCGTTACTGGCTTCTTTTACTTAGCATATGTTTTCAGGGTACATCCATGTTGAAGTATGTATCAGTACTTCATTTCTCTTCATAGAAAATGAAAATGAATATCTTTTTACAATGTTTTACTGTATGCACTTTTGGTTCTGTTTATAATTTTATTTCTTTGTTGAGATTTTCTATTTTTAAATTCCCTTCAAGATAATTTTTAATTAATTTTTGAAACTTTGTTATGGTGGCTGCGTTAATATCCTTGTCAAATAGTTCTAATATCTGATTTATCTCATTGTTGGTATTTTCTCATTCAAGTTGTAATTTCCTTGGTTCTTTTTATGACCCTGACTATAATTGTACCCTGGATATTTTGTCTATTAGGTTAGGACACTCTAGGTTCTATTTAAAACTTTTATTTTAATAGGCATTCACCCTGCTTAAGTTTAGCATACAGGTCTTGGCCTCATTCTGTGGTCTCTGATTCCAATGACAGTTTGAATTTTAGAGGCTTTGCAATGATCTGCTTGGTTTATCTGATGTCACAGTGTTTCCATGTGTCCCTGCTAGTGGTGTTTGGCTTATGGGACATAACAGACTTCCCCAGGTTGGGCCATTCGGCATCTCCTGGGGATAGAGTGGAGTCTCCAGAATATAAAGTCTCTTTGTTGTACCTCCTCGTTGTGGCTAGGTGCTTTTTGCCAGTTGTGTCCATCTGCCTCAGTGTGTGCCAGTGTGGAAAGAGAATCTCAGGTCTATTAGGATGAAGAATACTCCTAGACCAAACCATTTGTTACAATGGAATCCCCCAAATGTGTCCCTTGTCTTCCTTTTTGTAGTGTCTCTGCAGAGGATAATTTCAAGTCTAGAGGGACAAGAAAGACTTCTTGTGATGAGTTCTCAAGCCTGCATGGAAAACAAAGTACTTCTTCTGGCTGCTATTGTTACTGGGGCTCCTGATCAGTCCCCCTTGTAAGTCTACCATGCATGCTTGTTGTTTCCAACTGGACTCTCATTTTGTTGTGGGGGGTGACTGGAACTGCCTGGGCTGCCTTCTATTGATAAATTGAGGGTTACTTAGTCTGGGTCAACTTCTTCCATGGGATGTTTGCAAGTAAGATTGCCCTGAGACTGTGTTCTTTTTCTAGTCAAACCAGTTTTCCTTCTGTTTTAGTCAGTTTTTGTGTCACTATAAAGGAATAACTGAGACTGGGTAACTTATAAGGAAAAGAGTTTTAATTTGCTCATGGTTCTGGAGGCTGTACATGGAAGCATGGTGCTGGCATCTGCTTCTGGTGAGAGCCTCAGGAAGCTTACTGTCATGGCAGAAGGTGATGGGAGCCAATGTGTCACATGATGACAGTGGGTGCAAGAGAGAGAGTAAGGAGGTGCCAAACACTTTCAAAAAATCAGCTCTGGTGAGAACTCACTCACTGTCTCCAGGACAGCACCAAGCCATTCGTGAGGGATCCACCCTATTACCCAAACACCCCCCACCAGGTCCCACCTCCAACATTCAGGATTATATTTCAACATGAGATTTGGAGGGGACAAACACGCAAACTGTATCACCTTCTTAGTACCTTTCAGTGATCTCTTTGATTACCTCCTGCATTGTTTCTGGGGTCTGTAGTCTAGCAGGAAGGAACAAAAAAACTGGCCTACCCTTGTCTAAACTAGAAGTCCCCTTAACTGTAATTTTAATTTTTCACTTATCTTCTTATTTCTATGCACATGCTAAAAAATGAAAGACATACAAATACAACAGAGATGCTAATTTTTAATTTATTGGCATTACTTGTCTCTCAGATCTTATGAAAGCACTAGATATTCCTTCATTAATAAATTAATTGTAGGCCGGGCACGGTGGCTCACACCTGTAATCTCAGCATTTTGGGAGGCCAAGGCAGGTGGATCACCTGAGGTCAGGAGTACAAGACCAGCCTGACCAATATGGAGAAACCCCGTCTCTACTGAAAATACAAAATTAGCCAGGCATGGTGGCACATGCCTATAATCCCAGCTACTCGGGAGGCTGATTCAACAGGAAAATCACTTGAACCCGGGAGATGGAGGTTGCGGTGAGTTGAGATCGCACCATTGCACTGGGCATGAAAGCGAAATTCCGTCTCAAAATAATAATAATGATAATAATGAATTAATTGTTTTACATACTTGCTAGTGAAAAGAAAAAAAACACATACTTGGATAAATTCATGTAACAAGTAAATTAACGAGACTTCCCTCTATATTTTGCTCATGGTAATGTAATTTATATTTATACAAATTTGAGATTTCAACATAAAAAGTGCACAATTTCAGCTTTCGTAGTTGAAAGTTTAATGCAACAAGAGATTTAAAGTGCAAGGGTTTCTATTAATAATGCTGATTCTTCTGCTGCCTTTTGAATACATAGAGTACTATTTAATGGTTTTTGTAGGGAGCCCCTTAGCACAAAGATCTTTATCCCAAAATACAGAAGTGAACTCTTTTTATAAATATTTTAACTTCTAACTCACCCAGAGTTCATGTAAAACAAGAGCATAGATACCATGTCTACATTTGTTAATGTAGATACCATTAACAAATCTGTTTTACGTATGCGAGCTATCCTCAGATATCTAGTGTGGATTTTAGGACAATTGTCTAATTGGGTCCCTGACTCTAAGAACACAAATATTAATGTCTTACTTTTTCTTTTTAAATAATATCAAAATACTTTATTTTGTAAAGTGGCATCTTACTTAGACTCTGCCAAACAAGTTAGGATCACTTTAAAATAAATAACATTAAAAAAAAGATGTCATTCCCTCAGTTCAAATAAAATTAAGTTTCAGCCTGAGTAAGCTCTGAAATAGAAACATCAACTGAATGAACTTCCTGTCCTTAGAGAGTTTGCCATCTCAATTCTTGGTCCAGCAGGGAAAGTAAATGTGGAAACAGATCATTAAAACACAGTGTAATAAAGACCAAGATAGAAGAAAAAAGATCAGACTTTCAATTTCCAAGACACAGGACAAATACAAGAATAAATATGACAGAACGAACAAAAATATGTTCATTTTTGCCCATTGTCTTGATACATACACCTTAAATAACAGTGGCATAAACACAAGAATGAAGGAGAGCTAAACTTCAGGTTAAGTTTAGAAAATGCCTCTTTCCAGAAGTTTTTCATTGTAAACTTCTATGATGTGGGTTTTTGATTAAGGAAATCTTAACTCTAAAAGTTGTTAAGAATTTTGAAAACTTTTGGTAAAAAGCAGTATGTATTGAGAGAGTTCTTTCTTCCTGACAAGTAAGTTGTGACTCTGGAGAGCTAGATTAAACCACAATTTAGACTGGAAGAGATTAATAAATATATTTTATGATGGGAATATACTGAGATCTACATTTAAGTAATTCTACAAAGATTTAAGGGGGGGGGGTTCTCTGAAAAGCCATCTAGAACATTCTTTCTAGTGAAAAAATGTAGAAAAAGATGAAGAAACTCTCAACAGACTCTCTTCGCAAGATTAATTTTTTTTAGTTGATGTATTAGGCAAAATTCTAATATGGGTTCCATGTTCTCCAGCACCTGGTGGATTTCCTATAAATACTCTCACCTTGAGTGTAGGTAGGACATGTGACTCACCTCTAATAAAATACGACAAAGGAGATGAGGATAGAATGCAATCCCTTTGGTTAGGTTATATATAATTATATCTACATATGCATTAGATAGACTTTCCTACTTGCGTTGAAGAAGAAAGATGCTGTAATATGAATGGCCCATGGAGAGGACAACATCACAGGAAACTACATCTGTGAGCTGAGACATTTTATTTTAGTCCTACAATGGCAAGGATCTGAAATCTGCCAATAACCATGTGAATTTGAAAAATAATTATTTATTCAAGCTATCCCAAGACTTGTGACCCATAGAAACTGGGAGATAATGTTCTAAATGTTTTATAAATGTTTCACCAATCTAAACTCAAGATTGTATAGAATTCCTGGGTTTCAATGATGTATTTCAGTAGAATTATGAAGAAAACTAAGTAAAAACATCATACATCATACATCATCTATTTATTTGCCCTTCCTATAATGGAAAAGTCTCAAGGGAAATATTCAGGGCTGCTTTGATGGTTCCACACAGTCTTCAGAAACTCAGGCTTCTAGTAGCCCTCTGTAGCCTTTAGCTTCATGATTTCAGTATGACAGCTGTAGCTTCAGACATATCCATGGTCCAGGAAGCAAGAAGAGAAAAAGGACAAGTACAAAAGAATGTTTATGAAATCATCTCTTTTTGTAAGAAATTCTTTTAGACAAATCACTCGGTAACTTTTAACTCTGATTCCTTTAACTGCAGTTTAATCAACTAGCCACTCCTATTTGCAATAACATTGGAAAATTTTAGCTTTTTAATCAGGCAGATCAGGCCTGATTCTCCTTTTCAAACACATATATACTTTTCTTTATTTTCTGCATATATCTTGAACTCATTCTCTCTGACTTACTGGGAAAAGCATTTTGTGATAATTACACATCATTTGTGATGAGTCAATGAGTATTATGTAAGTTCTGACAATTTTCTCATTTATCCTCAGTATACTATGTCTCTAATAAGAAACATTATTGGAGACTAAAATATTTAATTTGTGATGTTCTTCAACACTAATCACTTCTTATCATTGTAAAAATTAAAATATGTGCTTTTAAATATGAATAGATTAGCTAAAATAAAATATTGAAACCCTGTTTAATGCTTATTCCATTTTCTACTGTATCTAATGTCCTGTCACTGTTATAATTATTCAAAACTTAAGATAGAGTAGAAATTCTATATAATTCAATAATAATGTGGTAAAGGTAGTCAAAAGTTTTTTTTTTTTTTTAGAATGACATGCTCTACCATAATAGAGGCAGATATTTAATTAACATTTATTGGAGTTTTTCTGAAAATTACAAATGCCTGCACCTCTTTCTCACTCTTCCTGATGTTATAACCAATTTAGAAATACAAAATAAACCTGTAGAAATAAAGTGGAATATATTTTTATTACTGATAAACCTGATTAATAACTTAGCTTAGGTTTAAGGCAAATGTGTTTTGTAACACTTTTACCACTGAATTGAATTTACTCATATAGACACACATAGGAAAAGCTGTAGATGTTACCCAAGTGTTATATCACTTATCTCATGACTGAGGTAAACATGTACATCCAGGAACAGTTTCTCCAAAGGCAGAGAATGCAGGGTTCCTAAGATACTCACTCACATATGTCTCCTTCTGTTCAGAAATGTGCCTCACTCCTTGTTTTATATGCAGAAGCTAGAAAAATTTGGTTTTGGGTAGAAAGTAGAGCTTTTCTCATAGCTTTTGTTTTGTAGAATTGAAGTCAGCTACCTTCTATGAAATATAAAGGGTCGATGATACATATTACTCCCTAGGATGTTTTTGGCATTAATAGTGCTGCTTTTAATATGTTCTTTAAATGTTCAAGTAAAAATTCTTTTACTAAGGTACATATTGAACTTCAGTAGTAACAGTTTCTTTTAGTGAGGGTTTATTTATACACCTTGCTAAATCAAAGACTTAAACATAAAACTTGAAGCTATAAAACTCTTAGAATAAAAGATAAGAAAAATTCCTCTTCTCACTGGTCTTGACAATAAATTTTTGTATGTGACACCAAAAGCACAGGCTACAAAAGCAAAAATAGACAAGTTTGATTATATCAAACTAAAAAAGCTTCTGCACAGCAAAGGAAACAATCAACAAAATGAAAAACAACTCATGGAACCCCCAAAATGAGAAAAACTATTTTAAAACTACATACCTGATAAGGAGCTAATATGCAAAATAGATGACACTTATACAAGTCAATGACAAAAATACAAATAGCCCAATTTAAAAATGGACAAAGGATCTGAATAGTCATTTCATGGAAGAAGAAATTCAGACGGTCAAGAGGCATATGAAAAGCTGCTCAACAAGTCTAATCATCAGGGAAATGCAAATTAAGACCACAATAAGATATCACTTTAGACCTATTAGAATGACTATTATCAAAGACAAAGAGTAACAAGTATTTCCAGGATCCAGCGCAAAGGGAATCCTTGTACACTGTTGGTGGGAATGTGAAACTAGCATATGAATAAGCAGCCCTACTTCTGGGGATCCACCTAAAGGAATTTAAATCAGGATCTCCAATAGATATCTGCACTCCCATGTTTATTGCAGCATTATACACAATAGCCAAATTGGAAACAACTTAATTGTCCTTCAAAAAAATGAACAGATAAAGAAAATGTGGTATATAAAATGTAATATTAATCATTCTTTAAAAATAAGGAAACTGTGCCATTTGCAACAGCATGGGTTGAATTGGAAGACATTGTGCTAAGCAAAATAAGCAAGACAAAGAAAGAAAAATACTGCATGATGTCACTCATATGTGTAATCTCAAATATTCCAACTCATAGAAGTAGACGGTAGAATAGTGATTTCCATGGGCTGGGGAGAGGGGATAACGGGGTGCTGTTTGTCGAAAGTTGCAAAGTTTCAATTATGCAAGATGAATGAGTTCTGGAGATGTAATGTACACTATAAGAAATAGTTAAAATATTGTATTGTATATTTGAAATTTGCTAAGTGGGTAAATCTTAAATATTCTCTGCATATACACACCAATAATTACCATGTAGAGGTGATTGATACGGTAATTAGCTTGAACGTGGTGATTACTTTACAATGCATAAATATATCAAAATATCAAGTTGTACATTTTAAATATATCTAATTTTTATAGGTCAGTGATATCTCAATAAAGCTTTTAGAAAAAAGTAGAGATTAAGATTATATAATTGGTGGACAAAGACACGTGTATATATATTTTCATATATATTTATAGATTCCTTTTATTTTTCAGAAAGTTTGGAAATTAGACTGTATATTACAATTTACACTTTATTTCATAAAGTTCTTATGTAATTTGAAGACAAGGCATTCTTCTGGAAAGAAGACTCATTGATAGAAAAATAATGCTCTTTTTTTCTTGAAGAGTCTATGAAACATATTTTTCTTTTTAGTCTAAAGACCAAGGAGTATATAAAACAACACTTTGGAGGGAAGACTTTGCTAATTATGATGCAGAGAATCTGACTAAAAATTTTCGGTTTTAATATTGTCACTACAATTGTATAAATAGTACAGAGAGTACAGGAACAATGTACAATATTTCTCTTTCCCAAGAAATGTGCTTCTTATGGCAAGAGTCCTGGAGAGCGGCATAAAATACAGCTTACCCTCCCTCATTACTCTCACTCCACCAGTGTTTGATGGCTCATTCTTAACTATCATATATTTGAATTTAGAAACTACCATAATTGGTGTGATATTAGATAACCACATAGTTTGCCCAACTGTATCACAGACACATGTTTAGGACTTTATAGAACCATTATACTCTAGAGCAATGTCATGAATGGCCTCATTGTGATAGGTGGGTAATGTGTTATGTTAGACAAAATCGGGGTTGAATTTCATGTTATCTTTTTATTTGTAACCATGCTGCTGGTGAAATATGCATGTGATGAATAAAATTTAGGTATTTTGAGGCACTTTGATGAAACTGAAAATGCATGATTTAGAAGTAAACACTTAAAATTACACATAATTTTCAGGGGGAAGATCCTTGACTAAAACATTGTTATTTTGAGAAATCTAGAATCACTAGATTTATATTTTCTTAATTTATTGATTTTTTGTTTCTAGTGCCACATAATAAACATCTGGTACTTAGAAGACTGCAGATTAGGATACATTTTTAATTCTCTAACAGGCCTACTAAAAGTGAACAGATGGTAAATGTAAATCTTACTTAATTTGAAAACTGACATTATGAGAAGTAAATAAGTAGGAAAATATTTGTGTTAAATACACTTAGAAATTTAACCAATTATGTCACTTTTCTAAATATCAGTTTATGTAGATATCTTTAATTTAAAATTGTGTACTAATTTTACATAAACCTTTTAAAAATAGTGTCTATTTATAGAGAGGGATTGGTAACCAGTACATATAATAAGTACAATCATACTAAAGATGATCATTTAATAATACTTAATAATCTCTACTAACTGAATCTACCACACTTTTTAAAAAAAATTTCTATGGCCTACAGGTGATAACAAAGAATTTCTTCTTAATATTGTTTACAGGGCAGAAGATAATCATGTTTTACGGTTACACATTTTACAGCCTCATTTCCATTAACTCTGGAATTATTTCACTGATAAGAACTATCAGAAGAGATATAGGCATAGGCATGAAATTTATAAGCCTCCTCCAAATCATGATTCCTGTGAATGGCTGCAGCTCACTGTTGCATTGGTTGGTACATACTGTCACCATGATAAAATAGTTATAATCGTGTTGTCTTAATTTAAAAGATAGCAGTCAAAAAGGTGAGATTTCCAGAGGAAATAAAATAAAATGAGGATAATAGAGAGAAAGAAGATGGGATACTGTACCATTTAGTGCAGTAATGATGAAGGATGATAGATAATATGTAATGCTTGTACTAGGAATGTGAATTGTATTTTTAAAAGCATTTGTTTCTCACCCTAGTATCCCAGTAACTCGCAAATGAACACCTTGGTGTTAAATAATCTGAGTGCTTGGAAGAATAGATTGTTTCCATCCCAATTTCACTTTAACAAGACTTATTAGGTAGCATGAGAGAGTAATGAAGAGGATGGTTACATAGAAAAATGCCTTTAAGTATAATTTCAATGTTGATGTCCTGAGTGGATCCAGCTTATCAGTTAATACTGTCTTTTGTTTCCAAAGTGTGCATGCTGCCAAAAGTCTACTAGAGTACTAGTTGTCTATAGATCTAAATTTGATTGTGGGGAAGTAATAACATGACCTAATCATATGAAACATTTCTCAGTTCATTGTTCAAAACATAGCAGTTTTAACTGCTAAGGCTTTGGAATTCATCTCAGCTTTTTGTCTAAAAATACACAGTGTGATCAAGATTCTTTGAAAGATTATTCAGCATTACCAGGCAAAGACTAAAATCACTGCATTTGATTATGATGGGCACAGTCACCCACCTTAAGTCATTCACATTACTTTCTGAGTCCTTTAGTAGAATCAAAATCCATCATTAAGTACGCTCTCCCCCAGCACAGGGCAGTATCCAATCTCATTTTACATTCATATAAAAATACTCTAACAAATCTTAAGGTCTTTGAAGATCATTGGAGATTTATTTTGTGGGTAAGAAAACTGAAGACTATGAAATGCAAATAATTATTTAGCTTCTTATTAGCTGATTGTAAAACTAGGAAACATTACATTGTCAGCCCACTCTGATCTTAAAATTTCATATGGGATTGAGTGTCAAGTCCTGTTAAAATGAAGCCTTCACAAGGCAGGGGATGTGTTTGTGTGTATATATGCATATCTGCCTATGTATATGTGTGTTTCTGTGCTGTACCACACATGCTTGGACAATGCCTGGCATAGAAATGCTTAATAAATATTGGTTCAATGACTGTATGAAAGTTGATATTCAAGGTAAAAACATTTTTATGTGTGATATCAAAATTGAGGTTTGCTTATTTGAAAAAATTGTTGAGATTAATTTTCTTTTTGTTATTATATTGTGGCAATTCCTGCATCGCTGTTCTGAAAGAGCTTTAAAAATGTTGTATCATTAAATTATGGTGTTGCAAATATTCTTAAAAACAAAACTGTTAAATATTTATATGTCTATTACAATATTACTTATTGCTGAAAAGAGAAAATTCTTGTGGAGCAAATTTGGACAAAGACTAGAAATATTCTCGATAGGAGTAAGGTGACATAACTATCTAAAAGAAATTAAATGTTGCAATTACAGATTCCCAGCATGCATTTACGTGCATTAAAGGAACATTTATCATTAATACATTATCAGCAGGTCTTTTTCTTAAACAGTTTAATTGGTAATACTGTGAAGTGAATTCAGTTGTTTTACTTCCTAGAATGTGTAAATGAGCAATTATAAGGCAGTCCTGGAAATGGAGCATTGTCCTCCACCGAGCCAATTACTTAAGTCCAGTCTCAGACTTTACCCCTCATTTGCTTAACTTTCTTGACATTCACTCTTTCCCCTAAACACAACATCTGACCATTTATCCATGTTACCTTAAAAAAAATGGGTTATGTGGAAAAAAATCAACTAGTTGTTTGGCAAGACAGAGATAAGATAATCAATTAAATGAAAGGTATATAACTTTTCTAATGATAGTAGTAGAATAAATGGGTTATTTTGATCTTAATTCTAATATTATTTATTTATCTAGACAATTATAATGAGTAGATTTTGCATATCTGATTTTAAAACTCCAAATATTAAAAATTTAGTGAAATTCATATCTAAACTTTGAGGTCTTCAAAATTTAATTGAGATTTAAAATTAAACTCAAAGAAGAAGTGCAAGGAACATTGATACTTTATTAACTACCAAAACATAATACATGTAACAAAGAAATTTATATTATCAGCCTGTTTTATGTGTGTGTATGTGGTTTTCCAGGTAAGTCAACAATCACCTCAGTTTTCTTCTGGCTGTAAAGTAGGAAATGTGTGTTCAGGGAACATAAATCTACTGTGGCTTTTCTATCTAATTTCTGTTGTTCTATAGCCATTGATTCCAATGTGTCACACTGTGTCAGGACAATGAAAATTAACACTATGTTGGGACTGCCAAATTCATTTCACACAACAGTAATCACAATAATAATCAAAATAATATATAATCATCCATGAGAATAAGCACAATTCCATGAATCAGAGTCCCAAAGAAATCACTTTCAGTCTAAAGAAAATTAGACAAATGTTTTTAAAGATACCACTCATTGTATTCCATTTTTAAATTTTGTTTTTATGAGCATCTCTTATGTGGGAATACATTGTTTTTTACATTTTTGGCTTCTGTTTTTAATGAGGCAGATGTTTGTATTTTTTTAGTCTAGTCATTGAGGGAGTAATTAGAAGCAATGAAGTTGACAAAAGGAGGAAGTTTGCCCAAATCTATTGGTTAAGCTGAATTTTCAAGAAACAACCTGTGAAATAGATTTTACTCTATGTATCCAAGCAGAATAATCAATAACGCCTCACTTTCATTGTCACATAATAACTTTGCCAGTGAAATAAGTGAAAGGTGTTTTCAATTTTTGAAAAATACAAAAAGTTGAAACAAAGATAAATCTTTTTTATTTTATTATTATTATACTTTAAGTTTTAGGGTACATGTGCACAATGTGCAGGTGAGTTACATATGTATACATGTGCCATGCTGGTGTGCTGCACCCATTAACTCGTCATTTATCTAATTTATGTAAAACACGTAAAATTTCTGTTCATCGTTTTTCCTCTGCATTTCTATGTTGTCTTCCTTCACTTACTCTCATTTATAAGTCCTCTTTCATTTTTATTACCACACGAAGCTTTCCTGGGTCTCAGATTCACTGTGTATGACTACACCCTATTGTAGTTGCATAGCCAGGCTTTCTAGTGTCACAGAATCTTCTCATTGTTTCTCAATTCTTGTGAAAATATATCTTTGGAGACCCCTTGTTTGCAAGATATGATGAAATGCTAATGTATTAAACCTAAAACAACTAAGTATAAAATACTGAGCAAATTTATAAATGATATTAAAAATATATTCTAATATTGACTATGAGGACCAGCTGACAAATGTAGAGAGGGATAAATATAAAACACCTGACATTAGGAATAATATACATTCTGTCTGAAGAATATTTTCTTTAATAACATACAAAATACATTAAGCATGCACAAAAGAGATAATTAATTACATTAAAATAAAACCTCTCTTTATGGTATATCACATCATATACAAAGTTCAGAATTAAGTGGTGGACTGAGAGGAGGTATTTACAAAATACATAATATATAAAATAAATAAAATTATTAATAGATGTATAATTAATACAAAAGTTAGTAAATGGAAATCTAGAATATATTTGAGTTTCCACAAATTTAAAAATAAAATACTTATAACCCAGAGGAAAAATAGATAAAAGTAAGAAAGAGGACAATAACAGAATAAGCAAATAAATAGTAAATGAATATAAAGAGGTGTTCAATCTCACTATTGATCAGAGAAACAACAATAAATTACCTGTATCTACACAAATAAACTTGAAAACAATTAGAATTTGGATTAAAATCTAAAGTCATTAAGTTTGTGGAAAAAACCTCTCATATACTGCAGGTATTAATGTAAATAATTGAATTATAATGAAGAGTGATGTAACAGTTTTAATTAAAGGGAAAACTGTAAATACTAGGCAATCAACCAATTCTGATTCCAGAATTTTGTACACTGGTATAACTTCATCACACAGAGATATTGCCAGTTTCATTCCAGACCACCTCCATTAAGCAAATATCACCATAAAGTGAGTCACACAAATTTTTTTGTTTCCATGTGCATATAAAAGTTATATTTACACTATACTGTAGTCTATCAAGCGTGCAATGGCATTGTCTCTAAAAAACAATGTACTTACCTTAATTTAAAATACTTTATTGCTAAAAAATGCTAACATCCATCTGAGCCTTCAGTCAGTTGTAATGTTTTTGCTGATAAAGTGTCAAGCATTGAGGTTTACGACTACTAACTGATCAGGGTGGTAGTTGCTGACAGTTGGGGTGGCTATGACAATGTCTTAAAATAAGGCAATAATGACTTTGATGAATTGATTGACTCTACCTTTCATGAAAGATTTCTCTGCCCAGCATGTGATGCTGTTTGATAGCATTTTACTGACAGTAGAATTTCTTTCAAAATTGGGGCCAATCCTTTCAAACCCTGCCACTGCTTTACCTACTAAATCTATGGAATATTCTAAATTCTTTTTTGTCATTTCAATAATGTTCACAGCATCTTCACCAGAAGTAGATTCATAAAAAAAAAAACTTATTTTTATCATCCATAAGAAGGAACTTTTCATCCCTTTAAGTTTTATCATAAGATTGGAGTAATTCAGTCACATCTTTAGGGTCCAATCCTAATCCTCGTTCTTGTGCTATTTGCACTACATCTGCAGTTACTTCTTCTACTGAAGTCTTGAAACCCCAAAGTCACCCAGGAAGGCTGGAATCAACTTTTTCCAAACTCCTGCTAATGTTGATATTTTGACCTTCTTCTATGAGTCATGCATGGTTTTGATTGCATCTAACATGGTGAATTCTTTCCAGAAAGTATTCAGTTTATTTTGCCCAGATCCATCACAGAAATCACTATCTATGGCAGCTATAGCCTTATGAAGTCTATTTCTTAAATAATAAGACTTGAAAGTCAGAATTTCTCCTTAATTCATGGGCTACAGAATGGACATTGAATTAGCAGTCATGAAAACAATATTAATCTTTTGATACATCTCCGTCAGAGCCCTTGGGCGACAGGTACACTGTCAATGAGCAATAGTATTTTGAAAGGAATATTTTTTTCTGAGCAGTAGATCTCAGCAGGGGGCTTAAAATATTCAGGAAACCGTGCTGTAAACAGATGTGCTATCCCAGTCTTTGCTTTTCCATTCTAGAGCAAAGGAATAGTAGAATTAGCATCGTTCTAAGGGCCCTATGATATTTAGAATGGTAAATGAGCATTGGCTTCAACCTAAAGTCACTGGCTACATTAGCCTTTGTCAAGACTCAGCCTGTACTTGGAAGCTTTGAGGACAGGCATTAACTTCTCATCTCTAGCACTGAAAGTCCTAGATGACATCTTTTTTTATGTAGAATGCTGTTTTATCTAAATAGAAAATCTCTTCCACAATGTAGTCACCTTCATCAGTTGTCTCAGCTAGATCTCCCAAATCACTAGCTGCAGCATCTCCACCAGTACTTTCTGAATCGTCTTGCACTTTTATCTTAGAGAGATGACTTCTTTTCTTAAATTCATAAACCAGCCTCTCCTAACTTAAAAAACTTCATTTCTTTTAGCCTTCATAGAATTGAAGAGCATTCTGGCCTTGCTCTGGATTAGACTTTGGCTTAAGGGAATGTTTTGGCTGGTTTGATCTTCTATCCAGAGAACTAAAACTATCTCCATATCTGCAATAAAGTGTTTTTCTTTCTTAGCATTCATGTGTTTACCAGAATAATACTTTAATTTTTTTTCAAGAACTTTTTTTGCATTCACAACTTAGCTAACTCTTTGGTGGTTAAAGAGGCCTAGCTTGTAGCCTTTCTCAGCTTTCAATATTTCTCTTTTACATCTTTTGATTTAAAGTGAGAGATGTGCTGCTTTTTCTTTCATTTGAACACTTGGAGGCATTTTATTAATTGGCCTATTTTTAATAATGTTTTGTCTCAGCGAACAGAGAGGCCCAAGGAGAGAGACAGGGTAATGTCTGGTCTATAGAGCAGTAAAAACACACATTTATTAGGTTCATTGTCTTATATAGTCAGGGTCATGGTGTCCCCAAATAATTACAATAGTAACATTAAATATCAGTGATGATAGAGCATCATGACAAATAAAATAATGGTGAAAAAATTTGAAATATTCCAAGAATTACTAAAATGTAACACGGAGACACAAATTGAGCACATCCCTTTGGAAAAATGGTGCCAATAGACTTGTTCAAGGCAAGGATGCCATAAACCTCCAATTTATAGACATAATATGTGTAAAGTACAATAAAATAAAGTGCTATAAAACAAGGTATGCCTGCATAAGAAATGGTATATCAGAGCATACAGTGTGCCACTAATTACAGTATTAAAATGTGGAAATAATAAACATTTTTTCAGTAATGAATGGTTAAAAATAGTTTTTGTAAAAACCAGTTATAAAATACACTGAAATTCTAATAACAGTCAAATAATTTTAGAAAACCATACATAAAACATCACCTTATATTTATATGAATTTATATGGTTGTGTGTGTATTTGTGTGTGTGTGTGTGTTTGTGTTGAGGTAAATGTAAGGAGAATATACCATAACTATATAATAGAGTTCCCAAGGGGATGAAGTAAGGCTGAAAATAGGAGAAAAAGATTGGAAAAAATGTAGTTATAAGTGGTCTCTAAATGTTTTCATAATCAAATCAGAATAAAAATATAATTGTATCCATTAGTATACTATTGATATCAGTATTATTTGGGAAAATGCTTCCTTTGTTTAATATGTGGGCCTTCAGATTTATACAAAGAGGTCTGCAAAAATAAATGGAGAAACGTTCTTGAAAGACAAAGATAAATTGGGTATCCAGCCGGGGGAATCGTAGGTGTTTTGGGGAGGATAAGAAAAGTACCCATTGGGAAGTTTATGATACACGGTAAGAGGAGGGAAAAAAGAGGGCTTTTGTGGTTCAAAGGAGGCAGCCATCACAATCACTTGGAGAGGAGTTCTTAAAGGAATTTCACGTATGCATCCGTACTCATGACAAATATGATAAGCTAGATAAAATTTCAAAAGGAGTCAATGCTCTTCACATTAACAGGAAATACTTTAAAAGGGAATTATAGCATTAAAATACAGGAAAAGCATAATACAAATTAACTTAAAAAGTTTTTAGCCATTGAAGGAACACCACAACAGATTTTTAACATTGTTGCCAACCTGGTGAAACATTTTAGTTTTCATCAACTGATTGATTTGCTTTGTAGCAGGGTTGAGATTCAAAAGCCTTACAGGGCAAAATATTTCTAGTTCTTGGACATTCAAGTTTGTTCATTCTAGAAATAAACCAGAAGAGAAGCACAAATATAGTCTCTGTATTAGCTTTTCCATATTCCAAGTTTCACTATTGTTGCAAAAGATTGCATAACGAGTTTAGAGAAAGATGTAAAATGTGCCTCTCAAATGCACTTACCTCAATGAAAGGACTCTTTAAAAATTAGAGTTTAAAATGTTATGTTAGGTAAAACTTCTGATTTACTTGCTTTATATGGTATATATGAATATCATACTAAAGAAATGTGGAATTGTGCATTTGTAATGGAATGCATCTGGCAAATTCTGAGTTTACACATCTGTATCAGATATGTACATAGGCAGAGACTACTAATTGGGAAGTATAACGAGCATCTCTTATATAAACATAGCCTAAACATAGTCCTTTTAATCACTCTTTTCTTCACCTGCTTTATTTTTCCTCTTCATTACTCTCTATTCTCCTATCTTGCCTTAGTCATCACCACTTGGCGAAGTTGGTTTGTACCTGTGTTCATTGTCTCTACTATTGGAATATAATCTCAGATTATTCTGACACTGAATATCTCTCACCACTCCCAGCATGGATGAACACATTAACTAGAAAGACTGGTTGGTTGCATCAGAGGGAAAAAAATGAGATGAAACAGACAAAAAGAAAAAAGCTTCTTTTTTTTTTTTCTGGCAGCATAGCTGTACATGTCACTTTTGAGTGAAACTTTATTAACACTGAAACATTGTTTGAGAAAAAGAGCAATGCTCTTTAGCTAATGTTCTAGTATCTATTAAGTGGAAGGACATTTTTACTGTAGGATTGGAGTCCTGTGTCCTACATATAGATGATTTGTCATTATACAAAGCAATCCCAATTAAAATATCTCTAGGCTTATTTGAACAATGTTTATAAAATTAAATTCCTCTCCAAATAATTAATATTGCTACATATATAATATGCATACATATATACGTATATAAATTTTGTTTAAATATAATGGTGAATTTCATTCTTTTTTAACATTTTTTTCTATTTTTTGCTTCATATTTATTCTTACAAGTTTTATTAATGTAAATGAGGCGTTTCAGGTGACCTCCATAGTGCCACAAATGTTTTAAGTAATTAAAACCTGTAGGTAATATATCCATATATGCAGGAAGAGAAGTGGGGGCAGGAGGAAAGTCCTCTGGATTGTTTAATTCCCAGATATTACATAGTATTTTAGCAATGAATATAGAAATCAGAGAGATTATATATTTCAATGGAGGTCCATCTCTGATTCAGAGCAATGTATACATTAAATTGTGCTTGTTATTGCCGACTGTGTTGTATCTGAAGTTGAATTTTCCCAATTTCTCAGAAGTGACAGTTAAGTTATAATCTCAGCATGTTCAGCATGCTTAATGAACTCCTTGGGGAGACCAGAATATCTGTAACACAATTAACATTAACATCTCATTCTCATGTAAATGAGGAGTTTCAGAGTCCCTGATGGAAGCTTGCTTTTTGGCTACAGTTAGCAAATGTATGCTATTAAATGACACATGGAGCCTGAAGCTGAAATTTAGACTTCACTAATTTGTGCTGTGACATGTACAAAGTGCTTTGGAGGAAATGTGAAACCGAGTTGTTTAAATGTAGTTGATGAAATAGGGATTATCACCCTTGGCTAAACTGTCATTGGCAACCTGATTGCTTTCACTGTTTTCTGCTCTTACAGAAGGCATATTTGACATGTCTTTCACTTGCAGTATTTGCTTTAACATGACTGTTTTCTGATTACATAAGTTATTTATCTCAGAGGAAACAAACATAGTAGAAAAATAATTGTTTCTTTTTTTTCGAATTCTCCTCAAAAGTGAATATTCATTAGGTCAATATTTAGTGTCCAAATATGTCATTTCCTATATGAGTTTTAAAATTATACTTAAAAACTAAAAGGTAAATAACAGCATAAAGTGTATCAATTAGAAAACTGTAATACACAAAATTAAAATATATTATTTTGTGTAATTTAACATGTGTAGTATCTGGACAAATTTTATGAAATGTACTTATTAAATAAAAAACAAATCTGAGATTTAAAGTTTATTTCTTTTATAAATGATGCAGAAATAATATTTTAAATAAAATTATCTAGCAGAGAGAGAAAATCTAAAAAATAAACAAACACACTAAAAATATATGAAAAATCACCTTCAGATACCAGGAAGCAGGATGATTGCTAACGGACAGGAGATTTTCTTTTGACTGATGAAAATTTTTTAGAACTAGATGGAGATGGTCATTGAACACCACTGTGAATGTAGTAAATGCCACAGAATTCTTCACTATAAAAAGGTTCATTTCATATTATGTGTATTTCACCTCAATAAATGAGTTAATGAATCCAAAATTACTGTACTTGCCTTAAAATAAAAATTAAGCTTAAAACTAAGGTAAAATGTGACTATTTAGTTTTCTTGAAGTTAAAAGAATTCTTAAGAGTTAATTTCTCAAAACTGAAGATACTGCTTGGCTCTATTAACTGTAATTCACAAGAACATTGAGTGTAAAATTTACATCTTGCATTTCACATTGTTTGAGAAAGACCTCACTAAGGTCTGATTTTAGCACTTAGGCCTGGGTAGCTAAGCAAAAGCCAAAAGTTTGTTTCCAAAAAAAAGCTGGCTTGAGTGAAAATAGAAAGAAAAAAAGAAAAACATACTTTTTGACATCTGCCTATCTTTGCCCAGGTATTTTGCAAAACTTTTAAACTGATTTTCTTCTTAAAACATAGACTTTGTGTATCCAAGTAATTCTTAAATTTTATAAAATATTTGTCAGTAGCACTAGGTCTAAAAATTCTTTTTTTTTTTTGCCTATAAATGGATTTTTAATGGTATTTTTACACAATAGAACACCATACAGCAATGAGCATGAAAAATCTACAACCACAAACAACAATGTGGATGAATCTCACATATACAACAAGTGAAAAAGCCAACACAAAGGAGTACAAGCTGTATACTTCCATTTAAATAAAGTACAAAAATGGATAAAGCTAACTTTATACTATTAGCAGTGAGGATAGTGAATCCCATGCGGGAACAGTGACTAGAAAGGAATATAAGGTGACTTCTCGAGAGTCAGTGATGTATTTCTCATCTGAGTGCTGGTTACTTATGACTGTCTGTTTGTAAAAATTCCTGATAACATTTTCAGGCTTCATTTTATTTCCTAAAACAACATAAGCATCATTATTTTTCCATCTGTGTCTACTAATTATATTATCTGGAATCCCTATATGCCTCCTCTGTGTTGGTTCTTGCTATTGGAATCTTCCTTCCTTTTGTGTCTTTTTATCTTTGAGTTTATGTTGGATATTGTGCTTGAAAAATTATTATTATTATTATTTATTTTACTATAAGAAACATGCAGGTTTGTTACATAGGAGGTATACATGTGCCATGGTGGTTTGCTGCACCCATCAACCCGTCATCTAGGTTTTCAGCTCCGCATGCATTAGATATTTGTTGTAATGCCCTCCCTCCCCTTGCTCTTCACCCCCTGACAGGCCCTGGTTTGTGATGTTCCCCTCCTTGTGTCCATGTGTTCTCATTGTTCAACTCCCACTTACAAGTGAGAATATGTGATGTTTGGTTTTCTGTTCCTGTATTAGTTGCTAAGGATGATGGTTTTCAGCTTTATCCATGTCCCTGAAAGGACATGAACTCATTCCCTTTTATGGCTGCATAGTATTCCATGGTATATATGGGCCATATTTTCTTTATCCAGTGTATCAGTGATGGGCATTTGGGCTGGTTCCAAGTCTTTGCTATTGTAAATGGTGCTGCAATAAACATACATATGCAAGTGTCTTTATAGTAGAATGATTTATAATCCTTTGGGCATATACCTAGTAATGAGATTGCTGGGTCAAATGGTATTTCTGGTTCTAGATCCTTGAGGAATCACCACACTGTCTTCCACAACGGTTGAACTAATTTACACTCCCACCAACAGTGTAAAAGCACTCCTATTTCTCTGCATTCTCGACAGTGTCTGTTGTTTCCAGACTTTTTAATGATTGCCATTCTAACTGGCATGAGACGGTATCCGTTTGTGGTTTTGATTTGCATTTCTCTAATGATCAGTGATGGTGAGCTTTTTTTCATGTTTATTGATTGCATAAATGTCTTCTTTTGAGAATTATCTGTTCATATCCTTCACCCACTTTTTGATGGGGTTGTTTTTTTCTTGTAAATTTGTTTAAGTTCCTTGTATATTCTGGATATTAGGCCTTTGTTAGATGGATAGATTGCAAACATTTTCTCCCATTCTGTAGGTTTCCTGTTCGCTCTAATGATAGTTTCTTTTGCTGTGCAGAAGCTCTTTAGTTTAATTAGATCCCATTTGTCAATTTTGGCTTTTGTTGCCATTGCTTTTGGTATTTTAGTCATGAAGTCTTTGCCCATGCCTATGCCCTGAATGGCATTGCCTGGGTTTTTTTCTAGGGTTTTTATGGTTTTAGGTTTTACATTTAAGTCTTTAATCCATCTTGAGTTAATTTTTGTATACAGTGTAAGGAAGGGGTCCAGTTTCTGTTTTCTGTATATGGCTAGTCAGTCCCAGCACCATTAATTAAATAAGGAACCCTTTCGCCATTGCTTGTTTTTGTCAGGTTTGTTGAAGATCAGAAGGTTGTAGATATGTGGTGTTATTTCTGAGGACTCTGTTCTGTTTCATTGGTCTATATATCTATTTTGGTACCAGTACCTTGCTGTTTTGATTACTGTAGCCTTGTAGTATAGTTTGAAGTCAGGGAGCGTGATGCCTCGAGCTTTGTTCTTTTTGCTAAGGATTGTCTTGGCTATGAGGGCTCTTTTTTGGTTCCATATGAAATTTAAAATAGTTTTTTCTAGTTCTTTGAAGATAGTCAATGGTAGCTTGATGGGATTAGCATTTAATCTATAAATTACTTGGGCAGTAAGGCCATTTTCACGATATTGATTCTTCCTATCCATGAGCATGGAATGTTTTCCCATTTGTTTGTGTCCTCTCTTATTTCCTTGAGCAGTGGTTTGTAGTTCTCCTTGACTAGGTCCTTCATGTTTCTTGTAAGCTGTATTCCAAGGTATTTTATTCCCTTCACAGCAATTGTAAATGGGAGTTCACTCAAGATTTGGCTCTCTGTTTGTTCTTATTGGTGTAGAGGAATGCTTGTGATTTTTGCACTTTGATTTTGTATTCTGAGACTTTGCTGAAGTTGCTTATCAGCCTAAGGAGTTTTGGGGCTGAGGTGAGGCCTTCAATAAAATTCAACCTCCCTTCATGCTATAAACTCTCAATAAATTTGGTATTGGTGGAACATATCTCAAAATAATAAGGGCTATTTATGACAAATCCATAGCCAATATCATACTGAATGGGCAAAAGCTGGAAGCATATCCTTTTAAAACTGGCGTAAGACAAGTATGCCCTCTCTCATCACTCCTATTCAACTTAGTATTGGAAGTTCTGGCCAGAGCAATCAGGCAAGAGAAAGAAATAAAGTGCATTCCAATAGGAAGAGAGGAAGTCAAATTGTCTCTCTTTGCAGACCACATGATTGTATATTTAGAAAACCCCATTGTCACAGCCCAAAAACTCCTTAAGCTGATATGCAAACTCAGCAAAGTCTCAGGATACAAAATCAATGTGCTAAAAATTCTAAGAATGTGAAAACAGCATTGTCTTCAATTGTTAAAATACAATTCTACCAATAATGGATTGTAACTGAATAGAACAGTACTTTAAGGAAAAATGTTTCCCAGATTCTAAATAAGTTATGTGACATGATGAATATATTAAATATATCTTGCATAATTGGAATTGGTTAGTAGTAAAAGCATATATACACAAAAACAGGAGTATTAGGTGACTATTAACAGGATTCTTTCTGGTCATTTTAGGGGAGAGGAATCTTTGTTCTCAGGGCTTTCCAGCCAAGCCCCGGCAGTACATACATATAAAGGAAGTATCTTTGTTTTCCCTTCATCTGATTCTATTCTCTCAACATAACACCTCGTTGCTTTAATTGGCTTCTCATTCATATATATTTAGATTTTTGCTCTTGTAACTCTCTAGTGAAGCAAATTTATTATTTCTGCCTTGCTAATTTAGGTTTTTGAGAATGAAAGTCTGAAGGCCTCAACCCTGCCAAGAAACAAATTATTCACTAAAATGACACCACTCTAGGAATCTACTAGTGAAGCCAATTGACATGGCCAGGCACATCTGTTTTGCTTATTGCTGTTGTAAAATGTCTATTTAGAATTTATAATCCATTAATGGGTTCCCCACCCCAAAGGCATTTTCTACTTTAAACTGTGAAGATTAAATGTAAAATTTAAGAGAAATCTACATTAGCAGAGTCTACCCCGGAAAAAAGCAAGACAAATGTATATTTTTCCCTTATTAACTTGTTTTCAAAATACAAGCCTGCTTACCAGAATAATCAGTTAAGTTTTTGGTTGCATAGCATTGAGATTTCCTTTATTTTCATATATTTGAGTATTTATCCTGCCTTTCCTGTAGAATGTCTTTTCCTGGTGATCAAATAGTTGATAAGGGGAAATTCTCCCTACATAGAATTATTCTATTTGATATATGGAGAAGACATAATAGAATTTAAAAAATCATGTTTTGATATTCTTTATAAAATAATAGATCTAACCAATGATTATCGGTAGTTGCTAACATCACACACACACACACACACACACACACACTCACACACAAAAGACAACCAGATATTGTATATCTACTGAAGAAAATTCACTGCATCTCCTATAAGGTATTTTTACCTAAAAGAAACTGCATTGATAAATGCCTTAGATGCAACAATAAATTTAAAGAAAATAAAGAACACAGATAAGCATATCACCATGTCAAACAAACACAGAAATGTGTCAGCAAAACTCCCGACCCTTGCTGGAGATATTAGAGATTGAAATTATTTACATAATGTTATTTGGATATTATTTTCCTTTTTTGCTGTATGGACATTGACATTAATGTGGACAAAATAATGGTGGCATCTTACCACAAATTGAGGAAGTGTCAGCAAGTTGTACTAGTATCATTGTATCTTTTATTGCCATACACACACACATTTAAATAATAGTTTCACATATGATGGTCTTCATTGAAGCAATAATTATTAGTTTTATTGGCACCGATACTTGAGTTTTAAAATTCTTTTGAAAAACATTGGAAGTAAAAATAAAGCACTTCTATTGAATACTGAATTACAGTGTCCCAAGGCAAACACGTTTGTGTTAGTATGATTTGTAAGCTGAAATAGCTGTTTTTTCATATAATATATTTTATATTTAAAGGAACAACTAAAAGTCAAACTCTGGTTGTTCAGACTTGGGCGTTTGGCAGATATTTCTCAAAAATGAATCAAATGAGCCTATCACTTCATGGAAAACAGCTAGCAGTATTTGTTACTAATGATAGCATTGAGAGACAGGACTAGCTGGATTTTCTAGGCTGACTAAGAATCCCTAAACCTAGCTGGGAAGGTGACCACATCCACCTTTAAACACGGGACTTGCAACTTAGCTCACACCCAATCAGAGAGTTCACTAAAATGCTAATTAGGCAAAAACAGGAGGTAAAGAAATAGCCAATCATCTATTGCCTGAGAGCACAGCGGGAGGAACAAGGATCAGGATATGAACCCAGGCATTCGAGCCAGCAATGGCAACCCCCTTTGGGTCCCCTCCCCTTGCATGGGAGGTCTGTTTTCACTCTATTAAATCTTGCAACTGCACTCTGGTCCGTGTTCGTTACAGCTCAAGCTGACTTCATTCTTCCAGATCTGGCAGGGTATCTGCTGTGCTTCTGATCCAGCGAGGCGCCCATTGCCACTCCCAATTGGGCTAAAGGCTTGCCATTGTTCCTGCACAGCTAAGTGCCTGGGTTCATCCTAATCGAGCTGAACACTAGTCACTGGGTTCCACGGTTCTCTTCCATGACCCATGGCTTCTAATAGAGCTATAACACTCACCGCATGACCCAAGATTCCATTCCTTGGACTCCATGAGGCCAAGAACCCCAGGTCAGAGAACACGAGACTTGCCACCATCTTGGAAGCGGCCTGCCACCATCTTGGAAGCGGCCTGCCACCATCTTGGAAGCGGCTCACCACCATCTTGGAAGTTCTGTGAGCAAGGACCCCCGGTAACAACATTAGAGCTTATAAGCAAAATACCATCAGCATGAAGAAGAGAAGAATCTTGGAAAATTCTTTAGAAAATCCCCCACTCTCACCTTAACGGCTTCATAATATGTAATACTTTAAAAAGGAGTTTACAGTGATATAATCAGTGATATAGTAAGTGTAATTTTTAAATCTTATGTAAAGACGTGGAAATTTAGAAAATCTGCACAATTCAGTAAACAAATATTTTCCAAATTGCAATGCATGATGTGTCTACATCCATTTAAGGTGCAAGATAGACAATGGATTTGCATGCAACTTACTACATAAAGTTAATATAGGTGAGAATTCCAGTCACAATCACCTTAAAGTACCACTTGTTGAATTTTGTATAATGTCAAAAAATAATCTGCAATTACCTGAAAAGGTACATAAAATAGGCCTCTCTCAAATATATATTTGGTCATTAAATCTGATTTTTTGGTATTAAATCTGATTTTTAAGTATATTTTAGCCCAAAGTATATATCAGCAAATATGATGCAGAAATAGATGTTTGAAACCAACTGCCTTCTACTAATTCGGATACTAATGCATGTGCAAAATCGTGAAACTCGTTTTCACTACTTTTAATTTTGGTATCGTTATTTATATCTAAATATAAAATTTATCAAATTTATAGAAATATATAAGCATTTAAGTATTTTCCATTTTAATTTCTAATATGGTAACTACTGATAGATATAAGCCAAGTAAACAAAAGATTTATATGGTTTTCAATACATTTACAACTGTTAGGTAGTCCTGAGACCAAAATGTTTCACAACAGCTATAGATTAAAGAAACATAATAAACAACAACTGTGGAAAATTGTGCTGATGTTTCCAATTTTTTACTCCTCCTTTAGCTTGCCATTTTTCATTTGCCTTTACAGTGTTCTCTTCATTGAGTGGAGCTGAATTCTTTTCTTTTTGTTTCTGAGTTTGATTAGGTGACTTCACTTGGAGAATGAAAAGCTAGCAGATCTGATTAAATCAGAAGCTTACAAAAATATATTGGTGCAATTGAACTTACTCTCTTGTGAGTCTGTTACTGATGTAAGAACCTCTAGGCTAGCCTACTGGTTACCGGAGGAAAGTGAGATGCTCATGGACAAGAGCAGAGCCAAACTTACTGAGCCCAGCTTTGATGAGCTAACCTGTAAAACTGAAGAAGAATGTGCAAGCCTAGATGAAATCACTCAAAAATGAACACACTGATTTTGAGGGTGAATTGTTTTGAGGCAATAATAACTGGTAAGAGAGGCATTTTGTCAAAACACTGGACACTGTTTAGATCCTGAGTTAGAAGAAGAAAGAGGTGAAGGAAGAGGAAGATGAGACAAGATGATAATAATCAACTGAAAATTACAAGGTAATTGGACAAATTTTAATATTATTTAATGAACAATAATTATTGTTACTTTCCTAAATGTGTAAAATGTGTGTGGTCCTATTTATTGTAATATATTTATTGTTTTTAACATATCCAGTATCTAAAAATTATGGATGAAATGGTAGAAAAGGGGAGAATCAGATGAGATTATAATAGAAGCAAGTATACCTGTGAGTTGATAAAATTGAAGTGGATGGTTAGCATATGGCGATCCACTATATTATGTTTTTCTGTTTTCGAGTATCCTTGAAAATTTCCATAATAAATATATAAAACAAAATTCATAGTAAGATGAGAGGAACGATAGATAGAGCACTCCACATAGATGGATTGGCTACAGAAATAGTGACATAAATGGTAGACCAGGGTAAAAGAACCCAAACTCTATTATCACGTAAGATCACACACATTCTGAAAAAGGTAGCATTTATGAGCAGAACCACAGAGACTTTGAAATCAGGAAAATATGCACTTCTTTCCTACATTAGTTACTTACTGGCATTATGACCAAGTATTTAACTTTCTGAGTCATAGTTAACTATTTGCAAAACAAATGAATGAATAAAATAAAATAGCACAACTAGTAGATTTTATGACGAATAGCACTTACACAAAAGTTAGAGCTATTACTATTATTCAGTCTGCTTTAATGTTTGTGACATACACAGGTAAGTTTAGCTTCCTGTAGTAATTCACTGAAAAGAAACTGTTAGATGTCATTGACTATAGCATCTGATATCAGAACTCATTGTGATCAAAATCCAACTTGCAATAAAAGAGGTAAAAGCACATCTTTACACTTTTTAGATTATATTGATAGCTAAAATTCTTATACAAATGTGCTTGATCTATGCTAATGAACAATCTTAGGGAGCAACAATGCATTTATTTTAAAATGCCTGCATTAGTTTGCATGTCTTGTTTGTAAATATCTGTTGCTGCTTCTTCCAATACTAAAATATCAATTATTTTTTCAACTTTTGAAAGTCAGAGAACTAAATATGTACAAATAGTAGCTGGCAGAAAATACATCAAAAAGTTTCTGTTTCCTGCCACTGAATTATTCTTAAAAGCACCTCCAAATGCTCTATAAAGACATTTCAATGTATAAAGGCTTACCTTAGGTTGAACTGGAAGAGTTGAAATAATAAACAGTTAACTTTGAATATTTTATATTTTTGAAAGGTCAGCTTAGAGTTGGAGATTCTTTAAGACTGTTGCAAAGCTGTTTTTGACAACTTCCATGATTAAAGCAATGGGTGGAGAAACAGTAAGAATACAAAAAAAATCTTTGAAGTGCTACTATATATTGTCCTGCCAGTGCCGTATAGTTTTGTAATGCATGTTTGCTAAGTATTTAAAAATATTCTATTTTAACACAGGGAATAAGAAAAATTAACAAGGGGAACAATAAAGAGAAAATATAAAAGTAAATATAGATAGCAAATAAGTGAATAGCTTTTGAGACACAGGTAAATCTTATAAGGTGTGTTTATAAGTAAGAATATAGAAATTAATTTATAAGTTAAATTAGATATGGAATAAATGGAACATATGTGAGTTGAACCAAAGTATAAAGTAATTAATTAATATTAATTATATATAGGAAGAGATGGAAGCATCACATACATTGTAATTATTCATAAAGGACATTTTATGTCACTTCCATATTGACAGGTATAAAATCCCGAAATTAACCACCCACTGGTGACATACACTCTGGCCCCATGTGTCCTCTGTGCCAAACACAGCAATAAAACCATAGCTGCTCATCAGGCTATCTGCAAATTACCATCGTAGCCAGATGTACTTGCATCTGCATCCCTTCTGTTGAACAAGGGTGATTTAATTTCTGACTCATTCAGACTCTAAGGCCTCTCACTCGCTGTCTACTTGGGTCCTCAAAATCATACTATTAGTGGGGATGGCTGATGCAGCAGAAAGAGGAACAGGACACATGGGGACTAAACAGGAAGTAATTCAGTAAGTGTGGTCCTTCCGTCCTGAGTGCATTCTAAACATTTTTGCCTACCCAATATTTTTCCCTTTACTTCTTGCTCGCTTTAAATGGATCCAAGAAACCAGGCAATTCGAATTGAATATCATTCATCTGTGATCCATTCTGTTCCCTGATATCTGGCATAGTCTGACTAGTAGTGTACTTGCCACAATGTATATTCCATTATGAACACTTTTTTGGTCTTGAATTTGTAAATCAGTATATATATACACACACACGTATATATACATTTACGTGTGTGTGTATATATCTGATTTGTAAATATGTATTGTATTTTATATGTTTTATATACATAAACAGTATGTTTGTATATATATATACACACATATTTTATATGGTATTTTTAAGAATATGTATTTTGTGACTAAATCTGGAATCTACTGTATTTACAGGTTATTTCTATTGAAAATTAGAGTTGAATTTTTGATTTTTAAATCAATAAAATTTGAAGCACAGCTCAATTGCATTTCTGTGCATTTTTAAAATCTTTATTAATTTTCCTTAGTAACCTATAACAGGTCTATTTTCATATGGTTTTAATATATGGTATAATGCATCATTTGTGATATTATCATTAATTTAACCTCTTCACTGTATTCAGCAGTATGGGGTAAGCATACAACTAAGATAATCATCTCTTTGAGAAATATTGATTTTTGACTCCATTTGTATGCTGCAACACGTCTGGAGAAACCATATCGTGCATTGCATTGTATTCCTCTCAGATTAGCTGCGAGCTGTATATACAGCCATGAACACATTTCCATTGACTTCTGTTGTAGATGGATAAACAATTTTCATTTTAGCAAGTGAAAATCCTATCAGACTAGTTGAAAAAAGGGAAGTAGTCCATACTAGAAAGGTCAGATTTTCCACATAAAAGTACAGAGGAGCTTCAAACAATAAATTTGACTAGTCACTAAGCATTGAACAACTGGTAAATTAAAATTATATTAACAACTATGTTAAATATGTCAAATCAAATGAAACACATTTTTAATATTGAAGAACTCAAGTTAAAAATTATATAAAGTAAAAATCACAGTTTGATTATGATGGAGTTCATCGGATAATTTGATATATCCAGGTTATTAAAGGGTTTGTTTTATTTTAAAGCACGTATAAGCTCTTTTGCAAAATAGTCCTTCTTTTTTTTCATGTTCTGCATTAAGCCCAATAGATCTATAAAATGTCTTTATCCAGTGACGATAAGGACCATAAAACAAGCTCCATAATTGAACATTTCATTTTACTTCAGCACCAACTAGTCTTATAAATATCACTTAGGGAGTGACATTTTTATATTTTTTCCCAATACCAAATTTTTCTTAAATCTTAATGCCTCTTTTGTGAAATATTATTTTAAATCCCATTTAAAATTATTAGATTTCTCTGATGAATATTTTAAAGATGTGTCTCATGGCACTTTTAAAATAGAAAACTAAATAATAGAGAAAATCCCTCTCATGTCAAGAAACTAAATTTTGTATTTAATTTATTCAAACCCATTGTAATCAATGTACAATTTTATTTATATGTTTCATGTACAATTTTAATATCAATCCACAAAAAATATACAAAACATTTTAGATGCCAAGAGCAACATGTTAAAAGTGGAATAAAGTGCAGATAAATTTAATAGCTTTAACAATTTATTTTACATGAAACATAAAATCATTATTGCATGTTTTACATTTTTCTTTTATTAAAAATATTTTAATTAATTTTTGACAACAATAAGCATAAAACTTTATACCATGAAGGACAGAGGTGAAAACAATATATGAAGGCCAACTTTTCATTTGATTAACTGAATTGCTGTATTAGTTTACTATGCCTGCCATCACATAGGTGGCTTAAGCAACAGATATTTATTTTGTCACAATTCTAGAGCATCAAAGTCCAAGATAAACCCTCACAGGGGTATTTTATTCTGAAAAAGGAAAAAATTATTGCTCCTTGGCATGTAGATGGCTGTCTTTTCCATGTTTTTGTGTCCAGAATTGGTGGGTTCTTGATCTCACTGACTTCAAGAATGAAGCTGTGGGCCCTCATGGTGAGTGTTACAGTTCTTAAAGATGGTGTGTCATGAGTTTGTTCCATCAGATGTTCAGATGTGTCCAGAGTTTCTTCCTTCCAGTGGGTTCATGGTCTCACTAACTTCAGGAGTGAAGCTGCAGACCTATGCAGTGAGTGTTATGGCTCATTAAGGCAGCATGGACCCAAAGAGTGAGCAGCAGTAAGATTTATTGCAAAGAGCAAAAGAACAAAGCTTCCACAGCATGGAAGGGATCCAAGCAGGTTGTCACAGCTGGCTCAGGTGGCCTGCTTTTATTCCTTTATCTGGCCCCACCCACATCCGCTGATTGGTCCATTTTGCAGAGAGCTGATTGGTCCGTTTTACAGAGAGCTGATTGGTCTGTTTTGACAGAGTGCTGATTGGTGTGTTTACAATCCTTTAACTAGACACAGAGTGCTGATTGGTGTGTTTATAATACTTTAGCTAGACACAAAAGTTCTCCAAGTGCCCACCAGATTAGCTAGACACAGAGTGCTGATTGGTGCGTTTACAAACCTTTAGCTAGACAGAGAGTGCTGATTGGTGCATTTACAATCCTTTAGCTAGACACAGAGTGCTGATAGGTGTGTTTATAATCCTTTAGCTAGACAGAAATGTTCTCCAAGTACCCACCCAACCCAGAAGCCCAGCTGGCTTCACCTCTCAATGGCACTTGCCATGGCAGTTTGCGGCACCTAGCCAGGGCACTCCAGCAGCCCAGAGGGAGCTTGTCCCCCAATCAAGCCCAGCATGTGCCCGCCGGCCAAACCGAGTGTGGGCCCGACAAGCCCGTGCCCTCCCAGAACCCGTGCCGGCCCAGGAGAGCCATGCACAGCCCTGGCTCCCGCCCACGCCTCTCCCTCCACACATCTGCAAGAGCAGAGGTAGCTGGCTCCAGCCTTGGCCAGCCCAGAGAGGGGCCCCCACAGTGCAGCGGCAGGATGAAGGGCTCCTCAAGAGCAGCCAGAGTGGACGCCGTGGCCGAGGAGGCGCTGAGAGCATGGGAGGGCTGCTAGCACATTGTCACCTCTCATCTTCACATGGTCTTCCTTCTTTCACTGTCAGTGTACAAATTTCCTCTTTTCATAAGGACACCAATCATATTGAATTAGGGTCCACACTTAATCTCATGTTAATGTAATTATCTTTTTAAAATTTCTGTCTCCAAATATAGTCACGTTCTAGGGTACTGGGATTAAGACTTTATCATGTAAATTTTGGAGGACATATTTTTGCCCATAGCAGTTTCCAATAAAGGATACCAATTTGAATAATAAAAAAGCTATTACTGTAAATTCATTCTACTCCTTGAGCTAAAGAAATAGGCATCTCTTAAGTGTCTGCTGGGTAGACACTTCATGTACAGAATGGCCAATGCAGTTTTTTATTCAAATCACTAAGAAGCATTGGTATACATACTTTTTGTATTAATCTGGGTTTTCCAGGGAAACAGAATAGAAGAAGAAGAATAAATGATAGATAGATAGATAGATAGATAGATAGATAGATAGATAGATAGAACTGGCTCACAGCATTATGGAGGCTGAGATATCTCAAGAATTGCAGCCAGCAAGCTGAAGATCCAGAAAAGCTGATGGGACAGTTCCAGTTTGAGTCTGAGTTCAAAGGCAGAAGACCAGTAATCCAGTTAAAAGAGTCAGGCAAAGGGAGTGAATCCTTCCTTACTTATCTTTCCTTCCTTGCTTATCTTATTCTTCCTTACAAAATGTTTTTTAGTTCTCTCCAGGTCTTCATGGTTTGGATGAGGCCCACCCAAATTGGAAAGAGCAATATTTTTTACTCAGTTTACCTATTCAACTGTTAATCTCATTTTGCAGACACCCTCACAGACATAACTGGAATAATGTTTAACAAAATACCTGGGCACCCTGTGGCCCCATCAAGCTGACATGTAAAATTAACACTGTTTGTCTCCTGCACTATCTCCTAAAACAATTAACAGACACATTTTGTGAGTTCAAAAAGTTTTATGATTTTGAGGTCCACTGCCAGTAGAAGAAAATCTGTGCAACTTATTTGGCATAGATTTCATTTCAGTTCAGTGACCATGTCCCAGTATGAGTCTCCCACAGGAGATTTGTAGTTTGCATTTAGAGTCTCAAAGACATTTATTTTGCTTCTACACAGCCAAGTGGCCAAAATAGCAATTGATCTTGTAGTAGGTCAATCGTGTGTTAAACACTCCCTATAGCCAAAAGCTGTTCTACTCCAGGGTCATTTTTCACTTAATCTACTGCTGGTCCCCAATCGGTGGCCTTCTTCATTTACTCAAATGGCTTTCAGTCTCTTCTATTAAAACACACTTAAGATTCCTTAGTAATCTTTCAGTCATAAAGAGAATCTAGTTCTGAAAAGTTAATGCAGCCAACAGATCATCAATTCTTTTTGAGCAAGGTAATGTGTCCCTTGGAGGTTGTGATGACCATTGGGTGCAATGGCTAATCCATTATTACCTTTCCTGTATTTTGTCTTCATCCCAAAGGGACTAACTCCTATACCGGGGAGGTTCAGCTGGCCCTGATTGTTAGACTCACCCCCAGAAGGCTGGCCCAACCCTAGAAATCACACATGGATTCCTTTCGCTTTTTCCAGAATTCTCTAAGCAAGAAACAGTGGAATTATTTAGGCTACCATCAATAATATAAGGAATCAAGATAAATTTCTTAAAGTATAAAAAGTAAAATAGTTGAAATGCCAAATAAAGTAGGATAAAATGGAATTCACTAAGTTAAAGAAAACTAAAAACAGAGCACGCTTTGATAAAATTGTATTTATGCAATTTATCAGATTTATATCATTCCTTTATAGCCTTAGTTGTATTCCTTATATGATTTCTTATGGCTTTCATTTAATGTTAAATTTAATAATTCTTGAAATATTTGTAATTTCTATAGCATATCATTAATATGACAGCAATACTTATGGCATATAGCGTTACACAAATGTCTGTAGAGAATTTATTGTTAAACATAATTTTCTTGATACAGCTAAAAAAAAAAACTTCACTCCTGTAGATGACTCATAAATATTTAAAATACTTTCTAGCCAGCATTTAGAATACTAACACTAACACAAATTATTGAAAAGTATAAACAACCATCACTTTAGCCAAGTGCTCATACTTTTACTTGCAAAAGAATGCATGGTCATGATTTGTTTTGCCTGCTTTCCATACAGAAGAAAGTTTGCTAATAAGCATTTTAAAAGATCAGATAGCAGAAAACTAGATGTAGAAGAAAAAAATGAGTCACAGATATCTGAAACTGAATAAACAGTCTTTGTAGAGTAATAGTTAACCATGTTAAAATAACAAAGCAATTTCATAGATGAAATTATAGCTATGCATAGCAAAATATCATTTTTATGGTAAAGAGGACAGATTAATTTTATTGTTTACCTGAGATGGGCTTGTGTAAAAAAAGAAAAATCATAGGCATATTTTATCATCTGAAATTTCTTTGTAATGCTTTTAATATTGTCAAAGAATATTTATTTTTGGAAAAAATTACTTCATGTACTTTTTGATTATTTTTAACAGAAAGTTACAGTTTGATTTTAAGCAGGTGTGACTTTCTAAAATCAGCTTTTATTATAGATGTTTGGCCCACTTTGTTTCTAAAATATGTCATTTCTGAATTCACCTTTGTTACTTAAAATCCATGTTTTTCACTCATTAGTTGAAATCTATTTTTCTATATCCTTTTTATGTAAAGATCTCCAACTCTGTGTGATTGTGATTTGCTACATCAGGAACAAGGAAGTAACCTATAACTAGATAGGTTTACAGTGTATTAATTCAAAATGCTTAATATCTGGAATGGGCCAAAAACATAGACTTGGAAGCATTCTCCATCCAGGAATCTTCAGTGGAGATGAAATTAAATAATTCTTGAGGAGCTTGTATTATTTTCAGATTGAAGAAATCCTGTATTATTGAATAAGTGTTAAGCAATAGATTCAAATCTACACTTACCAAGAACTGGTTGTGTTTCATGCACATGTTGAGTTAATTTGCATTATTTATCCCATTTAATATTTACAACAGCACTATGAAATTTTTTTATCTTATTAAGAGAATTACTAGTATGGTATGGATTTGGTTTATTTTTTAAGGAGAGTGTGGATTCATGGGCTCACTTTATTCATATTTTAGTTTGTACCTATGTCTCTTTTTTCTCTATAATTCTATGAATCACCCCTTTTCATTTTAATAATTTCATATATTCTTAAATCATCAAAGTTTAAATCATTTCCTTATAAATAAAATCCTTACATCCAGTCACCAGTCATAAATGAAGCTGATTAAGAAACTTGCCAAAAATATAAATCAACACTATTCTTTCTTCATCAAGCAAGTAAGAATAAAAACAAAACAAAATAGCAGCTGAATTCAACACAATACTTCATAAACTGCAGAATAAATACTATATTAAACTTTGGATTATTGTCTTTATCACATGATTAATGAGAATATGATCATTAATAGCTATTATCACATGCTTAGGTGCAATGGTTATCAAGGTGGAAATTTCTGGAATTAACATTTTGCATAATAAGAAATAAATTTGGTACCAATTTAGAGGTCTGAATTGAACCCCTAGATTAGCTTATTTGTCTGAAAATATTCAATAATTCATTTATAACCTCCTCATGGGAGAAATACAAAATTATTTCCTGTGGCAGATAAGATCAAAAGGCAAAAATTAGACATTTGTAAGAATAGAGTTTCTTTGTATTTTTATTACATTATTAAGAGATGATCTGACTGGACACTGTGCCTTTTGTCTGTAATCCCACACTTTCGGAAGTCAAGGTGGGAGGATCACTTGAGCCCACAAGTTCAAGACAAGCCTGGGTAACAAAGTGGGGCCTGGTCTTTACAAAAAAAAAAAAAAATCAAAAAAATAGCTGGAACATACTTGTGGTGTGCACCTGTAGTCCCAGCTACTCATGAGGCTGAGGCAAGCAAGAGAATCACTTAAGCCCAGGAGGTGGAGGCTGCAATAAGCCATATTTGAGCCACTGCACTCCAGCCTGAGCGACAGAGCAAGACCTTGTCAAAAAAAAAAAAAAAGAGGGGAAGTAGTGGCTAGGTGTGTTGGCTCATACCTGTAATCTCAGCACTTAGGGAGGCTGAGGCAGGAGGATCACTTGCACCCAGGAGACCAGCCTGGGCAACACAGTGAGACTATGTCACTACAAAAGTTACAAAAAAAAAAAAGGCAAGGCGTGGTGGCCCACCTGTAGCTCCAGCTACTCCAGTGGCTGAGCTACTTAGGAGGCTAATGTGGAAGGATCAACTAAGCCCTTTTGGCAAAGGCTGCAGCAAGCTGTTATCACAGAGCTCTACTCCTGCCTGAGCAACAGAGTGAAACCCTGTCAGGAAAGAAAAAAAGAGAGAGAGAGAGATGATCTGTAATTTGGTCATAATAATCAAGAAGTAAATGGAATTATGAATCCTAAAACTTTAATGTAATATCTTGAATTGTCAATGTAAGAACATACCTGCATGTTGGAAATTTAGAAATGAGAATCACCACAGTGCTACTGATTTGTGGACATTGATTTTGTATCCTGAAACTCTAATGAATTTGTTTACGAGATCTAGGAACTTATTGGATGAGTTCAGGGTTTTCTAGGGTACAATCCTATCATCAGAGAACAGCAACAGTTTGACTTCGTCTTCTCCAATTTGTATGCTCTTTATTTCTTTCTCTTGTCTGACGGCTCAGGATAGGACTTCCAGTACTATGCTGAATAAAAGTGGTGAAAGTGTTTGTCTGAAAAAGACTGTGCCTTTCCTTCATTTATGAAGCTTAGTTTTTCTAGATAGAAAATCCTTGGCTGATAATTATTTTGTTTTAGGAAGCTGAAGATAGGATCCTCATGCCTTCTAGTTTGTAGGGTTTCTGCTAAGAAGTCTGCTGTTAACCTGATCAGTTTTCCTTTATTGGTTACCTGGTGTTTTTCCTCACAGCTCTTAATATTATTTTCTTCATCTTGACTTTAGATAACCTGATGACTATGTGCCTAAGTGGTGATCTTTTTGCAATGAATTTCCCAGGTGTTCTTTGAGCTCCTTGTATTTGGATGTCTAGACCTCTAGCAAGGCCGGGGAAGTTTTCCTCAATTGTTCCCCCACATATGTTTTCCAAACTTTTAGATTCCTCTTCTTCCTTAGGAACACCAATTATTCTTAGGTTTGGTCATTTAACATAATCCCAACCTTCTTGGAGACTGTGTTCTTTTTTTTTATTTTTATTTTTTATCTGTCTTTGTTGGATTGGGTTATTTCGAAAACCTAGTCTTCGAGCTCTAAAGTTCTTTCTTCAGCTTGTTTGATTCTATTGCTGGGGCTTTCCAGTACATTTTGCATTTCTCTAAGTATGTCTTTTATTTCCTGAAGTTGTGTTTTTTAATTTATGGCATCTATTTCACTGAAGATTTCTCCCCTCATACCTTGTATTTTTGTTTTTATTTCCTTAAGTTGGACTTCAACTTTCTCTAATGCCTCCTTGCTTAGCTTAACAATCAAATTTCTGAATTCTTTTTCTGGCAATTTAGGGATTTCTTCTTGGTTTGGACCCATTGTTGGTGAGCTAGTGTGATTTTTTGGGGAGTGTTAAAGAACTTTGTTTTGTCACATGACCAGAATTGTTTTTCTGATTCTTTCTCATTGTGGTAGGCTATGTCAGAGGAAAGATCTGAGGTTAAAGGCTGCTGTTCAGATTCGTTTGTTCCACAGAGTGCTCCCCTGATACATTACTCTCCCCCTTTTCCTGGCAATGTGGCTTCCTGAGAGCTGAATTGTAGTGACTGTTATTTCTCTTCTGGATCTAGCCACCCAGCAGGGCTACCAGGCTCTGGGCTGGTACTGAGGGGTATCTGCACACAATCTTGGGATGTGAATCACCTTCAGGTCTCTCAGCTGTGGATACTTTGGTGGAGGTGGCAGGGGAGTGAAATGGACTCTGAGCGGGTCCTTAGTTGTAGTTGTTTTATACACTAGTTTTGTGCTGGTTGGCCTCCTGCCAGGAGGTGATGCTTTCAGGACAGCATCAGGTGTGGTAAGTATAGGGGAGGATCAGTAGATGGGCAAGGCCCTAGAACTCCCAAGAGAATATGACCTTTGTCTTCGGCTACCCGGGTGGGAGGGGAAGAACCATCAGATGAGAATAGGGTTAGATGTATCTGAGCTAGGACTCTCCTTGGGTGGGGCTTGCTGCTACTTCTGTGGGGGATGGCGGTGTGTTTCCTACGTCAATAGAGTTATGTACCGAGGAGTATCATGGCTGCCTCTTCTGTGTCATGAAGGTTGTCAGGGAAGTGAGGGAAAGCTTGCAGTTTCAGGCCTCACCCAGCTCCCTCACAACCCAAAAGGCTGGTCTTATTCTCACTGTGCACTCCCACAACAGCACGGAGTTTGTTTCCAGGCAGTGAGTGAGCAGGGCTGAGAACTTGCCCCAGGCTACCACCCTCTCAGCTGAGAATGCAAGCAGGGCTTTCACATCTTTCCGCCTGTGGAGTCTGCACTCTGGATTCATGATTTCCCCTGAGCTCTGGCCAGGACACTTCCAATCTGTTTGGAATTGTTACCAAGTTCAGCTGGAGGTTTCCCTCTCCCTGTGTTTTTTTCCCCAGTTCCTCTGGCAGCTGTCCCCAAGGGGACCCCAGTGAGACAAGTCAGAAATGGCTTTCCGGAGGACCCACAGGGCTTTTACAATTGCCTCCTCTACCCCGTATTTCACTTGGCTCTCCAAATTGTCTCACCTCCAGGTAATTTTATGGTCAAATCCTTTTCCCGTAATCCGCCTCAGGTTCCCCAGTGCAGGTCTGTATTTGGGGGAGGATGATTCCTTTTTCCCACTTTCACAGTTTGGCACTCACAGTATTTGGCTGTCTCCTCGGTCCTGCAGGAACCATCTGCTTCCTTCAAAGGGTCTGTGGATTCTCTTGCCTTTCCTGGTTTATTTCTGCAGTAGTTCTTGGAGCAGAAGTTCACAATGTGAGTCTCCACATACTGCTCTGTCTGTCCCAGTGGGAGCTACGATTTAGTCCTGCCTCTTATCTGCCTTTTTTTTGCTACTAAATTCTTATTTTCCATTCCTATTGGTATATTATTGTAAGACTGATTTCTATGTTAAGATTTTGATTAAAACAAAACATCAAAACAGTTTGGAGAGTTATATAGATTTCATTTTGTTCTGTTTCCTTTTTTCTATTTTACATTTGTTCTGATTATATTTACTGAAATGTAATTTTATGTTTGTTGAATCTAATAATAAAAAATTTGTTTCTATTTTGTGTGTATAATGTTTAATCTCATTTTATTTTTTATAACATTTTTATTTTCATAATTGTATCACTCCACAAAAGACTGGGGAAAAATAACCTTTCAGCTCAGACAGTTGGAAAAGCACTGCCATTAGCTCTTTTTGTGGTGTGGTATTATATATATTTGTCTTATTTATTTTTTGCTATATCACTGCCATTTTCATACTCTAAACTTCTAGCATTGCACGCTGCATGTTCCATGCTTTTCGGAAAAGAGTAATGAGTAAATAAACTTCCAAGGCACTTGAAGTAAGCAATGAATTCACAACAATGGTTACATATGGTGGCCTTGAGGTTCAGTAACTTCAGGTAGCAAGAAAGAATCACAAATTTGTGATGTACCCAGGATGAGGGATAATTTGGAGTTCACAGGCAAATGGGAAATGCACATGACATTTACAGTCAAAATTTGGCTTTTTCAGAATTACGCTAGCTAAACAAAACATGGCTTCAGATTCAACTTTTCCTGCATTTTCAGGACCTCTGGTTAAAACAAAAGGCTTTAAGTAAACAGTTGGAGACAAAATAAGCTAATTAAAATGTCTTCTTACTTTTCCTAAAATTGCCTTTAATTGTATCTCTTTCTACATTTTTAGTATCTATCAATCTATCCACCTATCTTCCTCTAAATTTATCCAAATATCTGATATCTGTTAACTACAATCGGTCTCTTTAGCTGTTGTTCTGAACTTCCAGGTCCGTATAAGACTCAGTATCCAATTAGTATTTCAAACACCACAGACTAAAACTGAACTAATCTTACTTTTCTACAAGTCAGTTCCCAAACATGAATTTCACATTTTTATTAGTGCCACAATCTGTTATTCATATTTCTAAACCTGTAGTCATCTCTGACTTTTGTTACTATCTTTTCATATACTCTATTGGTAATATCACAACATGCCCAGCAGTTACATATTTTTTTCTTTATTCTGACCTGCTTGTATAATTTCTGACTCAAATGTCCTCAGCCATATTTATATATGCAAATCAAAACAATATCTTAAAGCCCAGCTAAAACGTCATAACTTTTCTAGTTTCCCTTGATTCTCTCAGCATAAAGTAGTCTCTCCCTCCACTTTACTACTTTAACACTCCATTTTAAACATCTTTTGCTTAGAGAACAACTTTACTGTATAATGTCATTTTTTATTTTGGAGGCAGAGGATGTCATTTATGTCTTTCTGTATATACCATACTATCATGAAAACACTGTCATTTGTATATGGCAAAACCAAAGTTTGCGGAAGGAAGTTTTTGCAAAGATTTCTCAAATTACGTTTCTCAGTAATTTTAATGTTATACAAAGATACATACTATAAGAGGAGAGGAGAGTACATATTTAATACTTTTTCACTTAGACTACTAAACAAATATAAAGGATTATATTGTCATTGAAAATGTTGAAAATTGCATTCCGAACAATAAATGCTTTTATTTGCTGCAAAATAAAGTATTTTTAAGTCATATGGAAAAAGTTCATCATGTAAGGAGTCATGATGAAAAAGAAGCAATTATTGCAGAGCAATAAATAAATGGTTAAACTGGTAAACCAATAAATGAAATGCATTAGCTATCAGAATGGGGAACTTACTGATAATAGCTTGAAGAATGTACACAAACTTGAGGGAAGATTTCTACCCTATTTCATACAAAATGTTGATGTCATTAGAAGTTCCAGACACATGAGAAGAGTAAACTGCAAATCCACATGAAAATAGAAGTTTTGTTTTGTGTTTGTTTCTAAACAAAGCCACTAGATAAAAAGAAAGGCAAAATGATGATGATATTATCAGTTTCATTTCAAAAAGTACTGTGTCAGACGGGCGTGGTGGCTCACACCTGTAATCCCAGCACTTTGAGTGGCTGAGGCGGGCAGATCATTTGAGTTCAGGAGTTTAAGACCAGCCTGGCCAACATGGTGAACCCACATCTCTATTAAAAATACAAAAATTAGCTGAGTGTGGTGGCTCAGGTCTGTAATATCAGCTTCTCGAGAGGCTGAGGCAGGAGAATTGCTTGAACCTAGGAGGCAGAGGTTGCAGTGAGCCAAGATTGCACCACTGCGCTCTGGCGTGGGCGACAGAGTGAGACTTCATCTCAAAAAAAAAAAAAATAAATAAATAAATAAAAAAGTGCTGTGTCAAACAGAAATAGTTTCAATTCTCTAGAAAATAGTTTTCAACTTTAATATAAGCTTTCAGGCATATATGATAAATGTGCAATATGTTTACAAAAGTTAAGAAGTTGGTTCTTAACTTTGGCAAAAGTAAAAGTAAAGTTTAAAGTTGGCAAAAGTAATCATGGTTTTTGCCATTATAGTACCCTCTTAGAAACAGAAATATTGAAATCATATAATCATGCCATACACAAAGACAGGTATAATCTAAAGAAGTAAAGATTATTACAAATATTAACATTAATTCAGAGTTAAATGATTGATTGGTTGATTAATTGATTCAATCAACATTTATAGGGAACCATTACATAGACTACACTCTCCACAGTTGAAAAAAATGTACATAGTATAACCAATTTCCTCAAGGAATGCAGTCTGGTGAAGGAGACATACATAAAAATAGTTTTAATGCAGGATGTGATTTGTAAAACTTTCTGTAGAAAGCTTTAGGAGCATAAAAGAGAGAAAATAACTGAGAATGAGAGAACAAGAATATAAAGAAAAAGCTTTATATAGATGAAGTATTGACTGGCTCTTAAAAGTTGTATTGGTATCAATGTGTTTTTGTTGTCTATTGCTTGCAATGAATCACCCAAATTTTAGTGGTTTGAAACATTAACAATTATTTTATATCTTTCACAATTCTGAAGGTTGCTAGTTTGAGACAGACAATTTTCTTTAGTGGTCTCTCAGGAGTTCATATTCAGATGGAGGTGGAGGCTAGAGTCGTATTGAATTTTTCTTCACTCAAGTGAATGCTGTTTGATACATTAGATTGACAATTGACTCAGGCCAAATCTGGTGCATTCAGTTAAAAAAAAAAAAAACATAGAAAAAGGAAACTGTACAAGGCCATTTTATGTTGTCTGACTTTCTTTGTGGTATCGTGGCTTGGTTCCAGGAGTCAGCATCCCCAGAGAACAAGGCAGATTTTTGTGACATTTTTGTAACCTAAACTCACGTGTCATTTACCCTCACTTCCATTATATTCTATCAGGTCAGTCACAAAGGATTTCCCAGGTTCAAGGAGAGGACTTTGAAAGAGCATGTGGAATAAAACATACTGTGTCAGACATGTTTGGAAAAGACAAGCTGTCACCGTGTGTTTCATATTCAATGTGTGAATGAACGAAGAGAAGTAGGAAACTTCAGCCAAGTTAGCAGCTTGTAGAGAACATTGTGATTTTCTCGCCATTCATTGTATCTGCCCTAGATTAGATGCCCTTGTGGTTCCAAGGGCTGAGCCAATCAACAAATTTCATTCCCCTGGCCAGAGTCATTGCTTCAGTTAAGTACCTGCCCCAATTTGCCAAATCTGAAGCAAGCTTAGGACATTCTTCATAATTGAAAAACTCTTCTCAAACATGGATGAAAGCTTATGTAGCCTAACAACTATTTGAAGTCATTTTAAGTTCATGAATAGTAATGCATCAAACTGAATTTGAAACTATGAGTGGCAGAGAGGACAGATGAGAAGTTTTACATTTGTGACATTACTGAGTCACTGGAATGGGCAAACGCTGAAGTCCACACTGCCTTCCAAGTATGTGAGTTAATAAATTTTACATGATTTAAGCCAGTTACCATGGAGTTTACTAGAAACATAAACACTCCGCAGTAAATGATTTGGACTTCACCTTGTTAAGAACGTGATATAATTAATGAATTTGTAATGCAAGAGGTGGATTGATCTGATATTTGCCCTAGGAGGATCAGCTTAGAAGCAATATGGAACACATGTTGGAAAGAGACATAACTGCAGACCAGTTATGAGATGTGAACTGTACCAGTTTTTAGGAGGCTTAGAGTGGAGATGGCATGTGAAATGAGAGAGTCATTAGGAGGTATATCTGATTTTTAAAATCATAGGATTCTGTTGAAAGTAACTGGCTATATAGTAGTGGTATAATTCAAAAAAATATGCAACATAAGAAAAGCTAGATTCAGGGAAAAACAAAATGTTTCTAGTTTAATATGGATATGCAGAGAAAAAAATTTTTTCTCTCCCTAGATTTCTGAATATACTTTTTTTATTTTATTTAAAAATATGTCTTTGAATAGCTGCCCTGCTATGGCTTTTATGAATATAGAGAATCCATCTTGAGTTCAGGAGAGGACAGAATTGTAGGCAAGACACAGACCTTGTTTTTGAAGTGGTTTAGAAAGATTTTTTAAAATAATTTTGTTAATAGACATATTGATTTTGCATTGTGTCTTAACATATTTCATAAAATTAACAGTGGAATTTAGGGTGGGATGCTTTCTATTACTGCTTCTCATGCTTTCATCTTCATCTCAGTACTTCAGCACCACATAATAATCATTTTTTATGCATTAAATGAGAACTAAAATAACTAATACAAGATCTTTCCTGCTACCTCATAAAAATTGCTACTCCCCAAATAAGTTAGTGCCCTGTAACTAAAATATTTATAAATATAAAGAACATTTTCAAAAGGATTCCAATTACCAGGGAGAGGCCAGAGGTCTCAGACAATTCTTTCCTGGGGCATGCACTGAGGAAGATTATATTGCCCTCCTAGGTATTTAAACAATTTCCTGACTGGTAAACTGTAATCCTGGATAAAGTGTGCCTAGATATTAGCAGCTTGGGTTTGCTGTTATTTCTGTTATTTTCCCTGCTGAGTGGAAACTAAATATAATCTTCCTAGGTGACAAATAAGTCCCAGTTAGGCAGTGCACACTAAGTCATCTTAGATGTAGCTTCCAAATTTTATGGATATACTTGGCACATGCTAAAATATTGTTTAAAATTGAATAATTTATCTTATCTACTTGAATAAAATTGTTTCAGTGACTCTGCTGTGATTACTATTATGATTGTATCTCTTCTTACTCAAATTCTAAGAAAATATCCTGCTAGTTCTGGAATACAGACAGTATTATTTGTCCTCCCAAGTAATATTAGAATACCAGAGGAAAAAGCTTTATAACCCCCAACAGAGTTTAGATATGGCTCCTTTATAGGCGGATGTAAAAATTATAATACAGTAATATAATTTAGATACACAGTGGTAGGTCTGAAAAAGAAACAAGTTCAAATTTACTATTTTTTCCCTTGGAACAAACATCAAGATAAAATTGTAGTTAAGAACAAATAAACTGATATCTTACTCCTCAAAGTTTCTAGAGCTTAAGGTTTTGATCAACTTTATATTAGGTATAACAATACTGAACTATTATTTTCAGATAACTTTTAAAAACCACAACTCTTTTATATTTGACCTCTCTCTGTTCACCTTTCTCTTCTCCAACCATGGCAAATCTATAAAACCAATTTTCTTTTCTTATTGTATTATTCTGTTAAAAAAGTTTCTATTTTCCAGTGGACACAGGCTGACATTACAACTGGATTAACACGAACATGATTTATTCCCTCCTATGACTTTTTTAGGAAGCTAGCCTAATTGCTGCCATTGTTATTAAGACTACTACAATAAGTCAAAGTGTTTGTCTCCCCAGAGACAGTATTAAGAAAATATACTCTGCAGGTGTCTTTTCACGACCCTGAAAGAAACTTGTACATAAAATTTTGCATCCTAGTTTCCCTCCCCACTATAGCTCCAGGAAGCACTATTGCTAAATTGGTTAAGCTGGAATTGGTACTGACAGAGGACAAGAAACCAACCAAAAAGAGTTACCTGAAATTTAAGCCAGTCCTAGATGCCAGCTGGTATCCAAGGAAAAATTCCATCCAAATTTAGGCTATTGCAATTTAAAAGTGCCTTTATATGATCTAAATCAAAACATGTTTTGAAAAATGCTTTCTTTAGAAATGTTGTATTAAGAGCAAGTCTCCACAGATAAGGAATGACTAAAAGTAGTTACATAATTCAGTGAAGATACTGTAATGCAATACTTTAGCTTTTCTCTGTTGAATCTCTTTGAAATAATTAATTAATTTAGGACTATCACAACCTTTGATAAAGAGGGAGTAATTAATTATAGTATTCAGTTCAATTTCAATAGACAGTATTTTTTTCTGCTTTCTATATTATTAATGTCCTCATCCCCCACTTTCACTTCTTTTCTCACTGCCTCCCATTGTTGTTTTGTTAATATCTATTTTCATTCACAATCAATGATAGTGATCTATTTATATCTCTATCTATATATATATCTATATCTACATCTATACCTATATCTAATTCCAGGTTTACTTGTTTTCTTTTTCGTTCAATACTTTGCTTTTAACTTATATCCATGATGTTGAGTGAGTGTACATTCAGTTTATTGATTAAAACAACTGCATGGTACTACGTGGTAAATACTCAGTTTGCTACCTATTTTCTATCACCGTAAACAACTGCTGTAGGCCGGGCACAGTGGCCCATGCCTGTAATCCCAGCACTTTGGGAGGCTGAAGCGGGTGGATCATTTGAGGTCAGGAGTTCAAGACCAGCCTGGACAACATGGTGAAACCTTGTCTCTACTAAAAATACTATATATAATACATATATATATTAATTATATATAATATATATTATACAAAAAATACTATATATAATATATTAATTATATATAATATATATTATACTAAAATACTATATATAATATATAAATTATATATAATATATAATTTTAATAGATATATAATATGTAATACATATATAATATATAATTAAAAATATATAATTATATAATATATATTATATATAATACATTTTATATATATTATGTATAATACATGTTATATATAATTATATATTATATATAGTATTTTTAGTAGAGACAAGGTTTCTATATACATTATATATAATATATAATATATATATTAATTATATATATAAGCCGGGCCTGCTGGTGGGCACCTGTAATCTCAGCTACTGGGGAGGCTGAAGCGGGACAATTGCTTGAGCTGGGGTGGTGGAGGTTGCAGTGAGCCGAGATCGCGCCACTGCACTCCAGCCTGGGTGACACACCAAGACTCTGTCTCAAAGACAAAACAAAACAAAACAACAACAACAACAGAATAACTGCTGCATATATCCCCCTTACGAAGCAATGTGAAAATGTCTTTAGGATGTTATGCAATAGTAGAGTTACACACAAGTATATCAAATCACCCTCCTCAATGACTATAATAGGCTATATCCATTCTGTTACATATATGTAAGTCCAGTGAAGCTTATAAATATTTAGTAATTATAAAATTGGTAAATCAGAGTTTAAATAAAATAATAAATTATATATTATATCAAATATCTTCATGTATAAACTACTGTTTGGCTTAAAGATGTGATCATGCAGCAGTACTCAAGTCTTGAAACACAAATGACATATATTTGATACCCATTTGATACATGTTTTTATTAAAGACACATACATATTCATAACAAATGCATGCAAAGTCAGAAAAAAGTGTAAATCACATGTATGAGATTTTGTAGAAAAAAATCCTAGGAAAATACATATAATATGTTCTATATCACATTTCAAGTAAGTGTGTTTGTGTGTATTTGTTTAGTTTTAAATTTATACATGAATATATATATATATATTTTAAGGCGTCTGCTTCCATCAAATTTACTGTATGAAATATAATTTATATTTTTAACTTAGCACTCTTGGAATAAGCATGCTTTTATACTAAAAAATAAAATTGAAGGAAAAATAAATAATTTTCTAAATGAATTGGAACATTATTAGTAGGATTTGCCAAACTAATAAGATGTTGTATGTAGCTATCTTTTGGAAAAGTCAACTAGAAACACAAATAGAAATTAATATGAGACACTTCTATTGGGAATTGCAAGCATGTATTATATCCAGTGGGAAAGTGAGAGAAAGAAAAATACTTGAAAGAACTTTGAAAAATGAGGATACCTGACTAATAAAACGTATTTTCTTTCTGTCAATCCTTCTCAATTATTGCGGTAAAACTTGAATTATTCAGGTAGAATTTATTCCTATCACAATTCTATTTTCAACTAGCAAGGTTAATATGAGAAACAGGAAATAATTGAATGCCTCCATTTATTAATTTTTATTTGGTAGTCTAACTTGCTAGGTTTGCAAAGTGTTCAGACTGAGTGCTATATATCAATTTAAGAATGCTCCCTGGATTCTTTTCCAGTGCATTTATAGTGCCAAGGATGCATTGATCAAATGCACAAACCAATAAAGTTACTTTAAAAGAATATCATTAATCCAGAGTTGTGACATGATAAAGTTCCAGGCAAAAAGAGAAAGAATTACTCTGTTATGTATTTTTAAAAGATGATTTATGAAATAAGTCAAATGATGCTACACTAGGAATAAATATTTTTAAAAGAAATGCTTTCTCACTTTAATTTTAATGGCTTTTTGAGGCCCCAAACCAATTATCGTTTAAGTAAAAAATCATTATATAATATAAAATATAGAACCAATGAGATAAAAAAATACTCATAAAACCACTACACCAACAGAATTACTTAGCAGAGTGAATAATTATTACTGTTTTTTCCCATCTCACAGAGATGCAATCACAGAAAATAAAATTGTGTGTACTTTGTTTGTGTGCTTTGGGTTTATATAGACTTATATGTAGTTTCCATGTTGCCACATAGTCTTTATTGACTTCAATTTAAATGGATACAGACACAAGCTAAAGTAAATACAAGGGGACTTCAAAAAGTGTGTGGAAAATGGAATTAAAAGATAAAATAAAAATACAAACTTTATTTATTAACATAAACTCCATCAAGTTCAAGACACATTTTAAGCAATAATGTTAGTCATTTAGTTCATTCCTTAAGAATTGAAGGTCCTGGGAATTTGGCCATGTCAATGCAGTCTTTTCTGCGTTATTGCCCAAAGATAAATGGACAGCCTTTAAATATATATTTTTAAGATTAGGAAACAAAAAGAAGTCATAAGGAGCCAAATCAGGACTATAAAGTGGATGCCTAATAATTTCCCCTGGAAACTCACACAAAATTGCCCTTGCTTGATGAGAAGAATGAGCTTGAGTATTGCCATGGTGGAGAATGACTCTCTGGTGAAGGTTTCCTGGGTGTTTTTTCACTGAAACTATGGCTAACTTTCCCCAAAACACTTTCATAATAAGCAGATGTGATCATTCTTTTGCCCTTCAGAAAGTCAACAAGCAAAATGCTTTGAGCATCCCAAAAACCTATTGCCATAATCTTTGTTATTGACCAGTCACTTTTGCTTTGACTGTGTCATTCCCACCTCTTGCAGGCATTGCTTTCATCATGCTTTGTCTTCAGGATCATTCTGATAAAGACATGTTTCATCTCCTGTTACAATTCTTTGAAGAAATGCTTTAGAATCTTGATTCTGCCTGTGTAAAATTTCCATTGAAAGTTCTACTTTTTTCTGGAGCTAATGTGGGCACAACAGTTTTGGCACCCATCAAGAGAAAAGTTGGGCCAACTTTAATTTTTCAATCAGAATTGTGTAAGCTGAATTGATTGAGAATTGTTTGGTGTTGGCTATTGTTTCTGCTATTAATTGTTGGTCCATTTCCATTAGAGAACAAAGAAGATAAACTTTTTTCCCCGCAAATTGCTGTGGATGGTCGCCACTGCAGGCTTCAACCTCAATGTTGTCTTGTCCCTTCTTAAAATGAGTTATTCATTTGTAAGCTGCTGATTTCTTTGGGACATTGTTCCCATAGGAAACTTTTCATAAAACATCAATAATTTGATCATTCTTCCATCCAAGCTTCAGCATAAATTTGATGTTTGTTCTTGTTTCAATGTTAGTTGCGTTAGTATTTTCTTATAGGGGCTCTTATCCTTCTTAATACCTCAAACTAGATCCCAATTCAGACATGTAATAAGAAGTTAGTGTGACTTTATTTTGGTGCAAAAAGATTTGAAATCCATGCATTGTGTTTTTCATAATACGAATTTTACAGAACTTTATGAAGATCAGTGGTATACTATGACCCATTGATCCATTGTCCTGTTATTGGATGTTTGAATGTGTTTGCAATTATGGGTAACATCATTTAAAACGTCTTCTTTATTTTAATGTGCTATTTTCCAAATCACGTTTTATATATTATTAAATTTGAATTTAATATTGAACAAAATTGTATAAATAGTTTTTTAAGGCAATATTGCCGTATGTTTCCAAAATTGGATGCTTCCGTTTAAAAGCTTTATTAAGGCACACTTAATTTCTACTTTACTTCCTTAGCATTTTTTAATCAATGATATTAAACTTATTTTATCAATAAGTTGTTTAGTAATGGTACTTATTACTCTGTTCATTCTTAAAATTATTTTTTGTGTTACAATTAAACTACTACCTTATTTTGTGATAAACTAATTATGTGAAACAATTCAAAATATACCAACCTATTATAATTTACTCAGTTGTGTTCTTTTTATCCTCAATATAAGTAGTGCCGATGTTTTTTAAAATTTAAAACATAATATTTGCTGCCTAAACGTAACATTTTATAATAATATTCACTCTATATAAATAAAAAGAGACTATGATACATTATTAGCTATAATTTCCCACCAATAATATCTTCATTGTTAATGTGATATCTGGATCAGTCTGACAGAATTATATCTGGTTTGAAATATAAACCTTTGTATTTTCTTCACAGATGTAAGTAAAGCTTTAAAAAATTGTTTGATTTCTGGCTACATAATGTTTCTTTTATGTGATTGAAAAATTCAGGTTGAAGTACTTTATATTCACTGAATGCGCATGCCACAATGTCTTATTTTTTCTCCTTGCTGACATCAAATTTTATTTATTTATTTATTTATTTATTTATTTATTTATTTATTTTGAGACGGAGTTTTGCTCTTGTTGCCCAGGCTTGAGTGCAATGGTGCTATCTTGGCTCACTGCAACCTCCACCTCCTGGGTTCAAGAGATTCTCCTGCCTCAGCCTCCTGAGTAGCTGTGATTACAGGCATGTGGCACCATGCCCTGTTAATTCTGTGTTTTTAGTAGAGACAGGGTTTCTCCATGTCGGTCAGGCTTGTTTCCAGCTCCCAACCTCAGGCGATCAATCCGCCTCGGCCTCCCAAAGTGCTGGGATTACAGGCGTGAGCCACCGCGCCCGGCCGACATCAAATTATTTTTAAGCATACTTACTTACATGAAGAAGGGAGAGAGAAGTGAGTGTCCTGAGCTGCAAACAACTTTTAAAATATAGAAAATGCCAGAAATATTTGATCAAAATGTGTTGATCATCAGACTTATAAAATTGTTTTTCTGAAAAATATATTTTAATTACTTCAGTGTTCATTTATTCAACAAGTACTTATTGCGTCTGTACTATATGTCAGGTATTGCTAAGACATAAGACAAGTAATTGCCCTCATGGAGCTTACATGAATGAGACAGATATGAAATAAACTAATGATGTAGACAGTAACAGATAATAGAAACTGAAGGGGTGTGTGTGTGTGTGTGTGTGTGTGTGTGTATTGGGGGATAGGAATCAGAGAATAATTTCACATATGTGGTTGTTGAAAGCTTCCCTATGGAGATGACATTTATAAGCAATACTTGTCAGAACTCTTATGTACAGTTAGCAGATGGTAACATTTAAGTCCCACACAATGCTGAAGCATGCCATTCATAATGGAGTGGCTGGCATCTTGGCTATGAATAACCTGTGCCAGAAATTTTTAGAGAATCCTTGGGGTGTGCAATGTATGGGTTGATTATGTACTTTTCCTTTTATAGATTCTGAAGCTTAGGGAAAAAGAGAAAGAGGGCATGCAAACGAGGGTCAGGTTACCTTCATTTGGTGTACAAGACAAGAAATTCCTTCACTTAATACTCCAAACTCATAACAGCATCTGACCTAATTCTGAGTCTATTTTTTTCAGTATTATAGAAAGAATGGTCTCTCCGGTGCTGTTTACAAGCACAAACTCTCTGTTCTCTTCTAGACGCAGTTTCACACAATATTATTTCTTTCTCCTGTGTTATAATTCTCTCCCTTTGTATCACATACTTTTTACAAAACCAAATAAACTGTCATAATCTTGCGTGAATAATTTGCCTAGCTGTTGTCCTATCTTTTCTGTCCCTTTACATAAGGTTTTTCTGTCCCTCTATACATTTTCCTGGGAATTACAAGATAAACACAATTTTAAGCTTTTTCAATTGTGAATATTCCTCCCATAGTTTCTTTTTACACTTGGACTTCCTGACAGAGAAAAATATCATTTTTAGGAATGAGTCTGATGATCATATCATTTTAGCAATCTTTCCTTCTATCAACATTAAATTTTATTCACGCAGTGTTAGACACCTCTTTATTTGTACTATTGACCTTAAGTTACTTGATAAATGCGTCTTATTCAATTTATTGTTCACACTACTAAGCCTAGAACATGTATATAATGGGAGTTCCATAAATATTTATTCGATGATAGATTGCTTAAATGAATGAATGAATAAATGTTAATTGGCTAGATATTAGCCATACAGCCTAATAATCATTTAATTCAATCCAACAATTGAGAACCTACCATCTGTGAGGCACTCTGATATGACCTGCTAGTACAAAGGCAAACAAATGAAGAACCTTATGACGGCTTTTCTCATTATTTTAGCAGAAGATTAAAAATGGCAATATAGGCCAGGCGCAGTGGCTCACACCTACTGTAATCCCAGCACTTTGGGAGGCCAAGGAGGGCAGATCACCTGAGGTCAGGAGTTCAAGACCAGTCTGACTAACATGCTGAAACCCGTCTCTATTAAAAATACAAAAATCAGCTAGGCATAGTGGTGGGCACCTGTAATTCCAGCTACTCAGGAGGCTGAGGCAGGAGACTCGCTTGAACCCAGGAGGCGGAGGTTGCAGTGAGCTGAGATCGTGCCATTGCACTCCAGCCTGGGCGACAAAGCGAGACTCCGTCTGAAAAAAAAATGGCAATGTAAATCACAAATGCAATATAATTTGCTGTGAAGAGGTATGCAAAAAATTACCTAGCACCACAGAGGACAGAGTAATGTATTTAACTGAAATGGTTAAATAGGGTCTTTTGGAGTAAATGATGTTTGCAAAATATCTTAGAGAAGTAGACATTCTCCAGGCAGATTAAGATCAAAGTCATATAGACAGAAAAAAAGAACTTGTTAAAAAATGATGAATAAAACAATTGTATAGAAAGTAAGAGGGCATTAGAGTCAGATGATTCCAGAAATAAATTATTAGTATAAGTTATTGATATTTTCTTGGGGATAAGTGGGCTTTATTGAAAAGTGACTTGGTCACATGTACATATTTTTAAAAGGATTATTCTGAGAGCAATGTGGAAGGAGAAGGATTAGAAATTAGAGAAAGTGAAGAATTAGAAATAATTTACTATTTATCAGGCATTCTGCTAAAATTTTTAATTTATTACTTTGCATTTAACCCTAGTAGTTAAAATGTAACTTAATTTTACAGATGAGTAATATGGACGATAAAAAAAGTACCAAAAACATACAGGAAGTTCGTGGAGTTTAAATTTGAACTCTGTTATTTTTATTCTGTTTTATTCTGTGAATTTAGGCTATATAATTTAAACAATGCACTATAATATTTCCCACAAAATAATCATAGACATTTAGAGAGTATCTCACATGAACTTGACACTACACTACACTTTTAAATATATTTTCTCATTTAGTGTACATGCATACTCAATTGAAAGCCATTTTTCTTATTTTGTGGATGAGCAAGCTTCAGATGTGCAAGATGGATAATACAACCAGATTTATACAAATGGTCAAATACAGAAAAAAAAGTTGTCTGATTTCTAATTCCAATGCTTATTCTACTCTAAGATATTACGGTAATTCTTATGAATTGCCGTACTAAATAGAAAGCAGAGGTCTAGAAAATAGATAAGAATTAGAAAAAGAAAGTGTGCATTTGTTTAGTAAAATCAGATTGTTATTTGGGTGAATATTAGAAAACAGGTAAGAAATAAGAAATAATAGCATGAATGGAATCAACGAAATGTAAGAGCTGTCTATGAAAAATGCACTCAAATAAAAATAAATACATTTTATCACATTTCCTTTGTGTTGTTGAAATTAGCAAGTGATGTAAAACATTGTAAATTGATGTAAAAATTGTAAAGTTGATGTAAAACTAAGCATATTTGATATAATTTTATTTTCAAAGAAGAAAACAAGACTTTCTGGTATTTCTAGACCATTTTTCATTGATTTACTGTTTTTCAGCAAGATAGATACAAGAGTATACTTGTGACCAACCCATATGACTATTGAAACATAAACCATTCTGCTCAATTAATTGCATTTTCTTAAAAGAAAAGACATATAAAATGGATTTAAGAGAGAAATTTCAACTTCTAGCTAAGCTAGTGGCATTTCCCACAACACCAGTGAAAATTCAAATATTTATATGCCTGTTAACAAGAACAAAAGCTCTGCATATTATCGATGTAACTCTTAGTTGTAGTTTTCTATGATTGATAATTAAAATAATTTTACAACTTTGGTGCTTAATCATATTATATGTATTTGACATTTCATATATGAAAAGCTTGACTAACAGCAATTAGTGGAAGTCAATTTAATAATTATAAGTTATTTATAAGTGTCAAATCCCAAATGTAAAAATGAATAAATTATGAGTGTACAAGCAAGTTAAATAAGTCTTTAATTTTGACATGATCAATATATTGAAGCTTTAAAAATTTTTGTCTGAATATTTATAAATAGTGTCCCAGGAGCAAAGTAAATCAGGTTTCAGAAGAAGGGCATGTTACCATATGAGTGGTAATTTTGAATTAAATTGAATGTCATAGTCCACTGTTCCACCACGTGTTCCCACGTGAATATAGACACAAAATTCATCAACAATACACTAGCAAACAGAATCCAGCAATATATAAAATGACTTATATTCTCTGAACGATTGAGACTTATCTAAGGAATGCAATGTTGGATTAATATCTGATAATCAATTACTGTAATACCATACCATAATAATTGAAAACAAGACAAAAAGCACATAACAATCTCAGGAGACACAAGAAAAAATCATTTGACTAAATCCATTCCCCTCTTATGATAAAGACCACTCAACACACTAGGAATAGAATGAAATTTCCTCAATATGATAAAAAGCCTCTGCAAAAACTCACAGGTTGCATAATCTTAATGGTGAAAGACTAAATGTTTTGCCCTAAGTTCAGGATCAAACAAGGATGTCTAATTGTATATTTACTGAGACCTGGTATTCTCAAATAGGCATCCTGTTTGTCTGCTGGCATTAGGTCTTATCCATGCAAACTTCATTGCTCTGATCTTTATGCCCAAAGAGATTAGCTCATATCTATAGGCCACAAAATTGGTGTTACCCAGGCTTAAAATACCTGATGATGATGAATGCCTTTGCAGAAATGCCTTCTCAGAAAAGAGATGAATGTCTTCTTAGAAAAGAGAGTAGTGTTCAGGGAAAACAGAGCTTGAAGAAAATAGAGAAAAATAAAGTATTTCATAAATGTGAGACTAAGATAAGCTCATGTGCTCTTCTCTATTCCTGTCCAATGAGAATTCTTGTAGAAAATTAGAAAAAGAAGACCAAAGAAAGTATTTGCTTTCTCTGGAGTTAAAATTTTTAACAAATAACTGGACCTACTAAATTTCTCTTAAATATTCTTTTTTAAATTTATTTTTTAACTTTTATTCTAAGTTCAGGGGTAAATGTGCAGATTTATTACATAGGTAAACTTGTGTCACAGGTTTGTTGTACAGATTAGTTTTTGTCACTCAGGTGTTAAGCCTAGTGCTCATGAGTTATTTTTCCAAATCCTCTCCCTCCCTCCATCCTCTGACAGCTTCTAGAGTCTGATGTTCCCCTCTATTTGTCCATGTGTCCTCATCATTTAGCTCCACTTATAAGTGAGAACTTCTGGTATTTGGTTTTCTGTTGCTGCGTTAGTTTTCTAAGGACAGTGACCTCCAGCTCCATCCATATTCCTTCAAAGGACATAATCTTGTTTTTGTTTTTTATGGATGCAGAGTATTCCATGGTGTGTATACACAACATTTTCTATATCTGATCTGTTATTGCTGGACATTTAGGTTGATGCTATGTCTTTGCTGTCACGAGTAGTGCTGCAATGAGCATACGTGTGCATGTATCTTTATGATAGAACAATTTATTTTCCTTTGGGTGTATACCCAGTAATGGGATTGCTGGGCTGAATGGTAGTTCTGTTCTTAGGTCTCCAAGGAATTGCCACACCATTTGCCACAATGGTTGAACTAATTTACACTCCCACCAACAGTACCATTTGGCACAATGGTTGAACTAATTTACACTCTCACCAACAGTGTATAAGTGTTTCTTTTTCTCTGCAAACTTGTCAGCCCTTGTTATTTTTTGACTTTTTAATAATAGCCATTCTTACTGGTGTGAGAAGGTATCTCCTTACAATGCAGAAGATATTGGGTGCCAATATCCAATATTTTCAAATTGAAGAAATTGCAACCCAAAATTTCATATCCAGCCAAACTAAGCTTAATAAGAAAAGGAGAAATAAGATCCTTTTCAGACAAGGAAATGCTGAGAGAATTTGCTATCATTTAACCTGCCTTACAGCACCTTTGGAGAGAAGCACTAAATATGGAAGTGGAAGACCATTACCAGCCACTACAAAAACACACTTATGTTCACAAACCAGTGACAATATGAAGCAATCATATAAACCAATCTGCATAGTAAATAGCTTACATTATGATAACAGGATCAAATCCACACGTATCAATATAACCTTGAATGTAAACAAGCTAAATGCCCCAATTCGAAGGTACATATTTGCAAGTTTGATAATGAAGCAAGACCCAGTGGTATGCTGTCTTCAACAGACCTATCTCACATGCAGTGACACCCATAAGTTCAAAATAAAGAGATGAAGAAAAATCTACCAAGCAAATGGAAAACAGAAAAAAACAGGGATTGCAATTCTAATTTCAGACAAAATAGACTTTAGCAAAGATAAAAAAAGATAAAGAAGGGCATTACATACTGGTAAAGGGTTCAATTCAACAAGAAGACCTAACTATCTTAAATATATATGCAGCCAACACAGGAGCACCCAAATTCATAAAGCAAGTTATTAGAAACATTCAAAGAGATTCAAATAGTCTTTGAATACTCTGGAGGAAGTGAAGAAAGAGGGATCGTGATTTAGTATTTTTGAATAAACTTGATTTGATTTTCCATCTTTTTGACACACACCTTTAAATAAAAGCTTGTTAAATAAAACTGCACTTGTACAACTTAAAGATAAACTGAGGTATGCCAAACATCATCTTGATTCAGGTAATAGTATATTTTTCTCCTTTATGTTAATATTTAATTAATTAATTACTTACTTTTTTAGAGACAGGGTCTCACTCTGTTGCCCAGGCTGGAGTGCAGTGGAGGAATCCTCGCCCACTGCATCCTTGAGCTCCCACATAGCTTCATGGTAATATTCATACTATTTTTTCAATACTGTTTTTCTATTCTCTCTATTACCTGTGAGTTTTCATATCACAGATTTTTGGAATCAGATAAAATGGGGAGGGAAAATAAGTTATGCTCCCTGAGCCTATGTCAGTGGTCCCTAAGACTTATCCCAGGACTGGCAATTTGCTAGGAAGGCTCAATGAACTCAACATATAGTTATATTCATGTCTATTATTCAATGCAGCAAAAAGATACAAAGATAAATCCACAAAAGTAAAAGGTGAATGCAGCAAACTTTACAAGAAACTAGGTACAAGTATCCAAAAGTCCTCTCACAGTGGAGTCACACAGGCCTATCCTCCAACAATGAGTTATGACAATATATATGAAATATTGTCTATCAATATTTTATTAGTTCATTCATTAGCATATTCTAATTAGCTCATTAGAGACTCGGTGCCCAGGGTTTTTACTGGGGTTGGTCACGTAGGCACTTTTTGCTTTGTATATATCAAAATTCTTGGTTCTCAGAAGGTAAGTAGGTATTCGGCATAAACCATACTGTTTGCAAAAAAAGTTTAGGTATAATAGTTTCTCTTATAAATTTTGGGAATGGTAGGAACTCTACTGTAATCCATGTTCCCAGATCAGCTAACAGACAACCATAAGAGCAGTCCTTTCTAAGGATATCAGTCTCCAAACTACTACATTAACTCTTTTCTGCGCAATCTTTATTTGAAAATTAGAATAAATGCTTATGTTAGAATGCAGTTTATTATAAATAATACAAACATAGCATGCCTGTGGCAGGGTTACTTATGTAATGCTGTGTTTACTATTTTTATATTTTTTATTCATATATATCATTTCCCTGTACAACAAGAATTGAAGAAAAGTCAACTGTTTATTCTTTTCCTTCAGTTAATTCTTACATCCAATTCATGGATTAGTACTTTGTTATCAGTCATTTCAGACTGTCATAACAAAATATTGTAGTCTGAGTTGCTTACATGGTAGCAATTTATTTTCTTACAGTTGTGGAGGCTAGAAGTCTGAAACCTGGATGTCTGGATGTCAGCATAGTCAGGTTCTGCCTCTCTTTCTGGCTTATAGACTGCTGCTGCCTTTTCACTGGGTGCTCACACGACTTCCTTTTTGTGCATGCAAAGAAGGCAAGCTATATGTAGTCTATGCTTGAAAGGACACTGACACAATTATAAGGGCTCCATCCTTGTGTCCTCATCTGCTCTAACCTCCAGAGGCTTTATATCCAAATTCTGTCACACTGAGGGTTAGGGCTTCAACATATGAGTTTGGGGGAGGGGCAATCATTCAGTTTATAATAGTTTAATTTTTCTAACTTTATATTGAATCAGTTGATTAACAAAATCATTAACTTGTCTGGGATCATACTGAGAGTATCCTTTTTCTAAATTCCTGTCATCTTGTTATTGTTATGCCATTAAAACCTTTGAGAAATATATTATAATTGAACATATATAAAAAGTTAGAAAAACAATACAGGATAATAGAGAGTGGAAGGTAAATACGTTGTTTAAGCAAAATTAACAGAGCTAGCTATTGTCAGAAAGTGATTTCCAAAGTAAAAGAAAGCTTTTCTTAAACTCCAGATGTTGAATTTGAAGATCTAATGCAAGTCTCACAAATTAATATTGATGTGAAACCTACGGCAGTCACTTAACCTCTTTAAATGTCATTGTTGTTACCTGTTAAATTGAAATAATAATTAGACTCACATCACCTTTGAAGTCCCAATTACCCATGCCTTTACTTTCTAATTGTTTTAGAGTTTCACTTGTGTGTGTTTGGGGGGAGGGTAAAATTCTGGTTTATTTCTGTTAACATCTCCCTCTGCAGCTCTGTAGACATTTCATTTTCTGCTTGCCCCATTCTCCTAAATTATTTACTTTGCTGCAACCACTTTAAAGCTTTTACAATTATGTTGAAATATTCTACCAATGTTTACTAACATTCTTATCTTTGTAGGCTTCTAATTAAAAAAATTCTCTCATTGTACTAATAAAAATTGGTGAATAAAACGCTTTCTATTAAAACCTTTGCTGTTTAATAGCAAAGAGAAGAAACACACGTAAACAATATTTGAAATTGAAGTGACTTTATATCATATGTTATGTACATTAATATGACAAGGAAATTACAAAAAAAAAGTCAGATTGAGATTCCAGATATGTGATTTTGTTCTAGAGAAAACAGAATTTGAAACAAATGGGATGTTTATGCTATTCTGGTACAGCACTAAGTTTTATATGGGCCTAAGGTATAGAGCATAAGTTAAGGAATAAATGAGAGGCCCATTGGAGGAATGATGAGTATTTAATTTTGGTATAAAAAGTTGTAGAAATGGAAGACAAAACTGGAAATTTACTTACAAATTTTATAGTTCTCTCACATATTTACTGTATTTACCATTATTGAGAACTAGGTTAAACAAAATGCACAGATTCTATGAATTGCAACCCATTCAGTTTTCATGCTCATGATATGGCCTTAGATTTCAAATGTCAAAACAGAAAAGCATTATTATGTTTATTCAAAATGTACATTTATTTTCATGTCAGGTTTACTATCTTGAAAAAAAAAAACGGCTATGATTATTTCCTTCTCTATATCCAAACCCCTTTCCATGTGACTTAGCAGATTCTCCTAAGAAATGTGGTGAACTTTCTCACCCTTTCATAAGGGCTGGCCTTGTGTGATGGTTAATATTAAATGGCAACTTAATGCGATTGTAGGATGCAAAGTATTGTCTCTGGGTATATGTGGGTGTTTCTGGGTGTTGCCAGAAGAGATTAAGATTTGAGTCAGTGGACTAGGAGAGGAAGACCCATCCTCAGGAAGACCCATCTACAGTGTGGGTGGGCACCATCCAATTAGCTGCCAGACTGGCTAGGAAAAGGCAGAAGAAGGTGGAAGAAGCTGACTTGCTGAGTCTTCCAGCCTTCATCTTTCTCCCATGCTGGATGCTTCCTGCCCTCAAACATCTGACTTCAAGTTCTTTGGCTTTTGGACCCTTGGACTTACACCAGTGATTTGCCAGGGGCTCTCAGGCCTTTGGCCACAGACTGGAGGCTGCGCTATCGGCTTCCCTGCTTTTGAGGTTTTGGGACTTGGACTGAGCCACGACTGGCTTCCTTGCTCCTCAACTTGCAGATGACCTAATGTGGAACTTCACCTTGTGATTGTGTGAATCAAGTCTCCTTAATAAACTCCCATTCAGATATACATATATCTGATTAGTTCTATCCATCTAGAGAACCCTGACTAATATACCTGGGACGTGCTTCAGTCAGTAGAGTGTGGCAGAAGTGACAGGTTGTCAATTCTGAGCCTCCCTCAAGTTATCTAGTATATTTTTGCCCTTTTTCTTGGGTTTCTGAAGAGCAAGCCCAATCTAGGATGGTGGTGCATAAGAAAATATGTGAGGTAGAGCTGAGTCAACTCTTTCATCTCTACCAGGTTTCCAGATACACAGAAAAACCTAGCCAAGATTAGCAAAGCCAATCTGCCATTGATCCTCTAACTGACCTCTAAAAATTGAGCAAAACTCTCTTAGTCATTTTCCAGCTGACCTACTGATTTGCCAGCTAAATAAATGCAGCTATTTTACGCCACAATATGTTTTGAATTGTATGTTACATAGCAATGACTGTTACATTATCAGATGGAAAGTGCTATTATTCAAAGTACATTTTTTGTACTAGTATTTCCATTACCTAATATAGGGATTGGAATGTGTATATGCACAAAATGGAAATGAAATTACAAGTACTTAATAAAATAAATGAATAAATACAACAATAAAATAAAATAAATAAAAAATTATAAGTACTTAAAAACATAAAGAAATTGTCATAAAAAATCCTTAAAAGATGGTTACCAGAAGCTGGGAAGGGTAGTTGGTGGGTGAGAGGAAGGAGGGGAGATGGTTAATGTGTACAAAAAATAATTTAAAAGAATAAATAAAACCGTAGTTGATAGCACACCAAGGGCACTATAGTCAATAGTAATTTAATTTGACATTTAAAAATAACTAAAAGAGTATAATTGGATTGTTTCTAACACAAAAGTTAAATGCTTGAGGGCATAGATACCCAATTTTCCACTATGTGATTATTACACATTGCATGCCTGTACCAAAATATCTCACATACCCCATAAATATGTACACTGACTATATACCTAAAAAATTCAAAATTAAAAAAATCTAATTAGAAATTGCTTAAAGATATTAATGAAACAGCAAACAAAGGGTTTGTATTAGTTTCTTCTCACACTGCTATGAAGAAATACCTGAGACTGGGTAATTTATAAAGGAAAAATGTTTAATTGATTCACAGCACTGAATGGCTGGGGAGGCCTCAAGAAACTTACAAAACGTCATGGCAGAAGGCAAAGGAAAAGCTGACACCTTCTTCGTATGGTGGCAGGACAGAGTGAGTACAAGAAGGGGAAATGCCAGATGTGTATAAAACCATCAGATCTTGTGAGAATTCACTCACTACCGTGAGAACAACAGCGGGGAAACCGCCCCCATGATCCAATTACCTCCACCTGGTTCCACCCTTGACACATGGGGATTATGGGAATTACAAGAGATTTCAAGAGGACACAAAGCAAAACCGTATCAGGGGCACTCTTCATTATTAATTGTAATTTTTAATAAAAGTATTACTTCCGCGTGGTGCATTTTTTTATACACTGGTATTTGTTTAATCCTCCTTGCATAGCCCACTGCTTAGAATATAGTAAAAGCATTGTAAGTACATGTTCGTTTTAATAAATAATGTTAAAATATTGAAGGTGAATGAGTCTTACATAATTTACTAATTTAATTTCTCTTATTTTAAAATCTTATTATATTCATTCAGTCCTCCCTCCATATTTATGGGTTCTGCATCCATGGATGTAACCAAGCTCTGATTAAAAAAAACTTATAAAATGCAATAAAAATAACTCAAATAAAAAACAATACAATAAAACAACTATTCATATAGTTGTATATATAAACATATATAAATAGCATTATATATGTAAATGTATTACATATATAATGTAATATATATAGCATTACATATATAAATAGCTTTACATATAAATATAGCATTACATAAAATAAATATAGCATTGCAAATACTACACCATTTTTGTATCTATAAGGAGAATTTTGTATCTATTAGGGGTCCTAGAACCAATCACTACATGATATCAAAGGATAACTGCATGGTTTAAATGGTAACTTTTCATTAAACAAAATAGTCAGTGACCTAGAGTAATTAATCACATCTCTGTTTGTGTGTTTGTTTATATGCGTGTGTGTGTGTGTGTGTGTGTGTGTGTGTGTAACTTCAAGCAAAATGTGTTCCATGTATCACAACCTATGTAAATGTTTAGTTTAAATAGGTATTGTAACTGAAAGCCAGTGAAATAAATAATGAAGTATTTCTGATTGATTATTTTTTAGAAATATTAAAATAGTCATTTAAAACCTAATTCAACAAGAAATAGCCAGATGTTCAGAAATGAATAAAGAAATTTCATAGGATGACTTTTAAAAATTGGTTTCTGTATCCAATTTCATTAAAATGTTTGAACAACAAAACTCATATTTTCATAGAAGATATAGCATCATTTTGTTAAAAATTACCCAACTTCAAAAATTGTCTCTTATGAATAATAATAAGTGTACAATTTACTTTCTAATGTTACAAATGCTGCAATGTATAAGAAAGCTTGAACGTATAAAGAAAACAGAAAATTTATATTTGAAAAAAAGGAAATTTGTATCTATGTCAGTATAATTTTTAGGTTTAATTAAATAAAAATAAGCTGGTGAAAAATAAAACCACACTGACTTATTTTGAATTCATATATATGCCAAACTATATCATTATAAGAAAAATATTAAACAAAAACATAAAACTGACCAATTTATCATGTGCAGAGCACCATCTCAACAAAGTTATTTATTAAAGCTGCATGAATTCCAAATACCCATATGAGGTATAATTGTAGCTGCTAATAAGTAACTACATATAATTCAAAACTATTATAACCTAGCTGTCTAATGAGACAGTAATTTCTTCCTCTGACAGCTTCATTTTAAAGAATTCACATTATTTATGCTCCATCATGGATTATAAACTATGAAAAGGTTAAATTATAATGAGTGCCGATTTTATTTCACTGCAAAGGGCAGAGAATTTATAAAGAATGCATATTAATTTAATTACTCCTCTAATAATAATACTATGCACATGTGAAGAAGATTAGCTCAGAAGAAAGTAAGTCTGAAAGCCCAATGGAAGACAAAGCAATATGAAGAGGCTATAATAAATTGTTAAATGGAATTTGACTTTGACTCTTGACTTAATAACAGCAACATATTAGCTTAGGTAAATGCATCAATCATGATTTTTTTTCATGTAGGATGTATCAGTCAGGATAGAATGGTTGTGTTGTGCTAACAATGGATATGACACGACTGAATTATATCTCTCAGTTCCAAGCATTCTCAATCTTCCAAAGGTTATCTTAGCATTTTAGTTAGGTTCCTTTGGTCTCCAGGGCACCTACTCATAAACGTATATTCACATGGACTGGATCTGGATAATCAAGGATGAGGAATTAAACGCTTCTGCCCAGAAATGAGAGCTATTACTTTTGCTCATATTCATTGTCACAAGCAATTCATTTCACTATGGCCTAACTTAAAAAATACAGGAAAGTTCACTCTTTCCAGCTGCCAGAAAAGGAAGAGAACCTGATGTGTGGTTTACTTGTGATATCATTTACTCTTCCATGTTTTAGAAATTTTGCTATATACTTAAGTTTGTTAGGGATAACATACTTAATTGAAGAATACAATTTTAAAGTTAATCACCCAATGGTGATGAAAATCATGCACAATATTGCATGATTCTTTCAAAGTGAACATTTCTTGAAAGTTCCATGACTTTAAAACAGACAGCCTAGAGCTGACGGCATTAATTTGCCATTTGGCACTTTAAATTGACTATTAGTAATCTTTGATTTTCAAAAGATAAGTGTCTTTTTTTACAATTAAATCAACGCATTTTTGAAAATCAGATTTAAAAGTTGTAGTTATGACAGAAAAAGGCATTTAAAAAAATTTTCTTAGGAAAACGTAATTGCAATAAAGTTAAGACGGCACTTTAAGAACATTTGCTTTTCAAATATAGTCAATCAAAAGTTTTATCCAAATGCCTTAATATTATTACAACCACCAACCTATTGCAAAATGTACTGATTTAATTAAATGGTAAGAGAATCATTTAAAATTGCTCCTGAAAAATCTACAATTTAGAAAATAAATAATTTATCATTACTGCATATTAATTGAAAATCATTTTTATTTGTGACATTATGTAATTATGTACTTGAGTTAAATTTTTCAAAAAAATCTTTGGTGAACCTGTATTAATTTATAATGTGAAAAATTATGGTTTCATATTCATACTATAGAAAACTTCCTGTAGTATCATAGCCCAATGATATGCATGAACAAGATATTAAAGCCAGCTGCAAAATTAACCTTTGCTCTTATGTAATATAGCAAAACATTCACTATTTAGAGGTGAAAAGCCTGCCTCTACTTATTCTAATTTCATCGTATACTATATTGTTGATACTGGCAATTATCTTCTTTCTCTATTATATTTCAGAAATTGTATCTATAAAATAGTTTCCGTTTATTGTGGACTACGAGAAGTCTACTTTAAAGATAGCATTCGTAATTTAGTTGTTTTTTGAACTTTTATTATAAATATTAATCCAAAATCTTATAAACTCTGGATTTCAATACTATTCAACTAACTTATATTCTACATATTCTTCATTGCTTGAACGGAATGGTAAAATTAACAACAATAACAGCAATAAATTATAGTAACAAAAGGAGAAGAGAAAAAAGTGAAGGATATATGATGGGTAAGATGAAGAAAAAAATTGAACTTGCCAGTCATCAATGACGAACTTTTCTTCTGTGCTCTATGGGTTAAGAAAATCATCTATATGAATTTTAGTTGGACCTTATAAATTATTTTGTTCAGTGTATTAACATTTAAATTTATTAAAGTTTTAATGTATGCTCTACTATTAACTAAGCATTTAAAACATGCATCCAGAATGAAAACTTTCCTTATAATTTCTTCACATGGAAGAAAACTAACCTTTTTGGTAAATTATACAGCACACTCTTTCTATCTATATCCTACTAATCTGACAAATTATCGAACTTTCAATCAGAAAACCACCACATAAACCATAATATTGAATTCAGTAAAGTTTTTGATGTTAAAACAAGTGGAGAACCAACTAAAGAAATGAATTATTAATGTAATGAAAGTTTCTGACAGGTGGTAAAAGCCCTAGTGTTATGAAGATCAATGTACAGACATCCTTCAGATGTCAAATCTTGTTCCTAACAGAAACATAAACATGTTTGGGAAATATGTATTAAGGAACAAAAAATTACTTTATCCACATCTAGGCTTTAGAATATATCTTTTAGCTAAAAAACGAAAATATAGATAATACAATCTATAATATGTTCACATAAAATAGGATTGTATTTTGTATTTTCATTGAATGTATTTTTATTTTATATTTTTCTCCATTTTAAAAGACACAAAAATACTCAACAAAAATAAATTTAAAAAATATTTCCCAAAAGAAAGTTTAATAATAAATACTAGAAAACATATATAAGGCTTTTATTCCTATTTCAAAGCATTTTATGTTTTCAGGTTTAAAAAAAAGTCATAAAAAGTGTACATTTTTCCAGAATTTTTGAATTTGCACTTTTACAAGACTAGAATGGCATCCTTCATTAGAGTAATTTTACATGGTTGAGATATTTGTTTAAAAAATTGAAGTTATAAAGAGCATTAGAAACAGCAATAACTCTTGATTAATATCCACAATCCTACTATCAACTTGTTAGTCTGGTAGATGAATCAGTAAAATTCAGAAGTTTTTATAAATTACTGGGAAGAAACCCAATTCTATTGCAAAGCAATAAAGAATTAGATTTAGTGATATTTTTAAAAAATAACTTTCCTGAGCCTTTTCAATATATCTTAAATGTGTTATTTAGCCCTTCCAATAAGCCCATTTGTAGATATTATCTTCATTTAGCTGTTATTATAACAACTGTTAAAGTCATATTTAACATTACTGTCTTATTTCATCCTCACAGCATCTCAATGAGAGGATTGGTATTAATTTCCTCATCATTTGATTGACTGATAATCAGCTTTCATCATTTCATAGGTGAGAACACTGAGGCATAAAGAGGCTAGAAAACTTGCCTGTGTCACACAGCTAATTTTTGGCCACATAGGCTTGAAGTTCTGCCTAGGAATGACATTATTCTTCTCTGAATAGTAATCTTTACTTAGACTCTTAAATATCCTCCACAATTTTAAAAAGCATTTGCCTTAATCTCTTTCTCCTTCTTATCGCTCTATCCTTCCCCACTCCCCTTCTTTCTGTATGAATGGATAAGTCTGAGTTTGATTTTAGCACATTTAGCACTTTGAGTTATCTTTATGACATGGAATACCTAGGAGTGTTTAGAATAAAGGATCAATAAACAAATATAATATCCTTCTGAGTTCTACTCACATTCTTTAGATACAAATGTCTAAGAACAAGTTTTGATGCCTGTCAATAGTTATGCCCTTCTGAGTTAGAAAGACGTAATATAATCAAATATTTTTTCATATATTTTATAAACTCAATACCAAGAACAAACAAATGAAAGAAAAGTTTATTAATATATCCTATCCTTATCCATGCATTGGATATTTTAAAATATACTCTTTTCTCATTTTAGACTACTTGCCCAGAAATATATCTATCTTCTAAAATTATATTCATAAGTAATTATTAACATACTTCAGGAACAAGGATCAAAGTATATCACCTTGTTTTCTGCTGAGAAGTAAGTCCTGAAAATGTAATGGTGGCATTCTAGTCCAGGAAGCAACGCTTCTGCTTTTTCCACAGTAAGCAGTTATCAGTATTTCTGAGCAGCCACAGTGATTACAGACACACTCTGATAAAGGTTTCACTATTTTCAGACTCTGGCCTGATAAGTCAAGATATCGAGTTTTGTCAAACTGCTGAGATATTTAGAAAGTCAGCAATCAGATTCACTAAGTAATCCTTTATAATAGCAACAAGACTCCTAGGACACTTTCTTTTTTGAGTAGGTTTAGGTGAATCATCTGGTTTAGCTTGACCTCTTGTCTTCTTGTACCAGCTAAGACAGATTCCTAATTTAAAAATACCTGGGGAGTAAAATCGGTAGCATCTGGAAGGGAAGGCTTTGTAGCATCTGGAGTGATGAGAGCTTTTGATCCCCATTTCCCTGTAGGTCTCTGACTTTGCAATTACATTTGAAGGACTTCTCTGTTGAATAATAGTCCCAGTCAAGGTGATATAATCATAGACAGGGGGAGAGGAAACAAGGGAGGAATAAAAAACCAAAATCTTCGAATGGAGACTTTGATTTTCTTTGTTATTATAATACAATAAAATGATTGTTTTTCCTGGCTTAAACACTCTTACTTATTTCAGTTAGGTGCCTTGACTCTTATTAGGCATTTCACAAATAATCTTTATCTGTTGTGTTTTTAAATTGTATAACCCCTGCCAAGTTGAAAGCACACACCTTAACAAAGAATTTAGGCAACTAAACCTTTCTAACAGCTTCATCAACCATGGAGGTTGGCCATTCTAGTCATTTCCACATTTGATTGCTTTATTTTATAATTATAGAAAAAGTTTCCGTTAATCATTGGCATGTTTTCAGTGACAAGTAGCAAGGACAAAAATCAAAGGAAAAAAAAATGATGGGAAGGGCGTAGTGTACCCAGGGATTGCTTTACTGAGGAGCAGGTATGTGAACAAAGAACTGCAAGACGCCAGGTAGCTAGGCAGGTATATGTCTGGGAAATAAACTTTTGAGATGAAGAGAAGAGCAAATTCAAAGAACTGGAGGCAGAAGTGTGCCTGACATTTTTGAGAAAGATTGAGGTTAGTGAAACTGAGCCGAGTGAACAAGTGGCAGAATGGGAGGAATTGAGATAAAGGCTCGGGAGGAAACAAAAGCGCTGGATGTTCTGGGATCTTGTAAGGACTGTGGCTTTTACTGTGAGAAGGTGTGAAGCAAAGGAGGGGCAAGATCTACTTTTGAAGAGAATCACTCAGACTGCTGGATGGAAAATAGACTGAGGAGAGGTGATAGCACAAAAGAAGAGTGACAGTTCAGAAGGCAATCAGTGACCCAGAGATGCTGGAGACTTGGGCCAAAGAAGTAGTAGCTGAAGTTTTGAGATGTAGATGGATTGTTGATATAATTTGGAATTTTCTATGAATATATGAATAGATTTGATGACCAACTAAATGTGGGGACACAAAGCCTAGGGTGATTCCAAGGTTTTTGGCCTGAGAAACTGGAACAATGAAGTTTCCATTTATTGAGATAATGTTGTTGGATTGTCCTAAAAATATACATTATCCATGGTGATTAAAATGATGCCGAGAAAACTGGTGCTTAAAATTACTTTCTTGGCTGGGCGCAGTGGCTCATGCCTGTAATCCCAGCACTTTGGGATGCTGAAGCGGGTGGATCACCTGAGGTCAGGAGTTTGAGACCAGCCTGGCCAATGTGGAGAAACCCCGTCTCTACTAAAATACAAAAATTAGCCGGGCATGGTGGCGGGAGCCTGTAGTCCCAGCTACTCAGGAGGCTGAGGCAGAAGTATCGCTTGAACCTGGGAGGCAGAGGTTGCAGTGAGCAGAGATCGCGTCACTGCACTCCAGCCTGGGTGACAGAGTGGGACTTTGTCTCAAAAAAATTACTTTCACAAGTGTGTCTGTTAGCATTGAAGAAATAAGCCCCCTTGAGTGTGTTTTACCATGAGTGATAAATATTTTATACTTGTATTTATTCGTAAAGCAACTCAAGACATGAATGTGTATTTTTTTCTAATAGAAAACAAAATATGACCTACCTCAGACAAATGTAAAATATAAGTTATCTGTGCTGTCTTTTGCATCTTTTTCTAGAGTTTTTTCAAAGAAACATTATGCTTGAAATGGACTTTTCTATAGCAGCTTATTTCTTTGTTTTATCTAGTGAAAATTAAGTTCAATATATATATTTGAATTGATAATACACATAAAACACTGTTTTAGGTGCCAGGTAAATTTTTGTTAAAGAAACCATTTAATCAAGTGTCCACTGTAATAGAAGCATAGATTAGGTAAGTATGACATTACATGTTTCTTGGATCCAAGAAATAGAAAAAATAAGACCTGCAGTATTCCGGTTCAAAGTATTCCTATTACAAACCTACTGACATAATGAACAGAGGACTTTATATGACAAGACTTCACCTTGATAGATACAGATCCATTTGTGGTCTCTTACACAGCAGTGTTCAATGACAATTTTGAACAATTTAAAAATCAGGCCTCATTATTACCTTCTGATTTTAAACAAGTAATTAAACTGCTTTCAGTTTTTATTTCTTCAGATGTAAAGAAAAGAAACTAAGGGATATCCAGTCAATAGAACAAATTGAACCAATATTAAAGGATTGTTTTCCCCATCTCATTTGTCTAATTTCAGATTAAAATACTGAAGCAAATAATGAAGGAAAATAAGTTTTAATACATATTTGCATCTGAGACTACCTAAGATGGGCTAATCAGCTACTCTGGATTGACCAATTCTTATTCCCAAGGTTTCTGGGAGCCTGACAAGACTTTTGGGCCAATGCTATGAAATATATGGAATAGAAACAAATAATGTTTTGTGATCATAGATCTGTGAGTTGTTTTGGGAGCAGACCATACCATCCTAGCTATTTATTAACAGTAATTGAATGTGTGATTTTAAACTTATGTTTAGTGAAGCCTGAAAAGTTTTGATAGATAAGGCTTGGTCACATAGCTGGAATGTGCTTACACAGCCAGCTTATATAAGAAATCAGGGCAGTCTTTGGACTTCCTGGTACAAAGTGCATTGCAGGTACGCTGGTGATGGTTTCAGACATGGAGGTCCAGGAAACCCAACAGTATGAGGAAGAATACGTCTGTGCCTTAGCTGTCAGGACACATTTCAGTGCATATCCTTTTCCTGATACTGCTGTACCGAGTACCTTGCCTATATAGGAAAGCTGTTCCACAAGTATGAAACCTTGTGGGCCCAGTGATTTGCCTTATAGTCATTAATGCACAATTAAAGCTAAAACCAAGGCAGGTAAATTCCAGGTTCCAGAAATAAAAATCGAATCTAAGTCAGAAGAGTAGGTAAAGCTAACATTTCTCTAGATCTTAAGAATTGGACATGGGTTTCTGAAGTTTGAATGCCTCTTATGAGGAGAGAAAGAATGTAATTGTCCCACAGTCAGACATCATGGCTATGATTTTAGGATCCCATCCTGTAAGACAGTTGTCTGGATGGGCTTGGACCAAACCAGTTTTATTCCCTTTCTTTCTTGTAGTTCTCAAGAATAACTGTAGAATGTGCTGGGAATGCAACACCTTGAGATTATGGGAAGATGCCTGAAACAGCCCAGGATCTCTTCTAATTCCCCCTGGATATGGGATGACTTTTATTCTGGGGATCTCATTGCCCCAGAATAAAAAACTTAGGATGGGCTGTTTTTCAGACTCCCTCAGCTACAGTGCAAGGGGGCACACACACAGGAGACTCCATCTGCCCCAAGCAGTGTTTCTGAAGCTTAGGGGACTGGCTCACATTGATTCTCAGGGTTCTGTTGTCCCTTTCTGCCTATCTGTAAGTATTAATAATAAACTCACTCCATGTAACTTGTATACATGGGTGTTCTGTCTCACCAGACCCAGACAAGTTGGCAACCAGTGCACAGTGAACCTGCTTCACACATGCTGATTTGGCCTTTTATAGAGGAGAAAATATATGAACCCAGCAGCCACCCCAAAAATTGTCTGCTGAAACATCATGTTTCCAGATAAAAGAATCATTTAATGACTTGCAAGGTACTCTCATTGTGTCTCAACTTCTCCACACTGACCATTGTAACTAGTTAGTATCTATTGTAATTGTCAGGATATCCTTCTGTTCCTTAAATATGCCACTCTGAATTTGAAGAAGAAAGTTTAAGGAAGAGGAAGAAGTGTTAACTTTATTTGTCCTGTGGTGTGTGGTGTGTGTATGTGTGCGTGTGTGTGTCTGCACACACAAGTGTGATTGTCTATGTCTTGCTGAGTTTTACAGAGATTAATCTTTTGTGATCACCAGGTTGTATGGCAGAATTTGACACATGTTATTCTATTTAGCTGTTCTATGGTAACCTGGTGTGGTTAGTATAATCTCTATGTTAAAGATCAGTAAATGGAAGCAGACAGAATTTAAGAGGCACCTCACAGATGACATAACTTGTTAGTGATTTGGCTATGACTGGGATCCAATTCCAAAGTTTTACTAATTTACCATTCTATTTAAGGATAGGAGGGAGTTACTCGAATCCATGTACTGGCTCAACAATATTTTCAGAGAACTAATGTTGCTTCTGTTCTAAAACTGAAAAATCCAGTATGCAAAATATGGCAAATACATTGAAAAAGACACTGGAAATTAGCCAGTGAGTTTGAAGGATTGAAATGCTGTACCTTGTTTTAGTTAGGGGAGTATTGCTATTGCTATTTTGTTCATTTTTTTGAACTCAAAGATATTCTGTAGCTAGTTTTATTCTGTTGTTAAGACTGTAACAGAGCCAAAGAAGGAAAAAGCATACAGAGTGCTGCTTTGTTGTTTAAAATAATTCACTTTTAAATATTAGGGCAGAGAAAACAGGAGACATAGCCCTTTGGGTAAAAATAATCAATAAGAATTATACTTCCTTCATGGACAAGTGTGTAGATACTGAAAGTAGCCAGTTTAAATGAATCATGGTGTCTAGGTTTTGCTCCTATGAATGACAAAGTCTGATTCTATGAGTAGTATTCCAATCTTTTAATTTTAAAAAATAACTATTTTAGCTCAAGAGGAAGGTATGTCAGTAGGACTGATGATCTTCCTATTTTCAACAGAATGATGAACCTCTAAAGTTGATTCAAGCTCTTGCACTCTTATTAAAAAGCTCTTGACAAAAAGTACCAAGTTTTGAAGCAATCCTACCCTTATGGAGTGATTTAAGAATCTTGGTTTAGAATTATTGGATGCCTATTTTTAGAAGTTCCCTTCTCATGTATCTTTATTGATTCAAAGTGTCATTACATTTCTGGAGCTGTAAGGAAATTGTCTGCTCACAATTCAAGGATTCAAGAATGTTCTACTACAGAAAAAATCTTGGGTAGTTCAGCTTTTCATTTTCATTGGAACTGAGGGAAATTGCTCAAGTGAAATATAAAGTGCTGAGTTTAAAAAATAGCCTTAAGGTTTTACTAAGTAGACACTTCATGTATAGTTGACAGAGTTTCTAGGCAAATATTTAAGTTCATCTAACTACAGGTTATCTATAAGTGGGGAAGAAAGGGAGATGATTTTGTTTGTGCGTACAAGACAAACACAAAGTAAATATATATATATATTTCAATAAATTAATGAAAATAAATGGCAGAACAACATAAGCTGATAAACATCAATGCAGCATTATATATATTATCTTTCAAACATATGATCAAGGATGACATTGAATTTCTATAACAATTGCTCTAGCATGAGCTTTAGCTAACAAAATGCACACCTGCCATACTGGAGCAACCTGGGACCCACTGGTGCATATTGGCTAGATAACAGCCTTATTCATGGCCAAGTGAAGCAATGGTGAGATTAGAAATGCAGCCTCTATCACTATGCAGTGATAGACATAAAGAACCCTAACATAAATTTACAAATTGTTATGGCATCATTGTTATTAGCAGTGCAAAAAAGAAGTATACAACACATACCTGTGGTTTTAATTGCATTTTATATTTGAACAATTTGTCTATATTTTTCAATCATGTAACTAACAAAATACTTCTATTTCAGTAAATCAAAATGGAAAGAGGAGAGAATATATGGACAGAAATATTTTTACATTAGCACAAGAAGCTGCATGGCAGATTTAGAAAGAAGAGTGATTTCTCAGCAAAATACTAGTATGGGCAACAAGGTGAGAATAAAAGCTTCAAAAAACTGGCAACTGCTTATGAAAACTGCTATGAGTTATGCAATAAGATTCAAAAGGTATTCTACATGCAATAAAATTTTAAAATCTCTGATTGAAGGAGTGTGTTTTTGTGATATTTGAGTGAGCTGTCAACAAAGATGTAAGTACTCTACAGTAACTAAGCAGACAGTTAGAGGTTCACACACTTAAGGATGAGCAGCTCAGTTATACAAAAAAAAAGTCTAAGGACTGAGTAATTTTATAATATAGCTAGACTTCAGGTTTAGCAAGGAGCAAATAAAGCCATAAAAAGTTGATAGCTGGAGAGATTAAAGTTGGAGGCAGCAGGTTGTAGAAAAGAGAGCTGAGAAGTATAAATTTTTGAAAAGGACAGATAGAAAGTAATGTCAATGTGTTATCTAAGTGCTTATACTTACACCAACAAAGCTTGTTAATTTTAGGAAAAATATAAAAGTAGAGAAGTAAGTAATGGGTTAAGGTAATACCAGTAAGATGTAACAAATAAAGCTTGAAATGTAGTGTCCTAGTTCAATAAATACTCATTTCTAACTCACATAAAGACTGACTTCTAAATCATTTACTGAGTTCAGGTGTCACATTTAATGTCACACCTAAAGATATCAAGTCTTGAATTCTATTTTTAGGAAAACTGACATCCTAATAGGGGATGGGTAAATAGCAAGTGTATTATAAATCAATTAGATTTAGAAATAGATAAAAACAAAAGATACAATAGGAAATAAACTAGGCAATTTCTGAACATTTAAATATATTTACCTTGAAGAAAATATGCAAATTTTTGACATAGTATTGAGGGGAAAGTAAGTTTCCTTGTCATGAACAGATGTATCTGTGAATAGCCTGTGGTGAAATCATGTGGCAAAAGGGGAATATGTTCTGACTGATGGGATATGCAGCAGCACAAGACAATTCTTTTTCCAGTCCCCTCTACTAGATGCCTCTACTCTCTCATGGTTTTGCCTCTGAGAGAGATAGATCTGAAATAATAATAGTAGTTTAGAGTGAAATTAACTAATACCTAACTACAACTGCAACTAATACCCCAGATAGAGCTTCCTGAATGGAAAAAGTCAAGACATCCCCTAACACTTGGAGATAACAATTTATAAAATGATTTTCTCTACCCTAATAGAGAAACCTTACAACTTACCACAACATTAATCAGACTTCTGTCTAATAACAGGGGATCTGAGTTGGAATAACTGAGACTCAGACTTTTTAAATGTCTCTAGAGAAACTTCAGGACAAGAAACAAAAGGCACTAAAAGGAAATGTTAGCCTTTGACACTTACAGCAACAACAAACAGTAAACACAGCCTAACTCTTAGATAAACATAAAACCTCACACTAAAGATCTATTTGCTTCAGTTCCTTTTACCAACACATCATGTTTAGCTTTCAACCACAAATTACAAGCACATTATGAGGCAAAAGAAAACACATAATGAAGCGATAAAGCAAGTATCAGAAACAGACTCAAATTAGATTTTGGAGTTATCAGACAGGTAATTTAAAATAACTATGATTAATATGTTAAAAGCTCTAACAGAAAAAGAGAACAACACACAGGAACAGATGGGTAATGAAATAAAGAGAAATGAAAAGTCTAAGAACGGATCAAAGGGAGATGCTAGAAGTCAAAAACACTGTATCAGAAATAAACAATGCCTTTGACAGACTCATCAGGGAACAGAACATGGCTAAGGAAAAAATAATTAAGGTATGTCTAATAAAATTTCTCAGACTGATAAACAGAGAATAAAATGAAAGAATTAAACAAATGAACAGAATATGTGAGAACAGCGGGCCAGTTAGAAAAGGTACCACAAATGCAAAATTAAACATCAGAAGGAGAAGAGAGAGGAAAAAAAAAACAAAAAACAGAAGAAATACTTGAGGTAATAATGACTGAAAATGTTCAACTGTGAATATGACTCAAAGCCATAGGTCCACTAAACTAATAAAACACTAAGACGGTTAAACATTTTAAAACATTTTAAAAATCGAAACATGAGCATAACATACTCAAACTTGCAGAATTTCAAAGGGAAAAAGAAAATCTGAAAAAATTCAGAAGAAAAACACCTGTAGTTCTGAGTCTTCTCTTTCATGTGGTTACTTTGGAATGTTCACGGCACATAATACAATCGGTATATTTACTGATTGTGTATTGGTGAATTGGTGCTGGCTCTCAGTTCCCGCCTCGCGGCGGGGGGGGCCTGACCACCCCTGCGATGGGTGTCCTAAGAGCCAGGGGGGGAAGAGGGGCTGGCTGTCAGTCCCCGCCTCCCGGGGGGTGCCTCCCGCCCCTACGATGGTGGTTCCAAGAGTCTGGGGGGGAAGAGGGGCTGGCTTTCAGTACCCGCCTCGCGGGGGGTGCCTCCCCCAGGTGCGATGGGGGTCCTAAGAGCCAGGGGGTGAAGAGGGGCTGGCTCTCTGTCCCCTCGTCGCGGGGGTTGCATCCCCCCCCTGTGATGGGGGTCCCAAGAGCCAGGGGGGGAAGAAGGGCTGGCTCTCAGTCCCCGCCTCACTAGCAGGGGAGTTGCTGCCAAGGCCCTCAAACATGGGGGCCATCCTTTAGAAACCCTGTCTAGTTGTTTAGAGACATAGGCCACCGACCTCATCCAGGGCCCCACAGTTTGGGTTAAAAGTCCACCTGCCATCTTTTCTCTCTCTGACACATACAATGGAAAAGGCTTTGTCAGATCGGGTAACCCCAGGGCTGAAGCTGCCAGAAGTTTTTCCTTTAACTCATGAAAGACTTGCTGTTGTTAGGATCCCCCTTCCAAAGGTTCCCGGTCCCCGACCCCTTTGTGACCTCATACAAAGTCTTGGCTTATACTGCAAAGTTTGGGATCCACAGTCTACAAAACCCCACAGCTCCTGAGAATTCTCTCGCCTGCCTTCGGCCCTTAGGCTCTGGTAGATTGCAAATAACATGCTTTCTTTCTGTTCCCGGGTGGCTTCGGACCCCTGTCGGATCGGAAATCCCAAGTAAGGTACCTGCCCTGGGCAGATTTGAGCTTTCTTCTTGGACACCTAATACCCACAGTCCTCCAGGTAGGTCCTAAAGATCTTGGGATCCGCGATGGGGGTCCTAAGGCAGGGGGGGAAGAGGGGCTGGCTCTCACCCACCCCAAAATGGGCGGCCTTTATGTTCAGGTTTTGCCCAAGAGTCAGCTTATTTGCTTCTTCTACTATCAGGGCAGTTGCTGCCATGGCCCTCAAACAGGGGGGCCATCCTTTAGATACCCTGTCTAGGTGTTTAGAGACGTAGGCCACCGGCCTCATCCAGGGCCCCACAGTTTGGGTTAAAAGTCCAGCTGCCATGTTTTCTCTATCTGACGCATTGAATGGAAAAGGCTTTGTCAGATCCGGTAGCCTCAGGGCTGGGGCCTCCAGAAGTTTTTCCTTTAACTCAAGAAAGACTTGCTGTTGTTGGGATCCCGATTCCATAGGTTCCCAGTCCCCGCCCACTTTGTGATCTCATACAAAGGCTTGGCTAATACTTCAAAGTTTGGGATGCACAGTCTACAAAATCCCACAGCCCCTAAGTATTCTCTCACATGCTTTCTGCCCTTAGGCTGAGGTAGATTGCAAATGACCTGCTTTCTTTCTGTTCCTGGGTGCCTTCGGACCCCTGTCGGATAGTAAATCCCAAGTAAGGTACCTGCCGTCAGCAGATTTGAGCTTTCTTCTTGGACACCTAATACCCACAGTCCTCCAGGTGGGTCCTAAAGTTCATAGGATCCGCGATGGGGGTCCCAAGCCAGGGAGGGACGAGGGGCTGGCTCTCAGTCCCCGCCTCGCGGGGGGGTGCCTCCCCCCCCCCTGCGATGGGGGTCCTAAGAGCCAGGGGGGAAGAGGGGATGGCTGTCAGTCCCTCCCTCGTGGGTGGTACCTCCGCCTTCTGCGATGGTGGTCCTAAGAGCCAGGGGGAGACGAGGGGCTGGCTCTCAGTCCCCGCTTCGCGAGGGGTGCCTCCCCCCCCCGCGATGGGGGTCCTAAGAGTCTGGGGGGAAAGAGGGGCTGGCTCTCAATCCCCGCCTCGCGGGGGTGCCTCCCCCAGGTGCTATGTGGGTCCTAAGAGCCAGGGGTGAAGAGGGGCTAGCTCTCTGTCCCCTCGTCACGGGGGTTGCATCACCCACCCTGCGATGGAGGTTCCAAGAGCCAAGGGGGTAAGAGGGGCTGGCTCTCAGTCCCTGCCTCGCGGGGGTTCCTCCCCCCCTGCGATGGGGGTCCCAAGAGCCAGGGGGGGAAGAGGGGCTGGCTCTCAGTCCCCGCCTCGCGGAGGGTGCCTCCCCCACCACTGCGATGGGGGTCCCAAGAGCCAGGGGGGGAAGAGGGTCTGGCTCTCCACCACCACAAAATGGGGGGCCTTTATGTTCAGGTTTTGCCCAAGAGTCAGCTTATTTGCTTCTTGTACTAGCAGGGCAGTTGCTGCCAAGGCCCTCAAACAGGGTGCCATCCTTTAGAAACCCTGTCTAGTTGTTCAGAGACGTAGGCCACCGGCCTCATCCAGGGCCCCACAGTTTGGGTTAAAAGTCCACCTGCCATCTTTTCTCTCTCTGACGCATACAATGGAAAAGGCTTTGTCAGATCGGATAGCCCCAGGGCTGAAGCTGCCAGAAGTTTTTCCTTTAACTCATGAAAGACTTGCTGTTGTTGGGATCCCCCTTCCAAAGGTTCCCAGTCCCCGCCCCCTTTGTGACATCATACAAAGTCTTGGCTTATACTGCAAAGTTTGGGATCCACAGTCTACAAAACCCCACAGCTCCTGAGAATTCTCTTGCCTGCCTTCGGCTCTTAGGCTATAGTAGATTCCAAATAACCTGCTTTCTTTCTGTTCCCGGGTGGCTTCGGACCCCTGTCGGATCGGAAATCCCAAGTAAGGTACCTGCCGTCGGCAGATTTGAGCTTTCTCCTTGGACACCTAATACCCACAGTCCTCCAGGTGGGTCCTAAGGATCTTAGGATCTGCGATGGGGGTCCTAAGGCAGGGGAGGAAGAGGGGCTGGCTCTCACTCACCCCAAAATGGGCAGCCTTTATGTTCAGGTTTTGCCCAAGAGTCAGCTTATTTGCTTCTTCTACTATCAGGGCAGTTGCTGCCACGGCCCTCAAACAGGGGAGCCATCCTTTTGAAACCCTGTGTAGGTGTTTAGAGACGTAGGCCACCGGCATCAGCCAGGGCCCCGGAGTTTGGGTTAAAAGTCCAGCTGCCATGTTTTCTCTATCTGACCCATTGAATGGAAAAGACTTTGTCAGATCGGGTAGCCCCAGGGCTGGGGCTGCCAGTAGTTTTTCCTTTAACTCATGAAAGACTTGCTTTTGTTGGGATCCTGATTCCGTAGGTTCCCGGTCCCCGCCCCCTTTGTGACCTCATACAAAGGCTTGGCTAATACTGCAAAGTTTGGGATGCACAGCCTATAAAACCCCGTAGCCCCTAAGAAACCCTCACCTGCTTTCTGCCCTTAGGCTCCAGTAGATTGCAAATGACCTGCTTACTTTCTGTTCCCGGGCTGCGTTCTGACACCTGTCGGATAGTAAATCCCAAGTAAGGTACCAGCCGTCGGCAGATTTGAGCTTTCTTCTTGGACACCTATACCCACAGTCCTCCAGGTGGGTCCTAAGGTTCATAGGATCCACGATCGGGGTCTCAAGCCAGGGGGTACAAGGGGCTTGCTCTCAGTCCCTGTCTCACGGGGGGTGCCTCCCCCCTTGCGATGGGGGTCCTAAGAGCCAGGGGGGAAGAGGGGATGGCTGTCAGTCCCTCCCTCGTGGGGGGTGCCTCCCCCTCCTGCGATGGTGGTCCTAAGAGCCAGGGGGGGAAGAGGGGCTGGCTCTCAGTCCCCGCCTCGCGGGGTGTGCCTCTCCCCCGGCGATGGGGGTCCTAAGAGCCCAGGGGGGGAAGAGGGGCTGGCTCTCACTACCCTCCTCACGGTGGGTGCCTCCCCGCCTGCGACTGTGGTCCTAAGAGCCAGGGTGGAAAGAGGGGCTAGCTCTGAGTTCCCGCCTCGCGGGGGGTGCCTCCCCACCCTGCGATGGGGGTTCCAAGTGTCAGGGGGGAAGAGGGGGTGGCTCTCACTCCTCGGCTCGCGGAGGCTGCCTCCCCTCACTGAGATGGGGGTCCTAAGAGCCAGTGGGGAAGAGGGGCTGGCTCTCAGTCCCTGCCTCGCGGGGGGTGCCTCCCGCCTCTGCGATGGTGGTCCTAAGAGCCAGGGGGGAAAGAGTGGCTGGCACTCAGTCCCGGCCTCGTGGGGGGTGCCTCCCCTCCTGCGACGCGGGTCCTAAGAGCCAGGGGTGGAAGAGGGGCTGGCTCTCACTACCCTCCTCGCAGTGGGTGCCTCCCTGCCTGCGATTGGGGTCCTAAGAGCCAGGAGGGAAAGAGGGGCTAGCTCTGAGTCCCCGCCTCGCGGGGGGTGCCTCCCCACCCTGCGATGGCGGTCCCAAGTGTCAGGGGGGAAGAGGGAGTGGCTGTCACTCCTCGGCTCGTGGGGGCTGCCTCCCCCCCCTGCGATGGGGGTCCTAAGAGCCAGGCGGGAAGAGGGGCTGGCTCTCAGTCCCTTCCTCGCGGGGGGTGCCTCCCGCCTCTGCGATGGGGGTCCTAAGAGCCAGGGGGGGAAGACGGGCTCGCTCTCAGTCGCCGCCTCGCGGGGGGTGCCTCCCGCCCTGCGATGGGGGTCCCAAGAGCCGGGGGGGAAGAGGGGCTGGCTCTCTGTACTCGCCTCTCGATGGGTGCCTCCCCGCCTGCGATTGGGGTCCTAAGAGCCAGGGGGGAAAGAGGGGCTAGCTCTGAGTCCCTGCCTCTCGGGGGGGTGCCTCCCCACCCTGCGATGGCGGTCCCAAGTGTCAGGGGGGGAAGAGGGGGTGGCTGTCACTCCTCGGCTCGCGGAGGCTGCCTCCCACCACTGCGATGGGGGTTCTAAGAGCCAGGGGGGAAGAGGGGCTGGTTCTCAGTCCCTGCCTCAGTGGGGGTGCCTCCCCCTCTGCGATGGGGGTCCTAAGAGCCAGCTGAGGAAGAGGGGCTGGCTCTCAGTTCCCGCCTTTTTTTTTTTTCTCAGTGTTTTAGACGCCCAGCTGCACAACTTGATTGCCTTACAAATGACCTGCTTCCAGGATGCGGAAATTCCTAATTTCTTCTGTGACCCTTCTCAACTCCCCCATCTTGCATGTTGTGACACCTTCACCAATAACATAATCATGTATTTCCCTGCTGTCATATTTGGTTTTCTTCCCATCTCTGGGACCCTTTTCTCTTACTATAAAATTGTTTCCTCCATTCTGAGTGTTTCATCATCACGTGGGCAGTATAAGGCCTTCTCCACCTGTGGGTCTCACCTGTCAGTTGTTTGCTGATTTTACGGAACGGGCGTTGGAGGGTACTTCAGTTCAGATGTGTCATCTTCCCCGAGAAAGGCTGCAGTGGCCTCAGTGATGTACACGGTGATCACCCCATGCTGAACCCCTTCATCTACAGCCTGAGAAACAGGCATATTAAAAGTGTCCTGCGGCGGCCGCACAGCAGCACCGTCCAATCTCCGTATCTTCTTATCTGTTCCATTCCTTTTGTAGTGTGGGTTAACAAAGGCAGCAAGGTCAAATAAGAATGATATCACAGGGCGAACACCCAAAGTGATATTAGGAGTAATACTCCCTAGGATATAGAATATACTGTCACAGAGTATACACAGATGGGGTATACCCACTGTGATATTAGAAGCAATATCTCCCTAATGTATGAGGAAAAATATCACAGGGTGTGCACACTGTGTGATATGAGGAGTAATATTTACCCTGGATATTACGACTAATATCAAGGGTGTACATACACGGGGTACACGCACTGTGATATCAGGATTTGTATCTCCCTAGGATATTAAGAATACTATCACAGGGTATACACTATGTGTGTACATCCACTGTGATATTTGAAGTAATATCTCTCTATGAGATTGCAAATAACATCAAAGCGTGTACACCCCTGTGACACATTAGGAGTAACACCCTTCTAGGGTATTACAGATAATGTCACAGCGTGTACACCTCTGTGACGTTTTGTACACACTTTGTGACATTAAAAGAAACATCCCCCTAGGATATTGTGAATAATAACACAGGAGGGGTACACACATGGTGTACACCGCCTGTGTCATCAGGAGTAACATTCCCCTAGGATATTATGAATAATATCACAGCAGGTGTACACACATGGTGTACGCCCCATGTGACATTCGGAAGAGCATGCCCCTAGGATATTAGGAATAGTATCACAGGCGTTGAATACGCATTTTTAATGTGTAATGTCACCCCCGGTGACATTAAAAATAACATCCCCCTTGGATATTATGAATAATAGGACCGGGAGTACACCCCGTGTGACATTAGGAATAACACCTCCCGAGGATATAACGAATAATATCAGAGGGTGTCCATGCATTGTGACCTTAGTAGTAACATCTCTTTAGGATATTACAAATAGTATCACAGGGTGTACAGGCATTGTGACATTAGTAGTAACATCCCACTGGGATATGACGAGTCATATCACAGGGTGTACACCCCGGTGACAATAATAACAACATTCCCCTAGAATATTACGAATAATATCACAGGAGGTACAGCCCCTGTGATTTACAAGTAACATGTCTATAGAATATTACAACTCATATCACTGTGTGACTCTGTGTACACCCCGTGTGACTTTAGCAGTAACATCCCACAAAACTATGATGAAAAATATCACAGGGTGAACACCCCCTGTGACCTGAGGAATAACGTAGTTTTAGGATATTATGAATGATGTGACAAGGTGTACACACCCTGTGACGTTAGGAGCAATATCCGTCTAGGATGTTAGGAAGACTATCACACGGAACACACCCCCTGTGACATTAGGATATGACAAATAATATCACAAGGTGTACACGCATCGTGACATTAGTGCTAATATCCCTCTGGCACACTATGAATAATATCACAGGGTGTACATCCCTGTGACATTAGGAGTAACATCCCCCTAGAATAGTAAGAATAATAACACGGGGTGTACACCCCCTGTGACATGAGGAGTATCATCTCCCTAGAATATTATGAACAATGTCACAGGGTGTTATCGTCTGTTCCAATAGGAGTATAGACCCCTGGGAAATTATGAATACTATCACAGGGTGTACAGCCCTGTGACATTAGCAGTAACATCTTTCTAGAATATCACGAATAATAGCACAATGTGTACACCCCCTGTGTCATTAAAAGTGAAATTGCCGTGGGATATTACAAAATAGAACACAGGGAGGACACCCCGTGTGACATTAGAAGTAACATCCCCCGAGGATATAACCAATAAGATCAGAGAATGTACCTGCATTGGGACATCAGTAGTAACATCTCTTCAAGACAATACTAATAATATCAAAGGGTGTACACACATTGTGAAATTAGTAGTGAACTCCCGCTAGGATATTAGGAATTTTATGACAGGGTCTACAGGCCCTGTGACATTAGCAGTAACGTTTTCCTAGAAGATTACGAAGAATATTAAAGGGTGTACAGGACCTGTGAATTACGAGTAACATTTCCATAGCATATTGCACGTAACATCACTGTGTGTACACGCCATGTGACATTAGGGGTAACATCCCACAAAATTATAACGAATAATTTCACAAGCTGTGCACTCTCTGTGACATTAAAAGTAACACTTCCCTAGAATATGACGACAATATCACGGAGTGTACACCCTCTGTGATATGAGGAGTGACATCTTATGAGGATAATACGAGTAATTTCACAAGGTGTACAAACTCTGACATAAGGGGTGACATCCCTCTAGGACATTATGGATAATATCAAAAGGAACATACCCCGTGTGACAATAAATGCAACCTCCCATTAGGAGAATAAGAAACACCACAAGGTGTACACACAATGTGACATTATTATTAAGGTAAAGCTAGGATATTGGGAATAACATCACAGTGTACAGAGTCCTGTGACATCAGGTTTAACATTCCCCTGCAAAATTACGAATAATACTGAAGGGTGTATACCCCCTGCGACTTTAGAAGCTGCATCTTGCTAGAATATGGAAGATAATGTCCCAGGGTGTGAACCGAGGGTGACAGTATAGAAAGGATCCTAGGAAAAATCCGGGAGTAATATCACCCCACTATCGCCCCCTGGATATGACCATCCACATCGCGGGGGGCACCCGCCCCCCTGCGATGGGGGTCCTAAGAGCCGGGGGGCGGAGAGGGGTTGGCTCTTACTCCCTACATTGCGGGTGGTGCCTCACCCCCCTGCACTATTCACAATAGCAAAGACTTGGAACCAACCCAAATGTCCTTCAATGATAGACTGGATTAAGAAAATGTGGCACATATACACTGTGGAATACTATGCAGCCATAAAAAGGATGAGTTCATGTCCTTTGTAAGGACATGGATGAAGCTGGAAACCATCATTCTCAGCAAGCTATCACAGGGACAAAAAAAGCAAACGCCTCATGTTCTCCCTCATAGGTGAGAATTGAACAATGAGAACACTTGGACACAGGAAGGGGAACATCACATACTGGGGCCTGTCATGGAGTGGGGAGAGGGGAGAGGGATAGGATTAGGATATATACCTAATGTAAATGACGAGTTAATGGGTACAGCGGTGTTGGTATAACATGGGACATGTATACATATGCAACAAACTTGCACGTTGTGCTCATGTACCCTAGAACTTAAAGTATAACAAAAAAAAATAAATATATATATATATTTAAAATGAAGCTGGTTAGGTTTTAAAAGGCTCCTCAATGATAATTACTTATATAGCTGAAGAAATGGGAGACAAAAGGAGGGCTTCTCTGCCTCCCCAGGGTCTTGGTTTGCCTGGAGGATGGAAGGAAAATATAAGAAACACTTGCAGATAGCATACAGTCTGGCTTTGAATGATCAGATGTGAATATGTTTCTTGGGATTTGAGGGAGGTTGGACAAGGGGTAGGTGTGGAAGTGCAGAGTGAGTTGGAGAAAGAAGTCTGGCAAAGAAGTTGTAATGACTCAGGAAAGGGAATAGGGTTGTCTCTTTCCCTATGGGTAGAGGTAGATATTTTAGGAAAAAAGAGAGAGAGAAAAAAAGGATAAAATTTTGTTATGATCCCCCCAAAACTTGTTATGTAAGATATATATCTACTGATAGGACATTTTGAAAATTAGTATCAGCTTTATATTTGGGCACATGATTTCACTGAGATGGTTCTTTGGCAGAGCAGATTAAAATGATGTTCCTGAAATGAAACTCGAGTCTCCAAAATAATTGGCTCATTTTAAGCAAAATATTATTGATGATCAACAGTGACTGGCACATAATAATTGTTTAAATATTTGTTGGCTAAGTCAGGGAATGAATGATATGCTTTGGCAATTACTGACAGTATATAAAGGTCTCAGGGAAGTAGAAGACGTCCACACCTCAGAAGCATCTTCTTGAAACCCATCTCAATTCTCTCCTCTTGACAACATGTGTTGCAACTACTACGGCAACTCCTGTGGCTATGGCTCCAGCTATGGCTGTGGCTATGGCTCTGGTTATGGCTATGGCTATGGCTCCAGCTATGGCTGTGGCTATGGAACTGGCTACAGCTGTGGCTATGGCTGTGGCTATGGCTCTGGTTATGGCTGTGGCTATGGCTCCAGCTATGGCTGTGGCTATGGAACTGGCTACAGCTGTGGCTATGGCTCTGGCTACAGCTGTGGCTATGGCTCTGGCTCTGGCTGTGGCTATGGAACTGGCTTCGGCTGTGGGTATGGCTGTGGTTATGGAACTGGCTATGGCTGTGGATGTGGCTCTGGCTCTGGCTACTGTGGCTACCGGCCATTTTGCTTTAGAAGATGCTATTCTTCCTGCTAAAACATCACTGTCAGAGGACAATTTGCTTCTAAAATGACACGGCTAAAGATAATACTGATTCAAGGATTCATACTCCAAGATTTCTATATCCAAGAATTACATGCTTGACAGAGTCTTGGACCTCTAGCCTCACATTTCTTTGAATGAAATCATGGCCATAGGATCCACGGTGTCATCTGACTGTTTTCCAAATGTTATCTTTTGCTCCCTTAATCTCTGACTCTCTGTTATGACTGTGTTAATGATCATAACATCTACAATTGGGGAAGTCAATCATTTGTAATAAAAATGGTTCTTTATTCCAAAAAAAAATGTTTTAGTACAAAAGAGTCAAAAAGCTAAAATAAAATATAGTTTATAAAGCAAAAAATTATCAGTAAGCTAAGTTTAATGTATTATTGAAGAAATAAAATGTATTTTATACATTTACCCTAATGCCTAATGTTTAAGACATCTACTGTAGTGTACAGTAATATCCCAGGCCTTCACATTCACTCACTAATCACTCACTGATCCACCCAGAACAATTTTCAGCCCTGTAAGTGCCATTCGTGCTAAGTGGTCTATATAGGTACTGTTTTATTATTATTATTATTATTATTATTATTATTTTATACTGTGTTTTTACTGTATCTTTTCTAGATTTCAATAAGTTGAGATACACAAATATTTATTATTGTGTTACAATTGCCTATATTATCCAATATGGTAACATGCTGTGCAGGTTTGTATTCTAGAAGCAATAGGCTATACCTTATAATCTAGGTGTGTTCTAAGCTATATCATACAGGTTTATGTAAGTACACTGTGAAATCTGCATGGCAAACATCATTGCCTTATGATACATTTCTCAAATTTTCAGAACATATCCCTGTTGTTTAGCAGCACGTGAATGTATTTGATTTATTGTCTTGATGTCCCTTTGCTTTCCCCATGTGTTACCATCAACTGCCTAATGAAACAGCCTGGGATTGTGTAATGACTAACTTAGTGCTTTGAGTTTAATTCTTTTTCAGCCACTGTGGTATGTTGATTACTATATTAATAATGTGTCTCCTTTATGTGTTTTTAAATAGTTACTTGGTCATGAACTATTTATAAGCTTTGGAAACATGATTTCATTTATTCTGCAGGATAACTTCAGGAAGTGGGTATTAATTCTCACTGTATAAGTGAAGACATTAAGCACCAGAGTTTAAGTAGCTTGGTAAGTGTTATTCCAGTAATTAAATAGGCATAAATAGAGTTCAACTTTCTCAGTTCTATCTATAATTTCTCTCTATGTATGGGCTTATTTATATCAACCAGTATACACCTTGGTTTCGGCAATCAGTTATTGACTTTCTTTAAAGAAGGAAGAGAAGAAAAAAAAGGGAAGAAAAAAAAACCATAACCCTCTTTTACTATCGGACACCACATTTTTCTCTTCCACATTATCTTCTTTAAAGAACTGCATGTTGCAGAGTCCATGAGTGCAAGTGCTAGAAAGGCCAGGTAGAAATATTAAAAGTGATGCAGTTCAATACTGACAGTGATGAAATACAGAATGTATGGACCCTAATACACCGTGGAATACTATGCAGCCATAAAAAAGGATGGGTTCATGTCCTTTGTAGGGACATGGATGAAGCTGGAAATCATCATTCTCAGCAAACTATCACAGGGACAAAAAACCAAACACTGCATGTTCTCACTCATAGGTGGGAAATGAACAATGAGAACACTTGGACACCGGAAGGGGAACATCACACACTGGGGCCTGTCGTGGGGTGGGGGGAGGGGAGAAGGATAGCATTAGGAGATATACCTAATGTAAATGATGAGTTAATGGGTGCAGCACACCAACATGGCACGTGTATACATATGTAACAAACCTGCACGTTGTGCGCACATACCCTAGAACTTAAAGTATAATAAAAAAAAAAAAGAGAGAGAATGTATGGACCCTATAATCTCAAGGAGGGGCGGCAACCTGGTTGAATATTTTTTCAAGCCAGTTTAGGGAAAGATTGATAAGGTTTCCAATTTTTCAAAAGGACCCATAATTCAAATTTTTATATGAAATCTAATTTTTAATTTGAGTTGGAAATTAAAATCAATGTGTTATTTATGTTATGATCTCCACTTTTGGTTCTATGAGATTATTACTTGTTTAACTCTCTGTAATCTGAATTCTGCCACCCACAAGCCATATTAATGGAGATCGTGAATGACTTACATATTGTCTTTTGAATACATATTAATTTGCATCTTAATTGACCTGCAAGCAGTTTAAAACTCTTCAGGTGTGTTTATCAAAAGATTCCTTCATATGACTTTTTATCTTTCTCTACTCTTTCATCAATCTCATTTATTATTAAATTTCGGTTATCAGCTGCCATGCCAATAACTGCCAACTCTAAACACTTATCACAGTTTACTATGCAAGCTTTATAGGAATATTAATATACTTCATATTCACATATTCAGTATACATCTTAAGTATTAATTCCCCAAACATATGATTGTCGTTCAGGAGACTTTCTTTGAACCTCAATAAATGTCATTACACTTTACAGCACTATATTTTTGTTTCATAGAACTTCACTGTTTTATTAATCATTTCTTTGGATAATATCATATATCTTCTACAAAAGCATAATTTCTATAGGGAAGACAATTTTATTTCTTATTTTTACTATGACATTTTAGCATCTACTATACTGGCCAGCACGCCACACATTTGTCAATAAATAATGTATTGCCTCTCAGCTCCAAATTTACCCTGCAATCACTCTGCCATAATGTGTGGAATTCCTCTTGTATTTACTTCCTCATAGTGAGCACAGTATTCAAGCCTTCTCAGTAGAGGGCACCGGAGAGATGTTGTAGAGGAAAGGGCTCTCCTATGGTGCCTGGCTCCTTACAGTGAGTGGGTGGTGTGAGTGTGAGAACATCTAGAGGTGCTATACTTCAGAATCTGAGGTCCCTCAGGAATCTTACAGCTGGGGCTGGCTTCCTGCAGCCTTCTCAGCATGGACACCACAATTTCCAGGCTTCATACCTCCACAGGGTTTTTGATTCCCTCTGCCCACCTGTGTACCTGGGCCTTTGCTAACTTTGGCCTGTGGCCTGCTTGCAGTTAAGAATTTGTCATTAAAAAAAAAAAAAAAAAAAAAAAAAAGAACTTGTCATTGGCAGCCGGGCGCGGTGGCTCACGCTTGTAATCCCAGCACTTTGGGAGGCCAAGGAGGACGGATCACGAGGTCAGGAGATCGAGACCATCCTGGCTAACACGGTGAAACCCCGTCTCTACTAAAAATACAAAATTTAGCCGGGCGTGGTCGCGGGCGCCTGTGGTCCCAGCCACTCTGGAGGCTGAGGCAGGAGAACGGCGTGAACCCGGGAGGCGGAGCTTGCAGTGAGCCCAGATCACGCCACTGCACTCCATCCTGGGCGACAGAGTGAGACCACGTCTCAAAAAAAAAAAAAGACTTTGTCATTGGCTCACTCCTTCTATATCCTTTTACCTAGATCCACTGAAAGAGATTCAACTGTGTGGAACCTATGCCGCGGAGAATTGCTTTCTGCCATTGTTATTGTCCAGCAGTTGCCGAATAGCTCTGACCTGAGCAAAGCAGTGAAACGCGGTGCTGTTGAGTGGGTTGCCACTGCACCTTTTTCAACTACTCTAGTCTTGTGGAGAAAACACCCCTTCTAAATTTTTTCTTCATTGAATACTCTCCCTCAGCTCCAGGGTACCATATAGAGTTTTCTTGTATTTTAGAGTTACTGTTTTATCAAAGTGTACCAGTCTTTTGTATTACATTTCTCCTGTCTAAATCAACTGTGTGGTTTCTACTCATTATGGATATAGATTGACACAAACTCAATAAATATTTTTGAATGAATAACTCCACAGTCCAAGTTATTTTAATCACTATACAAAATCTCCAGAGTTTCTTCCATATTTCTGAACATGGTAACTATGTATCAAGAGACAAACCACAAATTTAAAGAAGGTGTGGTCAAATTTTATAAGTGTTTATAACATTTGTAAATGTTTGGCATCTAGAATACATGTATAATTCCAACAAATAAATAAGAAAAAAATAAATAATCCAGTGGGATATTGGGCAAAATATTGAAACCAAAGTGTCATAAAAGAGGAAATATTACTTTTTAATACACGTGGAAAATGTGTACCCACCTGAGCAATCACATATGCAAATGAAAGTTAAAACAAAATACAACGAGGCAAAAAAAATTCCCTTGCTTAAGCCTAATGTAAACAAACAAAAAAAATTCATCAAAAGACTATTAGTTTCTATACAGTCAAGGATAATGTCCAAAATCTGGAGCCGGGAACTGATTCAGTGAGGAAACCACGCTCACCACCATTAAAGATAAGTTGCTATAACTTACATGGGTGTCACTATTGTTTCAGTAACTTGATCTTGCCCCTACTGCTATTGCTACCAGTGAGAATTTTATAGTGCTTAAATGTATCATTATATCATAATTAAAATTCTGGGGAGTGGGTTAACCTAATTGATAGAGCTTAGGTCATCGGGCATACCCTAGCTGCAACAGAGACTGAGATAATGATTACCGTTATCTTCAGCTTCTATAGTAGGTGGCAAGCTCCGCATTGCAACAACAGGCACAAAATAAAAGGTTTCTCAATCATATAAAGGTGATTAAGATACTGAGCAGCCAAAATGCACATATGTACATAAACAGACACTCTCATTACACATATGCCCAAAGAGATTTATTTCAGTATTCTATATAATATTAAAAAGTTGAAGAAAATCTAAATATTGGCCAATACAAAAATGCTTGAATAAATGGTGACATGTTATTGGCAGACGTTATTATTAGCAGCCATAAGTCAGTCTCTATATGCCACTTTCTCTGGCATTCTACTATGGAAAATAAACAAACACTTTCAAAGTTTCTCTTTTGCCTTTTAGTCCATGTAAATTATATCTTGGTTAGTAATATTTGAAGAGAGATCTCCTGTGAGGTTTATGAGAAAGTTATTTCTCTTCCTATAAAGACGTGTGTGTGTGTGCGTGCGTGCGTGTGTGTGTGTGTGTGTGTGTGTGTGTGTGTTGAGGGGCTGTACATAGGAGACCAGCCTAGTTCTTGCTTAATAGTGAGGGCATAATATGGTGAATTGAAGCAACTACCTTTCAGTTATGAGGCTACGGGTCTAAGAATGAATGTGAGGATTGCTGATGGAAAGAAGTGAGCCTGGCTTACAATAACATTATTTAGTGACTGACTCTCTGTCCAAATCTTTATTATTTGAGAAAACAACCCCTAAATTTAAATGGAAGGTTGTCGGGAATTTCTATTAAGTAAACTGAAAGTATCCTTAACTTACTCAACATTTATTTCATAGAATATTAAACAGCACTTGATTATGCTGGACCCAAATGCATCAATGGGAATAAATCTTAAAAGTATAATGTTGAGTAAGAAACCACTATGTTTGGAATAAGTATAATATGATGAAATGTATTAATTAAGAAAAATTATAAAACATTTCTGAATATTGTTCAAGCATACATATTTAATGATAATGTGAAATATGAATAAGAAAGTTGCACAGCGACACCAGAGAGGGAAAGAATAAAATAGAAATCGTTCAGGAGAGGAAAATTTTGACTCCCTCTTTAATACTCAGAAATAATATAAAGCAAGTTTAATTAAAATTGTTGAATATGGAAGTAAATACGTGGATGTCTATTATATTATTCTATTTTGTTTTGTATGTTAGGCATATTTCAAACTTAAAAACTTTTAGAGTGCTTTCCAAAGTAATGTGCAATTAAATTCTTAGAGAAATACTGTAAAGAAAGTAGTATTTTCTCATACTACAGAGTAAACTACTGAGCCTCACTGACATGAAGTAATTTGCACAATTGTTTCTACTCCAATTGAAGTATTTTACAAATTGTTATGTCACAACCTGGGATTTTTCTTTTGCGTTATCATCATAGATATTCAGGAAATATCTACTCATATGTTCATAAAATTGCCTTAAAATGTTTTTTACCAAAGAGACAAATGTTTTCATAGCCTTCATTCTTCGAAAAACCATCTATAACTTTAAACTCATGGTAATGTGTTTCAAGGAATACGTGAAATATGAAATTTTCCCACAGATTAAGTGGTAAAGATGAGAGCTCAGTGGTGGATAAAGGACAATAATAAATAGCTATTTTTGTATTTCTCCTTTTTTACATATTGCTTTTCTTCACTATAAATCAAATATACATTAAGTATTTTATTAAAATAAGTGAAACACTAGAATCTAAATATCTACAAAAATTAAGTGAAGAAATATATCAGAACCCATTGTAGGTTGAGCATTCTGAATCTGAAAATATGAAATGCAAAACACTTCAAAATCTGAAACATTTTAAGTGCTAATATGATGCCACAAGTGGAAAATTCCACACCTAACTTCATGTGATAGGTTGCAGTCAAAAGGCACGACCCACAGTTTATTCAGCATCTCCAAGGAAAAATGACCATCTTAGCCCACTTCAGCTGTGATATATCTTCTCCATGCCCTTCTACGAAGGGTAATAAAATGGCACATGCACAGGCTGGATGTGTGTTCCCACCAGTGCCCTACATGGGGCCAAGACCTACGTGCATTACTGACTGTGCTTTTTCTTGCTTATTCTCTGCTCTTTGGTGTAAAGACATTACTGAAAATGTCAAAAAGGTCTGCAAATACCTCTGTGGGTAATGGTAATAAGAAAAAATAAAAGCGTTTCTGTTTATCTATATAAGAGAAAGTCAAGTTGCTAGAGAAACTGGACAGCAGTGTACGTGTGAAACATCTTACAGAAGAATATGGTGGTAGAATAACTGTCATATATACCCATGGAGAAACACAAGGATAGACTGCTGAAGATCTGTGCTGAAAGTGATGAGCAGAAGATATTGAAAAATACGAAACACTGCATAAAGCTAAAAATAAATATGTAAGTTGTGTAACCAAAGTGGATATGTTAGCATCCCTGAAGAAACACATATATACACCTGAAGAAACTTAAGGGTAAACTGCTGAAGATCTGTGCTGAAAGTGATCAGCAGAAGATAATGAAAAATACAAAAACGCTGAATAAAGCTAAAAATAAATATGCTTTATTTATAAAGCATGCCACTTAATGGTGTGTGGATCATGACATTAGCAAAGATCTATTACAATGAACTAGAAAATTGAAGAGAACTCTGAATATTAAACAGATTGGTTGCAAAAATTTAAGAAAAGTCATGGCATTACATTTTTAAAGATTTATGGGGATAAAGCATCTGCTGACCATTAGGCTGTAGATAAATTTATTAATGAGTATACCAAGATTATCGCTGATGAAGACCTGATGCCAGAACAAGTCTATAATGCTGATGAAACATTCATTTCTGTTTTGGTGTTGTTGCTCTAGAAAGACATCGACTAGAGCTGATAAGACAGCCACTATAGGAATTAAGTATGCCAAGGACAGAATAAGTGGCTGGGATGTACTAATGCAACAGGCAAACATAAGTATAAACTTCCTGTGATAGGAAAAAGCTTGCATCCTCACTCTTTTCAAGGAGTAAATTTCTTAGTCCATTATTATGCTAACAAGAAAGCATGAATCATCAAGGCGTCTTCTTTGACTGGTTTCACAAACATTTTGTACCAGCAGCTCAAGCTCACTGCAGCGTCGCTGGACTGGATGATGATTGCAAGATTTTGTTATTCCTTGACAACTGTTCTCCTCATCCTCCTGTTGAAATTCTCATCAAAAATAATTTTATGCCATGTGTTTTTCCCCAAACATGACTTCATTAATTCTGTCATATCACCAAGATATTGTTAGATCAATAAAGAGTAAATATAAAAACACTTTTTTTGAAGAGCATGCTAGCAGCAGTGAACAGAGATCTGACTGTAGAAGGTTTTCAAAAGAAGTTTAGCATGAAGGATGCCATCTACGCTGTTGCCAATGCTTAGAATAAAGTGACTAAAGACACAGTTGTGCATGTCTGGAATAGCCTCTAGTCTGTAACCATGTTTAGTGATGATGATGAATAAGGTGGTGGGTTTGAAGGATTCCACATATCAAGTGAGGGAAAAAAAACGATGTCTGATCTCCTTACATATGCAAAAAATACCTTCAGAGTCCCTCAGTAAGCCGGAAGAAGTGGAATTTAGGAAGTTTTTAACAGTGATAATGAGAATGCAGATTTTCATTCATTGACTGATGATCAAATAGCCAAAATGGTTCCGAATCAACGTGATCATGAAAATAGTGATCTTGAAGATGATTTATACGTTGCAGAAAAAGAGCCCACGACAACATGGTGAAAATAAGTGATGAGCTTATTGAAGGCCTAAAGCAGTGTGCACTCATAACAGAAACAGAAATCTTCTCAGTTCATAAAATCAGAAAGTGACTTCTAAGACAAAGAATGTTGTTAATGAGACAGATGATTCTGGAGGAAGCATTTAAAAAAGCCATCCAGCTGAATGTCTCCTCATCCCTACAGGATCCACTTCCTGGTTGGCGACTGTTTCTAGTGTTTTTTTCTCACCTATAAAAGATAAAATACTGTCTACAGTAACCTTTTAATCAAAACACAGCTTCTTAGGTGGAGACTGAAAGCCTGCTCTTCTTTTTTGTTGCTGTTGTTTAACAGCTGTTAAAGGTATTCTGGTGAAGCGGGTGTGCTGATTAGTTACCCTAAACCTATTATTTTTTCACTGTATTAATATTATGTCATATTTATTATGGTTAAGTGCTTATGTGTGAAAAAAATATAAGAAAATGCTTATCAGTAGTTATAAATTCAGAGTTAGGAATGATGGTCTTGCCAAAAAAAAAAAAGCCCCACAGACTGTTCACGTGGGTGGCTGAGATAGTAGCACTTTTGGTTTCTGATGGTTCACTGTACAAGAACTTTATTTTATGCACAAAATTGTTAAAAATATTATGTAATGTTAGCTTCAGACTATCTTGGTAAAGTGCTTATGAAAAATAAATTTTGTGTTTACATTTGTGTCTCAACCTCAAGACGTCTCGTTATGTGTATGCAAATATTTCAAAATCCCAAACAATTCAAAATCTTACACACTTCTGGTTCCAAGAATTTTAGACAAGGAATAGTTAATATGTATGAATAAACAGCACTTAAGAGAGAAAACGAAATTAAATAAAAGCTGAAAGAAGAATAAAGAAATTTTACTTCACTAAGAAAAATAAAAATAGCAGAGAAGAAATGTGATGTGTTACTGTGCTAACCTAGAGTTAGAGTTATGCTACCATTGCAATGACTTTCAGGAATATTTGATGATATCAACAAGGTATTGCTTCTGCAATACATGGAAAAGGCTACAGAGATAGTTTCGGCTTAATTGAAGTGGAGCTAACATTGTTAGTTTTACTAACAATGGAAGTGATATGCATGATATTAGAATTATATAATTGTTCTGCAGGTTTTGATTGCATGCTCTATGTCACCAATTTTTAATATTACAAAAGTATAAGAGTGGGAAAAGTACAAATGGGCATTATTTTTTGTGTGTGCTTAATGTGTTGCCAAAATGTAAGGGCTGGTGATTGGTAATTCTATCAAAAAGAACACACACACTGCATACATACATATCCTGGAAAGAGAAGATTTAAAAGAAAAGTGAAATTAAGATCAATAGAGTCTGTGCTAAATAACAGTTGACATAACAGACATTGTATACTATTTCAAATAATAATTTCCATAATAGCTATAAGATAGGTTACCATTATTATTCAAATTTTAGAGATAAGGAAACTGAATTATGGTTTTATTTAGCACTGGAGAAAGCACAGACAGTAAGTAGTAGATATTTATGTAAAACAATATTCATATGTTATCTAGAGCCCACAGTTTGAACATAATATCATAAAGGATTAAGTTGGAAAAATTAAGAACTATTAGAAGGTGATGACAGTCATAGGTTTACATCATATTCTTATAATTTATTAATTTTTCTTCCATATTTATGTGTATTTTCTGAACCCGTTTCCTTATCTTAAAAATGGAAGTGTTAATACTAGTCTTGTAAGAGTTATTCTATCTTTCCCACAATTTTATCATGGACAGGAAAAAAAAACTGATAGCTACATATAAACGCATGAAAAATGAAATGATATTCATTGTTCAAATATTTTATCACATGTGTACACCTCTTGTTAAACTTTATTTTTTCACAGAAAATGATACAAGTTATTATTAAATTTGTTGCTTAATCAATGTCTTATAAGCTTAACGTATAAGTTTGTAGTTGGCCATTTTATTCTCTATTTTATTGAGAATTATTCACTAACCATGCAGTAGTATTGTTAGTACCTTTCTTTTTGATCATATGAATGATCTTTTAAAAAGCGAAGATAGAGTTTTGTGGATTAAATACCATTCAAATTATAATTTATTGTTTTATTTCACTGGCACTGCTAGAAAACTAGTAGGTTTAACTATGTAAAGACGCTCCATGTTTTTCATATTTTAACTAAATGTTATATTTAGTTTAACTATATAAATATTAACTTCCTAATACCCCAATATATTACTCACAAGCCATGAATGAACATACTTTACATGGTAGTCATTAAAAAACAACTTTTACAAGTAGACTCAGATGCCAGTATGTAATTCCCAAAAGGCTAAGAGGCTAAGAACTTGGTCTTGTGTACTGCTGTATTACTAATGGCCGAGAAAATGCCTGGGACTCAGTGAACACTCCATAAATATTGATCCTATGAGCGTGACAGTGTGTGTGTGTGTGTGTGTATGCACGCATGTGTCTGCGTGTGTGTGAGAGACAGAGAGAAGGAGAGAGAGAGAAAGAAGAGAGATCAACTTCCATCTCATTATTTCAGGCAAGAGCCACCATAAACAATGTGTACTAAGTCGTAAGAAGAAATGGAATTAGAGCTTTATTTTAGAATAAGTACTCACTGATATTAAGCAATGTCAAACATACAGAAGATTAACATAATGTTCAGGATTTGAGTAAAAATAAATCAGAAGAACTGGGAAAAGAATATATCTGCTTAAGTTTTGAATCCCTACAAAACAAAGTAGCAGCTTACATATATCAAAGTCTGGCTGTTTAGTAACTATTTTCTACTTCTGTTTAATTTTTATTGTGTGTGTGTGTGTGTGTGTGTGTGTGTGTGTGTTTGTGTAGCCTTAAATTTGCAGAATAACTTAGGACAATTTTACACTGTTATCAAATTAATGCAGCAAATGAGGAAAAAAGTCAGTGTATCTACATCAAAAAGCAAGGGTTATTTTTAACATCAATAGTAATGAAATGTTTAAATGCATTGTTTAAAATTCAAAACAGAAGTGATAGGTGCCCATTTTTAATGAGAGGAGGCAAATGAACATTTGGGAATTTTCCAACAATTCCACAATTAAAGAATATATAAAAACTAGATATTGAAAATGTGTATATCATCAGGGTGTTTGACTAAAATGTACTGTCTGTCTTGATGAACCAGAGCAAGGAAGTGTTTCAGGAGTTCATCAGTGTTGAACAGTTGCTGACAACTTTGTTCTAATTTCTGAAAACAATTGTTTGCTAAATTATGGGGTACCTGATGAATAGCTTTAATTAGATTCGCATCAAGAAAAAAGAATAAAAAAGAACATATTCTTTAACTACATCTGGCCAGATGTATTATATCTATAATTTTAGAAGATAGATATATTACTGAATTCAATATTATGGTTTATGTGGTGGTTTTCTGATTGAAAGTTCGATAATTTGTCAGATTAGTAGGATATAGATAGAAAGAGTGTGCTGTATAATTTACCAAAAAGGTTAGTTTTCTTCCATGTGAAGAAATTATAAGGAAAGTTTTCATTCTGGATGCATGTTTTAAATGCTTAGTTAATAGTAGAGCATACATTAAAACTTTAATAAATTTAAATGTTAATACACTGAACAAAATAATTTATAAGGTCCAACTAAAATTCATATAGATGATTTTCTTAACCCATAGAGCACAGAAGAAAAGTTCGTCATTGATGACTGGCAAGTTCAATTTTTTTCTTCATCTTACCCATCATATATCCTTCACTTTTTTCTCTTCTCCTTTTGTTACTATAATTTATTGCTGTTATTGTTGTTAATTTTACCATTCTGTTCAAGCAATGAAGAATATGTAGAATATAAGTTAGTTGAATAGTATTGAAATCCAGAGTTTATAAGATTTTGGATTAATATTTATAATAAAAGTTCAAAAAACAACTAAATTACGAATGCTATCTTTAAAGTAGACTTCTCGTAGTCCACAATAAACGGAAACTATTTTATAGATACAATTTCTGAAATATAATAGAGAAAGAAGATAATTGCCAGTATCAACAATATAGTATACGATGAAATTAGAATAAGTAGAGGCAGGCTTTTCACCTCTAAATAGTGAATGTTTTGCTATATTACATAAGAGCAAAGGTTAATTTTGCAGCTGGCTTTAATATCTTGTTCATGCATATCATTGGGCTATGATACTACAGGAAGTTTTCTATAGTATGAATATGAAACCATAATTTTTCACATTATAAATTAATACAGGTTCACCAAAGATTTTTTTGAAAAATTTAACTCAAGTACATAATTACATAATGTCACAAATAAAAATGATTTTCAATTAATATGCAGTAATGATAAATTATTTATTTTCTAAATTGTAGATTTTTCAGGAGCAATTTTAAATGATTCTCTTACCATTTAATTAAATCAGTACATTTTGCAATAGGTTGGTGGTTGTAATAATATTAAGGCATTTGGATAAAACTTTTGATTGACTATATTTGAAAAGCAAATGTTCTTAAAGTGCTGTCTTAACTTTATTGCAATTACGTTTTCCTAAGAAAATTTTTTTAAATGCCTTTTTCTGTCATAACTACAACTTTTAAATCTGATTTTCAAAAATGCGTTGATTTAATTGTAAAAAAAGACACTTATCTTTTGAAAATCAAAGATTACTAATAGTCAATTTAAAGTGCCAAATGGCAAATTAATGCCGTCAGCTCTAGGCTGTCTGTTTTAAAGTCATGGAACTTTCAAGAAATGTTCACTTTGAAAGAATCATGCAATATTGTGCATGATTTTCATCACCATTGGGTGATTAACTTTAAAATTGTATTCTTCAATTAAGTATGTTATCCCTAACAAACTTAAGTATATAGCAAAATTTCTAAAACATGGAAGAGTAAATGATATCACAAGTAAACCACACATCAGGTTCTCTTCCTTTTCTGGCAGCTGGAAAGAGTGAACTTTCCTGTATTTTTTAAGTTAGGCCATAGTGAAATGAATTGCTTGTGACAATGAATATGAGCAAAAGTAATAGCTCTCATTTCTGGGCAGAAGCGTTTAATTCCTCATCCTTGATTATCCAGATCCAGTCCATGTGAATATACGTTTATGAGTAGGTGCCCTGGAGACCAAAGGAACCTAACTAAAATGCTAAGATAACCTTTGGAAGACTGAGAATGCTTGGAACTGAGAGATATAATTCAGTCGTGTCATATCCATTGTTAGCACAACACAACCATTCTATCCTGACTGATACATCCTACATGAAAAAAAATCATGATTGATGCATTTACCTAAGCTAATATGTTGCTGTTATTAAGTCAAGAGTCAAAGTCAAATTCCATTTAACAATTTATTATAGCCTCTTCATATTGCTTTGTCTTCCATTGGGCTTTCAGACTTACTTTCTTCTGAGCTAATCTTCTTCACATGTGCATAGTATTATTATTAGAGGAGTAATTAAATTAATATGCATTCTTTATAAATTCTCTGCCCTTTGCAGTGAAATAAAATCGGCACTCATTATAATTTAACCTTTTCATAGTTTATAATCCATGATGGAGCATAAATAATGTGAATTCTTTAAAATGAAGCTGTCAGAGGAAGAAATTACTGTCTCATTAGACAGCTAGGTTATAATAGTTTTGAATTATATGTAGTTACTTATTAGCAGCTACAATTATACCTCATATGGGTATTTGGAATTCATGCAGCTTTAATAAATAACTTTGTTGAGATGGTGCTCTGCACATGATAAATTGGTCAGTTTTATGTTTTTGTTTAATATTTTTCTTATAATGATATAGTTTGGCATATATATGAATTCAAAATAAGTCAGTGTGGTTTTATTTTTCACCAGCTTATTTTTATTTAATTAAACCTAAAAATTATACTGACATAGATACAAATTTCCTTTTTTTCAAATATAAATTTTCTGTTTTCTTTATACGTTCAAGCTTTCTTATACATTGCAGCATTTGTAACATTAGAAAGTAAATTGTACACTTATTATTATTCATAAGAGACAATTTTTGAAGTTGGGTAATTTTTAACAAAATGATGCTATATCTTCTATGAAAATATGAGTTTTGTTGTTCAAACATTTTAATGAAATTGGATACAGAAACCAATTTTTAAAAGTCATCCTATGAAATTTCTTTATTCATTTCTGAACATCTGGCTATTTCTTGTTGAATTAGGTTTTAAATGACTATTTTAATATTTCTAAAAAATAATCAATCAGAAATACTTCATTATTTATTTCACTGGCTTTCAGTTACAATACCTATTTAAACTAAACATTTACATAGGTTGTGATACATGGAACACATTTTGCTTGAAGTTACACACACACACACACACACACACACACACACGCATATAAACAAACACACAAACAGAGATGTGATTAATTACTCTAGGTCACTGACTATTTTGTTTAATGAAAAGTTACCATTTAAACCATGCAGTTATCCTTTGATATCATGTAGTGATTGGTTCTAGGACCCCTAATAGATACAAAATTCTCCTTATAGATACAAAAATGGTGTAGTATTTGCAATGCTATATTTATTTTATGTAATGCTATATTTATATGTAAAGCTATTTATATATGTAATGCTATATATATTACATTATATATGTAATACATTTACATATATAATGCTATTTATATATGTTTATATATACAACTATATGAATAGTTGTTTTATTGTATTGTTTTTTATTTGAGTTATTTTTATTGCATTTTATAAGTTTTTTTTAATCAGAGCTTGGTTACATCCATGGATGCAGAACCCATAAATATGGAGGGAGGACTGAATGAATATAATAAGATTTTAAAATAAGAGAAATTAAATTAGTAAATTATGTAAGACTCATTCACCTTCAATATTTTAACATTATTTATTAAAACGAACATGTACTTACAATGCTTTTACTATATTCTAAGCAGTGGGCTATGCAAGGAGGATTAAACAAATACCAGTGTATAAAAAAATGCACCACGCGGAAGTAATACTTTTATTAAAAATTACAATTAATAATGAAGAGTGCCCCTGATACGGTTTTGCTTTGTGTCCTCTTGAAATCTCTTGTAATTCCCATAATCCCCATGTGTCAAGGGTGGAACCAGGTGGAGGTAATTGGATCATGGGGGCGGTTTCCCCGCTGTTGTTCTCACGGTAGTGAGTGAATTCTCACAAGATCTGATGGTTTTATACACATCTGGCATTTCCCCTTCTTGTACTCACTCTGTCCTGCCACCATACGAAGAAGGTGTCAGCTTTTCCTTTGCCTTCTGCCATGACGTTTTGTAAGTTTCTTGAGGCCTCCCCAGCCATTCAGTGCTGTGAATCAATTAAACATTTTTCCTTTATAAATTACCCAGTCTCAGGTATTTCTTCATAGCAGTGTGAGAAGAAACTAATACAAACCCTTTGTTTGCTGTTTCATTAATATCTTTAAGCAATTTCTAATTAGATTTTTTTAATTTTGAATTTTTTAGGTATATAGTCAGTGTACATATTTATGGGGTATGTGAGATATTTTGGTACAGGCATGCAATGTGTAATAATCACATAGTGGAAAATTGGGTATCTATGCCCTCAAGCATTTAACTTTTGTGTTAGAAACAATCCAATTATACTCTTTTAGTTATTTTTAAATGTCAAATTAAATTACTATTGACTATAGTGCCCTTGGTGTGCTATCAACTACGGTTTTATTTATTCTTTTAAATTATTTTTTGTACACATTAACCATCTCCCCTCCTTCCTCTCACCCACCAACTACCCTTCCCAGCTTCTGGTAACCATCTTTTAAGGATTTTTTATGACAATTTCTTTATGTTTTTAAGTACTTATAATTTTTTATTTATTTTATTTTATTGTTGTATTTATTCATTTATTTTATTAAGTACTTGTAATTTCATTTCCATTTTGTGCATATACACATTCCAATCCCTATATTAGGTAATGGAAATACTAGTACAAAAAATGTACTTTGAATAATAGCACTTTCCATCTGATAATGTAACAGTCATTGCTATGTAACATACAATTCAAAACATATTGTGGCGTAAAATAGCTGCATTTATTTAGCTGGCAAATCAGTAGGTCAGCTGGAAAATGACTAAGAGAGTTTTGCTCAATTTTTAGAGGTCAGTTAGAGGATCAATGGCAGATTGGCTTTGCTAATCTTGGCTAGGTTTTTCTGTGTATCTGGAAACCTGGTAGAGATGAAAGAGTTGACTCAGCTCTACCTCACATATTTTCTTATGCACCACCATCCTAGATTGGGCTTGCTCTTCAGAAACCCAAGAAAAAGGGCAAAAATATACTAGATAACTTGAGGGAGGCTCAGAATTGACAACCTGTCACTTCTGCCACACTCTACTGACTGAAGCACGTCCCAGGTATATTAGTCAGGGTTCTCTAGATGGATAGAACTAATCAGATATATGTATATCTGAATGGGAGTTTATTAAGGAGACTTGATTCACACAATCACAAGGTGAAGTTCCACATTAGGTCATCTGCAAGTTGAGGAGCAAGGAAGCCAGTCGTGGCTCAGTCCAAGTCCCAAAACCTCAAAAGCAGGGAAGCCGATAGCGCAGCCTCCAGTCTGTGGCCAAAGGCCTGAGAGCCCCTGGCAAATCACTGGTGTAAGTCCAAGGGTCCAAAAGCCAAAGAACTTGAAGTCAGATGTTTGAGGGCAGGAAGCATCCAGCATGGGAGAAAGATGAAGGCTGGAAGACTCAGCAAGTCAGCTTCTTCCACCTTCTTCTGCCTTTTCCTAGCCAGTCTGGCAGCTAATTGGATGGTGCCCACCCACACTGTAGATGGGTCTTCCTGAGGATGGGTCTTCCTCTCCTAGTCCACTGACTCAAATCTTAATCTCTTCTGGCAACACCCAGAAACACCCACATATACCCAGAGACAATACTTTGCATCCTACAATCGCATTAAGTTGCCATTTAATATTAACCATCACACAAGGCCAGCCCTTATGAAAGGGTGAGAAAGTTCACCACATTTCTTAGGAGAATCTGCTAAGTCACATGGAAAGGGGTTTGGATATAGAGAAGGAAATAATCATAGCCGTTTTTTTTTTTCAAGATAGTAAACCTGACATGAAAATAAATGTACATTTTGAATAAACATAATAATGCTTTTCTGTTTTGACATTTGAAATCTAAGGCCATATCATGAGCATGAAAACTGAATGGGTTGCAATTCATAGAATCTGTGCATTTTGTTTAACCTAGTTCTCAATAATGGTAAATACAGTAAATATGTGAGAGAACTATAAAATTTGTAAGTAAATTTCCAGTTTTGTCTTCCATTTCTACAACTTTTTATACCAAAATTAAATACTCATCATTCCTCCAATGGGCCTCTCATTTATTCCTTAACTTATGCTCTATACCTTAGGCCCATATAAAACTTAGTGCTGTACCAGAATAGCCTAAACATCCCATTTGTTTCAAATTCTGTTTTCTCTAGAACAAAATCACATATCTGGAATCTCAATCTGACTTTTTTTTTGTAATTTCCTTGTCATATTAATGTACATAACATATGATATAAAGTCACTTCAATTTCAAATATTGTTTACGTGTGTTTCTTCTCTTTGCTATTAAACAGCAAAGTTTTTAACAGAAAGCGTTTTATTCACCAATTTTTATTAGTACAATGAGAGATTTTTTTTAATTAGAAGCCTACAAAGATAAGAATGTTAGTAAACATTGGTAGAATATTTCAACATAATTGTAAAAGCTTTAAAGTGGTTGCAGCAAAGTAAATAATTTAGGAGAATGGGGCAAGCAGAAAATGAAATGTCTACAGAGCTGCAGAGGGAGATATTAACAGAAATAAACCAGAATTTTACCCTCCCCCCAAACACACACAAGTGAAACTCTAAAACAATTAGAAAGTAAAGGCATGGGTAATTGGGACTTCAAAGGTGATGCGAGTCTAATTATTATTTCAATTTAACAGGTAACAACAATGACATTTAAAGAGGTTAAGTGACTGCCGTAGGTTTCACATCAATATTAATTTGTGAGACTTGCATTAGATCTTCAAATTCAACATCTGGAGTTTAAGAAAAGCTTTCTTTTACTTTGGAAATCACTTTCTGACAATAGCTAGCTCTGTTAATTTTGCTTAAACAACGTATTTACCTTCCACTCTCTATTATCCTGTATTGTTTTTCTAACTTTTTATATATGTTCAATTATAATATATTTCTCAAAGGTTTTAATGGCATAACAATAACAAGATGACAGGAATTTAGAAAAAGGATACTCTCAGTATGATCCCAGACAAGTTAATGATTTTGTTAATCAACTGATTCAATATAAAGTTAGAAAAATTAAACTATTATAAACTGAATGATTGCCCCTCCCCCAAACTCATATGTTGAAGCCCTAACCCTCAGTGTGACAGAATTTGGATATAAAGCCTCTGGAGGTTAGAGCAGATGAGGACACAAGGATGGAGCCCTTATAATTGTGTCAGTGTCCTTTCAAGCATAGACTACATATAGCTTGCCTTCTTTGCATGCACAAAAAGGAAGTCGTGTGAGCACCCAGTGAAAAGGCAGCAGCAGTCTATAAGCCAGAAAGAGAGGCAGAACCTGACTATGCTGACATCCAGACATCCAGGTTTCAGACTTCTAGCCTCCACAACTGTAAGAAAATAAATTGCTACCATGTAAGCAACTCAGACTACAATATTTTGTTATGACAGTCTGAAATGACTGATAACAAAGTACTAATCCATGAATTGGATGTAAGAATTAACTGAAGGAAAAGAATAAACAGTTGACTTTTCTTCAATTCTTGTTGTACAGGGAAATGATATATATGAATAAAAAATATAAAAATAGTAAACACAGCATTACATAAGTAACCCTGCCACAGGCATGCTATGTTTGTATTATTTATAATAAACTGCATTCTAACATAAGCATTTATTCTAATTTTCAAATAAAGATTGCGCAGAAAAGAGTTAATGTAGTAGTTTGGAGACTGATATCCTTAGAAAGGACTGCTCTTATGGTTGTCTGTTAGCTGATCTGGGAACATGGATTACAGGAGAGTTCCTACCATTCCCAAAATTTATAAGAGAAACTATTATACCTAAACTTTTTTTGCAAACAGTATGGTTTATGCCGAATACCTACTTACCTTCTGAGAACCAAGAATTTTGATATATACAAAGCAAAAAGTGCCTACGTGACCAACCCCAGTAAAAACCCTGGGCACCGAGTCTCTAATGAGCTAATTAGAATATGCTAATGAATGAACTAATAAAATATTGATAGACAATATTTCATATATATTGTCATAACTCATTGTTGGAGGATAGGCCTGTGTGACTCCACTGTGAGAGGACTTTTGGATACTTGTACCTAGTTTCTTGTAAAGTTTGCTGCATTCACCTTTTACTTTTGTGGATTTATCTTTGTATCTTTTTGCTGCATTGAATAATAGACATGAATATAACTATATGTTGAGTTCATTGAGCCTTCCTAGCAAATTGCCAGTCCTGGGATAAGTCTTAGGGACCACTGACATAGGCTCAGGGAGCATAACTTATTTTCCCTCCCCATTTTATCTGATTCCAAAAATCTGTGATATGAAAACTCACAGGTAATAGAGAGAATAGAAAAACAGTATTGAAAAAATAGTATGAATATTACCATGAAGCTATGTGGGAGCTCAAGGATGCAGTGGGCGAGGATTCCTCCACTGCACTCCAGCCTGGGCAACAGAGTGAGACCCTGTCTCTAAAAAAGTAAGTAATTAATTAATTAAATATTAACATAAAGGAGAAAAATATACTATTACCTGAATCAAGATGATGTTTGGCATACCTCAGTTTATCTTTAAGTTGTACAAGTGCAGTTTTATTTAACAAGCTTTTATTTAAAGGTGTGTGTCAAAAAGATGGAAAATCAAATCAAGTTTATTCAAAAATACTAAATCACGATCCCTCTTTCTTCACTTCCTCCAGAGTATTCAAAGACTATTTGAATCTCTTTGAATGTTTCTAATAACTTGCTTTATGAATTTGGGTGCTCCTGTGTTGGCTGCATATATATTTAAGATAGTTAGGTCTTCTTGTTGAATTGAACCCTTTACCAGTATGTAATGCCCTTCTTTATCTTTTTTTATCTTTGCTAAAGTCTATTTTGTCTGAAATTAGAATTGCAATCCCTGTTTTTTTCTGTTTTCCATTTGCTTGGTAGATTTTTCTTCATCTCTTTATTTTGAACTTATGGGTGTCACTGCATGTGAGATAGGTCTGTTGAAGACAGCATACCACTGGGTCTTGCTTCATTATCAAACTTGCAAATATGTACCTTCGAATTGGGGCATTTAGCTTGTTTACATTCAAGGTTATATTGATACGTGTGGATTTGATCCTGTTATCATAATGTAAGCTATTTACTATGCAGATTGGTTTATATGATTGCTTCATATTGTCACTGGTTTGTGAACATAAGTGTGTTTTTGTAGTGGCTGGTAATGGTCTTCCACTTCCATATTTAGTGCTTCTCTCCAAAGGTGCTGTAAGGCAGGTTAAATGATAGCAAATTCTCTCAGCATTTCCTTGTCTGAAAAGGATCTTATTTCTCCTTTTCTTATTAAGCTTAGTTTGGCTGGATATGAAATTTTGGGTTGCAATTTCTTCAATTTGAAAATATTGGATATTGGCACCCAATATCTTCTGCATTGTAAGGAGATACCTTCTCACACCAGTAAGAATGGCTATTATTAAAAAGTCAAAAAATAACAAGGGCTGACAAGTTTGCAGAGAAAAAGAAACACTTATACACTGTTGGTGAGAGTGTAAATTAGTTCAACCATTGTGCCAAATGGTACTGTTGGTGGGAGTGTAAATTAGTTCAACCATTGTGGCAAATGGTGTGGCAATTCCTTGGAGACCTAAGAACAGAACTACCATTCAGCCCAGCAATCCCATTACTGGGTATACACCCAAAGGAAAATAAATTGTTCTATCATAAAGATACATGCACACGTATGCTCATTGCAGCACTACTCGTGACAGCAAAGACATAGCATCAACCTAAATGTCCAGCAATAACAGATCAGATATAGAAAATGTTGTGTATACACACCATGGAATACTCTGCATCCATAAAAAACAAAAACAAGATTATGTCCTTTGAAGGAATATGGATGGAGCTGGAGGTCACTGTCCTTAGAAAACTAACGCAGCAACAGAAAACCAAATACCAGAAGTTCTCACTTATAAGTGGAGCTAAATGATGAGGACACATGGACAAATAGAGGGGAACATCAGACTCTAGAAGCTGTCAGAGGATGGAGGGAGGGAGAGGATTTGGAAAAATAACTCATGAGCACTAGGCTTAACACCTGAGTGACAAAAACTAATCTGTACAACAAACCTGTGACACAAGTTTACCTATGTAATAAATCTGCACATTTACCCCTGAACTTAGAATAAAAGTTAAAAAATAAATTTAAAAAAGAATATTTAAGAGAAATTTAGTAGGTCCAGTTATTTGTTAAAAATTTTAACTCCAGAGAAAGCAAATACTTTCTTTGGTCTTCTTTTTCTAATTTTCTACAAGAATTCTCATTGGACAGGAATAGAGAAGAGCACATGAGCTTATCTTAGTCTCACATTTATGAAATACTTTATTTTTCTCTATTTTCTTCAAGCTCTGTTTTCCCTGAACACTACTCTCTTTTCTAAGAAGACATTCATCTCTTTTCTGAGAAGGCATTTCTGCAAAGGCATTCATCATCATCAGGTATTTTAAGCCTGGGTAACACCAATTTTGTGGCCTATAGATATGAGCTAATCTCTTTGGGCATAAAGATCAGAGCAATGAAGTTTGCATGGATAAGACATAATGCCAGCAGGCAAACAGGACGCCTATTTGAGAATACCAGGTCTCAGTAAATATACTGATTGTATTATGTGCCGTGCTCTCGACATAGGTGTACTGAAGAAAGGGATATAGGCATAGATGAGAAGGAGAAAATAATCAGTGTAAGAGGAAAATCAGTAAGAATATGGAAAAACTAAACCAAAACAAAGGGAAACTTCTGCTATGGAATTCTCCTTGTACTGCCTTTACCTACTTCATGCTCTTTTCTGTCAAAGATTAAAGAAGGCCTTTTACAATTAAATAGCTATGGCCTAAAAACAAATTAAAATTTGCTGACAATATAATATTTACTTCTAATTATGATTTACATAATTTATTAAACAAATATTTTTCAAGCTACCACATTTTGCTAGGTAGTAAGAACACAATGTTAAGCGAAATTTGGTTCATTTAACCATGTATTGGTTTTAAGAAATCAAAATAGATCACCTTAACACAAATTATTTGGCTGATACTAACGCTGCCATATAAAAGTGTTCTGTTTTTTTAGTGGGTGTTTTCATAAGAAAATTAATAATATATTTCTATTGTGTTTTTAATATGCTGAAAAATGCATTTGAAAGAGGAAAACAGTTTCCTTCACAAAAAAATGAGAAGATAAGTGAGATGAAAACTTGTAATTAAGATGACCTTGGTTCTAAAGTTATTAACTAAATAATGGATTTATTCAGGACTTAAGATATAATACAGTTCCTTGGATTAAGAATGTTTGCCATCATTAATTATTCCATAATTGAGGTCACTGGACTTGGAAATGTACTATGTCAAAATTAATTCACCAATACAATATCTAAAATCCTTTAATTCTGTACTTGGAAGTTTGAAAATATGTGTTTCGAGATCTTGAAATCCTTAAATTGAGTATTATGTGTATGTATAAATGCAAATAGTATACAAGTCATAAAATTGAATATAAATATTGGCTAAAGTTTAAAGAAAAATGATAAATTAAATTGTTTGGTAGCTGGTTATGATAATGTTTTTGCTTTTAGATTTTATAATCATAGAGAATATTTAGTTTACTATGTCATCTTCTAATTTGGAAATTTTTTTTAATTATGGAGAAAGTACGGGGAATTTTATCTGACTTATACTTTGCTCTTAATTATAGTATGCATAATGTTCTTAAAAACTGTTAACTAAGGTTAGGTTAATGTGCTAATAGGTTATTTGATAAACCATTATTATTATAATTTTAGATAGTTATTAATCTATTCTTGCTCAGACTTCTTTGATTAAAACATCCCTTTAGATATGATTGTATATGTTTAGATCACTATGCCATTTGAACTTTATTAAATTAAGAGAATTTCAGGTACAAGCTAATATGTTGGGTTGATTGAAAAAATGACTACAAGTCTCAAATTTTCCATATTAATGTCATCTGCAAATCCTCTCATCAAGAGTTTGAATGTATTTTCTCACTCTTAGTTAGCCTAGGCTGGCTTCTTTCTTTCCTTGAACTAAGAAAATTTATAGTATGCTAGTTTCAAGTGTAGTCCTCGAGTCTTCACACATTTCCATTTTCTATTGAAACCAACATGAGAACAAGTCTGTGCTAACTTGTTAAAAAATAAGAGTGCAGGTGGATCAGAAATAAATTGTCCAACTGAGGACATCCTTGTGCAGTTAGACCACAGCCAAATCAATTCATGGCAGACACAAGCCTAAGGCCAGATTAACTGAGTCTGCCCTAGCAATCTCACATAACTACCAGTAATAAGAAATAATAATTGTTCTCGTTTTAAGTCACTGAGATTTGTGGTATTTTATTACAGAGTGATATTTAACTGGTATGACTAGGAAACCTATTTTTTTGTATAAATATTATATTGATAATAAAAATTGGAAAATTATTTTGGAAATAGCTTCTGAAAGTGCAATAGTGAGATTCTGCTGACATATTTGTTATTAAGCACAAGCCTTAATTTCATTAAAATTTGCATGTAAGATGGATTTTAAATTAGAAATTGTTTGTCAAAGAACTGTAATAGATTCTAATAAATGATATGTATAGAATGAAAAACTCAATAAATAAAACTAAGAACGTAATGCATGGATTTAAAACACATTATACATAGTTAATAAGATAGCTAATAAACTGAAAAAAAGAAAGAAATGTCCAGAATAAAGAAATAGTATGGAGTCATAGGAGGTAGAATCAAAATGGCAAACACACTGCTAATTGAGTGCCAGAAAAAGAGGGGGAAGAAAATAAATCAGCATCAATATTTGATGACCTATTGCATGAAAGGCTCATGAAATTGATGTAAGACATGAAACTATGAATATAAAAACCACTATAAATACTAAGCAGGATAAATAGCAAAAGAAAAATATTCTGAAGCATTACACTATACAACTATCAAAAATCAAATATGAGAATAAAAATAATAAAAACAGCCATGAAAAGTTACATAAGGTAAAAAAGACTAATTATTTTAATGCTAATTGGTTTTAAAAATGAAGAAACTGATCTTTCAATGTCATGTGTAATTTATTAAGGCAGATATTCCAAATAAGAGAACAGGGATTAAAACCCATTTATACCTGCCTCAAAAGTTCATGTGTTTTCCACTGCCCTACCTTCCCCCACTTCACATATTCCCAGCTTCCACAGATTACGGGACTTAAATTGGTTTATTTACTTGTACAAAAGCTGAATAAATGATAAGTTTTTACGTCTTTGTATTTTTCTGGTTGTTGTCCATCTTGAATACATGTAATCTAATTGTACGCTACATGACTTAAAATTCTGTGCAGAGAGACATCAAGTAAGAGCTGTGACTAATTAAATCTAAAATGGTTTAATAAAACATAAAATTCTCATTATGATCATGATTATAATCACCTTCATCATCAAAAAATAGAAGTGCAGTGCCTGTATGAACATGATATATCTTGTTAGGGTTATAATATGCAAATTTAGACTAGCTTGATTTAGATTCTAATTTCTTCTATTACTGGCATAGAGCTTTGAAGAAGTCACATAATCCTTATTTTTTTCCTTCTATAAATAGGAAAAGTAAAAATGGTTCCCTCATTGTATAATTTTGTTAAATAAACAAGATATTCCATATAAACCAATTGTTGCAGTGTCTAGCACAGGGAAACCACAAAATAATTGTTAATAAAAATAAATATTACTATTTAAACCAAAAAGTCCATTATTGAGAGTTTATAAAGTGATACTGAAAATCTTAACAGCACATAAACGTTTTTTCAAAAATAAAAAAGTTTGAGTAAATATAAAAGTTCTGACAATTGCATTTGCATAGGCAGTGCATTTTGCAGAATGAATTTATACATAAAAGAGTTTGGAAAAAATATTTAACGTCATTTTTACCTTGAAAAATCTTCAGCTCTCCAAAAGTGATTTTATCAATTTTTGGTTTAATTTAGAGAATTCTGACCACAAAAATACTTGTGATAAACTCAGGATAAATGATACTACTTTACTCATTTTTACACAATGTTCAACATATATGTTAAATGTAGTTGACATTTTAAATTGTATAGTATATATCTTGTAGCATAAAGAGTATGTCAATGTCAAATCTGTCCCACTTATATCTAGTAAACAATCAGAAGACTTTAACATTTTTGAAGTATGTAAATATATTCTATTAAAGATAAACTTAAGAGAATACATGAATAAATTTGATAGACTCAAAGCAAATAAATTACACCTCCATATAAAACACAAGAATGTAGAATTATGCTGAAATTAATATAGAAAACCTGAAGCAACAATAGATGAAAGACAAGCTTTATCCATGTCTATTTGATGTTACTTTACTATGGCAATAACTTTAATACATAATGGAAAACACTGCTGCCTTCAGATGGCAATACATCATCTCGAAGCTTTATTCTTTGACTGAAAGAAGTGATTTTATTTCATTAAATTTTGTCCCTAAGACATGGTCACTCCACATGACCTTAGTTTAGCAGTCACTATTATCAAACTCAGGGAAATTATAACAACATTTATACATCTCTCTTGACAATGGTTTTATGTAAGGAATAATTAGTAAAAGACTCTATTATAAAAAAGAAGACATCTAAAAGAATTCTTGGATGCATTGCAGCATAATTTCTCACCACTTGATACAAGTAAAACACAAGTTTTCAGCAATAGCATGCCTTTTATTGCCCCAGGGAACAGAGAAGCCACATTCAAAGGAACTCTTCCTTTGGGATTGCCTCCAAGAGTGGCAGACAAATCTTTTACGCTTGTAAAAAAAAGAAAAAAAAAAGTCCAAAGAGCTCCTGCTTATACATTCACACTTAATAAATCCAGTTTTAAGCATATCCCTATTAGAATGAGAACAAAATCCCCTGAAACTTTCACTCCTCACCGTCTTCACTCTTCGATGTCTTTATTTTAGACTTCCATTTAAATTTTTGAATAAAATTCAGCTTCTGCTAACTTAGTGTGCAATGTTTACAAAAAAAATAGATGCTAGTGCATTAACACAGAAAGCATATTTGCAAACATTCAACACACCATACTTATTTAGGGAATAAGGAACTACCTGCAATTTTTTATTTCCCAAGAGATATTGCTGGGTAAATTTTCTTATCATCACATGGATATTTATTTTCTTTCTAACATATGATCAACAACTATCCTTTAAATAAAACTGTTTTTTGAAGCTTAAATATGCAAGAATACATGAATACAATTACACTGAAAAAATAAAATGGCAAAATGTTTTATTCATCCACTAGACAAATATATATCGGGTGCCTACTATGTGCCAGGATGTTTTAGATTCTTGGGAGACAACAAAACAAGCATAAACCTTGCTCACCTGGGAGCATATCAAACATGGCCAAGATAAATAAATTACTCAACAGGAATACATAGAACCCTGCCAGAATTTGTACTTTTTTTAGTTGTAATAGAAAGCTACTGGAATGTTTTAAGCAAAAGAGAAACGGGATGATTTATGTTCATGGAGAATCTTTCCTGCTCCTTTGTGGTAAGAATGGAAATGAAGAAAGCAGCAAGGAGACCATTAAGAAAGTCCAGGTATGAGATGATAGTGGTCATTAGAAAGTAGGCATCAAGGTTAGTGGGGGTGATCATATGAAGTGGTCAGATGTAGCATGTTCCTGTAGGAGGTAATCTCTTAAAATGTTAATGTCTTGAATATATTTATCTTTCTAATAAATGTGTGAAAATTTGGGTAGTACCCAAATTACCAGATAAAGGAATGTTTTAAACTACAGAGATGGTTACAAACTGTTGGTTAATTTGAAATCTTATAGTAATTAATCACTTCAAGCTATGTAAAAAACGGTTTTTATAGTTTTTAATTTTTTTCATTGTGAACATAAGTGGAAAATAACTGACAACTACCTTTGAAAACAAGTGTTACCTTTGAAGTAATCATATTTTAAAACAACAGAATGAGTTAACAATGATAGTTTTGTATTTTAATATATACCTATGCACATGATTAAATAATATTTAAAAACTAAACTCTAAAATTTGTAACTCCTTTGAAAATATACAATTTTAACCTATTAAACTATTCAGTGTATACATAGTTGAGAATAGCAAAGAAATAGTAAATACTGGCTGGGCGCGGTGGCTCATGCATGTAATCCCAGCACTTTGGGAGGTCGAGGCTGGCGGATCACAAGGTCAGGAGATCAAGACCATCCCGGCTAACACGGTGAAACCCCGTCTCTACGAAAAATACAAAAAAATTAGCCAGTCGTGGTGGCGGGCGCCTGTAGTCCCAGCTACTCTGGAGGCTAAAGCAGGAGAATGGTGTGAACCTGGGAGGCGGAGCTTGCACTGAGCGGAGGTCGCGCCACTGCACTCCAGCCTGGGCGACAGAGCAAGACTACGTCTCAAAAATAAATAAATAAATAAAATAATAGCAAATACCTGTTCAACCACCTCAGTTGAAGAATCCCAACTATTTCTTACCATATAATTAGAGAGAATGAAACACATTGACACAAGAAAGTGTAAAGTACAAAGGAGTGTATTATTTTACGATTCTATTATGAAAATGACTATGTGGGCAATTATTTGGCATACACTAGTAAGCTGAAACAAATTTCTATTCATTAAAAATGGCAGTTTCTTAAAATGTTAAGAAGTCTGGCATTTGACCCTCTATAATGCAGTTTTTTTTAAAATACATTAAGTTCTTGAATACATGTGCAGAACATGCAGGTTTGTTACATAGGTATAGACGTGCCATGGTGGTTTGCTGCACCCATCAACCTGTCATCTGCGTTAGGTATTTGTCCTAATGCTATCCCTCCCTCAGCCCCCTACCTGCTGACAGGCCCCAGTGTGTGATGTTCCACTCCCTGTGTCCATGTGTTCTCATTGTTCAATTCCCAATTATGAGTGAGAACATACGGTGTTTGGTTTTCTGTTCCTTTTTTTTTGCAGGGACATGGATGAAGCTGGAAACTGTTAAGAATGATGGTTTCCAGCTTCATCCATGTCCCTGCAAAAAACATGAACTCATCCTTTATTATGGCTGCATAGTGGTGTATATGTGCCACATTTTCTTCATCCAGTCTATCACTGATGGGCATTTGGGTTGGTTCTAAGTCTTTGCTATTATGAACAGTGCTGCAATAAAAATATGTGTGCATTTGTCTTTATAGTAGAATGATTTATAATCTTTTGGGTATATATCCAGTAATGAGATTGCTGGGTCAAATGGTATCTCTGTTTCTAGATCCTTGAGGAATCACCATTGTGGAATCTGTCTTCCACAATGGTTGAACTAATTTATACTCCCACCAACAGTGTAAAAGCGTTCCTATTTCTCCACATCCTCTCCAGCATCTGTTGCTTCCTGACTTTTTAATGATCGCCATTCTAACTGGCATGAGATATCTCACTGTGGTTTTGATTTGCATTTCTCTAATGACCAGTGATGATGAGCTTTTAATCTTTTCTTTTTTTATTATACTTTAAGTTCTGGGATACATGTGCAGAATGTGCAGGTTTGTTACATAGGTATACACGTGCCATGGTGGTTTGCTGCATCCATCAACCCGTCATCTACATTAGGTATTTCTCCTAATGGTATCCCTATCCTAGCCCCCCCCCCCACCTCCTGACAGGCCCTGGTGTGTGATATTCCACTCCCTGTGTCCATGTGTTCTCATTGTTCAGCTCCCACTTATGAGTGAGAACATGTGGTGTTTGGTTTTCTGTTCCTGTGTTAGTTTGCTGAGGATGACGGTTTCCAGCTTCATCCATGTCCCAGCAAAGGATATGAACTCATCCTTTTTATGGCTGCAGAGTATTCCATGGTGTATATGTGCCACATTTTCTTTATCCAGTCTATGATTGATGGACATTTGGGTTGGTTCCATGTCTTTGCTATTGTGAACAGTGCTGCAATAAATATACACGTGCATGTGTCTTTATAGTAGAATGATTTATAATCCTTTGGGTATATTCCTAGTAATGGGATTGCTGGGTCAAATGGTATTTCTGGTTCTAGATCCTTGAGGAATCGCCACACTGTCTTCTGCAATGGTCGAACTAATTTACATTCCCACCAACAGTGTAAAAGCCTTCTTATTTCTCCACATCCTTTCCAGCATCTGTTGTTTCCTGACTTTTTAATGATCGCCATTCTAACTGGTATGAGATGGTATCTCATTGTGGATTTAATTTGCATTTTTCTAATGACCAGTGATGATGAGCTTTTTTTTCATATGTTTCTTGGCCACACAAATGTCTTCTTTTGAGAAGTGTCTGTTCATATCCTTTGCCCACTTTCTGATGTTTTTTTTCTTGTACATTTGTTTATGTTTCTTGTAAATACTGGATATTAGTCCTTTGTCAGATGGATAGATTGTGAAAATTTTCTCCCATTCTGTAGGTTGCCCATTCATGCTGATGACAGTTTCTTTTGCTGTGCAGAAGCTCTTTAGTTTAATTAGATTCAGTTTGTCAATTTTGGCTTTTGTTGCCATTGGTTTTGGTGTTTTAGTCATGAAGACTTTGCCCATGCCTATGTGCTGAATGGTATTGCCTAGGTTTACTTCTAGGGTTTTTATGGTTTTAGGTTTTACATTTAAGTCTTTAATCCATCTTGAGTTAATTTTGTATAAGGTGTAAGGAAGGGGTCCAGTTTCAGTTTTCTGCATATGGCTAGTCAGTTTTCCCAACACCATTTATTAAATAGAAATCCTTTCCCCATTGCTTGTTTTTGTCAGGTTTGTCAAAGATCAGATGGTTGCAGATGTGTGGCATTATTTCTCAGGCCTCTGTTCTACCATTGGCCTATATATCTGTTTTGGTACCAGCACCATGCGTTTTGGTTACTGTAGCCTTGTAGTGTAGTTCAAAGTCAGGTAGCGTAATGCCTCCAGCTTCGTTCTTATTGCTTAGGATTGTCCTGGCTATACAGGTTCTGTTTTGGTTCCATATCAAATTTAAAGTAGTTTTGTCTAATTCTGTGAAGAAAGTCAATGGTAGTTTGATGGGGATAGCATTGAATCTATAAATTATTTTGGGCAGTATGACCATTTTCACAATATTGATTCTTCCTATCCATGAGCATGCAATATTCTTCCATTTGTTTGTGTCCTCTGTCATTTCATCGAGTAGTGATTTGTAGTTCTCCTTGAAGAGGTCCTTCACATCCCTTGTAAGTCATATTCCTAGGTGTTTTATTTTCTTTGTAGCAATTGTGAATGGGAGTTCACTCATGATTTGGCTGTTTGTCTATTATTGGTGTATAGGAATTCTTGTGATTTTTGCACATTGATTTTGTATTCTGAGACTTTGATGAAATTGCTTATCAGCTAAAGGAGATATTGGGCTGAGACGACAACTGGGTTTTCTAAATATAAAATCATGTGGTCTGCAAACAGAGACAATTGGACTTCCTCTTTTCCTAATTGAATACCCTTTATTTCTTTCTCTTGCCTGATTGCCCTGGCCAGAACTTCCAATACTGTGTTGAATAAGAGTGGTGAGAGAGGGCATCTTTGTCTTGTGCCAGTTTTCAAAGGGAATGCTTCCAGTTTTTGCCCATTCAGTATGATATTGGCTGTGGGTTTGTCATAAATAGTTCTTATTATTTTGAGGTACGTTCCATCAATACCTGCTCTATTGAGAGTTTTTAGCATGAAGCAGTGTTGAATTTTATGGAAGGCCTTTTCCGCATCTATTGAGATAATCATGTGGTTTTTGTCATTGGTTCTGTTTATGTGATGGATTATGTTTATTGATTTGCATATGTTGAACCAGACTTGCATCCCAAGGATGAAGCTGACTTGGTTGTGGTGGATAAACTTTTTGGTTGTGCTGCTCGATTCAGTTTGCCAGTATTTTATTGAGAATTTTTGCATCAATGTTCATCAGGGATATTGGCCTGAAATTTTGTTTTTTTTGTTGTGTATCTGCCAGGTTTTGTTATCAGGGTGATGCTGGCCTCAAAAATGAGTTGGAGAGGAGTCTCTCTTTTTCATTTGCTTAGAATAGTTAAATAAGGAATAGTATTAGCTCCTCTTTGTACCTCTGGTAGAATTTGGATGTGAATCCATCTGGTGCTGGGCTTTTTTTCGTTTGTAGGCTATTAATACTGCCTCAATTTCAGAACCTGTTATTGATCTATTCAGAGATTTAACTTCTTCCTGGTTTAGTCTTGGGAAGGTGCATGTGTCCAGGCATTTATTCATTTCTTCTAGATTTTCTAGTTTATTTGCTTAGAGGTTTTTATAGTATACTCTGATGATAGTTTGTTATTTCTGTGGGATCAGTGGTGATATCCTCTTTGTAATTTTTTATTGTGTCAATTTGATTCTTCTCTCTTTTCTTCTTTATTAGGCTGGCTACCAGTCTATCTATTTTGTTAATTTTTTCAAGAAACCAGGTCTTGGATTCACTGATATTTTGAAGGGATTTTCATGTCTCTGTCTCCTTCAGTTCTGCTCTGATCTTAGTTATTTCTTGTCTTCTGCTAGCTGTTGAATTTGTTTGCCCATGCTTCTCTAGTTCTTCTAATTGTGATGTTAGGGTGTTGATTTTAGATATTTCCTGCTTTCTCTTGTGGGCATTTAGTGCTATAAATTTCCCTCTAAACACTGCTTTAGCTGTTTCTCAGAGATTCAGATACATTGCATCTTTGTTCTCACTGGTTTCAAAGAACTTATTTATTTCTGCCTTCATTTCGTTATTTACCCAGCAGTCCTCCAGGAGCAAGTTGTTCAGTTTCAATGTAGTTGTGCAGTTTTGAGTGAGTTTCTTAATCCTGGGTTCTAATTTGATTGCACTGTGGTTTGAGAGCCTGTTTGTTATGATTTCTGTTCTTTTGCATTTGCTGAGGATTGTTTTACTTCCAATTATGTGGTCAATTTTAGAATAAGTGCTATGTGGTGCTGAGAAGAATGCATATTCTGTTGACTTGGGGTGGAGAGTTCTGTTGATGTCTATTAGGTTAGCTTGGTCCAGAGCTGAGTCCAAGTCGTGAATATTCTTGTTAATTTTCTGTCTAATATTGACAATGGGCTGTTAAGATCTCCCACTATTATTGTGTGGGAGTCTAAGTCTCTGTATTGGTATCTAAGAACTTGCTTTATGAATCTGGGTGCTCCTGTATTGGGTTCATATATATGTAGGATAGTTACCTATTCTTGTTGCGTTGATCCCTTTACCATTATATAAACCCTTCTTTGTCTTTTTTGATCTTTGTTGGTTTAAAGTCTGTTTTATTACAGACTAGGACTCAACCCCTGCTCTTTTTTTTGCTTTCCATTTGCCTGGTAAATATTCCTCCATTCCTTTAATTTGAGCCTATGTGTGTCTTTGCACGTGAGATGGGTCTCCTGAATACAGCACACCGATGGGTCTTGACTATTTATCCAATTTGCCAGTCTGTGTCCTTTAATTGGGGCATTTAGCCCATTTACATTTAAGGTTAATATTGTTATGTGTGAATTTGATCCTGTCATTATGATGCTAGCTGGTTATTTCGCCCATTAGTTGATGCAGTTTCTTCATAGCATCGATGGTCTTTACAATTTGGTATGTTTTTGCTGTGGCTGGTACCGGCTTTTTCTTTCCATATTCAGTGCTTCCTTCATGAGCTCTTTTAAGGCAGGTCTGGTGGTGACAAAAATCTCTCAGCATGTCTGTAAATGATTTTATTTCTCCTTCGCTTATGAAACTTAGTTTGGCTGGATATGAAATTCTGGGTTGAAAATTCTTTAAGAATGTTGAATATTGGCCCCCACTCTCTTCTGGCTTGCAGGGTTTCTGCAGCGAGATCCGCTGTTAGTCTGATGGGCTTACCTTTGTGAGTAACCCAACCTTTCTGTCTGGCTGCCCTTAACATTTTTTCCTTCATTTCAACCTTGGTGAATCTGATGATTATGTGTCTTGGAGTTGCTCCTCTCAAGGAGTATCTTTTTGGTGTTCTCTGTATTTCTTGAATTTGAATGTTGGCCTGTCTTGCTAGGTTGGGGAAGTTCTCCTGGATAATATCCTGAAGAGTGTTTTCCAACTTGGTTCCTTTCTCCCCGTGACTTTCAGGTACACCAGTCAAACGTGGGTTTGGTCTTTTCACATAGCCCCATATTTCTTGGAGGTTTTGCTTGTTCCTTTTATTTTTTTTTTCTCTAATCTTGTCTTCATGCTTTATTTCATTAAGTTGATCTTCAGTCTCTGATATCCTTTCTTCTGATTGATCAATTCAGCTATCGATACTTCTGTATGCCTCACAAAGTTCTCCTGCCGTGTTTTTCAACTCTATCAGGTCATTTAACTTCTTCTCTAAACTCTTATTTTAGTTAGCAATTCCGCTAAACTTTTTTCAAGATTCTTAGCTTCTTTTCAATGGTTTAGAACATGCTGCTTTAGCTCAGAGGAGTTTGCTATTACCCAGCTTCTGAAGCCTACTTCTGTCCATTTGTCAAACTCATTCTCCATCCAGTTTTGTTCCCTTGCTGGTGAGGAGTTATGATCCTTTGGAGGAGAAGAAGTATTCTGGTTTTTGGAATTTTCAGGCTTTTTGCAATGGCTTTTCCTCATCTTCATGAATTTATCTACCTTTGGTCTTTGATGTTGGTGACTTTCAAATGGAGTTTCTGTCTGGATGTCCTTTTTGTTGATGTTGAAGCTATTCCTTTCTGTTTGTTAGTTTTCATTCTATCACTCAGGCCCCTCTTCTGCAGGTCTGCTGGAGTTTGCTGGAGGTCCACTCCAGACCCCCTTTGCCTGGGTTTCACCAGCAAAGGCTGCAGAACAACAAAGATTGCTGCCTGTTCCTTCTTGTGGAAGCTTCGTCCCAGAGAGGCATCTGTCAGATGCCAGCAAGAGCTCTCCTGTATGAGGTGTCTGTGGACCCCTGCTGGGAGGTGTCTGTCAACCCCTGCTGGGAGGTGTCTCCCAGTCAGGAGGCACAGGGGTCAGGGACCCACTTGAGTAGGCAGTCTGTCCCTTAGCAGAGCTCGAGCACTGTGCTGGGAGATCTGCTGCTCTCTTCAGAGCCAGCAGGCAGGAATGTTTAAGTCTGCTGAAGCTGCGCCCACAGCTGCCCCTTCCCTCAGGTGCTCTGTCCCACGAAGATGGGAGTTTTATCTATAAGCCCCTGACTGGGGCTGCTGCCTTTCTTTCAGAGATGCCCTGCCCAGAGAGGAGGAATCTAGAGAGGCAGTCTGGCTACAGAGGCTTTGCAGAGCTCCAGTTTGCTCCACCCAGTTCAAACATCCTGGTGGCTTTGTTTACACTGTGAGGGGAAAACTAACTACTGAAGCCTCAGTAATGGTGGATGCTCTTCCCCCAACGAAGCTCGAGTGTCTCAGGTTGACTTCAGACTGCTGTGCTGGTAGTGAGAACTTCAAGCCAGTGGATCTTAGCTTGCTGGACTCCATAGGGGTGGGATCTGCTGAGTTAGACCACTTGACTTCCTGGCTTCAGCACCCTTTCCAGGGGAGTGAATGGTTTCGTCTCACTGGTGTTCCAGGTGCCACTGGGATATGAAAAAAAACTCCTGCAGCTAGGTTATTGTCTGCCCAAATGGCTGCCCAGTTTTGTGCTTGAAACCCAGGGCCCTGGTGGCATAGGCACCCGAGGGAATCTCCTGGACAACAGGTTGCTAAGAGTGTGGGAAAAGCATAGTATCTAGGCCGCAGTGCATTGTTCCTCACGGCACAGTCCCTCACAGCTTCCCTTGGCTAGGGGAAGGAGTTCCCGACCCCTTGTGGTTCCCAGGTGAGGTGACTCCCCACCCTGCTTTGGCTTGCCCTCCATGGGCTACACCCACTGTCTAACCAGTCCCAATGAGATGAGCTGGGTACCTCAGTTAGAAATGCAGAAATCACCTGCCTTCTGTGTTGATCTCACCAGGAGCTGCAGACTGGAGCTGTTCCTATTCAGCCATCTTGCTAGCAAGCTCTTCTATAACATAGTTTTAGAAATTCTTTCTAACTTAAACTTGCATATATTCTAAACATTTCATTCCTAGATATTTATGTTCACATGAAGATTTATACACAAATTTGTATAGCTTTATTTGTAAAGCACCAAACTGGAAACATTCCAAATATCCATCAACAGGTAAATGAATAAACAAATTGTATACCCATAAAGCAGAATACTATTCAGAAATTTTAAAGTGTTGATTAACACCAAAATGTGAATAAATCTGAAAACAAAAACAAGGTAGTAAAATAAACTCCACAAAGTGAGTACATAATGTGAGATTCCACTTATATAAAATGCTTAAAATAAGAAAAACAAAATATAATGACAGAAAGGAAATTAATAGTTGTAGAAAGGAGAGGTTGTAGGACTCTATATGAATTACAAAAGAAGATACTCTTGGGGCTGGTGGGTATACTTATCAATTTAATTGCAGTGTTTATTTGAGTGGCTTATATGCATATCAATTCAACAAATTAAACACTTTATGCACTGATTATTGTACGTCAATTAAACCTCAACAAAAATATTAAAATGCATTAATCAGCATGTTAAATATTACTAGAAGGAAGCACTTTTAAAAGGATTAATATAAGTCATTAAGATTTAAAAATTCCTATATCACAAATTAATATATAAATGATGACTATAGTAAATCCTAACATTAAATAACAGTTTTCATTATTATACTGTACATATTAATTTCATATTATTTTGTTTTACTTTTGTTTATGTTTTGCCTTTTTGAAATCTGTTAGTAAACTAGATATGGGAAATTTGCTAACCATTTTTAAAATAGCTTCATAATTCTGGAGTCAGTAAATAAATGGGGTATAAATACAAACCACTTGGGATTTTAAAAATATACTGTCATGCTCACTTTGGCACTTATACTAAAATTGAAACAATAGAGAGAAAACTAGCATGGCCCCTATGCAAAGATGACACACACATCTTTGAAGCATTCCATATTTTTACCAGAATAGCCAGATTAGAGAGAAACATAACTGACCTGATGGAGCTGAAAAACATAACATTGGAAATTCATAGTGCAATGACATGTATCAATAGCAGAATAGATGAAGTGGAGAAAAGAATCTCAGAGCTTGAAGACTATCTTTCTGAAATAAGACAGGCAGACAAGAATAGAGAAAAAAGAATGAAAACGAATGAACAAAACCTCTGAGAAATGTGGGACTATGTAAAAGGACTGAACCTATAACTAATTGGGGTACTTGAAAGAGACAGGGAGGACAGACCCAAGTTGGAAAACATACTTCGGGAGGTCATCCAGGAGAACTTCCTCCAATCTAGAAAGACAGGCCAAGATTCAAATTCAAGAAATCTAGGGAGCCCCAGTAAGATACTTCACAAGAAGATCAATGCCAAGGCACATAATCGTTAGATTCTCCAAGGTTGAAAGAAAAGAAAAAATGTTACGCGCAGCCAGAGAGAAAGGCTGGGTCACCTACAAAGGGAAATCCGTCAGTATAACAACAGACCTCTCAGTGTAAACCTTACAAGACAGAAGCAATTTGGGGCCAATATTCAACATTCTTAAAGAAAAGAATTTCCAACCCAAGGGAATAAGTCACCTCCAGGCCTGCTTTGCAAGAGTTCCTGAAGGAAGCACTAAATATGAAAAGGAAAAACTGTTACTAGCCACTACAAAAACATACTGAAGTATACAGACCAGTGACACTATGAAGTGACCACATAATAAGTCTGCAAAATAACCAGCTTGAATTATGATGACAGGATCAAACTCACACATAGCAATATTAACATTAAATGTAAATGAGCTAAATGCCCCAATTAAAAGACATAGGATGGCAAGCTGGACAGGGTCAAAATCTGTTGGTATGCTGTCTTCAAGAGACCCATCTCACATGCAAAGACACACATAGGTTCAACATAAAGGGATTGAGGAAAATTTACCAAGCAAATGGAAAACAAAAAAGTAGGGGTCACAAACCTAGTTTCTGACAAAACAAATTTTAAACCAACAAAGATCAGAAAAGACAAAGAAGGGCCCTATATAATGGTAAAGGAGTCAATTCAACAAGAAGAGCTAACTATTCCTAAATAGATATACACCCAATAAAGGAGCACCTGGATTTATAAAGCAAGTTCTTAGAGACGTACAAAGAGATGTAGACTCCCACATAATAATAGTGGGAGACTTTAACTCCACACTGACAATGTTAGATGCATCATCAAGACAGAAAATTAACAAAGATACTCAGGACCTGAACTCAGCTCTGGATCAAGCAGACCTGATCGATATATACAGAACTCCTCATCTTGCAAACAGGATATACATTCTTCTCATTGCTATATACACTTACTCTAAAATTGATCACATAATCTGAAATAAAACACTCTTCAGCAAATGCAGAAGAACTGAAATCATAACAGTATCTCAGATCACAGCACAATCAAATTAGAATTCAAGACTGAAAAATTCACTTAGAACCACAAAACTACATGGAAATTGAACAAGCTGTTCCTGAGTCACTCGTGGGTAAATAATGAAATTAAGGCAAAATCAAGAAGTTCTTTTAAACTAATGAGAACAAAGAGACAATGAATCAGAATCTCTGGGATGCTGATAGAGCAGTGTTATCAGGGAAATGTATAGCACTAAATGCTCACATCCAAAAGCTAGGAAGATGTCATATTAATAACCTAATATCACAACTAAAAGAAATAGAAAACCAAAAGCAAACAAACCCAAAGGTGGCAGAAGATAAGCAATAACCAAGATCAGAGGGCAACTGAAAGATAAAGACATGAAAATTCCTTCAACAAATCAATGAATCCAGGAGGTTTTTTTTTTTTGCAAAAAAAATAATAAAGTAGACCACTAGCTAGACTAATAAAGAAGAAAAGAGAGAAGAATCAAGTAGACACAATCAGAAATGATAAGGGGGATATCACCAATGACCCCACAGTAAAGCAAACAACCATCAGAGAATACTATGAACACCTGTATGCACATAAACCACATAAACTAGAAAATCTAGAAGAAATGGATAAATTCCTGAATACATACATCCTCCCAAGACTGAACCAGAAAGAAATTAAAACCCTGAGTAGACCAATAATGAGTTCTAAAATTGAGTCAGTAATAAGTAGTCTACCAACCAAAAAAGCCCAGGACCAGATGGATTTACAGCTGAATTCTAACAGAGGTACAACGAAAAGCTGGTACCATTTCTATTGAAGTTATTTCATAAAGTTGAAAAGGAGGGACTCCTCCATAACTAATTTTATGAGGCCAGCATCATCCTGATACCAAAAACCTGACCACAATACACCAAAAATAGAAAACTTCAGCTAATATCCCAGATTAACACTGATGCAAATATCTTTAATAAATACTGACAAACCAAATCCAGTAGCACGTCAAAAAGCTTATCCATCACATTCAAGTTAGTTTCATCCCTAGGGTGCAAGGTTGGTTTAACATATTAAAATAAATAAATACAATTCATTACATAAACAGAGCTAAAGACAAAAACCACATGATTTTCTCAATAGATGCAGAAAAGACCTTTGACAAAATTCAGCATCCGTTTATCTTAAAAACTCTCAATAAACTAGGTTTTAAAGGAATATACCTCAAGATAATAAGAACCATATCTAACAAACCCACATCAAATATCATACTTAAAGGGCAAAAGCTGGAAGTATTCTCCTTGAAAACCATCATAGGACAAGGATGCACTCTCTCACCACTCCTATTCAAAATAGTATGGAAGTTTTGACCAGGGCAATCAGACAAGAGAAATAAATAAAGGGTATTTAAATAGGGAGAAAGAATGTCAAATTATCTTTATTTGCAGATGGTCCTATGTCAAGAAAATTTCATTGTCTCAGTCAAAAAGCTTCTTAAGCCAATAAGAAACTTAAGCAAAGTCTCAGGATACAAAATCCATGTGCAAAAATCACTAGCATTCCAATACGCCAGCAACAGTCAAGCAGAGAGCTAAATCAGGAATGAACTGCAATAGACAATTGTTACAAAAAGAAAAAAATATTTAGGAACACAGCTTATAAGGGCAGTGAAGGATCTTTTCAAGAACTATGAACTATTGCTTAAGGAAATCAAAGAAGACACAAGCAAATGGAAAAACGTTCCATGCTCATGAATAGGAAGAATCAATATTGTGAAAATGGCCATACTGCCCAAAGTAATTTATAGATTCAATGCTATTTGCATTAAACTACCATTGATGTTCTTCACAAAAGTAGAATAAACTATTTTAAAATTCATATGGAGTCAAAAAGGGAGCCTGAATAGCCAAGACAATCCTAAGCAAAAAGAACAAAGCTGGAGGCATCATGCTACTTGACTTCAAACTATACTACAAGGCTATAGTAACCAAAACAGCATGGTACTGGTACAAAAACAGATACAAAAACAAACGGAACAGAATAGAGACCTCAGAAATAAAACCACACACCTATAAGCATCTGATCATCAAAAAACCTGACAAAAACAAGCACTGGGGAAAGGATTCCCTATTTAATAAATGATGCCGGGAAAACTGGCTAGCCATATGCAGCAAATTAAAACTGGACCCCTTCCTTAAACCTTATACAAAAATTAACTCAAGAGAGATTAAAGACTTAAATGTAAAACTGGAAACTATAAAAACCGTAGAAAAAAACCTAGGCAATATCATTCAAGACATTGGCACCAGCAAAGATTTCATGATGAAGATGCAAAAAGCAATTTCAAAAGCAAAATTTGACAAATGGGATCTAAGTAAACTAAAGAGCTTCTGCACAGCAAAAGAAAGTATCATCAGAGTGAACAAGTAGCCTACACAATGGGAGAATATTTTTGCAATCTATCCATCTGACAAGGCTTTAATATGGAAAGTCTACAAGAAACTTAAGCAAACTTACAAGAAAAAAAGCAAACAACCCCATTAAAAAGTGGGCAAAGAACATGAACAGACACTTCTCAAAAGAAGACGTACATGCGGTCAACAAACATGAAAAAAAAATCTCAACATCACTGATCATTAGAGAAATGCAAATCAAATCCACAATGAGATACCATCTCATGCCAGTGATAATGGCAATTATTAAAAGGTCAAGAAACAACAGATGCTGGTGAGGTTGCAGGGGAAAAGGAATGCTTTTACACAGTTGGTGGGAATGTAAATTAGTTCAACCATTGTGGAAGGCAGTGTGGCAATTCCTCAAAAATCTAAAGTTAGATATATTATTTGACCCAGCAATCCCATTACCGGGAATAATTTATATTCCCAAAGGAATATAAATTATTCTACTATAAAGATACATGCACACATATATTTATTTATTTATTTATTTATTTATTTTTGAGACAGAGTCTCTCTCTGTCACCCAGGCGGGAGTGCAGTGGTGCGATCTTGGCTCACTGCAAGCTCTGCCTCCTGGGTTCACGCCATTCTCCTGCCTCAGCCTCCCGAATAGCTGGGACTACAGGCGCACACTGCTACACCTAGCTAATTTTTTGTATTTTTAGTAGAGAGGGGGTTTCACCATGTTAGCCAGGATGGTCTCGATCTCCTAACCTTGTGATCCGCCCGCCTCAGCCTCCCAAAGTGCTGGGATTACAGGCGTAAGCCACCGCGCCCGGCCCCATGCACACGTATATTTATTGCAGCACTCTTCGCAATAGCAAAGACATGGAAACAACCCAAATGCCCATCAACGATAGACTGAATAAAGATAATGTGATACATATACACCATGGAATACAATGCAGCCATAACAGGGAACAAGATCATGTCCTTCGGAAGGATATGGACAGAGCTGGAAGCTGTACTCCTCAGCAAATTTTTGCAGGAACAGAAAACCAAACACTAATGTTCTTACTTAAAAGTGGGAGCTGAACAATGAGAACACATGGACACACTGTGGGGGAAACAACACATATTGGTGCCTGTCAGGGCAGTTGTGGTGGGAGGGGGCTCATCAGAAAGAATAGCTAATGGATGCTGGGCATAATACTTAGGTGATGGGATGATCTGTGCAGCAAATCACCATGGTGCACATTTACCTATGTAACAAACCACATATCCTGCACATGTACTCCCGAACTTAAAAGTTAAAGGAAAAAAAAGAAAATGTAACCTAATTAAATTTAAATTGAATCATTTAAATTAAATGAAAATGATTTAAACCATTTGATTAAAAGATCGAATCAAATAAGATCTAGTATTTGAGAGCACAGCATGGTGACTACTGTCAACAGTAATTTATTAGGCATTTTAAAATAACTAAAACATTATAATTGGGTTGTTTGTAACACAAAGAAAGGATAAGTGCCTGAGGTGATGAATACCCCATTTACCCTGATGTGATTATTATGCATTGTATGCCTCAATCAAAAGATCTCATGTTCCCCATTAATGTACACACCTAACATGTACACACAAAAATTAAAACTTATTTAAAAAGACAAAATAATGCCTATTCCCATCTTTTATATATTTAAATGTGACAAATAATAAATATAAATAATGCACAAAGGCTTTACTTAGCATAGTTACCTTATTGTTACCTTAGCCTTATTAATAGCAAAATATTTTATAAACTTGAGTTAAATATCATCGATAAAGTTCTAATCAGCTGCCCATAAGATATTTAAGACATTTTTCTAAATACAAAAAATTAAGTTTCCATGCTTTTGATGGAGCATCTACATGGGAAAATTTAAAATTGCATCAGAAAAGGCAGAGAAAAGCGAATTATGATTTCCAGGAAGATAAAGTAACCTTTGCATTTTAATAATAAGTATGTGATTAATGCCAGATTCCTATGACAATTCATAACTATATTCTTGGATATTTTGATTCTACCTGGCTTGACTAAAAAATAATCTTAATGGAACATTAAATGAGGAGTAGAGAGACAACCTGTAATCAAAATCAAATTATTCTCTGATCTAATTCATCCCGAAGATTCTTAGAATAGTTTATTCCTCACAGTACATTTACTGATACATTGCTGCTTAAAAAAATCACTTTATTTAATAACGACTTGGTTATATATGACTACAGGTAACAAGAACGTCTTTTTCAGGAATCAAATACAAATTTCTGAAACAGTGACTGATAATGCAAAACAAAGGGAAACTAGTGTTTAATGGAATATGGAGGGTCAGATGTGGATAAAATATTTCAAAAAAAAAAAAAAACAGGAGTACCTTAACACTGTAATAGAAATGCAAATGTTTAATCACTCTTTATTCCACCAGGAGAAATGCACTTAAAGTAATGTAATACTAGCCACAACTTATTTGAGAAAAGAATCAAAAGCAAAGATGCCAGGCAGAATTTATATTAAGTTGCAAAAAGTAAAGTCTGGGTTAGATAGAAAAGCAATTCTCTCATTTCACATGATAGAAATAACAGAATATTTAGACTACCTTTTCTTCTCATGAGAGAACACTCAATAAATTGAGATAAGAGCATTTTCTCCTATTTCCATTTTAGACATTATATTATTTTTTCGTTTCTCATGCCTGGTTTTGTTAAGTAAGCACTCTCTTGCAGCCAGAAATCATTCTGTCAAGGGATAATAATTCATTTTGTTGTAATTTTGTTTAGTTTAACACAAACACACACCCTTATTCTTTAACTTGTATACTGGATTACTGTTAATTGTTGAGGCACTATTTGGACAATTAAAAATTAGAGACTCCTTTTGGTATAATGATTTTTATAAATTGATTTGGTTTAATATTAATCATTATGAAATAGGTAATAGAGTATTTTTCCAAGATAATTACATATATATATGTGGATGATTTGTGCCCTTTTCAGTTTTTTCTCGCTTTGTATTTTTAACTTGTTTCTCAAGGATTTTGTCTGCAAACATACTGTCATTTGTTACTTGTGAGGCGAACATTGTTAACATTAAAATTTGTCATTGGTGATTACGGTAATCCTAAATTTGATGTGAAAAAATTGCTCCTACATTCCTGCTACTATATTGGTAGAGTCAACTGTCAAAAATAATAATATAAATTTGTAATAAAACAGACATTGTTGATTTTCAAAAGAATAACAAACATTTCAAAAGAATAACAAATAAGAGGGAAAAAAGTTACATACAAAGCTGCCTACACAGAGAAATAACCCTTCAACAATATTATAAAATTTATTTTAGCACTGAAATGTGTTGATCACATTTGCATGAGGAAAAACATCATATTTTACAGTTATTTTAGATATTTACATAAAAATGAGGCTCATAAATAAATCTATGTTGACAAAGAAGGACAATGTTTGTGCTGTACTGAGAATGACAACTGTGATGAATCAAGGACAACTGTGAGAGTTAAGTTCAAAAGGAACTGACTTGATGAATAGCAATTTTACCTCAGGCCACAAAGTACACTAGGTCATTGTCTGCAGGCTCTTCTGAACAGCCTGTGTTCATCCAGAATTATACCGGAAGGACAGAAGCTGTGTGAGATGAGACAGAAGAGATCACCTTTACAGCCCCAAAGTATATTAATGCTCTTTTTGCAGCTCTCACCATCTTTTAGATATGCTTATGTTGATGCTTTTTTGATAAACCGCTTAGCCAAAATATATCTTGAGAAAGTGCTAAACAACGACAATTGAACTTTTATTGCTGGTAAATAGAAAACTTTGATCATTTAATGCACAACACTATAGTGAATGATGGCGGAGTTAAAGATGAAACATGCCTGATTATATAATTATGGTCAAGAATATGATACGCTTTAGCTATAAAGTGCTTTTATTGGAAACAATTTGTCCACTCACCTTCAGATCTCAGTATAAAAGTGGGTTCTCAGACTGGTCTCCCTAAATGCACAGAGTAAACTAGATTCAACTACCATAGGCATTTGCAAATCTCTATACATGATTTGGAAATTATTTGTCACTTTAGTGATATGTCTCCGTTGTTCACTAGACAATATGCTCTATGATAGTAGGTCACATATTTGCTTTGTTCAATACTGTGCCCCAGAGTAATTTTGGGGGTACATATTAGACATTCTGTGCATATTTGCTAAATACATATATGAATCAATTGATTTTATAAGTGAAAAACTAGAAGAACCACCTGTATAATATGGATACTACGTAAATGCAATGTGTTATAATTATGAAGCAGCATATGGTAATTCATATTTCATTAACATAAGAGGTAGAGACATTTTTCAAAAAGCAGAAAACCAAGAATCACAGGATTGGGTTTATATAAGAAGTGTCACTAAAATTTGTGTGGTCTAGGCAAATTTACTCATAAAATTAGCGTGAAAATTCACTGAGATAATAAGTGTAAAATGTTCCATAACACTCTGTATTTTATATATTTGATGAGTCATAGATATTAGTAGTAAAATTGTGGCAACGTAACACCTGGCCTTCTGCATAGGTGACCATGCTACATGTGTTTTTCTTCCTGGCAGTTGCCTTCCATACAAGACTACAATTTCTCCCTGTTCTACTCAGAAATATGAATGTGACTCTTGTTGGCAATGAAAGGTAGAAACGCATGAATCAAGTGCAGATGTCTTTTCTCTTCTGCTGTGATGTATGGAAATAGTCTAGATAGAAGCTGCTTTGCGATTTGAGTCCTGCAAATGAGATGACATTGAGCAGAGCAACCACTGACCCATAATTAAAATAAAATGGGAAAATGAAATAAGGTCTGTTTTAATAAGTTTCTATGATTTTTAGAATGTTTTCTACAGCTACATGGCATGACCTAATCCGACAGATTTAACAACCCTCTTTTTTAGTTAGAAGCACTGAAAATTTGATGGCAAGATTACATAAAGAAAGAATGATAGCTATAGTGGCCCAAAACATGATCCAGAAACTTGTATCAGAAGAGCAGTGTTGAGAGTAAATATTTTACATTTTTCAAGCAAGCATTTTTTTTAACATTGAAAGTGCCATTAGAGTTTTAAAACAGTAAGCTTTAAGGCAATCTTAAGATTTACACTATAAACAACTGGTGGGAAATAAAGTAGAAAAACCAGCCTAGCACAGGGCAAGAGTCTAGAAGTAGTGAAGACAATGTTTAGGTGCTAGTGAGTGCCTGAGAGGGCCCTGTGCTTGTGTGATTCCTGGTTTTCTGCTTTTTAAAAAATGTATCCACCACTCACGTGAATGAAATATGAATGACTGTGCCATAGGAACACCCTCCACCCAAGAAAAATGTGGACATCTGAAATGAGAGAAAATGTGCGGTCGGCATTTGATGAGGTGCCAGACCTCATGATCACTGTCCAGTACTAGCGTGATGAAGCACTGGAGGCAGGTGTATGGTGAGGCACTACTAGGCTGAGGGTCTCTAAGAGAATCTCTAGCTCCAGCCTAGATACCAGACTACTGCTGCCGTATAATTGACTCTAGGTAAACAAAGAGAAGAACCACCAAGTTTGCCAATGCACAGAATCATGAGAAGTAATTAATTGTTGTTTAAGCCACTATTGTGTTATGGAATGTATTAGCCTACTTGGGCTGCCATAATAAAATACCACAGCCTGGCTTAAATGTCAGAAATTTATTTTCTTACAGTTCTGGGGTCTGTACATCTAGATCACGGTAATGTCAGGGTTTGTCTCCAGTGAGGTCTCTTCCTGGTTTGCAGATGCCCCTTCTGGCAGTAGCTTCACATGGCCTTTCTTCTGGGTGTGCACAGAGATAGAGATGTCATTTCTTATAACATCATCAGCCCTATTCTCACAATAATGACTTCATTGAACAATTATCACTTTCGTATAGGCTCTATCTCCAAATAAAATCCACTGAGAGATAGGGATTCAACATTTGAATTTTGCCACAGTTCAGCCCATCACATGCAACTAAGGCCAACTGAAACAATATATATTTTTGAAGTGTTTTAATGTTCCATTAATCAATTCATTTATTTCTGGAGCAATATTGTAGTCTTAGTTCACAGCTTTAATAATGGCATCTATTTGCCTGGCGCAGTGTCTCACGCCTGTAATCCCAGCACTTTGGGAGGCCAAGGCGGGTGGATCACCTGAGGTTGGGAGTTCAAGACCAGCCTGACCAACACAGTGAAACCCCATCTCTACTGAAAATATAAAATTAGCTGGGCATGGTGGCACATGCCTGTAATCCCAGCTACTCAGGAGGCTGAGGCAGGAGAATCGCTTGAACCTGGGAGGTAGAGGTTGCAGTGAGCCGAGATCGCACAATTGCACTCCAGCCTGGTGACACAGTGAGACTCTGTCTCAAAAAAAAAAAAAAAAAAGAAAAAAGAAAGAAAGAAAGACATCTGTTAAGATAATTTCCTGCTTTTATTATATTTTCCCTTTTTTTGACATTGATTTATTCAGAAATATATTTTAGTTTCCAAACACATTTTTCCTGGTTTCTCTTTATTTTTGCTTAATTGGATTGTGGTTATAGGCTTCTATTTTTAAAATAAAATTCTGTTAGCTTTATTAATATCCATTGACAAAAATTATATATATATATGAGTATACAATGTGATGATTTGATATACATATGCCTTGTGAAATTTTTATATACCTGTTATATTTATACAAATAAAAAGACACAATCTTTTTAAATGACTCTGTTTTTTAATATTCGACTGTTGGATAGCTTTGAGGCCTAAATTGCCCCTGTTTTTGTGCTATTTCTGGAAAAGCAGATAGAGCCCACAGGCACCTTTCTTTGATGAACAGGAAAGATCAAACAACACAAACTCAAGCTCCCATGCAGAAACCCTCTCTCTGCTCCTCCACCTTAAACACTCAATCAAAAAATCCCATTATGTGAGTAATAAATCTTTTTATACCTTGGTGTATTTGTGGTATAATCAATCTCCACATCCATATCAGTTTTGGGTTGGAGGGATGGATCCCATAGTGAACCAGAAAACAATTGGTATGTGAACAGGATAGCCTAGGTAATAACCACCACCTGTGGCTCTTTACATCCTGGTTCACTGATTGGCTCTGCTCTCTGCTGGACAGTATGTACTTTGAGCTGTTGCCAGCTGACTTCCATGTGCTTTGAGCTTTACTTCTTAGTGCCACATATGTTACTTCTGTCAAGGTTCTGCTTCATATTTAACTGGCATTATTTGAAAATTTTGGTAGTTGGTGCTCAAGAATACCAGCATGGGATTAGGGATCTTTCTTAACATGGCACAGATTGTGTGTTTCAGCCTATACCTATCTGTGTGTCAAATTAAATCATTTATTTTGATCTAACCATAAGCTTTGATTGAATCTAGACATCAATAAAACATTGACTCACTTTCTACTGAGTGCTTGGGAAAACACCTATATACTGTACAATTTATGGACCCATTAGGTGGTTGCTTAAATAACTATAGTCACCATTTTTGAATGCTGATGTCAACGCTCTTAATATCAGATAGGTCTCTAGGAATCCAAATGCTGCTACCGCCACCTATACTTCCATCACAACAGAGATTCTGATCCTCAAACTTAAGGAGGAAAACATCCAAGGAACCTTGGCATAGATCTTGGGAAAAGTTGTCTTGAATCCTTTATATCGCCTTATCTTCCACCCACCTCTTGTTTAAAAAGCCAGGGGGCATCATCAATCTATTGGACAAGGATAAAATGGTTGGACTGTGAGTCTGATGAATGTTGTGGCTTGTCAACATACCAAAGAGATCATTCAAACCTGGCTTTTGCCTAGTGCCTCTAAAGCCAGTAATGCAATAAGTACCGTGGGGAGCCTCTTTACTGTGATGACAGCAATTTGGGAACTTCTGGAGGAAGAAACTTATAAATATTAGGAGTGTAGAGAAGGACCCTAAGAACATGGGGACTAACAGGGACAAATACACAAAATGAGCTACCATCAGCACAAAAACCAAGACAGACACCTAGATACATGATGACAAGCCAGAAACTGAGACAGAGGCCCACAGTCTGATATAAATGGAAATAAATTTACTTACTTAAAGAATTTACCCAATAGAAATATTAAAAGGGTGCTGTTTGACATTTAATTCTCTACATCATTGGTTCTAAATTAATTCTAAAATCTGCTGAAATGTACGTATTGACAACTATTCATGGCCTTAACTGATATAGGTGACAAAATTGTTATTATACATGGAGGTCCCACTAAATTCACTATATTTAAACAAAGTACCTGCTATTTTCTTAAGGAAGTTACCAGGCATAAAACAGAAAACTAACAGATATGTGTTACCTTAACCATGAGAAATGTTGCTTTGCCAAAATTTCTAATGGCCATAGTATTCATTGCCCTTAAAATATCCTATAGTGGCCCCTTTGACTCAAGTAAATAATTGAAATAAAATTATGTCTTTGGAACTTAAAATCAACTTGACAAATAAAACCCGATGGATCTTCTAGTTTTTTTAATTAAAAGAGTTCATAAAGCCTAATATAAATTAAAATGTGGGTTTCAATGTTTGAAATCTACTTTGTAGCCCTATGTAGAAAAGGATGATTATTTTTACTATTTTACTATTAAATAGCCCAATTCAATCTGTTCTTAAAACTGAAAATAATGGTGGACATCTTGCAGTGGCAGTGGATGACCATGAACTCAGTGTGGCTCTAACCATTAAAGCCCACATCTATAACATTACTGAAATCATCGATTCCATCCAATCAACAACTAGTAAATACTTTATAGTACTAGATTTGATTAATATGCTCTACTCAGTGCCTAGGTAGGTGAACATGTTCTGTTTAATGCTTATTTCAGCTGCAGTGCCTTCACCTTTGAAGGGATATGCATTTTCCTGGATACTGATGGGGTGATTGAATAGCCTTGCATTCTTTTACAGTCTTTGTAGGAAAGATCTTAGTTGTATCTGGCTTTCTCCAGGAGCACAGGTCTGACATTACATTGATGGTATCTCCTCCAAGGAGATTTATTTGTCACACACACATGCAGGACATAAAAGTAATCACAAAGGCGTTTACAAAAAGTAGCGGTGGAAATAGGTTATAACTCTGCATTTACAACAAGGTCCCACTACTTCAGTTAGATTTCTGAAAATTATTTGGTTTGTTAAAAACTGTTCCATCCCTGACACTGTTAGCAACAACAACAACAACAACAACAACAAACTATTGATCATCTCAGCGCCAAGAATGTTGAAAGAATCTTGATTTCTTTTAAGGCTTTGAAGGTTCTGGAGGCAATATATTCCTATTTTAAAATTTTATTTAGCCTAATTTATGCTATAATTCACAAATCAGTCCACTCTGAATGGGATTCTCTGCAACAAGAGGTTCTAGAATCTGCCCAACTTGAAATTCAACAAGCAGTCTCATGAGTATCCCCTAAAGATTTCCATAAAGGAGAACTTCTCTGTTTTTAGTCTATTGTCAGATGAAATCACGCTGAAGAAAATCACCTTCTCACAGAACAACTGGCCAGATATACAACCCCCAAAATCAACTTGATAATGAGAACTGAAATTCATATACTCTTCTGATGGTAGAACCACCAAATACACAATGAATACCGCTAGGTTTCTGCTGCTACCCATCCCCTAACCAGAACATAAATTTTTAATTTATATATTCTGAAGATGTGCTGTTAGGAATATTTACATTTATACATTTTAAAAGATTTAGATATTTAAGGGTAATTTGAATTCTTATTTTCTAGTAAAAATTTTATGTAAAGTCTATATTGTCAGATATAAACGTGGCTATCTCCGCTATTTCCAGTTACTACATATTTGGCTAGATCATCTTTTATCACTCTTTTATTCTGAAAATTTGTTCTTTGTTTTTACATATGTTTATTTAAAAAATATATAGATAAATTTAGTAGTTTAATGCAGTTTTATAATCTTTGTCTTTTCTAGGTCTTTTTTATTAATTAATAATTATTATATTACTGAACTACTGTTATTTCTCAAATATCTTATGTAATTTCTGTTTATACCATCCCTTAATGTGGTTTTTCTATTTTCTTATGTTTTAATTGATTTAAATTTTTTCTTTATTTTCTCTAATAATTTGTAACTTAAATATGTCATTTCTATTTCCCTAATACTTTCTGACAGATTTTTGCTACAAAACTCACCTATCAACGTTAGGGCCACTATTAGCATATGATTTGTCATCTAATTCAGGGCATTGTTGAAAGTATGAGTTATATTTGTATTTATAGTGAGACATACAGTTTATTTACATAATTATACATTTAAAATATCGTGGGAAGCCAGAACGTATGTCAACCAAGTAATTGTTAAAATTAATATCTCTTTCCTCATGCTAAATGAAGTAATGATTTTTAAAAATTATGTCTTTGTTTCTATCAACCTACAAATTTATCAATTATTTTCTTTATCATTACTTTTTGAATCTCAAATTTTACATTTGAAGTAATTTTCCTTCATCATAAAAACATCTATTAGATCTTTCATTAGAAAATATCTTTCATAGAGAACATTTGTTAGTAGAAAGTATTTTTATTCCACGATCATTCTTGAAAGATATATTGACTGTGCGTTAGAATTCTAAGCTAATTATTTTCTCTTAGTACTCTGCAGACATTCATTTATTCTCTGACTTCCAGTTATTATTTATCTCTTCTCTGGCAATTGTTAAAGTCTTTTTATTAACTCTAGCTTTACTAAGATGCATTGAAGTGAAATTTATATTTTATGCATTATGATTTGAATTTGGGGCTTCTTAAATCTGTGTGTCAACACTTGCCATAAATTTTACCATTACCTCTGAAATTATTACATATTTACACATTTATTTTTATGTTTATTTCCAGAACTTCAATTAGATGCAGATCATACTACCTTACTCTGCCTACCATGTCTTTTTATTGCTTTATTTTTTACATGCTTATTACTTTGTCTTCCCAGAATTTTCTTGTTATATATTTCAGCTTATTACCTGCTTTTCAGTCTTGTCTGCTAAGTAAGCAATGTTGTTTTATATAAATTATCTTTGTAAATTTCTAGTGGTTATATATCTCTTTCAACTGAGCATACTGACTAGATCATCCTCCCCCCATGCAAAGCTGACCCAAAACACAGAAAAATAACATTAAAGTTGACCTCATTACAAATATCATATAAATATTGCATTCTCATTATTTTTTTCTTTCCCTTTATACCTTTTCAGTAATTCAAACTGGAGGCTTATGAAAACTTTATTTATCATTTTTGTCTGACTTCATATCTAGAATTAATTTGGTTCAATGCAGCTTCTAACCACCAGTATATGCAGGGATAAAAAATGAGTTACAGAAAATATATTTTCATACGCAGCTTATGATTAAAGAAGAGAAATGGCATTTTCATGGAAACCCACAACATGCAGAATAATAAAATGATTTCCATGTAAGAACAGATAATATCCAGACACACTGACCACAGTGTTCTTCTTTCAACACTCCCCATGACTGCAGGGCACATCTCTAAAATATTTGCTTGGCATCTCCTTTACCTTTCTCAAAGATTTGCTCAAATCTCATCTTCTCTATGTGTCGTTATGCCCACAATACTGCACCATGAGGCATTACCATGGGAACCGCTCATAATCCATATTCTACTTTAAAAAAATGTAACATTTACCATATATGCATATATATTTTTATATGTAGATGAAATAAGCCACCTCTTTTTTTTTTTACTTTTAAAGATTTTATTTTTATTTAGAGCAGTTAAGCTCATGCCACAATAGAGCAGAAAGTACAGAGAATTACAGTAGTCTCTCATTATCTGTGGTTTGACTTTTCAGTTTCAGTTACTTTCATGGTCCAAAAATATTAAATGTAAAATTCCAGAAATAAACAATTCATAAGTTTAACATTGCACATCATCTTGAGTAGCATGATGAAACCTCATGCTGTCCCACTCTGTCCTGCCCAGGGATCAGGGCCACAAATCATCCCACCCATTAGTCACTTAGTAGACCCCTTGGTTATCAGATTGATTGCCATGGAATTGCAGTGCTTGTGTTTATGTAACCCTTATTTTATTTTACTTAATAACAGCCCCAAAGTACAAGGACTGTGATGCTGGGATATTTTTATCTGTCATATTTTATTGGTAGTTGATATGGTTTGGCTGTGTACCCACCCAAATATCATCTTGAAATCCCACGTGTTGTGGAAGGGACCCAGCGGGAGGTAATTGATTCATGGGGGTGAGTCTTTCTCTTGCTGTTCTCATGATAGTGAAAAAGTCTCATGAGATCTGATGGTTTTAAAAACGAGAGTTGAGCTGCACAAGCTCTCTTTGCCTGCTGCCATCCACCGAAGATGTGACTTGCTCCTTCTTGCCTTCCACCATGGTTGTGAGGCCTCCCCAGCCATGTGGAATGGAACTGTAAGTCCTATGCACCTCTTTCTTTGGTAAATTTTCTCAGTCCCAGGTATATCTTCTTTTTCTTTTCTTTTTTTTTTTTTTTTTGAAATGGAGTTTTGCTCCTGTTGCCCAGGCTGGAGTACAATGGCGCAATCTTGGCTCACTGCAACCTCCGCCTCCCGGGTTCAAGTGATTCACCCACCTTAGCCTCCCAAGCAGCTGGGATTACTGGCACGTTCCACCACCCCCGGCTAATTTTGTATTTTCACTAGAGACAGGGTTTCACCACGTTGGTCAGGCTGGTCTCGAACTCCTGACCACAGGTGATCCACTCACCTTGGCCTCCCAAAGTGCTGGGATTACAGGCATGAGCCACCGCGCCTGGCCCCAGATATGTCTTTATCAGCAGCATGAAAACTGATTAATACAGTAATATTGTTATTAATTTCTTAATATAATTAATAAATTAAAGTGTCTTTATTGTAGATAGGTATATATGTATAGGAAAAACACATAATACTCAGTTGACCCTTGAGCAATACAGATTTGAACTAAGTGGGTCCACTTATGTACAGATTTTCTTCCACCACTGTCACCCTTGAGGCAGCAAGACCAACCCCTCCTCTACCTCCTCCTCCTCAGCCTACTCAATGTGAAGATAATGATGATAAAGACCTTTATGATGATCCACTTCCACTTAATAAATAGTAAAACATATTTTCTTTCTTAAGATTTTAATATTTTCTTTTTCCTAGCTTACTTTATCGTAAGAATATAGTATATAATACATACAACAAATATGTGTCAATTGACTCTTTTATGTTATTGATAAGGCTATAGTCAACAGTAGCTATTAGTAGTTAAGTTTTTGAAGAGACAAAAGTTATATGCGGGTGTTTTATTGCATGGGGGACTGGCACCCCAAACCCCTATACTGTTCAAGAGTCAACTAAAAATACAAAGTTTGGTACTATCTGTAGTGGTTTCAGGCATCCACTGGAAGTCTTAGAACTTCTACCCTGTAGATAAGATGTGACTAGTGTGCTATATACCCACTGCCCACACCCATGCATTTGCTCCCCTATTATCTACATCCCCTACCACAATTATACCTTTGTTATAATTGATGAACCTATACTGGCATCTCATAACTTAAAGTTCATAGTTAACATTAGGATTTACACTGTATGGGTTTGGACAAATGTCCAAATATCAAACTGACAGAATCATACAGTATGTATCTTTTCAGATTGTTTTATTTCACTTAGTCATATTCATTTAAGGTTTCTCTATGTCTGTTTATGGCTTGATAATTCATTTATTCTTAGTGATGATTAATATTTCATTGTCTGGATGTGTCACAGTTTATGTACCCATTCACTTATTAAAGGACATTTTGGTTGCTTCCAAGTTTTGGAAATGATAAACAAGGCTGCTATAAAAATATGTTGTGCAAGTTTTTGTGTGGATATAAGTTTTCAATTCCTTTGTTAAGTATACAGGTGGACAGTGGGCAATTGCTGGGTTTTATGTTTATTTTGTAAGAAAGTGCCAATGGTCTTCCAAAGTGACTGTACCATGTTTAATTCCCACCAGCAATGAATGAGAGTGCCTATTACTCAAAATACCTGCCAGCATTTAGTGTTGCCAGTATTTCAGACTTTGATCATTCAAAAGATGTGTAGTGGTATCTCATTCTTATTTAATTTGCATTTTCAATCAGGTTATTTGATTTGTTATTGTTGAATTTGAAGAGTTCGTCGTATTTTTCGTAACAGTCCTTTATCTGATGTGTGTTTTGCAAATATTTTCCCCTACCCTGTGGATTGTCTTCTAATTATCTTAGCACTGTCTTTTGCAGAACAGTTTTTAAATTCATCTTACCAATTTTTCTGTTTCTTGGATCATGCGCTTGACGTTGTATCTAAAAGGTCATCACCATACCCAGGATCATCTAGGCTTCTTCTTATGTTATCTTCTGGTAGTTGTATACTTTTGTGTTTTACATTTAGATCTAAGATCCATTTAGGATTAAATTTTGTGAAGGATGTAAGGTCTGTGTCTAGATTTCATTATTTTGCATGTGGATACACAGAAGCTCCAGCACCATTTGTTGGAAATACTGTCTTTCCTGCATTGTATGACCTTTACTCCTTTGTCTAAGTTAAGTTGATTTAAGATCAATTGTATTTATTTGGGTTTATTCCTGGGCTTTCTATTCTAGTCTTTCTCTTTCTTTTCTATTTTGTTGATCTATTTGTTTATTCTTTCACTAACATTTATCATATTTTAGCCTCTATAACATTTTCTAACTGATTGTACTTTTTTGGTTATAATCCATCTCTCCTATCCAGAATATAAAACACACAAAGATGGAGACCTTCATATATTTTGTTTTTTCTTTTATCTTTTTCCTATTTTTGTTTTCTATTTACTCTAGTGTACCCCAAATGATGACTTCAGTTCCTGTATATAATAGTTTCTCAGTACAGATCTCTGTCTCAAAAAAAAAAAAATTGCCCAATGCTATGCAGTAATTTTTTCAATCAGAAGATTTTATCTGCTTTTACTTAGGCTACATTTTTTACAATTCTATTTGCAAGGTATGTTCTGAGCCTCTAGATTTTTCTGATGTATAGCCTACTTGGACAAACTCTTGTTTAAAAGCATGTGTCAAAATATTTGAAGCTGTATGCTTGATTTTAAACTTTTTTTTTTTTTTTTTTTGAGACGGAGTCTCGCCCTCTCGCCCAGGCTGGAATGCAGTGGTGCAATCTCGGCTCACTGCAATCTCTGCCTCCCGGGTTCAAGCGATTCTCCTGCCCCAGCCTCCCAAGTAGCTGGGATTACAGGCGCGCGCCGCTATGCCCAGATAATTTTTGTACTTTTAGTAGAGACGGGGTTTCACTATGTTGGTCAGGCTTGTCTCGAACTCTTGACCTCGTGATCCGCCCGCCTTGGCCTCCCAAAGTGCTGGGATTACAGGCGTGAGCCACCGCGCCCAGCCTGATTTTAAACTTTGAATACAGCACAACTTTGAGTTGTTCACATTTTTAAGAGGTGCACAAGTTTCCCTGACATCACTTAGCAACTACCTGCAGTAGTTGTGCCTTAACACTCTCAGTTTCACATGGTAATATAGAAGACCAACAAACACTAGTTTTGTTCCTTCCAAGAGAGTTTACCAAAATACTTTTTAGAAATAGCTGTGTTTCACTGTTCACGGGGCGGTCAAGCTGTGCTGCAGGACAGAATATAAAATGAGTGCGGCCAAGGTTAACAAGCAGATGAATGCCACCCAGGGAAGAGACCTGCATGATTTGGGGTCACTGAGAACCGAAGACATGTACACTAGGCTCCAGTGGTATGGTACAGCTATTTATTTACAGAAAAAGAAGAAAAGCAGTGCAAGACTTTGTTTCCCCATGGCCAGAGAATCCACTCCATAGCCGATGTGGTTAGTGTGGCTGCAGGTCCCTCACTTTGTACTGCACTAAAGGGACCATGACCTCTTCCCCTTGGGTCTGAAATATAGAAAGCTGGGGGAGTGCCAAAGGATCACTGAAGCTTGGGCCTAAGCAGAATATTTATGGAACATACATCAAGCCTAAACAGGGAAAAGTATTTTCTTGCTGGAAATATGACAAGCCCGGCCCAGGCTGTGAGGGTTTTTTATCTCCCAATAAGAAATATTACAGGCCCAAGGCCACTCTTACGCAGCCATGCAGGCAGCAAGAAGTTGCATATGCTGCCTTTCTCAACTTGTTTGAACTTAACTTTCTAACCTTTAAGCTAACATTTAATTTCGTACCTACCACATCTTTACCTGGGGCAAGCTTGCCACACAGCATGTTGGACTGTTTCAGGAGAGTCATGGCCAAGATTTATTTACTGCTGCAGCAACTAACAAACATCCATCTTTTAGAACTGGGTTGTAAGAAAGCATAAATTCTTGTTTATTTGGTAATATCTTAAGTGTATTTAGGGGTGCCTAATAATATGTGTGATGGAAGACTGATTATATTACCATTAATTATAAAATTATATTACAGGTAACATATTATAAATCTAAGTAGTTAAGTAGGATGCTTGAATTCTAATAAAACAGTGAATACGACTATTACCTATATACAGTATTCAAGTTTTTAAAATTTGTGCTGTAAAAGTGGATTTATAAAAATTTTCAAAACCATTTATTTTATATAGTGTTCAAAAGCACGATAACTAAACATTAAAAGGACTTTATTTTTTAAAACAATATTGACATATTTTATTGATTATAGCCTAAGTGATCATTTATATTCAGTTCATAATGATAATTATTTCAAAGAGCTACAAGGTATCAAAATTCTTATTTAGAACGACATACATTTTATTGTTGATAAAACAAACAAGCTTCTGTTGTAATCAATAGATGAGATATATAACTAATTATCTTATAATTTTATTTAATCCTATAACTCTAAATCAGCATTTGATTAGAGAGCTGAAAAGACATTCAGCCTACAGAGGTTGAATATAATTAACCTCTGTGACATAAATGAATATAATTATTTATGTCACTGAGCACAGCATATTATCTAATTTGATACGCAAATGGGTACGTAATAACATAAATTACATGTTAAATTTCAGATATAGAACAATAATGAAACCCTTGCACCTTGCAGTTTATACAGGAAGATTATAATGATACCGGTTTTCTTGATCTTTTGGACAAACAAAATATATAGAGGTAGTTCTCTAGGTCAGAAAAATGCCCTGTTTAAAAGATTATCACAGGAAAAATTAGCATAAGGTCAGTTTTAAAATGTTCAAAAGACACTAGTATACTCATGAAAGTAGTTATTTTAATTGCTGAAAGTATTCACATATGGAAAATTGTTTCTACCATTTGCATAAAACATGCATGATATGTTTACTGTCCAAAAGAGGTTGGGAAATTTTAACAAAAAGCAGCATATCTGCTGAGGGGCCTATATGTTTTAAAAGCTTAAATAAAATCCAATGCATTTAATGGGATTGTTGTAAGATTTATATCTGGGTGGGGGCATTTTTAAATGAACTTACGTTGTTCTTAAATATTATTCTTTGAAAGAATTTCTTGAAAAAACTGAATATTGATGAATAATTGAGCTTATCTTAAAGTCCTTTAATTGACATAATCTAGCAAAGAAATGAGCTCATGTTTCAGAGCTCATTTGTGTATATAGAACAAACATCACTATATTTTTTCAGTATATACTTATATTGTCTCAAAAATTAGTATACCAGAATAGTTTTTAAGATATATATGCATATATACACATATACACATGCACACATATATATACATACACATATATATGTAGTGTACATATGTGTCCCACACATTAGAGAAAATAAAGGACATAGAATATAATTTTATTCTAATAAACTGCTTATCTGACTTAAGTGATAAATACAATAAACTTTGGTGTTAAACTTTGTCTTATGGAAAAGCACACAAAACAGTGAGAAAATATTGGTTATAGCTCTTCAAAATCAGTAGCTAGTTGGGATAATAACTCGCTATAGAACATTTTCTTCAGGAAAAACATTGTTATTGATTATCTTCATAAAAAAAATTTGTGTTTGATTTGACTCACATCATTCTTTTGTTACGAAGTTTTCCAGGTTAGCTTGAAGCCTAATCATGTATTCAGATTATCCTCAATGGTTCTCATCACTGTCTGCACAAAACAATCACCTGAGGCTTTATATAATACAGGTCCCTGGGTCCCATCTCTAGAGATATTGATTTAATTGGACTGGGTTGCATCCAGCACACTCGGGTTTTTAAGACTTCAAGGTAATACCAGAATGCAGCCTAAGGAGAGAACCACTGATGTAAGGGATTGATTTTTGTAAATACTAGACACATTCAAGATAATCAAAATTTTAAAACTTACATTTATATCTCCATTGTTTCCACACAGCTCCATCATTATTTTAAAACCAATCAGCCATTAGTTAGATATATTTAACACACATTTTTTGCACCAAAGGGTATAACTATAATTATAAATCAAATAGTTGATGATGATACTCCTTTCTCCAAACTCAAAATATAATTATGTATTTGTTCATTCATTATAAAAATATAAGTAGTTAAACAAGTTGGACTTTTTATGAATATACTTTTATATCTGAATTAAAATCACTTCCCGTGAAATTCTGTAGTGTTTGGTGAGGTGAGACATTTCCCAATGGGAGGCTCTCTTGTGTCTCATTATTATTAGGAACTTGTGTGAAAGTAAGTGTAACATCCACTAATTATGTAATGCTTCCTATAAAAGAATTGCAAGAGCCCCCAAATTAGTGTTCTATTAAGTTATTGTTTTAATGATGGTAATTATCACTGATGGTAATGTGACTGCTTCCTAGGAGCTAAAGTAAACAGTCTTACTTTGAAGAATGTAATACAGAACATAATGACTCATATAAATGAAATAGCCTGATAATCTTGTCAGATGAACTGTAACACCTTGTGGGACTATTAGAAACTATGTTAACTTGGATCTCTTCCTATTTACATAACGAGTTTTAATTTATGTCATATAAATTTCCTACACTGAGTTAGACTGAGGTCAACTCTGGATAGTCTCACTGTTCCAACAGAAGCCTCATGAGATCTGGAGTTCCAAATTTGTCTACAGAGTACTCTGTAAAGACACACACACATAGGTGCATGCAGACATACACAACCACACATAAACACACCATGAAGAAACAGAGGCAACTACAGCTAGATAGGACAAAAAAAAAGAAAAAAACCTCAAAGAACACAAAACTACAACAATCAACAATACAGAACCTCATTATAAACAATAAAACCATTCACAAATAGAACAATCAGAAACAATGAAAGGTTAAAGAAACAATATTGTCTATGAGAGATAGCTACAAATAGGCTCAGGCATGCATTAAAATGATTACTAAGCCTAATGTTCTTCCACTGATTCTTCTTAGCCAGAGTAGCTGGGGACAGGAATGAGATAAAGGGAGTAATATTCTTCTATACTCAAACCTTATCATAGGCTTGTGATTGAAGCCTGGGTGACAGGGGTGTGTTTCTCTGCAGGATTTCTAAGATACACTGTTATCTCTTTGGGCTTGTGCCTTGTAGCATTGTAAAGATGAACACTATATAGCCTATGATCCTATGATCTGATTTCTGCACTTCAAAATAAGTACTGCCCCAATTACTAATTGACATTTTCAAGTGTAAATTCTACAGAATAATGCATTCACATCCTAAATAATGGGATTCAATTCATTATTTTAAAGCACATCTTTTTTTCAAGGGTAAATGCATAGCGCTGTACTTTTCTGGAAACAAAGAAGCAAAAAAAGGGAACATCGATTTTACAAAAGTTAATTTCAAATACGAAAATAATTTACTTTTTATGTTATTGTTAACATGACGTGTTCATTAAGTGAGACATAAAATTATTAAAATTTATCTAGCAATGCCCTTTTAGGCAGCATTAACAGAAAAAAAATATTTCACAGGTATGAAATATATTTATTAACTCACTCAAAAATATTTCTTGAATGGATGCTATGTTCCAGGCCTTATTCCATGTTCCAAGAATGTAACAGTGAACAATACAGACACATTTCCTGACCTCACAAATCCTCCAATCTTCTGATCTTTGAGTCGATTTATTTTTAGTAACTTCTGAAGATAGAATTATTCTTCATGGTGTCATTATAATTTAATCCCTACATTCCCAACAAAATCCTTACATCAGTACTATAGTTGACAATTATAGATACTAACCTTTAAAAATAAAAACTTAATTTACTCAACATATTTTCAATTCACTAACAACTTATAACTACAATTTAAAATTGTAACAGATCTAATTTTAAAATAATCTTCATGTGGTCGCTATAAAAGTTTCTGACATGCTATGGTTTATATTACAACATCCAAAAAAAAAAAAAGATATAACATTCTCATTTTGAAGTTAAGAAAAAAAGTTCTATTATATCAAAACTGAATCAAAAGTTAAGAAAAAGGTCATGCACAGCTGTTTTGATTGTAATTGCATTACTTTTTTTTAAATTTAAAATATAATTGTTAGGACTAATCATCCTTATATTGTTATTTACTACATAGTTCTGTAAAAGTAGTGTTTTATTATATTTTTGGTAGTTGATTTTTCTTTCCTCTAGCAACTTTATTTAAATTTCCTGTACATATTTGAGTTTGTGCCCCCTGTTTTATAGCATCACAATGGAAGTGCTACTCTGCTGGAGTGAGGAAATTCTATTTGGAGTATGGGACAAGGTACTGATTTCCCACTGTAGTAGGATAATGGTTTCTTAAATATACAAGTCTTGTTGAATAGGAGGGGAGAAATGTGATTCAACAGATAAACCACGGGTATTTATAATCAGGGTGTGGTTACCAAAAAGTCTGATCCTAAGGTGTGGCAGACCAAGTGCCAGGCAGACTCTTGGGAAGCATCAAGGACCACCCAGTTCCCTAACTCAAGGAGCCCACTGCATTTACAATCAACAAACACAATTTATGCTCGTATGATTTTGGCCTACCTGATTCTTCATATCCACTCAAAAGTCTTATACTTATCCCATAATGATCTGTGGTGTTATTCACAACAAACAAACCAATGTTCCTTATCATTTCTCCAAACTCTCATCTATTTTGAAGCTCATGACAACAGTTTATGACACACATTGCCCCTTTTTGCCACAGCTATTTACAGATCTCCAGATCTATAATTTTGTCTCCCTCATTCTCTGGAAGTTTAGTAATTCAGCTTACTATCTTTCTCTTCCAAACTATCTCTGCAACTTTTCAGTAAATTTCCTATCCATATACACTATGCTTTCAATATCCATTTACACACGCAGTTCCTTTAGGAATTCTCCTTCAATGGACTTCTGGTCCCTGTTAGTTCAGCCATCTGAACTTTGAAAATTACCAGTAACAGCTAACCCCTCTTCCTCACTTATTACTAGGTTCATCCCATCTTCCAATCAATCCATTGATACTACTGTATTTTCACTGTTCACCATGTCTTTCCTACCTATCTGACTTACATCTTATGACCACTCATTATAATCTCTTTCCATTGTTCATAAAGCCTCAATACCATTATCAACACCCCTGTTTTATTTTCCTGAAAAAAATGTTTACTGTTTTCACTGGTTTTTCACTGGTCACCTGTTCTAAGTCATCATCGAATAAGTGAACTTAAAGGAGAAAACCTCACAACAGTGTTGAATGATCTCATTTTAATATCCTGACCACTGAACTCAAGGGATTCCTTAAGGCTGTAGGGTGATACCACTCTATCTCCTTATTCAATTTGCTCTCCCATTATTCTGCGTAACTGTTCCAATTATTCCCCACTCTATGGAACTAGAGCATTTTTCTTCCAGATACATATTCATGGCTATTATTTCACTGAGAAAGTAGAAAGTAAATGAAGAAAATGCCTGCATGGACCCATCATCGAGTCTATCAACCTTCCTATACTCCTATCCTCTTCCCACAACAAATAAGCTATATGCTCCTATATAAGTCTCAGCTCTACACTTGTGCAACAGATCCCATTACCTCTTGTTTGCAAAGCGAATTACTCCGGCAACTTCCCTGTCATGTTCCTGTATGATCAATGTTTTCCTTATTATTTGGGCATTTTCATTTGCATAGAAACATTGCAGTTTCTACGGGCTTAGAAACAAAGCAACAAAAAAAATAAAAGTCCATTGACTCTGCCTCTTCCTCTAATGCCTGACTTGACTGTTCTATTCAACAAAACTCATTGAAAGTGTAACTGTACCTACTGTCTGAACTCTTTCTCTTCCCATCCTCTCTCCAACAAACTTCAATCAGACTTTGCTTCCTCTACTCTGAAGAAACATCACATGCTGTTGTCATCTCTGCTCACCTGAATCCAGTGGTCAATTATCAGGACATGTTTAAGTTGACTTAACAGTATCTTTTCACACCCTGTTATCATTCTACAACTTTTAGAACATTAATTTCCTCAGACCACAACTACATTCTACCTTGGCTTAATTTTTTTTTTTTGCAAGTTTAAACTGATAATTTATTTGTGAGAAAAAAGGCTAGTTTTGATGAGAAAAAGTTCAGTCCTTTCCTTGTAAATACAAAGAAACTCAACAGTAACTTTAAAGGTAGTAGGACAGAAAATGCAAGAGTAACTCTTATAATCCTTTTCAATTAAACAGACAAATCAAGTTGAAGACAAGTGTTAAAATACTATTCGGCCTGAATATTTATCAGCCTATACATCCTGTTGTTCAATTGTCTTTTGATTTTAAAAAAAAGCAAACCAACAAACTTATAAGAGGTATCGCCCCATTTAGAGTGATGAAAATAACTTAGTTCTCCTCCCCAAAGATATTTTTTATCCTTTAAAAATGCTATATAATATCTTACACAAATTAACCAGTGTTTTTACAAAAGTAATGCAGTTTTGGACTGATGATATTACACTGTATTTGTGGTAAAGTACTAGGCACAAGATATATATACCAATTAGGCATTTTCAGTCTAATCAGTTTCTAAGGATATCATTTAATTCTTGGTAATATATAATAACTGGTATGATTTTGATACTTAAATCATAAATTGTGGAGATCAAGAAGCAATGTATTATAGTAACAGGGTTTATATCTAGCAAACAGTTGCAGTGTTGAACAAAGCTCTTCTATGAACTTACTGAATGTGTTTTGCCGTTGGTCACTTGCTGTAGAGCTTTGATTTGATTGTTCCGTCTTCATGCTTTCTCCATCTGCAGTCTTTAACATTTCTTCATCTTTGTCATCATGTAGGTCTTTTCAAATTAATTCTCTAGCTAGTTTGATATTCAGTCCTTCATTGTAGTGAAGCTTCCTTTTCATTTCAAATTGTCGCCTTTTTTCTCGTTCTTCAGGTGAGAGGTCCTAGCCTCCTCTCCACTGCTTTCTTGTTCCTGAACCCGATACTTTGGGTTCAAGCCTTCAGCAACAGCTAATTTCTTAGCTAAGATATCTGGTGCCACGGCTTCAGTGGTTTCTGTATCACTACACGCATCTTCACCATCACCCATCTTACGACAGTAAGGAGTGCTTGGTTCATCTATTTTCATTAAACCATAGTCTTTGTCCGCTGGATGATATGTCGCCAGGATGTTCATTTCTTCCCACTTCTGGGATTTTTTGCTCAGCTCCTCCTCGACACTCCCGCTGGGCTGTTCAGCCGAGGCCACCATAGAGGAAGCTGTAGAGGCCTTGTTCTTCAGGATCCCCTTCACTGGCCAGTGCGAGGCAGTCCAGGCCGCCATTTCTGGGCGCTCTGTCTGTTGGCTCAGGGTCGCTGCTTGGCGTGGAGTCCGGAAGAGAAGAGTCGGGCACTGGCAGAGACCGTCCAGGGAGGCGCGGAGCCCGCTCAGGGCTAAAGCGGCCGCATCTGCCGTCTCAGAAACGGCTACCTGGGTGGTTGTCACGAAACAACGACCCCGGCGCAAGAGCCAACGCCGAAGGAGTGGCGGCTGCTCACGGGCTCTTAGCCGCCAGCACTTCAGCCGCTGCTCGCGGGGAGACGCCGGCAAGAGCTCCAGCTCCGGAGCGACGCCAAGCCTAGCGGGCCCGCCCTCTCGCGATATCTTACCTTGGTTTAAATTCTATCACATTGGCAGCTGTTTCTCACTCCCCTTTGCTTATCCTTTTTCATTTTATGGATTTGGAATTTATTCTGTGTCTACGAACTGAGACTTCCAACCACTTCTCTATTATAATTTCTGCACCCTGTTGCTAAGTTATTTCGTGCAGTCCAATGCCTGGAAAAGTAGTCTGTATGTTTGATGACTCTGTTATACCACTTTATTCCGAGCTCGGCTTTTGTTTTTGGCACATCATAAGTCCTTTTAAAATACTGTTTGAATAAATATGGAGATGAGTGAGACGGAAAATATCAGGTATCTTTATGCAAGGAGCCATTGAGATGGCTATTAGCAGAACCAGTGCTAGTCGTTGGACTTTTGATCTTATTTTGAGTCCAAATTAGGAATTCCTTCTTTCATCATGAATTTAAAATGCATTATTTTTCTCTTAAAAATGGTGCCTGCCAGATGATTGATGACTTTATACTTGAATATCAGTCATTAAACATTTCATTTACAGTCAAAATATACTTAATATACTCAGCACTATTAAATCTCGTTAATTCTGAGAAGGGATTGAATGACTTGCAGTGTCATGATATCTAGCAATTGGGATGTTATAAGAAATACAGCTGATAGAGATAAATAGATGATAAATAACAATATTCTTTACACAAATTTTTAAAACAAATTACAGCTTTTATTTTTATTTTGGACTAAGATATAACTGGTATCAAGTCAGGAATAGTGTGATCTTGGGAAATTCATTTATAACCTCACATTCCTCTGTTGTAAAATGAAAAAAAAAATAACTTTCTCACTGAGTTGTAAGGAGTAAACAAAATAGAATAGTGACTGACAAAAAAGAAGCTCTTTACAAGTTAACAATAATTATGTTATTATGTAATCTCTTAATTCAAATTGACATCAAATTAGAAGTATATTTATTAAATACATTTGTGATGTCAAGATACACTAATATATCTAAGAGATTTAAAACCGAATCATATTTGACTTCTTTTCAGTGTTCATTCCTTTTGTAACAAGTGTGTGGTACTTATTTTAATATTTTTGTTATTGTTTTACTTGAACCATAAAATCACCACATGCTTTCAGAATACAGCATTCCTAGATTCATTCCTGATTCACAGAACTGGCTATCGTAAGAAAACAATAATAATACATTTTAAGCTGATTATTTTATATGTTCTCCAAATCAATCAGTTTCTAGACTACCTCCCTTGGCCCACTACTATAGCATATTTTTTGCAAATGTCAGGGCATATCTACAGCTTCTGTAATCATAAAAACTAATTTTCAGTCTTGGCACTAAGACTGTTTGCATATATTCAAAAGAATATTTGACTTTTGACCTTCTATTCATTTCCCTAACACTTTTCAAATTTATCCTTATTGATTCAATTCATTCTCTGTGAAATGTACTTTTTTCATGCCTGCGATATTTTTTTGTGTTTGACACAAATGTTTAAGTTAATATAAAATTTAGGTTAAGTACATCAAATACTAAGAATTCTAGTTCAATATATGGTGACCTTTAGAGAATTACTTATGTTAGAAAATACACTTTGTCAATGAATACTTACTTAGAAAAGCATTGTGTCCTGCTGAAGTGTTGCTTAAATAGAATTTATACAGTAATAGGTCACCTTTAAAAAATATGCCAGATCATGAAGGAACTGAGAAATAGGTTGAGCTAATGAAAAATGCATTGATGATGCTAAGACATTTGTCTGAATTTATAGAGCAAATTGTTGGGGGAGGCACAAGTAAGAAGGAGGCTTAATATTCAAAAGGTATTTTTTTATTAGTATCAGCGGAGCAAAGAACTATGTCTTCTCCCAGTATCTTAAACTAAGAAAGTAGACTTGTGACACAGGAATTTTCGGTGCTGCTTTGCCAGCTGGTGACTTCTGAGGCTGGTGACGCCCCTACCCAGGATTGCCCTTGGATTGCCACAGGAGGTACCCCACCCACTTGGTTCAGTGGGCTGCCTTTGGCTTGTGCTCCAGGCTGGATCGAGCACTCACGGTGGGATCCCACACTCAGCCTGCAGCTCAGCCGGGCATGCAGCAACCTTCTTCCACCTTGGGCACCTGCATCTGGATGAGGGGAATGCAGTGGCTGCCAAGAAACTCGGAGACACCAGCAACTCCAGTATTATTATTGAGGGGGTATCATTCCCACCCTTTGCAGCTCAGTGTAAGGGGTGTGTTAACATCTTTTTCAGTCCTGTTGCCCAACTCTGGCCTGTGGTTCCTGGGCAGACCCAGCCCCACTGCTACTTTCTGTTGTCTAGAGCAGCCACCGGACACTGGTGGAGGACCGTGGGCTACAAGTGCTTCAGCCTTTTTCATACCAGCGTTTGGCAGGTCCCAAGTTCTTGTCCCACTTCCAAGAAGAATGAAGTTACTCTGATAACTGAAGGATGAGGAGGGTGGAGACTTTTACTGAGCAACAACAGCACAGTTTTTAGCAGAGAGGGGACCCAAAGAGGGCAGCCCCCTACCCAAAGTCGAGTAGCCTGTGAGGTGCCTGAGTCCGGTTGAGACCTTGGTTTTTATGGGCTCAGAATGGAGGAAGTGCATGCTGATTGGTCCATGGGCAGGAGGAAGTGGTTCTGAGTTGGTCCATGGGTGAGTGTGGAAAAAGCGCCAACTGACTGGCTGAAAGGCATCAAGGAAGTTCCCACTCTGGGTTGCAGACCCTACCCTGAACTGGAAGCCCAGCCCCCAGGCTTTAGGTTATCCTTGACTTGATGGTTGGGCCCCACCAGGGACCTGCCCTGCCTAGGAACCTGTCTGCCTCCCGCCACCACCGATAGCATCTTTTATTAATGTAAGTTCACAAATACTACATCTTAGATTGTAACCATTTAGTGCTAGCATTGAATAATTATATACTATAAGAGGAAATATTTTAAGACAGAATTAGTGACTATAGTTATAAAGTTATAAGTTGAGCTATTATCTATTTATTTTTGGATAGTGGGGTGTCTTTATAGTTGCTAAAATTTTAATTCCGGTTTAATACAATACACTTAAAAATTGTTTAGTTAAAATGTATATTCCATCAACTTAATTCAGTTTTTATGTCTCCTCATGCAAGGAGCAAGAGGTTGGTAGACAGTTTAATTCAAATGAGAGTTCAGAAATTAGAAACTTGGCAAAATTGCCAAATAGCTTGCACCAGGCACTCTTTTAAAGTAAGCATTAAAAAATATCAACTCATCAAGCTGTGTCAACACTTTTATTCTCCTCATTTATTCTGCAAGGCAATTCAAAATCCATGAGATTTGTAAGATATTGACCATAATGTTTGCATCCTCTATGTTTTAATGAAATCCTTTTTTCCCTATTATATAAGGGCTCCCAAAACAAACTCATTATATTCTACATCAAAAATATAATATTTTAATTATGGAAAGTTCTTTTAACTTTCCTTAATAGTCTTAAAGTATTTATTCCATAACTCTAGGTACAATTATATATGTGAATACATTTATATGTTTTAAAGTCTCAGTCATTTTTGTGTTTTATGAGAAAATGAATTGTTTTCAAACTCAGTTTGAAATCTTCATTAAAAATAAAATCTAATGAGTTATGTAGTGAAACTCATTTTAATGTCACTTATATATAACTAGAATTAAAGAATTAAGACAATATTTCCCATAGTTTCAAAAACTATCCTTCTCTTCCACTATTATTGACATAGTCAGTGAATAAATTATCTAATTTACCATGTTCTCACATAGAAGTGATGGTTTCACCTTTTTGAAACCATGATCTTCTAGAAAATGGGGAAAGCCAGCATGCTAAAATCAGCAATCTCTATGATGCCACAGGCATAAGCAGAAAAAAAGTCATGTTTCCCTAAGTTAATTTCTGAATAAAATAAAAATGTGTGGAATTGGGAGGGCATAAGATAGAGAGACAAAAGAGGATTAGAGAAGTTACAGAAACTCCTTGAAGAAGTGACAAGCAGAACAGAGACAGGTCAAAGTAGATTTATTTTTAGGTCAGTATTTACTTATAAGTTGTGATGGGCTTCTAAGCTTACACTTTTAATATGTCCCTTCTTTTCTCATAAAGTGATGAAGCATGGTTTTATTCGACTGTAATTAGTTTGGAGAAAAAGTGATTTGAGAAATTATCTCTTTTACATAATGATGATATTTTATGGATAATTAATGTTCATAACATTAGATTTTTAAGCAAGCAAATAAAACAATGCTAACAGCTGTTCTGATCCACATTTTAATATAAGAGTTTTCACAGATAGTTTGTGATTTTGTTTTTAGAATATCCAGGGAAGTGGATGTGTTGTGTTTATATGTGAAATGACATAAAATTACTTTAAGATTTTGGAGAATATGATAAATGAAGACTTAAAGAGTCTCATTTTTCAGCTTCTAATGTTCCCTTGAAGAGAATGCCTAAAGTAAAAGCAATGTTAGTTTTTCACCTCATTTCACTGATGAAGTGGTAATTCACAAAAGTGCCTCTGTAAGTTGAGAAAGTATATCCAGGTGTATAAATTTGAATGCATTCGAGCATTTGGTTTTTGCTTCAAGCTACATTTTTCCTTTATATCAGAAAACCTTTGAGACACAAGTGGTTAAATGAAGAATAATTAGAAGCAAGGTAACATTGAATAAGCATAACCTAAGTACAGAATGATGCCTCAACACTTTCTGTTAATGAATATTTATGTCCTTTTACTGCTTGTGCAAACACATATTTCTGTGCATATTCAGTTAGCTTTAATATTTTAAATAAATTTTTAAAAGGTTTAATTTTAATACCTAACTTTTGCTTAAAATATATCTTTATTCAAATTATTTATTCCATTGTGCACATCATAACCTTTTACTTCAGGTTCTGGATGGTTCCATAATGTTTGGTTAAGAATTTGTTTCTCTAAATGCTGAATAATTCATTCATTTAATGAGAAATATATAATCTTGTATTTCTCTAAACTTGCAAATTCACTTATACTTCACCTAAGAATGCACCATCAGTTTATTTATTTTTAAGAAAAACTGAAAAGAATGATTAAGATAGTATTATTTGAATTTATATTTCATTTTTAGAGCATAAAATGAAATAATGATTCTTGTATCTTCATAATATATATTATAATCCTCAAAGGTCTCTAATATACAAAGTAAATTTTTCACCTTCCTTCTTTGCTACTTTACCCTATTATTATTCTTGCTTTGTGCCATTTTGTTTCTGCCATCTTATTCACAAAAATAAAAATATTTTTAAGCATATGTCATATTAATGTACTTTGAAATGTATTATATATTGTAAGTAGCCTCTGTGCAAATTAATGCTCTTATCTTATTTGAAGTTTGTTTATTAAAAAATATGATTAGATTTTCTAGATATTTTCTGGTTTACCTTTCCTTAAAGTGTTTGCATTAATCACTGTGATTACTGTATTTTTTTTAATTTACTTTTCGTTCTTCCTCCTATAATATGGTCATTCTCCCTTTCCTTCAGCCAACTGGAATACTTAGTTAATTTATTCTTTTCCTAAATGAACATTTAGTTATTTACTTTATAATTGTGAAAAAGTTTTATCTATATCTTGTGATATTTTATGTCATGGAAAGTTTTCTTTTTATAAAATTTATTTGATTGTTTCCATTTTTATTTTTTGTGGAAACTTTAAGCAAATCCTAAGGAATCTAGAAGAGCCAAATCAATCTTGAAAAAGAGCAGAGATGGAGATTATGCCCTACAATATATCAAGGATTCCTATTCTGCAATAATTAAAATAGTGTAGTATTAAACAAAAATAGGATGTACACTAATGGAACAAAAGCCAGTCCAGAAAAAGACTCACCTCTATAGGCTCATGATCTCTCTCTCTCACTCGCTCTCTCTCTGTCTCTCTCTTTAAATATATATATATGAAAAAGTATAGCTTATTTTTTAATAAGTCATGCTGAAGAAATTTGATATTCATATTGGATTTAAAAACACCTTGAACTTTAACCTCAATCCATAACAAAAGTCATGATTTCCTAATAATTCAAGAGAATTCAATAATTCTCTTTGCGTGTGTGTGTGTGTCTGTGTGTGTGTGTGTGTGTGTGTGTGTATACACACATGCACAGGGGCCAAGACTGGACTGCGTACTGCAAAAAAGAGTATAACCAAGTTGCCTGAAAGCTAAACATATTCCAACTTGCTCATTAATCTTTGGAGTCTTTCAAATTAAACAACAATAAGATACCAATCCTCACCTATCATAATGTTTATTTTAATTGTGCTAAGTAAACATTATTCCCTCCATGTATTTAATAATCTTTATAGAACACATAGCACAATATTGCTTTTTCTCATTAGAGAATCACAGTGCGTGTTTCCTGAAGTAGAACAATATTCTAAGTAAGATTTAATCTCAGTTCATAACTGACTGAAATTCAAGGGTAATTTTACAGTTTTAAAATATCCGCAGGTGAAAGAAATATTGTATTCCTTTTTTTTTTCCTGAGCAAAATAAATCTGTCCCGCTCCCCTTACTCTCTCCAGAGTTAATCTTTAATTGTTTATGAAGATTGCCAGTTGAAAGCATTTGAGCATCCTGAGTGTCCTGAAGTTTATACACTTCAGGGAAATGGGAAGAACTTCCTGTTGTTGCCATGGCTGACATGCACCTTTCCTGGGCCAACTTGGCACCTTTCTTGTGCCCACATGGCCCCTTCAAAGTTCAATAGTAAACTCCCCTAGAATGATCTTTCCTCCCAAAGGCAACATTCAGCCAACAAGGTCTTTGCTTAGAATCCCAAGGCAGAAGTGCTGCATGTTCATTTTCAGCCTCTGCAAAGACGTATATATGCAAATTATTTGGTATTATTCATGCAAACAGCATTCAAATACCTAATGGTCTCAGTTTAGGATTTCCAGCACTATTTCTAATGCCATACTACACCTGTCTCCCACATCAAAGCACTGGAATTTCAATCTGCCCCGCCTCTGAGATAATCCACTTTAATCTATTTCACTCCCTATTGCCCCTAGAAGCCAATATTAGATAAAATTTAACATATCATTCATTCTGGGATAAAGATAGCATAAAATCATACTGTGGTGCTTGCACATGATGTTTGTAAAAAAGAAAAAATCAATAAAAGTATTCCTTTTTCTCTGGTAACATATTCTCTATTACCAAATTTGTGAATGTGTGGGGAGGAATCCATTCACTAGGGGAAGGGAATCAACAAAGCTCTATTTATCTTAATAATTCCCGTGCTCCACAAACAAGAATAAAGTAAATTCCACCAGAGTAATTCAGGAATCTTTACACAGGATAATATTTTCCTTACCTAAAATGCATTTATAGGCATTTATTTCTTAACATCTCTTTTTTCAGCCACATTAATTTTCACACTGAAATCTGTGATGCTTTATACTTATTGATGGCAATTAGAAAAGAGAAGAAAAAGGAAGTTGGCAGTAAAATGCGAAGTAAAGAAAAAGGTAGATAGATGGGCACATTTTTGCAACAATACTTGGAATAGGTAAATGATGCAGATGAATAAATAAACTCAAAGCTACAGGCCAATATCTATGAGAAAAAAAGCTGAAACAAAAGGAGGAGGTTATGCCAGACTTTGTTTTTTTGCTGTGGTGGAATCAAAGGTAGAAAGGTAGAACTAGGTATATATTTAGCAGAAAAATTGTGTGCTTACTGTACTAAATAAAAATTATCTTGGTGACAATCAGGTTTAAAAAATATAAAGTAAAAATTTTAAGAAATTGAAATTCTAGATAAAAATTGGATAACTACTCTAGAAAATAGAAATTTGAATAAATATTTTTTGAAAAATAGAAAAACTCAGGTTAAGCTTCATAAAAGTACCATCTGAATACTCTAGAAAGAATAAATCCTGACAAAATTTTTAGCAAATAAGGATTGGTAAGTGAAAATTAATTGTCTAGGGGCTTTTATAAGTAATTTAAGTGTCTATGATTGCTTGACTTGATGTCCATGTTATTGAACATTTCAATGATCAAGAATCAACAATTATGACACTGAGCTATCAAAACTGGTAAAATTGTTACAGAGCTTAGAGAGGTACATGTAAATAGGCGACTAATAAATGTATCTTTTGAATAAATGAAATATATTAAATACGAAAATAGATTTCTGGAATATTAAAGAAAGTTTACATTTATAGATATAATTTAGAAATGATGTGACTAGAGTTGATCATTGAATACTAGATTGGCTAGCACTTTCTGGGAAAAAGCATTAAACATAACACTGACAGTGTCCAAAGCTGCTCTTTGAAAATATTCAACAGAAAGTGCTCAATTGAATAATTTTACTCATTAAATTGATGTGATATATCAGATATGCTTAATTCAAATCTCTTTTAGGAGTGGATGGACAGCTTAGATTTTCCTTCCACTACAGTACCACAGACAGTAATAATCAAATGATGGTTGTAAATGCTAGTTGATTGATTACTAAGCAACTTATAAGCATTTTTTCCCCTTTAATAATGTTCTATACTTACCAGGTTGGATCAGTGATGAAATGTCCAAGGCCTGAAATTTCTACGATTAGTGTCATTCTTTGTGATAAGATATTATTTAATCAGAAGGACCATGTCCAAAAGAAAATTTGTTTCCTGGGAAAGGGAGCATATCAGCCTATTATGATACATTCATGGATAAGAATGACCAATCATGAACTCTGGGTATTTCTACTTTGATGCTGCAGAGATTGCAATTACATTTGCACTGATATATTTTCAGCCTGAAATAATATGTTAAGCTTTTGATATCTGCCCTAAGAAATGATGATGTTGGCTCCGAAAAAGATTTCTACCATCAAGGGGACTAAAGGAGTTTAAAACTGGAAGCACACCCTGGTATTAAAACCAGGAAAACAGTGGACTGTAAGAGATAGACATCTGCTTTTTAAATCGTATTTTTTGGAAAACAAAAAAGGTTTTCTCATTAATAGATTTCTTTCACTGAATATAAACATAAGCTTAGATCTTGATGTAGTTAAAGAATATATTCTTCTTTATTCTTTTTTCTTGATGCTAATCTAATTAAAGCTATTCATCAGGTACCCCATAATTTAGCAAACAATTGTTTTCAAAAATTAGAACAAAGTTGTCAGCAACTGTTCAACACTGATGAACTCCTGAAACACTTCCTTGCTCTGGTTCATCAAAACAGACAGTACATTTTAGTCAAACACCCTGATGATATACACATTTTCAATATCTAGTTTTTATATATTCTTTAATTGTGGAATTGTTGGAAAATTCCCAAATGTTCATTTGCCTCCTCTCATTAAAAATGGGCACCTATCACTTCTGTTTTGAATTTTAAACAATGCATTTAAACATTTCATTACTATTAATGTTAAAAATAACCCTTGCTTTTTGATGTAGATACACTGACTTTTTTCCTCATTTGCTGCATTAATTTGATAACAGTGTAAAATTGTCCTAAGCTATTCTGCAAATTTAAGGCTACACAAACACACACACACACACACACACACACACACACACACACAATAAAAATTAAACAGAAGTAGAAAATAGTTACTAAACAGCCAGACTTTGATATATGTAAGCTGCTACTTTGTTTTGTAGGGTTTCAAAACTTAAGCAGATATATTCTTTTCCCAGTTCTTCTGATTTATTTTTACTCAAATCCTGAACATTATGTTAATCTTCTGTATGTTTGACATTGCTTAATATCAGTGAGTACTTATTCTAAAATAAAGCTCTAATTCCATTTCTTCTTACGACTTAGTACACATTGTTTATGGTGGCTCTTGCCTGAAATAATGAGATGGAAGTTGATCTCTCTTCTTTCTCTCTCTCTCCTTCTCTCTGTCTCTCACACACACGCAGACACATGCGTGCATACACACACACACACACTGTCACGCTCATAGGATCAATATTTATGGAGTGTTCACTGAGTCCCAGGCATTTTCTCGGCCATTAGTAATACAGCAGTACACAAGACCAAGTTCTTAGCCTCTTAGCCTTTTGGGAATTACATACTGGCATCTGAGTCTACTTGTAAAAGTTGTTTTTTAATGACTACCATGTAAAGTATGTTCATTCATGGCTTGTGAGTAATATATTGGGGTATTAGGAAGTTAATATTTATATAGTTAAACTAAATATAACATTTAGTTAAAATATGAAAAACATGGAGCGCCTTTACATAGTTAAACCTACTAGTTTTCTAGCAGTGCCAGTGAAATAAAACAATAAATTATAATTTGAATGGTATTTAATCCACAAAACTCTATCTTCACTTTTTAAAAAATCATTCATATGATCAAAAAGAAAGGTACTAACAATACTACTGCATGGTTAGTGAATAATTCTCAATAAAATAGAGAATAAAATGGCCAACTACAAACTTATACGTTAAGCTTATAAGACATTGATTAAGCAACAAATTTAATAATAACTTGTATCATTTTCTGTGAAAAAATAAAGTTTAACAAGAGGTGTACACATGTGATAAAATATTTGAACAATGAATATCATTTCATTTTTCATGCGTTTATATGTAGCTATCAGTTTTTTTTTCCTGTCCATGATAAAATTGTGGGAAAGATAGAATAACTCTTACAAGACTAGTATTAACACTTCCATTTTTAAGATAAGGAAATGGGTTCAGAAAATACACATAAATATGGAAGAAAAATTAATAAATTATAAGAATATGATGTAAACCTATGACTGTCATCACCTTCTAATAGTTCTTAATTTTTCCAACTTAATCCTTTATGATATTATGTTCAAACTGCGGGCTCTAGATAACATATGAATATTGTTTTACATAAATATCTACTACTTACTGTCTGTGCTTTCTCCAGTGCTAAATAAAACCATAATTCAGTTTCCTTATCTCTAAAATTTGAATAATAATGGTAACCTATCTTATAGCTATTATGGAAATTATTATTTGAAATAGTATACAATGTCTGTTATGTCAACTGTTATTTAGCACAGACTCTATTGATCTTAATTTCACTTTTCTTTTAAATCTTCTCTTTCCAGGATATGTATGTATGCAGTGTGTGTGTTCTTTTTGATAGAATTACCAATCACCAGCCCTTACATTTTGGCAACACATTAAGCACACACAAAAAATAATGCCCATTTGTACTTTTCCCACTCTTATACTTTTGTAATATTAAAAATTGGTGACATAGAGCATGCAATCAAAACCTGCAGAACAATTATATAATTCTAATATTATGCATATCACTTCCATTGTTAGTAAAATTAACAATGTTAGCTCCACTTCAATTAAGCCGAAACTATCTCTGTAGCCTTTTCCATGTATTGCAGAAACAATACCTTGTTGATATCATCAAATATTCCTGAAAGTCATTGCAATGGTAGCATAACTCTAACTCTAGGTTAGCACAGTAACACATCACATTTCTTCTCTGCTATTTTTATTTTTCTTAGTGAAGTAAAATTTCTTTATTCTTCTTTCAGCTTTTATTTAATTTCGTTTTCTCTCTTAAGTGCTGTTTATTCATACATATTAACTATTCCTTGTCTAAAATTCTTGGAACCAGAAGTGTGTAAGATTTTGAATTGTTTGGGATTTTGAAATATTTGCATACACATAACGAGACGTCTTGAGGTTGAGACACAAATGTAAACACAAAATTTATTTTTCATAAGCACTTTACCAAGATAGTCTGAAGCTAACATTACATAATATTTTTAACAATTTTGTGCATAAAATAAAGTTCTTGTACAGTGAACCATCAGAAACCAAAAGTGCTACTATCTCAGCCACCCACGTGAACAGTCTGTGGGGCTTTTTTTTTTTGGCAAGACCATCATTCCTAACTCTGAATTTATAACTACTGATAAGCATTTTCTTATATTTTTTTCACACATAAGCACCTAACCATAATAAATATGACATAATATTAATACAGTGAAAAAATAATAGGTTTAGGGTAACTAATCAGCACACCAGCTTCACCAGAATACCTTTAACAGCTGTTAAACAACAGCAACAAAAAAGAAGAGCAGGCTTTCAGTCTCCACCTAAGAAGCTGTGTTTTGATTAAAAGGTTACTGTAGACAGTATTTTATCTTTTATAGGTGAGAAAAAAACACTAGAAACAGTCGCCAACCAGGAAGTGGATCCTGTAGGGATGAGGAGACATTCAGCTGGATGGCTTTTTTAAATGCTTCCTCCAGAATCATCTGTCTCATTAACAACATTCTTTGTCTTAGAAGTCACTTTCTGATTTTATGAACTGAGAAGATTTCTGTTTCTGTTATGAGTGCACACTGCTTTAGGCCTTCAATAAGCTCATCACTTATTTTCACCATGTTGTCGTGGGCTCTTTTTCTGCAACGTATAAATCATCTTCAAGATCACTATTTTCATGATCACGTTGATTCGGAACCATTTTGGCTATTTGATCATCAGTCAATGAATGAAAATCTGCATTCTCATTATCACTGTTAAAAACTTCCTAAATTCCACTTCTTCCGGCTTACTGAGGGACTCTGAAGGTATTTTTTGCATATGTAAGGAGATCAGACATCGTTTTTTTTCCCTCACTTGATATGTGGAATCCTTCAAACCCACCACCTTATTCATCATCATCACTAAACATGGTTACAGACTAGAGGCTATTCCAGACATGCACAACTGTGTCTTTAGTCACTTTATTCTAAGCATTGGCAACAGCGTAGATGGCATCCTTCATGCTAAACTTCTTTTGAAAACCTTCTACAGTCAGATCTCTGTTCACTGCTGCTAGCATGCTCTTCAAAAAAAGTGTTTTTATATTTACTCTTTATTGATCTAACAATATCTTGGTGATATGACAGAATTAATGAAGTCATGTTTGGGGAAAAACACATGGCATAAAATTATTTTTGATGAGAATTTCAACAGGAGGATGAGGAGAACAGTTGTCAAGGAATAACAAAATCTTGCAATCATCATCCAGTCCAGCGACGCTGCAGTGAGCTTGAGCTGCTGGTACAAAATGTTTGTGAAACCAGTCAAAGAAGACGCCTTGATGATTCATGCTTTCTTGTTAGCATAATAATGGACTAAGAAATTTACTCCTTGAAAAGAGTGAGGATGCAAGCTTTTTCCTATCACAGGAAGTTTATACTTATGTTTGCCTGTTGCATTAGTACATCCCAGCCACTTATTCTGTCCTTGGCATACTTAATTCCTATAGTGGCTGTCTTATCAGCTCTAGTCGATGTCTTTCTAGAGCAACAACACCAAAACAGAAATGAATGTTTCATCAGCATTATAGACTTGTTCTGGCATCAGGTCTTCATCAGCGATAATCTTGGTATACTCATTAATAAATTTATCTACAGCCTAATGGTCAGCAGATGCTTTATCCCCATAAATCTTTAAAAATGTAATGCCATGACTTTTCTTAAATTTTTGCAACCAATCTGTTTAATATTCAGAGTTCTCTTCAATTTTCTAGTTCATTGTAATAGATCTTTGCTAATGTCATGATCCACACACCATTAAGTGGCATGCTTTATAAATAAAGCATATTTATTTTTAGCTTTATTCAGCGTTTTTGTATTTTTCATTATCTTCTGCTGATCACTTTCAGCACAGATCTTCAGCAGTTTACCCTTAAGTTTCTTCAGGTGTATATATGTGTTTCTTCAGGGATGCTAACATATCCACTTTGGTTACACAACTTACATATTTATTTTTAGCTTTATGCAGTGTTTCGTATTTTTCAATATCTTCTGCTCATCACTTTCAGCACAGATCTTCAGCAGTCTATCCTTGTGTTTCTCCATGGGTATATATGACAGTTATTCTACCACCATATTCTTCTGTAAGATGTTTCACACGTACACTGCTGTCCAGTTTCTCTAGCAACTTGACTTTCTCTTATATAGATAAACAGAAACGCTTTTATTTTTTCTTATTACCATTACCCACAGAGGTATTTGCAGACCTTTTTGACATTTTCAGTAATGTCTTTACACCAAAGAGCAGAGAATAAGCAAGAAAAAGCACAGTCAGTAATGCACGTAGGTCTTGGCCCCATGTAGGGCACTGGTGGGAACACACATCCAGCCTGTGCATGTGCCATTTTATTACCCTTCGTAGAAGGGCATGGAGAAGATATATCACAGCTGAAGTGGGCTAAGATGGTCATTTTTCCTTGGAGATGCTGAATAAACTGTGGGTCGTGCCTTTTGACTGCAACCTATCACATGAAGTTAGGTGTGGAATTTTCCACTTGTGGCATCATATTAGCACTTAAAATGTTTCAGATTTTGAAGTGTTTTGCATTTCATATTTTCAGATTCAGAATGCTCAACCTACAATGGGTTCTGATATATTTCTTCACTTAATTTTTGTAGATATTTAGATTCTAGTGTTTCACTTATTTTAATAAAATACTTAATGTATATTTGATTTATAGTGAAGAAAAGCAATATGTAAAAAAGGAGAAATACAAAAATAGCTATTTATTATTGTCCTTTATCCACCACTGAGCTCTCATCTTTACCACTTAATCTGTGGGAAAATTTCATATTTCACGTATTCCTTGAAACACATTACCATGAGTTTAAAGTTATAGATGGTTTTTCGAAGAATGAAGGCTATGAAAACATTTGTCTCTTTGGTAAAAAACATTTTAAGGCAATTTTATGAACATATGAGTAGATATTTCCTGAATATCTATGATGATAACGCAAAAGAAAAATCCCAGGTTGTGACATAACAATTTGTAAAATACTTCAATTGGAGTAGAAACAATTGTGCAAATTACTTCATGTCAGTGAGGCTCAGTAGTTTACTCTGTAGTATGAGAAAATACTACTTTCTTTACAGTATTTCTCTAAGAATTTAATTGCACATTACTTTGGAAAGCACTCTAAAAGTTTTTAAGTTTGAAATATGCCTAACATACAAAACAAAATAGAATAATATAATAGACATCCACGTATTTACTTCCATATTCAACAATTTTAATTAAACTTGCTTTATATTATTTCTGAGTATTAAAGAGGGAGTCAAAATTTTCCTCTCCTGAACGATTTCTATTTTATTCTTTCCCTCTCTGGTGTCGCTGTGCAACTTTCTTATTCATATTTCACATTATCATTAAATATGTATGCTTGAACAATATTCAGAAATGTTTTATAATTTTTCTTAATTAATACATTTCATCATATTATACTTATTCCAAACATAGTGGTTTCTTACTCAACATTATACTTTTAAGATTTATTCCCATTGATGCATTTGGGTCCAGCATAATCAAGTGCTGTTTAATATTCTATGAAATAAATGTTGAGTAAGTTAAGGATACTTTCAGTTTACTTAATAGAAATTCCCGACAACCTTCCATTTAAATTTAGGGGTTGTTTTCTCAAATAATAAAGATTTGGACAGAGAGTCAGTCACTAAATAATGTTATTGTAAGCCAGGCTCACTTCTTTCCATCAGCAATCCTCACATTCATTCTTAGACCCGTAGCCTCATAACTGAAAGGTAGTTGCTTCAATTCACCATATTATGCCCTCACTATTAAGCAAGAACTAGGCTGGTCTCCTATGTACAGCCCCTCAACACACACACACACACACACACACACACACACGCACGCACGCACACACACACACGTCTTTATAGGAAGAGAAATAACTTTCTCATAAACCTCACAGGAGATCTCTCTTCAAATATTACTAACCAAGATATAATTTACATGGACTAAAAGGCAAAAGAGAAACTTTGAAAGTGTTTGTTTATTTTCCATAGTAGAATGCCAGAGAAAGTGGCATATAGAGACTGACTTATGGCTGCTAATAATAACGTCTGCCAATAACATGTCACCATTTATTCAAGCATTTTTGTATTGGCCAATATTTAGATTTTCTTCAACTTTTTAATATTATATAGAATACTGAAATAAATCTCTTTGGGCATATGTGTAATGAGAGTGTCTGTTTATGTACATATGTGCATTTTGGCTGCTCAGTATCTTAATCACCTTTATATGATTGAGAAACCTTTTATTTTGTGCCTGTTGTTGCAATGCGGAGCTTGCCACCTACTATAGAAGCTGAAGATAACGGTAATCATTATCTCAGTCTCTGTTGCAGCTAGGGTATGCCCGATGACCTAAGCTCTATCAATTAGGTTAACCCACTCCCCAGAATTTTAATTATGATATAATGATACATTTAAGCACTATAAAATTCTCACTGGTAGCAATAGCAGTAGGGGCAAGATCAAGTTACTGAAACAATAGTGACACCCATGTAAGTTATAGCAACTTATCTTTAATGGTGGTGAGCGTGGTTTCCTCACTGAATCAGTTCCCGGCTCCAGATTTTGGACATTATCCTTGACTGTATAGAAACTAATAGTCTTTTGATGAATTTTTTTTGTTTGTTTACATTAGGCTTAAGCAAGGGAATTTTTTTTGCCTCGTTGTATTTTGTTTTAACTTTCATTTGCATATGTGATTGCTCAGGTGGGTACACATTTTCCACGTGTATTAAAAAGTAATATTTCCTCTTTTATGACACTTTGGTTTCAATATTTTGCCCAATATCCCACTGGATTATTTATTTTTTTCTTATTTATTTGTTGGAATTATACATGTATTCTAGATGCCAAACATTTACAAATGTTATAAACACTTATAAAATTTGACCACACCTTCTTTAAATTTGTGGTTTGTCTCTTGATACATAGTTACCATGTTCAGAAATATGGAAGAAACTCTGGAGATTTTGTATAGTGATTAAAATAACTTGGACTGTGGAGTTATTCATTCAAAAATATTTATTGAGTTTGTGTCAATCTATATCCATAATGAGTAGAAACCACACAGTTGATTTAGACAGGAGAAATGTAATACAAAAGACTGGTACACTTTGATAAAACAGTAACTCTAAAATACAAGAAAACTCTATATGGTACCCTGGAGCTGAGGGAGAGTATTCAATGAAGAAAAAATTTAGAAGGGGTGTTTTCTCCACAAGACTAGAGTAGTTGAAAAAGGTGCAGTGGCAACCCACTCAACAGCACCGCGTTTCACTGCTTTGCTCAGGTCAGAGCTATTCGGCAACTGCTGGACAATAACAATGGCAGAAAGCAATTCTCCGCGGCATAGGTTCCACACAGTTGAATCTCTTTCAGTGGATCTAGGTAAAAGGATATAGAAGGAGTGAGCCAATGACAAAGTCTTTTTTTTTTTTTGAGACGTGGTCTCACTCTGTCGCCCAGGATGGAGTGCAGTGGCGTGATCTGGGCTCACTGCAAGCTCCGCCTCCCGGGTTCACGCCGTTCTCCTGCCTCAGCCTCCAGAGTGGCTGGGACCACAGGCGCCCGCGACCACGCCCGGCTAAATTTTGTATTTTTAGTAGAGACGGGGTTTCACCGTGTTAGCCAGGATGGTCTCGATCTCCTGACCTCGTGATCCGTCCTCCTTGGCCTCCCAAAGTGCTGGGATTACAAGCGTGAGCCACCGCGCCCGGCTGCCAATGACAAGTTCTTTTTTTTTTTTTTTTTTTTTTTTTAATGACAAATTCTTAACTGCAAGCAGGCCACAGGCCAAAGTTAGCAAAGGCCCAGGTACACAGGTGGGCAGAGGGAATCAAAAACCCTGTGGAGGTATGAAGCCTGGAAATTGTGGTGTCCATGCTGAGAAGGATGCAGGAAGCCAGCCCCAGCTGTAAGATTCCTGAGGGACCTCAGATTCTGAAGTATAGCACCTCTAGATGTTCTCACACTCACACCACCCACTCACTGTAAGGAGCCAGGCACCATAGGAGAGCCCTTTCCTCTACAACATCTCTCCGGTGCCCTCTACTGAGAAGGCTTGAATACTGTGCTCACTATGAGGAAGTAAATACAAGAGGAATTCCACACATTATGGCAGAGTGATTGCAGGGTAAATTTGGAGCTGAGAGGCAATACATTATTTATTGACAAATGTGTGGCGTGCTGGCCAGTATAGTAGATGCTAAAATGTCATAGTAAAAATAAGAAATAAAATTGTCTTCCCTATAGAAATTATGCTTTTGTAGAAGATATATGATATTATCCAAAGAAATGATTAATAAAACAGTGAAGTTCTATGAAACAAAAATATAGTGCTGTAAAGTGTAATGACATTTATTGAGGTTCAAAGAAAGTCTCCTGAACGACAATCATATGTTTGGGGAATTAATACTTAAGATGTATACTGAATATGTGAATATGAAGTATATTAATATTCCTATAAAGCTTGCATAGTAAACTGTGATAAGTGTTTAGAGTTGGCAGTTATTGGCATGGCAGCTGATAACCGAAATTTAATAATAAATGAGATTGATGAAAGAGTAGAGAAAGATAAAAAGTCACATGAAGGAATCTTTTGATAAACACACCTGAAGAGTTTTAAACTGCTTGCAGGTCAATTAAGATGCAAATTAATATGTATTCAAAAGACAATATGTAAGTCATTCACGATCTCCATTAATATGGCTTGTGGGTGGCAGAATTCAGATTACAGAGAGTTAAACAAGTAATAATCTCATAGAACCAAAAGTGGAGATCATAACATAAATAACACATTGATTTTAATTTCCAACTCAAATTAAAAATTAGATTTCGTATAAAAATTTGGATTATGGGTCCTTTTGAAAAATTGGAAACCTTATCAATCTTTCCCTAAACTGGCTTGAAAAAATATTCAACCGGGTTGCTGCCCCTCCTTGAGATTATAGGGTCCATACATTCTCTCTCTTTTTTTTTTTATTATACTTTAAGTTCTAGGGTATGTGCGCACAACGTGCAGGTTTGTTACATATGTATACATGTGCCATGTTGGTGTGCTGCACCCATTAACTCATCATTTACATTAGGTATATCTCCTAATGCTATCCTTCTCCCCTCCCCCCACCCCACGACAGGCCCCAGTGTGTGTTCCCATTCCGGTGTCCAAGTGTTCTCATTGTTCATTTCCCACCTATGAGTGAGAACATGCAGTGTTTGGTTTTTTGTCCCTGTGATAGTTTGCTGAGAATGATGATTTCCAGCTTCATCCATGTCCCTGCAAAGGACATGAACCCATCCTTTTTTATGGCTGCATAGTATTCCACTGGTGTATTAGGGTCCATACATTCTGTATTTCATCACTGTCAGTATTGAACTGCATCACTTTTAATATTTCTACCTGGCCTTTCTAGCACTTGCACTCATGGAATCTGCAACATGGAGTTCTTTAAAGAAGATAATGTGGAAGAGAAAAATGTGGTGTCTGATAGTAAAAGAGGGTTATGTTTTTTTTTTCTTCCCTTTTTTTTCTTCTCTTCCTTCTTTAAAAAAGTCAATAACTGATTGCCAAAACCAAGGTGTATACTGGTTGATATAAATAAGCCCATACATAGAGAGAAATTATAGATAGAACTGAGAAAGTTGAACTCTATTTATGCCTATTTAATTACTGGAATAACACTTACCAAGCTACTTAAACTCTGGTGCTTAATGTCTTCACTTATACAGTGAGAATTAATACCCACTTCCTGAAGTTATCCTGCAGAATAAATGAAATCATGTTTCCAAAGCTTATAAATAGTTCATGACCAAGTAACTATTTAAAAACACATAAAGGAGACACATTATTAATATAGTAATCAACATACCACAGTGGCTGAAAAAGAATTAAACTCAAAGCACTAAGTTAGTCATTACACAATCCCAGGCTGTTTCATTAGGCAGTTGATGGTAACACATGGGGAAAGCAAAGGGACATCAAGACAATAAATCAAATACATTCACGTGCTGCTAAACAACAGGGATATGTTCTGAAAATTTGAGAAATGTATCATAAGGCAATGATGTTTGCCATGCAGATTTCACAGTGTACTTACATAAACCTGTATGATATAGCTTAGAACACACCTAGATTATAAGGTATAGCCTATTGCTTCTAGAATACAAACCTGCACAGCATGTTACCATATTGGATAATATAGGCAATTGTAACACAATAATAAATATTTGTGTATCTCAACTTATTGAAATCTAGAAAAGATACAGTAAAAACACAGTATAAAATAATAATAATAATAATAATAATAATAATAATAAAACAGTACCTATATAGACCACTTAGCACGAATGGCACTTACAGGGCTGAAAATTGTTCTGGGTGGATCAGTGAGTGATTAGTGAGTGAATGTGAAGGCCTGGGATATTACTGTACACTACAGTAGATGTCTTAAACATTAGGCATTAGGGTAAATGTATAAAATACATTTTATTTCTTCAATAATACATTAAACTTAGCTTACTGATAATTTTTTGCTTTATAAACTATATTTTATTTTAGCTTTTTGACTCTTTTGTACTAAAACATTTTTTTTTGGAATAAAGAACCATTTTTATTACAAATGATTGACTTCCCCAATTGTAGATGTTATGATCATTAACACAGTCATAACAGAGAGTCAGAGATTAAGGGAGCAAAAGATAACATTTGGAAAACAGTCAGATGACACCGTGGATCCTATGGCCATGATTTCATTCAAAGAAATGTGAGGCTAGAGGTCCAAGACTCTGTCAAGCATGTAATTCTTGGATATAGAAATCTTGGAGTATGAATCCTTGAATCAGTATTATCTTTAGCCGTGTCATTTTAGAAGCAAATTGTCCTCTGACAGTGATGTTTTAGCAGGAAGAATAGCATCTTCTAAAGCAAAATGGCCGGTAGCCACAGTAGCCAGAGCCAGAGCCACATCCACAGCCATAGCCAGTTCCATAACCACAGCCATACCCACAGCCGTAGCCAGTTCCATAGCCACAGCCAGAGCCAGAGCCATAGCCACAGCTGTAGCCAGAGCCATAGCCACAGCCATAGCTGGAGCCATAGCCACAGCCATAACCAGAGCCATAGCCACAGCCATAGCTGGAGCCATAGCCACAGCCATAACCAGAGCCATAGCCACAGCCATAGCTGGAGCCATAGCCACAGGAGTTGCCGTAGTAGTTGCAACACATGTTGTCAAGAGGAGAGAATTGAGATGGGTTTCAAGAAGATGCTTCTGAGGTGTGGACGTCTTCTACTTCCCTGAGACCTTTATATAATTGCCAAAGCATATCATTCATTCCCTGACTTAGCCAACAAATATTTAAACAATCATTATGTGCCAGTCACTGTTGATCATCAATAATATTTTGCTTAAAATGAGCCAATTATTTTGGAGACTCGAGTTTCATTTCAGGAACATCATTTTAATCTGCTCTGCCAAAGAACCATCTCAGTGAAATCATGTGCCCAAATATAAAGCTGATACTAATTTTCAAAATGTCCTATCAGTAGATATATATCTTACATAACAAGTTTTGGGGGGATCATAACAAAGTTTTATCCTTTTTCTCTCTCTCTCTTTTTTTCCTAAAATATCTACCTCTACCCATAGGGAAAGAGACAACCCTATTCCCTTTCCTGAGTCATTACAACTTCTTTGCCAGACTTCTTTCTCCAACTCACTCTGCACTTCCACACCTACCCCTTGTCCAACCTCCCTCAAATCCCAAGAAACATATTCACATCTGATCATTCAAAGCCAGACTGTATGCTATCTGCAAGTGTTTCTTATATTTTCCTTCCATCCTCCAGGCAAACCAAGACCCTGGGGAGGCAGAGAAGCCCTCCTTTTGTCTCCCATTTCTTCAGCTATATAAGTAATTGTCATTGAGGAGCCTTTTAAAACCTAACCAGCTTCATTTTAAATATATATATATATATATATTTTTTTTTGTTATACTTTAAGTTCTAGGGTACATGAGCACAACGTGCAAGTTTGTTGCATATGTATACATGTCCCATGTTATACCAACACCGCTGTACCCATTAACTCGTCATTTACATTAGGTATATATCCTAATCCTATCCCTCTCCCCTCTCCCCACTCCATGACAGGCCCCAGTATGTGATGTTCCCCTTCCTGTGTCCAAGTGTTCTCATTGTTCAATTCTCACCTATGAGGGAGAACATGAGGCGTTTGCTTTTTTTGTCCCTGTGATAGCTTGCTGAGAATGACGGTTTCCAGCTTCATCCATGTCCTTACAAAGGACATGAACTCATCCTTTTTATGGCTGCATAGTATTCCACAGTGTATATGTGCCACATTTTCTTAATCCAGTCTATCATTGAAGGACATTTGGGTTGGTTCCAAGTCTTTGCTATTGTGAATAGTGCAGGGGGGTGAGGCACCACCCGCAATGTAGGGAGTAAGAGCCAGCCCCTCTCCCCCTCCGGCTCTTAGGACCCCCATCGCAGGGGGGCGGGTGCCCCCCGCGATGTGGATGGTCATATCCAGGGGGCGATAGTGGGGTGATATTACTCCCGGATTTTTCCTAGGATCCTTTCTATACTGCCACCCTCGGTTCACACCCTGGGACACTATCTTCCATATTCTAGCAAGATGCAGCTTCTAAAGTCGCAGGGGGTATACACCCTTCAGTATTATTCGTAATTTTGCAGGGGAATGTTAAACCTGATGTCACAGGACTCTGTACACTGTGATGTTATTCCCAATATCCTAGCTTTACCTTAATAATAATGTCACATTGTGTGTACACCTTGTGGTGTTATTCTTATTCTCCTAATGGGAGGTTGCATTTATTGTCACACGGGGTATGTTCCTTTTGATATTATCCATAATGTCCTAGAGGGATGTCACCCCTTATGTCACAGAGTTTGTACACCTTGTGAAATTACTCGTATTATCCTCATAAGATGTCACTCCTCATATCACAGAGGGTGTACACTCCGTGATATTGTCGTCATATTCTAGGGAAATGTTACTTTTAATGTCACAGAGAGTGCACAGCTTGTGAAATTATTCGTTATAATTTTGTGGGATGTTACCCCTAATGTCACATGGCGTGTACACACAGTGATGTTACGTGCAATATGCTATGGAAATGTTACTCGTAATTCACAGGTCCTGTACACCCTTTAATATTCTTCGTAATCTTCTAGGAAAACGTTACTGCTAATGTCACAGGGCCTGTAGACCCTGTCATAAAATTCCTAATATCCTAGCGGGAGTTCACTACTAATTTCACAATGTGTGTACACCCTTTGATATTATTAGTATTGTCTTGAAGAGATGTTACTACTGATGTCCCAATGCAGGTACATTCTCTCATCTTATTGGTTATATCCTCGGGGGATGTTACTTCTAATGTCACACGGGGTGTCCTCCCTGTGTTCTATTTCGTAATATCCCACGGCAATTTCACTTTTAATGACACAGGGGGTGTACACATTTTGCTATTATTCGTGATATTCTAGAAAGATGTTACTCCTAATGTCACAGGGCTGTACACCCTGTGATAGTATTCATAATTTCCCAGGGGTCTATACTCCTATTGGAACAGACGATAACACCCTGTGACATTGTTCATAATATTCTAGGGAGATGATACTCCTCATGTCACAGGGGGTGTACACCCCGTGTTATTATTCTTACTATTCTAGGGGGATGTTACTCCTAATGTCACAGGGATGTACACCCTGTGATATTATTCATAGTGTGCCAGAGGGATATTAGCACTAATGTCACGATGCGTGTACACCTTGTGATATTATTTGTCATATCCTAATGTCACAGGGGGTGTGTTCCGTGTGATAGTCTTCCTAACATCCTAGACGGATATTGCTCCTAACGTCACAGGGTGTGTACACCTTGTCACATCATTCATAATATCCTAAAACTACGTTATTCCTCAGGTCACAGGGGGTGTTCACCCTGTGATATTTTTCATCATAGTTTTGTGGGATGTTACTCCTAAAGTCACACGGGGTGTACACAGAGTCACACAGTGATATGAGTTGTAATATTCTATAGACATGTTACTTGTAAATCACAGGGGCTGTACCTCCTGTGATATTATTCGTAATATTCTAGGGGAATGTTGTTATTATTGTCACCGGGGTGTACACCCTGTGATATGACTCGTCATATCCCAGTGGGATGTTACTACTAATGTCACAATGCCTGTACACCCTGTGATACTATTTGTAATATCCTAAAGAGATGTTACTACTAAGGTCACAATGCATGGACACCCTCTGATATTATTCGTTATATCCTCGGGGGGTGTTATTCCTAATGTCACACGGGGTGTACTCCCGGTCCTATTATTCATAATATCCAAGGGGGATGTTATTTTTAATGTCACCGGGGGTGACATTACACATTAAAAATGCGTATTCAACGCCTGTGATACTATTCCTAATATCCTAGGGGCATGCTCTTCCGAATGTCACATGGGGCGTACACCATGTGTGTACACCTGCTGTGATATTATTTATAATATCCTAGGGGAATGTTACTCCTGATGACACAGGCGGTGTACACCATGTGTGTACCCCTCCTGTGTTATTATTCACAATATCCTAGGGGGATGTTTCTTTTAATGTCACAAAGTGTGTACAAAACGTCACAGAGGTGTACACGCTGTGACATTATCTGTAATACCCTAGAAGGATGTTACTCCTAATGTGTACACACAGGGGTGTACACGCTTTGATGTTATTTGCAATCTCATAGAGAGATATTACTTCAAATATCACAGTGGATGTACACACATAGTATATACCCTGTGATAGTATTCGTAATATCCTAGGGAGATACAAATCCTGATATCACAGTGCGTGTACCCCGTGTGTGTACACCCTTGATATTAGTCGTAATATCCAGGGTAAATATTACTCCTCATATCACACAGTGTGCACACCCTGTGATATTTTTCCTCATACGTTAGGGAGATATTGCTTCTAATATGACAGTGGGTGTACCCCATCTGTGTGTACTCTGTGACAGTATATTCTATATCCTAGGGAGTATTACTCCTAATATCACTTTGGGTGTTCACCCTGTGATATCATTCTTATTTGACCTTGCTGCCTTTGTTAACCCACACTACAAAAGGAATGGAACAGTTAAGAAGACACGGAGATTGGACGGTGCTGCTGTGCGGCCGCCGCAGGACACTTTTAATATGCCTGTTTCTCAGGCTGTAGATGAAGGGGTTCAGCATGGGGTGATCACCGTGTACATCACTGAGGCCACTGCAGCCTTTCTCGGGGAAGATGACACATCTGAACTGAAGTACCCTCCAACGCCCGTTCCGTAAAATCAGCAAACAACTGACAGGTGAGACCCACAGGTGGAGAAGGCCTTATACTGCCCACGTGATGATGAAACACTCAGAATGGAGGAAACAATTTTATAGTAAGAGAAAAGGGTCCCAGAGATGGGAAGAAAACCAAATATGACAGCAGGGAAATACATGATTATGTTATTGGTGAAGGTGTCACAACATGCAAGATGGGGGAGTTGAGAAGGGTCACAGAAGAAATTAGGAATTTCCGCATCCTGGAAGCAGGTCATTTGTAAGGCAATCAAGTTGTGCAACTGGGCGTCTAAAACACTGAGAAAAAAAAAAAAGGCGGGAACTGAGAGCCAGCCCCTCTTCCTCCGCTGGCTCTTAGGACCCCCATCGCAGAGGGGGAGGCACCCCCACTGAGGCAGGGACTGAGAACCAGCCCCTCTTCCCCCCTGGCTCTTAGAACCCCCATCGCAGTGGTGGGAGACAGCCTCCACGAGCCGAGGAGTGACAGCCACCCCCTCTTCCCCCCCTGACACTTGGGACCGCCATCGCAGGGTGGGGAGGCACCCCCCCGAGAGGCAGGGACTCAGAGCTAGGCCCTCTTACCCCCTGGCTCTTAGGACCCCAATCGCAGGCGGGGAGGCACCCATCGAGAGGCGAGTACAGAGAGCCAGCCCCTCATCCCCCCCTGGCTCTTGGGACCCCCATCGCAGGGCGGGAGGCACCCCCCGCGAGGCGGCTACTGAGAGCGAGCCCGTCTTCCCCCCCTGGCTCTTAGGAGCCCCATCGCAGAGGCGGGAGGCACCCCCCGCGAGGAAGGGACTGAGAGCCAGCCCCTCTTCCCCCCTGGCTCTTAGGACCCCCATCGCAGTGGGGGGAGGCACTCCCCGTGAGGCGGGGACTGAGAGCCAGCCCCTCGTCCCACCCTGGCTTAGGACCCCCATCGCGGATCCTAAGAACCTTAGGACCCACTTGGAGGACTGTGGGTATTAGGTGTCCAAGAAGAAAGCTCAAATCTGCTGACGGCAGGTACCTTACTTGGGATTTACTCTCCGACAGGGGTCCGAACTCAGCCCGGGAACAGAAAGAAAGCAGGTTATTTGCAATCTACCGGAGCCTAAGGGCAGAAGGCAGGTGAGGGAATTCTTGGGAGCTGTGGGGTTTTGTAGACTGTGCATCCCAAACTTTGCAGTATTAGCCAAGCCCTTTTATGAGGTCACAAAGGGGGCGGGGACCGGGAACCTTTGGAAGGGGGATCCCAACAACAGCAAGTCTTTCATGAGTTAAAGGAAAAACTTCCGGCAGCCGCAGCCCTGGGATAACCGATCTGACAAAGCCTTTTCCATTGAATGCATCAGAGAGAAAATAGATGGCAGCTGGACATTTAACCCAAAGTGTGGAGCCCTGGCTGAGGCCGGTGGCCTACGTCTCTAAACAACTAGACAGGTTTTCTAAAGGATGGCCCCCCTGTTTGAGGGCAGTGGCAGCAACTACCCTGCTAGTAGAAGACGCAAATAAGCTGACTCTTGGGCAAAACCTGAACATAAAGGCCCCCCATTTTGCGGTGGGTGAGAGCCAGCCCTTCTTACCCCCTTGCCTCTCAGGACCCCCATCGCAGGGCGGGAGGCACCTCCCATGAGGCGGGGACTGAGAGGCAGCCCCTCTTCCCCCCTTGGCTCTTGGGAACCCCATCGCAGGGTGGGGAGGCAACCCCCGTGATGAAGGGAAAAAAAGAGCCAGCCCCTCTTCCCCCCCTGGCTCTTAGGACCACCATCGCAGGAAGGGGAGGCAACCCCCACGGGGGAGGGACTGACAGCCATCCCCTCTTCTCCCCTGGCTCTTAGGACCCCCATTGCAGGGGGGGGGAGGCACCCTCCGAGAGGCGGGGACTGAGAGCCAGCCCCTCTTCCAGCTCTGGCTTAGGACCCCCATCGCGGATCCTATGTACCTTAGGACCCTCCTGGAGGACTGTGGGTATAGGTGTCCAAGAAGAAAGCTCAAATCTGCCGAAGGCAGGTACCTTACTTGGGATTTACTGTCCAACAGGTGTCAGAACGCAGCCCGGGAACAGAAAGTAAGCAGGTCATTTGCAATCTACCAGAGCCTAGGGGCGGAAGGAAGGTGAGGAAATTCTTAGGGGCTGTGGGGTTTTGTAGACTGTGCATCCCAAACTTTGCAGTATTAGCCAAGCCTTTGTATGAGGTCACAAAAGGGGCGAGGACCAGGAACCTATGGAATCGGGATCCCAACAACAGCAAGTCTTTCATGAGTTAAAGGAAAAACTTCTGGCAGCCCCAGCCCTGGGTCTACCCGATCTGACAATGTCTTTTCCATTGAATGCGTCAGATAGAGAAAAGATGGCAGCTGGACTTTTAATCCAAACTCTGGGGCCCTGGCTGAGGCCGGTGGCCTACGTCTCTAAACAACTAAAAAGGGTTTCTAAAGGATGGCCCCCCTGTTTGAGGGCCGTGGCAGCAACTGCCCTGATAGTAGAAGAAGCAAATAAGCTGACTCTTGGGCAAAACCTGAACATAAAGGCTGCCCATTTTGGGGTGGGTGAGAGCCAGCCCCTCATCCCTCCCTGCCTTAGGACCCCCATCGCGCATCCTAAGATCCTTAGGACCCACCTGGAGGACTGTGGGTATTAGGTGTCCAAGAAGAAAGCTCAAATCTGCCGACGGCGGGTACCTTAATTGGGATTGACTATCCGACAGGGGTCCCACGCCGCCCGGGAACAGAAAGAAAGCAGGTTATTTGCAATCTACCAGAGCCTAAGGGTCGAAAGCAGGCGAGAGAATTCTCAGGAGCTGTGGGGTTTTGTAGACTGTGGATCCCAAACTTTGCAGTATAAGCCAAGCCTTTGTATGAGGTCACAAAGGGGGCGGGGACCGGGAACCTTTGGAATGGGGATCCCAACAACAGCAAGTCTTTCATGAGTTAAAGGAAAAACTTCTGGCAGCTTCAGCCCTGGGGCTACCCAATCTGACAAAGCCTTTTAGATTGTACACGTCAGAGAGAGACAAGATGGCGGGTGGACTTTTAACCCAAACTGTGGGGCCCTGGAAGAGGCCGGTGGCCTACGTCTCTAAACAACTAGACAGGGTTTCTAAAGGATGGCACCCTGTTTGGGGGCCTTGGCAGCAACTGCCCTGCTAGTACAAGAAGAAAATAAGCTGACTCTTGGGCAAAACCTGAACATAAAGGCCCCCCGTTTTGTGGTGGCTGAGAGCCAGCCCCTCTTCCCCCACTGGCTCTTGGGACCCCCATCGCGTTGGGGGGGAGGCACCCTCCGCGAGGCGGGGACTGAGAGCCAGCCCCTCTTCCCCCCCTGGCTCTTGGGACCCCCATCCCAGGGGGGGAGGCACCCCCACGAGGCGGGGACTGAGAGCCAGCCCCTCATCCCCCCTTGGTTCTTGGGAACCCCATCGCAGGGGGGGATGCAACCCCCGCGACGAGAGGACAGAGAGCCAGCCCCTCTTCACCCCTGGCTCTTAGGACCCACATCGCACCTGAGGGAGGCACCCCCGCGAGGCGGGGACTGACAGCCCCCTCTTCCCCCCCAGACTCTTGGGATCACCATCGCAGGGGCGGGAGGCACACCCCGCGAGGCGGGGACTGACAGCCAGCCCCTCTTCCCCCCCTGGCTCTTAGGACACCCACCGCAGAGGGGGGGAGGCACCCCCCGCCAGGCAGGAACTGAGAGCCAGCACCTCTTCCCCCGCTGGCTCTTAGGACCCCCATCGCAGAGCGGGAGGCACCGCCCATGAGGCAGGGACTGAGAACCAGCCCCTCTTCCCCCCTGGCTCTTAGGACCCCCATCGCAGTAGGGGGAGGCAGCCCCCGCGAGCCGAGGATTGAGAGCCAGCCCGTATTCCCCCCCTGACACTTGGGACCCCCATCGCAGGGTGGGAAGGCACCCCCCGCGAGGCGGGTACTGACAGCCAGGCCCTCTTCCCCCCCGAATCTTGGGACCCCCATCGCAGTGGGGGAGGCACCCCCGCGAAGCGGGGACTGAGAGCCAGCCCCTTTCCCCCCTTGGCTCTTGGGACGGCCATCTCAAGAGGGGGGATGCAAACCCTGCAACGAGGGGACAGAGAGACAGCCCTTCTTCACCCCCTGGCTCTTAGGACCCCCATCGCACCTGGGGAGGGCACCCCCGCGAGGCGGGGACTGAGAGCCAGCCCGTCTTCCACCCCTGGCTCTTCGGAAACCCATGGCAGCGGGGCGAGGCAGCCCCCACGAGGCGGGGACTGAGTTCCAGCCCCTCTTCACCACCTGGCTCTTAGGACCACCATCTCAGAGGCGGGAGGCACCACCCGCGAGGTGGGGACTGAGAGCCAGCCACTCTTCCCCCGCTGGCTTAGGACACCCATCGTGGATCCTAAGAACCTTAGGACCCACCTGGAGGACTGTGGGTATTAGGTGTCCAGGCAGAAAGCTCAAATCTGCCGACGGCAGGTACCTTACTTGGGATTTACTATCGGACGGGGTCCGACGCCTCCCTGGAACAGAAAGAAAGCAGGTTATTTGCAATCTACCAGAGCCTAAGGGCCGAAGGCAGGCGAGAGAATTCTCAGGAGCTGTGGGGTTTTGTAGACTGTGGATCCCAAACTTTGCAGTATAAGCCAAGAGTTTGTATGATGTCACAAAGGGGGCGAGGACTGAGAACCTTTGGAAGGGGGATCCCAACAACAGCAAGTCTTTCATGAGTTAAAGGAAAAACTTCTGGCAGCTTCAGCCCTGGGGCTACCCGATCTGACAAAACCTTTTCCATTGTATGCGTCAGAGAGACAAGATGGCAGGTGGACTTTTAACCCAAACTATTGGGCCCTGGATGAGGCCGGTGGCCTACTTCTCTAAACAACTAGACAGGGTTTCTAAAGGATGGCCCCCTGATTGAGGGCCTTGGCAGCAACTGCCCTGCTAGTACAAGAAGCAAATAAGCTGACTCTTGGGCAAAACCTGAACATAAAGTCCCCCCATTTTGTAGTGGCTGAGAGCCAGCCCCTCTTCCCCCCCTGGCTCTTGGGACCCCATCACGTGGGGGGGGAGGCACCCTCCGCGAGGCGGGGACTGAGAGCCAGCCCCTCTTCCCCCCTGGCTCTTAGGACTCCCATCACAGTGGGGGGAGGCAGCCCCCGCGAGCCGAGGACTGAGAGCCAGCACCTATACCCCCCTGACACTTGGGACCCCCATCGCAGGGTGAGGAGGCACCCCCCGCGAGGCGGGGACTGAGAGCTAGCCCCTCTTCACCCCTGGCTCTTAGGACCCACATCGCACCTGTGGGAGGCACCCCCACGAGGCGGGGACTGAGAGACAGCCCCTCTTCCCCCCCAGACTCTTAGGATCCCCATCCCGGAGAGGGAGGCACACCCCGCGAGGCAGGGACTGAGAGCCAGCACCTGGTCCCCCCCCTGGCTTAGGACCCCCATCGTGGATCCTATGAACTTTAGGACACACCTGGAGGACTGTGGGTATAGGTGTTCAAGAAGAAAGCTCAAATCTGCCGATGGCAGGTACCTTACTTGGGATTTACTATCCGACAGGGGTCCGAACGCACCCGGGAACAGAAAGAAAGCAGGACATTTGCAATCTACCGCAGCCTAAGGGCAGAAAGCATGTGAGGGAATTCTTAGGGGCTGTGGGATTTTGTAGACTGTGCATCCCAAACTTTGCAGTATTAGCCAAGACTTTGTATGAGATCGCAAAGTGGGCGGGGACCGGGAACCTATGGAATCGGGATCCCAACAACAGCAAGTCTTTCTTGAGTTAAAGGAAAAACTTCTGGCAGCCCCAGCCCTGGGGCTACCTGATCTGACAAAGCCTTTTCCATTGAATGCATCAGATAGAGAAAACATGGCAGCCGGACTTTTAACTCAAACTGTGGGGCCCTGGATGAGGCCAGTGGCCTACGTCTCTAAACACCTAGACAGGGTATCTAAAGGATGGCCCCCCTGTTTGAGGGCCATGGCAGCAACTGCCCTGATAGTAGAAGAAGCAAATAAGCTGACTCTTGGGCAAAACCTGAACATAAAGGCCACCCATTTTGGGGTGGGTGAGAGCCAGCCCCTCTTCCCCCCCTGCCTTAGGACCCCCATTGCAGATACTAAGATCTTTAGGACACACCTGGAGGACTGTGGGTATTAGGTGTCCAAGAAGAAAGCTCAAATCTGCCTAGGGCAGGTAACTTACTTGGGATTTCCGATCCGACAGGGGTCCGAAGCCACCCGGGAACAGAAAGAAAGCATGTTATTTGCAATCTACCAGAGCCTAAGGGCCAAAGGCAGGCGAGAGAATTCTCAGGAGCTGTGGGGTTTTGTAGACTGTGGATCCCAAACTTTGCAATATAAGCCAAGCCTTTGTATGAGGTCACAAAGGGGGCGGGGACCGGGAACCTTTGGAATGGGGATCCTAACAACAGCAAGTCTTTCATGAGTTAAAGGAAAAACTTCTGGCAGCTTCAGCCCTGGGGTTACCCGATCTGACAAAACCTTTTCCATTGTATGCGTCAGAGAGAGAAAAGATGGCAGGTGGACTTTTAACCCAAACTGTGGGGCCTTGGATGAGGCCGGTGGCCTATGTCTCTGAACAACTAGACAGGGTTTCTAAAGGATGGCCCCCCTGTTTGAGGGCCTTGGCAGCAACTCCCCTGCTAGTACAAGAAGCAAATGAGCTGACTCTTGGGCAAAACCTGAACATAAAGGCCCCCCATTTTGTGGTGGCTGAGAGCCAGCCTCTCTTCGCCCCCTGATTCTTGGGACTCCCATCGCGGGGGGGGGAGGCACCCTCTGTGAGGCGGGGACTGAGAGCCAGCCCTTTTTACCCCCCTGGCTCTTTGGATCCCCATCCCAGGGCGGGAGGCACCCCCGCGAGGCAGGGACTGAGAGCCAGCCCCTCTTCCCCCCTTGGCTCTTGGGACCTCCATCGCAGGGGGGGAAGCAACCCCCGCGACGAGGGGACAGAGAGCCAGCCCCTCTTCACCCCTGGCTCTTAGGACCAACATCGCACCTGGGGGAGGCAACCCCGCGAGGCGGGGACTGAGTTGCAGCCCCTCTTCCCCGCCTGGCTCTTAGGATCACCATCGCAGAGGCGAGAGGAACCCCCCGCGAGGCAGGGAGTAAGAGCCAGCCCCTCATCCCCCCTGGCTCATAGGACCTCCATCACAGTGGGGGGAGGCAGCCGCCGCGCGCCGAGGACTGAGATCCAGCCTCTCTTCCCCCCCGACACTCGGGACCCCCATCGCAGGGTGGGGAGGCACAGCCCGAGAGGCGGGGACTGAGAGCCAGCCCCTCTTTCCCCCCTGGCTCTTAGGAACCCCATCGCAGGGAGGCGAGACGCCCCCCGCGTTTCGGGGAGTAAGTGCCAACCCCTCTTCCCCCCCTGACTCTTAGGACCTCCATCGCAGGGGGGCGAGGCGTAGGCGCGCTGGTTAGGAGGGGCTGGCTCCTAAGACCAGTTAGAATGGCAATCATTAAAAAGTCAGTAAACAGCGGATGCTGGAGAGGATGTGGAGAAATAGGAATGCTTTCACATTGTTGGTGGGAGTGTAAATTAGTTCAACCATTGTGGAAGACAGTGTGGCGAATCCTCAAGGATCTAGAACAAGAAATACCATTTGATCCAGTAATCCCATTACTTCGTATATATCCAAAGGATTACGAATTATTCTACTATAAAGACACATGCACATGTATGCTTATTGCAGGACTGTTCACAATAGCAAAGCATTTGAGCCAACCCAAATGCCCATCAATGATACACTGGATAAAGAAAATGTGGTGCATATACATCATGGAATACTATGCAGCCATAAAAAGGGTGGGTTCATGTCCTTTGCAAGGACATGGATGAAGCTGGAAACCATCATTTTCAGCAAGCTAACACAGGAACAGAAAACCAAACACAATGTTTTCTCACTCATAAGTGGACATTGAACAGTGAGAACACATGAACACAGGGAGGGAAACATCACACACTGGGGCCTTTTGGGGGATGGGAGTCAAGGGGAGGGATAGCATTAGGACAAATACCTAATGCATGTGGGGCTTACAACCTAGATGCCGGGTTAATGGGTACAGCAAACCACCATGGCACATGTATACCTATGTTACAAACCTGCATGATCTGCACATGTATCCCAGAACTTAAGGTAAAATTGAAAACAAAAACAAAAATAAAAATATCATTCTATTGTATTACCAGAAAAAGTATCTTTATTTATTTAGGTAATCATTAATTTTTAATAGTGTTTTATAATTTTAGCTGTGTGAAACTTTCACATATTTTATCAGATTTATCTGGAGGTATTTTGTATTTTTTGCTATTATAAGTACCATTTGAAAAAATTCAATTTCATATTGTTCATTGCTCTTGTATAAAATGATTTTAATATTATATATTATATTCGATTTCTGAAACCTTGATTAAAAAAAGATTTTTTTTTTCAGGTTGACTTTAGACATCCTGATAACTACATGCCTTGGCAATGTCTTTTTGCATTAAATCTCCCAAAAGTTCTTGGAGCTTTTTGTATCTGAATATCTAAATCTCTAGCAAGGCCACAGAAGTTTTTTCAATTATTCCCCCAAATAAATTTTTCCAACTTTTTGCCTTCTTTTTTCCCTCAGGAATATGAGTTATTCTTAGATGTGGCCATTTTACTAATCCCCTATTTCTTGGAGACTGTGCATTTCTTTATATTCTTTTTTCTTTATTTTCTTCTGATGGGTTAATTCCAAAGCCTTGTCTTTGAGCTCTGAAATTCTTTATTTAACTTGATCTAGTCTATTGTTGGAATTTTTTACTGCATTCTGTAATTCCCTAAATGTGTCTTTCATTTCCATAAGTTCTGATATTGTTAAAATATCTAACTCTTTAGGAAGTTTTCATTCATATTCTGAATTATTATTTTTAATTTCTTCATGTTGGTGTACACCTTTCTCTTTTATCTCATAGAGTAGTTTAATAATCAACCTTTTGCATTCTTTATCTGGTATGTCAAAGATTTCACAATGATATAGATTCATAGCTTGAGAGGTAATGTGATCTTTTGGAGGTGTTACATACATACTGTCATATTGCCAGAATTATTTTTCTGGCTCCTTCTCATTTGGGTAGACTATTTCTTCAAATTATTTTTGAATTGACTGTGTTTTTTTTTTTAATTTCTTTTTTCCCCTTAAGGATGTGACTTCCATGTTTATAGTTAATTGTGGTGTAATTCAGCTATTGATGTTTTCAGGGGTGAAGACTGTATCAGCTCCTTGGTTATAGAGGGTCTGTGTATGTGGATTCCTCAGATGATGGTGTATGAGCAAGTTTACTGTCTCCTATGAAGCTAGAATGGCAGAGGTCTGTTGAAGCCTATCTCATTCCCTTGTGGTTTTCACTTTATTTATTTTTCCACAGTATTTTATTTATTAGGTTGAATAGTTCAAGCTGCAGTCCAGTAGGGAAGGTGTCCCTGGGTAGAAACAAGTTGTCACTAAAGCAGGTGGGTAAATGCAATATGCAATGATAGACAGAGGTCACAGCCTTGAGGGTGACTGAGGGATCTCCCAATGTAACACGTTGAGGTCTTATCAGAGGGAAAAGTGGGAGCCACCTCAACTCTCCTGCCAGGCCAGCAGGAAAGTGATCCATCTTATAGTTGTATTAATCCATCCTTACACTGCTATAAAGAACTACCTGAGACTGGGTAATTCATGAAGAAAAAAGGTTTAATTGACTCACAGTTCCACAGGCTTAACAGGAAGCATGACTGTGAGGCCTCAGGAAACTTAAAATCATGGCAGAAGGTGGAAGAGATGCAAGGACCTTCTTCACAGTGGCAGCAGGAGAGAGACACAGAGAGAGAGAGAGCACAAAGGGGTAAGTGTCACACACTTTCAAACCAGATCTCATGAGAACTCACTCACTGTCAGGAGACCACCAAGGGGGAAGTCCTCCTGTATGATTCAATCACTTCTCACCAGGCCCCTCCCCAGCATGTGAAGATTACAATTTGAAATGAGATTTGGATGGGGATACAGAGCCAAACCATATCACAGTCATTCTCTTGGCCCAGTATTCTGGCTGTTCAGATCAGACAGGCACCTCTTATCATCTGTAGGAATATCGAGAGGACATTCAAATAGAGAGGAATTGTTACCTTACCCCTCATGCAAGCCTGAATCTGAAGAGCACTCCTTTGGTGGTGATGCAGTCGCCTTGAAGTGTTCCAGAAAGACCGTTTACAGGTACACCCATGCTGATGTCCCATGAGAGAAGTCCCAGCCGTGTCTGTAGTGATGAATGAGTGGGAAAAGAAGTCCCCTTCTCCCAGACCTCTCACAAGTATCAGGGCTGCCTGAGTATTTGGATAGAGCTGCAGGTATTCCCCGCTGAGCCCAGCACTGCACCTATGCCTCTACTAAAAGAAACTTCCCACCGGCAGAAAAATTTTGGGACTCAAAGCCTGCCATCTGGATTGTTTTGTCCCATGGAATGTTCCTTTGATGTGGTGCATTCTTCTTTCTCTTAGGAGTAGAAAGCCCTGAGAGCTATTCTACCGTGTATGCTGCTGCTCCTCTGGGTCTAGCCGTACAGTGGGGCTGCCACACTTCATGTGGATGCTCCGGAATGTCTGCAAGGGATCCAGTGATGTTACCTGTCCTCAAGTCTGTTTATAGTTACACCCATGCTGAGGTCCCATGAGAGAATTCCCAGCTGTGTCTGTAGTGATGAATGAGTGGGAAAAGAAGTCCCCTTCTCCCAGACGTCTCACAAGTATCAGGGCTGCCTGACTATTTGGATAGAGCTGCAGGTACCCACAGCAGTGGGTACCAACACCAGCTCTGATGGAGGTGACAGGTTAGTGACATAGACCCTGTGAGATTCCTTGGTTATAAATAGCCTTAGTGTGTTGGATTTCTCCAATGCTGGTTGTAGTAGGAATTAACTGGTCATGTGGAAAGACTCAGGACCTCCTGGTTAGCCAGGGTGTTGAAGGCAATGATGATAGCTGAGGTTATGCACAAATTTTCTCCTTCTTGAGCACTGCATTAATCTGCCTGGAGATGACATAATGAACTGTGCCAGCTGACCTCCAGCCAGAAGATGACAGTTGCAAAAGAGTGCCAGTTATGATGGTAACAGTGCGATTTGTGTTTGCCTTATGTTACCTAGGGAGTTATTCTGGATTCTCAAGGAATGACCAGGGACATAGAGCTCCCAAAAGTTTCTGTCTGTTGTGGTAAACTACCAGGGCAGGCTCAGGGGCAAAGCCAGGTGGGGGCTGGATCAGATAGGTCCGTATTCTGTCTTTCCGTGCATGGGACAAGCAATAGCCCCTGTGGGGATTTGTTGATGATTCTCTGGCTGCTGGGATAATGTTCTAGGGGGAAGCAAGGCTGCCTTTGTTGCACAGTTTACATAGGGAGTGTGGAGTAGCAGACAACAGTAAGCCTCACCCAGCTCTCATGTAGTTGGCAAGGCAGGTCTCACCCCTGTAGTGTTCTGCTAGCTACAGCTAGCTAAATTCCAGGCATTCTGCACTTAGAAATCAAAACTGTCCCAGGCCATAAGCCTGACTTTCAGATCATGCTCCTCCTTGACCAACTGTTAAGCAATGGCACCCAGCTCCATCACAGTAGCTGCAACACACTTCCCACTCACCCCCTGGTTCTGGCCAAGGGAGTTCATGAGCACTCAATTATATTGTGAATTTTAGCTGGGAGCTTCTCTTAAGCTGTTACCACCGCCTTATTTAGCTGGCAGACTTCCCTGAGGTCTCCTATGAGGTAGAGTCAGAAACGGTCTCCCTCCAACTACACTGGAGACTGGGAATGCACGCAAGGCTCTTCCAGTAGCCGTACCTACTTTTATATTCCCCATTGCTTCCTAAATCAGTTCCAGAGCTGGGTAGGGTTAAGGCCTTCCCTCGTGGCCTGGGTTGCCAGGTTCCCTGCTGGAAGTATATAACCTGGAGGTAGTTCATCTCCCTCTCAGATTCTGGGAACTTACAGTTTTCCACCAGGCTCACAGTATAGCATGCAGCCTGCAGCTTTTTTTTTTTTTTTTTCAAAGAGTCTGGGGTTTCTTTTAGTTTTTCTAAGTTCCTGAATCTCTTTTTGGAAAAAAGTTCATAGTGTGAGACTCTACACATTAGTTTGTCTTTCTATGTGGGAGAGGCATGTTAACAATGCATTTTTTTCATTAGATCCTTGTTCTATAAGTTTTTTTCTGTTTTTTCCTTCTCTTTTTCCTTCCTTCCTTCCTTCCTTCCTTCCTTCCTTCTTTCTTTTTTTTTTTTTTTTTTTTTTTTTTTTTTGATGTAGTTTAGCTCGTTAGCCTGGCTGGAGTGCAATGGTGGACCTCGGCTCACTGCAACCTCATCCTCCTGGATTGAAGTGATTCTCCTGCCTCAGTCTCATGAGTAGCTGGGACTATAGGTGCATGCCACCACACCTGGCTAATTTTTTTTTTTTTTTTTTTTTTTGTATTTTTAGTAGAGACGAGGTTTTGCCATGTTGGCCAGGCTGCTCTCAAACTCCTGACCTCAGATGATCCACCCGCCTCAATTTTAATTGTTATTTTCTTTACTTTTAAAACATTTTGTTAAAAATGAAAACACAAACACACATGTTAGACTGGGCCTACACAGAATCGGGATCATCAATATCATTGTCTTCAACCTCCACATCTTGCCCACTGAAAGGTCATGTTGGACAACATGTGTGGAGCTGTCATCTCCTATGATAACAATGCTTTCTTCTGGAATATCTCCCTAAGGAACCAGCCTGAGGATCTTTTACACTTAACTTTATTTTTATTTTTTAAGTAGAAGGAATACCTAAAATAACTATAAAAGTATAGTAGAGTAAATACATAAACCAGTAACATGGTAGTTTATAATCATTATTAAGTATTACATACTATACATAATTATATGTGCTATACATTTATGAAGGTAGGTTCATTTACACCAGCATCACCACAAACATGTAAGTAATGTGTCGTCCTATGAAGTTGTGATGGCTACAGCATCACTAGAGGGCAGAAATTTTACAGCTCCATTACAATCTTATGGAACCACCATCCTATATGCAGTGGATTATTGACTGAAACTTCATTACGTGCTATGTGACTGTAATGTACATTAACTGTCTTAAATAAAAATCTAAAAGTTTTTAACCTTTTATTTCTTGCCTTACTGCTGTTCTTTTTAAAATTATTCGTTTTAAATAACTAGAAATACTTATATTGAAATTGCTCCCAAATCAAGATTCTAAAAATATATGGCACCTATTCTAACAAAATATTCTCAGGGGAATTTTGAAAAGTTCTAAAACGACCCCTCAAAAATGCCCACCACAATTATTTTTATATGGCTAGTAATACATCATGTACACATTCTTAGAATGGTAAATTTTAGGGGTATATCTATATTATTAGATGAAAAGATAAAGCACTGTTTGATTAAGTATTTATATAGTGTTATTTTCTCTCATTTTGGCAACATAGTGATGATTATTACAGATATATTTCTGTTCAAGGTCAAAATACTATTCTAATACTGACACAATTTATTTTACATGTTAGACATAAATTCTCGCTTTCATTTAAAAAGTTTTATGTTATGTCTGAGACATTATGTTCAGAACTATTTTCACAATGTCAACTAATATTTGAGTAAGTTTTGCTTTGAAAATTTCCTAGACAAGTAACTAGATTTTATTTAATGCATTCAATATTTAAACTTTTTGTTAACACAAATTTATTATTATAGTAAATCAGATATTCCGTAAATAACTATATAAAAATATACTTACCAAAAAATATAGGTAATAGAAGCACTCGGGCTGAAAATATCACTAATGAAATATTATATAGGGATTTTTTTATTCCTGTGATTAGCAGTTCTTGAGCTTTTTATTATTTGAGAAAGAGCAGTAATCTTAGAATTTATTTCTCTACATAGATAAAGTTTAAAGAGTACATATGTATGAAATAATCAGTACACACACAGCACTCAAGCCATGCTTTCTATATCTTGCACTTTTGCCATTAATGTGTAGATGGAGAGGCATGCATAGTTTTTTTTATTGTTTTCATTTTTTATTTTGACATGTAAATTTGGGTTAAGTATAAAAATTCAAGCTATATCTTTACTGATTAAAACATTTCTGGTAGAATCATTGCAGGTGAGTGAAAGAACAAACAGAAATCAAAGGAGAAAATTTATTTCAATTGATTGCAGAAGAGTGAAATTGTTACAAAACCCCCAAATTTAAGTTTGAGTACCCAATGCACAATAAGCCAAACACTGATACATCAGCGCTTAGGAAGAGAGAAAGGCATTATTTGATTTGGCCAAAATGAGAGAGTGCGAGAGGCAAATTCTCAAATCCGACTTGCCTTTGAACATAACCAGAAGCTTTTATGAGTAAGGTCGGTATGCGGGAGGTGAGATCTCCTAGTCAAAGCTGTGTCCATCCCTCCTCTGATCAGACTTCTGGATGCCATCAAGGAGGTCTGCATAACCTAAGATTATTGTTCTTTAAAACAAAAACAATCTCATTAATCTTGTAGGCAACACTTGGGGGTTAGAACATGAAGTTAATCAATTACTAGTGACTATCTTCTATCAAAATGACTGTGTGCAAGCAAGCATGCATGCAGGAAGAAAAGGACAAAGAGAAAGAAAATAAGTGAAACAAACACCTTATGATTTTTATAAGTTACAAACTGATATAAATGGGATTCAAGGACAAAATAGAAGTTTTAATAGTATTAGCATGTGTCACCTGTTCATGAGGCCTCTAAAACCTGCTTACACATACTCAATTTTAGTACACCCCTACACTTCGTGGACATTAGCATATATGCAATGGCTTTACTTACAGACTGAAAATTCAGGAAAGTAAGCATCACAAAAAATTAAGCAAAAGATAGAGAATATGTTTGTGTGAGTGCATGTAAGCATCCTTCTCAAGTCTCCTAGATATCTATGATACAATAAACATGAACTTGATAGCACATTAACAGTGACACTTAGTTTCCAAGTTAAGCTTCTTCTTTAGATGTTTTGGCTAACAATGACAATTATACACTTTAGGCTGACTTAAAATTCTTTCATTTTACCAACTTTACAAATGTGATATTATATTGATATAAGTAAAATAGTGAATGTTTTTATGCTTGATTGTTTTATCTCTTGCCTTTCAATTACAACAAAAACTTAAGAAAAGCTAAGTTATTTAAAAGAAGACAGAAAGAAAATAGGTAAATTGCTATTTTATTTCCTATTCAAAATATTCTAAATAAGAATCAGTATGTTAAATGTTACTAGCAACCAAGGATAGTAATGCCCATTTATTACTATTTTACACATAAGAAACTGAGACAATGAAGTTAGGTCAGTATCCCATAGCACTCACTCCTAGCTGAGAGCTCAGCTGGGATGAGAATCTCCTTTTTAAATTTTTTTTCTAAAGTCTGTAATGTTCCTATCATCCAAGGTTCTCTCTAAAACATAAAATTGTCCAGAATTAATTACTGTTGCATATGCCGTCAATTCTAAACACTTTGAAAGTCATTTTTATTGACCTTGTCAAGATGTTATGCTACACTGATTAAAATATAGTTGACAGTTAATACTCTAAAAAGATCCCCTTTGAGTATTGTGGTCATTGATGGATTCACATGCTAGTAGAAACTCTACATTTTTCAGTAAAATTTAGATAAAATTTTAGATTTTTTATCTCCAACACAAAAGAAAATATTTCTTGTAGTTTTAGGAAAGTTGATATAATTGTCAAACCATTCATATAAACAACCTATTGAATTTACTTTAATGTCAATAATGGCCCATCAATATAGATTAAGCCACATGTAAATCTTTCATATAACACTTTCAAATAATTACATTTTAAACATTTACATTTCAACACAGTGGGATAGTGTAAACTTCATCTAGCAAAGGTAGTACTATTTATATTACATTCCCTATTGCATTTTGCCTATCAATGTATGTGAAAGTTAAAATATTGATCTGTACTCTATTGGTGTATAATCATTAATAATCAAGAATAATGAATAGTCATTATTAAAATAGCAACGAATAATCTTTAATTTTTGAGATATCATAGAAAATTTGGAATAACATCATTTATTTAAAATATGAAATATATGCACATTAATGTAACATTTAGCTTCTTTAGAATATTCCCATATAAGAGAAGGCTATAAGTAAATGAATACATAAATATAAAGAACATATTTACTTTTTTTTTCTATGCAGGAGTCCATTTAACAAAGTATAACGGAAGATAAGTTTCTTGAAACATTTTTAAAAGTGTAATATAGGTACGCATTCTGATTTCTTACCATCTGTCCTTATATATACCAAGTTTGACATTACCTCTGCCAAAACAGAGAATGGCATATCCTGTCAAGCACCTAATGTTTTCTGAGTAAACTCTTGTTTTGAATGATATTACTGAATCAGGTTAATCGAATGATTCCATTAAAGGTGTTTTCACAGCCTGAGTTTCTGCTGTTATATTCAATTGTTTTAATTACCTTGATCTTCATTAGATTTAAATGTTCTTTTTTTCCGTTTGCTAAACATAGATTCGAGTTTCATATTATAATAACCTGAAAGTAAATCAAAGAGGAAAATTTAAAAAGAGACTAATTAATTGTGATGCCTTTATATTCCACTGATTTTTTTTTATTAGAGAAGGTTTAAATTGTTCATCTTCACATTTTATCACTTCATTAGGAAAAGCAACCTGTATTACCCAAGTTCAAAACTAACATCCAACAGGAGCCGTAAACTCTGATCTTGCTAGATTGAGCACTGCCTTTTATCTTCTTTCTCATAAATACAGAGATAAAATAGAGACTCAGCTGGATGCACCCTTTAGCAATTATTTCCCCTATGATCTTCACACTAGGATAACAGGCCACATGTGAAAAGACTTATGCACTCTGATAAAGATTCTCAGTACAAATTCGGTTTTACTGTATTTCATTCTGACATTTCTTACACAGGTGTTTTTTTTTGGTGACTTGCTTATTTAAGAGGTGCCACTTCTTATAGATGGCTAACTATTAAACTTTTTGAAGCTTTGGCTTTATTCTGCTTTTGCCATGACATAATTTAAAAAAAAAAAAGCGATGTCTGCCTGAAGTGATAATTGCATCATTTACATACTGTGAAAATTCAGGAAGGAGAAAGTCGGTTCTATTGTGTATTACAATGAAAAGATTAGACATGAGAATGATATTTATCAAGATATTTATAAATAAATGCTCTGACTTCATGTCTTACATGTCATGCCAATATTTATTATAGAATCTGAGAATATAAATACTTACTCCTTATTTAATGTGAAGATAATCCAGCGCAAGGATGAGAAAGCACTCCATAGTTTAGTTTTGTTTCCCTGGCAGATTTTAATGTAGCTTTAAAATCCACACTGAACTTAATATTTTGTACTACTATATTTTACTCTTAAGGTTTTATTTCTAAATAATCATTTTAATTTTATGCGTATATTATATTATTGTCTGAGATCATGTCTATGTCTTTCCAAAACTTTGCTAATGAAGAAACTTTAAACTCGAAGTTTTACATTTACTTTACCTGAACTTAACCCATAAAGTATTATGAAAGTATTTCTTCCCACTCATGACACTTTGTCACATTCATTTATACTGATTATTTTTAGTATTCTATAACTAATCTGGAATATGTGAAAAGGTCATCTTTCCTCATATGGGATATATAAAGCATCAGGCAAAAATGGCATCTCAAAACACAGTTCTGAAAATAAAATAAATTATCAAAAAACAGATGCTGGTTTTCAGGGTCGCAATATCTCATAATCAAATTTTTTACTTGAAGGGGGCACTTCCTTGTGAGTTCTTGATTTATATCATCCAGAAAACCTCCCCACGAAGGAAAATGCTTTTGATATTTTTCTTCCTCCCGGTTAGCTATCCAGGCTCATCAATATTTTCTCTTGAGCATGACAAGAGAGATTTCTACTATAATATAATGATGTCCATCATCAAAAATTTCTACTGAAAGATAATTCCAACTATGAGATTATAATTCTTAGAAGTGTAGTTCTAGGAGTATAAAATATTCCATTAATAACAGATTATTGACTGTATGGTCAAGCAAAAAATGTCATAACATGAAAAGCAAATACAAAAGTGAGAGAAGAATGTTTCTTCCCCAAATGTATTCTTATGGTGAAAAAGGCCTGTTTAAATCACTATTTCTAGGAATACAAAGAGGCTCAGAGATTTTATTTTTTCTAAGTCTTCCTCAGCTCTTCTCCCTCCTGCTTGCAGTTCTCAGAATTTATCAAGAATGCAGCATCCAGAGATAAAGGGGAGATGTCTGAAATAACCCAGACTATGTCCTTATTCCTCTCAGAACAGGATGTTCTGCAAACCTGAACTCAGTGTGACAAGTCGTTTCCAATGTAAAACCCACAATGGAGTGCTCTCAGGTCCCTTAGCTGCAGTGTGTTGTGAGGCATGCACAGACGAGACTATTTAACCTAGGCAGTTTTCCTGAACTTTGGAGTTCAGCTTGCAATGGATCCTAGGGCTTGTTTATCCTTGATGCCTATCTGCGAATGATATGTATACTTCGCTTGACTTGTTGTGCCAGTATTCTGTCTCAGCAGACTCATGCAATTGATAGAAAACCTTTAGGGTGAATCATTGCAAGGAAGCAAGAATGGAAACTATAAGACCTCATAAGGCCTCAAAGTTAGACAACATCATTTTGCGACTTTGTGTTGGTCTGTGTGAGTCACAAGGCCAGTTCAGGTATTAGACGTGGGAAAATGGCTACTCAGCAGCAATCAACTTACTGGGTTGTAGACAGACGAAGAGTGATTTAGTCAGGACCATTATTGTGAAAATCTACCTTCTGCAAAGAGTATTATTAAATTGACATAAGCAATGGTAAAATGTAATTTAAATACAATTTGGATGTAAACTCAAGCGGTAACGCTATTTTTTATCACCATTTATTTTCTATCACCATTTATTTTTTATCACTATTTATTTTCTATTTCTATCACTTGACCTTAACTAGCACTAAAACCATGTAGCGTTTCTTTTTAAAAAATTTGTCTATCTGGGTGATAGACACTGTTTTAACAATAAATAGTTATTAAAATGGATGTATATAATTAATAATTTATCATTAAGAACTAAAAATGGACAAGGATAATCTGCAGACCTCTGTGAAATAAAAATAGACCTATGTTTATCACTATGTGGTACATTCCCCCAAAAAGTACTTATGTGAAATATTGCTAAGAATATAATATAGGATATTGGAATGAGAAGTAAGAGCTTTCATGAAAGAACAGTTTGAAGTGAATTGGAGAAAATTTTCAGAAGTGTGCAGTTTGTTATAATTTGTATTGTATATTTAATAAGATTAATTTATTTAAATATATTTAGTTGACATAAAAATTGTATATATATTATGTATACATATATATATAGCATACCAATTGTATGTATAGTATATATTAACACATCTATCACCACACACAGTTACCATTTGTGTGTATGCATGCATGTGCATGTGTGTGTGTGTGTTTGTGTAGGATACTTAAAATTTTCCTTATCAAATTTCAAATAAACAATACAATATTGTCAACTATACTCACCATGCTCTATGTTAGTCCCATAACTTACTTATCTTACAACTGAAAGTTACCAACATTTTCCCAATCCACTTCCCCACCAGCCTCTGACAACCACCTTTTCACTCTCTGCCTTTATGAGTTCTATTTTTTCAGATTCTACATAAAAGTGAGATCATGCAGTGTTCATTTTCCTCTGTCTGAGTTATTTACTTAGTGATTGTTGTTGCAAATGGCAGGATCTTCTTCTTTGAGTGAGATTTTTGAGATGCCTATATGTAAGGGGAAATGAAAGGGTTACTTACAATTTCTGTTCTTTCTAAAGGTAATATTTTTTCTGTATTTTTAAACTTAAGACATTTACAAATCATATAAATCACATCCAGGAAGTTTAGTAGAGGGTGGGTTTTTTTTAAAAAAATTGTTATCTATATTATTATGCTGTTTAATAATTATTACATATATATGCATTTAATAAAACTGTAAGAAAAGAGAGATTATCATCAAATTTCATAACTATTTTCATGGTTACATAACATTTTTCTGCCTACTGATCTTGCTCTTTCTCTAGTTCAGGATGTTGATTATTTCATGCTGTTAAGAATATTTGATACAATCCCATGATCAGCAAGACCCTAGGAGAAAATGAAAAGGATTGTGTCAATAGAGAGGCTGGTGCTCTCCCACTGCCTTTTATTGTTTGTACATTGCATTTCTTGGGTTTCAAAATAAAAGACTTTACTCTGTCCATAGTGTTTATTATTATTATAGATTTTAACAACAGAAATGTAGAGATTATATACATAATGCATCCCCACATTTGATAGCACGAATATAGAGTTGGTGATGATTACAAATGCTCCTTCTAAAATATCGAATAAGATGTACTGATTAGTTATCACTTGCTTTTAATGATTTATGTGTGTTGCGCTTATGAACTGAGAAACCAAAGCTCTCTCTGATACATTCTTATGACTGACCTGCAGATAGAATATAATCAGTCAAAAACTTGAGCATCATTTCCTAAAGAAAATCAATATTTATTAAGACATGAGTTATATAGTGTTATAAAATAATTTTAAATAGCTCCTTGGAAAACCAATGTATATTGTTAGAAATTGAAAACGATACTGAAATTTTAAATTACAAATAGAGTAAAATTGATAAATGGAATAATTTCATAAATTATAGTAAGTGTGATATCATGAGCCCACTTCAATTTTTCTATGGCCCATAAAATTTCTCTAGGAGTCTATCTGCATGAAGGATTGAGGAAACTCCCCAAAAAAGTGGAAAAGATAGTGAGGAATGTTTTTTATGTGCAGTGCTGTAAGTTTAAGAGAAAGAAAATGAAAGATATTTAACAGACCATGGTGCATGTCATTTAGAATAAAAGTCTCCCACCCATTTTCCACACAAACACACACATTCTTCACCTCTAACTCTCTAGGGAATAAGTAGAGTGAATTGTTGAAAAGAACGTAAAAAAAATTTTCAAACTAAATAGCTGTGAGAAGACTCCAATAACAACCCAATGGTGCCTTTGTACCAAAATAATAGAATGTGTCACAAAAGTGGAAATAGGAGTTCTGTCTCCTTGGGTGGGATGAATTCAGGGCAGGGCAGTGATGTTGTCAGGTTATTTCTGTGATACTAACAGAAGGCAGATGCTGTGCTACATGTGTTGCCTTCTGCAAAAACAGGGTTACTGAGCAGCATCTAACGAAGAGCCTGATACCTATTAGTATTTAATTAAATATGTATGTAATCAATGAAACTGAACTGGTACTGTTGCATATCCTAGCTTAAGAAAGAGATAATGATTTATTCAATTGCACTAACAATGTCTTGAGTGGTGCAGCAGTGCAGGTGGTAGGAATTGTAGAACTTGTATTTAATACTTATGAATAATTTTAGCAGCTCCAGAAAGTAACTCTGGTAACTTTAAAAGGAACATGATTCAAAAGCATTATAATAACATTTAGTTTCCTTTATGATCACCTTTTTCAGGTATCAAGAATGGTGCTTCCTTCATGAATAGTACAGGCCTTGCCAACGGATGAAATTGACAGAAATAAGAGGGAATTATTTAATTTACTTTGGAGGTTGAGAGAGACTTTTCTTAAACACACAATAAATGCATCACAGGGGCTCAGATGTTTCTGGCAAGATTATGAAGATAGACTGATTGGTGTTCATGTATTGTGATGGTAGAGACTGGGATCAGCAAAATATTATGTATGCAGTTGACATCTTACACGAAGAATTTGGAGTATGGACATTACATGATTGTCTCTCAGCCACCCTATGGAAAACAGAATTGTCTGGCTCTACCTACCTGGAATTTCAACCCATAAATTTAACTCAATTATTTGTAGCAGAGGTTCTTAAATAAAGCAGCATTATTTAGAATTATCTTTGAATCTTTAAAGATATACTGATGTCCAGAACCCATCCTCCATGATTTTGAGGTGAGGCCAAAGCATGTATTCTTAAAATTCTCTCCAAATAATTGAAATATGCAGCCAGGTTTGGGAACCACTTACTTGGAAGAAAGTTTGTATGCTCCAGTGACAAGAGTAGCACACCTTGGTCTTCTGAATTAACCTCACTGGCTAATAGCAATGAGTCATAATTAATAAGAACTTTTAAAATAGAACTTTGTTTTGGATGAGTTAATCAAGTAAGGTTATAGAGTAGAGCTTTCTATCACTAGTTACCTTAGTTTACAGGTATTTCTCACAGAGAAATTATATGGGCTCATTGGTTTACTTCTTATTTAGAAAACTAAATGTTAAAAAACATACACATTAATAGTCAAATGGAGGAGAGGCTTCATGATGGCTGACTAGAGGCCTCTGGTACTTACCTTCTCCATAAAGAAGAAACAAAATAGCAAGTAGATAATTCAAATATCTCATTTAAGACTGGACACTGGGATTCAACTGAGAAGTGATGTAAAAAACCAAAAGCAAGGAAGGAGACAGAAGTGAGGCAGCCTGACTGGCCAGGATTGCCTAGAAGCCTGGAGAGGCTCCCCAGTATGGGATACAGTAAGTGAGAGAACCCCAGTGGTCTATGTTACCATGGAAAACTCCTGCAATTCCTGCCATGGGAGTGCCCCTTGACTCTTCTGGTCCCTGAGACTTAACATAGGAAGGTGCATGGGAACCATGCAATGACATTGCTTCAGAGAGGAAGCTCACACTGGGTCCCACATATCTCCATAGTCATAAGCAGCTACAGCAAGGCACCATTTTGAGAAATAAGCCCCCACCATACTTCATTTTGCCCTGGGGACTAAAAATTTCTGCATCTTCACATCCTGGGAGCCCCATTGACATTAGTTACCTGCAGCCACCATTGTGGTTGGCTGCTGCTGCCAGGGCTGAATCGTGAGCCACTTGCAGTGACCCCTGCAGCAACAGAGCCATTGTGCATAAACAAGGGACCTGGGAACAGGTTACCTCACCTGTAGTCACCAACTGGGGTCTTAGTACGTGCTCCCTAGTCACCTACCTATGGTTGCTGCCATTGGAAGGAACGTTGCTCACCTTCCTCAATAGCAGAGCCATAGCACAGTCACTGTCACCCCAACCTGAGTATTCCACTGAGGGAATGGGGATAACCCTGCACCTGTCTACCACAGCCAGTACCTACACCCGCCAACGTGGGACCTGAGGACAGGTGCACCTGGCCCAGTTCTGCCCATGCTCTGCCCCCATGAGTGCCAAAGCATGCCATCTGAGACTTGGGGATAGCCCAGCTAAGGCAATGTGGTTTGTACCTGTGCATTCCTCACAAGAACCTGAGGTTGAGACCACTCTACCTGCCATTACCAAAATAGCTGGAACCCACCTGCACATGCCACCTGCAGACCTGGGGAGTGGCCCACACAGCCACCACCAAAATCAATATGGACCACTTTTGACAGCCAGAGGGTTATCTGACCATGTTATTGCCATTGCCTATGCCATGCATTTTGCCCAGGGTCACAAGTCACAAGAACCCACCCACCTACCCCTCCCACTGCTGCCACTTCCAGCATTTCAGCAAGTGGCCCAAGAATCAGCTCACCTGACCAGGTAAAAGCAGTGGCAGTGTATACCACTCAAGGGCCCAATGACAAGCAACCTGCCACTGAAACCACTGTGGCCTGACAACGGGCCCACCTGGCATAACAATTCCCAGTAAAAGATTATAATAACCTGCATTAAAACTGCACCCTAAGCCATTGAAGAAATCACAGCACCAGTAGTACTGTTTATAGCTGAAGAAAACACGTGGAGACGACATTACTATATGCATCCAGAATCAAAGCCAAAGTACCCTACCCACCTGAAGTAGTTTGGATATTTGTTCTTATTAAATCTCATGTTGAAATTTAATACTCAATGTTAGAAATGGTGCCTAATGGGAGGTGTTTGGCTCATGGGGGCAGATGCCTCATGAATGGCTTGATGTCCTCTCTGAGATAATGAGTGGGCTTTCACTCTATTCACACAAGAGCTGGATGCTCAGAAGAGTATCTCACACTTTCTACTGCTCTATCTTGCTCCCTTTTTTGCCATGTGACACCTCCCACACCCGCCCCCCCACCATTTGCCTTCTGTCATGATTGGAAGTTTCCTGAGGTACTCACGAGAAGCAGATGCTAGTGCCATGCTCCTTGTACAGCTACAGAACAATGAGATAAATAAACATCTTTCCTTTATAAATTACCCAGTATCAGGTATTCCTTTATAGCAACACAAATGGATTAACACACCAACTAACATAATAGATACATCTTCAGAATAAAGCCCGCCCCTATGAAAGCAACTTCAAAACATTGGAAGAAGCAACCCTTACACTAGAAGCACAGAAATCAGTGTAAGAACACAAACAACATAAAAATATTAAGGAAATATCATACCTTTCAAGGAAACGGTGTTTCTCTAGCAATAGATTCCAATGAAAAAGAAACTTATGAAATTCCAGAAAAAAAATGATATTAACAAAGCTCAGTGAGATACAAAAGAACACAGAAAAATAATACAAATAAGTCAGAAAAGCAATTCAGTGCATACATGAGAAACTTACCAAAGAGACAGAAATCATTAAAAAGGCACAAACAATCCTGGAACTGAAATAGTTAAAGAAAAATAAAGAAAGAAGAATGAAAAAGAATGAATAATGCCTACATGACATATAGGACACCATGATGCAACTAAATATTCAGATTTTTAAGTATCATAGAAGAGGAAAAGTAAACAAAAGGGATAGAAAACAAATTTAACAAAATAGCTGAAAACTTCCCACACCTAGCAAGAGATTTAGACATTCAGATGCAGACAGCTCACAAATTTCCAACAGATACAATTCGAAAATATCTTCTTCATGGGACATTATAGTCAAATTGTCAAAAGTTAAAGAGATATAGTAAATTATTGAAAAAGCAAGATAAAAGAAGCTAGTCATTTATAAGGGAGCCATAACTGGACCAACAGTAAACTTTTCAGCAGAAACTTCAATGGCCAGGAGAGAACAGAATAGTATATTGAAAATGCTGAAAGAAAAAACAAAACCCAAACCAAAAAAACCTGCTAGCTAAAGCTACTGTATCCAACTAAGTTATCTTATATAAATGAAGAAGAAATAAAATATTTTCCAGATAAGCAAAAGTTGAAGGGACTCATCACCACTAGACTGGTTCTAGAAGAAATGTTTAAGGAACTCATACTTGGAAGTGAAAGAAAACTTCCTACCGTTATGAAAACACATGAAAATATAAAACTCACTGATACAGCAAACACACAAGTAAAAAAGAGAAAGGACTCAAATGTTGCCACTACAGAAAACCACCAAACCATGAAGATAAACAATAAAAGAGAATGAAAAGAATGAAAGAATCATAAAACAATCAGAAATCAAATAATAATATGACAGAAAAAAGCCTTCATATATCAAAAATAACCTTAAATGTAAAATGATTAAAATTCCCACTTACAATATACAAACTAGCTGAATGTGTAAGAAACAAGATCCAACCATATGCTGCCTACAATGAACTCATCTCACCTGTAGTCATACAGACTGAAAGTAAAGGCATGGAAAATATAGTCCACACAAACAAAAACCAAAAGAAAGCAGGAAGAGCTATACTTAGATAAAACAGAATATAAGTCAAAAACAGTGCAAAGAGAGAAAGAAGGTCATTATATAATGATAAAAGGATCAACTCAGCAAGAAAATATAAAAATTCTAGAAATATATGCACCCGACACCAGAGCACTCAGATATATAAAGCAAATGTTATTAGATTTAGAGGTAGAGATAGAATAAAACACAATAATAGGAACTTCAACATCTCGCTCTTAGCATTAGACAGGTTATCTGGACAGAAAATTAACAAACAAACATTGGATTTAAGCTGCATTTAAATAAAAGGACCTAACAGACATTTACAGAACATTTCATCTAACAGCTACAGAATACACATTGTTCTTAAAAGCACATGGATCACTCTTTAGGTTAGACCACATGATAGGACACAAAATAAACCTCGACAAATTTTTTAAAATTGAAATCATATCAAGTATCTTTTCAGACTTCAATGGAATAAAACTAGAAATTGGTAACAAGGACTTTGGGAACAGTTACACGAAATTAAACAAAATGCTCCTGAATGATGACTGGGTCAATTAAGAAATTAAAGAGGAAACTATCTTAAAGCAAAAATCAAAACACAACATACCAAAACCTATGGGATACAGAAAAAAACAGTGTTATGAGGAAAGTATATAACAATAAACACCTACACAAAAAAAGCGGAAAGAGTTCAAAAGAATCTAGTGATGTGCCTAAAGGAATTATAAAAACAACAAACCAAACTAAAAATTAGTAGAAGAAAAGGAGTAATAAAGATCAGAGAACTAAACAAAATAGAAACTAAGAAAACAATACAATGGAGCAATGAAATGAAAATTTAGTTTGTAAAAAAGATAAAAAACTTAATATGGTTCTAGGCTAGAGTAACCAGAAGTAAAGACCCAAATAAATAAACGAAATAAAATTAGAAATTAAAAAGTAGACACTACAACCAATACCACAGAGACTATTATGAACAACTATATACTAACTGACTGGAAAACCTAGAGGAAATGAGTATGTTCTGAGACACATACAACCTACGAAGACTGAATAAAGAAAAAACAGAAGAGATGAACATATCAATAATGAGTAATGAATTTAATCGGTGATAAAAAGTCTCCAAAATAAGAAATGTCCAGGACTAGATGACTTCATTGCTGAAATCTACCAAACTTACAAAGAAAATCTAATACCAATTATCCTCAAACTATTTCAAAAGAATTGAAGAGGAGGAACTTCTCCTTAACTAATTCTCTGAGGCCAATACAACCATGATACTAAAACCAAACAAAGATGCAACAACAACAACAACAACAAAATACGAACCAACATCTCTGATGAATATAAACACAAAAATCATCAACAAAAATATTAGCGAACCAAATATTTCAACACACCAAAAATATAATACACCAAGTTCAACTGGAATTTATCCCAGGAATGCAAGGATGAGTCAACATATGTAAATCAATCAGCATGTTACATCACATCAAGAAAATGATCTCAGAGATGCAGAAGCATTTGATAAAATTCAACATCTCATGATAAAAACGCTCAAGAAACTGGGCATAGAAGAAATGTACTTCAACATAATAAAGGCCATCTATGACAAATCCACAGCTAACATCACACTGAATGAGGAAAAGCTAAAATCCTTTCCTCTAAGAACTGGAACAACAAAAAGATATCCACTTTTACCACTTCTATTCAATGTTGTACTGGAGGTGCTAGCCAGAGAAATCAGGCAAAGGAAAGAAATAACAGGCATCCAAATTGAAAAAGAGGAAGTAAAACTGCCCTTCTTTGCAGACAATATAATCATACAACTAGCAAAACCTAGAGAATTCACTAAAACACTGTTAGATCTGATAAATAAATTTAGTAAAGTTCCAGGACACAAAATCAACATACAAAAATCAGTGGTTCATTCTTTCCTTCTTTCTTTCTCTTTCTTTCTTTTTCTTTCTTTCTTTCTTTCTTTTCTTTCTTTCTTTCTTTCTTTCTTTCTTTCTTTCTTTCTTTCTTTCTTTCTTTCTTTCTTTCTTTTCTTTCTTTCTCTCTCTCTCTCTCTCTTTCTTTCTTTCTTTCTTTTCTTTCTTTCACAGGGTCTTGCTCTGTCACCCAGGCTGGAGTGCAGTGGTGCAATCTTGGCTCACTGCAACCTCTGCCTCCCAGGTTCAAGCGATTTTCCCACCTCAGTATCCTGAGTAGCTGGGACTGCAGGCATGCACCACCAGGTCTGGCTAATTTTCTCTATTTTTGGTAGAAATGGGATTTCACCATGTTGCCTACGCTGGTCTTAGATTTCTGAGCTCAAGAAATCTGCCTACCTTGGCCTCCCAAAGTGCTGAGATTATAGAAGTGAGCAACCATGCCCAGCCAGTAGCATTTATGAACTAACTGACAAAGAAATAAAAACGGCAGTCCCATTTGCAATAGCTACAAAATAATAAAATGGGATTAAATACAACAAAAGAGGGGAAAGATCTCTACAAGAAAAACTACAAAACATCGATGAAAGAAAAGAAAGGGGTCACACACACACACACACACACACAAAGATAGACATCCTATACACATGGATTGGAAGAAATTAATATCATTAAAATGAACACACTACTCAAAGCAATCTCCAGATTCAATGCAATCACTATCAAAATACCAATGTTATTTTTCACAGAAAAAGCATAAAGAATCTTAAAATTTGTATAGAACAACAATAAAAAAGAACCTGAATAGCTAAACAATCCTGAACAAAAAGAACAAAACTGGAGTCATCACATTCCTTGACCTCAAAATATATTGTAATTGCATAGCAACCAAAACAGCATACTATTGACATTAAAAAAGGTCACACAGAACAATGGAACAGAATAGAGATCCTTGGAATAAATCCATGTGTTTAGAGTTCAGTGATTTTCGACAAAGATGCCAGAACATAAATTGAGGGAAGGACACTGTCTTCAGTAAATGGTACTGGGAACATTGGATATTCATATATACAAGGATGAAATTGGACACCCATCCCTCACCATATGTAAAAATGAATGCAAGACAGATTAAAGACTGAAGCATAAAACCAGAAACTATATAACTACTAGAAGAAAACATAGGGCAAATACTTCCGATTATTGGTCTGGGCAAACATTTCATGAGTAAGACCTCAAAAGCACAGGCAACAAAAATAAAAACAGACAAATGGGACTATATTAAACTTAAAACTTCTGCAAAGAAAAAATTGAGTGAAGAGAAAACCTGTTGAATGGAAGAAAATATTTGCAAACCATTCATCAGACAAGTAACTAATATCCACAATACACAAGAAACTCAAACACTTCAAAGTAGTAGTAGTAATGATAATAATAATAAGTGGGCAAAAGGACATGAGTAGATATTTCTTAAAGGAAAACAGACAAGTGGCCAACAAGTACATGAAAAAATGCTCATCATCACCATCATCAAGAAAATCTAAATCAAAACTACAAAAAGATATTACTTACCCCAGTTAGAACAATTTTTTAAAAAAAGACAAAAATAACAGATGCTGCTGATGATGTGGAGAAGAGAGAATTCTTATACATAATTGGTGGAAATGTAAATTAGTATAGCCTTTATGGAAAATAATATAGAGATTTCTCAAAAAACTAAAAACAGAACTACCATAAGATCCAGCAATCCAAATCTGGGCATTTAACCATAGCAAAATAAATCAATATATTAAAAATATATCTGCATTCCTGTGCTTCTTCTAACATTATTCACAATAGCCAAGATATGGAATAAAGCTCGGTGTCCATCAATGAACAAATGGATAAAGAAAATGTGGTATATATACACAGTGGAATACCTTTCAGCCATAAAAAAGACTAACATCATGTTGTTTGCACAATGGGAATGGAATCAGAAGTAATCATGTTAAATGAAACAAGCCAGGCACAGAAAGACAAATATTGCATGTTCTCATATGTGAGAATTAAATAATTTGATCTCATGGTGATAGCAGAATGATAGATAGTAGAGGCAGGGAAGGGTGTGTGTGACGGGAGGGATAAAAAGAGATTGGTTAACGGGTACAAACATACAGTAAGAAAGAATAAGTTCTTATGTTTGATAGTAGTGTAGAGTGACTATAATTAAGAAGAATGTATTCAATATTTCAAAATAGCTAGAATAGAGAACTTGTAATGTGGCCAACACATTGAAATGATAAATATGTAAGGTGATATACACCCGAAATACCCTGACTTAATTATTACACATTCTATGCAGGTAACAAAATATCGTAAGTATCACATACATATGTACAAATATCATATATCAACAAAAAAGTGATTCAAAATTAATATAAATGGTGCAAAGTAAGAATATTAGATTAGGCTGTAGATTGTAGAGTGTGTTAAAGCCTACATCCATCATCTATTTTTATTGTAAATCATAAATTAATAGGCAAAATATCAGAGTTAATATTTGGCCTGATTTCTGCTTGAGTCCATGCTGTTTCAACATCATTAAGTTTTTTACCAAGTTTCTCTCTCTGGCCCAATGGATCACATAATATTCAATGGTCAATTATGCATAATTCTGGGGTTCCTTTTTCTAGTCATGGTTTAACTAACAGTAACTCTTGAAAATGGTATGGGGAGAAAAAAGCATACAGCTTTTTCATCCTCCTATTTTTAATCCCTATGAAAAAAATAGCTCTGTTATTATTGTGGGCGAGGATGCAGGAAAAAGGAGGGACACTGCTGAGAAGAAAAAATATGAGGGTGAGCGGAGAGAAGTCAAATATAAAGTGGGAGATAAGAACATGGATAAGCAGGAGTTCAGAGACAGAAAGGAGAGAACAAGGTGAGAAAGGAAAAAAAAAAGAGGAGAGGAAGAGCCAGGATAGGGGGTCCAAGAGTCAGCTTTATTCCCATTTTCTATTTATGTAAGTCAGATCTTGGTCTCCCAGCCCCGGTTTTGGCCAATCCAAAACGACTGTGGTCTTACTCAGCAGAGGAATAACTTTCAGATCCTATCTATCATAAATGTGAATAATGTATTGTTTGTATATAACTTTTTAGGCATACCGAACTTTTTAAATAGCTGTTTTCCTGAGACATTATTAAATAATTGTCACTACAGGTATTTCATATCCTCTCAGATTCATCTTTTTCAAACTCAGTGATTATGCCACATACTTAAATTCATATCAGATATAGTTACATTAAGTTTATTTTATAGTTTGTTAAGCCAGTGCCATAATAACTTTTCATCCCCAGATTAACTTCTTTTACACAGCAACAAACCATGATCCAAGCAGCTCAGCTTTTGAGACTGTTATTACGCATGCACGGTCGCATATTGTCTTAGCCAGTGTCTGTGATTATTCACTAAAGAATTTTGCATATACTCATTATCCACGAGAGTCTTCCTCTTCCTTATTTGTTCACGGCTCAGGAGTGAGACCTCCTGTGTGTTGCAATTTAGATGTAAAAGGAGTTTATTTTAGGAATGTTCATCTTTCAACACTAAGGTACATACCCTTGGTGAAGTGCATGCATAAGTTCCGTGGTGTTAACGAGAGTTCTACATGTTCATCAATAGAAAACGGGAAAACCTTTGGTCACAGACAATGTCTCCAGCAGTGAGAAAGGCATATTCATTTTCTGATCTAGCAGTTATCAAAATCAGCATGAGTTCTTCTTTCTCTGGTAGAAACTACTGGATTGGGAACCTGATTCGGGCCCCTCGGGGAATGTAAGATGGAAGAGAGTTATCGAAGAGACATCATAAAATATTCATGAGGAACTCACATCTATAGTATGCTTTACTACTGCCTGTGATACAAATAGTGTATAGAACATAGTTTCTCCATTTAACGTGGGTCTCTAATCTGAAGTAACAGAGAAATAAAAAAAGATGACTGGGAAAAAAACCTGAAAAATCACTTTCTAATGATATTTATGTATAAGTTAACATATAGAGTAGGACAAACAGACATTTTGTAAGTCCATACATTACTTTCATTATTGAATTTAGCCAACATTATATTTTTTTCATATAATTTTTACTATAAATTATTCACTTAACATTTTACTTTTTTATTTTTGGTTTGTTTCAGAGACAGGGTCTTGCTATGTTGGCCAGGCTGCAGTGCAGTGGCATGTTTATAGCTCACTGCAGCCTCAAACTTCTAAACTTATGCTTAGGCTCCTGAGTAGCTGGGACTGCAAGCATGTGCCACCATGCTACACACAATTATTTTTCTGTAACGACTGATAGAATAGGACACAAAGCAAATGCATGATTTGCCTCTGGGAACTACTTGATAAATGGGAAACATCGAAAATAGATATTAATTCAAGTAGGATATACTGACATACCAAAACATATTTCATAGATGTCCAGTCATTTTAGGCTCAGAGAGAAAAGAAAATTAGAAGTTCTTATTTGGACATGGAGCTTTTCAGTTATGAGATGAATAGGTATTGAAATTCAAACAAAATGTGAGACAAATTATTAAAGTTGGGGAAAAAGTTTGAGTAAACCTTATTTTAAAGATAATATGGATTATGAATTCTTCCTTTAAAGAGGGTGTGTTTTGGCCATTTAGAGGGACAAAATTGATACAACAGCTGGAGTTTATTGTGCATGACCACAAATACTAAGCTGAGATAGCTGAGCTTTGATACCAAGAATTATTATCAACACTTCGGAATCTTGCATAAAAACCAAATTAATGACATTTTAAGTATTCTGATTTTTCTAGATGCTTCTCAGTGAAAAACATAATACAATGTACATGGAAACAAAGTATAAAGAGAAGTTCAATATCATGGTGATTGACACATTAACAAATACGTGTAGAATACTGCTGTGTAGGACAATATTCCGAAAGATATTCTCCAAAATCTGGCCTCAGTTCTGAGGACAAGTTATTAGCTACTTTAGAACTTTAGTAAAACTGGGAGGGCATTTAAAAGTAAAATCATAGTAAGTTATTGACTAGGTTGTATTGAGAGCTTCTTAAATTTGTGTTTCTGGTAGCTGACACAGGTCATTGAGAAAAAAAAGCAAAAGTCAAATTCTTTTCAAAAATTACATTTACTATAAAGACCATTCTAATATCCTTTGTACTGAGCACTGATCATTTGACCAACAGGATTTTTAAACCCTAGAAATGCAAAGTTCAATTTCGAATGTGAGTAGAAGTTAATATATATACATATAGCTTTAATACTAAATGGCTTAAGAAAATATAGAAAATAGAGCCTTCTTAGCCTATTAAAAGGAAGAATAAAATAGTTTATCAAATCTTCCCCTATTTTATTATGATTCTTATCATTGTTTCTACACTCATTCAGGCTATGGGTTTTCATTTATATTGGTACAATAATCTTCAAAATTCATCCAGTAAATTTGAAATCTTTGAATTCTCGGTCATAGCTACATAGTTCAAATATTTTACTACACATTTTTAGTTAATACACCTTTAGACAAATTAAATAAAATTTGTTGTCAGAGACTTTTACAACTCCGAATTAAAAACAAAACAAGCATACCTTTTTACTGGGTGAACATTTCTCGCTTGTGTAAACCCCATGTGTAAAATATTCCCTAAGTGTTGGAAAATTTTCTTCTATATTTTTCTATATTTCTATATATTTTTTATCTTGTAATATTGTTTCATCATAACTTAATTCTTGTGATTCTCAGCTTTACTATTGTATATTTTATCCTCCCAGAGCTCTACATTTTCATATGTTCAGTATTTCATGGGAAATTTTCTTTAAGATGTTTTTCCTTTATATCAAACTGATTCAATAAAAAAAATTAAAAGCCAAAGTGTTGCCATTTTCATAAAAACAAATAATATTCCTCCCTATTCCTCCTAATGATACTACCACTTCTGAAACTGTATTGACTTGAAATCTTGTGTGTTGTGGTATATAGTATCGAGTGAGTAACAAAATTCTAATTCCCTATCCCCTTCCTCTAAGGCATTTTTCAGTCAACTGTAGCTGTGTAACAAAGATGTGTTCGTTGAGGCATATGGCACGTATGGAGAGAATTTTAGAAAATAATTCTATTTTTCTTTTTCCTTTCTTCCTGTAAGATAGATATGATAGCTTGAAGGAAGAAACTATCCAGTGACCATGAAGAAAAGACCGTAACAATATTAAAAAAAACCTTAGCTCTATTATGCTTGAGCCTTCTACAGCTAAACCAAGGCTGGCAGCCACCTACCTCTGGACTTATGTCAGAAACAACCCTATATCCATTCACCACCATAGGCAGATTTCCTTTCGCTTTTTATTTTTTTAATTTTTAATTTTCTACTTTTTTAATAGCTAGTACTACAGATGTGTGCCACCCTGCCTGGCTAATTTTTCTGACTTTTAGTATAGACGAGGTCTGGCTGTGTTGCCCAGGCTGGTCTCAAACTTCTGAGCTCAAGCAATCCTCCCACCTCTCAAAGTGCTGGGTTTACAGTTGTTAGCCACCATGCCTGGCTCCCTTGCTATTTTTAATGTGAAATTTCTAGTTAAAAAATGTGCATGAGATATTGATTGCTTCTCTTTTAAATATTATTCATGCTTAATGTCTAATACTAAATATAATCATCTACATCAAGGATAAACAAACACTGTCTGTGGGCTAAATCTGGCTGGCCAACAGCTATTTTTGTGTTTTCTTTTTTGTTTTTTGTAAATAAATCTTCATTGCAACACAGCTATGCTTATTCATTCAAGCCTATGGCTGCTTTTGTACAACCATGGCAAAACTGAGTAGTTGTGACTGAGATTATTTGGCTCGCAAGATCAAAAATATTCACTAACTGGCCCATTACAGAAAAAAAATGGTCAACCCCAATCTAAAGGAATTAGCCTAGAATATATATGTCTATCTCTTTTTAAATGTATATTACCTTATTCTTTACAGAAGATGAAATTCTTACAACATTCTCTAAAGAACCCTATATTTTAAAATGGATTGTTTCCCAAAATATATTCTATGTAAGTAATAGAACAAAATTTACACAAATATATAAAATAATTTTTATGAGGACATAAAATAATTTTTCAGTCAGGTGTGGTGGCTCATGCCTGTAATCTCAGCACTTTGGGAGGCTGAGGTGGGCAGATCACTTGAGGTCAAGAGTTCGAGATCAGCCTGGCCAACATGGCGAAACTTGTAATCCCAGTAAACCTGTAACCTGGAGGCTGAGGAATGGGAGTCGCTTGAACCCAGAAGTCAGAGATTGCAGTAAGCCAAGATCGTGCCACTGCACTCCAGCCTGGATGGCAGAGTGAAACTCTGTCTCAAAAAAATAAATAAATAAAAATAAAATAATCATAAAAAATTAAAAAAAATTCTACTCAGAGCTACTAATTTTATGAGATTTAAAAGAGAGGTCTAAAATATATCAATCAACTTGGTTTAAGCTGATTTTAATTACAATTTTTGTTTGAGTTACATTTTCAAAATGATCAACCTTTAAAATAGAATTTAATTACCACTACATAAAATCTCCAATAAGATCTAAACTCTAATCAAAGGAAACTACTACCATACCAACAAGGGTGAACTACCACTCTAACCTGATTCTTGTTGGAAGCAGGGATCAAATTGTAGTTGCAAAAACAATTCTGTATTTTCTTCTACAATCCACGGAGACTAAAAGAACAACATAATATATTATTTTAAAACATCTTTACTTTATAAGATTTTCTTTGATGGCTTCATCACACTACTTTCCTCCCTTAAACCTTATACCATCTGTAGGAATTTCAAGTCTCTATAACATACCATATAATTTATTCACACCCCAACACCTGTCTATACAACGTACTGTAACATGGACATTTAATGCCCCATGCCACTAAATTGCTGATATATATCATCTGTGTTCATAGCATAAAATTTTATACATAAAATGGTATATCAATTCAATGCACATTTCACAGTAGTACTCACCCTTTTATGAGAAGCTGACGCCAGGCTGATCTGATAGGAGGGGGAGCTCAGGTGGTAATTCTCACTGGCATGCTGCTCACCTCCTCTGCTGTGTGGCCTGGTTCCTAACAGGTCTTGGACTGATTACCAGTCTGCAGCCTGGGGGTTGTGGACCTCTGTATAGATCACTTTATCACATCTCTGTTTACTGATTTTATGTCTTTCCCACTGGATAGTGTGGTTGAATTGCCTAAGGGTAAACTCTCCAATATGTAATTCTGTCTCCCAACTGTTTGAGGCATGACTTCAGCTATTGCACCATTTTCCTTTTGTATTATCAAATTGTATTAATAATTTTAATGAATATAAAATATGCTATAATCTCTCCCATTTAAAAAAAACACTATTTTGTTGTTTTATACCACGCCAGATACCACAATATTTCTCTTTCAATGTTTATTTTGAAAGAGTTGTTTATCTGTATTCTCCTCAATTCCTCTGCTAACCATTTTCTCTTACAACTTGTCCAGTCAGGATTTTGCTGTCACCCCTCCAGGAATTTGTTTTAGGTCACCAATGATCTGCAAATTGCTAAACACAATGGTTAGCTCTCTTAGTCTTCATCTCCTTTGGCCTCTCAGGAAAACACCAGTTTAACAGGATCTTCCTTCTCTCATGTGACTTTCAAGATCCATATTCTTGAAATTGTCATCCTATTTTACCCTTACTACCTCTCGATTTCCTGTGTTATTTCTTTTCTTCTATGTAACCATAAAACATTGAAATATCCTAGATGGCAGCTATCATATCCTCTTTCTTCTCTCTCTACACACACATTGATGGAGAAAACACCTAGATCACCTTCTATATAATCTCTAACTGATGAATTAGCCACCATTAGTATATCTAACATCTAATGCATATTTTGTACCTCTAATATGGTGAAACAAAGTTGAATACTGGTTAAATATATTTCATATGTGATATATAAGTAATTCACTTTCATGGTTTTAAATATTGTCTGTATGCAAATAATCCTCAATTTGTATGTGTCGCTATAATCTTTTCTTTGTATCATAGACCGATATATTCAACTATTTACTACATATTTCTACTTGAAAGTCCATTAGTTATTTCAATGTAACCGTGTTCCCAAACGAATTCTTGATCTTTAACATCAAAACTTTTCTTTTCATTATATCCCCTGTGAAAAATTTTAGAATCAAAATGGAGTAACTCGTGCTGAAAAAAATCCACACCCTGATAAATACAGCTAGGGAAAGCTATGAAGAGAGAATACTTATGCATACATGCCTGATAACAAAAACTATAAGGAAAGACTGCAAAAAATAAACTTCTACATCCAAAAATTTTAAAAATGCTTCTACAAGGACATCTGCCCAGCAACTTCCTGCCCAGCCTTGAGCTGGGATCGCCCTTGTAGCAAAAGATAATAATTATCTCAAAACAATTATGTAATCTTTCTTATACATTCCTGAAAAGCTTTTGTCTTCCTTTACCTCCTGGAACACACACCTGGTTTACTATGGCAGACATATTCTATTTGCAATGCTTTATTTCCAAATAAATGTTATTTTCTTTTTTTTTTTTTTTTTTTTTTTGAGACGGAGTCTCGCTCTGTCGCCCAGGCTGGAGTGCAGTGGCGGGATCTGGGCTCACTGCAAGCTCCGCCTCCCGGGTTCACGCCATTCTCCTGCCTCAGCCTCCCAAGTAGCTGGGACTACAGGCGCCCGCCACTACGCCCGGCTAATTTTTTGTATTTTTAGTAGAGACGGGGTTTCACCGTTTTAGCCGGGATGGTCTCGATCTCCTGACCTCGTGATCCGCCCGCCTCGGCCTCCCAAAGTGCTGGGATTACAGGCGTGAGCCACCGCGCCCGGCCTGTTATTTTCTTTTAGAGAGACTCTCTCTGTTATTTAGTTGACCTAAACGATGTCCAGTAGTGGAACCAAAAAAAGTTCATTATTGGAAAGAATCAGTAATTCTTGAAACTGGTGTTGAGTACTCACTTGAGCCCTTTGAACTCTCTGGTTCCATGGCTTGCCTTTTCTGCCCTGGTGAGACTTCTCAAGCTGAACCTTCCTTTCTTTGGTAGACGCTTTTTCATTTTATTTGGAATTTGTTTAGTTATGAGGCCATCTTTACTAAAGGGCTTTACTTCCCTCCTGAAATGATAAGAGACTTTTTGTCCTTTTTGGACAAAAGTCCTTTTTAATTAAGTATTTTTCTGATTTGAGTAATTTGGTTTCTATAGGATTTACATTTGTCTCTGAGGCTTAGCTTTTCCGGTGAATTTCCTTTTGGTTCTTTCTGCGCATTTAATTTAATATTTTGTTGTATCTGCATGCCTGGGTTAATATTTTGTGAACAATCTTATTTTGGTTTTATTTTGTTTTAGTTATGCACGTCTGTAAATGGTTTAGCTCTTTTCCCTGGCTTGTTTTTGAAAATATTCTCAGAGGAAAAATAAACATCCAAAATAATGGGTGCAGGACGGCTAATTAAAAGCCACTAAAGCAGTCATCACCATTTCAAAAACTAGTTCAAACTCCTGACATTCTCTGACAGGATGTATAGGCCTTTGCTCTTGAGAAATTAATAAGAAATCGAATAGGATTCTCAAACCTTAAAGCATGTCAAGGTTTTCTGAGAATACACTTGGCTATATTATGACCCACATTTGTGTACATTTTTTTAACTGCTGGGAAAATTACATCAACACAAACTTAGAGTTCATTTGGTTATTATTTAAACTATCTAAAAATAACTTGCAACTGTAAAGTTAGCATGTAGAGTATATGATTCTGTATTGCTCTAGTTTTTCTGCTGCCCACTTTGAATCTGCTTCAGACTTTTCTACTGGTGTGGAGATAAAACTCACTACCAATGGCATTCTAGTCAAGACTATTTTTTAAAGTTTTAAAGAATTTTCAAATATGACTTTACAAATTACAACAGCTACATGGCAACCAACAACCTAGATACCTTTTGGAAATGTAAATTTAGGTTTTTCTAACTAACAATTGTTTAGGTGATGGAACAGTTAATTGAATGATTGATAGTCTAAAAGGAAAGAACTAGGTAAATGATACATGTTTATAGAATTTAGACTCTTAAATGACACAGGTCAAAATTTTGAACTCAGAGAACTAACATAAGATATCGCTGTCCAGTATAAAATTCCTTTTTCTGCCATGAAGGAGACAAAAAGAAAAATATGAAACAAATCCTACTAAAGTGCTTGCCCACCTGCATTGACTAGTCAAGCAAACTAGACCAACAAACAAAAGATAATTTTGTTACTACAAATTCAAGATAATTTGGAGATTTTATTTTTTAAAAATGTACAAATCAGCCAGTCCTAGTTAAAATGTAAACATTGAAAGCTTAACCTTAAACTTATTTGAAACTGAGAAATGTTATTTTAAAACCAAAGTGCTATGGTTTACTCAAACTGCTATACCCAAAATTTTGGTTCACAGTCTTCATTAGATTACATAGTAGGGAAAATAGCTCTGTGAACAGGCCTCATTTTATCAGAAATGTAATTTGGATTCAAGTGTATTTTATATGCAAGAGAGTTGTATTACTACGCCTTGACTAAAATTCTAAATGGAAAGCTACAAGATCTTCGTGTGTGTATATATGTGTTTAGGTCTTGATATGGTTTGGATCTGTGTCTCCACCAAATCTCATCTTGAATTGTAATTCCCAAAGTGGGAGGTGAGGCCTGGTGGGAGGCGATTGGATCATGAGGGCAGTTTCTCACGAATGGTTTAATACCATTTCCCTTGTTACTGTCCTTGCAATAGTGAGTGAGTTCTCATGAGATCTGGTTGTTTAAAAGTGTGTAGCACCTCCTGCTTCTCTTCCTATTCCTCCTCCTTAGCCATGTAAAGTGCTGGTTTCCTCGTGGACTTCTGCCATGATTGTAAGTTTCCTGAGGCCTCCCCAGAAGCCAGGCAGATGTCATCAAGCTTTCTGTACAGCTTGAAGAATTGTGAGCCAATTAAAGCTCTTTTCTTTATAAATTACCCAGTCTCAGGTATTTTTTATAGCAGTGCAAGAACAGCCTAATACAGGTGTGTTTACATCTATGTGCATATTTCATTGTGTATTGTGTCTACGTAGTAGAATCTAGCATAGACATTCAGAATTCCCTAAACATGGTTTATGCAGCTTGGATTACATAAAAGAATGTTCATATAAAATATATAGTAATTAACTCAACTTTCTTTTAGTTTACATGAATTAAGTAAATCTTTGATAAATAAACTTGTTGTAATGTAGTCAGTAACATAAAAATAGAAATGTCTTCAAAATTGTCAGCATGCATTTTTGTATAGGTTTACTTATTGGTCAGGCAATTTTGGGGTTTTATTTTGTTTTTTAAGTGGTAAGGTATTGCTATATTGCCCAGGCTAGCCTTGAACTCCTGGGCTCAAGCAATCCTACCATCTCAGACCACTGAGTAGCTGGGACTACTGGCATGCACCACCATGCCCATCTAGACAGTTTTATGTTTTTCTCATTAGGTGTTTAAAGGTGTCAGGATTTGACACAAAGTTTATAAAACTACAAACCTAGGCTAAACCAGAATGATCTTTATTTGTGCAGTTCTTTAATAATCTAATATTGTTGATTTAATGAAAACAGGTGGATCATCAGAGTTGTTGGCAGAATATGTACATATTTAAGATTCCTATTTAGTTGAACAACTTATATTCCATAGATTATAAAAATGGTTAACAAAAACGTAATGAAATGATGAGTAGTTTTGTCTAATATCTCAGTTTTATAAGTAGTCTAGGCATAATTGTTAAAAATTAAATTAGGTAAATGTAAATAAGATAAATGTTTACAAATTAACTTTCCATGTATTGTGAAGTCTTAAAGCTATACTAAATTAAATAATAGATACTCATTAAATGTTTGGGCCATTTTCAATTAAGATAAAAATGCTGAAACAATTTGTTAAACACAAATATGTTTGTGCTTAGCTTCTTAAATTTTAGAAAAAGACTACATTTATTTGAGTCTATTAATACCATAAAAATTGTGTTATGAAGAAATATTATTTTAAAACTTATAAAATGGTTCTCATCTATAAAATACTAATATGTGATGGTTCAAAATTAGTTGCTTTCTAGGTTTTCGCTGGAAATTAAGGTTACTAAGAGTTATTATATATAATCCCATATACGAAGTATATCGAAAAAGAGTTTTTGATGACAAAAATTATGAGAGAGAAATAAAAATTTATTCTTTATTGAGGAAAAATAATAATTTTGACTAAATTTAAATGCTATTAAATGCTGTTTCAAAATATAAAATTAGGCAAGAAATAGGAACCTAATAGAAAGAAAGGCACTAGTAAGTAGGAGAGACAGATGTTAAGCAAGTCATGAGTACAAAAATGTTATATTTGACTAGTAAGATTAATAAGAAAAGAGTAAAATTTTGTATGAGGAAAAAATCTTATGTGGTACATTTTTGTCCTAAAGTAAAATGACTAGTTATTTAAGAATAAGGAAGTATAGGACATAGAAGAAAGTATAAACATGATGTCAAAAGTCTCAGTAGGTTGTAAAAAGGTTGGTGAAGGATGAATTTATAAAAATAATTTGTGTGTGATCAAGTTGGTTATAATAGGAGGGAATTATTTCTAATTCTTTCTAAATATTTGAGCTTTTATGTCAAAAATACACATACAAAACTAAAAATATGGTCCCCTATATTAGAACAACAAGTTTTTCTTAAAGTATTGATTTGCTCTTAGTACATGTTACAAGAAGTTTTAATTTTTAATTCTGAAAATTTTTTTGGCCTGCCATCTTCTAACCTGCAGACAGTTTCTATTTTTGCCATATTTCTTCCTGAGATCAATTTAATTTTTCTAGTTTCAGTTTAGAAATGCTGTCTTTTCATTCAAAATAGTAATTCAATGTTTTGAGGTAGACTTTTCCTCTTATAGTTTCTCAAATTCATATTTCAGAAGTTCAAATTTGGAACATAAATCATTCTATCATAAAGACACATGCATGCATATGTTCATTTCAATGCTATTCACAATAGCAAAGACATGAGAGCAATATAATTGCCATCAGTGGTAGGCTGAACAAAGAAAATATGCTACATATACACCATGGAATACTATGCAGCCATAAAGAACAATATCATATCCGTTGTAGGAACATGGTTGGAGCTGGAGGCCATTATCCTTAGCAAACAAATACAAGAATAGAAAATCAAATACTGCCTGTTCTCACTTATAAGCAGGAGCTAAATGATGAGAGCAAATGGAAAGATAGAGGGGAACAACATACACTGGGGTGTATGTGAGGGTGAAGGGTGGAGGAGGGAGAAGAACAGAAAAAATAACTATTGAGTACTGGGTGGTGAAATAATCTGTAAAACAAACCCCCTGTGACACAAGCTTACCTTACCTTTATAACAAACCTACACACGTACCCCTGAACCTAAAATAAAATAAAAGAAGTTCTACTTTGGCAGTATTTTGTAGTATATGATTTGTAAGTCATGCATCATTTTCTTCAGGTATTTTTCTCCTTGAGAAGTTCTGTGATAATAACTCACTTTGAACTTTTTCATCTGCTTATGTAGCATTTCTCCCCCTGGTTCTAACTAAAATGTCATTACCTACCACTGAGATGTTTGTTTTAAAGGAATAGAAAAGCAATGTTTTCCTACAGTATAACTTGATTCTGTATGCTTGGCTTTTCTGGATATGTCTGAATTCTTCTGTGTAACCAGGAGATTTCACATACTTTTACTTTTTTTCAGAGCCATATATTCCCTTGCTCAAGGAAATGGTTTTCTTATTTATATTTCTTTAAGTTGTGGTATATACTTACAACCTTGGACACATTCTTCCCATGTCTAGACAAATTCAAGTACCTTTCTTTAGGCTTAACCTCAAAGTAATCTAAATGAGCTTTCTACAAGGGAAAGCAATCGCACTGCAGGAAGTTTTTCTTTACATTTGATAACTCGTGTAAAAAACACAGATTTTACATTTTATCAAGATAATTTTTGGTGTTGCATTTATTCATTTTTTATTGTTTAGGAAAACTGAGCTTTGAAAAGTTTAATTATTTTTTACATTTGTGTAGCTTTCTTTTGAAAGACTGTTGGAGACTTTTGATTATCACTTTTGTTAAATGAATGATTTATTTCACCAATGACTATTGTTTCACAATGACTTTTGCTAAATAAATGACTGTTATTTTACATTGATCTGTAATCTTGTTTTGTTCAAGTTTTTCAAACCTTTTGACATTCTGAAAATCTTCCTTAGGATCAAAATTCTAATTAAATCTTTCTGATCTATAACTAACTTTGGTATTTTTTAGTTGGACATTATCTTTGGAGATATTAAAGAATTTGGCTTCTTTGGTAAGTCATATGGTTAACATTGTCAAATGATGAGTGATATTAAATCTTCTTTTAATGCATGTAAGGGCTTTTCATTTATATAAATATTCCAAAATTATATGAAACTCTTAGATATATATTTCAGCAGTCATACCTCTGAATACTGTTGTAGCCACAAAAATAACTAAGTTTCCTTGTCAGTTGCTGATAATAAACTTTCATCATGTTTTTTACAATAATTATTCTAAGTTTTTGTCATTTGTACTTATTACATTGAGTTCTTCTCTGAAGGTGTTTACAATCAGATTCATTGAAATGATGCTAACAAGCACTCTTGAATACAGATTTCTCATAACTTTAAGATCAATTGACTAAATAATTTTTTCAAAATTCTAATGGAAAAACAGGGTTCATAAAACTGCTAATCAAGGTAAAGTAGAAAAACATTTACAAGAGATTAAATAACTGATGATGATACTGTTTTTATGAGTTTTAGTTAAAGCGCTGTTGGTTCTTTACTTAAATTTTTTGTTTCCCAGATTTAAGAAAATGTTCTTTAATAGCTATCTATAGTTTATGCAACTTGGTATAACTTCTGTAAACAAAGATCAAAGAATTGTTTTTTCTTTCTGCTTGATTTCTACAAAATGCAGAAATTATTTGTCAGTATTCTTGTTTTATATGGCAATATGGTTATTTGTATAAGTTCACTAAAGTTAACTCTCTCTTTATAGCAGGTACAATTGGAAACATCGATTATGCTACCAACACTTTGACTGAAATATAGCGCTTGAGAATGTGCATGCAATATCTGGTTTCAAGGGCTCTCAGCCTTACAGTCAGTAAAAGTTGTCACTTTCTAATAGGCCCAGGAACCTTGAGACTATAAGTAAAATCTAAATTCTGCCTTGGTTTGGCTTGCTAGCATCCAGATGTTTTCAAATATGAGATTTCTATGTGATCAATGTAGGTAAGTTTTCAAAAGAGAAAGTATAATATACCTGATTGTATATAGAATGTAGCTCTGAGCATTCTTTTTGAGTTCTTGTTATTTACCTATACACTAGAATACATAGTGAATTATTCTAGATTCCTGCAACCCAACTTTATTTCATAAAATTACTAAAAATGGGAACTTCTTTGTTCCTGAAGATCTATAAGTTGAAACAAGATAAATTTTAAGGAAGAAGTCTCATGTTTGATGTGTGGACAACACAAAATTCACCAAACTGCTCAATGCCTTAACCAGAGACAATAAAACTTCAACCCTGGATGAGAGAATGATATTTCCACGCTGAAAACAGCTATTACCAAGATGTCAGAACAGGACTCCATACTGAAACTCTTATCCCTCTTAATGCCTATCTTTTTTTTTTTTTTAATTGGCGGCTTTTAAGTTGAGGTATATGGCTCAAAACTATTGTGTAAATTGGAATTGTCATATTACTAAGTTTAACTTCATATTTTCTGTTTTTAAACTTTGCACCTGTTACTTGTTAATTTTTTGCAGAAGTGTAACTCCTGACAAAATAATGTTGGTCCAGCACATTGAGATAACAAAAGGCTACAACATATAAAAATAAAACTAAATAATAAACTCTCATCAGACTTTTCCTGACAGCCATTCTCTTCACACCTCCCTTGTTTGTCAAATGCGGCTAAAATGGTTTTAACACTGACTCCTAGCTGCCATTCACTCTCTCTAACAGGACCAGGTAAGCAACCTGGGATAGGTCCATCCTGGCACCAAGAGTCCTCAAAACCTAATTACAGAATGATGAATCAGTTATGCTTTCAGAGAAAGATCTTGATCAAAAGTGGAAAATGAGAAAGTAGTCAGAATTAACATGGAGTCACTTGTGTTAGAAAAAAACCAAAACTGACAGTCAGGGAAGGCTGTAAGTATAGGCTTCTCATGCATACATGTGTGATAGCAAAAAGTATCACAAGACTGCAAATACTGCAACCTTGCATAAATTTCATCACTCTTACCCAAAAATTACTTCTGCAAAGACATGTGCCAAGCAACTGCCTGTCCAGCTTAATTATCTCTAAACAATTATGAATTATCTTCATTTTACCTTTAAAAACACTTTGTCGTCCTTTACTTCCCTGAATATGCACATAGTTTACTATGGCACACATATTCCCATTGCAATGTCCTATTCCCAAATAAATATCATTTTCTTTTAGACAGCCTCTCTGTGTTTATTTTGCTTGACATCCTAAAGTAGAAAATTCCAAGTATATCTTCTCTGTTATTTGAGCCAAAAAAAAACTTAGATTAAACAGACTTTTCTGATTCTATTCTATTCTATCTACTTTGTTGGCAAAATTTGTTGGCTTGACCTTCAAAAGGAAAATAGAATCTGAATCTTCCCACCATCTCGGTCATACTATTCAGATCCAAGTTACTATCACCTGCAACGTGATTAAGCAAGAGACTTCAAACTAGCCTCATTGCTCCCAAACTTTTTCTCCTATAATCTATTCTGAAATATATCTCTTGAACAGAATTTAGAAATTGCTATGTTAAAATTACCCAGTGACTTCCCATATTCTTTAAATCAAAAGCCCAAATTCCACAATGTATTAAGTGATCTACACTTCTCATACTCCATTACCACATTGCCTGCAATATCTATTACCTTCCTGTATTTTCACTGAATTCTACCTTATTGGCTTCCTTACTGTGCTTGAACATGTCCGGTATCTAGCTGCATCAGAGCCTTTCCATTTCCTGTTATTACTGCTTGTTTCACTTCTAATGAGAATATACATGCCTCTCGTTCCTTTCTCTCATTTATATTTTTGCAAAAATATTACATTTAGAGCTTTTCAAGTCCTCCTATTTTGAAATAGTGCCTTCTTCCCACACTACGACCTTTTATCTTCCTTTCTTGTTTTTAAATTTTGCCAAAACACTAACTCGCATCTAACAATCATTATGCTATACTTATTAGTTGTGTGATAGGAAGAGTCATAATGATCCAAAGATGTCCATGTGTTATTCCCTGGAATGTGAGAATGTGTTAAGTTGTATGATGAGGCAAAATTAAGATTGTGGATGGACCTAAGGCTGTCAATCAGCCGACATTAAAATAAAGAGTGTACCCTGAATTTTGTGGGTGGGCCGAATACAATCACAAGGGTCTTTTACAAGCAAAAAGGGAAGGCACAAGTGTTAAGATGTCAGAGTGATGCAACGTGTAAAAGATTAAATTGAATGTTGCTGGGTTTGAAGATGAAAGGGGGACATAATCCAGTGAATGTGAACAGCTTTCCTGTTAGAAGCTGGAAATGGCAAGATAATTGATTTTGCCCTGGGATTCTGAAAAACAATGCCTTACAGCCAGTGTTTTTATTTGAACTCAATGAGACCTCAGTTGGAATTATAAGCTCCAAAACTGTAAATTAATAAAAGTTTTGTTCTAAAATAATTGGTGTTAGTTTTTATAGTATCAATAGGAAACTAATGCTATGTATTTTGTATCTCCTACTAGAAATATAATTTCCAACACACAGCTTTTTTGTGTTTTGCTTACTGCTATATCTTTAGAATTTACAACAGTCTGTAGCATATTGTAGCTTCTCATAAAAAGTATTTTTAATGAATAAGTGAATGAATGCAAATAAAGGTAAAAATTCTGGGTAAAAACATCTAGGAAAAATATAGGAAGATAAATCCATCACAATAATAAAAGATTTATCCCCTTATTCTTATCTAAAAACCTGTCTTCTTTATCCTACGGGCAATTAATTTGTTAACTTTACCCTTCTGCCATATGTGCTAGAATAAAATTTGAACAACTGCAGCAAGAGAACCTATTAGAAAAAGATACATTTTTCTGTTATTTTCTGTCCTTATATCTTTTTAATGCTTTCTTTTTGTTTTGATAATTTATTTGAACTTGTGGCAGGCTTTCTCTTCCTGTCCTTTCTCTAGACTCGCTCAAAAACTTCTTGTCCCTTTCCCGCTCTTTAAACCAAGACAAATCATTATCTATGAAATTTCCTCAGGGTTTTTCTCCTATTTCAGGACATAAATCCTAATAATGTATTTTCTATTGTCCTTTTAATATGTTCCTTCATGTTCTGACCTCATGTCAATTCTACTCTTTGCCCTTACAGTTAAGAAAACAGAGCTTAGGCTGGGCACGGTGGCTCACGCCTGTCATCCCAGAAATCTGGGAGGCCGAGGCGGGCGGATCACCTGAGGTCGGGAGTTGGAGACCAGCCTGACCAACATGGAGAAACCCCTTCTCTACTGAAAATACAAAATTAGCCGAGCATGGTGGCACATGCCTTTAATCCCAGCTACTCGGGAGGCTGAGGCAGGAGAATTGCTTGAACCTGGGAGGTGGAGGTTGCAGTGAGCTGAGATTGTGCCACTGCACTCCAGAGTGGGCAACAAGAGCGAAACTCCGTCTCAAAAAAACAAAAACAAAAACAAAAACACACACACACACAAACAAGGCTTACTTTTTCTCTTAAGGTGACCAGATTTCCTGTTTTTTCCTAGAACTGGTGGAGGGAAGGATTCATCATGTAGGACTTTTCCTTTCAAAACACGGATATTCCAATTGTTTCAAGAAATACATCTCGATTTATCTAGGACTAAGAGGATTCCGAGGATGCAGGAATTTTAGTGCTAAAACTAAGAAAGACCCTAGGGATATGAGGATGAGCAGTTCACTCAACTTCATCCACAAGAGCTTCAAAACTGACTTGTTCTGAAGTAGCTAATGAAAAATAATTCTACGTATCTCTGAATGAGTTTCTATATAATTAAACCAATCACTGATTTTATGACATGGCTACTAATTTTTGATATCCATATTGTGTATCCCTGAAATGTATACCCACTATATAGCAAAGGAAGTGGATTGGATAATTTGTTGGACTACAAGTTGAGAACCCAAGGTTTCTGTCACTATGTAATTCTTCACCTAGATAAAGGAACTTTCTTCAAATGTCAGATGGGGACAATAATTTCTGCATAACTTGCCCATTGAGTTGTTAACGGTGTCAAGTAATATAACTATATAAAGAGAATATGGAGGCATAAATACTTGAATAAAAGCAATTTTGAAAATTTAATTGAATAAAAGCAATTTTGAAAAGTTAATTTTGAAAATTAACTTGACACTGGCAGTTTATTTTCTATTATTATCTCTTGAGCCAAGTATAAATAGGCTTTCTTGCCAATTACCAATCTCTCTAGGAAAGGGCAATACCTTCAGTATTAATGCTTCAACATAGTGCTGGGCATACCACCAATACTTAATTTAACATAATCTAGTAGTAACACAATCTAATATAAGTATGTTCAAGATTCACTTCATAACAGTTATGAGACTACTCAACATATTTGCAATCACATTTTTGTGCCTGAGGGAAACAATGAATCTTAGAGAGATAGCTCATACTAGCCTCGCACTGTTAAATTTTATGTAACGTTTACCTTATATTTGTCAATATAAGACAATAATCTGTGAAAACATTTTTCAAATGGGTTAACTTTTCTTAATATTATGAAATTATATATGAACATTATGTTAGCAATAATATATTGATAATATACTACTAAATGTGTTGAAATGTGTGCCTATAAAACTGAGCCAACATTTCAATTGTCTCCATATCTTTATTTTCCTTCACCTGTGCAGTGTATTTCATTGTAAATGTTCTCCTTACACTATTCACAGTGAGTTTTTAAATAGGGATATTAAAATGTAATTACTATATGAGTCTACAGTTATTTTTCAGCCTCTTTTTAATACAATTGACATTTTAAGCTGGATTACAATTAATCTCTTTTCTCCTTAATCCTTATGTATTTTTAAGTAGTCTTAATTAAGAAACATTTTTAATCATTCTTAAACACTTTTAAACAGTATTAATCAACCCTAAACAGTCTTAATCATGTTTGTGTTTTAAGGATTTATACAGATAGTGATAAACATAGTATCTATGCCTGATTTGCTATTTTAGTATCTAATTATTTTATGTCTATAGTTCATCTACTATTCACTTTTTATATAAAATAACAACTGATATGTTCCATGTATAAGAAATCAACATTCAAAAGGATATTTTTCAATTACACAAATAATTTTTGTAGTATACTATCAAAATCCTCTCAGGTGGTTAGTTTTCTGCTTATATTAATGTTACATTAATCTTCATTGGTAAAGCCATTTTGCCATTCTTTACAAAATTAACTTTCAGTTGTGGAATAAGAAGTAATGATTGTAAATAAGATACCAGGCAGTGTGTATGTTTGAGAGGGGATGTAAAAAGAAACTATTGGTATCCTTTTTTACCGTTTTTACACTGAGTATAATGTGTATTTTTATGAGGTCAAAATTTCTTGCAGATCTGAGACTATAATTATGTTTAATTAAAAGTTGAGTGCTAAAAGCAATAATTCTGTAAATTTTTTGAATATTATTTTAGATAATCTTTATACATGTATCCATAAAGCTTAAAATTAGTTGTTTAATTTTTAACTATAAACATAATTATTAAAGTTAAACCTGGAACATTAGGAAATTTAGAAACTCTTGTTTCTTAATAAGAGTTAAACTGTGAGAAACAAATTCTCATATACTCTGCTATAAATAATGATTGATTCATAGAATTATTATCGGTACAAAATGAACATTTGCATTTGTATTTTATTTTATACAGAAAATATTTTTGAAAGTCCACATTTGTGTTTCAATATAAGATATTTACAAAAGTGAATAAGGAAACAGTTCTTAAATTTAATTTGACTTAGTCCTATAATAAAATAATTATAATCCAATTTTTAAATAAACTGACAACCTTTTAGATGGATAATTAAATTTTAGCAATAGTTTAAGAATATTTCTTATGTTATTTAATGTTATTAAATGACATATGAGGCAAAATGACAGTTATAATACTTAAGTCTTATTCTATTCTTGAGGAATGTATTTTATTTACTCTTGCTTTAAAAGTTTATGATTCCAATTAAAATTGACATACCAATGAATATGAAATATTTTTAAAGTATCCTCACAAGGTAACTGATGGTATTAGGCAATAATAATAATAATAATAATAATAACAATAATGTGTTATACTGTGCTCTGAATTTGTATCCCCAAAATTCATATGTTAAAATACTAACCACTATGATGAAAGGTGAGGCCTTTGAGAAGTAATTAGCTTGAACCCTAATTTTGGGGATTAATGCTCTTATAAAAGAGACTCCAAACAGCTAGTGTGCCTCTTCCACTGTGTGAAGACACAGCAGGAATACATCTTTTATGAGTTAGGAAACAGGCCATCACTAGAAACCAAATCTGCTTGTGCATTAATATTGGGCTTCTCAGCTTCCGGAACTGTGAGAAATAAATTTTCATTGTTTATAAGCCACACAGTTTACGGCATCTTATTATAGCAGCCTGAATGCACTAAAACATGTTATAAGGTTTATAAGACTGAATAAGTAAATGTATGACAAAGGTAGCATAAAGCCTAGGAGAGGGGAAAGAGAAGTATACAATTATAGATATCTTATACTGTAGATGAAGTTGAATATTACTTGAAGGTATTCTATGATAAGCTAAAGATGTTGCAATAGACTAAATGTGCTCCCCCAAATTTCATATGTTGAAATCTTAATCCCAATGTGATGGTATTTGGAGATGGGGCCTTTGGGAAGTAATTAGGTCATGAGAGTGCTGCCCTAATGAATAAGGTTCGTGCCTTCATAAGATGACATCAGAGAGCTACCTTGCTCTCTTTCCTCTGTGTCTCAGGCAGTTCTTTACAGCAGTGAGAAAATGGACTAATACAACTATCAAGCTCATACATAGAGAAATGTAATAATAATATTTTAAAAACTCTAAGTCAAAAAGACAGCAAGAATATAGATCAGACTGGATAAATAGAAAATAAATGGCATATGACTAAAACATATTCAGTACAAATTGTGTTCATGTAAATAGACTAATACATTTAGAAGACAGACTCTTCAGTAAAATAATAAATATATACACTTTACAAATGAGACATTTCAATTATTCAGGTGCAGTAATATTGATATAATAAGATAGAAAAAGATAGAATGTATAGACACTAACTGAAAGAAAGCTAGCATTCCTATAATGATATGAGACATTTGAGACATTAAGGGAAATATATCATGAAAGATGAAGACCACCATTTTAATAAAATAATAAAAATATTTAATTCACCAGGAAAATATAACCACTTAAACTGGATGCACCTACTAATAAAGTATTGTATAAATTAAGAAACAATTGAGAAAGTAAAAGGCAAATGATATAAATTCACAAAGCCTGTGATTTAATTGTTAATAAATGGAAGTAATGAATAAGGGTATAGCAAATACGCAGAATGAGTATTACAAATCAATGTACCCCAAAATGTGGGATGCACTTACTTTACAATTGCACTAGGAATAATGAAAATTTTTTGACTGCCTGACAGAGACCACAAAACAAATCTCGAGAAAATGGAAAGCCTTTAATTCTTGCTTAGTATGTACTCTAACCATAGTCTGAATAAGGTCAAAACCAATTACAAATACTATCTTTAATATTAAGAAGTACATGTCTAAATAATGCATATGTCTTACTAAAATCATAATGTGTTTAGAAAACACTTTAATTATAATAAAATGATATAAAAATAACTTAAGAAATGTGGCCAGAGAAAACATGCTGTTTTAAAATCCTGTTTTAGTAACGAATAAAGATTAAAACTCAACGCATTGAGAGTTACATAAACGAAGATAGGCATCATCACACATCATATGAGTTTAATAAATAATAAGAGAATAACTTGAACAACTCTATGCCAGTTTGAAACAGAAATGAAAAACAAAATCACTAGAATTATATTACTTACAAAAATAACAAGATATAGAATACCCAAATTATCCTATATTAGATCTGTAGCTCACACAATTCTCTATAAGTGTCTCCATCTCTCTTTCCATCTTTATCTTCAGACTCACATAACTTCAGGAGTGAGTTCCAGATAATAATTAAACAAAATTTAATGACGATCTTCAGAAGACTCAGGGGAATACTTTACAATTCTGTTTATGAGTTCAGCATGAGAGAAAAGAATATTACAGGGAAATAGTTTTCATAGTTTCTAAAAATTATTCAGCAGAAAAACCAATAATATAAACAAAAATTAGTTAATCATGATACTTTTATGAGTGCAAAATTAGTTTAACATTAAGAATGAAAAAGCAAAAGAAAATTAAAAGTGACTTATTTATTGATGCTGCATTTCTCTGTGTAATACCATTATTTCTTCATAATTGTAAAATATCTATAGGTAAATTATTAGAATGTGTAGGTAATATTAGTACAGTTTTTTGCAAAAGGTTAATATGAAGGGTTAATTTTATTTTTATGCAGTTTTATATCTTTAAAATGAGACAAAAATACAATATTTATAATACTATCAAAAATACCAGAAGCCTTAGACTAAGTCTTTAAAAAGATTTGCAAGAAACCCACACTTACAAAAATAACATTGGGAGAAAATTAAAGATGATTAGATAATATGAAAGCTTTCAATTGTCTTACATTGGAAAATTTGGTGGCATAAATACGTCAATCTCACAAATTTCATTTATATATTAAATGCAATCCTAGTCAAAAAAAGATGTGGAAAATAAAATGCTAATTTAAAATATATGTAAAAATACAAAGGTCCAGAAATAGGCAAGAAAATAACACTAAATCATAATAAATCTGTAACAATAACCTATGATATTGCTCAAAATCTAGACAAGTAGAGCAATAAACATTGTAGAAATACCAGAAATAGAATCCTGTATAGAACACTGGATTAAAGAAAAACATGAAACTGTAAAAACAAAATGGGAAAAATGAAGTCTTCAGTAAATAGTACTGGTTCAATTGAATATCCTTATTACTACCTCATAACAATGCAACATTTCTTTCCAGATATATTGTGTATCTAAATTCTAAAGGCAAAATTCTGAAGATTTCAGAAAGTATAGGAGTGGTACCTCTCACATTGTAGGAGGGAGAGCATCTTAAACAAGAGGTGTAAACAATTATTCGGTTGCAAATTAGACAACATTAATATTAAAAACTTTTGTTAAAATATACATTTTCTAATCAAAGGCTTAAATAAGACTTCTGTTTACATGATTCTGGGTAGTAGAATATATATATGTATAATATTGTAGTGTTTATATATAATCCATTCTATTATATATTCTATATATACACAAACATTTATACACACACATACATATACGTGCATATATATATACACACACATACAATTTATATATATATATATATATATATATATAAAATAAGCCAATATTATTGGGTCCTTATACTGGGTTCTTGGTATTTTTAGTTGTTTTTATAGGTGAATATATATATATGTGTATATATATGCATATACATATATATATGCATATATTTATATGTGTGAGTGTGTATATATATATATATCTGGGCGGGTATTTTATTTAAAAATAAAAGAAAGGGCTGTCAACAAAAACGAATATGTACATTTAAAGGTTTTCAACACCATTCGATTTCAGTGAAACGTACACTAAACGTATTGTTAAGATACCTTTATGACCCAGCAGAACAACCAAAGTTAAAAATATTGACAATCTAAATGTTGAGCAAAAGAGTGAAACAAACATAACTGTCAAATACTGCTGTTGGAAATGTAACTTGGCACACCCTTTGAAAAATATAGTTATTTTGCAAAATTAAAAATCTGCATGTTCTATGACTGAAGTTATAAAGTATACTTTTGGTTGAGATATACTCTCTATATAATTTATATTAATATATACATTTGTGAATGAAAAAACTTATTTGTGAAAGTTCATAGTTATATTTAAATGTCCAGAAAAAAAAGTCCGGTTTCAGTAGAATGAAGAAATAATTTGTTATGTGTTCATTCATAAAATAGAGCAGCATGCACAAATAAAAATGTAGAAAGTACAAAAACATTGATGTATTTCACAAATACAGTACTGGGCAAAATAAGTAAGATATGAAATAAAGTTGGTGAATAAATTCATTATTATTATTTTTAAATAAAGGCAAATCTAAACTGCAATTTTAGAATTTTAAATATTGATTAACCTGGAAAGGAGGGAGATTTTAGTGATTTGAAAGGACACGAGAAAAAGTTCTGGGAATCTTATATTAAGTATGCAGATTTTGAACTGAGTGTCAGTTATATGGGTATAGAGATTAGGATAATCCATTGAGGCATGTGTTTATAGTTTTCCCATTTTACTTCATGCATTTTTTTAACACTAGAAATATATAAGAAGTGAGGAACCCCGTACTAAACGAAAAAGAAAGGAGCCTGCTGTAACGTCAATTAATAGTGGGAAAGAGAAGGGTAATCCGTTAATATAAGAAAACATAAAAATATCTTAACAGAAGGTTATGCTTCATTGTGTTTTGATAGATGCAATATTTTTTCACACTGAAGCCAGTATGGTGCCCCTGGGGTCTAGAGTTAAGTCCTTGTGGGAATTGAATTTGGGGGTGAATTGATTAGACTGTGAGCACCCATCTTGAATCCCACCACTTGATGTGTGTGCTTTGTCACGCTCTCATCGTCATATATATATATATATATATATATATATATATATATATATATATACATATATATAATTATACTTTAAGTTTTAGGGTACATGAATGGGGACTTGTAGAAGAGGGGAGTAAACTCTTCCCACTGAAGGTTATTATGTGTTCATTAAACTAAGAAGGAAAAATCAAGATAAAATTATAAATGGGAACAGGGATGAGTTTTTATCATTTCTTTTATTTCTACTTTTCAATGTTTCCCAAATTTTTTATAAGGAGCCAGCACTACTTAACAATTTTTAAAATTTAAAAGAAAAACATTTTTAATGAATTTAATTCTTAGCAGCAAAAATTTAAACCAATCTGGTTTTCTTGTTTCAACAAACTGTTAAATATTACCTTTCAGCAGGTACTGTGCTGGATAAAAAGATGAGGGATTTCGAATGTTCCCAACATCCCAAAAAAGTGAGAAATGTTTGAGGTAATAGATATGTTAATTACCCTGATTTGATCATGTGTACACTGTATATATTAAATATCAATATATTAAAATACAAAAAGAAATGAGGATGGATTGGTTTTCAGATATCAGAAAAAGTTCCATTGATTTGCAAGTTATTGATTGGTAGTCTTTAGTTTATATAAAGTATTATGGATTTATGGTTGTATGCGTATTCTAAATTTACACATAATTTTAAGTTTGCACATATTATTAAAATACATGTAATACCTACTTAATAAATAATTATTATAAAAATTTTGTGACAGTAATTTGTTTTCAAAGGCCAATATATAAATCAATTTTGAGGAGAAAAAAGTCTACTTTAGAAAAATAGATCTTATTTTGGATATTTTGGGTGACTGTCACTCATAAATGATCTCATATACTCCCCCAAAATTATGTGAATTTTTTGGAGAAAATAGTTTAAAGATTTTATCAGATTGGATCTAAAAAATATTAAGTACCTTTTCTATAAATTGTTTCTAAAATTAAGTGTTAGAGATATATAGCCTTCCAATGTGCTACTTATATATTTTCAATGAACTGTGAATTCATGATATGTGCATTTTAGTTCGATTCATCTATTGTTAAACTAAAACACATTTATTTATAGTAGCATAGTCTTGTTCGTTGCCTTTAAAGCAAGCAAATGAATTACAGTTTCTGAATTTCTTTTGTGTTTATAATGAGGTTATTGACAAGCATTTTAATTATCAGAAGCTGAAATCCTTTTCCTAAATATTTTACAAATTGTTAAACACTCTGATATTTCTAGTAGCCTTCATATAATTTAATGTATTTAATGATATTACTATGAAAGATTAAAATTATTTCTTGTAATAACGTCATATATAGTAACTTCTTTTATGAAAGCCATGATATTTTTAAACTTTAATAGATTGAAATATGCAAGACTGGGAGGAGAGTGAGGACTGAAAAACTACCTATTAGGTACTATGCTTATTAACTGGGTGATGAAATAATCTATACACCAAACCCTTGTGACATACAGTTCACCTATATAGCAAACCTGCACATGTCCCCCTGAATTTCGAAGTTAAAAATAATACAGAAGGACATCTCAGAATAAAAGGGAAACATGTCTCACACACAAAGAAAATTCAAGTTTTGTTATCGAGTGCCTGTATTTTAAAACTTGATGTTAATTATAGGTATTTCCATAGCAGCATGCCAAGGGGAAAGACATTTGAAGTGGAACATTTATCGTGGATTTTGGGCTAGTTACTTAAATGTTCTGTTTCAGTGTCCACATCTATAAAACTGAAATAATATTTCCTTTCTAGGATGATGGCCGTGATTAAAGAAAATGGGCAGATGAAAACCCCCTAGCGCAATGTCTGATTGATACATTACTTCCCTTCTGTCCATAATCATAATATAAGAGTTGTAAACTTGGACTTTCAACAAGTAATAGTTCCATTGATACATTTGAAAATAAAAGTCAAGATTTGGCTATTGGGTACAAAAATACTGTTACAGAGAAGGGATAAACTTCAGTGTTAACAATATAGTTAACAATGATTTATTGTATATTTAAAAGTAGCTAGGAGATTTGGAATGTTCCCAACACAAATAAATAATAATGTTTGACGTGATGGATACCCAGTTACTCAGACTTGGTCATTACACACTGTATGCTTGTATCAAAATATTACATGTACCCCACAAATATGTATAATTGTTATCTACCCATACAAATTTTAATTTTTTTAATGACTTGGCTACTACTAAAAAAATCTTTTGAAGCATATCACATCTTTGTCTTCTCAAAAACTTTCTCAAATTGTATGTTTCAAAAGAGAAGACAGGGAAGTGCCAGGTATTTAAAAGTAGTCACTCAGGGATGAAGCTCTGACAGAAAGATAAATGACTTTTCTCAACTCTGAAAAAAACAGTATCTTCATTGACCCTATTCTCACTTTTTATTTACTATTGCTAAATTTACAAAATAGGGAGAACAATTAGGTAAATATCTAGGTGCTTTCTGTCACTGACAGAATGCAGTATATTAAATACAACAAAAAGCATATATGGATCATGTGATCATAAAATACCTCATATTTTAGTAGCATAAATAGTCGTATATCGAATTACTCTTCCTAGAAATATTAGAATTTTATCTTTTTGTTCAGTTACAAATACATTTATCAATTAACCTCACATAAATATTTGGAAGTTATATACAAGTACTCCTCACTTTACATAATCATCTACTTATTTTTTATATATTTTAAATTAATTTATCTTATGAATTCTTATTTTGCTGATACACAACTTAATTGAATTTTATTTCTTCCCTTTGACAGGAATTAACCTGAATTTTGAGGAGCTGATACAGTGACTGTGAGTCAGGCAGGGACTTCTGTTCACCAGAGTAGATTCCTGTGTTCACAGGCACATTCTAAAAATATGTTGGTTCTTGTCATATTTTGTCAAAGGACCCATAGATTGCTGCTAAAGTGACTTTTGTAGTGGATATCAGGGCTAAGTCAGGTTTTCTTGACTCTTCCAGTTATATGAAAACATTCTTCATCTCCTGGGCCGTTCTGAATTACAGGAAATATCTCATTCTAAAAAGTAGGCAACTCCTTTTTAATCTGGTATTTTGTTTCTCTGGGTCCCAGGAACTCTGAGATTGCACAGACAAATCTGGGAGTTCTGTCATTTCTTTTCTTTCAATTTTGAGTTCTTTTATTTCAGTTTTGAGAAAGGAAAGAACAGAGGTTTAAGGTTCTTCTTGCCTTTGGGACCTAGACTACCTAAATTATAATTTATTTCTGATCTTTTTCTCCTATTCTCAGATTAGAAAGTAGTCCTGTTTCTACAGGTGAGCCGCTTTGGTCTGATTCACCAGGTATCTTTTAAATCTATTGTTTATTTCTGGAAGTATGTTTCTTGCTTCACAAGAAACAAAGTTTTGAAAATAAAAACTCAAGATTTGAATCCGTTCTACTCCTTTCCGGGATGTGAATCCTAAAGTGAATAGAAATGCAAATTTCCAATATTAGGGCAAGGGCCACAGTTACTAAAATGAAATAATAGTTAATAAAATGAAATGATTAAAACTTTGGTTTATCTTTCAAAATGTTATACAGGTAGAGATAAATACAGCAAGGGCAGAGACATGAACCAGGTTATAAGCAACTTTAATTCTTCCCTCAATAAATTGTAGTTTATACAAAGGATAAAAATGATGTATTTTAAGCAGAAGAATGATGTGTCAGTTTCAATAAAACACTGACTACAATGTAAGGGATTATTGCTGGACGGAAATGGTTGTATATGGAAGAAAAGAGTGGGAACAGGTAGATTGGGGCTATACTTTAGGTATAAAATAATGATAAATTCAAGTGCAGGTGGTGGCAGTGTAATTAAAACTAAAAGAATAGATTTAAAAGACATTCATAATTTAAAGTTAGATAGGAATAGGCTAACTGGGTGTGACTGGAGAGGGGATCTGTTTTCCAGTTTTGGCAACTGAAAGTATTGTGACAACTTTCAATAAGAAATTGCACACAGGTTTGGGCACAGTGGCTCACGGCTTTAATCCCAGCACTTTGGGAGGCTGAGGCGGGACACTTGAGGTCAGGAGTTCAAGATCAGCCTGGCCAACATGGCCCCATCTCTACAAAAAATATTAAAAAATCAGCCAGATGTGGTGCACGCCTGTAATCCCAGCTACTCAGGAAGCTGAGGCAGGAGAATCTCTTGAACCTGAGAGGCAGAGGTTTCAGTGAGCCAAGATCCTGCCACTGCACTCCAGCCTGGGTGATAGAGAGGCTCTGTCTAAAAAAAAAAAAAAATTGTACACAGAAGTCCTTGCACATGTAATTACTTATCATAAGTGTATATTTAGTACATACCTTTGACAGTGGACATAACCACACAAACCATGAGACAAATAAGAATGGACCCTTAATAAGGAAGGCTAACTTCAATAGCATGTTTTAAACAGTGCTGTTGTTTTGTTTTGTTTTGTTTTTTTAAAAAAAACTTTGTTTACTATCTCCAGCTCTCAACAAACCTTCCCTGGGAGAAACTGGCTTTAGTTAACAGAAAATATGTTGGCAGAATATATGAAACTAATGTTGTATGCAACTTCACCCTTCATTATCAAAAGCTTCCTGTAGTTTTGGACTGAGCTGAGTTGTTCTTTACAGTGAGTTCCTTAGCTTTTCCTGGCAAGCTCACAGAATTTTAGAAGGCAGTTTTTATCTTACAAACATTTATTGAAATATACATCCCTACAAAGTGCAGAAATCTTAAGTGTTCTTAATAAATTATCAATCTTCTTACTGAAAGAGGAGAGAAAATAATGCAGTAGCAATACAGAAAATAAAGAGTGAATGCATTGCATACTGAAGTGGGAAAGAGGTATGCTTATTTGTAGCCCCTCTCTGGACAAAGCAGGAGTCTAATAAAACACAGGGATTAGAGAAGCAAGAACCAAGGAGCTCAGGGACTGTTGGCCTTTTAGAGGGGAGTTTTGATTAATGTATATTGTGGAAGTGTGATTATTCAGGTAAAACTATTGATTGGTTGGCAGTGTACTCACTGCAGGGAGGCTTTCACTGATTGGCTCACAAAAGTATGGGATTATCACTGAGAGATTCATTTTTAGAATTACGTTATTGGCTCAATGTTCCCATTGATTAAACTGAGTCAAGTTGTTACCAATCAATTAAACCCTATTAAAACAGAACCTGGTGGTTACTTGCTATTATGGTGACAAAACAATTAGTCTTTTCCTGGCAGTATGGGGATTTAAAAAAATGTGTAACATAAAACACATCTATATATTTAGATTACATTACAAAATATAGAAAAAATACTGGTATCTTATGTGCCTTCTTTGTGCTCCCTGAAAGTCACTGTCTTTTGTTCCTCTCATCCAAAAATAATCAGTACCAAGACTTTCAACTGGATAGCTACGTTATAATAATGCCAGAATTTAAACTTCATGTAAGTTCAAAGTGTAAGCATATTATATCAGAATTATTTTAACAATGTGAGAATAATTCATGATGTTGCTTCATATACCAACAGCTCATTAATTTACATTGCTGTAGAATATTCCGTTTATTAAATATATCAAAATATGTTTATATAGTCTCTTTACATTTTGAGCTTTATGAGTAATAATACTCTAAATATTCTTATGCATGTCTTTTACTACCAAAATGATTTCTAAGGTAGTGGTATCAATTGACATTACAAAAGAAATGAATGAGAGTTCACATTACTCTTCATCACAGCCATTACTTGTCACTATTGTGGTATCTCATTTTAAAATTTGCATTAACTTGATATATAATAAGTTCAAGAACTTTTAAAATGTTAACTATTTGCCAATTTTCTATGCGAAGCTGAATTTATGCATATTTTAAGATTGTATTTTAATTTTAATACTTAGTAGTTATTTTAAATTATGGATATGAGCCCTTTTCAGAGGTAAAGGTTGGAAATATCTTCAACTACATGGTTTGCCTTTTACTGTCTTAATTATGTCTTTTGATTAATAAAAACCCTTAAGTTTAGTGTAGTTCAATTAATCAAATTTCTTGGTAGTTTTTTTTTAATTGTTGTGCTTGAAATATCCTTTCCTACCCTAACATCATGAATATGCTTTCCTATTATCTTCTCAATACTCTGTTATTTTACTTTTTATATTTTATTCTACTATCCACCTAACATTTATTTTAGTTTATGTTGTTTAGTGTGGTGTGAGATGGACTCAAATCTATTTCGTATTGTTTCTTTATTTTTTTTCTTTTTAATATAACACAGTACCTCATGTTGGAAAGGTTTTTCTTTTTCTTTCTTTCTTTTCTTTTTTTTCCTCACAGATTTTTAGTGTCCTTTGTCAAAGTCAAGTATCTATGTAGGATTGGGCAGTTTATGTTAATTGGCCTATATGTTTATCCTTTGTACATATCACAGTATCTTAATTACTATGTTTTTATAACTTTAGGTACCTGGGAGAATATTTCTTCCAACACGTTCTTCTTCAAGAGTGTATTGAGGATTCTCTGTGTTTTGATTTTTGCATAGTATTTTAAATTACCTATTTAATTTCTATCAAAAATTACTTTTGCAATTTTCATAAAATACAAAGGTTGACTTAGAAATGAAAAAGGAGAATTTTTCAATCAATGTGCATGATAAGTCCTTTCATTTAAATGATTTTTAAAATTTCTGTTCAATAAATATTTGTGCAATACTGTGTATCTATTTTATACTTCATATTTGATTTTTATATTACTGTTCATTTTATTTAATTTTGTCTCTATATAATTTGCTGCAAAAATGTATATACATTGACTTTGTATTCAGTTGAAATTATCAAAAAAGTTAAAAGACAATCCATTAAAGGAAGAAAATATGTGCAATCATATATGTCACAGGGGATTTGTATCTGGAATATACAAAGGGCTCATATGATTCAATAACACAAAATTTAAAAATGGACAAAGGATCTGAAAGAATATTATTCCTAAGAAGATATACAAATTACCAATAAGCAAATGCAGAGGTGCTCAACATCATTACTTATCAGATACTATGTCACACACACTAAGACGGCTAGGATTAATAAGTCAAATAACAGTATTGGCAAGTATGTGGAGAAATTTGAATCCCTGTACACCACTGGTGGAAATGTAAAATGTTGCAATTATCTTAGAAAACAGTTTGACAGTTGACAAATGATTAAACATAGAATTATATGAACTAGCAATTCCTCTCCAAACTATATACTCAAGAGAAAGGAAAACATATTTACACAAAACCTGGTCATGAATGTTCATAGCAGGATTATTCATCGTGGCCAAAAGGTGGGAACAATCTGAATGTCCATCACTAAATGATTGGATAAGCATGCTAAATGTGGTATATTTATACAATCTAATATTATTCAGCCATAAAATGAATGAAATTCTGATACATCCTACAATATGGAAAGAACATGACAATATTTTACTAAGTGAAAGAAGCTAGTAACAAAAAATGACATATTATGTGATTCTTATATAAAATGACATATTATGTGACTTGTATAAAAGTATCAAATAGGGAAATCTATAGAGACAAAAAGTAGATTATGGGCTGCTTAGGGCTACAGGTGGTAGTAGGGCAGGTAATGGCTAAAGAATACAGAGTTTCTTTGGGGAATGATGAAAATATTCTAAAACTGCTGTGGTGGTTGTACATATCTGTGGAAAAATATCCATATTTCTGAGGATGGAGCAAGAATATCTAGAGTAGTATAGGGAAAATGTCTATACTGTAGTTAGTATTCTTATGTGATTCTCACTCCATGGTCAGCTAGTCAACAATCCACTGAGTAGAATTTGGGGATCACTGGGCTAAATATTTACCATGATTTTCACTGGGATAACTATCAAATGTGTAGACAACATGATTGAAAGAAAAAAAATTCCTCAGACATGTTTTAAAGAAAGTGTCACAGCATGAATATATATAGCATGTGTTTGGAAGTGTGAAGGAATCTCAGAGGAGTACATATACCATACCAGATTTATCTTTGACATAGGAATAAGTGGTAGATGGACTAAAGAGATATTAAGAATGTATTTTTTCTGGTCTTTTGGTAACCTCATCATACACCTTAGAAAATATCACGATGTTGGTAAAAGGTCAAAGTAATTTTGATCAGGACTTTCCTATGGATCTGCATAAAACGGTTTACCACCCTTGAAATCCTCACAACCCAAGTGAATTTCCTCTAATAAATCCAACCTTGGGCATATCAGTTCTTCCTTTCCCACGCACTAATTTTTCTGTGTTCAACAGAAGAGAATAGTTTTGTTTCTCAACAGCATTCAGAAAGAGAAAGTTACATGTTTTACATTTCTCACCGTACTGGCAATTCTTATTTAATGTTTTAGAAAACTAAAGGAAATAAGAAGTTATTGCCTTGAAAAGTCAAGAGAACTACCCTAAGAATATCTGAGACATGCATGTGCATGCATGTGTGTACACGCACATGCCCCCACAACTATAATCCAAAATAAATTTAATAGATTTAGATTTGCTTTGGACAGTGTAGAGAAGTGTCTTGGATATATATCTTTAAGATATTAATCACTTATGCTACCAAACACATGTACAATGACTTATGTCATAAAGATTCACTCTGGCTTGCATGCCTTTCCATACTCTGTTAGAAAGCCTGTGGAGATGAATGCTCACATAGCTGTGATAAATCACTTAGCTACATTGCTAAGAGGAACAGACAGTGATGTAAATATCCTTTACAAATACAGCACAACCTCAGGGTTTTTTCCCCAATAAAGAAGATTTAAGTAGATATTTTTATAACATAAAATTTTGATTTTTCACTCAAAATCATATTTTCAGGTTTCCTCCGTTAAGAAGACTCTGTGCAAGCAGAAGAAATTAGTCTCTCATATTACTTGGAACATTTTGCCTGAGATGCTGCTTTAAGCTAATATCTAGTTATTGTAGCAGCCTGTGTCAATGCTGTAACAATTTATAATGAGGTAAAAATTTGTTCAGGCACTATAGATTTTATTAATAACTTTTAAGACCTCAAATTGAGAACTTGAACCAATTATTATAATACAGAATGAAAGTAAAATATACCTGCATAGCAATTCATGGTGTTTTATTTATAGCCCTATGTTACATACCATAACTCTTGGTGATAAATAATTACACTGTGGCCAGGAGCAGCAAACAGGATTCAATTATTACTGGCAAAAAGGAAGGGTCTGCAACTGTAGCAAAGTGAAAGCCAGTATTATACTTATAAACATATGGCTTATATTTGTAATATTCCCCTTTGGAACACTGAAAATTTTTAGACTTTGAAAATAAAACCTGAGGTTACAACTGAGAAGTATTAGATTCCTATTGGTAAAAATGTGTGCTCTAGTTATCTAAGGTTCCTACAAGGGGGTTCGAACAGATATTTTTGATAGGCCTCAAAAAGAATAAAAGTGTGAACATGACTGAAATATGAATAATTTATTTAAGATGAAATCTTAAAAACATGTTGAAAATTACTTTATGCTGAAAGCCATAGAAAAGACACACACACACACACACACACACACGCACAAACACTAGAATAAAGTATCTAGAAATAAATATATATATATATATATATATATATATATATATATATATATATATATATATATAAATATAACTTTAAAAAAGGCAGCACACCAAAATGCACAATATTCCACAGGGAATGTAGTGAATCGATATATAAGAAAGTCAGGGAAAAGAGGTAGGCTATAAGGCTCAGATTTCAAGACTGGAGCCTTACTATCTGACTATGTCTACAGCTAGGAAGACGCTGTCTGTGAAGTGAGCATTTAGAACAACTCTGCTCTCCCAACAGGACCACAGCCTAGGTGGAGCTGTTTGCCCACAGTTTGGAAGGGTGGGTCAATACCATGTCACCTAAACATAATAGTGATCCTATTCCCTAAAACGATAAACAGAGAGTTTACACAGGAAGCTCGAGCCAAGATGGGACACATGAAAGTGCGCAAGATCAAGCAAAAGATGCCTTCTATATAAGATGACTTTAAAATCAAGTATTTCAAAATACATGAGGAAAGCCAACATAATTAAGAATAATACACTCAACAAACCAAAAAACATACATTAGAGTGACTAGCGATAATAAAGCAATATGAAAAGACTATAATGCAAATAATTATATGATTTACAAATAAAGATGTGAGTTTTAATTGCTATGGTTTGGATGTTTGTGTCCTCTGAAGAATTCATGTTGAAACATAATCCCTGATACAACAGTAGGAAGATGGGGGGCCCTTAGCAAGTGATTAGGCTATGAAGGTTCTGTCCTCATAAATCAATTAGTGACTTATAGCAAGGCTTGATGGGGCGGGGCGCGGTGCCTCACGCCTGTATTCCCAGCACTTTGGGAGGCCGAGGCGGATGGATCACCTGAGGTCGGGAGTTCAAGACCAGCCTGACCAACATGGAGAAACCCCTTCTCTACTAAAAAGGAGAAAAAAGACTTGACGGAGCGAGTTTGTCCCTCCCCTTCTTTCCACCATGTGAGGACATATCATTCATGCCCACTGGAGGATGCAGCAACAAAGTACTATCTTTGAAACAGGCAGCAGCCCTCCATAGACCAAATCTGCTGATGCCTTGATCTTGGACTTCTCAGTCTCCAGAACTGTAAGAAATACATATCTATTATTCATTAATTACTCAGTCTGTGGTATTATGTTATAGTGGAACAAATGAACTAAAACATTATAAACAAGTGTTTTTAAAATAAGACCAAAAATCCAAGTGGTATTAGTCCTTTCTTTCATTGCCATGAAGAACTACCTGAGACTGGATAATTTATGAAGAAAAGAGGTTTAATTGAGACACAGTTCCACAGGCGGTACAGGAAGCATATCTGGGGAGGCCTCTGGAAACTTACAAACATGACAGAAGGTGAAGGGGAAGCAGGCACATCTTCATATGGTGGAGCAGGAGAGAGAGAACAAAACGGGAGGTGCTACACACTTTTAAACAACCAGATCTCTTGTGAGAACTCTATCACAAGACAGCACTAGGGGGATAGTGCTAAACCATTAGAAACCATCCCCGTGATTCAGTCACCTCCCACCAGGCCCCACCTCCAACACTGAGGCTTATAATTCAACATGAGATTTGAGTGGGGACACAGAGCCAAACCATATCACAAGTCAAGAACTAATTTTGGAGATAATTACATTTATTTTCAAAATGACAAGACTATGCATAGGTGAAAAGTGTATAAATAAATTAAGACAAATTTAGAGGATACCACCAACTACAGCACTAATATATAAGGAATGGGAAATAAAGATAATTAAAGTTTAGATGTCTAAAATTCAGCATAGTACAAAGAGTACACCTTGAAGTAGACAAAATAAAAGAAATAGTTAAAAGGCAATATGCAAAAAACTGATTGCTGAAAAACAAGAGTTCTCAAATTGAAAAATTTAAAGCAATTGACAAATGCAAAGCACTTGGATTTAACACAGTAAAATTTCTGAATACCACAAATAGAGATGAGATTTTCTGAAAGGAAAATTTCATCTTTCTATGTTTATGTTTGTGCATGTATAGCTAGATAGCTAGGGAGCTGGATGGATAGCTGAATAGACAGAGAAAGAGATAGATAATAGATATATATACACATTCTTACATACCTATATACACAGATACATCAAAATAAATAGAAATATAAATCTATATATTACAATTTATAACATACATATGCAATACATAGGAACGATGAGTAAACGCAAATATTTTAAAACAAAACATGTCATATTAAGTCATTATGTTACTATTGCTTTTATTGGAAGATATTTATCTGAGGGTGAGTACCATATGATAGCCTGATTCTTTTCTCACTGTTTAGCAATGAGATCGGTTGAGCTAGACATGGACAACTCTCTGAAAAAGTGTCTCCATTGAATGATATCCAGTGTCTTCTCTTTTTATTTTCTATTATTTGCTTTCACAGGACTTTGAAATTATCAGTAATTTGTTAATTATTTTGTAGTAACAGAGACTCTGGTGTACACTTAATAAATGTCTGCACATTTATAAATCCTTATTTCTTATTATAATTAGCTTACTTAGAATTAAAAAAATCAAATGCATGAATTTTACAAGACTGAAAAATAAAAGACTTTCTAAAATAAATAAGTTTTTTAAAGTAAGAAATAGCATCCTTATTTATTTTATTCTTTAATCTGTACATACTTTTCAGTTTCAATAGCTCATATTTTTATTTGTGTTTTCAATGGCAATAATTCTCTTAAATTTATATTGACTTCAAATGAGATTGATTCTACTAATTAATAAAAATTGTGGTATAATTTTGTTTTAGTTATGGAAAGACTAAACACCCTATCAAACTTAACTAAAATGGAGTGGGCTGAGGAAAAACCACCAACGACCAAAAAACCTAAGAATGACTCTGTCAGTTAAAAGCTCTGCTCCTCTAGCCCAGAAGCCTGCTGTAATCTGCAGGATTCAGGGATCCTGGCTTCTTCCTTCTTGTTGCTCCATCTACCTTTTGTCATTAGACCTGTCTAATTGTCAAAACAAAACAAACAAACAAAAATGAAAAACAAACAAAGATTTCTGTTAAATTGCCATTCCAGTTAACACAAAAGAAGGGAAAGAGGAGATATAGACTAATCAATTTACTGTTAGGCAAGTTAGATAGATATTGGACCCACCACTTATGCTCACACAGCAAATTTAGACGCATGAAATTAGTAAGTGCAAAGGGGAATGAACAGTTTATTGCTCAGCCAAGTGCTCCATGAGCCCAGGAAGAAAGTAGGTCTTAATGGGAAAATTATTACTATTATGATAAATATCTATGGGATTATAGAAACATAATCCTATCTATAAAAATTGAAGGCTTTAAACTTTCTGCCACTACAGTGGGAAACATTAGAGCACTACATTATCATATTTCCAAAGTTCTACTCTTCTTTGTAATGGAGAGCAACTGATACACACCTTATTGCTTAATTAATATTAGGACCAAGGACCTACACAAAACCCTGGAATGTATTCTTCTTTGAATTTTTTTTTTGTCTAGTGCTATTTGAATGTAAATTTAACAAGGCACATTTGGCAGACAGTTTCTACAACTGCCACCTCCCTACCAAAAGAAACAAGGAGAGTAGTCTCCTCCCCATCTATAGGTAAGCTGTTTCTCACTTTTTTAATCTGTTTTTGAACAACATAATGCTGTTCAATTGACATTCTGAGATTTCTGAGCTTAGACAGTGAAGCAGTAGATTCTACTTCTTGCCTTCTGAGCTACTCCATTAAGAACTCCAGGTATCTTACTAGAAGAAGAGAGGCCACACTAAAGAGGACTACAGCTCTCAATTTGTGAGTGGAGTAGTCTTTAGACGTTTCATCTCCAGCCAACATGAGGATTGAATTGTTTGAGAGACTTCAAGTGAGGCTAACAGAATAAATATCTAGGTACTCAGCCAGCCTAGAGAATCTAGAGAAGTAATACAATTTTTCTTTTAAGCAACTATTTTTTGAAGAAGTTTGTTATGCAGCAATTTGCATCAATAAATAAATGAAATAGCATATTACCATATTTGCATAAAGAAAAAATAAAGAACAAACAGATGATTTTTAAATTCAGCTTAGGTCCTAAAGATATCAGATTTCTGAAATCCTTATGACAGCACATTAGTGCAGAGTTTGCAATATATTCTCCCAGCAAATAAAGCTGGTATGATTTCCCATTTCATTGACACAAGTGTCTCATCAAAAGAAAGGAGATAATAGTCTCTTTCTCCACAATGCTGCTGAGATAATTGGTATATTCTTGTCAGTTAAGGTCAGCTCATTACTGTAAAGATAATGATTAAATGGGAGAATTTTGAAAACCAACTTAGAAGCAAGAATTACTGGCTTATAAAGACAAGGTAGAAGAACAAATTTTTTGACTTTGTTTTACAAAACTCTATTTACCTGTGTAAGCCTCACTTATTAACAGGACAGATTTAGAAGAAGATAACAATTTTAAAAGCAACTTAGATATGGACATCAACCACAAAACAATAAGAATTACAGTGATTCTCATGGTGATGCAGAAGCACAGCGAACAGGGAAATAAATCCATATACAAAGCAAATGACAATTCTAATGAGGATAAGTTGTTGTCCATCCACACAGAAAGGCATCCAATATACAACCATTAACGAGGTAGCTAGTCGGTTCCCTTTAGGAAAGGTTATATCAGAGATTTATTATTAGCCTCTTTATTACAAATAAGATAAAAACTCATAAGTTTTCATTTTTAAGTCTAGATCCTTGACTTGTTGCTTCTTTGAAGCTGAGTAACAAATGCTGTGGTACAGAGAATGTATACTGTGCTATACCCAATTACTAGACTAGATTTAGGAATTTCTGCTTTGTGAGTACTCTCATCCACACAAAGTCTCAGTGCTTTTTTGCAGTTTTGAATATCTTTTAATATTTATATTTATGACAAGAATTTTGAGCACTGTTCACATAGGTTGTAATTTCACTTTAAAACAGAAATTTCCTACTTTTTTCAGGATTTGTAAGAATAGGCTGAGACTGAAAGTCAAACTTTAAAACCTATTGCTACTGGCATTTAGCTCTATAAATTAAGATTTTCTCTAAATAGTAATCACAGTATAATGTGAAAATAAATTTGAAACAGATTAGCTAAATATTGCAAATTTCATCTCTGATTTACAATTCCATGCTTATTAAAGATGATTATTATTTTAATATGATACAAATATTAGCATTCTGAATTTGTAAAATAGATATATAAAATATAATACCTATTTAGAGAAAATTCTTTACAAATATCTCGTATTTATACATGTTCCAGATCCTCTGAGCCATTTGTAGCCATTTGTAGCCAAGTGAAGGATATTTTTATAAGGAGACATTATATGATAGTAAAGTTTAGAGACATTATCCTCCTCGATGATGTACTGAGGTAGTCAAGATAAAGCATAAAGACCTAATCTTCCCTTCAAGGGAGATTTGCTTATATTCTGAGCTGAAGATAATCTCTCTCTCTCTCTCTCTCATCCTCTCTCTCACACACATCCAGTTCTGTATTTCCAGAATGGAGGGTGAGCAGATCACCAACAGTCCTATATAATATCCGAATTGCACAGTTTTGTGGTTTCTTTCCTATGATGCACCTTGAATGGACATTTCACAAAAGATAAAATAAAAGTAAGCATCTAACAAACATACAAAGAAATGCTTAACATCACTAATCATCAGAGAAATACAAATTAAAATCACAATAAAATATCATTTTACTGCCATCAGAAAGCCTTCTATTAAAAAGTAAATAAACAACAGATGTTAGCATAGATGCAGAGAAAAAGGAAAGCTTCTGCATTGTTGATGGGAATGTCAATTAGTTAAACTTCCACACAAAACTGTTTGATGATTTCTCAAAAAACTAAAAATAGAACTACCGTTCAACCCAGCAGTCCCACTGGGTATTTACCCAAAAGAAAAGAAACTAGAACAAAAGACACCTATACTTATATGCTTATTGCAGCACTATTCACAATACCATTGTCAGGGAGTCAACCTAAGTATCCATCAGTGGTTGACTGGATAAAGAAAATGTGGTATGTAAACACCTTGGAATATTACACAGCAATAAAAAAGAATAAAACTATATCCTTTGTAGTAACATGGATGGAGCTGGAGGCTATTATCCTATGTAAATTAAGAAACAGAAAACCAAATACCACATGTTCTCTCTTACATATGGGAGATAAACACTGGGTACACATGAATATAAAGATGGAAATAATAGACATGTAGTACTCCAAAATGGGGATGATGCAAGGGGGATGAGGGTTAGAAAATTACCCGTCAGGTACAATGCTCACTATTTGGATAATGGGTAAACTCGAAGCCCAATCTCACTAGTATGCAATATACCCATATAACAACCAAGCACCTGTACTCCGAGAATCTGAAAGGAAAAAAAGGGAAAGAAAAACATACCATTCAAATACTAAGCAAATATATTGAGGTGGCTATGTTAATATTAGGTATGTATTAAGTAAAACAAATTAGAAGACAAAAATTCAGAAGGCCAGTGATAAAGAGGGACATTTCTTGAAGAGAGCAGCACATCAATTGTAAATATGCTCAAACTTCAAGCTATGTTAAAAATTCAGAATTAAAGGGAAACAGCAATCCCAAAAGACGATCTAATCTTACATTAGAACTTAAAATAAAAAGAGCAAATTAAACAAAGTTAGAAGGAAATAATAAAATAAGAGCAGAAATCAATCAAGTAAAAAAATTAATAAACAGAAGACATAATTAAACCGAAGACTTATTCTTTGAAAAGATCAGTAAACTTTGTCAAATTAGCCAGTTACTTGACAAATGGATACAAAAAGAGATAGACAAACCAAACAAAATAAAACAAAATCTACCAATGTTTGGAATAAAAGAGTAAATATCACTATACCTCCTATACATATCAAAATACAGGACTTTACTGCAATAAACCAGTTCTGCTAATGCATTTGAAACCGTTCCCTAAACAAATGACATGTGATTTTTTTCTGTAATTTTATAGCTTGTAAAATCTATTGATTTTCAAACGCCAAGCTAACCTTGCTTTCTCAAAATTAACTGTACTTTTTTATGGCTTATTATTCCTTGTCTACTCGTGTACTTCATTTGTGGAAATTTTAAGAATTTTTGCATATTCACTAATAAGGATTACTGATCTGTAAAATTCCATTCTTCTAATGTCTTTGAATTTGTTTAAGGGCAATATTAATCTTATAATGAGTTAAAGGCTACTTCCTTAGCTATTTCCTAGAAACATTTACAATTGGTATTATTTATTCTTTATATGGTTGATACAATTGAATTGTTTAACCATCTGAGCCTGAAGTTTTCTTTTGAGGCAGTTATGTGTAATTTTTGGTAATTCACATTTGTTAAAATACTTGTACACTTCATTTAATTTTTCAAATGTATTGTCATGTACATTCCCTTATTGTCCTTTTAATATGTATAGGATCTGTACTGTGGTATTCAACTAAACGTAGAAATATATACCAAAAGAACTGATTTGAATCCAAATTGAACTCAGCTTTTATAATCAATTTATTTTGAACAAGGATTCCAAAGTACTAAACAAGAAAAAATGAATTTTAAGTCTTATGCCAAAAAAATTGAAATCTGTCATAGATTTACCCATGTAAATGCTATACATGTAAGAATTATAGTAACAATTGTGATATTATGTTAGGTAAACTTTTTAAGGCAGAAAAGACACAAAATAAGAACAAAAGAATAAGCTGAAATCTCTTACTCTTTATATGATAATTAAGAATAGTCACGACAAGCCGGAGATAAATTTTGTTTTAGAAATTCTACATGGAAATATTTTAGCAGACACATCACCGTCTTTTCTCTATATTTACTCCAAATGTACACGTTCTCTACCACTGAATATTACCAACCAGTTCGAGAGGCTGTATTCATTTTTTATTTTTATCACTTTAATGTTTATCACACTGGATAATTTCTATTGATTCACCCAGTTATTATATTTATTCCAAGTATTGCAAGTTTTAAATTTCCACAAGCATTCCTTTGATCCCTTAAAAAAATTTCTATTCCTCTACTAAAGTTGTCTATATTATTTCCATAAGCATATCCTATTTTACTTTTTTTGGAAGTAGTATTGGTTGTTACCTTTAAAATCCTTATCTAATAATTTTGACATTTGAATTATGTCAGGATCTGTCTTCGTTGATTTTCTTTTCACTTGAAAACTTGTTACCTTTTCTTCATTGTTCGTATTAGGATAAGTCGGATTGTGTTGTAGACATATAAATGTTACATTGTGAAGAATTTGGATTCTGTTGTTTTTGTCAAATCAATATTTTTTGCTTTAGTCAGCAGTTATTTTGTTTGGAATCCAACTCTAAACACAATTCATTGCGTGATATCTGTGGTCTCAGTTCAGAGCTCTTCATTTTTTGTCTTAGCTGCTTTGGGTCTCTTTTCCACATGAATAATTCAGGGATCAATCAGGATTGTGAATAGTTAGAATTTGAGATCCCCTTTCTGGCTCTTTCCACTCTATGTAATATCTTTCCTGGCTTCAGCACCTGGATCTCTTGGCTAGAAAGTCGGTGTGCTTAACCACTAACTCTTTCAATATAGTGGGCCAACTGCTCTTTGGCCACTCTAAAAGTCATGAAAATAGAAACACAGTTTATGCAGTTTCCTTAATCTAAGTCTCCTTTCCCATGAGATTTATCTGTTTCTTTCACACTAGTGCTTTTCCAGGAGCTATTTTTTATTATATGTTCATACTTTTTTTTTGTATGAGAATCAGTCCGATAGGAATTGATTTAATTATAACTAGAAATAGAAATCTCCATTTCTTTTATAATTTTGCATTATTGATGCAGGACAGGCAAGCCCTCAAATTGGGGCTTAGCTCAAGAGGATTCTTGGCTTTGCCCAGGAAAAAATTCAAGGGTGAGCCGGTGGTGTTAACCAGCAACTTTTATTGAAATGTCAGTGCAGCAGCAGAAGTACTACTTGTCCTGGCGGAGCAGAGCTCGCCATAGGCAAAGTGCCCAGAATCGCAGTTAAGAGGAAGTTCTGCATTCATATTTATCCCTTCTTATACTTATATGTAAATTAACGGGAGGTTTATGTAGAAATTTCTAGGATGAGGGTGGTAACTTCTGCGTTGTCAGGTCGTTGCCACGGAAACAGGTGGTAACAGCTGGCTGTTGCCATGGCAATGGTAAACTGACATGGCACACTGGTGAGTATGTTTTATGGAGAGGTGCTTTCCCTGGAACTGTATTAGTTAGTCCTCAATTTGATCCAGTGTCTGAGCCCCGACTCTGGAGTTGAGTTCCGGCTCCTGCCTCATTCTCACTGTACCCTTTCTACTTTACCCAAATCCCTTTAAATATAGTCAAAATTGAACATCACAGCCTTTAAAGAATCTAATTACTTGAAAAACAGTGCAAACAAATTAATGTATTCATTGATATTTAATTTTTTATATGATTATGAGTAGATCCCATAGCTTGTGTGTAAAACTAAATAAATTGACTAGTAGATATTGATCACCTAAAGCATAGAATTTTTGCCTACATTTTATCCTGTCATTGGAGATCAGTTAAACTAAGATTTTGGTTTATAGTCTCTTAATGCATATTCCCTTCAAATTTTGTATTTCAAAGAATTGTTTGAAATGTTTTCTTAATGAAAATTTTTCAGATTGGCACAAATAAACAGAATACTTGAAAAATTACATCTTTTATATGAGTTTGGGTAAACAAAATATGAGTTTTCTATGAAAATAAATATAGAATTTTACTTCCAGTTTGTTGTTCAACATTGTATTATTTTACTGTAACCCAGAAATATTCAATATTTAGAACTAGAATGGAGCAGATTTATTTTCTATTGTATCAAAATTTTATGTCACCCAAATTAATCCGAATACAATTATTTAAATCTATTTAATCATTTTCATAGCTCATTTATTTTACACTGACAAGAATTACAAATTGTCATAATCCAAACTATGATGAAAATGAATGAAATGTCAAATAAATTATCAATAATAATAAAACATATTTCTCAAGTGCACCAATATAAATTTTTTCTATATTAATTGTAACAATGTTTACAAGATATAGTGAGAATACATGTGACAATTTTAGAATTAACCAATGGATTTAACATACTTATTTTTAATATTCATTTTTAAGATGCTGTTGACTTATTCCAACTAACACAGTCATAATTATGGTAACATGTGAACAACTTTATAATCATGCTTATTCAATCTCATAAAATATAAATAAAATATAATGCAGCGTTTTGTCATTTAACTATACATTACTATTAACCTGTATTATTTTCTTAGCTCTGAACTATTTTAGGGCATTGAAGCAATATGGAATGGTAAATAAATAGATCCCAAGTCACTGAGATATTAGTATACTTTTGGTGTCAATAGAATTATAAAATAGGTGCTTGCTAAGCTGATGAAAGGTCAGTTTAGAATTCCTTTTAATAAGTTTATGCAAACAAAAAGATTTTCTGCATTAATCATAATGGGAAGAATTAGCAAGCATGCTTTAATCCTCCATGACCTTGCTTATGAATGTCAATGTACTGCCAAACATCTTCAAGTCTCCTTAGTGAACAAAAGTTGTGCAGTAATATCTCTTGTGGCTATGATGATAAATCTACAAGGCCGTCCTCATCGATTTCCATGGCAGAAATTACCAGATGTAGAAGCCAAATAGATTATCTTTCAAATTTAAAAGAAAATAATGATATAATTATCAGTTCACTGGAGAAAAGAGTAAAATTTGATATTGATGAAGAGAAATATGTCCATTAAGCAAACAGATTTGATCTTTATTTGACTTCCTATCTCTATCATCTGGCTATGTGTATATGTGTGTATACATATATACATATATATATATATATATATATATACACACACATATATGTATATATGTATATATATGTATGTATATATATGTATATATATGTATATATTATCAGCAGTACTTTATCAAATGTGGTCAGATAGCAAAAGTCATGAAATGATGAATAATTATCAATTCTAACCTTTTAATAGATCACATTACTGTCTTGGCTGTGTGAAAATACACCATCTCCAATTCAGTTTCTGTTTATAGTGTCTTGAATGAGACACTTTTAATCCCATTTTATTAAAATTAATGTCTTTAGTGTCCACTTAATACATGGGAAATCTCATCACTTTTGCCCTGCTGTATTCTATAAGTTTAATTTGCTTCTATTGCATATTTTTCCTTGTTTTAGAAATCACAAATAGTTTCAGCCAGTCTCTTATCTGACTTACAGAACATCAGAGTATACATCTTAAAGTGCTATGAAAAGCATCTCATTTTACTGTGTCTTGGTACCTTAATGATGCCAGAATGATAAAAGCTACTTCTTGTTACTACTGTTATTGAAACAACTAGACTGAAATGAGCAGTATCAGGGCACTCTCTACTAAATTGACAATATCAAAAAATAAATCTATTTTTATAGCTCTCTTGCATTTCTTATATAGAAAGAAGTTAGGTGACTTACCTTGTGTCACATAAATTTGCCATGTCTTAGGTAGCAAAATTAGAGGATTTTACTAGCTTTATTTAGCATAGATGGATAGAAATCATAATGTCAAAATTTGAAAGTAGGAAACTGGGCCAATTCTTTTTCATAAAAGCAAAAATGCATAAAAAATAGTATTTTGGTAGACCAATAGCAAAAATTACGTTATCATGGCAATCAAATGATAGGTTGAGCTGGGGATGTAATTAATACATTAACATTTTATCTGTATGTGCTATGGTTATGACAGCATTATAAATGTCTTCATTTGCGTCAATCAGTCAGTATGCAGAGAAAAAGATTTTTCTAAACTCTTCAGATTTTCTGGATATTAGAGTAAGATTATATATACCACAACAAGCCTGGCTTATTGTAAGACTGTATTGATTGATTTTTTACTTTGCCACACTCAAATATTTTGGCATGGCACAGATACAGCCTCAGCTATCTTGAGATTAAATGTCAAGTGACTAAAAGTAGGAATGGAATATCTTTAAAACAAATGAGAAAAACTATTTTTGTGACACTGTCTAAATTTTTCATTTTATGCCTCTTATATAATAGGTTAAAGTAAATGTTCTATATAGAGTCTCAGAATATACAAATTGTCAAAAGTCATATTAGATATCACTTTTCCTAAAGTCTACTTTGCAGAAAATTATCAATATTTTATAAATTGATCTTATTGCAGGTTACTCTTGAGTGTACATACATAAAAATTCACTGAGCAAATCCATTATACTTTGTGCAGTTTACTATATTTTATATCACAATTAAATTTTTTATTTTTACAAATTAAGGGTAAGACCATTATTTCTCTGTCTTTTGAAAGCCTTAATTAATATACAATAATGAAACGAAAAGTGCCCCATCCTTCTTCAACTCTTGCTTCTTCAACTTGACATTTGAAATTATAGAGTTCCAAATCTCTACATATCTATTCATGATTCATTTGAAAAAAATGTTTGTCTTATGTAATAAGGCCATTTTATAATTTCCCATGTTATAGTCATACAATATACTTTAAAATAATATTGTAACTTAGGTTTATGACATTTCAGTCATAATTGAAATTATAAAACTTAATAGTAATTTGAGAGATTTAAAGGCAAGATGACAATTTTCCAGGCATTATTTTCTTTTTTGCTTAACATTTCTCTCCTTCCCGTCTTGTTTTATAATAGTCCCATAATTTTTTCAGGTTAAAAATCCCATGTTCTCACAAAGTGAATGTTCTCTCTATAAATAGCCAGCCCTCAGGGGCTAAATTCTATTTTTCCACTTAACTATTGGTCTTACTTGAAGTGTATATAACATGCTTTGTGCAACCCACCAGAAATTACACATTATGTAGTACATAGTTGAGTATGTGCATGTGTGCACATGTGCAAGTGTATACAAATGTGTGTATGTGTGTTTGTGTGTGTACTTCGTTTTTTTAAAAGCCACCTCATGTTTGGTTACATAAATGTGTTAGGGCATTCTTACATTGCTATAAATAATTTCTTAATAAATTACCCGAGACTGGGTAGTTTATAAGGAAAAGAGGCTTAATTGACTCATGGGTCTGTAGGCTGTACAAGCATGTCACCAGCATCTGTTTGGCTTCTGTGGAGGCTCAGGGAGCTTTTACTCATGGCAGAAGATCAAGCAGGACCAGGCATGTCAAATGGCCAGAACAGGAGCAAGAGAGAGAAATGGGGGATGGGGAATGGCACACACTTTTAAACAACTGGATCTCAGGAGAACTTGAGAGAACTATTATGAGAACAGCATCAAGCCACAGGGGATCCACCCCTATGACCAAAGCATTTGTCACCAGGCCTCACCTCCAACACTGGGGATTACAATTCAACATGGGATTTGGCAGGAACATATATTCAAACTGTATCAGCGAGATTTCCAAAAAATGGGAGAATAAGGTCAAAAGTTAGCATAAGATGAAATTCAAGGTTACATAATTTTTCGCAGAGATTGGGATGAGCTCTTATCTAAATCCCCATTTGGATTATTTTCTTTTTCAAATTTGATAATGTGATAGCGAAATTGTCTTTCTTTCCATCGAAGGCTGGAATTAGCAAACTACTTTCTAGTTCCTGTCCTCAGTTTGTACTACCTGCAAGTTAAAAATATTTTTACATTTTATTTTTCAAAAGGTGGAGGGAAAAAGGATAAAAGAAGAATGCAAAGAAGAATGCAAAGAAGATGAAGAAGCAACAGAGACTCGTATGTAGCCTGCAAAGTTTAAAATATTTATTATTACACATTTGTAGAAAAATTTATCTGACCACATAAACAAAATGATGTAAAATAACTTCTGTGTTCTTACAGGATTCTAGAGATGCTGTGAAAGTTTATGTACATATTATTCAAAAGGGGAGCGTTTGGGTTAAATTTTACCTAAATGAATAAGTAAAAATTCCATTCTATTGTCTTCTGCCCCAATTTTTTTTTTTGTTTTACTATCAACGTCAGTACCCCCTTGGATGTTTGACTAACCCTCCTCAGACCCCAATAAGAAGCATAATCTGATGAGTTCAAGGCTACATAGTTTCTCAGGCTTACATCCTTCTTTCTTTCCTCCGTAGGGACTCTTCTTGCTATTATAAATTAAGATACCATTTTGCTTAGTGCAGGTCTTCCATGAAGCAGACACCATGATAAGATTAGATCTTCTATAGAATTGTTAGAAAAAAATTATTCTTTTGTACACGTAATAATATGGAGCATACAAAACATTATTGTAATGAATTTACAAGAAAGGAGAAAGAAAGACTCTTACTTCTGGTAGAAAAGTCATTCCCCTCTATGTGGAAGGCCCTGATTGAAACATGGATCCAAAATTGTTAGCTAAAGTTTTGTTTCTTAGTTATTGCACCTGACTTGAGGATGTCCCACTTTTTCCAAGTTATGTCTTCTCTAAAATTGTAAGTGAACACAATAATAGTTCCTATTTACACTGTGAGGTGGACATTGTTACAGAAAACACATCAGTGACTTTCTTGCTGTTGAGCTAATAATGTCCTGTGAATGTATGATCTGTGCAGTACCTTCGGTAGTCTTATGTGATGCTGCTGTCTGTCTGCTCAAAAGTAAATCTTGAACATTTCCCCCAACCAAAAAAAAAATACCACATACACACACCTGAAAAAACGACTTTAGGAGAAATTCAAAGGAGACATGGAGAACCAACAGACTCTGATGCAATTCCTTCATCATCATTGTGGCACACAGAAGGTGTGCTTATTGAGCATGAAGGAAGTTTTAATGGAATTCTGTCAGATTGCAGTATAATCCTATGGATTTCTGGAAAGGTTAATAGGCAATTAAGTCAAAATTGCCCATCAGAGGAATCCCATCTCCAAGTAAGAGGCCAGCATTAGTGTCCCTGAAACACTCAGTCCTTGGTGGGGAACAGGCTATTGGAAGCTGGGGCTTGATGTGAATGTGGAGATGGATTTGAGTTTAGCAGCAGGGACCTTTGGTCAATTATAATTCCCCCTAGATTAAGAGGAGCATTTTCAGCTGGGCACAGTGGCTCCCACCTGTAGTCCCAGCACTTTGGGAGGCTGAGGTAGATGGATCACCTCAGGTCAGGAGTTCAAGACCAGCCTGGCCAACATGGTGAAACCCTGTCTCTACTAAAAATGCAAAAATTAGCTGGACACTGTAGTGCATGCCTGTAATCCCAGCTACTCCGGAGGCTGAAGCAGGAGAATCACTTAAATCCGGGAGGTAAAGGTTGCAGTGTGTCAAAATGACGCCACTATACTCCAGCCTGGGCAACAGTTAAAACTTTGTCAAAAAAAAAAAAGTTGCATTTTTATGGCTGCCAAATGCTTCTTAAGAATGCTTCCTTACTTTGGTTCTACCTTTAATTTGAGGCCTTATTTTTTTTTCCAGTAGTTAAAGTTTTATTTTCATAACTAAGCCGTCTATCTAATTTTTAACAGAGAAATGGGTTCCAAATTTGCTTTTTCAAAACTAAGTTCACTATGTGAGGGGTTTGTTTCATACCACTTAATTGATTAATGTTAATTGTAATATTTTAAGGAGATGGTAGGTTGTAATTTTTTAGTGCATTCTGTTTCCACAATTCATTTTTATCTTTTTAAAAAAATACATAGAAATAAATAACGAAAGCAGAAAAGGTGTACATGTGTTTGCATATTGTAATGTTTTAAAGTATTCAAAAGACAGAGACATGAAAAAAAGTATGGTGGTAGTGAAAGGGTTAGGCTCCCTGAAGGGTTTTTCTTTTCGGAAAAGTGAAACATTCTTGGGCTTAGAAAAATGGGTTGAATGTGATTTGTCATATCTGTTCTATTTGTGAAAAAGCTTCCCACAGCAAACACATCTGTGGGCTAAGTGACCAATTATACCTCTATCTCCTGGGCTTTGTTTGCCACATTCCTAAAGTATTTTTCTAAAGAAATTAAATTATACTTGCTTTTACGTTTTCCAATCAATATTTATTTCTCAATTTTCAATAGTCATTGTGATATATTTTCCTTCCTTCTCTTGTTTCCTTCCTTCCCTCCCTCCCTCCCTCCTTTCTTTCTCTTTCTTTCTTTCTTCCCTTCCCCTTCTTTCCTTCCTTCCTCCCTCCCTCCCTCCCATGTCTGTCTGTCTCTTTCTTTCTTTCTTCCTTCCTTTCCTTCTTTCTTCCCTTCCCTTCCTCTCCCCTCCCCTCCCTTCTTTTCCCTTCCCTACCCTTCCCTTCCCCTTCTTTCCTTCCTTTCTCCCTCCCTCCCGTCTGTCTGTCTGTCTTTCTTCCTTCCTTCCTTCCTTTCCTTCTTTCTTCCCTTCCCTTCCTCTCCCCTCCCCTCCCTTCCCCTTCCCCTCCCTCCCTCCCTTCTTTCCTTCTCTCTCTTTCCTTTTGCCTTTCTTTCTTCTTTCTTTCTTTCTTTCTCTCCTTTCTTTCTCTTCTTCTTTTTCTTTCCGTCTCTACTGGGATTAACTACAGAACAAACAAAATTTGAATGCAAACAAGTGGCAAAATTTTGAGATTTTTCAATACAGGTTTACCATAAATTTTTTTAGCAGCTAAATACAATAAATTATTTTTTCATACAACTCTCTATAGCTTCATTTTAGTTTTTAAATCTTTCTATCCTAAACATGTGTAAAGCATTTTCTCCTTTACTTGGAGAGTAATCAGAAACTCAAAGTAGAATTCAGTTTTTCAAATTATCTGGTAACTGTTTGAACAATGTTAGGTAGTGTGATTCTAAGCTAATCAATATATAAGTAAAACAGCATGTATAATTTAAAATTCTAGTTTCTGAAAAATTTGTTTAAAATTCATAAACTCTCTTCATTAAAATCCTTGACTCCCTAATATATTGAAGTCATTCTTTAAACAGAGTTCAACACTTTCCCTTTATTCTTGGAATCTTACATTCCGTAAGTGTCTCTAGCATCTGGGAGCATTTTAAAATTTCATTTCTTACTTACTAGCCAGCCACACAGTGAATGCTGGGACAGACATTGTTGAGTAGAGGTCCTTAATCAAAATAATGAAAGTATCTTTGAGCCAGGCTAAACTTTGACCTCAATCCATTTACCTCATGTAGTTATCCTTAGACTTCTCTTGTACATTCTTGTAACGCTTATGCCTCAGCAATCCATCTAAAACATCCTTTATTATAAAGTTTATAATGCAAATTTCAGAGCAGATAACAGTCTGCCTTTCCCAGGAGATTGAGGTGATGTACACAGTGTTCACACTGATGCTGCATGACTGGTCTGCACAACTCCACAGTGTGTGTAATGCTTTGGCTGGCATTATTTCCAAGGTGAATTCAGCCTGTAGTGATCTTCAAGTTTAATATTTATTTGAGTATGGTGACTTATTTCATTATTCATGATGACCCCCAAAAATGTAACCCAAGGGTCTGCTGACCCTTTTGTTTTCCGAGTGCAGGATGTAACTTGGGCTGTGCTGTGTCTTTTGGACTGTATACTTTATGGCGCATCTCTAATAATATTCTTCATCCCTGACTTGACCAGTAAATAAACTGAAATAAAGCTCCACACCTCAAATTTTACTTCTACAGGATTTTACTTTTTCAGAGGTTTTTGCAAGAAATAGAAGTGCACTTATATTTTGCCATGTTTTAACCTTTAAGTCATTTCTACAATAAATGGAAACCCACATATATTTCAAAACTTTAGTAACTTTATAGGAAATGTTAATGATTATAGAAAGCGTAGGCAAAATGTTAACATAAGAGTCTTGAAACAGTTACATTTAGAAAAGGTTGCTTACAAGTTTGGTATCTGGGAGTTCAGCTCTGTGGTGTTCCCAATTAACAGGTGGCTGACAAAGGAGGTTAATTGTCCCTAGACTGTGCTAACAATGGTGCTTATGCTGAGGACCTATCCTGCTTCTGGGACTCTGGAGTTTTATTTGGTGCTAAGTAGAGAGTGCCTATATGATCAGCCCAAATAAAAACTGTAGTCACTATGTCTCTGATGAACTGCTTGTGGAAGACATATAACATACCTGTTGTTGAGTGTTTGGTGTTAAGGAAAGACTGTGACTCTTCACAGGAGGGAGAAAACATAGGAAGCCGCATAGGGATTCCTTCACAACACACCTGTATTTCCCTCTTACTATATGGCTAAGTATCCTTACTACATTGCTATAGTAAATTTGATCCATGAGGACAATTATATGCTAAGTCTAGTGATTCCATCTAGTGATCCCAAACTCAGAGATGGGGTGGTCTTATATACCCCTGAAAGAGTGTTGTTTATGTAAAACAACAAGGACCTTGTCTTAATCTTCCACACACTCCTCCTCCTGTGATTGGCTTGCTTTCTGTTCAACACCAGTCCCATCGTGGTTTGCTTCTTCTAAAGCCTGCAGTCCGACCACGATGTTCTTTCCACCATGTGCTGCCCAGTGTTGACTGGGTGTCATATAGGACTTGACCACAGCTGCATTTCTCATGAAGAAAATTTCTTCTCCATTGCTGTGTTTTCTCCAACAACCTGAATTCTGCAACAATAGGCTCAATGACATTGCACAGAAAGATATAGTTTTGTAAAAATTTATATAAACTATTTGACAATTGAGCAATAAAAAGAAAATAATTTTAGAAATTATTATAACAATATATTTTACCAAATAAAGGTACTTTGAGGGGTTAAGAATTTGCCAGTGTGTATGAATTTAATTATTTATTTGTATTTGAATTCTACATTAAATGTATATAAGTTGTTAAAATTGTTGTATAGATACAGTCCACTAATGTTAAGTGAACATTTTTACATGTCATTCATATGGGGAACATTTATGTAATCCTTAGAAGACTAAAAAATAATTTTTATATTCTTCGTTCCAAATTAATATGTCATAAATAAGAAAATTGAAGTTTATTATCAGTGCAAAACAGTAAAAATGATGTATTATTTATATGAAGTACACCTGAATTTAAAAATATGTTGAAATCAAAAAACATATAGTGGCTCATGCCTGTAATCTCAGCACTTTGGGAGGCTGAGGCAGGTGGTTCACCTGAGGTCAGAGGTTGAAGACCGGCCCATGGCGAAACCCTGTCTCTACTAAAAATACAAAAATTAGCTGGGTGTGGTGGTCGGCGCCTATAATCCCAGCTACTAGGGTGGCCAAGGCTGTAGAATCACTTGAACCCAGGGGGCCGAGGTTGCAGTGAGCCCAGATCATGGCACTTCACTCCACCCTGGGCAAAAGAGAGAAACCCTGTCTAAAAAACAATATATATATATGAATGAATACAAGCAAATTTTAAAAGTATTGTGTCACTTTTCCTCAACAATAAAATATCAATTAAAATGTAATTTTAGACTTGTTTAGTAAAAGTTATTAATACATGTTACAGAAACTGTCCTCTATGAATAACTACCTCTTATAGAGGTGATTATTAAAGCAAGGCATGAAGTGAGTGAAGTCCGAGACCAAGAAGATATCAGGCAGAAACATTTGTCAAACTAAATAACAAACAGAGAGACACTCTCTAAAAGAAAATAATGTTTATTGAACAGAGCATTGCAATGGGAATACTCATGTCTTAGTAAACTATGTGCACATTCAGGAAGGTAAAGGGAGACAACAGTTTTTAAAGTAAAAATGAAGAGGATAACATAATTGTCTTCAAATCATTATCCTTGACTGCAAACATCAATAGCAAGAATCACACCAGTGTGGGGTTAGAGTGGCAGTTGCTGGGCACATGACCCTGAAGAAGTATTTTTGTGTGAGCTTGTCATGGCCTTTGTGCAAGGGTATAGTTTTGGGTTTTTGTAAAGTCTTTTGTGGTAGATTATTATGAGGCAAATAAGCACGAAAACCCTCTCCTCATAGCCATTGCTGGCTCTATTTGTCAAAAATTTTTTTTTAACATGAATGACTACCTTCTGGTTCTGACAATTGTCACATATTATCCATCTGATCAAGATTATTCTCGAAAGCATCACTAGTCAATCATCCCGTCATTACGTTTGGATGTCCCTCAGTGCCAGGATGGACCTATCCTGGTTGCTGGTCGTGTCCCACATTGTGGGGAGTAATTGGCAACTAGGAGTCAGTATCAAAACCCTTTCAGCCATATCTGAGGAATAAAGAAGGTCTGAAGGGAATGACTCTCAGGCTAAGTCTACCTGGAGTCTATTATTAAGTTCAATTTTGTCTGTTGTGTTGTCTTTTGCTATTATTTCAAAATGCAGGGCTAACATTAACCTGTTAGGAACTGTACTTTTCCAAAATGTAATAAGTAACAGATACAAAGTTTAAAAAGAGAAAATACAAAGTAAAGTTAATAGTAATATGACAAACCCATAAACTTCATCTTAAATTCTCATAACTTCATCATAAATTCTCTTCATTGAAATCATTGACTCCCTAATATATTGAAGTCATTCTTTAAACAGGGTTCAACACTTTCTCTTTATTTCTTGGAACCTTGCATTCCATAAGTGTCTCTAGCATCTGAGAGCATTTTGAAATTTCATTTGATTTGATTTGAGCCATTAATATCTTAATGTAGGCTGAAAGGCAACTAATTGAGTAAATCCAAGGACCTTAAGAAAGTAGGTGAGACCTGTTGTAACCATGTTGCCTGTTCTCTAATTTTGTGCACATGGGTCTCAACTGTTCTAGAGGAATTTATCTAGGTACAGCATGTGGTATTAGCAATAGCATAGACATTTCCTTATTTAACCAATGGATACTAAAGGATATCTCAGGTCAGTTTCTGTCAAGTTACAGGCAGAGGCTACTGATTGTAAAACTTCAATTACATTATCCTCCTGCCAAGTGCAAAAAGTAGCATTAAGGCTGGTAAGACTCTCATGATAAATTAAGTCTTGTTCTGACATCTTGGGAAAAGCTGCCTACAGCATGAAAGCATTAACTTCTTGTCTGGATTTGCAGTATCAATGTCTCTGATATTATGTGGTTTGGTGAAGTTTTTGTGTGGCCCATACATCAGCCATGAGGCTTGTCCCTTAAAATGTATCTAGTTTTCAGCATTTAATGTTTTAAGAACAGAGCAGTTTTTGTTTTTAGCAATTCCCTGGAAGAATGGTGAATTGAAAAGATCTACAAGAGTTCAGGATTTAGTCTAGTATACAGACAGATAACAAGAACATGAAAATAATGTATAATGCTACTATCTATTAACAGATACATTATAGTTTTTTTAATAAACACAATTTTTTCTCTACATTGAGCTCATAGGATTTTTAAACTTAAAAAGCTCTTCAGTGTAGGAAGTCAAACCAAGGCAGACTTTAGATTTCACTTATAATATCAAGGTTTTTGGGTCTGCTAGGAAGTGATTTTATTTTTCTCATTCACTGTAAGGCTGGGAACTCTTGATGTTGAACATTTTATGCACATTATCAAGTATGACATTTCAGTCAAAGCCTTGGTAATATAACCAAAGTATTAAATATATTTCAGTCCAGGCCATTGTAATATAACCAATGTTATATTCCACTATAAAGAGAGAACAGATTTTTATTGAACTTATACACATAACCCTATTGTAATAAAAAAGAAGAATACTCAGGAATAGTTTATGAATTTTGGAAGACTCAAGTAGAAAGAAAAAGCAAATCTTTTCACCTTTGTTTACAAAATATTCTTTACCAAATGGTTGGAGATTATAGATAGCCTAAAAGAAATTTTTTTCTAAATCTGGAAAAAACAATATTTAAGTAAAGAACCAAGAATGTTTCTGTTTCAAATAAAAGTCATAAAAATATTATCTTCAGTTATTTACCTTCATATAATTAGTTTTTGTTCTGATTGATCTTGATTTGCAATTTTATGATCACATCAGTTTGTTTTTCTCAGAGTTCTGAAAAATTGTATTAGGTGCACAAGTCCAAAGCTATAAGAAATCTATGCTCAAGAATACTTGTTAGAGTCCTTTCCATAAATATTATTACAAATGCATTTAGAGATAAATCAAAACTGTGGAATAAAAAAAAATCTTTGAAGAGCCATGGTTAAAAATCTGATAGTTCACAATTGACAAGAAAAATTACTTATTTTTTTTATTACATGAAGCATTGTAAGATAATCTGAATCATAACTGACAGCATCACATCAGGATCATCAGACATTTATATATTTCACATGATCTTTGGAATACTCACATGGGTAACCTATCCAAATAAATATAACTTTATAAAAGATTTCACATAACAACTAAAATTATGACAGAATACATATTAGATTTCTATGAGTTTATATAATTTTTGAAAGATTCATATCAATAACATACCCATAAATGTAATTAAAATATTTAGTATCAGTTTCCATTTGACTTACCAAACAACTTACCAAAAAGCCCAATCATTTAATATCCCTACAAGATGAGATATATGCTTTTTGAGACTTTCCAGGAGCTCAACTGAAAAAAATCTCAAAGTTAATTCTAAGTTAAAAGGACTTAATTTAGAATTTTCATCCTAGGTAAAAGCTGACCACAGGTGCCAAAAGTTTCAAACATCGATCAAAACAGAATAACAGGTCCCCGTAATTGAATATACATATATATGTATATATATATCCAAATGAATAATATATATATAATCCAAATTGAATATATATATATCCAAATTGAATAGATATATATCCAAATGAATAATATTAATTTAACCAGAATGATAATCATAATACACCAAAAGCAGTACAGAAGGTTATACAAATTAAAAATATTAACTTTAAAGCTCAATTTTCCAAAGTAAACAAAAACCTAATAAAGACAACACAGGAAATTATCTTGATAAAATGCGAATTATTTTTTACTACTACTTTCGGCTGAATGTTTTCCAATTTTTTAAAAGCTAATCATACCAATAGTGTTTGCATAATGTCAGTACATGCATACGTGCATACGAGAGATGAAAACTCTCCAAATTTAGTTGACAAATATAGCATTTTCTTACAAAAAAACAAAAACAGAAATTAAGAATAATGTCAGTGTCTTCATACAACAATAGTTATTTCTCATTCACAGTGCATATCAAATGCCATAATAAAATGTTGGTTATTAGGGGAACTGTGTTTGCCATATTCATTCATGAGACCTAGCTAAAATGCTGCTTCATGTAATGAAACCACCATTACAACATAAGACTTTATAGTTCTCTCAGACAGGAAAAGAGAATATAGAGAATGATACATCTATTTTTTCTAGAATAAACTACATCCTACTTTCATTCACAGTAACCTAGCCAAAGTTAGTTGCATGACTACACCTAAATTAATGCATTTGGAAACAATTATATTCTTATAGGACTATATAGGAGAAGAGATTTCCACATGCAAAACACATTTATTCAATCATCATAAAGTGTAATCCAATTACAGACTCAAGTTCAAAGTCAAGGAACCCTCACTAATGACCTGTAGTTTCTCAACAGGTATCTTGTGATCTGCAGACCTGTTACCTAACAAAGCTATTTTGTCATTAACACATTTAATATACAATGTTTGAATAGTAAGATTCTATACAAAATAAGCACTTCTATTTGGAAATTAAAAAAATAGAAATGCATGGAAGTTGTTTGTTCATAGAAAGTATGAAATCTCTAAGGACAGATATTTTGAGGGACCCATATATTGAAGTTAAGAAATGTTCCTTGATTAGGCTTTGATTCTTCTTTATGGGAGGAAATGCCTTGATTCTAAAGCTCTATGGATTCTGGCACCATCCTTTGGTAGTTTCATCCTTTAAAATTTTTTATATGATTGTATCAGGTTTGAGTATTGGGGAATATGCTTTTATTTTCTGAGAATACTCTGTTCTTTCATGCTGATAGTGGGGTGCTATATAGACTCGAATAGTTAGAGAGTCAGAGTCAGTTTTAGTTCAGGCTTGTGTGAGAGTGTGCGTATGTGTGTGTGTGCGTTTGGCAGGATAACTTTGCTTCCTTCCTTCCTTCCTTCTTTCCTTCCTTCCTTCCTTCCTTCCTTCCTTCCTTCCTTCCTTCCTTTCTTTCCTTTCTTTCTTTTCTTTCTTTCTTTCTTTTCTTTTTATTTCTTTTTTTTTTCAGTTTATTAAAAGTCTGGCTCTATTGCTTTGGCTGGCAGCAATTTCAGTTCAGTCTGCCTCTCTGGCCCAAGAATACAGTGGGATGATTTCAGCTCACTCAATCTCTGCTTCTCACCTCAGCTTCTGAGTAGCTGGGACCACACATGTGCACCACCATAGCCAGATAATTTTTGTATTTTTTTGTAGAGATCCGGTCTCACCATGTTGTCCAGAATGGTCTCAAACTTGTGAGCTCAAGTGATCCACCTGCCTCAGCCTCCCCAAATCCTGGGATTACAGGCATGAGCCACCACTCCAGGACTCAAAACTTGGTAGTTTTTGTTCCTGATTAATTTTATTCACCATCCCATGCTAGTAACTAGAATGACATTGCTTTTGAAAAGTAGCTCCCAAACTGCCATATTTATTGGACGTCCTGCCGCAAAAGCTCTCTCTTTGTAGAGATAATGGTGGGTACTATGGCTTTTGGACTTTGGTGAGAGAACTAGATCATTGTGCTCTTTCTTCTCAGTTACTTATAAAATTTTAAAGATCTCCAGAATGCCAAACCTTTAGGTTGAACTCATACCGAGTCCCTTGATTTATCTGAGAAATGTTAACATTAGTTTTGGAGGTCATAATATTAAGTTTTGTTAGCCATAAAACTGTGTTTAAATTACCATTAATAGATCAGTAGTAGTCAATTAAATTTCACAATAGACAAAAGATAGTTATAAGTTTAAGAAACAAATAATAACCACCTTTATGAGACACAACCTACAATATATAAGTGAAAGACCTACCATAGCATTAAAACAAATGAAATGAAGTATCATGCTCTTAGATGAAAGTATCTGTGACTAACAATCATTAGAAGACTATTATTTAAGTTTAATGTAATTCCAGTTAGATTTTCTGATGGCTTTTTTTTCTTTTTGAGGATGGCATAGCTAATAGATTAAATATTAATATCCTTATAATAATTAATATATGTTAATTCCCAATGAATATGTTAAAAGAAGTTGACGAGGACAATTTTGCCTTAACATGTATGAAAACATTTTAAAAAGCTATTGTAAACAAAGTAATATGATATTTATATTGGAGCTCAGAAAAGTCAATTGTAAATGAATGAAATTTATTCTGTACTATTGACCTTTATTCTATGATAGAAGGTGCTGAGTAAACGGTGCTGAATAAATGGTACTGACACACTGGTTATCTATTTAAAAAACAAACAAATGTGGACCATAACACCAAATTATAAATACAAAATCCAAATGGAATAAATGCTAAAATGTTTATTAAATTAGTAATAATTTCAGAAGTTAATTTAGAAAATATCTATTTAACATTTTCATGTTAAGGAAGGTAGAAGGGGCAGAAGTTAAAATGAATGGCAGTATTTTACAATAACAAAAAATTAAGACTTTATGGATAAATATGCCAAATACACAACAAAAATAGTATATTATAAAAAATACATGCAAATCTAGTGACAGTAAAATAAATAGTTTCAAAATATTTTTTAAAACCCTACATTTGATTACAAAATAATAACCTAGTTTAAACTGGGGCATTGTTATTAATAAGTAATTGAAGTGGAAATTCAGATGTCCAGAATACAAAAAAATTCACTCAATTTTGTTAATATTCAGGAAAAAGCAAATTAAAAAACTAAGATTTAACTACCCAACTTTCACATTAACATAATTCAGAGGGTGAAAATTCTAAGTGCTAGCATAAAAGTATGAAAAAGTCTAGTCTTATTCACTGCTAAAAATTATGAAACTCCACAAATATATAGGAATATGTTTCTTAATATTTGTGAATAAGGCAGACACTTTTATCTAATTCTGCCATCCCTGGGAATCAAATACACACACATACACACACACATACACACGCACACACACACATAATCCACAAATACAGGCATATATCTAGGATGCAATACAAGAAAATCTATTACAGTGTTATAGTGTGGGTGGAGGGTGGTCAGTTAACCTTGAACTTATGTAAATGTGAATTAATAATGAATACGCTGAAATCATTATAGAACAGCCCTACCATAAAATTCTAAGCCATTTACAAAGGATTGAATTATTTACTTTCCAATTCATGTGTTTGGATCTCAATGATATAAACAAAAGTAAAAAAAAAAGAAAGCTATAAGGAAATTTGTATTTTGTACTATCATAGAGACATATTACTATGTTTGTCTAATTATTTTTATTGCACACAAGAATGATAGTATGGGCAAGGAAAATATAATCACGAGAAACAAAAAGCCTAGAATTGTGGAGGTAATAAAAACAACAAATTGTAGCAAAGTAGAAAATATACTTGATGTGGTATTAGTTAAAATTATAGAATGTAAAATGGTTTGTGTTATTAACATAAGAAAAATATTAAGATTATATCTAAATATAGCATATTTATGATTGCATTTTAAAAAATATATAAATGTTTGCATAGAGATTCATTGAATAAATAGCAACATTATTTACAGTGAAATTAAAGGCAAATTTTAAAGTAGTGTTTCAAATAAATAAATAATAAAGTGTTACATAGATCAAATATTCTATTTTTAATACCTCCATTGTTCCAATATAAATCTACTTGTCTTTCAAAAACCTTAACACAATCACATAGACACATTCTTGCACACAACCAGCACCTTATATTTTCTTAATATATTGTAACCATTACCATGCAAGTATTTCTGCTAACCAAAATTTTGTAAGATCTTTCAGAATTCCCACAAAATATTTTGTCAAATTAAATTGTCCCAACCCCTCTCATTTTCTTAATATCCTATTTCCTGATCTGTGGTTTTTCTAAGCTGAAGCTACTAGGCCATGAAAAGAAATCTGGAAAAAAAAAATATATATATATGAAAATATTTCTGCTGTCAGCAGCTTCAATATATATTATCACTTTGCATCTTTAGATTTATTTAACTGTGAGACATCATAAGAGCAAGTAAAAAAATAAACTTGATGTATGCTTTGAGTACATTAATGTTCAAATTCTATGGGTTGTAACAGCAAGTTTCCCCTTTCTAATATTACCAGTGTATCACTCTTTGCTGTCTTTTCTTATAGTAGGAAACATATTCCTAGTAAAAAAAAAAAATCAGGTCATTTGTGTTTGAACAATCCCTCCTTCTGAGAATTGGCGTCCCATTTCAACTTATTTTTCTTTCTGTAAAAAGATATTTTTAGCATAAGAGAATATGTTTTCAACAAGTGAAGAACTTAGAAGATAAATGTTACTCTGCTTGTGAAGTTTGTCTATGTACTTCCTTTAAGTGGATAAGAGAATGCGTGATAAAACTATAGGCTTAACAGAAGTTGATATGACTGTCATAAAGCTGGAGGTTATGATGAAAGATCTCACTATTTTTAGCAGAAAGGAGAGAGAAAACGACCGCTACTTTTCAGTAAAAGAAAAGACCAAGAACCAAAGAACACTAAGCATAATAGCACAAAGATGAATTTATCATTATTTAGGTATCAGACGGCTTTTCACTGAAAATCAATAGATTATTTTTATTATATTGGCAACAAGCTGACTGTGAAGAAATTTTGCACATGAACAGAGTGCTAAGCCTGCCATCCTTTAAACTCTTGCTCTGTGTGAATTTAATAGAGAAGAGTAACTTTTGAAAATTATATTTTGTTATTAATCATCAGAAGTTATGGCTATTTTTCCAGAGGTACATATATAATAATATATCAGTAAAAATTAAAACACTTTTTTAAAAGATGTTTTCATGCCAACATAAAAGTTTATTTTTTTTCTGTTTGTTTGAGACAGGGTCTCACTTTGTCACCCAGGTTGAAGTGCAATTGCACGATCACAGCTCACTGCAGCCCCAACCTCTTGAGCGCAAAAGATTCTCCCCTCTCAGCCTCCTGAGTGGTTGGGACTACAGGCACATGCAAGCACGACTGGCTGATGTTTGTATTTTTTTGCAGAAATGGGGTTTCATCATGCTGCCAGACTAGTTTTGAACTCCTAGGCTCAAGCGATGCATGCTCGTCTTGGCCTCTCAAACTGCTGGGATTACAGGCCTGAGCCACCGTGCCCAGCCATAAGTACATGTTTTGTTTTGTTTTGTTTTGTTTCATTTTTAATAGAAAAATCCTGATTTCTTTCACATGATTTGAGTAAGTAGAGTTAGTTTTATAGAGTTGTCTTTCTTTTTAAAAAACCTTTGCTGAGTCTTATTTGTCCTCAAGACATATAAAGATCTTTGTGGACCGTGGTTCTATGTTATCTATATTATTTAATGAGGTAATAATTGTTTTCTTGATAACTGGTTCCAGAATTTCCCTCATGGAGCAATGTATTTTTCTGTGTAAAAGTGTCTAATAAGTACTCTTAAAATGGGTAAAACCCTGCATGGATTATGTTGGCTGATTCAAAGTACAAGTTAAGAAGAAAAAAGTACAGCGGTAGAGAGAACCAACTAAATGAAAAGAGGCTAGTATTACATAGGGTGAAATGCTGTTGAATCTCCTGATTTGTGGGATAAAAACAAAGGACACTTTAACAGTGATGAACCCTCTCATTTCATTTAAAATAATTTATAATGTTTTAATTTAAAACCCTTCCCAATTTTTCCTCAGAAGTTTCTGTACAAATTGTATATTAATATATTTGTAGAAATTAAGGAAGGGATTTAATTTAATATATGAATTGTTGTAGTACTCAACAATATTGCTATTCAAAGTGTAGCCCACAGATTAGCGGCATCATAGAAGCTTTTAGAAATGTATATTCTTAAATGCCTTCCCAATTACTGAATCAGAATTTGCCTTTTATTAAGATTCTCAAGTGATTTCTATGCATACTTAACTTTGAGAAACCTTGCAAAGAAACGCACAGCTTCACCTATGTAAGTAGAAACTCAGAAACTTTGTGGACATGAAGTAGTAAGCCTCCTCAGCATGTAGGTACATGTTAAAAAGTCTTTGAAATGTTATAACTTATAGACACTTGTGGGGAAATTGCAAGCTATCCAGTTTTATTAGAAATCCAAAGACAATTATTACCAGTAATGGGCGAGTAAAGTAATTAATTTCTGTTTTTCAATGTTGTTATGTAGTTGGCATTTTGTTGGGGTATAAAGAGATTTTCTACAAATTGGTATAATTTGACCCAGATACTTAGGATGAAGAGAAAAAGTAATTCTGGAAAACAAAACATGAAAAAAATGCACAGAAACACTCTGGGTTACTTATACCACTGGGTGGATGGAAAACATGAAAGTGATCTTGAAATGAAAGATTGAGCCAGACTGGACAGAACATTATAAAGTATGCTATAGACAAAAAGAAAAGGCAAGTTTAAAAAAATTTGGACAAAAATACTACCAGTTTTAAGAGTATTTCCAATATACTGTTTCATAAAATTTATTTTCACATTGATAAAGTTTATGTTAGTTCCTATCTTATAATTTAGAAGTTATTGATTAAGTTAATGAAAATTAAGAATGTGGTAATAGAATAAAGGTGATAATCCTCAACTATTATAGCCCTAATACTGGTTCAGAATATTAAACCCGCAAGAAAACTATTCTCTTGTTTGTTTAATGGCCTGTTTCATCATTAGCACCATCTTTAAGAAGTTTATAAATAGAATCTGAGCTAAGATAATGCAATATATTTGAAGACCTGTGTCCTATATTGCTATGGCCTGAAGTTTATTGAATCAGTTTTCAGATGAAATAACAATGATTTCATAAAAGAGCTAAGAATTTTCATTGTAACAATTTTATGAAATTCTTTTTATATTTATTTAGAAAGATAATATGCATTCAGTTATAATTTAGAGATAACTAATCTTTGTAAGCTTGGCATATCTCATGGTGTAAAGCTTTGATCTTGCCTTTGAATATTTTTCTTGGAATGAGAGTTGCTAAAGGATAAAGATAAAATAACATGAAATACACTTTCTGTCAAAAGTTTTTCTACTTCAATTTTTGTCAGAAAAGACACTACAATACTTTAAGTAGGCTGAGCTGGAAACATACAGGCCCATTTGAATCTCTGTTTTGACATTGAATAGCACCATGCACAGATATAACTTATTTGTTCTCTGTGCCATAGACTTTTGATCTAAAAGAGGGTAACATTTTAATAAGTATTTAATCTAAGAATATCAAATAAAATGTTAACTACAGAAATTGGCTAACTTAACACAGAGAATCCTCGTCAGCTTTTCTATTAAATATATGAATATTATACACACACAAAGAGTGCTAAATTTATTCAACATGAGCTTATTACTGCTTTTATCATTGTTGTTGTTCATAAATTCATTACTTAACTGCAGTCTCTCCAGTATCAACAGATGAAAGTCCTGGTAAACCCCTTTTCTTATCAAGCTTATGGGTACCAATGGGATGTTGAGGTTAGAGAATTTTCTCACTAAATAGTATTTGAAGAGTCTACCTACAGAATCTGTTTTGTCACTTATAATGAACAGATACCAGCTGTGTTGGTTTACAGTCTCCAAGAAGCAGATGCCAAGGAAGGACTAGATGTGTGAAGGAGTTATGAGAGAGAATGCCCAGTAATATTAAAGAGAAAGAAGATAAATAGGTAGAGATAGCCTTTGGACTACAAACCAGTTCCAATATCAGTAAAAATACAGTGAGAGGGAAAGAAATTTGAATAAAAAACATCTCAGATGGCAGGGCATCTCAAAGACAACTTCAGCCAAACGGATGAGGACAAAGTCACCTGTTAGAGCAGTTCCAGTTTGTGAAGAAATGGGTCTCCACTTGTATCCTGCTGTGCTCAGTTTTGTGGCTAGGAGCATCTCAGTTAAGTGTATTCTTTGTGTGTACATAATGGTGGATTCAGAAAGATAATGATTAGTTTCATCAGGCAATTTTTCTCCCTGCAGTAGGAGATCAGAGTTATATATATATATATACACACACACACATACACATACACACACACACATATATTCATATTCCCACCACACCAACATTCCTCATTCCTTTCAAATAAAACCAATGGGTATAGTACAAGAAAGAAACATTATAAAACATACTCTCTTAATTAAAAAAAGTCAAATGTTTTATATATTACAAAAAGCCAAGTTTATGTTCCCTTAAAAACCCGCTTTAAGGTCCACCAGAGTCTACATTAGTGCCTCTAATTCATATTCATGGAGCTACTTTCTTTTTCTATATCAATATTTTATGGCTTCACAGATTATGTCTTCTGCCTTGGACATCTTGTTTTGTTTGTTTGTTTGTTTTGTTTTGTTTTTCACCTTCTCAAACCCCAATCAATATTCAACAGTCGGCTATGACATTACTTCACCTGTGAGGTCTCAAATGACATGATCACTGCAGAAGAACTCTAGATACGTCTTTCCCTTTATTCTCATCGCCTCTTTTCCATTGTTTTGTAACTTCATTTGTTGTCTCCCAAATGCCTCCACTCCAGCAGAACAGATATTTCTTTTTATTTTTATATTTCTTGGGCACATTTAAGTTCTTAACATATAGAAAGTGTTCAGTATATTTTGGTAAATCAATGACAAGAAGATGAATGGAGGAGTTTTAATTTCTGGTTAGCAGTTAGCCAAGTAGATAAATGATGGTACCGTTCAACAATATAATGAACGTGAAGTGTAAATGCATATTTTGCAATTGAAGGTTGTGTGTTAATTTTAGTTGTTTTGATATTGAGGCTCAGTGGTGCTGAATAAAGTCTGACAAATAAATACATGGGTTCATTAGTTAGTATAGATAGTCAAATGCCAGATAAATAATTGGGAAAAATTAACATGTAAGTGGTTAACAAAAACCATGTGAGTAAATGATTTTGGTGATGGAAAATGCCTATCTAAAAGAAAACTAATGGTCAGTTGCAAATACTAATCAACACTGTATAATGGGATGTACAGAGAAACATAAGTCAGATAAATCTTTTAAACCTATGAGGGTTAAGAGAAGAACTAGAAAAGATAAAGTCATGTGTGTCCCAAAGAAAGAATTAGCCATGAACATCCAATATAGAAGAAAGAACAAGTAAATAAGCCCTAACAATAATTTTGGATTTGGCTATTAGGCAGTTTATTAGATGAGTGGGGATGTGAGGATGGGTGCCAAATTGCTGTCCACTGAAAAGTAAATAGCAGATGAGAAAATGGAGTTAATAAAGGTGTTTACCACCTTTAAGCTTTTAAATATACTCAAATATTCATCATTTTTGCTCTCTTGATTCTGACTTGTGGATCCAGTTTTCTATGTGGTACCATCTTCCTTTTGTCTGAAGATGTTACATTTTTATATTTATTGTGGTGAAGTTCTGCTAACCATGTTTTCTGAAAGTCTTTATTTACCTTTATATATTTTAATAGATATAGCATGGAGATATATTTTAATAGCTATAGCATTTTATCTCAGAAATTTTCCTCCTTGAGTTCCTTAATGGGCTTGCTACATTGTCTTCCTTAAATATGTCTGACAAGAGGTCTGCCATTGCTTTTATATTTTTTCTGTCTTTATGTAATTTGTCTTTTTATTATTTACTATTATTAAGATTTTCTCCTAATCACTGATTTCCACCATTTGGAATGTGATGTGTCTTAGTTCGGCTTTCTTTAGGTTTATGCTGTTTGAAGCTTATTTAGATTTTAAATCCCAGGTTTTACATATTTCACTAAATTTGTAAAATTTGTAGTTATTATTTATTCAAATAATTTTTCCACCATGACACTCCTCCTTTTGGAACTCTCTGTGTGTGTGTGTGTGTGTGTGTGTGTGTGTGTGTGTGTGTGTGTGTGTTAGATTCTGTTATTTGGTACCACAAGTTGCTGACAAACCTTATTTTTGTTTCACAGATATTCTTTGAGTATTTTTTAAGTCTTTTTGCTACATATTTAAGTTCATTGGTTTTCTTTATTGTGTGCTGTTTAACTCATTTTATAATCTCTTCAAGTGTATTTTCCCAGGTATTGTATTTTTCACCTCTGGAAGTCCATTTGAGTCTCTTCTATATTATCCTTTTCTCTCCTCATCATGTTTACCCCTAAGTACACTACAGATTCTTAGAATTGCTGTTTTAATATTTTTTGTTGCTAATTCGATTTTCTTTGTCATTCCTAGGTTTCTTTTACCTAACTACCTGTTATAGTTCCAGGTTGTATGTTACATTTTTCTGTTTCTTTATGTGTGTAGTGATATATGATTAGATTCTGAAACTGTGTTTTACATGTAAACGTGTCTAATTTTGTTTAATTTATTTAAAAATAGTTGATTTTTCTGGACGGCAACTACATTCCTAATGCAATAGTTTGCACTGTTTGTGATATGCAATTTTTAGCTGCTTTATGGCAGATCTAGAGCAGACTTCATTCTAGAACTATTTTTGTCTCACTATTAAGGCAAGCCTTTATAAATTCCCTATGTATTTAGCAAGAATTCTCCATTCTGAATAGAGGGAACACTCGTGTTAACTTGTGCTGTATGAGCTCTGGGAATTGTTTAATATTACAAATTTGTGATCACTGTTCTTTCATGTTTTATTTTACTTTAAGTTCTGGGATGCAGGTGCAGAATGAGCAGGTTTTTTACATAGGTATATGTGTGCCATCTCCATGGCACCTATTGACCCATCCTCTTAAGTTCCCTCCCCTCGTCCGCCCACACCCAAACAGGCCCTGGTGTGTGTTGTTCTCCTCCCTGTGTCCAAGTGTTCTCATTGTTCAACTCCCTCGTATCAGTGAGAACATGTGGTGTTTGATTTTCTGTTCTTGTATTAGTTTGCTAAGGATGATGTCTTCCAGATTCATCCATGTCCCTGCAAAGGACATGATCCCATCCCTTTTTATGGCTGCATACTATTCTATGGTGTATATATACCACATTTTCTTTATCCAGTCTATCATTGAAGGAGGGTTTTTTATGTCTCTGTCTCCTTCAGTTCTTCTCTGATCTTAGTTATTTCTTGACTTCTGATAGCTTTTGGATTAGTTTGTTCTTGCCTCTCTAGATTAGAGGTCTGTCCTTGAGACTCTGGCTGGAGTTATTGGATTTATGGTAGCAAAGCCCTGCCCAATGAGGAAGGATGGGTCAGAGTCAGGCTTGAAGAGGCACTCTGGCCGCAGATTACCAAACCCGATGTGTTGGGCTGTGGGGACAAGTCTTGGGAGCAAGACATCCAGTCTCCCTGGCTCCAACATGTACCACATTTTCTTTATCCAGTCTATCATTGATGGGCACTTGGGTTGGTTCCATGACTTTACTATTGTAAATAGTGCTGCAATAAACATATGTGTGCATGTGTCTTTATAGTAGAATAATTTCTATTTCTTTGGGTATATACCCAGTAATGGAATTGCTGGGTCAAATGGTATTTCTGGTTCTGGATCCTTGAAGAATCACAATACTGTCTTCCACAATGGTTGAACTAATTTACATTCCCACCAACAGTGTTAAAAGCATTCCTATTTCTCCACAGCCTCATCAGCATCTATTGTTTTCTGACTTCTTAATAATCACCATTCGGACTGGCATGAGATGGTATTCCATTGTGGTTTTGATTTGCATTTATCTAATGATCAGTGATGTTGAGCTTTTTTCATATGTTTGTTGGCCATGTAAATGTCTTCTTTGGAAAAGTGTCTTTTCATATCCTTTGACCACTTTTGGATGGAGTTGTTTTTCTTTTCCTTGTAAATTTGTATAAATTCCTTCTAAATTCTGGCTTTTGTCAGATTATTAGATTGCAAAAATTTTCTCCCATTCTGTAGGTTGCCTGCTCACTCTGATGAGTTTCTTTTGCTGTGCAGAAGCTCTTTAGTTTAATTAGACCCCGTTTGTCAATTTTGGCTTCTGTTACAATTGCTTTTGGCATTTTCATTATGAAGTCTTTGTCCATGCCTATGTCCTGAATGGTATTCCCTAGGTTTTCTTCTAGGGTTTTTATGACTTTGGGTTTTACATTTATGTCTTTAATTTATCTTGATTTAATTTTTGTATCAGATATAAGGAAGGGGTCCATATTTTATTTTCTGCATATGGCTAGCCAGTTTTCCCAGCAATATTTATTGAATAGGAGATACTTTCCCCATTGCTTATTTTTGTCAGATTTGTCAAAGGTCAGATGGAGGAAATTGAACAACCTGCTCCTGAATGACTCCTGGGTAAATAGTGAAATTATGGCAGAAATCAAGAAGCTTTTTGAAACCAATGAGAACAAAGAGACAATGTACCAGAATCTCTGGTACACACCTAAAGCAGTGTTAAGAAGAAATTTATAGCACTAAATGCCCATATCGGAGATCTAGAAAGATTGCAAATAGACACCCTAACATCACAATTAAAAGAGCTAGAGAGGCAAGAGCAAACTAATCCGAAAGCTAGCAGAAGACAAGAAATAACAAAGATCAGAGATGAATTGAAGGAGAGAGACATAAAAAACCCTCCGAAAAATCAATGAATCCAGGAGCTGTTTTTTTTTTTTGAAAAAAAAAAAAAAATAACAAAATAGACTGCTAGCTAGACTAATAAAGAAGAAAAGAGAGAAAAATCAAACAGACACAATAAAAAATGATAAAGGGAACATCACCACTGACCCCACAGAAATACAAACTACCATCAGAGAATACTGTAAACATCTCAATGCACATAAACTAGAAAATCTGGAAGAAATTTCTAAATTCCAGGACACGTACATCCTCCCAAGACTAAATCAGGAAGAGTCAAATCACTAAATAGACCAATAAAAAGTTTTGAAATTGAGGCAGTAATTAGCAGCCTACCAACCAAAAAAAAAAAGCTCAGGACCAGATTGATTCACAGCTGAATTCTACCAGAGGTACAAAGAAGAGCTGGTACCATTTCTTCTGAAATTATTCCAAATAATTGAAAAGGAGGGGCTCCTCCCTAACTCATTTTATGAAGGCAGCATCATCCTGATACCAAAACCTGGCAAAGACACAGCAGAAAATGGAAACTTCAGGCCTGTATCCCTGACGAACATCGATGTGAAAATCCTCAATAAAATACTAGCAAACCAAATTCAGCAGCACATCAAAATCTTATCCAACAGGATCAAGTCAGCTTCATCCCTGGGATGCAAGGCTGGTTCAACATACACAAATCAATAAACATAATCCATCACATAAACAGAACAAATGACAAAAACCACATGATTACCTCAATAGATGCAGAAAAGTCCTTTGATAAAATTCAACATCCCTTAATATTAAAAACTCAATAAAATAGGTACTGATGGAACATATCTCAAAATAATAAAAGCTATTTATTTCAAACCCACAGCCAATATCATATTGAATGGGCAAAAGCTGGAAGTATTCCCTTCGAAAACTGGTACAAGACAAGGATACCCTCTCTCAGCACTCCTATTCAACATAGTATTGTATTGGAAGTTATGGCCAACCAGTCAGGCAAGAGAAAGAAATAAAGCTTTTCCAGATAAAAAGAGAAGAAATCAAATTTTCTCTGTCTGCAGATGACATGATTTTATATTTAGAAAACCCCATAGTCTCAGCCCAAAATCTCCTTAAGCTGATAAGCAACTTCAGCAAAGTCTCAGGTTACAAAGTCAATGTGCAAAAATCACAAGAATTTCTTGACACCAACAATAGACAAGCAGAGAGCCAAATCGTAATGAACTTCCATTCATAATTGCTACAAAGAGAATAAAATACCTAGGAATACAGTCATCAAGGGACATCAAGGACCTCTTCAAGGAGAACTACAAATCACTGCTCAAGGAAATAAAAGAGGACACAAACAAATGGAAAAACATTCCATACTCATGGATAGGAAGAATCAATATCCTGAAAATGGCCATACTGCCCAAAGTAATTTATAGATTCAATGCTATTCCCATCAAACTACCATTGACACTCTTCTTAGAATTAGAAAAAAAACTACTTTAAATTTCATATGGAATTAAAGAAGACCCCATATAGCCAAGACAATCCTAAGAAAAAAGAACAAAGCTGGAGGAATCATGCTACCTGACTTCAAATTATACTACAGGGCTACAGTAACCAATATAGCATCGTACTGGTACCAAAACAGGCATATAGACCAATGAAACAGAAGAGAGCTTAGAAATAGCACCACACATCTACAACCATCTGATCATTGTTCTTTCTTTGGAAGTTGTTCTTTCCCTGGGTTACGACCTTACAAATGTGTAGATGGGTGTTTAGTCACAGACTAAAAACTCTTACTGTAATTTCTTTCTAGTATAAATTCCTTCTCTCATATAATGTGCCCTAGAACTTCTGGCCACTTTGACATCTCACACTTCAAAATTTGTCTCAACTGGGCAAGATTTCTGCACTCTGTTTGGGGACTCATTGCTGAGTCACAATCTTGGAATTGCCGAAACTCTAGGAAATGATATTTCTCATCTCATTTGTTCTTGTTTTCTCAGTAACCGTAGTAGTTTTTTACAAATATTTTGTTATTTTTTGTTTTTCATTGCTTATGATAGAAATGTAAGTTCACATATTTTACTCACTCCTGGCCAAAAGAGTAAGGAGCTTCAAAAATGTGGTTGTAAAATGAATGAGAAAGATATAGTAAAATCCTTCAAGAGATGAAGTATTTAGAATGAAACTTTATTCCATTATGGGAGAAACAATATTAGTTTAAAGAGAGATTTATTGTTACTTTTTCCAGAAAGCAACTGCTGATGATACATTAATGAGAAGTGACTATTATTGAAGCAGTGTTACCTAGTGCCCCGTATAGAGTTCTCTGTCGTTTCTACACGTTTTTTTTTTTTAACTTAGCATTAGGCAAAAATACCACAGAAACCAGAGCAAATTTAACTTAGCACAATGTTTGTTAATTTCTATTGAATTTCTCTAGCTCTAAAAGTTTGCTTTTACCTAATTTAGAAAAGTCCATTAAGATATTTTTAACATTAGTAATTATTTATAAAATATAGTATAAAAACTCATAATTTTGAATATAATCTAAACAATAAATTTGTTGTATATAATAACTTTTGAATTTGAATTATTTTTAAAAACTTTATAATAAAATTTCTCTTTCCCTACATCCTTTATGAAAAGGTAGCTCATTAATTTTTATGAAGATTATTAGAAAATCAATATGTTTTCAAGTTGATTAATACCTATTATGGATAATAAGGCTCATATTGGTGATAAATGAATTGCTTCCTAACATCAGGTATTTTGAAGACATATTTATACAATATATGTATGATAGCATATTGAATTAAATTTTTCAAATTATTATTTATATATTTATTTTGCTTTAGCTATGTAGATTTGATTTGAATACAACCCCAGCTATAAACAATTACATGATTGTTTCTCTTCTTCCTGTGAGATTATCTGACTGAAATGCAGATAATTGAATGAAAATCTGTTAATAAAACAAAGATATCTGAAGGGTAATTATGATGAAATATAGATTATAATATTTACCAGACAAAATATAACAGTGGTGATTTAAAAAGTCATCAAGGTCTATTTCTTACAAAAAGGATTTTATCGAAGTTTAATCTTTGCTTCTACTATAAAATTGACTAACTTTTCCTGATCTGTATTTATAAACAGTATGCTAAGAAATTAATGTACTGTGTGAACCACATGTCATAGGTTCTATATATTTTAAATAGCTTCACTTAAAATTTCTTCTGCCTTTCTTTTTTTATGTTAAGAAGTTGTGCAATAAAGTCATTAATGATTGCAAATGTAATACAGATTTATTGGACCTATATATGTGTGTTTATGAATAAGATAGACATTTTTTGAAACATATTCGAGAATATATATTCAATAAAAAGAATAATTTTTCATATATGATTTACATGTTTCATATAAATTACGTAAATATATACACACAAATATAATCACACATTTGTATTTTATGTTTTTAATACAACAGACTCTCAGTTTATTGCAGAAAGTGTCAGAGAACTCTAAAATCACTCAAAATATTATCATATTTAATTGCAATTTTGAAATTTAGTCCTTTAACAATTTCAAGGCAAAGAGAAACCAGAGGGAAAAAGTATAATTTAAACATTTTTAAGTATTGCATTTTTTTAAAATTCTAGGATACTGATATAAGAGAAGTACAGAGAACTGGGTTCTAAGTCTTTCTCACATGTATTCTATGATTTTCTTTTTCAGAGGCTTTCAGTAGAGCCTCTTTTTCTACCTCACATCTTTGCTGTGCTATTTAAAAATCATCCCAGAGTTTAGTTAAGCATAATTTATCCTATATAATTCATAAAGTAACTTTCACATTTGAGTCCTATTCACAAATATTTTTCAAAATAAATGTATGAAAAAATATAAAGGAATCTAAATATAATTTGAAAACTAAACATATAAAAGAATAATTAAATTTGAACTCCTGAAACAAAATGTGGAGTATTCTGATGAATTAAATCCTTTCCAAGCCCTGCAACTCCCAAATTCAAAAGAGAAGAAAAACTAAAGGCTTGCAAAATGTGAACATATAGATTCACCCAACTAGTGAGTATGTAAACGGATGCAGCTTTTTCTTTTACAATTTTGGAAATTTGTTGGTTTCCTTTGATAAAGAACTAATATTTTAATGCTTGGTGCAACTGTATTCTCCCTGTGATTCCTAATCTTTTGAAAAAGGATAATATGAGTGTGAGGAATTAGCCCATACTCTAGTCTAAACTGTCACTGAGAGAAATGAAACCATTGCTAGTTTGAATCTGTAAAACATGGAAGTTCTGATTAGAAAAATAAGTTAACTGCTATGGTGCACCATGATTTTATTTTTAATTTTTATTTTTTTTGGACAGAGTCTCACTCTGTCACCCAGACTGGAGTGCAGTGGCGCGATATCGGCTCACTGCAACCTCCACCTCCCAGGTTCAAGTGATTCTCCTGCCTCAGCCTCCCCAGTAGCTGGGACTACAGGCACATGCCACCACATCCAGCTAATTTTTGTTGTTTTAGTAGAGACGGGGTTTTACCATATTGGCCAGGATGGTCCCATCCCTTGACCTTGTGACCCGCCTGCCTCAGCCTCCCAAAGTACTGGGATTACAGGCGTGAACTACCGTGCCCGGCGGGTGCACCATGAATTTTTAAGTGGTATTAAACATTTACACATTCAAGATAAAAAAATGCAAATGTCAATACATAGATTTACATTTTGTGGAAGCACAATACTAGCATTTTTCAGAAATGACAAAACCAGCTTTGAATATTCCTATCATATGTTCTAAATTAGTACTTTTAAAACGGCCTGCATATATTCATCAGTAAGAAAAGTAGTATTTAAATATTCTCTACAATTACAGTATTAATGATATCTGAAAAATAGAAAATATCAAAGAATGAATACTTTAAAAATAATCAATCTGCAACAAAATATCTATTTGTTTAAATGTCAATGAGTACAGTTTACATTTAATAATTTAACTTAAAACACCAGTTGGGCATTTACTATGTATTGCAGACTAGAACAGATACAAAGATAAATAGAAATAAACCTTCTGTAGAAGTTCTCAGTACAATGGAGAAGATACACACCAATAAGTTACCACTTATGTAAACTTGTACAGATTATTAAATTCCCTGAACTTCACTGTCTTCATCTTTAGAATAGTAAAAATAGTATTCTTTCTAATAGCATTTTGAGCATTAGGTATAATTCATTTAAAGCAACATGCACGCCTGTCATATTAATGTGTCAAGGTTTTATACAAAAGTACCTGTGTTTATCTGCCTAAATCACTCCTCTGTCACTCTAAAGTTGATTGTTTTTGTGCAGTTTGGGCACTTCACAAAGACACCAGCTAAATGTTACTCATTCTTTGCTCACTAAATCTTGTATTGCAACATAGTGCTATGTTTAGTCCAGGGAAAAAGCACTTTTTTTTTTTTGGCACAATCAGTTCACCAAGTAAAATATGTGAGGGTCTAAAATGGTAGCAGATCTAAGTGTCCTTGTGGTCGTGCTAGCACCTCTGTCTCTGTTCATTAGAGCAGAAATATTGACTTAAGGCAGCCATCATCTAAGGGCAGTCTAGATACATGCTTGACAATCCAGTTTTTCTTTTTTTAGTCTCCCAAACACTAAGCAAGATTGGTAGTAGGAGGTCAGGAAGAAAGAGTCAAAGGGTAAATTTTGATGGGAGTAAAATGAATGGAGTATTGAGGTCTTAAAGAAAGGATTTTAAAAAGATCTTCAGTCTGGAAGGATTAGAAACGGCTGAGGACCGGGAACAGGTTGCTGATGGAGTGCAATAAATGCTGCCCCAAAATATGGCAAGTTGGAAATGGAGAAAATAGCAGAAACAGGAAGACCACTCTCACTTGCTTCTTAGTCGTCTCCCCTGAAGAAGGCTGTAAAACTTAGGAAAGTAACTCTCTGTCTTCTCCGTCACTTATGAAGACCCTCATGTACAGGGGTCCTTTCTACATTGGGAGGAAAGGAATGAAGATATAGAGAAGCAAGGAAGAATCTGAACAATCCTTCCTGAGTTCTCCCCACTTTATTGCAGTTAGTCCGTGTGCACTTTTGTCCAAGCATCCTTCCATGACACTGTCCACTTTTCATCAAACATAAGCATAATAATACACAGTCTTCCCTGTTTTTTCATTTCTGAAGTCTCCTGTGAAACTTATTTTAAATGAATTTATATGCTTTTCTCTGGTCAATCAGTCCTTTGTTTTTGGGGTCTCTGTCATGAAATTTGCCACAAGTGAGAAAAGAATATATTACTTTTTCTCCCTACCACTGCCATGAATAAGAATCTTATCTTCCATTACAATCTTGAGATCCTTTTCAATATTCTCTAAAAAGAAGGTGGTAAATGTGTAAGAAAAGAAAAATGTGTCTCCTGAACATGGAAGACCTAATCAATTTCCTCTGAAACAGAGAAATGGAAAACTAAACAGTATTTTTCTAACATGCAAAAGCAATTTCTCTCCATTATTCTCTAAAAAATAAAACGTATATTTCTTCTTCCAATTTTTGATAACTGCCATTCCATTCAGTTTAGTAATGATTATTATGTTTTAAAAATATTAAAATCTTTTTCTTGCCTTAGCATTCATGACACAAAAGTATAAAAGAAGTTTTGATTAAATGCATTTTGCTTTGTGTTAATAAGTTTAATGGATAACTCTGACCTTTAAAATATAATATACATCCATGAATCAGCTAAATAATAGGTTTTCTGGCAAGCATAACTGCTACTTCTGTTTATAAAGCAGACACAGCTACATGCATGCCTTTGATGGCTAGTGAAATACTTCAAACATTTTCTTATTCTATTAAAACTTTTTTTATTCTATTAAAACATCAGGCTTTATTTACTTGAGGAGGTCACAAGAACAAGTTTCTCACATATGCATGTTAATTGTAAAGTATAAAAATAAATTAAAAATATTTTTTCTAGCTGCTTGGTATAAATTGTTGCTATCTTTACTGTGTTTGCTTTTGAAGAGATGGTTGCAAACGATACCACCCTTGTTCAATTAAGTGTTCATATCTCTCCCAGAAATTTAAATTGGTTAAAAAACTTTAATGAACAAGTTGTAGTTTGGCCTTTCTGTGGAAAATGAATAGAAGGTATTATTTTTGAGATTCATTAAGCAAATGCACCTTTTATATAAAATCTAGCTTTTAATTTTCTAAAAATGTTTATGTAAATTGACTAAATGCAAATGAACAAATTATGTTGATGGCTTAACTAGTATAATTTTATGTACCAATTTTCCAAATAAAGATTTCCAATTAAAAAAAATCTTGAATGTACACATATAACGTCTACCACTTTTTCCTAGATGTATGTAATTACTATATACTGCAATGCTACAATTTTCATTTTATGCTATTAATCATGTATCATCCAAAAGTACAGAAAGATGATTCTGTATTGATAATTCATGACAAAATTAGAACTAAAGAATTCATCTGAGTGTTTGTGTATGATGGGTTTTCCTCAGTTTATTTTCTTTGTTTATCTGGTGATTTGCTATGAATTGTGACTATAAAGCTCTAGCATTTTTAGAAAATCAAATTGGTAAATAGCATTTGAAAAAAGTCACTGTTTTTTAAATTTAAATGGAATAAATATAAAATATGTAAAAATTATTAAAAATAAATTTTACAGGAAGGACACAATGACTGCGTAAGATCTGAATCAACAATGTGAGAAATAGGCAATGACCTCATGTATCTAGTTTTACATTCTCCAAAGAAGGAATTAGTTACTAGCACCTGGCCTACAAGCTAGCTGTTTGACTTTGCTGTGAAACCAGATGTATAAAAACCTAGCCCTGGTCTAATCAGTTATCTCTAACATTATTGTCAAGCTCCATTTGAAGGAAAGCACCCTAGCTGGGCATCAGCCAGGAATTCACTGAAGAGAGTATTAATGAGACTGACAGAAGTAGGCAGTTATTTCTCCAGAGGGTGAAGTGTTACAAACTAGTGACCATGAAGAAGTTAAAGAAAAAGACAAATGGGACTGTTCTTTTTCTGGCTGAAAGCATATCTTACTGAGAACAATTCCTTAAGAGAAGTCAGAGCTCTACTTTGATAAATACTGTCTAGGAAGGCCTCACTTTGATCTCTGCCTTATTTCAAGGGTAGACATCAAAACACATTTAATGAGCTTTATTCTCCATTTCAAGTGAAAAGGGATTAGGGAATTAGAAATTTTGAAGCCACATATTTTGATATCATTTTTCTAACTTTCATTTCTACCTCATCGTTCACAGATGAAGATCTTGAGGCAGAAGTTACTTAACTTGCTCAAATAGCAACTAAATTTAGAGCCAGAGACAGGTTTGGAATTTATTCCTTCTAAGTTACAATCCAAAGCTCTCTCTCAACTACTTTCTTTCAATAGGGTTCCTGTATCATCTATACTAACTATCCTGTCATACCGGCAGAGATATAGACTTTTGCAAGACTGATTAAATGTGAAGGGTTTCTTAACTTAAGTATGTTCATAATACTGAGAGTAATTTTAATAGCGAGATTTTATTAAATTCATGCTAGTAACAATACATGCCTTCTTTAAATTTGTCACATTCCCATTTCACAGATAAGTAAATTGGAAAATGGAAATTACACTTCTTCCTCAATCTAGAGGCAATAATATTAATCATTGCATTCATTTTGATAATAAATGAAAATAAATCCAAAATCTTCATTCATTCGGAACTTTTAAAATATATTATCTACTCAACTCTAATAATTTCTTTATTAAAATTATTTGTCCTCTTTGTAGTAAGCACATTGTCAATAAATAATATTGTCTTTTTATATTTGAAAGTATGAATAACTATTGGAAGGCAATGTTTTATCAGTATATTAACACATAAATATAAACTGAATTGTTAGAAATTGTTATATGTTATAACATTATTGTTATTCATCAAAATGAAATCAAAGAGCATATTAAAAATATGTGTTGATTCTAGATGCTACACACATATGGAACTAATTTTTGTAATATATAATCAACATAAAAATGTTATGCTATAATCTTGAAGTGATTTTGGTTTATTTTTTATTTAAAGTTGATTATATATTAAATAACTTATGAAAAACATCATGACAGTGTGATGGATTACACCTGTAATCCCAGCCACTCAGTAGGCTGAAATGGGAGGATCTTGAGGCCAGGAGTTCAAGACCAGCTTGGACAATGTAATAAGACCTCATCTTTAAAAAAGTGAAAAAAAAAAAAATACCTGGGTGTGGCTGAGTATGCCTATAATTCCAACTGAGGCAGAATGATTACATGAGCCCTGGAATTTGAAGCTGCAGTGAGCTATGACCTGAAGTGAGCTATGATCATACCACTGAGTTACATCCTGGGCAACAAAGTGAGACCCTGACTTAAAAAAAAAAAAAAAGAGTAATAAGCTGCATTTATTGTACTTTTGTTTTCCTTGATAAGCAAAGCAAAATTCTTGATAAGAATTTTCTGCAATACATTACTCTATATTAAAAAATATAAAATGTTTGAATAAACTAATTTTATTAATATTAATAATTTGCTAATTTAACCTAAAGATATTATCTTATATTTACAAGCAAATCTCTTCTTAACAAAAATATGAAGCCTATATAAGCATTCAGGTTACTTAGAAAATAGAGATGGATGATAAAAGAGTGAAATAATGGATTCTGATAATGAGAAGATGGAAAAATTTTGTAGAAAATTATTAAAATTAATTAAACATAGCTTTGAAAGAAAATTATATGGATCTGTGGTAATAACCTCAAACTGAATTTTTTTCTAGAATGGACACTTTAGGTCCTGGCTGAAAAACCTTGACTCTTATGTTCTCTTTAAGTTTCAATACAAGATATCTTGTACTTCCATTGTGAGAAAAAACTAATAAAAATTTACTGTAAAATTGTAGAGCAGCTTAATTTTTTTAAAGGGTGAGAATTAAACAGTTTGGATTGTACTGACATTTTACCTTAAGAAAATGAATTCTATATGTTGGAAAATCTAAATTGTCACATTTAAATTAGAGCAACCCTATTTTTATAGAATAATAAATTATTTGTAAGAAATCAGAATAACAGTACATAATTCATTTATGAATAAGTCGTTCTTTGCATTTTTTGTAGTGTTCATTCTACAAAGCTTAATTTTATCAGTTGCTTCAGAATCATCTAATTTCCAAAATGTTCAATTATAATTCAATGCAAGTCTAGCTGCTCGCACCTAAAATGGCAAAATACAAGTGAGGTGCAGTGAAAGGAAAGCAACTTTATTTAAATGCTAGCTGTTGGGAAATAGCCAAGCTCGTGTCTCCAAAAGGCTGTTTTAAATTGGGAGGCTGACTGAAGGGGTTTAAAAAGGGACACTTGGTATGGGAAATATGTGGGAGTGGCGCAGGTTGTAGGTCTTCGCATTTTTTGATGGCTATCTTGAATTATTGTCTACCCAGAGTTCCAGCTGGCATCACCTTGGCTGCAACTGGATTGTAGATTATCCACTTTGAGGTAATCTCTAGGTGGGGGAGAGTTCTGCAGCTGGGTCTCCATGTCTGGTTTACTTATAGATTATCCCCTGGTATACTAAACAAGCATATCATTAGATAAGCATGCATGATAGAAGGGAGTGTCTGGTAAGAAAGGGAAAGAAACAGATAATTTTAAGGTGCATTTCAAGGCTATGTTCTGAGTTTAGAGAAAAAAATTTTAAATGCATTTTAAAGCAAAAAAAACTTAAAAAATTTAAAATGCGTTTATACGCTCCAAAGTGATTTCTTATGCAACATTATTCATTTAAACCTTGTTGCACATCAACATTTTATGCATGGTATTTTCTATAAATATAAAGCGATAGGGCTGTAAGATAAGATAATTACATTTTACATGTGCTTGGGTACGTGTGACTTCTTAACATCTTTCACTTTTCATATATATTGTTAAGGGCTGACTCATGACAATGGCACAGCTGTACAATATTTTGGTTGTTTATTTATTGAAACAGGGTCTTGCTCTTTTGCTCAGGCTGGAGTGCAGTGGTGTGATCATGGCTCATTGTGGCCTTGACCTTTCAGGCTCAACCAAATCTCCTGTCTCAGCCTTCTGAGTCACTGCGAATACAGGCATGCACCACCACACCTAGTTAATTTTTTAAAATTTTTATTTATGTAGAGATGGGATCTCACTATGTTACCCAGACTTGTGTAAAATATTTAATAGAGAAAATACCATGGACATGTACTGAGATAGAAGTTTAAATACCAGAGTACCACTCTCTGTAGTTTCAAAGCAAGTGTATCTGTATGATATTCAAATAGTAATCATTGTACACAGTATACTATGGCCCATTGAAGTAAAAGAAACTAGCAATCCTTAAAGAAAATTGGCAGAGTTGATAATTATGTTTGTGTCATATTTTTATTTATTCATAAATTAGTTGTTTAATCTGAATTTGATGATTCATGATGCCCAGATATGTGGGGCTGACATATAGTTGGATTAACCAATTGGTTAATTAATTCACTTAATCAAACTATATCTCTTGAGCCAATTTTATTTGACAGACCAATTATATAATAGGTTTGTGCTTCTTTAACTGGGATCTTTTTATTGATCAATTAATTGAAATCTATGAGTTCGCTGACGGAACCTCAGTGCTGTAGTTTGAATTTCAGTGGCCAGTTCTCTTGATCAGAAGCCACATTTAATAGAACAGAATTTGTGCAACATTTGGCACATATTCATGCACACAATATATAACTAAATCATACATAAAATGTTTTAGATTATTTTCTTATTTATTTATTTTTAAATTAACAAACATATAAGCCAAACTATAAAGCAATGTGTCAAAGAAAATGTAAAGCCACAGCGAAAATATGACCTAGCTTTTCAAAACAACAGTCAGCTTGAATATTTTAAGAAAGAACTTTTTATAATTTAATGTCAATTAATAATGTAAAATAAACAATAAAGTTTAAAGATCAGCATTTCTAAAATATAGACAATACTTAGCAATGGATGCTGAAATGAGTGATGCATAATAACAAAGTTTGATGCATAATAACATACAGATGTTTATAAAGTATCACTCCGCAAATAATGTTAGTTACACTGAGGAGAAAGTGTAACTCTACAGGTTAGAATACTGGCATAAACTACCAAATTCAAGTAACCAAAGTTAATATCTAATAATGAGACAAACCAATATCAAAGCCTTCTTAATATAATCCACTAGACAGAATACAGCATCACTTCTATCACATGCTTGTCAAAAAATACATAACTGTAATATAATCATGAGGAAATGCTAGACTGCTCCACATTGGGGAACATTTTGCAAAATAACGCCCTGTGCTTTTTCAAAAAGATTAAGGTAGGTAAAGTCAATGAAAGACTAAATTTTTGCAGATTAAAAGAGAATAAAGAGACATGAAACTGAAGGCAGTATGTTATATCAGGTTCTTGAATACAGGGTTTATTCTGTTTTTTTTTTTTTTCTCTAAAGGACATTAATGAGACCAACTAAAGTGACTCCAAATAAAAAGATTGTGATCTCATAACTGATTGAGACTGAATTGTAGAAATCTCAGAGTCTAATTTGGTGTTGGTTCTTCCCAAAGCAATTTTATATTTGCTGCTACCTGGAAATAAGGTCACTTCTGTCTCCTTTCCATGTGTATGACATAAAGTAAAAAATTATTTTCTGCTTTTCTCACCTACTTCTGGCAATACTAATTATAAAATTTTCCTTAGGCCCAGTCTGCATTTTGCTGATGAAATTAAGTTTCCAGATTTAATTGAATTGCAGTTATCATTTTTTTATTTCATAGTTAAATTTATGTGCGTATTTTAAGACATTTTTCAAAGTTGTGAAGATACACTTCTGTATATTCTTACAAAACTTGTTAAATGTTTCATATTTATTTCTATTACACATTTTAATTCAATATTTGTCTTTGGTTTTCAAGACAGAGAAGGGATTTTAAATTTTATAATAATTGTTAGTTAACAAATTCTCCTGCTACCCATTCATAGGTGCTGGTAGAGGACTGAAGATCCCTGGCTCAGAGAAAAAGAAGCTTTATTATTCCTAGCAAATGCCACAGACATATTATCAACATTTGCTCCCGTGAATGCCAGGGTTTCTTGGGGGAGGGAGGCAGAAATCAATAGAAGAGAATACTGGCTTTTTAGACAGTGAGACTCTTCTGTATGATACTGCAATGATGGATCCATGTCATGATACATTTGACAAAACTCACTTAACTTCACAGCAAAGAGTGGAACCTTAATATTTGCAAATTAAGATGCATCATTTAAGAAGTCAAAGGATTGTAGGACAAAGTGCAGAATGTGCACAAAGAAATTATAAATGAGTAACAAATGCATGAAACAGTATCCATGGAAAAGGTGGTGGCAAAGGTAGTGGCCTAATTAACTTGGAAAATGAGTGGGTTCTGTAACACAAAAGGCAAAAGGAATTGTACATAAGCAAAGTATTCTAGTCAATAAAATTTGTTCCTTTGGGAATATGCGTGCTGATACTGCTAAATATGTTAACAGGAATTGAACAATTAAGTAAATGGATGGTAGCTGGTAAGAGCTAGGTTTCTAACTGTTGGAATAGTAGTTTAGAGATAAGCAAGGGGCTACACTGGTTCATGTGGTAATGGACTAGAGTTGAAGACAACAGTATGAAGTCATGTTTTGCTTAATGTAGATAAAGATGGTTACATATAGAAATGTTATTATACAGGACTTAGTATACATACATATATCTCTGTCCTCTGCCAGTTCAAGGAAATGAAATAAATAAAAACTCAATGGCAATGGGCTCACCTAACACAAAAATCTTGGTTTATAATACTATTGTCCAGTAAAAGACACCAGATGTCCTTAGAGAAATGGCTAATTCTGGGACTTGGGCTGGACATATACAAGATAAACTCTGAGTCACAAAGCAAAGAAGGTCTAAAACACACACACTTTGTCCACTTTTTAATATGGTTGTTTGTTTTTTTTCTTGCAAATTTGTTTAAGTTCCTTGTAGACTCTGGATATTAGACTTTTGTCAGATGGATAGATTGCAAAAGTTTTCTCCCTTTCTATCATATTGTTACTTGTTACTGCTCTATTTAGGTTTGGGATTTCTTTATTTTTATTTTTCTTTTTTTATTTTATTATTATTATACTTTAAGTTTAAGTTTTAGGGTACATGTGCACAATGTGCAGGTTTGTTACATATGTATACATGTGCCATGTTGGTGTGCTACACCCACTAACTCATCATTTAGCATTAGGTATATCTCCTAATGCTATCCCTCCCCCATCCCCCAACCCCACAACAGTCCCCAGTGTGTGATGTTCCCCTTCCTGTGTCCAAGTGTTCTCATTGTTCAGTTCCCACCTATGAGTGAGAACATGCGGTGTTTGTTTTTTTGTCCTTACGATAGTTTGCTGGGAATGATGGTTTCCAGTTTCATCCATGTCCCTACAAAGGACATGAACTCATCATTTTTTATGGCAGCATAGTATTCCATGGTGTATATGTGCCACGTTTTCTTAATCCAGTCTATCGTTGTTGGACATTTAGGTTGGTTCCAAGTCTTTGCTATTGTGAATAGTGCCGCAATAATAGTTCATTCTTGGTAGGTTGTATGTGTCTAGGAAGTTTTTCATTTCTTCTAGGTGACCCAATTTATTGGCATATAGCTGCTCATAATACTCTCTAATGATCCTTTTAATTTCTGTGGTATCAGTTGTAATGCCTCCTATTTTGTCTCTGATTTTATTTGTTTGAATCCTGTCTCTTCTTTCTTAGCCTGGCTGAAAGTTTGTCAATTTGTTTATTTTTTCAAAAAATCAATTGTTGTTTCATTTTTATGGTATTTTTTAGTCTCATTTTAATTTTATTTTTACTCTGATCTTTATAATTTATTTTCTTCTGCTAATTTTGGGTTGAGTTTTCTCTCATTTTTATAATTCTTTAAGAAGTATCATTATTTTGTATATTTGATTTTCTCTACTTTGTTGATGTAGATGTTTATTGCGATAAACTTCCCTCTTAATATTGCTTTTTCTGTTTCCTATAGGTTTTAGCATATGGTATTTCAAGAAATTTTTTAAATGTTCTTCTTTATTTTTTCATTGATCCAGTGATTGTTCAGGACTGTATTGTTTAATATCTATGTGTTTATAGTTTCCAGAGTTTCTTTAATTATTGATTTTTAGTTTTATTCCATTGCAATCAGAAATGATATTATTTTAATTTTTTTGAAAATTTTTAGACTTATTTTCTGTGCTGACATATGGTCTATCATGGAGATTTTTCCATGTAGTAAGGTAAAGATCATCCAGACAGAAAATCAGAAAATAAATATCAAACTTAACTGGTATTATAGAACAAATGAGTCTAATAGACATTAATAGAACATATCATACAACAGCTGTTATTATTTTCTGATTTTCTATCTAGATGATCTGTCCAATGATAAAATTGTGGTGTTGAAGTCCCTAGTCATTATAATATTAGGGTGTATCTCTGCCTTTAGCTCTAATAATATTTGCTTTGTATATTTGGGTGTTCCAGTGTTGAGCACATATATGTTTACAGTATTTTCATCTTCCTTTTAAGTTGATTCCTTTGTCATTATATAATGACCTTGTTTGTCTCTTTTTAGTTTATTTTTCTTGAAATGTGTTTTATCTCTTGTAAGTATAGCTATTTCTGCTGTTTTTTGTTTCCAATTTGCATGGAATATCTTTTTTTATTCCTTCATTTTCAGTCTATTTGTGTCTTTACAGATTAATTGGGTTTCTTATAGGCAGCATATAGTTGGGTTTTATTTTTTCTCCATTCAACCACTCGATGTCTTTTGATTGGAAAATTTAGTCCTTTAATATTCATTGTTATTACTGATAGATAAGAACTTACTACTGCCATATTGTTACTTGTTTTCTATTTTTTGTTGTTGTTGTTGGTACTCCCTTTTTTCCTTCTTTCTTGTCTTCTTTTATATAAAAGTGACTTTCTATGGAAGTATGTTTTAATTTATTGCTTTTTATTTATTATAGATTTTTGTTTTGTAGTTCCCACAAAGTAAAAAAAAATGACATCTTATAACAAATGATTTTAAGCTGATGACAATTTAACTGTGATCACAAAGAAAGGAAAAACAAAATAAGCAAAGAAAAAAACTAAAAAGCTATACACTTTAAATTCTTCCTGCTTTCTGACTTCTTGTTGCTTCTATGTATATTTTAAAATATCATATGTCACTTAAAATTGTTGTTATTATTGATAGGTTTATCTTTTTTCCTACTCAGGATATGAGTGACTTATACACCACAATTACAGTGTTAGATTATTTTGTATTTGTCTGTGCACTTATTTTTACCAGTGAGTTTTACACCTCCAGATAATTATTAGTTGCATGTAGCAACCTTTTCTTTCAGATTGAAGAACTCCCTTAACATTTCTTGTAAGACAGATCTGGTGCTGAGAAAATCCCTAAATACTTCTTCAGCTTTTTCCTTTCTCTTTTCTTTTCTCTTTTCTTTTCTTTTTCTCTTTCTTTCTCTTTCTTTCTTTCCTTTCTTTCTCTCTCTCCCTTCCTTCCTTCCTTCCTTCCTTCCTTCCTTCCTTCCTTCCTTCCTTCCTTCCTTCCTTCCTTTCTTTCTCCTTCCTTCCTTCTGTCCTTCCTTCCTTCCTTCTTGTCTGGGAACATCATTATTTTTCCTTCATGTTTGAAGGATAACTCTGCTGTGTTCACTATTCTGGGTTGGAAGTTTTTGGTTTTGTTTCCCTTCAGCACTTTGCCAAGTGTATGTATCAGAGCTCATTTTTATATTATTTGTTTGTTTTCTCTTGCTGTTTTTAGGATTCTTTCCTTATTCATGACATTTGAGATATTATATAGCTTGAGGTAATCTTATTTGGATTGAATATGCTTGATATTCTTTGACCTTCTTGTAACTAGATATTCATACCTTTCTCTAGGTTCAGAAAGTCTTCTGTTGTTATTTCTAATAATATACTTTCTACCTCACTCACTTTCTACAGCCTGATTAAGGCCAATAATTCTTATATTGGCCCTTTTGAGGCTATTTTCTAGATATTATAGGCATGCTTTATTCTTTTTGTCTATGTTTCTTTTTCTCCTCTTGCTGTGTAGTTTCATATAGTCTTTGAGTTCACTAATTCTTCTGCTTGACCAGTTCTGCTATAGAGAGGCTGATACATTTTTGTTATTCAATCAAATTTATCAGCTCCAGAATTTCTGCTTGATTTTTAAAAACTATTTTAATTTCTTTGTTACATTTCGCTGATAGAATTCTGAGTTTCTTCTCTGTGTTATCTTAAAGTTTGTTGAGCTCCTTCAAGACAACTATTTTGAATTCTCTATCTGAGATGTCGTATATCTCTGTCTCTCTAAGATTGGTCACTAATGTCTTATGTAGTTTGTTTGGTAAGCTTATGTTTTCCTGTAGGTTCTTAATGTTTGTGGATCATCATTTACATCTGGGCATTGAAGAGTTTGGTATTTATTCCAATCTTTGCAGTCTGGGCTTGTTTGTATTCATCTTTCTTAAGAGGACTTTCAAAGAATTCAAAGGGGATTGAGTGTTGTGACCTAAGCCTGTGGTCACTGCAGCCATTTTAGCTCTAGGGGGTACCCTAAGCCCAGGAACAGTGAGACTCTTACAGGCTCCTAGAAATACAGCTTTGGTGGACTTGGATAAGATGAAAGAATTCCTTAGTTTACCAGGCAAAGTCTCTCACTCTTCTCCTTTTTTCCAAACAGAGTCTCTCTGTGCTGCATTGCATAGAGTTGGGAAAAGAGTGACATGGGCTCTCTCATGGCCACCGTAGCTGGCACAATCCTGGATCACACGTGAAGCTCACAGCCTTCCGGATCAGCACAGTACTGAGGCTTGCCCAAGGCTTATGGCCAGTGTTGCCTGACTGCTGCTGATGTTTAATCAAGACTGAAAGGTGCTTTAGTTAGCAGGCAGTGAAATCTTGCCAGGAGTGGGTTCATCCCATTATCCAGTGGATTCTCTTCTGATCCAGAGTAGGACTAGAAATACCATCCAAAAGCAAAGGGCTGGGATTGGGAGCTTCAGAAATCTGCCTGATTCTTCATTTTACTGTGGCTGAGCTTGTCCATAGTTACAAGACAGAATCCTCTGGGTTTGTTTGTTTGTTTGTTTGTTTTCCCCTCTATTTTCCCCAACAGGAAGGAATCTCCTTGAGCTGCATTGCCTGGAGTTGGGAGAGGAGCTGCAGGCACTCTCATGGCCTTCACAGCTGTTGCCACACTGAGTCAAATCCCATGTCCACTGCCTCTGAGACCAGAACAACACCAGGGCTTGACCAAGGACTGAAGTTCCTGTTGCCTGACGGCTACTCACATTTATTTGGTGCCCCAGGCCACGTTAGTCAGCTTGTAGTGAAGCCACCTGGAACTTGATTTTCTGTCACTGGAGAGACGGATTTTCCTCTGGTCCAGGGTTGATGTAGATGTTTTTTTGCCATAGATGCCAGCAGAATTCTGCCCTGTATTGCATTCTGCTGTGACAGGGCAGCACTGAATGCCAATGCAAAGTCCCATACTCCCTTTGCTCTCCCTTTCCGAAGCACATGCAATCTCTCTCTGCCCTGTGTTGCCTGGGATTCATGGAGGGGTAGTGCAGACAGTGCAAAATTGTCCTTCTTACCTTATTCAATGCCTTTTTTCTTGTTATGATGTTATAACGAAGTACTTTGGTTGCTCAACTGATTTTCTGGTTCTTATGAAGGTGCTTTCTCGCCTGCTATAGTTGTTCAATTTGCTGTTTGTGTCAGGAGGCAAACATTGGAATGTCCTCTTCAGCTGTGTAACTCCACTTTCTCCTGTCCTTTCTCCTTTTAACCAACTAAATATGATCTCTTCAGAGTATATGGAGGAAAGGGTAAAAGGAAGTATATTCAGACATACTCTCCAAAGTATAGGGGGGGCCTCATTTCCCTGTGGTTGAATGTTTATCATTTGGAGTGATTTTTTGTATAATAAAGCCATTGTCTTTTTACTGCTTTCTCACTTTTTCTGAGGGAAGTAGGGCTGATTTGACTGATGACGTTTAAAAAATGACTGGTGAAAATAGCTGTTTTTGTTGTTAGGTATACCTTCTGCAGAGCATCTTTACTTTGGCCTCTTCCTTCTATGTGAAAAATGGCTTACTTCTCTGTAGCAGTCCTATAGTTGTATAACTGTGCAAATGATTCTATGTGGAAGTGTGTTCAACTTTTGAGATGAAGTATTAGCAAATTTGCTTGGCCATGATCTAAACCACATTTTTCAATCACACGTATCCAACATCTACTCTCCTATCGAGGTATAAATGACAAGAGAGAATGATTTTTTTATTACAGCAACTCCTCATAGTTCCAAATACTGCAAATGTTTCTACTTCGTTAATTACATTTATATTAATTTCACTTTTATATATTCCTTTTACTTTTTCTACTGTTTGCTTATTCACTCAATAAACAGTTACTGAGTGGTAAGCAAAATAGCCATATATCTTCTATTATAGAGCTTTGACTTATGGGGAAGAAAATGAAAACTTAAATAATATCAGAATGTTTATTTATAATTGTGGTAAATACTGGTACAAAAAAGAATAGGGTTTTCTGATAGCTTATACTTAAGGAACTTTATTTGGATTGGATAAATCTGGGGTCAGGAGTGCTTCACTGGCAAAGTGATTTTCACCTGAAATCTGAAGAATGCATTGTTTTCAGAGCATCAAAAATAACATAGAGAGCATTACTTCTTTTGATCAGGACAGTATTCTCTAGGTTTAACAGAGGGATTGGCAAAAATTTTGCAATAAAGGCCAGATACTAAATATTTTTAGCTTTGTGAACCATATTGTCTCTGTTAATACTCAGTTCCATTATTGTAGCAGGAAAGCAGCGACCATTGATAATATGTAAGTGAATAAGTGTGGCTATTTCTGAAAAATGATTTACAAATAATTAGTGGTGTACTGAATCCTGGTTGAGCCTCATAATATGTTATATTATTTATTTCTACTTTTTATAGAAAATATCTTTACATGAAACTTTTTAAATCAGGAATTCGCATCTTCTTGTGGTTTGTTTTGTTTTTAGTCTAAATGAATAACTGTACATATGTAACTTTTAAATTCCCCTTATTGATTTTCATCTATCTTACCATATGTATTAAAAAATATTTTATTCCGTGTATCTTTTTTCTCCCAGTTGTATTATTCTCAAGATAAATATCTTGTTTTCAGTGTCTTTGTAACAGTAATTGATCACAAAATTTAATGAAACATTGTCAAGAGAAATGTTTTCCAAAATGTGTCCCATGGAATACAGATCCCTCGAAATGTTATAAGATCTTGCATGTCAAATAAGTTTAGAAATCAATGTATGCCACTGATTCCTAAATGCCAAAGAGTAACATTTTCTTACTGTGCAAAGAAAAAAATGAGATATATGAGGACTACGTGGTTAGATTTTTGTAAATGTAAATGTATTTATTGTAAGACTTACTTTGAAGTTGTAGCTTTTCTGTATTTCAGAGGCAAAATGTACTATCTTTAAGAAAATGGTGTCAATAGCAGTTTATTTCATTAAATTATTTTAGCAAGGAAATGTTTTATAACTCATAAATAAACTTTAATTTCTGTTTCCAGTACATATCTCCCATATCTTATAATCCACTAAAAAATATAAGATAGAAACTTTGGGAATGCATTTGCATTTGCGAATTCTTTTAATACACTGATATTTAACAAATCAAAGCCAAAATATTAAATATGTGAGCTTATATAGATGTTCTTTCATTAACTACTCACTTTTCTTTTCTGCCTCAATTCTTCTTTAGCCTTATTTACCTACTCTCCCACTTTGAAGATAATTTTCTTTATTGTATAGCTGGTTACAGCTTTCCCTCAAAACTGATCTTGAAATGAGGCACATGTAGGTATCATGTATGTACCTGATTAGAAGAAAAAATAATATCTTGTAAATAGTCTGTTTTCTTTGTCATTTGCAAAAGGAAAAATTATATTGAAATGTTTTCTTTAAGCATTTCCTGACATGCTGTGCTGTCATGCTAATGTGTTTGTTCTAAGAGTCTCCTATAATTCATTATTTAACTGATTATTAGATTGTTCTTTGTGACATATGAATGAAATTGTTTGAACCTAGGACAAAGAAAAAGCATACTGATTCAAAAGCATTGCTCCAATATCTTTAATGAGTTTGGTTCTCTAATTGGAATCATACAGTAGATAAAATAATTATACAAATGTTGTCTAAATGGCCACATGATTTATTTCTATTATCTTGTTACCTGTCCTTTCTTTCTTTTTTGCCATTATTGATGAAGATTTTATTTTACTATTGCTCCCTCAAGCTCATGCACAGGGGTTTTAGCATTTTTCATCCAGAAAGTGGGAGGCAGAATGAGTTGAAGACAAATTTGAGCTTTGAGCATTTTTCTCATGTTGAATCAATTGTTCTGACTCTCACAGTGATGAAGTGTGAGAAATGAATACATTGATTACTTAATGGGCTCTCAACTTTTAAATATTTTATTCAGTCAAGCAGTTTCAGGCTTTTAATTTCCTTATGTAGGCCAATCTCTTAATATTGAAATTCATTTATGTATAAACGGATTATATTCCTTCCACAGAGTATGTGTATCTGGGCCTTTGTTACAAATTTGTCCTTGCAAGTTTTTGCTAGCAAAATTAAGCCAAGCTGAATCATGGATAACATAAATGAGTATTAGATCAGCAAGCGCAGAAGCAGTCTTCATAATGGGCTAAAAGTTATAGCCCATGGGAGATGAGATGGTCAGAAAACAAACTCAAGTTATAGCTGATACAAAGGTAGCTAGTGTGAGCCTAAATGGCTTAGTAGATAATGTTCTCATTAAATGCTTCCAACTTTCTGGTTGACGGGAAATAAAAAACATAAATAAAAGCATATATATGTTCATGTTTAGTAAGTGTTTAAGTAAAAATTTTAATTTGATATCTAGCTGAAGTTAAGTAACTTCAAATTTAGTTTAAAAGAAAACAATATAATGCTGTCTGAGTGTGATACTATCATATGTAATAATATATATATAATATATTGTATTATATATAACTCAGCCCTTCTTGCAGTATTTTGTTATTAACATCAGGGTGCTGTAGGGCTCAGAAGCAGGTGTCAGAAAACAATCTTCCTCTCTGCCCTTTTGCTGACTTCCTTTCATTTGCTCCTTAGCAGGTGAAGGCAGGCCTTAGAAATGAAAAACACATTTTAATCTTTTTTTGCTTCTGGCCACAGGGAAACTCTTTGACATACCTTGTCTGATTGTAGGTTATAAGAACCTCATTTTGGAAGAGGTCCTGTCCCATACTCTGGAGGAAGAGATGCTCCACAGAGATGTAAAGAAAAATTGAACAGAGAGGTTTTGCTGGATTTCCCAATTTAGTCTATTAGTATTACATCATACTCTTTTTGTTTAATCACATTTCTTCTCAGTTGTCAATCATGCTTATCCAATGAAGTCTCCATCAGAAGCCCAACAGGACAGGGTTCAAAGAACTTCCTGATAGCTGAACAGTGAAGGTTACTGGAGGGGGAGCCTTGGGGAGGGAATAGAAGCTCATCAATTGACCCTTTTCACATGCCCAGCCCTATGCATCTCTTCATATCTATCTTTTATAATATTCTTTGTTATAAACTGACAAATATAAGTAAGTGTTTCCATGAGCTCTGTGAGCTGCTCTAGCAAACTAATTGAACCTGAGAAGAGGGTTGTGGATACCTCGACTTATAGCCCATTGGTCAGAAGCACAGGCAAAATAACTTGGTGCCATCAGAATTCGGGTGGGGAGCAGTCTTGGGGACTCAGCCATCAACCTGTGAAATCTAACACCTTCTCCAGGTAGATTATATCTGAAATGAACTAGAGGACATGCAGCTGGTGTCCACTACAAAATAGATTGCATGTTTGATGTGGGGGAGAAGCCCTTCCACATACAGTCACAGAAGGCTTCTGTGTTAATTATTATTGTTGAGTGAGAGTATACAAGAAACTGAGTTTGATTTCTTCTGTATTCTAGACTGAGAAAAACTTTTTTTCTGTTAAATATTAATCATGAATTAGAAAATTTGGTTTTAGAAAATATTTTCTAGGAAAGTGTATTTTAATGGATCTTTTAAAACTAATTGATATAACTATTATTTTATTCTTCACTTAAATAGTAAAGATTTAATGAACTTATAATAGCAATGGTTTTGCTATTGCACTTTTTGTTCTATAATGATGCTTTTTAAAATCTTAAAATATTCAGAAATATGGAGTCAGTTACTAGTAGTTTAATAATTGCAACCTATTTACTAAATAATACAAATCTTTTGGGAAACCATTTCAAACTTCGATCCACATCTAATTCAAGTAAGTTTTCCATGATATAGATGTCATGGATAGAGACAGATAGTGAGCTACTACATGAGGGATAGATTCCAAAGTAAGTCTTAAAAAAAACTGAAAGTTTCATGTTAATGAGATGTAAACTTTCATTTTGTTTAGTCACTGGTATTTCAGGATTACTTTTACTACAGCTTGTATTAGCTCTATCTGAATATACAGTGTGATATTATGCTGTGCCTGATCCACTGGAGATGTTGAAATTAATATACTCTCTTTCTTTCCAGTTATATTTATTAAATCAAATGATTAGCTCACAAGGACGTTACGAACTGCCTCCCCCCACCCTTTATTTGTCTTCAGGAGGCATAGAGAATGTGACTGAAAGATAAATTACTAGAAGAGCATTTTGGCTTCTACAATAAATCTACTTATACACAAACATTTGTGAATATGTCTTATCCATTCTACTGCATTGAAAAGCCTCTAAAGGGAAAAATACCTTTAACATACTTATATTAATATTCCTTATATCATTTGCAAATGGTACATGATAAAAATTTTAAGATGGAGTAAAAAGGCAGTCCTTCAGGTGACATAGTTTTAGAATTTCTCACTATCTTATCAGTTCTGTTTTGGAAGAACTAAAGTTATAAAAGTTCATTTTGAAATGTCTTTTAAAATATGTTTTGCAGAACTGAATATACTATTTTTAATATAATACGATGAACTTAATATCTGTGTTATCATTGGGTTCTTTGTTCAATCTTTTATTTACTCTATTCAATCTTAGACTATATTAGATGTATTAGACCTGACAATAGTCTCGTAAATTTGAGGGGTCTTATTGAATTTTCAGTCACCTAGGATGTACTTCTTATGAGAAAATCACTCTGTTTCTTGGGAAGTAGTCTCCTAGGAAATTGTTTTGCACAGATTATTTGCAGGGTATATGGGGTATCTGCAAATCATCAGGCATTGCAGGTTTGGCCAGAAATTACATGTGGGCTTTCAAAGCTGATAGCCAAGACTATAATACTACTAGGAATAACCTCTCAAAGAAATAATAATATCCCTAAAATGTGATATAGGAAACTTGTTCAAGAGTTTACCTTGATTCTAACATGCCATTCCATAGGGGGAAAAATCTCTTTAATAAAGACTGAAGAACTTTACAGGTGAAACTCAAAACTGTATTACAATTGTTCTATAAAAGATATTTATGATACATCTCTCTCTCCATGTTACTGTTGTTACTGCTTCTGTAAATGTTAATAAATTATAGTTAATATATTTATCCACAGTGATCCCTTCATACCTCTTTATCCTTAAACAAATCATGGGGGGGAGGGGAGAAAAAAATGTTAATAATGACCTCTTTTAGTAAAATAATAGCAAAATCTCCCAACCAAGAAAACAATTCCACAAAGGTAATAGAGAAAAAAAAGTTTTATTATCGAATAAGCATTAAATCAAACTTTAATGTGCATTCAGACAATCCACTAGGAGATTACAAAGATAAAGAAATCTCACCATTTTGTAGCCAAGCAGATACAACTTTTTACATGCATGCTTTGAAGATAAACAATAAATTAGCCTTCAAGTAAGAGGACTTGATAGCACCATTTGTCACAAGTAGTTCATCCTACATTCAATGTAGTAATTGGGTTGACCATTTGTGTTAGCTTATTGTTTTTTGTCCAGAGGAAAATTACACTTCTCATATCTTTATGACAGGTGGCAGGTAGCTTTGCCACTTGGATCGAGGCTTCCACTACAGTTAGGCTCCTATGCTCCGACAGAAATTGGGAAAAAGAAGTGCTATCTTCCTTGCTAGTATAGGTCCATGAAAAAGACATTCCCAGGGCATAAAGCTGACGAAAGATCTATTCGGTTTTCAATAGTGCTATCTAGTTTTGAAAAGAATTTGTATACATTTCAAAAAAAGGATGAAGTACTTGCAATTACAATTAAAAACAAAACAGAGGAGATGAAAATTTCTTCCCTTATTTCCAATTAGGAGAATTAAGGGTGTTATTTTTAATTCGTATTTGCCCTTAAACTTGAAAACATAATATTGAATAAGACTACCTAAACTTGCCAAGCTTCCCCTTGCTCTTCCCATAACTCTGTTCAAAAACAAGAATAAATTTCATTGAATTACTAATAAAATCATTTTATTTACTTTCATCTCTACATAAAGAATGCTTAAAAATATATGTTCTGAACAATATTAACATTGTCTCTAATACTTTTACTTACCATCTTCACATAGTTTTCAGCACATAGGTACAGTATTCTAATATATAAATAAGTTTCTCCTACTATAATAAAGTCCATAGGGATTGTATCATACAAGCTTTAGTAGACAGATGGAACCAAAACAAAGGAAACAGCAATGATTTACTGACATGATGATATCTCTACAAAAGATTATTTCCAGAGATACTAACAATTATCCTAGTTAAATGATGGTTGTCTTAAGTATTTCAGAATATGCCAAAATTCAGTACCAGTGGCACTGAGTGTTTCGTTATTTCTAAAATTATTCCCTGAAATACTATTAGTGGGAAGTTAGGCTAAAATGATTTTTCATATAAATTGTATTGAAATTTAACTTTTCATAAAGCAGATCATAAAAAAATGTTTTTAAGAGATTTAATTATTCCGAGACATGCTTGTAAAATTTCACGTGTCCACCGAAATGTTTTCCTCTGTCAAAATGAACTACAATACTCAGTCAGGGACTTGTATCATGGTTAAAATCTTTTCTGTTTATACTTTAAGTGTGTGATGTGTTCAAAGTGAAAACTATCTAACAAGTCCCTTTCTTTCTTGTTATAAAAAAAGCTGTTCCCAGACCTACTCATTATTTGTATTGGTAATTTGTTATTCATCAAAAGAATTATAATATAATAGAATAAATTCTAATATTTATGACCCATCACAGTGATACAATTTTTACAGTCTGATAGACTTGGAGTACATGCAGTTGTCTTTTTATTAATTTTAAAACTTAATGCTGTGGGAGGTATGGGTAATTTTAGGAAGAAGTGCTGAGTGTTCACTCATTTCATCAAAAACAAAAAAAGAAAGTCAAGGGCAAGAGTAACAAAGAATATGTAGTATCTTTATAATTGCAGGGGGATTCTATGTGATAAAAGAGATTCACAGAGAGATTTGACTACTTGAATGGTTTGTGTAAATAAACTCAAAATCATCTGTAGGCCTTTCTGTGGTTGACATAAGTAAAAATTAAGGATGCAGTGAACCCTTCAATGAGCAGTATCGCCTTTCTAACAAGCAAGGAAGAAAGTCAGTGTTCAAATAAACAATTGCAATTAAGTTCCTAACATTTCAAAAATATTATGGAGAAATTAACAAAGTTCAAAATGTATTAAACTATTAATTATACAGTACCAGCTTCAAAAATCTACTGTAATGAAACCTATATTCTTTTGATTTGAGTTCAATTAATTGTCATCATTTAGCACACCAGTGATTTAGTGAACTTTTACCATCTCCATCTCCTTTTTATCCTTGAAGTGAGTGAACCATTTCTCAGGGCACTATTTCCTTAAAGGTGTGTTGGAAGGAGGCAAGGGGACATTTTTTTTTCCTGCTTTACTTCCAGACTTGTAGTTTTGGTTGTCTTTGATTTGGCTTGTCATGTTTTTTTCTTTTTTTTACCTGACTAATGATGCTAAGATCTAAGTCACAGATTTTCCATACATGTCAAGCGCATTACAGTTTTCCTCAAACTCATGCTTCAGAAATACATATTCATGGTTTTACTCAGCTATTAATTTGATTTTTTTTTGCTTTCTATGTCACGTTGTTACTCCTATTATCAATAGTTTACATAGTGTGCACCTCCATCCTTGTATCGATTATTTACATGTTATGTTAGCAGATACAGAGATTAGAGCTAATCTGTATAATACTTAGTAGTCACCAATACTAATAAAATTCCTTTGGGGAAATATAGAAAGTGAAAAATGAAAGAAATGAGAGAAAAAGAAAAAAACAAAGGGAAAAGGAGGAGGGAGAGACATAAAGAGAATGAGTGGAAAAGATTTAATTTCAATATAAGTGTTAAATACATTATTCTAAGGAAGTATTATCTTTTAACAGAAAGTAACTTTTAATTTTCCCTAGTCTGTAATAGCTCGTTTCAAAGCTGCCACATATTTTCAAATACAATTATACAAAACAGCATTGCACTGTCTCATCCCCTTACCATAAATTTGCCATCACTTTTCCCTCCCTCAAGTTCTTTCAATTAAGCCATGAACAAACAATTGTTCTGGCTACAATGTAGCATTTGCCGTTTTTCATTTATTTTTCTCTTGTTTATGCAGAGTTTGCTAAATTTCAGAATGTGTGGCAATGCCTTTAGCCTTTCCATGTTAAATATGATTTCTGCTGATTCCCCATTTCTTTTAGTAATCCCATGTGCAACCAATAGTCCAACACTGTAAAAGCTTAACCATCTCAATGAAAGTTTTTCTTAACCTTTTAATTGTTTGTTATCGATCTCTTCTGTAGAATGCAGAGTCCATGCAGTCAGGGATCATATCTACTTTGTTGTTTTATTATTGTTATTATTCTATTGCCCATTGGTGTGACTACAACACCATTGAAAGCCAGTAAATATACACAAATCAAAGGATTTATGTCTGCAATTTCTATAAATATTTCAGAGAGAGATAGAGAATTCTCAATTTATATTTTTTATTTTATTTATTGTAGCTCCCAATGCCCTTATTATGTGAAGAATTTTGAGGGTTTTTAAGAGGATAACCTAAATAGACAATACTAGCAACAGTGGTACCAAGTATGAGTCTAACTTTGAGAAATATAACCATTGATGTGAGTCAGCTCAAGTGCCTTCACCAAGTCTTTCCTCAGAGAGAATTTTCTCCTCATGAAGTTCTTCAGTGCAAAATGCAAAGGGAGAGCATAAGTTGTTATTTCTTGTAATGTATAGCTACATATTTTCTCTCTAAGTTCCTGTGACTTGTTAGGAAGTAATCCACCCCCAGGACACAGGAACAAGCATATATTCCAGGCAAGACACTGTAACAAACCTGCACATTGTGCACATGTACCCTAAAACTTAAAGTATAATAATAATAAAATAAAATAAAAAAGATACTCCATTTCTCCCACTACATTGATTCATTTAGGGATTGCTTTTGATCTAAGCCTGTCCACAAAGACTCAAACGGATGGCTTGTATTAGAGTAACATACTAGGAAATTGATATTCTAGTTTAGGACACAGAGGCAGGTGGGGAATTGCTTATGTGAGGGAACGTGAGCTTCAGAATGCATTTTGCCAATAAGAGAGAGACTTCCTAAGACTAAAGCCAACATAGGGAGACAAAACCAAGAGAGGGAGAGAGGAAAACTATTCTGAAAATATAATTTCAGCAGTGGATGCTGCTCAGCTCAAGCCAGAGTTATTCCTGGTCCTTTGTATTACATGAGCCAGTTTGAGATGAGCTTTGGTTACCTGCCATTGAAAGTGCAAGAGTCTAATAGTCCTCTAGATTTCCAAACTTGCTTGAATCCTTAGTATAGATGCATCGGGTAAAGACTGCAATATTGAATAGTTTAAGCTCCATCCCTTTAACTATTTCCATGTTTAAAAATGCATTCACAATCATTTCAAGTATTGCTTTGATCAGTTTTATTTATTTTAATTGGGGGAAGACGGAGGGCAGCATGACCTGAAATTATATTTCCATGTAGCCTTATTTACAGTTTCATGGTGGTATCACTTTTCAAAAGCATTACAATTATTGAATTTTTTTCACAACAGTAATTTTTTTAATAAAAACTTTTATTATTTGAAGTTGACCAATTCCTAGATTTGTTAAGCTTTCTGTGTGATAATCTTTACAACAGGTGATACAGAGAAAGGGATTATACAGGTATGCTACATTTTATCACTACCTGTGGGAAGTTCATATATCAAATGAAATTATTTAAAGGAGTATTAAATTATATTCTGTATTAAATAACAACACTCATGTAAAGATACAAGAGCTTATATAAAAATAAACCATGAAAGCATATAAATAATTTATGATGTCAAAACAAAAATTACACCAGGCAAAAACAGATGAGGAAGACTTTATTTAAAGTTATTGAAATAGAAGCCAGATGCCAGTTCTCAGTCTGAGTTAAACTCTACTGAAACAAAGCAGAAGGATTCTTCAGAGCTGAAGAGAGGAAAGAGGGGAGTCTTAAGCCATCTGTGTAAGCAAACTTTTCATATCTTCATGACAAGATATAGTTTTACAACTTGGGGCAAGATGGCTATCAAAGTTAGGCTCCTAATATTCAACAAAAATAGGAATATAGGGTTTCTTTCTTTTTTGTTGATTGCATTTTAAAAAGATAGTTCCAAGGTTCCTGAGAAAGACATTTCTGGTTTGTAAAACCAGTGAGAAGCTTGTAAAATGGTTTACATTTCAAAGAGGCAAAGAAATAATTCACAAGTTTTCTAAGGTAAGTGCTCTAAGAATAGAAAGGTTATGGGCCTAGAGTCAGTTCTAAACCTATCTAAAGTTTAGTCAGGCTGAAGGAAATATGAAGGCCATCTTGCTCTAGAAACATGAACCACTCGTGACAACCAAACCAGAATGCATGAAACTCATACAATTTTGCATGCAAATAAAATAGAAAGGGTAAAAAAAACAAATTCTCCTTAGTTCTGCTACCTAGTTTCTATCAACTGCATCTTAAATTCTTTCACACACAGAAAATTTAAAATGATACCTTTCAATACAATATAAATGTCTTATCACTAGTTTAGAATTGACTTGAAATTTATGTTGTGAACAACTTAAATCTAAAACACAAAGTATGGTGTTTAATATTGAACCTTACTCTATAGTATGATTGAAAATAATAAAAAATCTGACTTTTTGTCTAATGAGCTGTGAATAATGAGGTTTTATTAAAATGCCTAATTTGTTTAGGTACATGCAATGCCTACTTATCCAATTACTCTGGTAAAATTACAAACGGAGAAGGTTGAATCTGTTAAATTAAGAAGGTCATTGAAGCAATTAAGATTGTTGAAGCATATTATTAATACATTATAGGGGAGAGTAATAATGGAAAATCTGCCTGTTCTCCTATGTTCAGGCTTATGTTTCCATTCATTTCATTGTCTAAGACCTAAGAAAATAAAACACACACAAACACACACACACACATACACACACACACACACATAGCTGACCCTTGAACAACAGGAGTAATACAGGTTTGAACTGTTTAGATTCACCTGTATGCAAATTTTCTTCCAACTCTACCACTCCTGAGACAACACCAACCCCTCTTCTTCCTCCTTTTTCTCAGCCTATCAAAGTTGAAGACGGCAAGGATGAAGAGTTTTCTGATAATCCACTTCAATTTGATGAATAGTAAATATATTTTTGCTTCCTTATTATTTTCTTGATACAATTTTCTTTTCTCTAGTTTGCTTTAGTGTAGAAATACAGCATACGATACATGTAACACAAAAAGTATGCATTACTTGACTGCTTATGTTATCTGTAAGGCTTCTGGCCAACAGTAGGGTATCAGCAGTTAAGTTTTGGGAGAGTCAAAAGTTATTTGTGAATTTCTAATGGCATGGGGATCAGCACTCCTAACCCCTGTGTTGTTCAAGGGTTAAATGTGTGTGTTTGGGTGTGTGTATACATATATCATAAATCATCATTAAGAAGACAACAAAGACATATTTTAATAAATAATGAAATAATATGAGACTTGCCCTAATTTCTAAATTTCTTCATTTATTGAGAAAAATGTTTGTTAATAAGCAGAATTTATGTGAAAATGACAATACTGCCCAAAGCATTCAACAGATTCAAAACAATTCCCATCAAAGTATCATAATTATTATTCACAGAACTAGAAAAAAAAATTCTAAAATTCATTTGGAATCCAGAAAGAGCCTATACAGCCAAAGCAATACTAAGCAAAGAGAACAAATCTGGAAACATCACATTACCCAACTTCAAATTATACTACAAGGCTAGAGCTACCAAAACAGCATGATATTGGTATAAAAATAGGCACAAAGATTAATGGAACAGAATAGAGAGCCCAGAAAAAAAGCTAAATACTTACAGCTAACTTATCTTCAACAAAGCATACAAAAACATAAAGTGGAGAAAGGACACCAATTTAATAAATGGTGCTGGGAAAACTGTCAAGCCACATATAGGAGAATGAAACTGGGTCCCCACCTCTCACCTTACACAAAAATCAACTCAAAATGGATCAAAGACTTAAATCTAAGACCTGAAATTATAAAAATTCTAAAAGATAACATTAGAAAAATTCTTCTAGACATTGGTTTAGGCACCTAATTCATGACTAAGAACCCAAAAGTAAATGCGACAAAACCAAAAATAAATAAATGGGACCTAATTAAACTAAAAACCTATTGCACAGCATAAGAAAAAGTCAGCAGAGTAAACAGAAAACTCATAGAGTGCAAGAAAATATTTGCAAACTATGCATATCCAGAATCTACAAGGAATTCAACCAAATCAGCAAGAAAAAAACAAATAATCCCATCAAAAAGTGAGCAAAGAACATAAATAGACAACTCTCAAAGGAAGATATACAAACTGCCAACAAACATAAGAAAAAATGCTCAACATCACTAATTATCAGGGAAATGCAAATTAAAATAAAAATGAGATAAGATCTTACTTCAACAAGAACGGCCATAATAAAAAATAAAAAAAAATAAATGTTTTCATGGATGTGGTGAAAAGAGAACACTTTTACACGGCAGGTGGGATATAAACTAGGGCAAATACTATGGAAAACAGTATGGAGATTCTGTACAGAACTCAAAGTAGAACTACCATTTTATCCAGCAATCTCTCTACTCGGTATCTACCCAAAGGAAAATATAACATTATATGAAAAAGACACACGCACATGCATTTTTAGAGCAGCACTATTTGCAATTGCAAAAGTAGGGAAGCAACATAAATGCCTATGAACCAATGAGTACATAAATAAAACGTGGTATATATACACCATGGAATACTACTCAACCATAAAACAGAATATTATAGCCTTTGCAGCAACCTGGATGGAACTGGACACCATTTTTTAAGTGAAGTAACTCAGGAATGGAAAAGCAAATATTGTATGTTCTCACTTGTAAGTGAGAGCTAAGCTATGAAGATGCAAAGGCAAAAAGAACGATATAATGGACTTTGGGTAATGAGGGGGAAGGGTGGGAGGCAGGTAGGGAATGAAAGACTACATCTTGGGCACAGTGTACACTACTTGGGTGATGAGTGCAACAAAATCTCAGAAATCACCACTAAATAACTTATTCATGTAACCAAAAACCATCTGTATTTCAAAAACTATTGAAATAAAAATAAAAAATAAAAAAGCAAAAACCAGAATTTAGCACAAAATGAAGATACGAGTATACAAGAACAATTAGGTTAAAACAGATGATTTAATTTAAAACATCATAAAAATAATTCATTTAAGTATAATAATATTAATTGTTAAGATTTTTCTTTTCTTCTAGTTTAACTGGTGTGTTGTATAGGAAGAAATAAAACCTTAAAAGAATGTGCTAAGAGAAAAAGTGGCTGAAGAGTAGGAAATAAGAGAAATGAAGAGTAATACAATGGGCACTTTCATTGAAAATGTAGTACATACACATGATGGAATACTATGAAGCCAGAAAAAAGAATGAGATCATGTCCTTTGCAGGGATATGGTTGGAGAGGGAGGCCATGATCCTTGTCAAACTAATGCTGGAACAGAAAATCAAATACTGCATGTTCTCACTTATAAGTGAGTGCTAAATCATGAGAATACGTGGACACATAGAGGGGAACAACAAACACTGGAGCCTATTGGAGGATGTAGGGTGGGTGGAGGGAGAGGATCAGGAAAAATAACTAATGGGTACTAGGCTTAATACCTGAGTAATGCAATAACTTGTATAACAAACCCCCATGACACAAGTTTATCTATGTAACAAACCTGCATGTGCACCTCTGAACTTAAAATAAAAGTTAATAAAATAAAATAATATGAAATTCACTTTATTTCCTATCACTGAAACTTGAGTAAACATTTCTAGAGGATGTAAGATCAAACAACTAATACTTGTGTAATATCTTTTCTAAAATGTTAAATTATCAAGTTCTCCATCACTATATGTTCTAGAGGTTATTTCTAGGTCAACTGAGCTTGACCTTCAAATATTTACAAGGCAAAGATAGATAATTTTTCCTTCACTACAAATACAAGTATAGGGCTAATTGTTGAGACTAAGGCCTAATTTATAACTTGATTCCCAGAGCAGATTACAGGTATGGATGAAGTAATGTCAAAGTAACAGAAATCACTCTTCCTGGTTTCCCCAAGGAATAACCTAATAACTTCTATAGAAGGCTTTCCCATATTTTGAAAATGTGTAAAAGTGCCTTTTCTGCTAATCACAACTACACAGCTGGAACAACAAACCCACCAATATAATTTCCTTTTTTATTTCAAAAATTTAACCTGCTCTTTTAAAACACTTGCTGATTGCTCAACTTGGCTACACACCTATATAGGCTGACATGGAAACTTTCTAATTCTGTCTTCCAGGTGTGGCAAGTAAGTATATCAATCAACTTTTCTTTTTTCTTTCTTTTTTTTCTCCTAAAGAAATTTTCTGCCTCTCTTTTTTTTGGTTCATTGCATATCCAATTCCATCATGAGTTCAGTGATATGACTTGTTCAATAGATCCTTATTGAATGCTGTATAAACAGAGTGATAATCACTAAAGAAATAAGCATGCTTAAGACAAGAAATTTATCCTTGACAATCGCTCAGACTAGAATGATGGATAACTGTGAGGCAATGTGAGGAATAACTGTGTATCTATGTTTGAAATATACTACTTGGGAGACGCTCTTTACGAAAAATGGTACTGAATACAAATAGGAAACCATCTATAGGCACTTCAAAGATGCCTATAAAATTGAGGGGCTGTGAATCTTACATTTTATTCACATTATGGTAAATTAGCTGCTGATAATGAGCATTATAATGGTGATCTATACAAAGTGCTGTGGGAACACTATTGGTCAGAATACTTGTTCATATACAGTTACCATCTCATTAAATGTTACAGGAAGGAGTCTATTACTTCTGCCACCTGTGGGACTCAATAGAGACTTCATTAAAGTAAAATATGGGCTAAGGTTGGTAGATGAAAAACAGTTCACCAGTTAGATTAGGTGGGAAATAAAAAACTTTTCAAGCAGAAGAAGACACACAAATAAATGCAAAAAGATATGATAATGTGTAGCTTTTTCAAGAAATTGCAATAATATACAGCACAACTGCATGAAGAAAAAAGAAAATAAGAAAAACATGTCTAAGCTGGACATTAGATAGATTATTATCAATTAAAAAAGGTTTTGGTACTTGTGTGCCATGATAAATAGGATAGCTATATATTTTAAAGTGGTGAAATGCTTAACTGGAAAGTTAGAGTGCCAGCTCTCTGTTTTTTAACATTTCTAATTAACATTATGTGTCATCCAGCATAGGTTTTGAAAAAAAATGTATTTTATGCTCATGTGCTATCCCAATTATTTATTGTTAATATCTTCATGATGGAACATAGAAAAAATAAACACTGCCAGTTAACGTTCATATTAATTTATGTATTAAATATACAGCATGTAGATAACATTATTTGTTAAGTGACTAGATATTATTAAATCACTATGAAAATATTTATATTGCCATCCAATTTTTTCCTGTTTATATAAGTACTTTCATTTGCTCTGGAGAAAACTGGCAGGCTAATGACATTTAGAGTGATGACAGAATCATCTGTCAGCCTTCTCTATAATTCTCTCCAGGCCCTGACAGACAAATACATTTTCAAATGCTGTAAAAGAAATAAGTACCAAAGCAATATAAAAATAACTTTAAAGGTCTGATAAAAGAGGCTAAAGCAAGGACATTGAAAGTTAATTCTTCTCGTTCTGCCTAAACTTGCCTTATTCAGTTTCACAGACCTGTAAAATATAATAATTATTTTCTTTTCTTTCTTTTCTTTTTTTTTTTTTTTCGAGACAGAGGCTTGCTCTGTCTCCAGGCTGGAGTGCAGTGGCGCGATCTCGGCTCACTGCAACCTCCACCTCCTGAGTTCAAGCGATTCTCGTGCCTCAGCCTCCCAAGTAGCTGGGTTTACAGGCACGTGCCACCACACCCAGCTAATTTTTGTGGTTTTAGTGGAGAAAGGGTTTCATCATGTTGCCCAGGACGTTCTTAAACTCCTGACCTTGTGATCTGTCCACTTCGGGCAAAAACAGACAAGATCTTCTAAAAGGAGATATAAACAATGGTTTAGAAGTGATTATGAATCAGTTAGATGATTCTATATATATTTGTATTAGATGATTCCAATATATTTGTATTATCATTTAGGATGGTTTCTGCTGGAAGTAACCAATGCTCAGTACAAAGTGGCTTAAGTTATAAGTAGAGTTGTGAAACGTCATGGTTCAGTCATGATTTTGCTGTATTTGTCTGTGATTTTTTAACTGTGCATGATAATTTTTTTTAGTGTGTTATCTAATGGTTACAACAATTCTGGGTCTCATATATGCCTAGAGGCAGAGCCCTTTAGATCTAGGATTCCCAGCAAGAATTAAAAGTAATTTTATTTTTGTCCACTATTTAATCAAGGCCTGCCCAATGGGATACAAAATATGGATTAATTTAAATCAACTCTGCCCTCTCTTCCCAGCTGGGGATGTGGTCTACCTTCTCCACAGCACATGGAGTGGATGGGTGGGGTAGAATAATGCAAAAGGAAAATGGACCCTGGGTAGCCAATCAATTATGTAAATTGCACTGGACAAAATAAAACAACATTGCTTTTTTTTTCAAGTACTTATAATTTATATCCTAAAATTCAGTGTTGCCTTTTAATTGTTCTTTATTTATTTTTTTATTTTTTGTCTACAAACTACAAACCACATCTATGATGTGCTCTTTGTATTAAAAATCTGATTTTTCTTCTTAAATTTTTTGATAATACTCTGGAACCTCAGCAAATGTCTTAAGTTCCATGGAATAAGCATCCCAAGCTTTTCATGCTATTTCTCATGAACTCCTGAGGTGCCTCCTTTTCCCATATAGTATACCTTAAAATTAAAACTCCAGAATTAATGATCTAGATCATAAGAGGTAGGGAAAGACATGTGACAAGATGGTGCTAATATGGTTAGGAGTAAAGAAAGGCCCTTCTGATACAGTGGCAATGAGCAAGAAAACGGAATAATGTGCAGGTGGGGGACAGGGAATAATTCATTCACATATCCACTGGCACAATGTTCTAGGCATTGCAAATGTCCATGTTTGGAGTGGCCTCTGTGTATTCCTGTTTTCAGAGGGTTAATACAGATAGAAATAGAGGGTGCCCTGATAGAGAGGGAGATAACTAGATCAAAAATAAGAACTCTTAATGAAATCAGAGAACACAAATAATGAATTGGAAGACAAAGAAAAAAAGAACAAGAAGAGTATGTGCTCAGAATGTGAAATAGTAAAAGTGATGATTTCACAGAGCAAATATGCTGCAATAACCAGTAGCTGCAATATTGTATATATACACAATATTGTGTGAGTGTGTATATATATATACACACACACACACATATATATACACACACACGAAGGGAAAACACTAGTCCTATATAAAAATCTGATCAAATATCACTTTAATTATTTTTACCAAAAAATTTTAATTAACAAAATGTCATTCCTTTTACATGTATATGACCAAATTAGCATCATATAGATCCATATTGTATTCTATAAGAAAGAATTAAATCTTAACATATTCTCCAAAGCATATTTCACAGAAAAGTTGGTTTCATGAGATTGTTGAAATGAATACATTGATTTTATGGTTAAATAATTTTGACAAATGTTGCACTCTATCTCTCTCTCTAAGATTCACAAAGCTTAAATATAACAGAAGATTTGATAAGTCCTAGAGTATTAGAAACCTGCTTGAGTTTGCAACATATTTACCAAAATTACTGGCCAAAGGACTCCTCTGCTATAAAGTAACAACTCTTTATATATAACTGAGGTTTCTTAAAGCGATTTTTGAAAATCACTGCTTTAAGATAAACAATTCATGTATGTATGTATTTATTGTATCTCAGAGGACTTATTGTTTTCATGTCTGAAGACAAACTTCCTCTTCTGGAAGTCATCTCTAAATATTAAATGCCTGTGCAGTTTGGTAGACTGAGCTACCCAACCAGAAAGAGAGATGCCCTCTAACCACATTTCTGTGGGAAGGTGTGGACTGTAGCTTCCCTGACTGTGGTTTAGGTTGAAAAGGTTACTCTCTCCTGCTGAGATGGATGGTCGGCTTCACCCATCAGCAAAAGTGCTTATGTGGTACTCCTTGGCTGGCATGGGTTCTTTGATTTATCCTAATCTAAGAACTGTCAATATTATCTACAGTATGAAATAGGCACAGAACTGAAAAGAAAAGACAAACGCATACAATTTCACTTTTCTAGATGTTTCTACAATTATAATATTGAGCCTGTCATTAAAAACTAAGTGGTTGCTGTCCTGCAGAAAAGAGCAGAATATGATCATGGGTGTCCTTTTGGAAGAGCTGATCAATTTCCTTGAGTAGTGGAACACAGTCACAAATAATACATCCCTATCATGTGGCCTGGTTTGAGAACACTCAAATTCTGCATGCCATTGCTGCTGCATTTACTTGGTCTGCAACCTGCATATGGAGACTATTCTTTTATTTTGGGAAAAAAAAACATTCAACTCTGCCACACTTTTATGCCATACCACGAATTATGCAGATATATATATATATATATATATATATATATATATTTTTTTTTTTTTTTCCCTTAGGAATGTTCCTTGTACCTCTAGTTCAGCCCAGGCTTACATCCTCTTAACAAAGATGATGTCACTAGTTGTTATCCACATTCACATTGGGAGGCTGTCTTTCTATCTCTGTTCCAGGTGAGAGATTCTTTGGGTGGCAGTCACAGAGACAGCCCAGGCACCATCATGACTGTCTCTCCTTAAGTGACCACATAATCTGCCACTGGTAGTGTTACAGTGATGGTTCCTTGCCCACTGCTGGTTGTGTTGGTATTGGCTTGCTGTCTGAAAAGTCTATGCCACTGTCAAAGTGGCTGCTGAGATGGTGGCTGTGACTCGCTGGAGAATGTTGCCATCTGCATTAACTGGCTGGTAGACCATGATCTGTCCTACTTGCTGCCCTTGGATAGCAATCTGCTTCTTTGTGTGTCTGGCTGGTGGTGAGGGCTGTCTGCACGTGCTGGATGACAATCTTCTGAGTCTGGTCTTGTTGGCCCTGAACCTGTAAAGTCTTTCCCTCTGTATCTCTATCCTCCACTTTTTTTCCCCCAGACCTCGATCTATTTCCACAAGACCAACTATATCTGCTACAAGGCTGTGTCCCAAACATAGATACTTGTAGGATGGTTTAGCCTTGTCCCTCAGGGACAGCTTGGACAATGATTTGTTGTCATTTGGTGTGATTTAACAGGCCTCTACTGACTTGAAACATCAAGGCATAACCCCTTTCCTGCTGCAGAATCTGTCCACTCTCTAAACCAGTATTCTGTGGTGAGGTATTGCTGTTTACTGCATGTCGCTCCATGTTCCAACTAAGTTGGAAGATCACCCACAGTGAGCCCCACAGAGATCCTAGAAGACTATGTAGTATAGGGGGAGTCTATGGCAGGCAAGCCCACTCTGGGCCTCAGCCTTGAAAATTTGGGCCTAAGGTTGGGGAGGAGGGGATGCGTTTTCCCCTGGCACTGACATATTGCAAGGGTTAAGACCTCTCAAGGTGCCTGCTCCAGTGGTGCCATTCCTGGGTGGGACTGGCCCCTCTAGGACTCAGACTAGAGTGCCCATAGGTGCTCAAAGGCTTTGGGCCACAACCACCAGCTATGCCAATCAGCCAGCTAGACTCAGCTCAATTCTAACAATTTATTTATATTCAACAAATATTCATGGGCATACTCATGTGTACACTGATGTGTACACTCATGTGTATTACTTTCTGATGGAGGTAGAGAGATGTTTGCCCAAGAATCTTGCACAAAAACCATGTGTTATGCAATAGAAAAGATAAGAAAAGTACAAAACTCAATGACAAGGCAAACTAAGAAATAATTAAAAGAGAGGTAGAAATAAATTTCTGGGGCATCACAATATCTCTGAGAATCAGTAAATACAGCAAAAAAGAGTGATATTTGAGCATGATCTTTGACAATTTTGACAATAAAAAAGTGGTGAATTTCTGGCAAACACACAGGGGTAGTGTCTTTCGAAAAAGTGGAACGCAGCCCAATTTGACAATAGCATAAGACACATATAATGGAGTTGAAATCTAAATCTTGTTTCTGTATTCTCTAAGTTTTGACTTTGTTTTCCTTCATTCTACCCCTCTGTATGCTACTTTTGTCTAGTATGAACTTCTCATTGCGACCCTTTAAGTCAGCATTTCCCAGGTATCTGGCCTTGAACTTCTCAATTTACACACTCAACCTTACTGCTGACATTCACAGAAATGACTTCATGAAAAACGTAAAGGCTGATGACTCCTATCCTAAACCAGTCTCCTAAACTCCAGATCATTTCACCAAATGCCTTCTAGAAATCTCCCAATGAATGCCCCATAATAATTTTAAAGCATCATGTTCATCATTTTCTCACAAATCTATGTTGCCCCTGAGTTTCCTAACTTAATTTATAGCAATAAAACACTTGAGAAAAACAATAAGGAGGAATCCCTAGGCAGCAACAATAATCATATAATGCCACATCTGTAGACATTTTAGAATATCCCTCAGAAATTTTCCACAAAGAGGAAATGAGAGAGAGAGTAATAGTGATTCATCCTAAAGATAGTTTTACTGGCAATAGAATTTTCCTTAGATGTGCCTCTGTGGGGAAGTGGAAAAAGAGAGCAAAATAGATTTTTAACTTTGAAGGAAAGCATGCATGACCGGCTGCATAATTTGCAGAGCCCAGTGCACAGCGAAAATGTGGGGTCCCTTGTTCAAAAATTAAGAATTTCCACCGAGCAATAGCAGAGCATTAACTCAGGTATGGGCCCTTTCCAACTGTAAGTCCAGGGGTACTGTACAGCCCCCAAACTCACGAAGTGTTTTCCAGATGCAAGTCTTAACAGCATGATGACACTGGTAAGTTATAAAGTACTTGGGTTCACATTCAAGGTTCACAAAGTTATATTAAAACTGAAAAAAAGTATTCATAAAACTGTTTTTGAAAAGAATTAAAAGAGAGAAGTGAGCTCTTAATGAGGAAAAATGTCACAGAAATTTTCACTGTCCTGCACATATTCTGTTCAGCTCCACATGTAATTACTACAGGGATGATGATATGAAATATTTTGTAAATATTTATACCAATTAAGGACTTGTGCTTTTACTTTATCAACTCACTGCCATCTGCATTCATAACTTTTCTGAAAACTGTGTTTGACTTTGATTTATGTATTTCATGATCAAGAAGTCCTTATTGTGTCCATCAGCATTTGTCTTAAACTGCATGTGTTTATTTTAAAGAAAATATTCATGCTGCTTCTTTGAAGCTTTCTTTTTAATCCAGACATCTTGTCTGCAATTTTCTTCATGATAACCTCAGAAAGAAACTTATTATTTTTCTACATATTCTATTCTGTTATTATTTAACTTCTTTCATTATCCCCTGGTTGTCCAGAGTCTTCTATTATGGATCATATTATCTTTCAAGAAATAGTGAAAGAATCTTCTGTTGTTTTATTCGCTTTCAGTACAGTACATCATCTACCATCAACTGTGCTTTTTTAGTCAATGTATTTTACTCTTTCAGTTTTACTTCATTATTTACTCTTTTCAGTGCATGAAATATTTTCCCAGATTTAAGCAAATTAGGCATTGATGCAAAATATATGCCTAGTAAAACATATATAAAGAAATTCTATGCATCTCTGGGATATGTTTGTGCACCTTCTTTGACATGTAATGCCCCTGCTGGTCCAGTTTTGATCCCTCCTCATTGGAGCCTGTCAATCACTCTAAATTGTATGTGGATTTTATAATATGAGGATATTTCCCAGAGGCTACAACAACTGAAAGCCTTGGATAAGTTGAAAAACAAACTAATAAATAATGAAGAAATTCAGCAAAAGGCATAATAGAATAAGCCATTCTGTAAATTTTTACTATTTGGATTTTTAATACTGCCATACAGAAAAGATGAAAAATTATCTTCCTAAAATTCCTATGGTAAAATGGTTTGTAATTTCACTCTCTTTTAAGGAAATATATAAGGTAAATAAAATATCCTGGGTGATGTCAGAGAGAGAAACCTATTTCATACTATCAATTTTGTATAGCTGGTAGGCTTTTATGTTTTCGATAAAGGAGGCACATAAATATTTTGATATACAATTTTAATGACATCTATAGCAAATGAGTGTTTCTATAATTTTAACCTTTTTAAAATTTTCTCCTATTTGAGTCATCTGCCACTTTCCTTTTCAGTTTAGTTACATCCAGTCTCTCTTTCTGTCCCATTTAATGGTAATGAAAGAGGAAAAGCTTACAGAACGTGTGTTTAAAATTGTTATAAAAGGAGAAAAGCTTTAGAGAATATGTTTTGAAAATCTAAAGACAAGTTTGTAAATATCCACAGGTAATTTTCCTTTTTTTAAATAAATTAATTCTTGTTAGGTGTCTAGTGTCTACTATCACATTACAAATTTCATAATGGGGCAAACTATTCAGTTCTACATCATATACACAGTTTGTGCATAGTTCACAATATTTTAACAGTTCAACCCATAAGTTCCAAATTCACATTTATTTTGTGTTGTCAAAGAAATAAACCTGCAGAGTTTTGTAGTAACAAGTGCAATCCAAATTATAAAATATAGGAGTATTTGTATGAGTTTATTATTATTGTGTTGTTTTTGCTTGTTCTTAGTTTTTGAGAGTGAAATCACATATAAAGTCTTATTTATTTAATATTCTGAGATTCATGGTTCACTGAAAAATGAACAAGGTCGGAGATGTGATGTGCCAATCACATTTCCTGCACAATCAAATTTTTACCACAGGGACTGGTCTTCAAAATGATAGTTTCTCCTCCTCCCATACCTTTGATAATATGTGTGCTTATCATGCTGTTTGGGAATATTTGTGTAAGATTTGGCATAATCATGTCAGTGAAAAGCAGACAACTTGCATTTACCTAAAGAATACAACCTCAGAGGATGATTCATTGAATAGTGGGGGGATTCTTACATTTCTGATACTTTGAATTGAACTTTAGCATGAGGGTAAGATATTAATTGCCAAAATATCAAGAAAATAAACAGATAAGGAAATTCAAAAACAATACTGATTTTACCCTGAGAGGAAGCTGCATTCTTACTAAGAGGAAGATAAACAGTAAGAGGAAGATAAACACTAAGAGAAGTCCAAATTTCAAGATATACAATGCAATTTTATCTACTTCACAAGCATGAAAAATGAACACTGTTAAAAAAATTTGGCATGCCAGTAGACTATTATGATTTAATGGAATATATTTTATAGGTTGGATATTAAGTTATATTTACTTGGGGGTTACATTAATTAAAGTCAAGGGTAATTAATTTGTGGAGAATCTCCCAAGCTAGAGTATGTTACAAGTCAGATTTCCATTTGCTTATATCTTTGGATCCAAATTACTGTATACTTCTGAAAATAGCTATTAAACTGACCAGAATAAGGCTATAGAGATGTGCATTAAATGGAACTGGACTGTAGTTTAGGCCTATTAAAGCAAAGATTTTCAACCTTGGAAAGCACATTAATAGTAGATCCAATACTACTCATACATTTGAGGGAAAAAAATAGAAAAAATATCAGTTATATTTGTCTATATTTTGGAAGAGAGTAGAAACTGAAAGGAAATATGAAAAGGCTTCTGAGAGTTTTGATCTAGGATGCTAGTTACACAACACAGTCAGTGTTTTAAAATTATTTGACCTACACTCTGATTTACTTGCAAGTATTTATATTATACTTCAGTAAACAGCTTTAAAGGCAAATTTAAAAAATCTCAAAAATAAGGCCGGGCATGGTAGCTCTTGCCTGTAATCACAGCACTTTGGGAGGCCGAGGCTAGTAAAAATACAAAAAATTAGCCGGGCATGGTGGCAGACACTTGTAATCCCAGCTACTCGGGAGGCTGAGGCAGGAGAATTGCTTGAACCTGGGAGGTGGAGGTTGCAGTGAGCCGAGATCACGCCACTGCACTCCAGCCTGGGCAACAGAGTGAGACTCCATCTCAAAAACAAAAACAAAAACAAAAAATCAGATACAATTTATACTCAAAAGTACATGCTGAGCATATTTTCTTTCCTTCAAATAGAACCACAAACAGAGAGGGAACTGCTAGAGAAAAGAAATCAAATAGATTGTTCTTCTATTTTAAGTGGTAGTAGGGGTCAGAGGTTGGGAGGCAATATAAGTACAAACGCAGCGATTTCATCTTTCCATGTTCCGTTTTTTTGTTGCATGATTGGGACTACTTTTGGTTACATTAGGGTAGGCATGGCCACGTCTACCATCACATTTTTCCTATATTAGAAGGCATCAGGAAAACTTTTCACCCTGCTTGCAATGATTCCACTAATTTTACTGTTGTCCTTAATAATTCTTTATGTCAAGAGGCATTAGCCTCACCCCATATTGACACTAACCCCAGAACACTTGCGTCCTCTATAGAATATAGAATGGCTTAATAGGTGGGGGTGGCCCTCATGTTCAGCTATTGTCAGGCATATGTGCTCTGGTATAGCATTTGCTACAGTATCTGGGCTCAAGGGATAGATTAAAGTATGCCTGAGAAATGACCTAGATACCTTCCCTCTTTTTCATTTCCTGCAACTACCATATGGACTGATTGCATTTGAACAGAGTGAAATCTCCCTTCCAAAATTCAGTGCTCCACTTGTGACTAATTATGTAGGTAATAGGATTATAAATCAATGATAAGTGGCAGACATAGAAGACTCAGATGAAAGTAACCAAGCTACAGTGTCCCCCTCAGGTGTCCCAAATTATAGTACAGATGAAGAGTCATAGTCTCCTAACCTGTACAAATCATAAGCCATCTGTTAGTTAGGCAGCAGCTGAGGCAGGATGCTGCAAGGAGTGTTGAGGAAAGAGTGAATGCAGGAGCAAGGAGGGACCACACCTGGGGAGATCTATCAGTAGAACCCAGCCCACCTCCAGAGTTCCTAATTCTGAAACCTTCCAGAGTCCAAAGCTTCAAACCCTCCCTTGGGTTTGAATCCTAAACCTTCTTCAAATTGCATGTTGTGCTCAAGAGAAGATCCTAGAGACCTGGCTGGCTTTCTTCCAGAGGCCCCCCTGCTAGAGGTCTGTCAGAATGCTCATTTATTCCTTAAAACAAAACAAGAGGGGATTGTGCCTCATATTTGTTTTGATCTTTCTTTTCTCATTTAAGCCACTAGGCTATTTTCTCAATCTTCTACAGCTATTTCAAAGTCTACAGAGTACATTTATAAAACAAAAATATTGGTCATGGCTTTTTGTGTATGTGTGTACATGCACATGGGTTAGTAGGGATATAAAAAATAAAATCAAGTGATCTTTTACTAGAAACTAGATCAACAAAATGTGGAGGAGATACTATGTAATAATAAATAACATTCAGAAAAGTCATCATAAGCAGTCCAGAAGGTCATTAAAACTCTGCCCTGATGCCTCACTTTTTCTCTAAGAGGATGGCAAAGGGCTTGCCTCAATTTTATAGGGCAGCATTAAAATAGAAGAGTGCCTCTTTTGAACTTGAAGTGTCTTCTTTAACAAGGAAGACTGTTATATCTCCTGCCCTACATAAGTATTTGTTTACATGGATACAGATATGTGCAATAAGTTGTTCTATGTAAAAATAACTTGTACAGCTGGACAGTGTCTCCACATCTGGCTGTTCAACCTACGCCTGTGATTACAGGTGTGAGCCACCATGCCTGGCCTAAATTAAATATTATAATAAAGTGAGTCACACAATTTTTTTGGTCTACCAGTGTATATAAAAGTTATGTTTATATTTTAGTGTAATTTATTGTGTGCAGTATCATTATGTTTAAACACAATTTACATAACTTAATTTAAAATACTGCTAAAAAATGCGAGTGATCATCTAAGCCTTTAGCACGTTGTAATCCTTTTGCTTATGGAGGGTCTTTCCTCAATATTGATGGCCGCTGAATGATCAAGGCGGTGGTTTCTAAAGGTTGGGATGGCTGTGTGAATTTCTTAAAATAAAAGAACAATGAGGTTTGCCACAATGATTGACTCTTCCTTATTTAAAAGTTTTCTCTGTAGCATGTGGTGCTGTCTGATGGCATTTTATCCACAAGAATGTTTTTTCAAATTTAGAGTCAGTCCTCTCAAACCCCACCATTGCTTTATCAATATCCCAAGTATTATGGAATACTCTAAATCCTTTGGTGGCATTAAAACAATATTCACAGCATCTTCACCAGAATTAAATTCCATCTAAAGAAACCACTTTCTTTCTTCATTCATAAGAAGCAGCCCCTCATCCATCATGAGATTGGAGCAATGCAGTCACTTCTGCAGGCTCCACTTCTAATTCCAGTTCATTTGTTATTTCTACCATATCTTCAGTTCCTTCCTCCACTGAAGTCTTGAGTTCCTCAAAGTTATTCATGAGGATTAGAATTAACTTCTTCCAAATTCTTGTTAATGTTGATGTTTTGACTTTCTCAATGAATCATGAATGTTTTTATTGGCATCTATAGTAGTGAACCCTTTCCAGAAAATTGGATTTACTTTGCCTAGATCCATCAGAATAATCACTAGCTTTGAGAGATATGCCCTTACAAAATACATTTTTTAAACAATAAGACACGAAAGTCAAAATTGTTCATTGGCCCACAAGCTGGAGAAAGAATGTTGTGTTTGCAGGTATGAAAACATTAATTTCCTTATACTTCCCATATAAGCTCTTGGATGACCAGGCACATTGTCAATGAGTAGTAATACTCTGAAAGGGATCTTTTCTTCTTAGCAGTAGATCTCAACAATAGGTTCCAAGTATTCAGTGATCCATGTTGTAAATAGATGTGCTGCTACCCAGGCTTTAATGATCCATTTATAGAGCATAGGCAGAGTAGATTTCATGTATATCTCAAGGGCCCTAAGATTTTTTGAAAGATAAAAATGGTAAATAAGAACTGTCTTCAATTTAAAATTACCAGCTGCATTAGCCCCTAATAAGAGTCAACCTGTTTTTTGAAGTTTTGAAGCCAGACATTGACTCCACTGCATCTACAAAAGTCCGAGATGGTGTTTTATTCCAATAGAAAGCTCTTTCATCTACACTGAAAATCTTGTTTAATGTAGCCACATTTATTAATTATCCTATCTAGATCTTCTGTATACTTGGCTGTAGCTTCTATGTCAGCACTTGCTACTTCAGCTTGCATTTCTATGTTATGGAGACAGCTTCTTTCTCTCAACCTCCTGAACCAACCTCTGCTAGCTTCAACCTTTTCTTCTGAAGTTTTCTCATCTCTCTCAATCTTTGTAGTATTGAAGATAGTTAGGGCCTTGTTCTGAATTAGGCTTTGAGTTTTCTGGCTTGCAGAACAGGCAAGGCTTATAACTCTTAGGCTTTGTGGCTGGTTTGATCGTCTATCTGGACCACTCAAACTTTCTCCATATCAGCAATAAGGTTGTTTCATTCTCTTATCATCTTTGTGTTCACAGGAGTAGCACTTTTAGTTTCCTTCAATAATTTTGCCTTTTCATACACAACTTGGCTGTTTTGTACAAAAGCCTAGCTTTTGACCTGTCTTTGCTTTCAACATGCCTTCCTTACTTAGCTTAATTATTTCCAGCTTTTGATTTAAAGTGAGAGACCTGTGACTATTCACTTGAATGTCTAAAGGGCATTATAAGGTTATTAATTGGCCTAATTTCAATATTGTTGTATGTCTGTGAATAGGGAGGTCTGAAAAAAGGGGTAACAGCCAGTTGCTTAAACAGTCAGAACACACACAACATTTATCAATTAGGTTTATCATCTTATATGGATCCAGTTTATGATACCCAAAAGAATTACAATCATAACATCCAAGATCACTGATCACAGATCACCATAACAGATAAAATAATATTTAAAAAGCTTGAAATATTGCAGGAATTACCAAAATGTGACACAGAGACAGGAAGTGAGCACATGCTATTGGAAAAAGGCACCAATCCGCTAGCACGACACAAGGTTACAACGAACTTTCAATTTATATAAAACACGCAGTATCTAAAAAAGCACAATAAAGCGAAACAAAAATGAGGTATGCCTGTATATATGTGTGTGTATGTATATATATATATAAACAATTATGTCTCACTTAACGATGGCGGTACATTCTGAGAAATGGGTCATTAGACTCTTCAGCATTTTTTGAACATCATAGAGTGTACTTACACCAACATAGGTGGGATATCCTACTATGTACCTAAACTATGCGGTTTAGCCTATTGTTCCTGGCCTACAAACCCATATAACATGTTACTTTACTGAATGCTAAAGGCATTTGTAACACATTCATAGGTATCTGTGTTTCTAAGCATAGATAAGGTAGAGTAAAAATATGGTATTTTAATCTAATGGGACCACTGTTAAATATGTGGTTCATTGTAAATGGAAGCATTGTTACGTGGTACATGACTCTGTGTGTGTGTGTGTGTGTGTGTGTGTGTGTGTATTACATATAATAATTTTTACATTCTAGCTCCAGTTAAGCATCCTAGCTATACCTATGTATTTTAATTCATACCTTATTATTTGATAATCATGTATGAAACCTCATACTTGTAAACTTTCTTTTATTATGCTAAAATACATTCAGAAACCATAGATTAAGGAACTTGTAAGATTAGAATTGTGGAAGAAATTATCTCTATTTCTTTTCTATACTGGTTGCAAAGAAATATTATACTGACCTGATCCCAAAAGTTAGCATTCCTGTATGATTTTTGACCAAGAAAATATGAGTGGAAATAATATATGTTGTCTCTGGGTGAAAGAATTTAGCTAGTGCTTGAGTCTTTCATTCACTCATTCTCTGGCCCACAGAAGTAGAAAGTTCTATATTCAGATATATGTCTACAAGATGGTTAAGCCTCTTTTGGTGTGGCTTGTAAAGGATAATTGCTCTGACGACCACCTAGATTTGCAAGGAAATTTACTTAAATCTTAACTTAGATTATCCTAAATCTTAACTGATATGGGAGACTTGTTTGTTGTCACAGCAAAACATCATCTAACCCGACTGACACAGAATCTTTCTCACTTCATTATGTTTTATTATCCCCTGCCTATTCCCTGTGGCAATGAATATTTCCTTTAAAACTAAAAGAACTTGCAGGTTTATTTGTAGACATTAAGGGAAAGAGCTAGCTAGTCCTGTTGACCATTACTGCAAAAAGATCCACCAGCAAAAGAGTGGGCATAGAAAGCGGGTAGACAATCATTTTTTCTTGGTCTATTCAGCTATTGATACTTTATGAAACATGTACAATAGTTACATTCTTTCAAAGTAAAAACTATAAATCAAGTTACACATAAAAAAATAGTAGAGTGGGTAGAATTTCTTGGACTTGTAACTAAGGTTTCCATTCCTTATTCTGCTCCTTCTTCAGTGGGCTCTACCTCTTCTGGCAGGCAGGAAGAGGGAAGGATGGCAACTCATGGACCGTTCTTCCTCAACTGCTTATATCCTATTCCTCCTCATACAAGCCAGAGCAGAGTGAGTTCTATTTTCCTCAGGAAAGGAATTGCTTCACCTAGCTTCATCCATGTCCCTACAAAGGACATGAACTCATCATTTTTTATGGCTGCATAGTATTCCATGGTGTATATGTGCCACATTTTCTTAATCCAGTCTATCGTTGTTGGACATTTGGGTTGATTCCATGTCTTTGCTGTTGTGAATAGTGCCACAATAAACATACGTGTGTATGTGTCTTTATAGCAGCATGATTTATAATCCTTTGGGTACATACCCAGTAATGGGATGGCTGGGTCAAATGGTATTTCTAGTTCTACATCTCTGAGGAATCGCCACACTGACTTCCACAATGGTTGAACTAGTTTACAGTCCCACCAACAGTGTAAAAGTGTTCCTATTTCTCCACATCCTCTCCAGCACCTGTTGTTGGACAAAAAAACCAAACACCACATGTTCTCACTCATAGGTGGGAATTGAACAATGAGAACACACGGACACAAGAAGGGGAACATCACACACCGAGGACTGTTGTGGGGTGGGCGGGGGAGGGATAGCATTAGGAGATATACCTAATGTTAAATGAAGAGTTAATGGGTTCAGCACACCAACATGGCACATGTATACATATGTAACAAAGCTGCACGTTGTGCACATGTACCCTAAAACTTAAAGTATAATAATAATAAAATAAAATAAAGAAGTGCTTCACCTAGTGGTGTAGATAGCATAGTTGTGAGCCAAATTATATTAGTCAAATGTGGTTCAGTGAGACTAATTGTGAATATGCCTGTGAAGCTTACCTCAGGCAGTTACCAAAAGCAAGATGCATTCAAGCATGACATTTCATTGCAGTCCTGTTTTGCTCCAACACAAATCCTCCAATATCCTAACTCACTCAATATCTGCCCCAGGGACTCCACTTTTCTTCTCCTTTCTCTTTAATTGTGCAAGAACATCAAAACTGTACTCTATTTTTCTTATAATTGACAAGAATTATATATATTTATGGTGATCAGCATGATGTTTTGATGTTTATGTACATTGTGTAATAACTAAATTAAGCTATTTAACATATACATGAACTCTTATTATTCTTTTGTGATGAGAACAACGAAAATCTACATTCTAAAACGCAATGTTCAAGGGTACAATATATTGTTATTAACTATAGTCACCATGGTGTATAATAGATCTCTTGTATATTATTCCTGAATTTTTGTTTTGCCAAATAAGTTGTTATGTATGCTGAATGGGATAGGGCAACTTTTGCATACATATATGTGCCCATTTAGTTAAAACACAAAAAATTACATACCTTTATGTAGTAAATATTAAGCTAATCAATGAATAAGTATCTTCTAATTGATATTAATGGGACAGTTTAATGAATGAAATTTTTAATGATCTTTGCTCATATTGATCATTTAGTACTTGTAAACTAGTGACCCACACTCTGTTTTGGTAAATAATCAACTTTGAGAGCAAAAGTTATTTAAATAAGTTTAATCTATGTGAAGTTTTTTGAGTTTTAGGCTCATGTTTAACATTTTTTCTGGGCATTAGAAACTTGATATTTTTCATGTCATTTCTATTCATCACTTTATTCTCAATATGCCATTTATAGGGCATTCTATAACATACATTTTTTGATACTGAAGATGGAAATGTTGCAAAAACATAGCTGAGCAGAGTAAGTGAGAATAGGATAGGTCAGGCTCACTCTGGCAAGAAATTGGATGTTAAAATGGATCCAAATTTATTTTGGGAATTTGTTATAAACCATGAGATGAAAAACACTATGAAGTTAAGGAAATGGTCTGTGAAATAAAAAGAGCCTGTGATAAAGGGGAAGGGAACTGATGAAGGATTTTAATTACCTAGTATATAGCCAAAATATGAAAAAAAAATTGCTTCAGTACTACCTAATATTGCTTCATATTCAATCATATTGCTTTCATTATTTTTTTACACAAATTGAGAGGATTTCTCTATAATTTCAAACTATACACGTTTTCAAATTATCTGTTTAGTTTTGCATTACTAAAACTTGTTACTTTTACTTATTTGATATGTTCTTAAATTTTTATTAATTTGGTTATTCACTAACAAAAGTAGAGAAGATGATTAATAATGATTAGACAGACATAAAATCAATTTGTCACTTTTGTAATGTTTTTCCTGCATATAATCCAGATTGAAGTTGATTTTGTAGCTTTTTTTGACTTAAAGTAACATTTTTATTATGACTAAAAAGCAGATAACAAAACAGACAAGAAGCATGTTATTTTTCATAAGAAAAATGAAATTGAAAATATATTAATATGTGTAATTCAAAAAGGAACCATGAAGGTTCTGCACATTTAGAATGCAGAAAGCACTGGGAATCTTTCTAGATATATTTTGGAATACCTACATAGTTGCGTGCTGAAAGAAAAAACAAAACAATAAAATGTCCAAGATATATTGTTGAATTTTAATGAAAGCACTCCACCTAACATGATCAACTGAACTTGAACTGAATATAAAATTATCACCAGTATGTTCTTTACCTGAATTTATTGCTGTGCCACTTTATTTTCAAGGCCAAAGAAATGAAAAGGAAGAGTCAAAGAAAGTGCTTACAACCAACCAGATTTCCATAATTCTAGATTGTATCGGCTAATTGGTATGACTACCTGGATAGGTACGTTTTATTATTATATGTTGAAACCTTTTTTATGTAAGAAGATTTTTCTTTAGGTCACTGAGTATCTGGACTTCTATAGGAAAAGTTCTAATCTGCATGGTAAGAGATATTATTTTCACTAATTATTATGTTTCAATAGTAACTTTATAGCATTTTTGATACATGCATGAGAAATAAAGGGCCTCTTAGTGTGTTAGGTTATACAATAAATGGTTTGTAGGTGAAGTCAAGCGTACTACTTTCTCATCTTCTACAAGTGTGACAACCTAGGTTCTAGAAAATAGAGTTATTTTACTTTATCATAAAATATAGCAAAAGAGCTACAATATTATTGTTTTGTTTTTTAATTCATCACTTGAGACCTGACGTACAGTGTGGCAACAAGAAGATAGGACATTATTCTTGAAAACTTGCTCCAGAAATGTCGTTTTTTTCTTTTTCTTTTTTTTTTTTTTTTTGAAATCGAGTCTCACTCTGTCGCCCAGGCTGGAGTGCAGTGGTGCGATCTCTGCTCACTGCAAGCTCCGCCTCCCGGGTGGATGCCATTCTCCTGCCTCAGCCTCCCAAGTAGCTGGGACTACAGGCACCCGCCACCACTCCCGGCTAATTTTTTGTATTTTTAGCAGAGACGGGGTTTCACCGTGTTAGCCAGGATGGTCTCCATCTCCTGACCTCATGATCCGCCCGCCTTGGCCTCCCAAAGTGCTGGGATTACAGGCGTGAGCCACCGTGCCCGGACAATGTCGTTTTTTTCTGATAAGATTAGCATAATCTATTGTTTAAAACTCACTTTTCCGGAAGGTTGAGTGGTTGGGTTCATTGTCCAACCCTGTCACTTATTAGTCTAACACTTTGGGCAGCGTTTCTTATCTGATGGATGTCCCAGTCTTCTCATCTGGAAAATGAGGAGAATAATGAAACTTACCTACCTTATACGTTGATTGAAAGAGTCAAATGAGGTAGTATGAAATACTTAGAACAATGCCTAGCACTTGGCAATGTGAAAATTGCCACATAAAAGTGAGCTTTCCTTACCTTCATGCTGCTATTTTAGTTTGAAAGAGACAAATGTTTCCATTTAAGAGTGCATATTGTTTCACTGAAAAATTTAACATGACCCCTTGGGACTGGAAAAGAAATAATATAATTGGTTTTCTCTTGGGTTATTATTATGTGGAAGGTCTGGTGCTTCTAATTGTATAAATTTATATCCAGGGACTTAGTAGAAAATCTGTGTAACTCAGCTATTATTTTGGCATTTCATGGTGATTCAAACACCGTATCTTTTTCCTGGATGGTGTGTATAACAATGTTTTCTCCTTGATACAAAGTTGAGGAAGATTAAAAAAAAGATAGAACTAACACTAACTTTATGATATAGTCTCAGGATTAAAATATCCCCTGTGTTTAATATGCAGATACTTTTTGTTTTGGAAAATTAACCTTGCCAGAAATAATAGTAATATTTATTTTATTTTGACAAACATCATGAAAAAATGATATTTCTCAAGCATTTGTTATCAATTATAATCCAGATAAACTAATCACAGCTAACCTTATTCTTTACGATTACCATGGTTGAGGAGTAACATATAAACCAAGACAGAGAGCAATGAACATAGAATATAAAAATATATATTCTTCCTGAATATTTCCTACACCATGTAAATCAGGATCCATATCAACCCTATTCCATGTTTGCAGATTTCAAAGTATTCCTTAAAATTCTTCAATTACAAGAACTTCCAAAGTTGACTTGTGTAAATGTCACTTCCCTTAGAAAAAAACACTATGAGCTTAACCACGTCTATTTGGGATGATGGAATTGGCAGGCGAACTTAAGAAATAGACTGCTACTAACAGCATTGTCTTTTTGTATTGGAATGCCTCTGACCTGAACCCATCCTTTGAGCTCTTGGAAATATAAGCTCTTTGTGAAATGCATACGTCTTGAAAAAATTGAGATGTTTTGACACCCTGGGACCTACAACAAACTCCAGAATTACTAAATATATATTTCAGATTTGTTTGAGAGTAGTTGTGGGTGAGACTTAAATGAGCCATGAGCCTCAAGTCCCAATTTCCTGATATAGAATATCACACACATTTAAAGCCAATCTACTTTAAGTAATTGCGAACATTTTTGTTCCAATATTTTGATCTCCTTCTAAATAACATTATGGCAAAAGCCCATAATTTCCTCAAGTTCAGATAAGATGATAGTTATAAGCATCTTATGTTCTCTCCCTTCGATACATATAAAAGAAACATATTTCTTAATTAGACATAAGTGTTGTCTAAATTTTGTTCTTGAATATTACACTTGGGAATTGCAAAAGTTATCAACAATTGCAGAAAGACACTTATGACCTTTAGCCACCAGTTCAATTGGTGATTTCACTGTGGACCCCTAAGATAATCATAAAAATGGTTCTTCTACTTGGGTAGAGATATAATTCACAGAACAATTCAAGAAAATATTTGGATCTTTCTTTCTCTAGTATTGAGAGTCGGAGATGTAAGGCTGTGAAATGGCAACACAAAAGTGAAACATTTATAATATAGAAAATAATTGCATATAATTAAGCACACAGCAATTTCATCAGAATAGAGGTAATTATCTAGATTCTTCATTGTAAATCCCAAAGGTAATTTTCATCTGTCTTGTAAAAACATGTGAGGCCACAGTTTATTTCGGAAAATGAATGCCTTTATTTTTGCATTTTACCTAAGGATGATTAAAATACTTTTTAAACATACGACCCTAACTTCCGTGAGCAATCACAGTATATGTACTATTAACTTGAAATATTTACAGTCATATGAGAGGACTCAAAATATTTAAGAAAAGTTTAGAAAAAGGATACAATATTTTGGATATATAATTAATATTTTGCTATTGAAAATTCCTCCTATTAAATCTATTATAATTTTGTCCTAATACTTCAGTTTCAAAATGGTTAATCTAATAAAATTGCATAACAAATTGTTTAAATATTAATAAATAACAATACAAGAAGTATAATATTGCTTATTTTCATAATATATGTAAGATAAAAAATAAAAGGAAACAAAATGTATGGACTAAGATTCTAGGGCAGTTTTTTTTTTTAAAAAAACAGATCTAACGCTAACTATTATGATAGATTCTCAGTAATAAGAATCTTCTTTTGTTTGACTTGATAGGAGTATCTTCTAACAAAAGCATATAATGTTCAAGGGTACCAATTATTTTCTTAACAGAATAAATAATGTGCATTAAGAATATTTTGTCTCAGATAGCAAAATATAAAACCACAGAAGAACATTCAATCATTTTCTGGGTGTTAAGAGATCAATTTGTGAAATCACTTTTGAGAAAACTTCAGTTTCTGCCATGAGCAATACAGTAGTTTCCTTCTACCTGCATGTCGCATAATCTTAAATTTCACAGGAGATATGAAAGAAAAAATATTGTTAGATCAGATGAAACTCTGGAATAGGAAAAGTTATATAATTACAAAATAGCCTTAAAAAGCTTTTTTGTATGATTTTCACAAACTTAAAATGTAATTTGAAATAATATGTGCACATTTCCCCTAGGAATTGTTTTACATTTATGATTATTTTATGCCTAACACTATTCTCTCTTTCAAATATGAACATAGGATTTGATCCTCAGCAAGCATCTCATGAGTACATGGTCTTAAATATTTGGGATAAATGTAATGTTTAAATTTAATACATTATAACTACAAATATTAAAAATCAAAAGATAATTTTAATGAGAAAAAAGTTCATTATTGTTATTATCCCTATTGTTTTTGCCAAAGCAGAATTTAACTTTTTAATAAGATCAATACAAACAATGCATTATCAATATTTATTAAGTAATTAGAGACCTGAGCTATTCTATGTAGGATGAAATCATTTCTTTTTTCTCCTCAAGAACTTTCAAAGGATAATGTTATTTATTATTCATTATTTAACTAAAAATGTTTGACCTATTAAAGTCTAAATATTTTGTCAAAGATCACAAAGACAAAATGACAATGTCTAATTTTTAGTGTAGGTCTTATCTCTGATTCTAGTCCTTGAGTATTAAATAATATATTTAAAACATCTACCTCAATATTCTCAATAATAAACGCTGTCATATTATTATTTTTAATTTTTATTGTATAATATTTCATACACAGGAAGAGGATAAGTAGCATACATACTGATAATTGTAAGACGACAAATACCACTGAAATTAAAAATAAATTTTACACATTTTTCTGTGACACAGAAGAAATCAATATCCTGGCTCTTATGTAGACCATGACCTTACTTTATGCACACACTCACATAAACATACACATACACACATGCACAGAAGTCACAACTGCAGAAATTCCTAAAAGAACAAAATACGCTACTGAGTTTTAGTTGACTTTATAAGGAAGATGTCATGCTGTATGCACTTTTTGGGATTTACTTCTTTGAGCATTTTATTACTAGGATTCATTCATTTCTTTTGACTATTGTGTGATCTCTGATTATATAAGTATGGCAATCATGGTGGTAACAAATCTACTCATCAGATTTTTTTCTTAAATATTTTATCATTTTTATTAGGTATAACTTAATACAACAACACTGACCATTTTTAGCGCACAGTTCTACAAGTTTTGAAAAATACTCAGTTGTGTACCCATCAGCACAAGCAAGACAAAAAACAGTTCAGTCACTCCAAAACCTCTCCATGTCAACTTCATATTAGTTTATAGTCAACATCTCCTCAACCAACAGCCTTTGGCAGCACTGATGGTTCCTGTCCTTATTGTTTTTAGTTTTCCACAAAGCCATATCGATGGAATCATAATATGCATACACTCTGGAAGTTGGGTATTTTCACATAGCATCATGCATGAGATTCATCCATATTATTTCTCTTTAACATGTAAATATGCTACAGTTTATTGATTGATCAGTTAAATGACATTTGAATGTTTTCCAGTTTTAGGTGATTATAAATAAAGCCATTATGAACATTCACTTACTGGGTTTTATTTGAACATAATTATTTTATTTCATTGAGTAAATATATAGAAGTGAGATTTCTGGAATTTAAGGGTTACTTATCATTGAGCTTATAAAGATGCTGCCAAACTGTTTTCCAAAATGACTGTACTATTTTACATTGCCACCAGAAATATATTACAGATCCAGCTGTTCTTCATTCTAGCCAAAACTTGGGATGGTCAGTGTTGTTTTTGTTGTTCTTATTTTTTTTAATCTTAATATTTGTGGAATGATATCTTACTATGGTTTTAATTTGCAGTTCCCTTTTGACTAATAAAGTTGATAATCTTTTAAGTGATTTTCTAGTTTCTAATCCATACATGGTGCATTATAGGCATTCAAAAAACATTTTAAATTAAAAAAATACTATTTATGTACTGAAATCATATTGTACCCCAGAAACATATGCTATTATTATTTGTGCATTAAAAGTTAAACTTAAAAATAATATTCTCACAATTTTTAGAACATTTTTCTCAACTTTACCTATTATAAGAAAGTAGTATTTTTTCCATTTTCTCCACAGTGAGTCAACACTTTTCACAGTTTTGTACTAAAATGAATACCAAAATGCCATTAGTCAACTGTAGTGAATGTTGAAATAGTAGATCTCACCGTAGGAAGTATTCTAATGATATTCTACCAAATGTATTATTAAATACTTTAATTCCTAAAATTGCTATTTATGAGAGAAATGATTCATTCATTGATTAGAGAAAAATACCACAAATAATCAAGAAATAGAAAATATCTTAATAAACCTGAAACTTAGAATACTTATTCAAAATCAACAAATTATGTTCGTTGAGCTATGGTAACATAGGGAGCATTGTAAAAATTGAATTTGTTTGAATTACACTGCTGTTGAAATTTTAGTATCTAGTGTTAATCTCCAGTTGGTAACTATAGCTATATCTGATATTTTCAAGTTGTTTACAGCCTGGAACATAAAATAATGCCCTATAGACTAATTGCATCAGAAGAACATTTAAATGCTATAAGTTCTGCTAGTTCAAGTTTGACCTACATTTAGCCCAGCAAAACTAATCAGCCACAGAAACTTAATCAGTGAATCTAAACAGCAAAGAACTAGGCTATGCTTCTACACACTAGACTCTTTCACCAGAAATATGAAGTCATATTTTAAGTGAGTTATAATCAAAAACAATAAAATCTTTTAATAAAACTTAATCTAGTATTAGCCCATCCTCTAGAGTCTGACACCCATCAGATAAGAGTCAACCATATTAATACATTTTAAAAGACGTTACAAACTATTCTGTTTATATTACACATTTAATGTATACACTATCAACCTGAGATGTTTTGAGAAAAACAGTGTTATTATGGAAATAAAGTGGTATTTGTTTTGTTGCTTTTTCTTGAAATATATATCTCCTCAGCCACAATGCATTGCATAAATCAAGTGAAGTAATTGAATTACAAAAGAATATTTTTGCTTCATTTCCCCTCAATTTCATTCAACTCTAGTCAAAAAAAAGTCTCTTGAAACTAAATGATGAATTATTTGAGGGTATAGAGATAAATTAGTATTTAACAAGGTAGAAAACTACTAGGTTTTAGATAAAACAATGTCAGAGTTTCACTCTTTATGTTCATAGAAAAATCATGTACATATAAGCATACTTAAATGCAAAGATTGGCCACATCATCATAAATTCAAGGTAAAAATATTTCTTCCATATTTATCATGAACATGAAAGTGTATATGCAGCCACAGTACTTGTTATAACTCATAAGCCAATGGAGTCCTAGATAGTGAATGGGTCTAGTATAGAAAAGTACATAGTACAGTGATATATGCAGCAATATCACAAACTTAACAGCTTCATGTTGTCTATTATTTAGTTCATTTTGCCTCCTAAACTTCAAAGGGCAGATGCTACATTACAAAAATTAGATTTAAATATATAGTTTTACTAGTCACTGCACAGTTTGAAACATAGCTGGCACAATAATTTGCAGAGTATTTGCTGAAATCAGTGGTAACATCTATTGGCCCAGAAAATGTATAAACAGAGGGAAGCTGCTGAAAGTCTGTAAGTGTCAGAATTCAAGTGCACACAGTTTACCACGTTTCTGTGAATTGACACTTAATAAAGTCCTCTTGTGTATATCAATATATGACAAAATATTTCCAGCAAATACTGCTTATTTAAATCATAAATCTTCTGACATATCTTGCCAAAAATGTCTATTTACTATGGAGCCATTTCAACAAACACTACATCCCTAGAAACATATTAACCACATCATATATGATGAATAAGTTCAGGTCTCAATAGAATTATATTAGAGATTTTTTTCAATTTTCAATTACACAAGTTGTAGTTATTTATCTGCTTGCACATAATACTGAGTGACAAATATAGTCATTGATTCCAGGTAAATCCGATTACCAAAATCTGTGATTTTCTTACTATGCTACAATATCTTATTTTAGCCTACTATCTTCAAACACAGTGATGAAAGAAGTTTTTGTGCAACTTGAAAAGCATGAGGTTGCAGAGTATGAAAAAAAATTTTGAGTCATAGTGCCTGGATATATTAGGATTTCTCAGAAAAACCAAATAAATACCAACAATGTGCGTGTGTGTGTGTGTGTGTGTGTGTGTGTGTATAAATTTATTATAGGAAATTAGCTCACTGGTTATGGAAGCTGAGAAGTCCCCTGATCTGCCATTTGCAAGCTAGAAACCCAGGGAAGTCAGTGGTTCCAATCTGTGTCAAAGGTCTAAAAATCAAGAGAATAATGGTATACATTCTAGTTCAAGCCAAAAGGCATGAGAGTTAGTAGCATCTATGATGTAAATCCCATGTCCCAATAAGACCAATGTCCCAGCTGAGTCATCAGGGAGAAAGACAGAATTCATCGTTTGTTGGTCTTTGTGTTCTATTCAGTCCCTCCGTGAATTGGATGATACCCACCCCACGGAGGAGGGTAATGCTCAACGAACTCAAATACTAATCTCTTCCAAAAACACCCTCACTGACACCCTCATAAATAATGTTTAACCAAATATCTGGGTATGTTGTAACTCATTAAAGTTAACACATAAAATTAACCATCACATTAGGTTAAAATCCTGCTTCTGCTTCTTTTTATTTGTGCAAGTTATAAATATGTAGATAGTGAATTAAAAAGAAATTTCTTAACTTGTTTGCACCTTACATTTTTCATACGTAAAATGGAAGTGATAATGAAAATAACCTACCACAAAGTGTTGTTGTAAAGAATGGTTAATATTTAAGTAATTAAAACTGCTTTATGAGAGACAGATTTAAGTATGGTAGTTTGAGTAGCTCTGTGGACATATTTCTCTGATAAACTGATAAAATTTATATATACTTTAAAAAAACTAAAGTCTCTGGAAATTTTCCTTAGTATATACAACAAACAAAGAAGCATTTATTCAAGAATATTTACTGCAGTTTGATAAAGACAACAAGAGTCTGTGCTACTTGAACTGAGACCTCTCCTCCTTCCCCTCCCACTCAGTGAGACAGAAACTCCACTCCATACTGATGCAGATCCCTCTCCCCCAAGTAACAATAAAAAGACTATCTTTCCAGGAGAGACAGAATTTCAGAAGTTTTCATCCTGGCCATACCTACCTGTTGCTGAAGCTATATATACAAATAATAAGGAGTATTGTAGTTACAAATTAATTTTTATTTTTAAATTTATTTTTAAGAGACAGAGTCTCTCTCTGTCACCTAGGTTGGAATGATCATAGCTCACTGAAGTCTTCAACTTGTGGGCTCAAGTGACATTGCTGCCTCAGCCTGCCAAGTGGCTGGGACTACAGGTGCACACAACCACACCTGGATATTTTATTTATTTTTTATTTTCTTTAGAGACAGGGTTTCGCTATATTGTCCAGGCTAGTCTTGAACACCTGGCTTCAAACGATCCTCCTCCCTCAGCCTCCCAAAGTGCTGGGATTACAGGTGTGGGCCACTGTGCCTGGACCAAAATAAATTAAATAATATAAATGTAACAGAGAAAGTTATTTTTGTATTTTTTTAAAAAAAGCTAGTCCTTTGAGACACACAAAAAATTGACAAACTAGATTAACCAAGGAAAAAAGAGAGAAAACATAAATGACTGGAAAGAGAAATAAAAGACAGGCCATTACTCCTGACTTTGGAGAAATAAAAGTAATAATAAAGCAATAGTGTGAATAATTATATGTCTCAGCTTAAAAAGTATAGATAAACAAATTTCTAAAAAGATAGACATTATCAAAATTAAGAAAAAGTAGAAAATCTGAATATAAGTGTGACAAATAAAAAGGCTATATGATTAAACAAAAACAACACACAAAGAAAAGCTCAAGCCCAGATGGCTTCACTCCTGAATTCTACCATATGTTTACAGAAGAAATAATACCAATTCTTCATAAACTCCTATACAAAATAAAAGAGACTAGTATCACACTGATCAACAGAGACATCATTAGAAATGTATAGTCAAATATATCTTATGAATATGGATGCCAAAAAAATTAAATACCAGCAAATGGAATCCAGAAACATATACATAATTATATATCAAGATCAATTGTTTATCCCAGGAATGCAATTCAATATACAAAAATCAATTGTATTTGTATACACTTTCAATGAACAATCTAAAAACAAAACTAAGAGAAAAATTCCATTTACAGTAGCATCAAAAAAAGACAAATAACCCAATTAAAAATGGGCAAAGGATCTTAACTGACAGTTTTCCAAAGAAGATATACAAATGACCATTGAGTACATGAAAATGCAACATCTGCATTTATCATTATAATGTAAATCAAAGCTACAGTGAATTATCACTTCACATCCACTTAAATGGCTAGATTTACAAAGTCAGATGAAAACGAGTTCTGGCAAGATTACGGGGAAATCACAACTTTGCCATGCTGTTGGTGGGAATATAAAATGGTGCAGGCCCTTTGGTGAACAGTTTGGCAGTTTCTGAAACAATTATGCATAGAGTTACCATATGTCTCAGTAATTCCACTCCTAGGTATATGCCCAATGGAAATGAAAACATATGCCCACACAAAGGGTGTACATGAGTATTTATAGTAGCATTATTTATAATAGCCAAAATGTGGAAACAATCCCAATGTTCAGTAATAAATAAAGAAAATAAACAAAATATAGTATATCCAAACGATGTAATATCATTTGGTCATAAAAAGGAATAAAGTACAGAGACACATTACATGCCTTTGATGCTTACAAACTTATGCTAAGTAATAGACATTGGTCACAGAAAACACACATTATATAAAATATTCAGAATAGACAAATCTGTAGTGATGGAAACTAAATTAGTAGTTCCTTAGGATGGAGGGGAAAGAATGGGGGGATATGGGGGTGATAGCAAAAGGGTATGGGTTTTGTTTATATGATTAAAATGTTCTAATATTGACTGGGATGATGGATTTACATATGCACAAATATGCTAAAGACCATTTAATTGCATATTTTATTATATGAATTTTATGATATGTGAATACCATATCAATAACTATTTAAAAAAATAAAACTGCTTGACTGCCAGCAAAACATCTACAAGCATTAGCTTTTGTTATTATCTGTTCCTTCTGAGATGTAGCACTTGACACCAACCATTAAATCCTATATCCAAGTCTTCTTTGAATTAAAACCATATGCCGAGAGTTTTCCCTCTTTGGGATTTTGCCTGTTTAGTAGAGTCTATTAAAAAAAATTCAGCACAGCATATAACAAAAAAGTAAGTGTAGCTTTTCTCTGCCATGTGGAAAGGCAATTCAAGGTATCTAGGTTGCAGTTTTTGAATAAAACAATGCAATATGTACAGACCTGGCTTTTGAATTATGTAATACATACGCTAAATGTTTCAGTTTCGTCAGGTGGAAAATAATTTCCAGAAACTATGATCCATAAAACCATTATGGGTTTTATGTTTGTCTAAAAAGGCAGATTTCCTCTGGGAAGTGAAGTGCAAGTACACATACTAAAAGTTTACCTTGTATAATAGGACACGGACTTGCTTATCTCTACCAGCTCTTCCACTTATAGACTATTACTCCTAGAGAGGAAGTGGTGCTAAGTAAAAATACAGCCGTTATTTGGATTTATTCATAAAAACTGAGTGGGCAAGTTGACAATCAATGTGCTCACAGATAGTTGAAATAATCTTTTTTTTCTCCCTTAGAGCAAAATAGACACTTCTTGAAACTACACAAAGATTTTCAAGCCATTTGACTTAAAAGCTACAACCTAAGAAGTCGTAGCTGATCTATTTGGAAACAAATCACAGTAATTTCAGTATTTACGTGGAAATTGCTGGATTACTGCATATGAGCATTTTTAACATGACTGTATTTATGTATAGCTATGAGAAAAGGGAATAAAAAATAGAGGAAACAGAAAGCAAGGTGGTTATTACACAACCCCGGTTGTCCAACAATCACCATTCAAGTGTTTGCGAGAATGGCTATCATTGGGCTGGCTACAATTTGTTACCATTTTCCTTGTCTTCCTTTTCATTTACTCTTTTATTTTCTCATCGATATACTCAAAATTTAGATTCTTTAAAAAACACTACTTCATTCTCCTGCCAATATTTTTTGTTATATTCATTTACATTTTTGATGAGTTGCTCTGAATAAATGCTTGCTCCTTATTCTGTGTTTAGATTTCTGTTCTATTCCCATTGCCTTTCCTTCCCATGCTTCTGTTGTAGACAAGCTGACAGTAACTCTGCAGTCTTTACAACACAAACTTGAAATTCCCATAAATTGTATCTCTACCTCTGATTTTCTACTCTCACCAAATTACATTTTCTCACATACTCAAGATTATACTCTCCTACTCATATATAATAATTGTCCCGACCTTTTCAAGTTTGTTTTGTCTCTACACGCCTTTATTTTTATTTTCAATGGTTTTATTATTTTTCTCTTTTTTAACTACATTTAAATGTTAACTTTTGTTGTCTTTCAATATGTGCAGATTAGTATTCCATAACAACTACCTGGATAAATTCTAATTGTTCTTCTGTAATACAGGTAGTTTTGAGTTTTGATGAACAAACTTATAAAATTGAATTGATTTAAATGTAAATTTCACACAGCTGTTTTATCAATATGAATCCTGGTAAATTTTTTTAAAAACTTTTTCACCCAATTACGCACACAACAGAATATCAAGACTGTCATTCAATCCTTAACTGTTACACTGATTAACTGATCCTCTTTACACCTACAAAAGTTTATTTGTATTAAATAAAACACAAATATCACTGAAGGGAGAATTACTTTACATTAAATTGAGAAATGATTGTTTAGTATGGGAATAAGACATTGTAATTCAGGTCTTTGTATTTTCTCTTTATTAATGTGTTAAAATAATCAACTGAGGATAATCAGGAACTCCAGAAAGAGTAAAAGTATCCAGATTCTAAACATGGAATTTATTTTTCTGTTAGGGAATCTTATTCAGTAAGAAAATATATTTAAGTATAAAATTAAAAGAATATACATTTTGGAGCTTTGAGAAAAAAAAGAATTTCAATTTGTGGTGACCAACCCAGTAGCAATGAGCATCTTTCAGTATCCAGTCCAGATCTGATAGAAAATAAGCATGGTATCAAACTTATCACACTCTGATGTCATGTCAAAAGGATTTAAAAGTCAAATTTAAGTGAGGTCTGCTAGCAAAAGAAGTAATTTGAGCTTCAGGAAGAACTACAATGGATTGAAACTCACTCAACAAAAAATGTTAAAATTTATAATTTTGTAATAATATTAAGAGAATAACAAAACCAATTGGTCACTTTCTGAGATAATATGGAACAAATCAACTATCTGGAAAATTTAAAAAATAAAAAAAAATCAAATATTTTTTCCTTTCCTATTTCAACTTTATCACTGGGTAATGAAATAATAGAAGAAAATAATTATCTTATAATAATATTCAAGCTAAAAAAGAAAAGAAACCAATAAATTGATGAATAAAGGACTTACGTTTGAGCATCAGTGACTGCTAACACTATAAAAAAGAAAGGAAACCATACGTTACATATCACCAGATAAAAGACTAAAACATGACCAATGGTCTTGTTAAATAAATACAATTATATCAATCACAACTCTAAAGCCAGCTTCCAATTTTCATTAAAGATAGAAAACAAAGAAGCATGAAAAATTCTACACTGAGGCCAGGTGTGGTGGCTCACATCTGTAATCCCAGCACTTTGGGAGGCTGAGGTAGGCGGATCACTCGAGGTCAGGAGTTTGAGACCAGTTTCTATTAAAAACACAAAATTAACCTGTAATCCCCCAGCTGCTCAGGAGGCTGTGACAGGAGAATCGCTTGAACCCAGGAGGTAGAGGTTGCAGTGAGGCAAGATCACGCCTGTGCACTCCAGCCTGGATGACAGAGTGAGACTTCATGTCAAAAAAAAAAAAAAAAAAAAAAAAAGAATTCTACATTGAGTAATCTGCAAACTCCAGACTGTGGAACATTCTAAAAATCAAATAACCTGGATGTTTCAATAACTATATTATCCCCTGCAGAAATTAATTTTGTGACGGCTTTTGCTTTATGTTCCAAAAGGGGCTGCTGATCTTTAAAGCCCAATAATTCCCCTAGTATAGAGTAGCAACCCCCCTTATCCATAAGGAATATATTTCATGATCCCCCACTGGATGCCTGAAACCACACATGGTACCAAACTATATACAATATGTTATTTTTTTCCTATATATACATATCTGTAATAAAGCTAATTAATAAATTAGGTTTAGCAAAACATTAATAAAATAGCCTGTGGTTTGTGGGGTGGCAAACTCCTGTAATTCCAGCACTTTGGGAGGCCAAGGCTGGTTAGATGGCTTGAGGCAAGGAGTTTGAACCAGCCTGGTCAACATGGTGAAACCCCGTCTCTAATAAATATACAAAAATTAGCCAGGTGTGGTGGCACACACCTGTAATTCCAGCTACACCAGAGGCTGAGGCAGAAAAATCGCTTGAACCTGAGACGCAGACGTTTCAGTAAGCTGTGATCACGCCACTGTACTCCAGCCTGGGTGACAAAGCAAGACTCTGCTTCAAAAAAACAAACAAACAAAAAACATTAACAATGATAATAAAATAGGATAATTAGAACAATATTATATTTAAAAGTTATGTAACTATAGTCTGTCTCTTTCTCAAAATATCTTATTATTACACACGCAAATTTAATACCTTTCCACTTAACTAAGCACTTGTCATATACTGTGGCCACAACTTAACTTTTGTAGTTTGAGTTGTGACAGCAAAGCTAGCAAGAATTTATTTTTCCTTCTTCACAATTTTTGAGATAGAAGATTCATGCATACTGTAGATCTTAGCAACCACGCCATACATTTTTTTCTTTGCTTATTAGGTAATGAACTTTCACCTTTTCAATTGAAGGAAGCATTTTATGGCTTATCTTTGGCATATCAGAATTGCCAGCATCACTACTCTTGCATTTTGGGGCCATTATTAAGTAAAACAAGGGTTACTTGAATACAAGTGCTGTGATATTGTGACAGCTGGTAACCAACATGTCTATTAAGTGACTAATGGACAGGCAGCCTAGATAGCATGAATATGCTGGACAAAGGAATAAGTCACGTCCTGCGAAGGATGGAGCAGAATGGCAGCAAAATATTTCATTACAATACTCAGATTGGTGTGCAATTTAAAGCTACAAATTTTTTGGTAATTTTTATTTAATATTTTGGGAACAAGGTTGACTGAAGGTAACTGAAACCATGGAAAGCAAAACCTCAGATAAGAGGGGGGTTTAGCAAAAGGGGTTCCAGCAATATCCTTCATGAAGACAGCCAGGACAGTACCTGGTGCAAGACTCCCCCTTAGCCACATCCTTATTCCCTCCTCAATCTCGGGGTGGGTGTCTTTTGATTCCAGAGCTCATTGTTGAAATCACTTATGTGCTGTTACTAGAGGTATACAGATGGTCGAAGTATAACCACAGGTGATTTGTAAGGCATAGTACAGTTGACCCTTGAACAGTATGAGTTGTGCAGGTCTACTTACATGCAGATTTTTTTTCAATAAATACAGGTAGGTCTCCATGTCTGTATTCTGCATCAGCAACAAAAGGCAGATCAAAAATACAATACGATAGGATGTAAAACTTACAGATAAGAGGGCCTACTTTTCCCATATGTGAGTTCAACACGGCCAGTTGTGGGACATAAGTATGCCCAGATTTTTGTATATGAGGAGGAAGGGGGAGTAGGGATCAGGAACAAATCCTCCCTCCATGAATACTGAGGACCTAATTTAGTAAGTGTCTCTAAAAGATGGCAAAATTTGCATTCAGTTGCACTAGGCCAACATTCTGGAAATTATTTTTGCTTTTCTTTTCTGTCTTGAAGAAAATGCTTACATCCATATCTATAAGACAAAAAGAAGAGTGGTATTTTTCACAATGTCTGTTATTTATGACTTTATGCAAAATTATTTTTTTTCTGGAAATCTCTCTATTTACTGACACTTCTATTCTTGCTTCCAATTCCACGCTTGTGGAATGGCATACAATTGACTGAATGACACGCATTAGATCTCCTTGAATTGGTTCCTGCACCCCTGCTCTCCCAGAAATCTAGAGTTGTGTGTTGCATGTCTTACAGTCTAGTTTGTCCACCAACCAGACTGAAACCAGGAATTGAAACAAGCTCTCAAATTGGATGACTGGGAGTTCCTCTGCTTACTCTTTGGCTAAAAGTCTGTCTGTCTTGTGTCCCCTTCTGTCTAATGAGTGGAAAATTTTATAGAGGTTGCTGACTTCAGACAGCACCAACTAAAACCAAGTTAAGGCTGCAGGAGGCAGCATGGTTGTGTGGTGACATGGGTTAGGGCGTATGTATGATTACTTTTCAAGTTGTGCTATTGTTTAGGAAAATATCCTGATGAGTAGTAGTGCTTCAAATAATAATAACAAAATGTTTCACAACATAAGACAAAAGACAGGTCTTATTAAATACTCAGGCAAGATAGTCAAATTTTGGAGATGGTGATTCTCTGTGGTTTATGGTTCATATTATTGGGGACTGAGCCCCAAGTAAAAATTTAACTCTATTACATAGTTTAAATTACAGAAAAATTCAGCATAATAGAATTAGAGTGAGAGGATATATCTCACTATTCCATATGTGTTGTTTATTAAAGCACTAGTCTAGAGAGATTGTAGGTCAAGATAAAGTTTAATATTTTTGGAGACAGAATGTCATTGTAAACATTTTACTTAGACTTTGTGTATTTCTATGAGAGTCTTATTTTTCTTTTCAATGAAAGGAATAATCCTGCAGTTGGAACTCTTCTGAAATCTAAAGCAGGCAAAGAGCACTTCACAAGCCAGAAGTACTGCTCATTTCATGTGCATTTGATTCTGACATTAATTAAGACTCATTCATATAATTTTCATTCAAACAAAAAAAAGCCATGTTTTAGTCAGTGCTCTCTGCTCTCTAATTCATGCAAAAATAGTTTCAATATTTTAAACTTTGCATACATTTCACCCCTTTGATGGTGGATCTGTTCCATTTAGATTACTCTATAGTGCACACAAATAAAAGATTTATATGGCCAATTAATCTTCAAAAGTTTTTAAAAGGAGCCAGGCATAGACACAAAAGTGGTATAATTGAAAGTTAACTGTTGTAAATCTTCCTTTTTATCTTCTTTCTTAAAGAAGAGAAAGGCTTCAAAAAATTAGTCACACACACACAAACCACAGAGAGCCATCTGCCTTAGTTTATCAACTTCAGCCACTGATTAAATGTACATATAGGAACAATTGTCTGCATCTCAACAAAATTCACCAGTCAGTTGCAGCAGTTTCACGGTGGGAAGGTTAGGGAGACATGAATAAGTTTCTTGAGACGTTTCTTGAACCAATAGCTAATTTTCATTTCAGAAATAATTTTCTTTTTAAAATTTAGCCCTTTTTAGGTGATTTGAGTTCACAGGAGTGTGCAAACAACACAAACATTAAGAGTTTTAGAAAATAGGTTACACACAGTGGTTGGATATGTAATATGAGCACTTTGTCATCTTTGCATTAGGTAGAGATCACAGCCACATATCTTACTAAATTATGTCCTTATGATATGGGGTCATAGGGAAGGTTATCTAAAATATCAGGAGATATTAGAATTCTTAAGATGAACAAACTGAGAGGATAAACACAAAGATACAACCAGTGTTGCTGCCACTTGAAAAAAGCCCACATGGTCAGATAATATAATAAAAACCAGCCTGTCAACATTGCTCATAAAAAACCAAAAATCAAAATGATGCACATTTACAAAATAAAAACAGACTTGGCTGGGAAACAAAACAGCTTCAGAAACAATCAACAAGAATAAATGATCTTCATTGCTTGACTAGATATACTACAGGAGCCAAGAAAAGTGGATCTAGGTGTGAGACATAAAAATTGCATTTTAGAAGCAACACAATTTGTTTTGTTTTATTGGGTAGATCTGCCAGGAAATTTTAATATTACCTCTATCAATGAAGGAAAAATCTAGACAGAAAAATGTATTTTTATTTGCAAAGTTTTGCAGGAATGTTCAAAATACTATGAAAACAAAAAAAAAATCTTAAAACTTTAAAAGGAATGAAAAACACTGTAATGAATGAACATATAAATATTTTCATATTTATAATTATTTCAAGGGCAGTTGATTGATAGAGCAAAAATAATAGCAGTGCAATGTAGGATTTATAACTTTTAGAAGTAAAACATATGACAGCAATTATACAAAGCATGCGTAGGAGTGAAAGGAATTACACTATGGTAAGCTTCCTACAAATTTGAAAAGTGATATACTATTTAGTAAAGGATTACTATGAGAAGTTCAGGATACATATTATAATATCCAGATCCACCAAAATTTCTAATTTAAAAATTCATTAGAAGATATTATAGAGAATTCCAAAAATATTCAATTAATCTCAAAGACAATGGGAAAAGAGGAAGAACAAAAACAAAACCATAAGAATAAAATAGAAAACAAATGCAACATGGTAGACATAGGTTTTAAGGTTATCCCTGAATGCAAAGCATATTTTTTTCTCTTACTGAGGTATGTGATGTGTTTAGCCATAGTGGTTGCAGGAAAGTTCCAGTTTTGTTTTTTAAATGAGAAGAATGTATGAATCATTGCCTATCTGAAAAGCCAAAATAATTCTTTATCTCTTTCTCACACGTCATGTTTTATCTCTCATAATAGATTTATATTTTAGTTAAATGTAAACTTGAGAATCCAAAATAATTTTCTCTTGGAAATGAAAAGACAATACTTGCCAGGCACAGTGGCTTATACCTGTAATCTCAGCTATTCAGGAGGTTGAGGCAAGAGGATCACTTGAGCCCAGGAATTTCAGGCTGCAGTGAGCCATAGTTATGCCACTGCACTCCAACCTGGACAGCAGGGTGAGACCCCATCTTTACAAATAAATAAATAAATAGACGGTGCTTAATTATTTTCTACTTTACAGATGTGCCAGTCTAATGACCACCTGCTACTTGTTTTATGGAACAAGTTCATAGATATTTTCAACCAGAAGACTGATGACTATCATCAGTTAACAAAAAGTTTCTTCTATTGTTTTGGATGATTTATTTCTTTCCACTTTTTTCTTTCCTATACCACTGGACATTTTATTATAAAGATGTGGGTATGGCTCTTTCATCTGATATTTTCTGTTTTCGTACATTGTGCTTTACATTCTAGAAGATCTCCGCAGCCTTACACGCTAAATCAGTACATAATGTACATTTTTAGCTGCGAGAATAATTATTATTAGAAAGGCCAGGTGGAAATTTTTGGAAGTGTGCTTCACTATCAAAAAAGTAAACCAAAGACCAGCAAAAATAGAAGTACTTATTATATTACTACAGCGCCTAGAATATTTTAAAAGCCAAGTAAGAAAGTTCTTCTACATTCCCACTTAATCATCTTTTGGATTTTTGCTGTGCATCTTAAAGAACTGCCATAAATTAATGTAGGCAAAATTAGGTAGTGACTCCAATTTCAACTTATGTTTCATATACAGACTCTTTGGTGGGATAAATCAATAAAGCTAAGTATCTGGCAAATAACCAATGATTTTGTAAATGACTTCTGTCTATAAAAATACACAGGAGAAAATAGAGGCAATCTCTTTTCTCATGGACAATGACAACAAAGTACCTTCATTCAAAGCTATAACTTTGCTCTGGCCTTTATCACTTTTCCAGCTCTGCTTTATGTGCAAGGGTCTTCATTATGCTGACCCACAGCACTGGTGATCTAAAGATGAAAGTATCATACATAAAAATTTAAAGCCCCCCCACCTCATTGAAACGTCTGAGCTGCAGGTTTCTGAGGCATGTTAACATAGCTCCTTCAAAGTGAATAACAAATTGATTTGTCCTGAGCCCAGTATCAATAAGAAAGTGTTACAAGACAAGTCTCTGTATTTTGAGTCAACATGTACCGAATTTGCATGTATTGCTCTAGTTCATTCATATAATGACCATTAATAGTCTCAGCATAAAGAGATACCTAGAGCAAGAAAGTGTTCTCCAGCTTTTCTGGGATGCAGTGCTAACAGAGTTTTAATTTAGCCTGGAACCAACTGTGCTTGAAGTGTCTATTGCAGACGGTATGCTTTATGTAACCTTAGGCACACACTAATAGAAGAAACATAGAGTAGGTTCTGATAGTTTTAGAGCAAAGCAAACAATATCATCTTAGAAAATGAATATTTCCTTTTAATTAGGTAGTGAATTCTGGTAATTTGAAATTGCTTCCAGAAGTTAAGACTAGAGCCTGCACTTCCAGCTATTCCAAAAAAGTTTTAATCACCTGATGCTTGCTTATGTATCCCTGTCTTTCCAAATTATCTATTCTGTTATATACCATGAAATCTGAACCAAGAAACCATGTCTTTATGGTGCAGCTCAAATTCCCACTCCTATAAAAGGCACATCTGAATTGACTCAATTGGAAATTTTATCTTCCTTGGTCAGCTATCACATAGTACTTAAATTCTACCTTTCAAAAACACTTATTATATTATTCTCATGCGTGTTAGTGTTCTTATTTTATTGAGATGGTGAGCACTGCTCCTAATAGAATCTCCTACATAAACGTAGTCATATTAGTTCAGCATAATGATACCCAATACTGTATCAAAATATGTCTAATTTCATATATATGAATTCCCAATTCAGTAAGTAATGTTAATAAGCTTTCTTTTAATATCCTAAATTGTTTACCACCAATTAGATGATGAAATAAGTTTTCAAATAAAACTACATTTTTTAGGAAGGGGAGAAAGAGAAATCCAAATGTTCTCCCCAAAATGCCTATCTCGTCAATAAAATTAGATATAGTGAGCCTATTTTCCATATTAAGCATTATTTATTTTTTTAGTTTAGTAAAGATAAAGGAGCGTGATAAACATTATATAATATTTATCTTCCTGAAAACATCAATTCATTGATGTTAAGGTATAATACTGAAGTGTGGTATATGTTGAAAAATTAACATGCTTGGATAAGCATCCAAATATTTTATGTTTAAAAGTCTCTACCATAAGATGTTTTTGCTATTAAACAATAGAAATAATGAAAGAAAATTTTGTGAGTTACTTGATTCTAAATTCTTAAAATAAAACAATTTGTCTGCATATTTTGCACATTCATTCTAAATCTACCACTGTAGTTCACACATAGAAGTATTCATAGTAGTGGTGAGAGAATGGGTCTCAGGATTGCAGAACCAGTGTCTTGAGTAAGAATGATAAAACCTGGAAAAACAAAAGGATTAGACATTTTTAGATGTGCTCATTAATTTGCAACCCATTCTGCTCAGGAATTTTAGAATAGCTCTTGATATTTAGTGAATGGTGAAGTTATGTAAGAAAAAAAATGCTGATCAAAATCGACCCTACTAGAATTTATTTTTATTGCTCTCTCTTCTGCCACTTGCTATAGATGCTGAGCTTGGAACAGGCACATCATCTTGAGTATGGAAAAATGGCTGCTAAAGCAGACATATTCCAGGATTATTTTAAATTTTATTGTCTTTGTGAAGGATGTACAAAATATGAAGCTTTAACATCAAATAAGTCACTTATTATATTAATATTGAATAATAATTTTCAAAGGACCATAAGATATTGATGACATCCTCCTGTTAAAAAGGCTTTTGTGATTCAAAACACTGAAATTTTACCATTCATCACTTTGAGATGCCAACTTCAAAGATTAAGAAATCCTCCTCATTGCCCTTAAGTATGGGATAAAAATACTATTTAAAAATAGAAATGTATAATTTTTATACTGTGAAAATTTAGAAGTACATATTCTGAGCTAATAATTGGTAGCATTTTATGTACCATTACCTACAAGACATTATAGGAAACACTTTGTGAATCACTATTTTGATTGCTTGGATGTTGTCACAGATAGGATAAACTGAAATAAACATTGAGCAATTTATGAGGACTAGTGAAAAAAATATCTTTTTGGAATTAATAGAAAGAAATAAGAGTATTTACCAAATGATCTTGCAGTCAACTTTGTGGTTATAGGATGCTTAAAATCTACATCTGAAAAGCATATTAAAATTGAGTGCTCTCATTTTGTGTACTAAGCCCTTCTGCTTCATTTAATTATTTGTACTTACATTTTAACTTTGAAATTATTCTTTCATTCATTCATTAGATTTCATGTATCATTGAATGCTCCAATTATTTCTTCTTCACTTCGTCAAATGTCACTTAATGATTAACATATTGACCTAGTCAATGATAATACTTACTGACCACTATGTGGTAAAAACGTTAAAAATATAAAATTGGTCAAGAAGGTGTATCAAATATTACAAATGTACTACTTTCACTCAAATGCATGATATTGCTTTTACTGCACACTCTGGCATTTTTGTTGTCGTTGTTGTCCCTATACTGGATATCTACAGGAACTAGTCCAGACATTCTGACACATCTGCAAACCTGAATGTGGAAAGAGTTAACAGCCCATGAGGATCTCATGTTTTAATCTCTTGCCACTTTTAAGTTCTTGAATAAATGATCATTTATTTTAAGCTTATTTTAAATGGAAAACAATCTGTATTTCAATTCATATTCTTAACTCCTGCTTAATTTATTACGATTGTCAAACTCATAATCTAGTTATTTATCTTATCTGTATTCCCACCAGACCTCATATGGAAATAAACTCCAAGGTGGCAAGATATTAGTCTTTTTGTTAATTTTTGTCTCCTTACTGCACAGAAAATTTCCTGGTATATAAATATTCAATAACTATTTGTTGAATGAATTAATAGAATAATATTGAAATGGCAAACACAGGAGGCATAAGTATTTGAATGTGAAGACAGGGGATATGAATGAGATAAAATGTTGAGTTTTTGGCCTGATGTAAGATGCTAATGGGAAGGTGGTTCTGAGTATGAGCAATCATATCTGGACGCAAGATAAATATTTCAAAATTCATACCTTAGAAATATTCATTAAAGTCATTGGAACAAAGTAGATAATTAACCATAGCGCTACAATGGGGAAGAAAGGGAAATGAGCTTCGAACTCTGAAGAATGCTATTATTTGAAAAATCCATTGAAAAACTGCTTACAACTTTTCCACAAAGGAAGATAGCACGATATTATAAAATTCAATTAAAAAAGCAATAAAAGTCTATCAAAAGCTAAGAAGCAGCATCACCAATGCTGTTTGTCAAAAAAGATAGATTGTGAACAGTCAAGTATTTTGTAAAATGTTCACCAATGGGGAATTTTCTGATATTTTTCCTAAAATTAGACTTGGGTTATGGGTTTTTTGGAGGAACAGCATTGAGGTCAAACACTAGTCTCATCACCATCCTATCAAATGTACGTTATGTAAACATTACTTGTCACTGTTGACGTTAACCCTGATCTCCTATTTGAAATAGTGAGTGTCATATTTCACTACAATAAGCTATGTTTTTCCCCTTTTCCAAACAATACTCTTTGGAAGAAAGTCATTATGTGTAGCCCACAGTTAAGAGTAGGAAGTTATGCTCCACTTCTTTGAAAATAGAATGTCCTCATAAATTACTTGGAATTCTTCATGGATGATTTCTATATTCTGCTTCATTTATTTTTTATTCTATCATTTATTTATATGAGTATGGACTTATGGATATTTATTTTATACTTTTGGTACAATCTAATACTTCTATATTTATTTTGCTGCTCACATTTTTCCACCATTGACCATGGGTAGCACTTTTACTTAGCCCTTACATCCCTTCGACATGCACTCATCATTGTTTTGTAGTTGTTCCTGCTGTCACTATTTATTTTAGTGTCTGCTACAAGATCTTTATGTTTATTTTCTATATTATCTTGTATATTTTCTGTTCTTGTCCTATAATCAACCATGTATCCAAGGAATTTTTTTTTTAATTGAAGAATGGTATTAGGGACTAAGATCTTCATCCTCTTTGCTACTGAGGTGGCTTTGTTTCTAGGCCTTCTCAGCTGACACAACAAGGAAATATATAAATGTAAATGTATATATAAATATAATTGTGTGTGTATATGTGTGTATATATAGATAGAGAGATACATCTATATCTATGTTAAGCAAAATATGAGTTTAAACTAATGTGTTCAGCTCTAATTCATTACAATATGGATCATTCTGGACTCTTCTCCTTGCTTATGTGTAACCTCCAACTGTCTACTAGTGAGAAACCTAGCTCCTGCTATCTGCCATTCTTTTACTTAATTGTTCAAAACCAGCAAGTATCTATAGCGGTCTCACAGTTGTTTACTGCACTCCCATTGGAAATAACTTTATCAATTAGAGTACACTGTTTAAGAAGAGTTTCTTATGACTTTAGTCACAGACTCAGTCCATTTCTAAAGTTGCTTAGTTCAGCATCTCTTCTTTCTATCCTGTTCAGCCTGTTCAGTGAGATTATTTCAAGTGTATTTAATACAGTTAGATTGTTTTGTCACATTCTGCATTTAACTCTGCAATCTACCCCCGATTTTAAATGATATTTTAATATTGCATAAAATGTCTACTCTTTGTGTAGTAAAGGTCTATAAGTTTTGGTATATGCATAATATCAGCTATTCAAAATTACTGTAGCATACAAAATAGTTTCATCACCCTAAACAATCTTCTGTGCCTCGCTTCTGTTGTTTTCCCCACCCTAAACAGCTTTCAGCCACAGATTGGTTTATCATCTCTATGGTCCCTAGCTGTTTTTTAATAAAATAATATTTTTGCATTTTTGTTTATTCTTTCATAACATAAATTCTCTAAATCTACAGCAGCAGGAGCCAAAATGCCATTTCTGAAATATATTTTACACAATATCCCTTTATGATGTAACATATTTTCTACAAATAACACAAATTTAAAACAAATCAGGGATTTGCCAATGAAAAGTACCCCACTTATTTTTAAATTATTCACAGGCCTTTTACAGCCTCTGAACTACATACAAATCACGAGTCATCAGGAATACAGATTAAAATACTGAGAAATGTAGGAGTGACATATAGCTATAGCACATAATTATAAAAATTGGGCCAGGCATGGACTAATTTCTGTAATCTCAGCAATTTGGGAGGCTAAGGCAGAAGAATTGCTTCAGGCCAGGAGCTCAATACCGGCCTGGGCAACATAGTGACATCCCCATCTTTTTAGCAAATTTAAAAAAAATTATCCACGCATGGTGGCGTACGCCTGCAGCACCAGCTACTCAGAAGGCTGAAGCAGAAGAATTGCTTGAGCCCAGGAGTTTGAAGTTGCAGTGAACTATGCTCGTGCCACTGCAATCCAGTCTGGATGACAGAGCAAATCCCTGCCTCTAAAATTAAAAATAATAATTATTATAAAAGTTAGAAGAAAGACACTAATACTGGGACTGTGTGGTTTTTAATATCCAAAACCAGGAAATATTGGACTATATACAAGACATACAGGATTTTATCCAAATATGAAATATCAAATATTCAGAGTTAACATGAATATGACATTAGTATAAACAAAGAATAGTTTTAACAATAGAAGATTGTAGCAAATTTGATATATGAAAGTCAGGAAGCAAAATTCCAGAGCATTATGTCAAATACTTATGGCTCAAAAGTAGGATATAATCTTTGTTTATTTATAAAGGCATCATTCCCAAAACAGGGCATTTGTGATGCTCCAAGTGAAGAAAAGATGGAAGAATTAATAGAACTTTGCAAGGGTTTTCTAAGGCACTACCCAATTCTAAACTTATTTCAGTCTTTTTCTTTCTGGGTTAATTGTCTTTAAGAGGAAGCCTCAATATCCTTGAATCAATTGGCATGCCAATGAAGATTCCTGGGATAATAAAAAATTCTTTGTTTTATATGGAGTAAAGAGGAGAGAGTACCAATCATGCATAGACAAAAAGTTACTGATTATCAAAAAAGTGCCATGAATTTTGCTAGGCACAATCCAGATTTAAAAGACATATTTTCTGCTTTTAAGAAATCACACACAAATTGTTATGGCAGGAAAATAAATTAACAGTTACAAAATAACATAATAAATACCATGCAAAAAGTACAGTGAGAGCACTTAGCTTAGATAGACCTTAATCTAGGAAGGTTGGATACCTTTAAATCTGAATTCGATATTTTTCATACTGGAGGATATCTATGTTTCAAACATGCATGCTACATTGGATTTTCCAGGAAGCAGAATAACTACCTCAACCATAATTCATGCTTCCTGATTTAACTGAGGCTGTTGGGATGAGGCTGAGGAAAAACAAGAACAGTCTTTATTATTATTGCACCAGGTGATTATAACTGATGATTAACTATTGGATCATATGTAGGAGATCAGAGAGAGAAAAAAAGCGTGTGAATATTAGCTCAGAGTTATTCTGACCATAAAATGAGGCAATTCTGAAAGCAAGTTGAAATACAATGAAATATAAAGTACTATTTTGTAAAAGTTTACATTATGCATTCACAAAATTTCTGTTACCTGACACTTAAAGGGAGTGGAAATGAGTGCTAATGAATAATTTAATATTTCTACAGTTAATTAATGTGTCTCAGGTGTTCTGCCTAATATCTTTTTCCTAGTTCTCCTTCTTATGATGTACAAAAAAGAAAGTATAAAATATTGTTCATGTAGTCTCCCACTACCTGTAAAAGCTTTCGCCAAAAAAATACTCTGTAAGAAAAATTGAATTATCTTTTTTCTCTATTAAGAAATGGAATTATTTCTGATGTTTAGTAATGAGTTACACTACTTGCCTTTATGTGGACTAAATATTGTTATTTTTATGTATATTTAAAAGTTGGACTAGGAAAGATTTGCAATGAAAGTTTAGGGTTGATGCTTCTAACAATTTTGTACTACTGTTTTAGTTATATATATATATATATATATATATATATATATATATATATATATATATACCATTAACAACTGTGGTGTCAATTTATTCATGTCAGTATTTATTTTAAATAATAAAATTTCATGTTTGTTTGTAAGTGAAATAACTGAGATAATAAAAATACAAGATTATAACACCAAAAAAAAAAAAGAAAAAAGATAAATTGTAGGGACATTTTTTGAAAGAAAGCCTTTTAAGGGGAGAAGATGGGAGCCAAATAAGGGCTGAAAAATAAACTAGAGGTATAATGTTTGCTATTTAGGTGATGGGTACACTAGAAGCTCAAACCTAGTCATTATGCAATATACCCATGTAACAAACCTGCACATGAATCTACAAAAATTAAAAAAAAATCTTATGGCCCACATAACCTTGATTTTCTCTGCTTTGAACATTTGAATTGAGTAATTTAGCAATATTAGACTCCACTCTAATGTTGATAAATGTCAGAACTTCACTGTTTTGTTTATACTCAAAAATGGTTTGTGCCATATTTCCACATATATTCTGATTTTGCCCCACATTTAATTGGGTACTTTTTGTTGCCCTGTTCTTTAAGAAGACCAAAAACAACATGACTGCCCTGACTGTAAAAGTGTTAGTAACCTTGACAGTTATAAAATATCTCTGTGCTCTTGTGTCAGGTAGAAGTCCAAGGTTTCTTTCCAGTTTTATACATTTCAGCAAGAAACAGTGCTCAAGTAAAATTGCAGAGAAATGGTGTAATTTATTATATTCCTGCCGGACGTTAATGATGTGCTAGCAAGTAATAGCACTTTTACTCATGGCAGATGAAGATACCAGTCTAAGATTACCGGTGGGAAGAAAACATGATGAAAAGGTCTATTTCAAAATAACATATCCAAATTAGAAATCCTTTCAGTGATATATAAGGCTGATAGTATAATGGTAGAATCTTTGGTTTTTTTTTTCCTTTTCAGTTATGAGATTCAGTTACTGAAAGAGCCTTGGTAAGATTCTGAAATTTTAGAGTTGTTGACTTATCAGAGAACCACAGCTTATCATGTAAATGTAATGCATGCAAATTTATAAAGATAAGAGACAGGCACTTTTATAATCTTACTGAAAGAGATACTTGCTAGGTAAAATGAGAGCACCCTGAAACTTGTTTCTATTTATCGACTCACAGTGAATGTAAAGAATACAAATAAACTTTACTTGGAAATGAAGCAAATAAATAGGAACTGAAGATTTTTCAATCCTGCAGGAAGGAAAATTCTCTTCAGATTTAAGAAAAAAAATATCCTAGAGGGGCTGGTAAAGAGAACAAAAGGAATAAGAAAGTAGATGTCATATAATTTTAGGCCCTTTTCTGTCAGAGGAAAAGTTAAATGAATTAATCACGCAGAATTGAAACTGTCACTTGCTCATCTTTGACTATTGACCTGGCCAGGTATTCTTAGATCTGTTTCCTAAATTGTGCATCCTCCATTTCAGCAAACTTCATCTCCATTTCAACAACTAATTCCCCACTTTAGACCTTGTTATCAATATGAACTCTTCGAGGGTTGAAATATAAAACTCCATACTTCTCTTGTCCTTGGATAGGCTTACGTATCTCTCAGTTTCACTATTTTTGTGCTCATATATTATTATGCTCTTCTAGTCCCTTAGCTTTTCTTTCCCCTTGCTCTTATGTTTCTATTCCCTCTGCCCTTTTCTTTCTTTTCTCCCGACGTGTACACTTTGAGGCATTGCTTTAACTAAGATCCTCAGCTCTGACTGTCAACTCTCCACTCACACATCTGAAAAAATAATATTGTCCACATTTGTGATTATTTCCCTGTTCTGTTGTAAAGTATTCCTAATGGTTAGCATTCTTTAATTTCAAAATCTACCTCTAAAAAACTATTCTCAAGGACTATTTCCTTGGGGAAATAATGATCATCTCTCATGACACTAATCAATTAACTTTCTTTTAGATATTGAATTACTTTACATCTTTGTTCACAATTATCTGTTTTCTTATGCAGAAAGGACTACCTCTTTCCAAGGACATCTTTCTAGACAGCTCTCCAGAACTTATCTCGATTTAGATGCTAAGAGACTTCTTAAACTTATTGTGTTTAATGCTGAACTTCTGATTTTCAGCTATCCTCACCCAAAATCTCCTCCACCCACAGTTTTCTTATTCTCACTAATATCAATGCTATTTTTCCATCTGTTTAGATAAAAAAATGCTGGTGTCATTTTTGACTCCTTTCTTTTACTCATAATCAGTTTTAATTTGGCAAGAAATCCTGTTGACTCTACCTCTTCAATATATCCAGAGATGAAATTAATACGGTATCAAATACAATTTCATGATTTTGATTATTAAGCCCTGATTATGTAAGAAAATGACTTTGTGTTTTGGAAAAACACATGGAAGTATGTAAGGCACAGTGTCATTATATCTACAAATTATTCCCAAATCATACAAAAAGAATAATGATAACATTTGTATGCACATGTAGATCAAAACAGATATAGATACAGAAAAAAGAGGAAGAGAGGGAGAATGAAAGAAAATAAGAGATGAAGAAAGCCCAGTAAAGTGTTAACATTTGAGGAATTTTGCTGAAGTTTCAGGGCAATTTTTGTACTATTTTTAGAACTTTGAAAGTCTGAAATTATTTCAAAATAAATATTTGAAAAATAAAATATATTATCTTAAGGAAACAACAAAAATGTGTATATATAAATATATCCAGAATCCATATTTTTTCTTAGTCTATTCACTGCTAACCGTCTTGACTAAGCAATCATCACTCTCACAATTATAGCAATGGTTTTCTTACTTGTTTCTTCAGACCTGTTTATCCTTCCCCGACAATTGCTACAGTTTATTATCAACATAGCTACCATAATGATCTTTCAAAAGTATAATTGACAGCATGTCAACCCTCTGCAATAAACTGCAATGATTCCCCCATTTCATTCGGGTGAAATTCAAAGGGTTACAATGACTTAAACCATCCTGCATAATCTCATTCCTCATTCTCTCTCTGATTCCATCTTCTTCTGTTTTGTGTTTCTCTGAATCTATAGGAAGCTCAGTGGTATTGCACATAGAAGTGGGCTGCTGGGATGGCAATAGCTATGTATCTTCTAAAACTATCTTACATATCCTAGTGCGAGTAGTATCACGCTGTAAGAAAAACTACATAAAATTGTTACGCAGGTGGATATCCACATTTGGTATGGCCAAATAAACTAATATATATTCCTTGAGTACCCTGTATTTCCCAAATCATGTTATTTATTACACTTTTGTGTATTTTTAAAATTTATGTGTCTACTCTTAATTTGTAAGGTCTTCGATACCAGGGGTCTAGGAAAGTATTGTACATTACAAGGATCAAAATGTTAGTTTACCTAATATCCCACTGTTTTACACTCATATTCTTTCTTCTAAACTTCTTCAGACTAATGAATACTTTTTAAGGGCTCTTCTTGAATTTAGATTTTTTTTAGACATCTAAGACTACCTTCATAAGCCCCTATTTACAAGACTCTGAGCACAAATAATAACATCCTCTCCTCTACTTGAAACACTGCAATAGATACCACAACCAATCTAGGTTTCACTTATTCAGTCCTAAGTGATTTAGAAATAAATATTACATCTACTTGTTTAGGTTCCATACACAAATATCCAACTATTTCTATGTATTTCACATTGAATAAAACACCAACAAAAACAAAAAGTGAGTATCATGGGATGTGGCTGATGAGAATAAGAATTTTAAGTGTTATTAAGAACGGTAGATATTATATAAAAAAGATAAATTATTTAACGGGGTTTCATGCTGTAACTGCAATGTGGGAAAGTATTGTTGGAAATCAAAATTTGAGGCAAATGTGCTATATGGGAAGTTAAAATGCAGTAGTTTACACAAGAATTTATTGTAACCTGAACCAGGTTTTTGGGATTTAAAAAATGAATAAATAAATGTGAGAGATACTTAGTATATAGTATTGAGACATTGCCATAATTAGTCATAGGGATGAGAGAGAAGTTAAAGATGGATTTCAGTTCTCTAACTTTGTGCACGTTTGCATTCAATGAAGAGTGAAGATGGAGCGAATAGCAAAGTTTTTGTCATGAGTGATGATATCTGCTTTTATTATTTTCTTTAATATTAGGCCAGTGAAAACAATATCTAAAAGACAATTTTAACAATATATCTGTGGCTCAAATATATGATCTGTGACTAATATATTAGATTATGGAATTCTAACACACATATGGGATCTTAAGCAGTGAGAATGAATGAGATGTTTGGGGAAAAGTGTAAATTGAAGTTCACAAAGCCAGATGACTACCCTGGTTGTTCAGATAATGAAAACAAGCTTCCCAGATGTAAAAGTAATAGGGACGGTTTGAAAGCAAAGACCACATGCCTCATTTAATGAAGCCAGCTGGTCTTTAACACTAGGGAGTTACCAGAGCATCAAATTTTGAAGGGAAGCCAGGAGTCTATATTTTTTACATAAACTGTTGTACGTTGTAGTCATTCTTTCAACAGCAATATAAATGGTCTCTGAATGTCTTACATGAACAGAAAAGTTTTTGTAATTGTATATATCTTCACATAACTTATGAGAGACTAAAAAGTGTTTCATCTTAGAAAGTAGACAGGAATCAAGGGGTCTAAGGAGGTTTGGCCAAATTGTGTGTCAGGACAAACTTCATACACAATTTGCTTAAAACATCTTCAACATACTGTTGACTACAGCTTAGATCCATTTCTACTCACCCAAATCTGTATTCAAAGTTCCAAAAAGGGAGAGAGACTGATTAGGGCCAATATCCTCTGTCTCATATGCTGTGAGCAAGAATAAAGTGGATTCACCTACTTATGATTGTCCCCGTTACTTTGCTGCAATTTACATGTCTCCTTTCTGGATGGTGCCAAAAGCACTGCATCCTCTTACCACTACATAGTAGGGAAAGTCCCTCCAAGAAGAGTGGAGAATCTGCCCTGGACAGCTAAATATCTTTTCTACAAGAAAAATTCAAGCTTTATTTTAAAAAATGTGTGTCAAACACATATTTCTGGCCCAGTTATGATTCACAGGCCACATTTTGTAGCATTTTATATTAGAGGGAAAGAGAGATACAGAGAGAGAGAGAGAGAGAGAGTCAGAGAGAGAAAGAGGGGGAGAGTGAGCGACTGTGTGTGCGCCTTGGACTGATAAAAACCAAGATTGAAGAAATATGTCTAATAAAAAGCCTTCACATCAGACTACTATTCCTTGCAAAATTTAAAGAAAAATATCTGGTATTAGGAAGCCTAACGTGTTACTCAGTTGGAAGAGGTAGACCACAATATGCTGAAATGAATGATTACCTTAGATCAAAATGTGTGTTTTGGATTTAGTAACGTGGCGATTATTATCATAGTTCCAGGTGTACAAATCAAAATGAAGGAAGGTAAAAAAAATTAAAAATATGAAAATATGTGGAGGACAAATATAGACAACTTTCGGAAATATTTGTCTGTAAAGTGAAATAAAAAGATAAAGTAAATGCAGAATAGGTTATCGACCTCATTCTCAAATGTGAGAGATTTGGACAAGTTTAAATGATAAGATGGCACATTTAGAAAGGGATAGATTAACAATATAGAAGTAAGGAAAAAATTATTAAACTGTAAGGCAAGCAAAGGAATGGCCCAATGGTGTAGGTAAAGAGATTAGACCTAGGTAGGAGGGTCAATGACAGTTTTGGTCAACTGGTGACGGAAAGCCAATAGTGTTTCTTCCAACAAAGTGACAATCTGAAATAAAAGCGAATGTCGCCTCCTGAGAGTTAGGAGATGGAGACTAAATCCAAGTTTTGAGGAGATTAAATAATATTTAAAATAGTTGTGAGAAAGAAAGGATTTCTCTTTTTTAACATTTAATAATATGCATTGTCTCGGCTGTCAATAAAAATTGGGAATCTTGTTCATGATTATAAGTTTTCTCATCACTCTCTTCCAATTTGTGTCCTTGGTTTCTAAATTCTGTCAATACCACCAAACAAATATCTCTCAAATCCACATCTTTGCATATTTCATACCATAATATTATTTCACAGCATTCTCTCATGTGGGCTTTTACAATATCTTGCCAACTGAAATCATCTACCATTTCTTTAACCCTTGCAATAACTTTTCATAATGTTTTCAGTTATCTGTTAACAAAACTTATCTAATTGGTCCATATGATAAAGTAGAAAAGTATTAGCATGAGAAAGCCTATGACTGGTACCTAACTAGATTTCTATTCTAATCTTCCCCATACTCAAATAGCGTGCACAAACTGAAGCTCTCAAGATTTCCTTAATTGAAATCAAGATGCCCACTTAATTGTTAGTTCATTTGTTGTTTATATTTTACAATGTACTTATTTTCTGTCTTTATTAGTGAATTTCCGTTCTTTAAGGTCTTGGTAAAATATCTTCTCTTTGGTCAAACATACTCCTTTCTTCCTTTATTTCTTATGTTTCCAAGAATTTTCCCTTATGTTTCCAAAATAATTTGTACATATATATTATATTGTGCTTATCCTACTAAATGTTGCTTAAAATGTTTAAGTGTCTATCATTTTTATTCCAATGCCTGTTACTTGACCACAGTCATTAACTTCTGAGTAGATATGTTATTTTCCAGTAAATATTGTAATATACATAAAAAACATAACAGTAAATATTGTTATATATATATAAAAAACATAACACCTTATATATGTGTGTGTTTGTGTGTGTGTATAAAATGAAATGTAAGATTTCATTATTCTGATTTTGATTTTTTTAATTCATTAATTAATTTATTTTTTTGAGACGGAGTCTCATTCTGTTGCCCAGTCTGAAGTGCAGTGGTGCGATCTTGGCTCACCGCAACCTCCACCTCCTGGATTCAAGTGATTCTCCTGCCTCAACCTCCCGAGTAGCTGGGATTACAGGCGTACACCACCATGCCTCACTAATTTTTGTATTTTTAGTAGAAATGGGGTTTCACCATGTTGGTCAGGCTTGTCTCGAACTCCTGACCTCGTGATCTGCCTGCCTCAGCCTCCCAAAGTGCTGGAATTACAGTTGTGAGCCACTGCACCCGACCTATTTATTTTTGAGACAGAGTCTCACTCTGTCTCCAGGCTGGAGGCTTGTCTTGAACTCCTGACCTGGTGATCTGCCTGCCTCGGTCTCCCAAAGTGCTGGGATTACAGGCATGAGCCACTGCGCCCGACCTATTTATTTATTTTTGAGACAGAGCCTCACTCTGTCTCCAGGCTGGAGTGCAGTGGCACGATCTCGGCTCACTGCAGTCTCCACCTCCCAGGTTTAAGAGATTCTTCTGCCTCAGCCTCCCAAGTAGCAGGGGCTACAGGTGTGCACCACCATGCCCAGCTAATTTTTGTATCTTTAGTAGAGAAGGGGTTTCACCATGTTGGCCAGGATGGTCTTAATCTCTTGATCTCGTGAGATTTTTAAAATATTATTAGAAAACAGCATAAGTTTAGCTTTATCCTATCTGTGGCCTATAGGGCAAAGAAAGATTCTTTCACGTTAGTATTGGTTTTCTTTTCTGGAAAATTGATGTCAGGGTAGAATACCCTAATCCATTACAGGTCAGCATATAGGTTGTGAATGCACAGTTTTTCTACAAATGTTTTTACCCAAAATATTTAGATATTTGAGCAGCCCTGGGGTATATTTATTCAGGTAGAATCATTATTCCTAAAATCTCATTCAAAAGTGTATTTACAGACCCTGAGAAACATGTAGAAAAGTGTCAATGTCAGCAGTGGGATTAGCTGCTAGGTACAGTTTGGAAATTCTTTAAATGGGGCAAAAGCTCTTGAGTAGAGAAAAATAATGTTTTCCCGTTTGCTTTCTTAGAGTTAGTTCTCATGGAGAAAATATTAGTCTAGACATGGTTAGATAAATTTTAAAATCATTCTGGATAAATAATAAATTGATTATTTTATACAGCTAAGTGGAAGCTAAAAATCAATCTGTAATATTTAGTGTTACCAAATGTTTCAGAATTTTAAAAATAGTAATTTATAGATTAATATTTATTATAAATAATAAAAATTATGCTTATTCATTCAAACCATTCGATACTACGTTTCTGTTATTTAAGATCAACTTATAATCTTAATGATATCAGAAAAAGGAAATAATAAAAATTATATTAATATCAAATACAGTATTTACTCACACTTACATTGCTTCAATAAAGGTTTTGCTTTGACATATAGTAGCTAATTGATAAGTCCATAGAAGTGTGTAATAGTGAGTTAGACAAATGAGTCACAGGGTACAGCTTCATCTTCACTCCGTGCCTGTTTTTAGACACTTTCCCCTGTGAAACAGTCTAGTCCAAATGTAACAACTTCTTCAATTTTCTCAAGTATTAAAGAATCCTCTGGTCATTTTCAGTTAGAAGACTATTTGCCATCTAATAAATAGGTCTAGTCCAATACAATAACTAAACTCCAAGCTTTATTCCAAGTTAAATCTTTGCGCCTTGTCCAGCATGAGCACAGTGCTAGTCAAACCTTTTGGAAGGAAAGGGATCTGGACCAGTTTCTTCTCTGTCAACCTATTTAATATCCTATTCCTCCTTCCTTATTCACTAGGCTGCTTCTGGTGATCTCGGAGTTGAAAGAAGAGAGCAAAGCTGAAGAGGTCAGATGCAAAATGGTCCTCCTTTCCTGGCATCAATGTAGTTAGGCTTTGTTACCTCTGGTCTTGAAGTCACTAGGCTAACGCACCCTTGGTTTGGCAGATAATAAAATCAAGCTCCTTTTTTTGGTCATGGGGTTATGCGGAGGAGCTTATTTGTGAGTTCCTCAGAGATACCCACTGGGGATATTTGACTAGACTTTCTTTGACATGCCCATTATATTTTCTTCCTGGTGATCACTTACAAATCTCCTTTCAGCCCTGAAAAATTTGGCATTCTAGCCACCTTCTTATGTATTTGTTTAGGGGTTGACGGGTATTCCCTCTCTAAGCAATATTATGGGAATCATTTAAGATGCCTATAGGTTCCCATTCTCTGATAAGTGACATGTATTTGGCAAGCAAAGCAAATAAACAAACCAGGAAGAATAGAAAAGAGAAAAAAATAAGAAAATGTATGCATTTTTTTCTCCATAGTCAGTGAAAATATAAGCTGGAAAGGGTTGACTCTAATGCAAAATTTAAATATAGAAACCCTTGCTTTGAAAAAAATAAAAAGATTCTGTTAGAGGTAACAAATTAATTTTTTAAAAAAGAATCTCCTCTTCCACAGTCTCTCTACCTGTCATTTTTTTAAAAAATTGCTGTTTAACATTGAGCTCCCTCACACATGGGGATACTTATGGAATGCATGCAGATCCTCACAGGTACCTGGGGGCCTGCAACACAACTCAAGGAAAAGCCCACTGCCTGCTGGCTTTCCTCTCTTCAAGCTTTTAGTCAGATACACAGTGTGCTGGGTTGGGATGGACCCACCACACTACCCAAGGCTGACAAGCAAACCACCAAGGAATTGCAATCTCTATACCAAGCTGTAATAAAACCTTGGATCAGGGGTAGATAACAACTTGCCCCTTCAAGTCAATGTCTGAATGCACTTTGGCACTGACAGCCCAGAGCAGGGATAACTGCAGCATGCCTCATCCCAAGATGTCACAGTATGTGTCCACCAAACCCTGCAAATTTCCATGAATGTGTTCAAGTTACCTATTAAGGCAGACAGCAGTGGAAGACCACAGGGCTTCCCGTGTCAATACAAGCTGGAGTTCATTCTGAGCAGTCAGTGACAGTGGAAGCTGGGCAGAGGTGAAAAGTGGTAGGTAAAAAGCTAGCTACCAAGAACCCATCTCAAGCAGGCATTGGAAGGCAGGGCCACATGTGAAGCTCCAGAACCGCTTTCCTAGGGACTTACCTTTAAAAACATAAATGTCACTATTAAGAGTTTCAATATGTCAGTCTCACAGCATTAAGCCCCTGGTAGTTCAGGTATCTCTTGAATGTGGAGCCCTGTCAGACTGCGCTGGTTGTCACCCATGAAGAGGCCCCTGACTATGGGTATCTCTCTCTCACGCATGCTCTCAGTCTCTTTCTCTTACTCTCTTCTCACTCGCTTTCACTCTCTTGCTCTTTCTCATTCATTTTTCTAAATTTCTTCTGACGCCTGAAGATGAGTTTCTTGTCTTTAGATTGCCTAAGCAGGTATAAGTTCCTAATCCAGTACATCCCCTGCCAACACTATAGGGTTTAACACTTTACCTCAATAAGGGATTTGCTTAAGCCGCTCTTAAAACACCTATGGGAAGGAAAGAAGCAGGATTAGTACTCACCATCCTTCCCTCATGAGAATGGACTGAGATGGTGGATAGACAATAGACTCAGTGAACAAAGTGAGTACGATGCAACATTGAGTCCAGTGAGGGCAACACACTGAAAAATCTCCCCAAATAAATTCCTCCCTTTAATTTCCAAATTGCTCTTCCAATTGTAGATCATTGATGTGTAGTCAAATGAGTGATCATACTATTAAAAAGCACCTCCTTTCTAAGACTACAATGGTCATCGCCTATGAAGTGGCCTGTGACTGCAGGACACCTCTCTGTCTGTCTCTGAAGTCACTTCATACAAAATGGATATACTTTTACAGGTGGACACATATATAAGCAATCATAAAGTAAATATAGATATGTGTGTGCTGCATGTTTTATAACCATAAGCTAAATTCTGCAATTTAAATAATAATCTCCTCTGGAAAAACCACTGAAGTTTGCAGGCACATTCTTGAAAATTCAAATAGTTTTTGTGAGGCTATACTCAGAAAAGCTAACAAGCTTACCGATTTTCCTAATTAACCTTAAATTATCAAATCAAACATCAATGGCTGAAATAACTTAGAGAAATTCGTTAGTGTGTATATTTTGTTCTATTTTATTTCTAATGGCAGAAGTTATTAGACATTTGTTTAGTCTGTGTTTTTGGTTTTTGGTTTGGGTTTTTATTTTATAGATGGGTTCTCATTCTGTCGCCCAGGCTGGAGTACAGTAGTGTGATCATAGCTTACTGTAGCCTGGAACTCCTGGTCTCAAGTGATCCTCCTGCCTCAGCCTCTCAAGTAGTTGGAATTACAGGGTCGAGTCAAAGGCACACCCAGCGCATTTAGTCTGTTTTAAAATGAGTGGCTGTTTCAACTTATCTTGATAGGAGGGCTTCAATAATTCATTATTTCCATACACCTTATACATCTGTTTTTCTGGCTTAAATTTTCCTCACCTAGTTCCCTATTTCTCACTTTCTAATAAAATTCATCTACTTTCAATAATTCAGTTTAAATCTCTTATTTTTTTTCCAAAATCTCTATTATCCTCTCATTGTGTTCATTGTGTAGTATTTCCTTCCATAAGAATTCCTAAAAATACCAATATCTAAAACTATCATTTAGTACACAATAATTGTGTTGTGGACCCACTTGAATCACTGTCTTAATTTTATTTTATTCTTAAGAAATGTGAGGCTGTAAAATATTTTTCTCATTATAGGTCACAATCTCTTTGATGGTAAGTGCTATAAGTGATTATTCTGGGGAAGTAGGAGGGAAATGGAGTTACGGAATGTAAATAAACAAAAATAAACAGATAGATGAATTGATAGATGATTAAATAAACAAATAATTTCAGGAGTTTCACATGGTACCTGCTGACAATATGGCATAAACTAAGGATAAGGATTTATTCAAATTTTCATACTTGGTACCAGAATGCAAAATGAATTATACAAAAAAGTAAAAAAAAAAAACAAAACTAAATCAATAATTTGTTTAATTTTCAAAATAAAATCAAGAGGAAGAACAGAAGGATTTAATTACTTTTCTCTTTTTCACAAGACCCTTAAAGCTTAAAACTTCAGGCAATGCATGTGATTTTGTGTTCTATTAGTTTAAGAAATGTGTCTTTAGTTATCACTCTTTCTGGCTAGAGGAAGAAACACTAGCTGCACATTCTTAAACCTGGCAAGATTAGAATTGAGAGAGCATTAAGAAACACAATAATGAACCAGGCACTATGTATGGGACAAGAACTGTGAGGAGGGTCTCTAATACATAGAAAAACAAGGCATAACCTTGCCAAAGAAGGCATCAAGGCGAATATAGATAAAATAAACAAAGATTATTAAAAATAGTAAGTGGAAATCACAAGTGGAAGGAAATGGAAAAATAATAAGTGGAAAATAATAAGTGACAAACATAAAGGATAGGGCATTTGTGAAGAATTGCTTTTTTTGTCTCCTGGTGTCTGCAAAATATTTGTTTGAAGATTGGATGAATAAACTCAAGATTTTGTAGAACTTCTATAGCTGAGAAGATGCCATTTCTTCTTACTACTTTAGGTCTACTGCTTAACATACATTAGGTGCTTAATAAATATGTGTTAAATAGGTCAATTTTTTTCCAGATAATTGAATATTGAATAAGTTAGTCAATTAAATACTTTTTTAGGTTTTTAATTAGAGACAACTTAATGAAATATGTAATTTTTATTATGTATAATAGAATGTGAAAATAAAAAATAAAGATCTACACTATACTTATTTACTATATTTACTTACTCAAAAGATCCTACAGATAAAAAAACATGCATCTTTAAAGCTCACATTAGGAGGGCTTGACATGTTTAAACAACTATTGCTGGCTACTTCTTATTTAAATGGTTTTTCCCTGTTGGAAGATTTTTAAAGATTTTATACAAATTGGAAGCTTTTCTTTCTCTGTTTCATAAAACAGACTCAAGTATAAAAACACAAAGACTAGAGAGTATTCTAAACAGTGAGATTTGGAATTCATATAGCCCTGGAGATGCAACATAGATAGAAGTAATTTTCTGCAAAAATTGGCAACCATAGCAACTGTACAGAACATATTAAAGAGGAATACAAATCCTTGTAAATCAATGTTGTTTAAATTAAGCAGTATCTAGAAGGAATAGTGCTAGCTGGAGCTACAAAAATATAATTAGTAAATCTCTCCCCTTAATGTGTGAATTTAAGAAAACAACATGACAATAATTTGATTAAAATGTATTGATAGAAAAAAGAATTATATTGATACATATTGATAAAACTTGAATAAAAGTGTGTAGAATTGTATGAGAAAATGCATAGAACATAGACATATACAAATAATTGAAAGTGATAAAAGAAGAGATGTTCAAATAAGATTTGGGTCAGTTATATAGAAAGAAAAAAGTAATTCAAAATTATGAAACATATCATAAGCTATTCAGAAATTTAGATTCATAATATTAATATGGAAGGGAAGTGTTGGGAAGGGAAGAGTGTGGTCCCTTTAAAAGATACGGAAGTGGGGAAGGGAAGCCCTGGGTAGAGAAGTGTATGGTCCCTTGCTATGGCTCCACCTTCACAGACCTAGGTGAGGACAGGCATTTCCTACCCAAATGTTACATTTCCCAAGACCACCCTGGCCTGCCAAGCCTCCATCCTGTGCCCATAAAAACCCTGAGACCCTAACAGGCAGGCATACAGGTGGCTGAACATTGAGAAGAGCACATAAGCGGAGGAACACACAGGCAGCTGAACCTCTTGACAGGTACCTGAACCTCTTGACAGGCACGTGAACTTCTTGACAGGCACTGGCATGCCGGCAGGCCACCGACGAGCAGGCCACTGACCGGCAGAAGCAGAACGAAACAGAGTTTAGCTGGGCAGTCAGATGAGAGCCCAAGCCGCTGAGTAGCCCAACTGCAGGGAAAATCCTTCCCACTCCATTCCCTTCTGACTTCCCTTGAGCTACCTCCATTCAATAAGACCTTGCAATCATTCTCCAAGCCCAGGTGTGATCTGATTCTCCCGGCACACCAAGGCAAGAACCCGGGATACGGAAAGCCCTCTGTCCTTGCTACAAGGTAGAGGGTCTAATTGAGCTGGTTAGCACAAGCCGCCTATAGACGGCAAAACTAAAAGGCATCCTGTAAGACACGCCCACTGGGGCTTCGGGAGCTGTAAATATTCACTCTTAGACACTGCTGTGGGGTGGGAGCCACACAGCCTGCCCGTTTGTGTGCTCCCCTAGAGGTTTGAGCAGTGGGGCACTTAAGAAGCGACCCACATCCCCATCGCAAGCTCTGTGAGGGGCACAAGGGAACCTTTCCCGTTTCAATACTATCAAGGTTCTAAAAGGAAAAGGATGGCAAACTCTTAGTAGTCTAATGTGAATGGAGTTTAATTACAAAGCTAATTACTTACAAACATATAGTTTTAGGGGAACCACAAAGACACTGTAGTAACAGAGCTGGTAACAATAAGGTATTATCATCTCCCGATCCAAAGGAAAAGGAAGGGGAACATATTTAAGAAATCAGATATTACAACATATCAGAAACATGCAGAAGACAGAAGAACAGAACATTAAATAGGGTCAGGGGTCTTGAGATAAATGTAATTTTTGCCAGGTGTAGAAGTCAGAAGCTTAAAGCAACTTAATAGGAAGGTAGACGAGAAAATAAATACTCTAACTTCATCTTCTGCCTCCCTACAATCTCCTAATGAGGCTTTCCATAGTCTGACCCCAGCTGAAACCAGAGACACAGAGCACTATTGATGAAATACTACAGATCAATTTCCTGAGCCGGAACCCAAGGAAAAGGCAGACAATGAGGGAAAATAGAGGGACATACAACAGATAGAACAAGCAGCCACGCTTAGGTTGTTCAGTGAATCTTCACCATGGTCATTTCATGATACTTTTTCCTAAGTATTCCTTTTATTTCTGTCATTTTTCTTTATTTTCTTGATAAACTCCAATGGTAAAGTATTCTCTCAGGTCCAAATAACATTGCCATTGATTATTCTTGTGCTCCTATTTCCATAGACCAGTAAACCATACCCTATTCAAAAGTGTTGTTTTGTATCACCTTTTATGCTTTGGAAGTACATGGTGTTGGATTCCTCAAAAGTTTTGAATCTGAGACAGGATTTGAGATAACGTGATTTGTGAAGGCAATGCTCCCACAGAAGAAACAGGGAAGACGGTGAGAGAATTAAGGCAGAAAAGGGGAACTCTTCCCGAATAGAAATGTTTATGAAATCAGTAATTTAGTTTCTTAACTGAATAAACAATGCATAGGGGAAGAAATTTGAACATTGGAGACACAAATACATTAGTAATGACTTTAATTATTACAACATATTCAAAAACCACTAAGATATGTCTGATGCAGAAAGAGCTACATTGTTTAACTTTTGAAATGTAAGAAAAAAAGAGAAGAAGGACTTTTTAGGTCATCTTTCATTATAAAAATATCCCTGTGTTTTCTTACTCTTTTTAGAGTGTGACTTCGTTACTTACTCAGCACTCTCACCAGACACAAACACAGCCTTCCTTCAAAAATTTCTCTAAATTTTCCATTTATTTTGCCATTGTAAATTGGGAGAACAGATATCAAATTGCATTTGAGTTCAATTTCAACTAAAAATTACACTTTGTATTAGGCAATTCGAGAGTGGGAGGGCTACACTTAAGAGCACGGGTTCTCTTGTTCCATCAGAATACATAAATGTTCTGAAAGAAGTGTCCGCCAACTTTCCCATTGAATGATCAAGTGCAAAACAATCCAGCAAGATAATTTTATGATGATTAGTTTTGGAAGATTAATAACTTTCTCTTTTACCTCTGCTCTTTCTAAGATGTTAGAATTGACGTTCTCATTTACAGACACATTAAAAATATTTTACAATGTATTAAATAATCTGCTCAATTTAAACATTTTGGAAAACAAGAATATCATAAAGAAAAATATGTAAATTAGCTGAAATTGTATCTCTTTGATAGATCCATGTTAAAATTCCCTTGAACTATTTTTTTTTTAGTTTGAGGTATAAAGATATCTCACATATCCACACATATACATAGGTGCATATATATGATTATACACATATTTTGGCCATGCTATATAAGGAGACTTTTAAATTATACCTTATTAATTTAAAACTAAGTTGCAACAATTTTTATTTCAACTCTAATTATGCTTTGCTTTAAAAAAAAAGGCAACAGTCCAAATGTGGGGTCCAAAATTTCTATTATTAATTCAGGATAGATTCCTAGAATCACTTGGTTAAAGGGAATACTTTTTTTTTTTTTTGAGATGGAGTCTCACTCTGTCACCCATGCTGGAGTGCAATGGCGCAATCTAGGCTCACTGCAACCTCCATCTCCCGGGTTCAAGCAATTCTCCTGCCTCAGCCTCCCGAGTAGCTGGGATTACAGGCACCTGCCACCATGCCTGGCTAGTTTGTTGTATTTTTAGTAGAGACAGGGTTTCTCCATGTTGCCCAGGCCAGTTTAGAACTCCTGAGCTCAGGCAATCTGCCTGCCTCGGCCTCCCAAAGTGCTGGGATTACAGGCGTGAGCCACCATGCCTGGCCAAGGGAATACATTTTTAAGGGCTTCTGATGCTTTCTTTCCAGAGAGTTTTTTATCCTAGAGAATAGTATAAGACTGATTATTCCGCAGCAAATTTCCAGCAATGAAGATCATCTTTGTTGGTTTCCCAATATTTGTCAATTTTACACACACAGAAAAAAAATGGTACATTACTATTTAAACATGCAAATCTTCTATTTCTAGAATATTTGAATATTTTTATTAGCAATTTATATTTCTTCATTTAGGTCCTTTGCCATTTTTCTATTGACATGTTAGTGTTTTTCCTTTCCTTATTAACTTTCATAAAATAATGACTAATATATTAAGTCTATGTCTCTCATTTCTTTACATGTATATTTTTACAAATATCCTATAGTATAACATTTTATGAATATTGGCAATAACGTAAAAATGTTTGGTACTAGTCAAAAATATAAAATGTTTACTAACAGTATCCAGAACTGCTGAATTTTGCTCTGCTCTCTAGCAGTTCAGCTGTCACTTACAATTCATATTCACTTGAACTTTGTATATTCTAAATCTATTGTTACCAGAGCAACTTCAGGAGCTTGTGCCAGGCCCACTTAATTTCCCTCCACATGTGTCTACCTACTTTTTTTCTTGAAAAGCCTTAAAGGATAGTCAGGGTCAGGCCAATTAAACTAAATGTTATCTGGGAACTAGCAAGAGGTTAGAAAGTTGTTTGGTTTGTTGATGACAAAATAGATTGTTTCCTTCTTTAATGAATACACATAATGGCAAGTACTTTAATGAATCCATATCCTACCAGCAAAAGCCAAGAAAGTTGCCTTAGGGAGGTCAATTATTTTCATGTCTTTTTAGTGCTCATTTTATGGATTTGTATGGCCAAATTAATTAGCACCAGGACTATGTAAGAAAGTGGCATGAAAACAGGCTCTTTTACCTAATGTGAGTAAGCATGACAAAAAATAATTAAAATGGAGTCATTTCTTGAGGGTTTTCAAATGTTATTTTATCTATTTTGAAAGAAAGCTTAGCTGCAAAATACAAGATATTATTAACACACATTAGTAAACCTTTGTATATTTACTTGTCAAAACTCCACATTTTCTTTAGTCCTTCTGTTTCTTTCCTATGTGTGGTTGTACAAGGATGTTTTACTCACTTTCTTTATTATTCATATAGAAAAGATATAATAAATCTCTCATAAGTTTTTCCCTCAGTAACCAAGGGTGACTGGTTCTAGGACCCCCCATGGATACCAAAATTTTCAGATGTTCAAGTCCCTGATATGAAATGACATAGTATTTGCATATAACCTATGCACATCCTCCTTTATACTTTAAGTTATCTCTACAGTACCTATAATACCTAATACAACATAAATGCTATGTACATAGTTGCCACACTGTATTGTTTAGAGAACGATGGCAAGGAAAAAAGTCTGCACAAGTTCAGTACAGATGCTTTTTTTAAAAAAAAATTGGTGATCTGTAGTTGGTTAAATTCACGCATGTGGATCCCAGGGATAGGGAAGGCCAATTGTGTTATCACAGTATCACGAAAATTCTACTAGATGTAAAGTTCAGGTCATCTAATCCAGCCCACTTTTTAAAAAATGAAAAATTTGATATGTCCATTGAAAAAATCCTATGAACTAATTGCTCCACTTTATAATAAAACAATAATTAACAGTCAGTAACCACTTTCGGTATCAGAGGGTGTTCTTATTTGTAAGCATTTCAAGCAACTCTTGCTGGGTTAAGCAAAAAGGGAGTTTATTAAGAGGATATCAGGCAGCTCACATAATCATTAGGAAGGCTGGGAACTAGGCCAGATGCTAAGCAGTAAGAAAAGTGCCACAAACCTTATTTTAATGACCAGTACAAATATAATGGTATATCTTGGTTAATATCAACATTTCCTGTAAGAATATCCCCAAAATAGTTTCTGGTAATGGATGTGTTCCCTGTTGCTGCTCTTCCTATTATAATAACTTTTAAAAACATCATTTCTCATTCCTAACCTTTACCTGTCAGTGGCTCCGAATGCACATTGGCGTGATACAACTGTCTGCAATGCTTGGGTCCTGTGCTTGCTTCCTGTTGGAAGTGGAGGGTGGAAAAGCAGGCACCAACACTGTGTGCCCCTGTAGTGGGAGGCAGTGTTTGCTGCCAGCTAACATTCATAGCGTAGAGAGTTTCCCAAACAGCAAATGGAGGCCTAGTAGAACAAAAAGCAAAAAGCCAAACATCCATCAGACTGTCTGTGGGGCAGGCATTGTGGCCAGAGCTTCATAGGATAAATACGATTCACTTTTTTGTATGAGAGAAAATGGAGAACAAAAGGAGCTAATAACTTGTCCAAGATCACAAGGCTAATAATTAACACTGTCAATATTTAAACCAAGATTTCCTAAAGGCTTGGTTATAAAATCTCTCTTTTATTATGTCTTTAACAAACAAAGACATAAATTAGGTTGAATGTAATTGTTCTTAATAGCAATATGTATTATATGACAAAAATATTTACATTTTTATTTAACTTCTAATTATTTCCACATGCAAAACATTAGAATATAGGTACAGAGGTTTCAAGGCAGCTTTGAGGGTAATGAAAATAATCCATATAATCCTAAGTTATTAAGTTCATTTTGAGATAATTTTTGTTTTTTTCCCTGATTAGACACATCAGTAGACTTGTAGTTTTTAAAGAAATCAAACATTTATTTTACTAAAAGTAGAAAAACTTTATACTTGTAAAATTATATTATTATATAAGAAATGCCCTAAATTAGATATATGAAATAATTCCCAGACTAAATTACTGTTCAACTGTTGCAGGTCATCAAATATTCATACACATTTGCTCGTCCAAAAATTATAATAAAATCATGAAACACCTCAGAAACTATCAGAATAGTATAATTAAAGTCCTATTTATATTTTAATGATAACACATTAGATTTGCAAGTATAGAATTAAGGTTAAACACAATGCAATGTTGACCTTTAATAAAATGCAGTGTTTCAAATGGTAAACAAGTCATTGGTCTGTATTTCACCGAAATCATTCTCTGTAACTATATAATCTCCCCTCCCCTTATTATAAGGAGCATTACAAGAGAGTATGCAGGAGATGAAAAGTGAACATCTATAGTAAAGGTAATGATCTTTGAAAATTTTTTCTAATGAGAAATTTGTGGCTCAGTGGATTTCAAGAGATTATTGGTTTTGGAAATGGATTCTATCAACTAAGGAGATAATGAAAATCATTAGGGCTGAGTAAAATAAAATAGCACATTTGTAATGAACACAAGCATTCTGCAAGCTTCTAGTTGCCACACAAGTTGAAAGCCTTGTTTAAAAACAAAATTATAAAAAATTTTCTATGTAGGCCAAAGCATTTCTGTGTAATACAGTATACTTACATTTATAGCAAGGAATAATACTACTTTGAATGTTATTTTTTAATAAAATATTTCAAAAGCCTTCAATTTAGGATGTTGTTATATAAGAGCAATTCTTCTTTACCTACTTGATATTAAGTAATCAATTAATTTACATATAGATTATATTAAAATAGTTTGACCCAGGGTATTTTTCATCATATACTCAATATAGCAATAGCTCCCAGTATCATTTCTGCACAATTTGCCTGACGTTCTAAACCAACTCTTCCAAACCAACTGTTCCTTAAGCTTTTTAATCTTCCTTTGTTGTTTCTTGTCTGTTTTGTCTCCTGTTGTATCTTCAGGACTTAAGTCAGTGCTTCTTACAAATGATTAACTCACTTAAAATTTGTTGAATAACCATTTAAATTAATAATACATACTCATAAAGATAAATTACAAAAGTTTTGAATAAGCCGAGCATGGTGGCTCACACCTGTAATCCCAGCATTTGGGGAGGCCAAGGTGGGAGGATCATGAGGTCAGGGGTTGGAGACCAACTTGGCCAACATGGTGAAACTCCGTCTCTACTAAAAATACAAAAATTAGCTGGACGTGGTGGTGCACACCTGTAATCCCAGCTACTCAGGAGGCTGAGGCAAGAGAATCACTTGAAACCTGGGAGGCAGGGGTTGCAGTGACCTGAGATCAAGCCATTGCACTCCAGCCTGGGTGACAGAGCGAGACTCCATCTCAAAAAATAAACAAACATGAAGTTTTGAATAATATAAAGTTTAAATGTTTAGCACCACAACAGCCTTGAAACAGGTTATATGTAATTGTAGTAAGTTATGAGATAATAAAGAGATTATACTAATGAAGACAATATTTTTAAAAGCTTAGTTTAATCATTTATAGCAATTAGGTGGAAATCAATTATTAATAAGAACCTTGAAACAGCTTTACAGTTTGTAAATATGTAAAAACAGATCTACTTAGCTATTTGTTTTAAAAAACAAAAATAAATGAAGTAAATGTCTATCTACTTCATATCGTTCATCAAATTTCAATAATTTCTTTCCATTACTTTTTCTCATTTATGAGCACTGCCTTAAAATCAATTAAAAAGACTTCCTTTATTCTCATTTTGCAATGCTAAGTGTTCATTGTGAATGCTAACAGTGTATGATATTGACAAATATATAAGCAAGCTGTGCATTTGTATATGCTGATATAATGAATTTCTAGAGTTTTAATTATCTTCATATCAAAATTGACCTGCTAGAATATGAAAAATATTAACAGCTCACTAAAAGCAAATATGATATTACTTAAAATAATACTTTATTCCTCTAAAAGGACATATAAACATCTAGACATAGACATGGTCTTCATCACATTCGTCTGCTATGTAGAAAAATAATGTAAAAATAACATTAAGTATTCAATTATTTACAATGTTTTATGCAGTGCATTTGTAAAAAACAAATATTAGAGTCCAATAAATGCCCTATATCTTATTCATATGAACCTATTCTTTTAGTATATATATTCACCTACTTCAGCAAAAAGGCACCGAATAGTACAACTCTGCTTTTGTCATATGGATATGAGTTGAAATAACAAATACTCATTCTTAAAAAGGCAAGAAGTGAATGAAAACATATTGCATACTAATAGTACAATAGGAAACAAACTACATGGCTCTGGAGCAGATATTTCTAATGGCTCTGCTGCCATTAACCCCTCTTATAACATCACTTTACCATTTGATTAATAGAGTGATGCCATTGTATCTTATAAGTTTTCTGAACCTTGAGTAAAATCCGTTCTACGATCTCTCATAACATGAAGAAACTTATATTAGCCCCATTTTTAGTTCAACTTTTGTTAGAAAAGATGAGCATAATTATATGAAAACAGAGACATTTTCAGAAAAAATTAATTCCCAACATCTTACTTGTGTCTGGACAAAGAAAATTTGAGGCATTATTTTCTTAGTAAATAACAATTGACACCAGTTAAAAATGCAATGACATCTTGCACAAAGTAAAACCAGGTCAGCCATAACTTCTAAAATCTATAGCATTCTTCCTCAAAGTGTTTCTAGTAGATTCCACTTTTAATGTACATTGCTATCTGAAGGCAGATAAATCACTACTATAAAACTTTAAATATAATTATGTCCATATTCCTGAAAATTAAAAGGGGTAATATACAGCAATACTTTCAAGTACAGCAATGCTTGATGTGCTAATAACTACAAAAAAATCAGAGAACTATCTAAATCCTAATTCAGGACAAAACAAATAAGTAATACATCAATCAACAAATAGTTTTAAATCAAAGTTTTATCAGACATGTGATATTTGATTATCAGCAAGTCAGATGACAGGTTTAAAACATGACCCTTCTAAATCCTATATTCCATACATTTATGGAAGCAGAGTAGAGTGTGAGTGTCAAAAGAGATTTTAATATAGCTAAGTACTAATTGTGTGACTTCATCTGGATTCCAGTAAATTTTTTAGTTATTTTGCTTGCATTTCTTCATCGCCTATTATTGATCCCAATAAGTTACAATCTGCAACTTATACTCTGATGAAAATTTCATCTGTCTTAGTATTAAGGATTAAGGAATATAGGATTTAGAAGGGTCATGTTTAAAGTCTGGCATCTGACTTGCTAATAATCAAATATTACATGTCTGATAAAACTTTGATTTAAAACTATTTGTTGATTGCTGTATTACTTGTTTGTTTTGGTCTAAATTAGGATTTAGATAGTTCTCTGATTTTTTTTGTAGTTATTAGTACATCAGTCATTGCTGTACTTGAAAGTAGCCCTGCATATTACCCCTTTTAATATTAAGTCAGATGAAATTTTGTAACTACTTTGAAGAAACTTACATTGATTGTACTTTTCTCATGTTAAGACATAGTTCTGGTGGTATATATATGCCTGCCCTAATATATAGCAGAAATCTGTACAAAAGTTTCAACTCCTTCTTTCTAGAGTCACAGGAAGCATTTCACAGACAATAAACTCTGATCAAATTAAGATGTATAACATATCCTTTTGTATCACAGAAGATAATTCCAGAGACATACTCTACAAAGTCATTATGGATTGCCAATCACGAGTCTTAACCACTACCTATAAAATATAAATCTAGGATTTATTTGCCACATGCTATATTCTTCTATAATAAATTCAAAATAAGATGCAGTTTGGGCTATCATAACTTGCCATGTCTTTATTAAACAAGCCCTAGAAATATCACATATGTGGGGACCAATATGAAATGGTGGGGTTATACCTCCTACAGGGATGTATCTATATCTAGGGAGGAGGGTTATTGGGATACAACTCTCACTAGAATCGCTCATGTTCCTTTGTAACAAAGGCATTTAGAAACAGCATAAGAATTATATATTGAGACTATCTCCCTTACCAAAGACATTCCAGGACACTAAATCCTCCCCTCTCATCCCAGAGAAGATTTGCTTACATTTCACGGTAAACAGATATCTCCGATCTCTGCTTCTAATCTTTAACTTCTACTTCATATAGCCTTCCCCTTTGTGTAGATCTCAAGTCTTCCTCTTCCTTTCTTGTATTAGTGCACACTATTGGATTTAGGACTCACACAGATAATCCAGGATGATCTCATCTTGAGACTCTGAACTCAGTTACGTCTGCAAAAATCCCTTTTTAAAATGGACCACAATGACAAGATCTGGGCAGACATATATTTGAGCAGGCCACTGCTCAATTTTTTTTTTTCTTTCATTGATGCCAATGTCCAAAAACATTGGCATCAATGAAAGAAAAAATGAATTTGGAATATACTAAGCATTGCTGTAGAATTTTTAAGAGGTTATGGGAATTCTTTAATGTACTTTCATATCACCACTGTAAAACTGATAACTACATCTTTTTAAATGTTTACACTAAAGGCATCTATTCCCTTTTAATCTACTGGGGAAAAAATGGCAGCATACTTCCAAATAGTTTGAGTTAAATGCTATTTCTGGATAAACATATACCTTGAAACACATTTCAAGTGATTATTTTTCGTCTTCTCACCTATGTAGTCACCTACAACTGCAACTGTATTCATTTAACCAGCCTTTACTGATAACTTTTGGTGTCTTTCCTATACTTATTAGAATGGGACACGCAAAGGAAAGGCAGGACTACAAATTCAGTCTTTAAAAACTTACAGTACTACTGGGGAAAAAAGAGACATACACATTAGACAACAAAGAAATAATGACAAAGTGAAATCCACTGAAATAGAGGAGACACTTATGTGCCTTCATGATGGTCTGCAGTTTTCTTGAAGGCAAAATATGTATTTCTTCAGCTGCCTTTATTCTTTTTCCTTTTAGATTATATTTTTTATTGCTAATCTTTCTTCTTGTCCAGCCATTTATATTCACAGCATGAAGTTAGTGAAAATGATTGGCATCTCTATTCATTTCTTTTTGTATGAACAATTGCAGAAGTCTTGGGACAAGAAAAACCGGTAATAGTTTAGCTCCTATTTTTTTCTTAAAATTTTCTTGAAAATTATATTCTACGTTCATATTGTTAGTAAATGTCATTACTACACCATAACTGTGTATAAAATCCTGTGAGAAATATCAGTAACACATGAAGCTTAGTTTATTTTATAATAATAAAATGAATACTCTGTCAATTAAATACCATGTGATAAGAGTTTTGAAATTTCCCTTTTTCTAATTAAGAAGCCCAGCTTTGAGCAGCTATTGCCATATTTAAAATTTATACTTTGCTTTTTCTTTATCAGACTCCATAATTTTTTCTAAATTTGTTGTAAAACCAAGTAGTAAAGTCATAAATATAAATAGGCCTAAGTTTTTTGGAATTGTCATGTTTCACTGAATCTCTAATTTTCTAAATTTGTAGGAAAGACCACTTATATTTGTCAAATTCAGATACAGTATTTCAGAAAAAATACGATCTTCACCTTCACCCTTTGATATATACCCACTTTATCACTCTTCAGTGAGTACCATATTATACAGTCTTTTTCTTTAACCTAATGAAATGGATAAATTAAAGGATTAGGATTCTTCTTAAATTACCCCTTGTACAAAAAGTAAATCTGCTTTGTATTTTAATTCACCAACTGATCGCATATAATACAAATGTGACTTGTATTCAGATAAATCCATTTAACATAGATACAGAGGTTACTTATAAAATACAGGTAAAGAAAGAATATTTCAAAAGCAAGTTCTTTGGATTCAAACGAATCCTTCAATTATTTAGAGAAAAATGTTAAATTATTGTTATTTTATGTTTATTATATTTGGGATTCAAAATTGGATGAAATAATATTTTGCATTTGCAAATAAAGGGGGTTAAATTTAATGCAAAAATGTCACACTAGATAAATGAGGGTGAACCTAATGAGCTTACAAAATGTAAGAAACTTACAGCCAATAGTATTAAGGGCTTTCCATGTGCCAAAAATTGGGTTCAGTTACTTGCTTTATTGTCTCTTTAAAGAACAGAAAATAAATAATATTAATTTTGGAAACGAGAAAAGCTTAGAAAAAAAGTAGCTTGACCAATCAAGATAACACTGCTTTTGGATGAATCAGTTAGAGCCAGATTCTCAGGTACACTCTATCAGTTATTAAAGAAAGCTCCAATTCATACTCCTGCATTTCTCCCTAGCCAGTTTGGAGTAGAAGCAGGCAAGCAGCTGAGATCACTTTATTCAGAGTGCCAGTAAGAATTACCAGGAAATCTGACTGTGCAGCACAATTCAACAGCTGGAAACTTTCAGTCCAGTTGCCACTGTCATTCTAGATATGTATGCAATTCCGTAAGTTGGGCTTAGGTTTCATTTGGAGCTGCCTTCAATATTTATCGATAATTCTGTAGCATCATTCAAATCAAGGAAAACTCCACCTTGCCTAGTCAAACTCACATTACCTGCTTTTTGAAAAAAGGAGAGAAATTCTCTCTCTTCTGACATTTGTTCTTAAAAAAAAAAATATATATATATATATATATATATATATATATATATCAAGAAACCTCTTTCTTCTTTTTGTTGTTAAATGTGGTTGGTACACATAGTAGAGGGAGGGTATACATTTCATGTTGCATTTGTGCCTAATTTACTAGCTACTATATTAATAACCATTATTAAAAATACTTTTTTGAACATATTACTTGTTTTTACAAATTAACTTACATTATATGGTTAAAAAATGAATTTTCTTAATGTTGTTTGACCTTGTAGGACAACACTTTTTACTGCTCATTGACTACAGGTAATGAATGACTATAAAACATAAACATATATATTTATGCAAAAAATCACAAAAATTAGCAATCACAATTTAATTCTTTAGCCAATAATATCTGTAGATATGTAGATAAAATCTTTATTTAAATTATTTAAATCATCTCCCTTTATCTTAATTTCTGGTTTTCTATAACCATTGGGACTAGAGAAATCATATACATGCTGTCATAAAAATTATAAACTCCATTATACAATCTTATGTAAATTTATCTTAGAATTATATTGATGTAGCTCATTTTACAAAATACCTACAGAATCACACTTGTGCTAGAAAACTAAAATATTAAAAAAGGTTTTGAGTTCTATCTTAAAAAATAACAAAATAGGAAAAGAAAGAATAAAAAGGTGGAAGAATGAGAAAATTATAAACTATCCATAATAAACCTGTATGACAAGTCAGTGGTATATATGCTCTATCACGAGGGAAGAACTCTGAAAAGATCCTCATGGGTTTTCTAAATAATTGAGGGTTATAAGAAGAAAAAACAATGAGTTTTTTCTTACTATCTTTATTAAAATAAAAATGTCTGCATAAAATAAGTAGACTAGCAGTAGTTGATTTTGTTTGAGGTGTGTATGTGTGTGTGTGCGCACGCACATGTGTGTAGGTGTGTGTGGACTCAATTTTAGATTCAGGGATAATTTGAAAGAATATTTAATAAAAGTCTTAAGTCTTTATTAAAAGTTTCTGATTGATAATGCTTAAAATCTGAAGAGCAGATAGGAATAAGGACAAAGTCCTGAAGAGGTGCTTTTCTCATTTTTTCCCTGTTTAATTTTTAATGTTTCAATGTTTTCAATTCTCCATGAGGGAGTCAATTCATGAGTGTCCATTATTTGAAGGATACTCTTATCTATGAGAGGGAGGTGGATCACCTGAGGTCAGGAGTTTGAGACCATCCTGGCTAACATGTTGAAATTCTGTCTCTACTACAAATACAAAAATTAGCTGGTAGTGGTGGCATAAGTTTGTAATCCCAGCTACTTGGGAGCCTGAGGCAGGAGAATCACTTGAATGAGGGAGGCAGAGGTTGCAGTGAGCTGAAATCACGCAACTGCACTCTAGCCTGGCCAACAAGAGCGAAACTCCATCTCAAAAAAAAAAAAAAAAAGAATGCAATAAGAAAATTAAAGTACCCTTGCTTTCAAGCAGTTGACAGTCCAATGTAGAACCCATGCAAGTAAATGGAAAATTATAATACCTTGGTCTTGCGAAGCTACGGTTATAAAGGGGGGCCACAGGAATCCGTAGGGAAAAAAAATCTTTTAATAGTCTTGAAAGATGAGGAAACATTTCTTGGAGACAGTGATATCTGGAAAATAAGCAAGAGTTCTCTACACAAATTTAGCAGGATGAATGCTGAGAAATGGGAAAAGATTCCAGATGGAGGAGTACTATATTAAAGAGTTGACAATTGAACTGTAATTGATTTTCCAAACTTGAGGAAAGAAAAAGAGTTCAATTCCTAATAATAGCTGAGGCAGAAATATAATCAGAGGCTAAGACACAAAAGTTATTTTAAGCCAAATTTTGAAGTTTGGACTTTATGCTGAGGAAAAGGTTTCTCATAACTTAGTCAGATTTGTGTTTTAGAAAAAATAGGCAACAGGCATATTTAATTAGATGATAACAAGACCATAGGCAGAAAGGACTGTAAGAAAGTGCTTTCAAGTAAACTGGGTGAGAAATTGCTGGTGGTTTCAATGAGGGTAATTTAGAAGGCACATGCTGATATTCACAAGAAAGTTATTATCTTTTATCTATCAGATTATACCTTTTAAAATTTCACTTAAGACATAATTGTTTAATACATAGCTATATATTAGGATAGTTTTTCTTTAATTATTTAATACAAAACATTTTAGAATCTTTGAGTAAATATGTTGTACATTGTTGATATGGCATAAAAATTACACTATAGCTGGTGCTATTTAAAAGTGTTCTCTGAAAACCAGCATCATTAGCATCAATTAGGAAATTGTTAGAAATGCAAATTAATGGGACCCACCCCAAAACAAAACTACTGACTCAAAATTCCTGGATTTGGGCCCAAGCTATCAAGGCTATTCTGATGACTACTTGGATTTAGATTACGTAGCCAAGGTCAAACATACTTAAAGACAGAATAAATCTAAGGAGAAAAGTAATGCAAAAGTAATGCATGGCCTTATGTTCAAAAACTACAAAAAATTGTAAAGTAAGAGGGAAATATCAAGTATCGCAATTTTTAATAAAATGAATGCAACTTTGTTGGCATGTTTATTGTATCATTATTTTTAAAAATATCATTTCAAACTGTGTAACATATCTGATAACCCAAATAAAATATAAGTATTTTGTACAGCACATTTAATCTCTATTGACCATGGTGATCTTATTAACTTGTAGAAGCAAGAATGAAAGAATCTCCAGATTCATGTATTTGATCATTTAAAATTCTGAAAAAAAAACATGTTCTGGAAGAAGTATTAAAAATTGCTATGGGTCAAGGCTGGGTGCGGCGGCTCACACCTGTAATCCCAGCACTTTGAGGGCTGAAGGGGGTGGATCATGAGGTCAAGAGCTTGAGACCAGCCTGACCAATATGGTGAAACCCCGTCTCTACTAAAAATACAAAAATTAACCGGGTATGGTGTCTGTAATCCCAGCTACTCAGGAGGCTGAAGCGGAAGAATCACTCGAACCTGGCAGACGGAGGTTGCAGTGAGCTGAGATAGCGTCATTGCTCTTCAGCCTTGGTGACAGTGAGACTCTGTCTCAAGAAAAAAAAAAAAATTGCTGTGGGTCTGATATACAGGATTGCTTGAGGCCAGGAGTTGGAGAGCAACCAACCTGGGCAACATAGGAAGGCCCTGTTTCTTAAAATAAAAATGCCATGTAGGAGATAAGTGTTGCTATAAAAGGCATAAAAATTTACATTGCAATTATTATGGCATTCCTAAAATTGAAAAGTTTAATGAAAGTTTTCCTTCATATTTTTTTCTTATTTGAAATAATTTTTGTCAGTGAAGTAAGTGTAGCAGTGACAACTTTATAAAGACACAAAGAAGACTAGAATAGTAAGAGTGACATATTCAACACGATTTTTCATTAACAGATATATCTTCATTAACTCTCATTATTGTTGGCTGAATTTATGCATGAAAATTCCTACGAACCACTTTAAAAATTGTTAAAGCCTTATTAAATTTGCTTGTGAAGCTTGAAAGTTAAAGGCAATAAAAGTGGGGAGTGAAATAAAAAATGCAATAGTAGAGTCTAATTCAGATTATTCTATGTAAAAAGTAAAACTATTAAGCCATCAAAGATTAAAAACCTAGTCATAGAAGATGATGCCTGGTATTGGCATCAGTTGCAAATATTGACCAGATTAAACAGGTAATTGTAAAATCTCTATGCAAACATACAGTCATAATTATAGCACTTGTACTGACATACTCCAATTATATGCTGAAATTTTTGATTTAACACATTTAGAAGAATCTTTTTACAGAAAAATAAAATTTCTCACCTTATAGTCTATAAAAATTACAAAATTGTTTGTTGAATGATGCCTGCTTGCTAATTTACTTAATAGAAAACTTTCATCCATATAAGAATATTTGGAAATAATCTCAATGTGATAAATGGCTTCTATGAACAACCAATAGCCGATATGGTACTTATTGGTGGAATACTGAATGTTTCTCCCTAAGATCTGGAACATGGATGCCCAATCCCATCCCTCCTTGTCAATATCTTACTGAAAGTTTCCTAGATTGTACAAGGAAAATAAACAAGAGGAATTGAGATTATAAATAAAAATAAAATTCAAAAGTAGTCAAATATTTCAAAGTGAGACAAGCAAAGATAAACAGCATAACAAAAACACAGATTGTACAAATAAAAAATAAATACTGACATAAAAAACCTAAATTTCAACAAAATTAAAGTTACATTTCCAAAATTTCTAACATATTGAAAAGAGTTTCATCAAAATAAAAATGTATTCATTGACTAAATTATGTATGGACACAATGAAGTTCCATGCAGCTGTGTAGTTCTATACAGTTGACCCTTGAACAACTCAGGCATTGGGCCACCAACCCTTGTACAGTCAAAAATCCACATATAACTTTTGAGTCCCCCAAAACTGATAAAATGGACAATTAATACATATTTTTTAGTTACATGTGTCATGTACTATATTCTTACAATAAAGGAAGCTAGAGAAAAGATCATTTTCATGTTATTAAGAAAATCATAAGGAAAAGGAAATATATGTACTATTCATTAAGTAGAAGTGAATTATCATAAAGATCTCCATCCTTCTTTTCTTCATGTTGTTTAGGCTGAGGAGGAAGAAAAAGAGGAGTTTGTCTTGCTGTCTTGGGGGTGACAGAGGCAGAAAAAAATTTGCAGGTAAGTGGATCCTTGCAATGCAATAATGTGTTGTTAAAAAGTCAGCTGTAGTACTACACTGTTCATCTACTCCACTATCTTACCTTTCATTGGCTATAAACATTTTGAAAAATTCTAAATAAAATACCCTAGGTGAGTCGTTAATGTTAACACAGAAAATCCTAGAGGATTTAAAGTGATTAGGAGCAGTATAAATTGCCTTTTAGAATTTAATTAAAGAAATTTCTCAATATTTAAACAAAATCTTAGTGAAATGTGTTCACATCTCACAAAACTCATTACTTACACAAAATTATGTTCTTATTCAAAATGCAATGAGATTATGCCTCCTTGGTGTTTGCAATTTAGTTAAAAACAAAAGAAATTTCCACTTTGCTCATATCTTTCCATGTCTTTTTAAGCAATATTTATCATTTTTTCTTTTACACATATTTATTTTTATTTACTTTTTATTGTATATATTTAGAATGTGCAGTATGATGTTTTAATATAGATATAAATAGTGAAATGATAACTATATTTTGGTAAGCCAATAAATATGTCCATCACTTTCCACAGTTTCGTGTGTGTGTGTGTGTGTGTGTGTGTGTGTGTGTGTGTGTGTGTGTGTATTAAGAGCACCAAAACTTACTCTCTCGGCACATTTTCTATATACAATACAACATAATTAACTATAGTTCTCCTGCCATACATAAGATCTCCAGATTATTTATCTTATGTAATTGTAAGTTTGCACCCTTTGAACTACTTCTTCCTATTTCCCTCCCCTCCCCACCCTGGTAGCCGCCATTCTACTTTGTTTTTATATAGTCAATTTTTTTCTTTAGATTCCATATGCAAGTGAGATCATGTAGTATTTTTCTTCTGTGTCACTTCTTTTTTATGCATAGACTTTTTCAGTTCACAGTTCTTCCCTTTTTGCTTTGAATTGCATGCTTTCCATGATTCTTGCCACTCTTTGAGGCAAAACACCATTTGGTAACATTACAATAACAAAGAAGTGCCATACATTTTTTTAAATGACCATACTATCTTAAATATTTCAGCACAAGAAACATCATAGTAGGTCTTTGTTTAAGGAAAAACTCTCTCAAACCATGTTTTTCCTCTGCTCTCACACCAAAGCAAAAACAATCATCAACACAGAGGAAGACTTCTGTAACCAAACATGTAGTGGTTTTTCCCAGACACCAAGCAGCGGACACAGGCTGGGTGTCCTCCAATTCAATTCTGGCACTGCCTGGAGATAGAGTCAAAGGTTAAGGGCTCAGTCTTCTTAACCTGACAACAATCGAAAGTCAGGGCCTCAGGAACTTGTGACAGACTGGCTTCAAGTTGGGGTTTCCATGAGTCCCTCAGTGGGTTTGATTAATTTGCTGGAATGGCTTACAGAACTCAGGGAAACACTTAAGTTTACTGGTTTATTACAAAGGATATTGCAAAGTATACAGATGAAGAAATGCATAGGGTGAGGTATGCTGGAAGAGATGTGCCCTCCTTCAGGAGGCTCCACATGTTTAGCTCTCCAGATGCTCTCCAGAAGACTCTATCTAAGATTATGAACCACAATCAGAAAGTCTTGTAAAGATTAGAGTCCTTCCTTGGAGTAGGTGAAAGAAGGGCAGGAGAAGGCCAGAGAGATTCTGTTTTCTGAGGCCTTCTCCTGAGGCCTGTCATACCCATATTATAACAAAATATTGTAACAAGAGGTGTGGGAGTTATGAGCCAGGAACTAAGAATGAAAGCTTACATATATAAACCACACTCTCCAACCAGATAACTATATAATTGGATCGATGTAAATTATTCACACCTTACTATTTATTAAAATGCATTCACTTGTGTACCTTTTACATGACAGTATTATTATCTGGAGAGCATAAAAGTAAGAATAAAGATTTAAATTTTATTTTCACAGCAATTTAGAATTATTACCTGTATAAGTGTAATATCGAATATCAATAATTTGTGTTTTAGGATTTTATAGCACACATAAACTTTTTGCTTTTTATTATAATATCTTCCTCATTCTAATCTCTGCCTTTGAACTGTGGAATTATGTTAACAAGTTCTCTTCCTGAGCTTTCCAAAAGAAGTAGAGAGTTTCATATAATGGTCTAACACACTTATTTAATAAAAGTAGAAACTGCATTTTTTGAGACTTTTAATGCTTGTCTTTGTAATATAGATTTCCAAGTAGACAAATATATTATGGATACTTGCTTTTATGTAGAGAGATAGGTTGAAGCCTCAATTTTGTTCATTCAGTATGGCAACATGGCATAAGCTGGGTATTTTTATAACTTAAATTAGTCCAAATAAATATTGTATTCATATGTAAGCATTAACGTCTAAGAGTGATAAAGATGCCTGCCTATTCTCACCCTTTCCCCTTTGTGATCACAGCACTTTAATTGCCACTGAGGATTGAGAGGAGTTCTGTGTGTTCACAGACATTGACAGCTCTATAATGAAGATATGTTAATAATAAAATGGCAAGGCTTTCAGGGCTGTATATATTATGAAAAGGTTAATGAGTAGTGCTACCCACAGCGCCCTGTTTAGCTGACTTTGAAATTTTATTGATGAGAAAACTTTTGAGTTTTTCCTCCTGAAGAATATGTTGGCCGATGATTCTTATTAACTTCACGAGGGAATGCACACATTTGCGTCTTTTTTTTGTTAATCCAAATTGCATTAGTCTGCTAGCACTGCCATAACCAAATACCACAGACTGGGTGGCTTAAACAACAGAGCTTTATTTTCTTACAGTTTTTGAGGCTAGACCTTATGAAATAAAGGTGCCAACATGGTTAGGTCCTGGTGAGAACTCTCTGCATTGCAAAAAGTCACCTTTTTTTATTGTTTGCTCACATGATTCACATGTGCATGGAAAGAGAGAAAGCTCTCTGATGTCTCTTCCTACAAGGGCACCAGTCTCACCATGGGGACCCCATCATTGTGACCTCATGTAACTCTACTTTCTAAATTATTATCTCCAAATACCACTGTGTTGGGAGGTAGAGCTTCAATACATGAACTTATTTAGGGGGCAGGGCTACAAGCATTCAGTCCATAGTGCAAATAATTTTTAAATTGTGGAAATAAGAATTATGATTTCAAAATATTTATATTTTCTAGTGGCTAACCTACTTGTTGTTAGATTAAAAAAAAAGAAAAAGAAAAAAAGAAAAAAAAACTTAGAGGCCAAGGAAAAGCTTCCCCTTTGCTCTCTGAAGTTTTGCTGAAAAGTCAACTCACAAAAAGAGATCAACAGGACAAGTGACATAGAAATGTATTAACATGCACACAGGGCCAAAACGTAGAGTGTTTTCCCCCACCACCTAACGGGGTCTAGAAGTTTATAGACCATTCTGAGGTTACAGGAAGAATGGGGGCTTAGAGTGTGGCAAAACAGGTTCTGCTGGGAGGGGGAAAAGTGGAGACCTGGCTAGTAAAGGTGGTCTTGTTACATAGGTGAAACTTCACAAGTAGCAGCCCTCAGAGAGAATACATATGTCTCTTTCACACATTTAAAGGTGTCAGACTCTAGATTAATCTTTTCTAGATCAGGACAAGGGAGGGCCTCAGATAAAGCCTAGCTGCATCAATGCAGATTTTTTCTACTGATAGAAATCTTCCCCACAAAAGACTACTTTAAGTGGCTACTTAGGTTTGCAGGCTCTCTGAACAGCCATCTCAAAATATGCCAAGGTGTATCTGGGAGTGATACATTCTGTTTTCGGGGTTTTTTTTTTCAAAAACTAGGGGAGAATTTTTGCTATTCTTGCTATATTCTGTTGTATTTTTTTTCTTCTTCCCCTTATATAAAGGCTGAAAAGCAATGACTAATAAAGATAATGTTAATAAAACAATAATAAAAATAAAAATTTGTATTCTTGGTCACAGCAACAGAAATAGGCTCTGGCTATTTTAAGCAAAAGTTTTATGTATTGGATGTATATTGAGGGACCACGAATTGATTGTAGGCTGGAACTGCACAAAAATGAAACTATCAGAACACTTAACAACAGGAAAATGTTCCCAGAAAATTTCTAGAATTTCTAACTTCACTAAACATTGTTGCTATTGCCAGTATCAACAAATTTAGACTTTATTTTTATTCTTGCACCAAAATTTCTAGATTCAAACTTTCAGATCTGAGAATTTGATTGACTTAGCTTCACCACTTCAAGCTTCTGATTTAGGAGCTAAGTTATTACCGTCCACAATATGGGATTGGAATCTATTGAGAAAGAGGTTGTTTTAAGCCAAATAGCAAAAGTGGCAAGTGATCACTATATTTTATTACTTTTGCTGCTCAAAACCAAAATTCTCTTTTCTGTCCATTTTTATATGTCTAAGTAATATAATAATATATCTATCCTTGTGAAGATATTATTTTACCTAACAGAAAAGAACATTAAATATTATCCATACTCATCTAGTTCTAATTAGAAGAACTTTGGGTAGCATTCTGAAGATTCATTGTTAAGAAATTGAGATGTTTTAGCAGTTTAAATTTTACCAAAGTAAATGGAAAATACAAAGAGTTTTGTCTATACTCTGTCATCTCCATGCCTCCCACACCCAGTTAACCTTATTCTTAATATTTTGCATTAGAGTGGTATATTTGTTACAATTGGTAAGTTGATATTGGTACAATATCATGAACTAAAGTAGATGGTAACATTATGACTCATTCTTTCTACAATACATTCTATGGGTTTTGACAAATGTATATATCAGTATCATATACAATAGTTTCACAGCCTTACAAATTCCCTGTGCTCCAGTCATTCATCTCGCCCTGTTTCTCCCCAAATCTGTTAAAATCACTGATTAATTTTCACTACTCCCACAATGTTGTCTTTTTCAGAATGTGACACATTTGAAATCATACAGCAGATAGCACTTTCAGATTGGTTTCTTTCACTTAGCAATATGAATTTAAGCTTTCTTCATGCCTTTTCAAGACACAATAGCTCATTTATTTTTATTGCTGAATAATATTCCATTGTATGGATGTACCACAATTTCTTATCCATTCCATATTGAAAGACATCTTGATTGCTTTCAAGTTTTGGCAATTATGAATAAAGTTGCTATAGATATTCAGGTTTATGTTTGTACATGTTTTCAACTCATTTGGGTAAATACCAAGGAGCATGAATGCTAGTTCATATAGTAAGAGTATGTTTAGTTTTGTAGGAAATTTCCAAATTGTTGTCCAAAGTGGCTGTACAATTTTGCATTCTGACCTGTAACAAAGAAGTATTCCTGTTGTTCTACATCCAAATCAGCACTGGGTATTATCAGCGTTTTGGATTCTACCTTTTCTAATAAATGTGTAGTGATATCCCATGGTTGTTTTAATTTGCAATTCCCTAATGAAATTGTATTATCTTTTTATATGCTTATTTGAAGATTTGTTTTTATCATTTCACTTATAACTAAATTGTGCTAATCTGCAAATTATGAAGTCAATGTTAAAGTTGTCCATGATAAACACTGTATGTATAATTGTTCCAAAACAAGGAGGAAATATTACAAAGCTGGAAATATAATTAACTCCACTATTTTTCTTCTACCAACTCCTCATGTTTACATATCAGCATTTATTTATTTATTATTATTATTTATTACGGCCCCTGAAAATTTACTCACATAATTGGGATTCCTTACCCAGTGGGTAATTCAAACCCTTATTTTAATGGTTGTGTTTTTTATTGTTATCCCTTTTGAAGGATATATTATCTGTTGTGATATTTAGAACTAAAAATGGGAATATGAGGAAGAAAATGAGACCTGGTGTTGCAGGACTTTTCCTTAGTTCAGCTAAAGACAGGGTTCTTGCCCATCCCATGGCCATGAAAATTTAAGCTCTCAGATAGCTTAAAGGGTGAGTAAAGCAGGATTTTATTGGGTGAAAAGAGAAAAAAAGGGGGGAACAGGGACTCTCGCAAGGCCAGAGTCCCTCCACTAGAGCACTTCCCACTGGGCAGTTTGAATCCTAGTTTCCACCCAGGAAGAGGGGCCAGGGTCCTCCCTGCTGCAAACATCATGAACTTCCCGAGGCTCTACTCCAGTGAGCAGGCTGACTGGAGCTTCTTCAGGGACCCCCTCCTACCTGGCTGTCTCCTTCCCCCATCTAAAGAAGTACATCTAACTGCTCTTAGATTAAGGATAAGGGCCAAGACCTATCTTAGCTGCTTCCTGCTGATAGGGGCTGCTGTTTTGAGGAAACAGCAGTCAGAACTCCCTCAGGGGCCTATCTAAGGGTTCCCAGCAGATGGGGCCATTGTCAGAGGCTCTGATTGCATGACTGTTTGGAGTTTGATGGCCTGAAGGCAAGAACAGACACAGGGTTACTACAAAACTTGTATCAAAATGAAACAAAGGGAGAGGTAAGGACAGCTCAAAAATTCTGAGGTCTTTTACCAGTTTGTACAGGGAGAAGGAGGCCAAAAGCCCGACTAGCAAAAAGGAAACTTTACCCTTTTGCTGGCATGTTGGGCTTCTGGGTTCCCTTCCCTGGAGCCCAGTCCTAAGTCAACCAGTTTAAGATTTGGGAAATTAACTCCTTCCAGTTTGGAGGATGCATCTGAGGGGAGTGTCCTGTAGTACAAAGACACAATTACCTATCGGTGAAGAGAGAACTGAGGAGAAGAAAGGAAAAAGCAAGCATTTTTTAAAGGAGTCCAAAGGGTTTAGGATACATTCGAAAGGGGTACAGACTGAAGATGATGGCTACCCATCTAGCAAGAGGTAAGCAGGTGTCCCTGGTTCCCTTCTCTTCCTAGCAGATACCGGGGTACATGAGGGAGAGAGAGAAGAGCATCCTCTTCCCCTCTTCCATCCTTGTATTCCCCAGTTTCGGCAACCTCAGCAGGTGCCACCATGCGCGTCAAAGTGGCTTGCACCCATGAAGCAGGGATAGCCTAGAGAATATGAATTATTTGCTCTCACCTCTGTCTCTTTCCCACCTACTGTCAGTGGCCTTCAAGTTTCCTAGACCTCATTTATGCCATGGATATTAAGGTGACCTTTATCCATGAAACAGGAAGCTTGGGGTTGGCTTAATTGGCAGTAATCAGCCACACTGGCCTACACTGTGCCTTTTAACCTCTGTTGCTGTCTTCCTCTGGATCCCTTGGATCCATTTTTCTTTCTAGGGCTTTGATCCAAGGCTTGGAATTGAGTCTGGGACAAAAAATGTATCTCAGGGGGTTTGCATGGACTCCTTATTATAAGCTGAATGCTAAGGTGAAACTGTGGAACTGAACCCTCCTCCAACAAGGGAGAGGAAAGGATGTCTTGTGACTACACCCAGATAAGTGGTGGCTATAGTCATGCTTGCTACGATTTGGGTGCATGGTGCTTGGCTTTGGTTAGCTCCCTTGGTCTTACTTTCCCAACAGTAAAACTCTGAATGATAGGCATCCTATTGATTCCCATCACCTGGGAAGAATTTGCAGGATAATTGCTTGGAACCAGAATATTAATCCAGATTTTTACATTACCCATCTCTCATGTTTTTGTTGAGATGCAGCCACAGATTGCTGATTGGTTAACAGTAACAAGCAGGGTTAGTCTAAAACCAGGTGAAAAATTAAAACAACTAATGAGTTTAGAACTTAATGACAGATATATGATAAGTTTTGAAACATAATTTCTCTCTCCCCAGTGCTCAGTTTTGTTAAAAAAAAAAATCATCATTGGACTGAGTGGGTTGCAAAATGGACTTTAGTCTTATAATTGGCCAGATTATTTGCATAAAGTACACCATGAATAATTTTTTCTCCATAGGCCTTTTATATTGGCTTTGATGGAAGACTGTTGCACAAGGAATCTCAAATAAGACCTTTTAAAGCCAAGCCCAACCATGGGTTTCTATCCTCAAACACCTGTGAGTTGGGTGACTCTCCCCTTCTCTCCTCTTAAGGTCCCAAGATAAACTTGGATCCCTTAAGCCTGTTAGAAAGTGACATTTTTTACTAACCACAGGTCAGGAACCCTGTACAGGAACTGCATACATGAGGGTGTGAGGCCAGTTTCCCCCGTGGGGCTTTTACTGGCTCTGCAAGTTCAGATTAACTCCTTAAAAAAAAGCATATCCTTCCTGTCAAAGCCTTGGTAAAACAACCACTTTCTTCAATTGTGTTCTGTTGCAAAAGAAAAATGGATTCTTACTGTACTGATGCAAACAACTATATTGCCATGAGAATACTCACAGATAGTTTCTAAATTTTAGAGGAACCAGGCAGAGAGAAACAAACATGCTTCAAATTTTGATCATAGGGAGTATATCTTACTCAATTATTAAAGTCTGTAAATAGTTCAAAGTAAGTTTCCTTGACTCTGAAAAACAAAACAAAGATCAGCAATATTCCAAGCAAAAGTCAAAAAGATTTGCTTCAGCTTTCTGAGTTCAGTCCACTTAATTAACTCTTTTTTTGCTTGATATTCATGAAATTTTCTGCTCTTCATGAGTCCTGTACATTTTCCTTTATTACAATGTTACAATCTCTAAAGTTGGCACAAATCTGTATTTGAGAGTACCTGTCATATATATGTGTGTACATGTACTTTTTCAAAATTTAAAAATTTATACTCTGGTTGATAAAAATATAGACATAAGAAGAGATAAATTGAAATAAGTTTTTTCACTCAGAATTTTTAAATATACATTCTGAGAGGTTTTTTTTTACTGAAAAGAAAAATAAAATTTTCACTTATAACACTTGGTATATTTTTCAAAATTAAGATTTGAGAAAGTAAGAATTTTGTTAATTTGCTCAATAGAGAAACAAGATATATTGATAAATAAATGAGTGAATAAATACATAATTCAGATTCAACATATAGTCATTTACATGATTAGTGTTATTAGAAAAAATTGTTAGCAAATGTGTGGAACATTTTGGTGGTGAGGTTGCTAGCAGAAAAAGTAATATTTTACCTATAAAGCTCAGAACTGAAACTATTAATAATTTTAAATAATCACTTTTAGATTTGACAGGTAGGTGGCATGTGAATACAGTGGATAGCTAAAATATAGCCCAAATCTAAGGTAGTTAAAATTGCAACCAGTCTCTGGTTTCACAGTGAAATTTAAAAATTCTATATTCTCAGCCCCAGGGACATGTTAAATACCTATAAAATGATGGTAAATGTCAAATTGTCCAATATAACAAAATAGAAAAATCTTCTGAAATCACACCAAGACAATATAAAGCAGGTTTCAGGCAACACATCCTGATGTATGCTTAATGTTTTGTAAAACCTGAAAGAAAAACTAGGAAATGAACCATCAGGACAACTTGCCAGCTCAGAGCTATTTACACCACAAACCTCAAAAGACAGGGCCAACGAAGAGTAACTCTGAGGCTATGTAGATTCACAGCAAATGGTGAATTATTATTGACATAAAACCACTGTATACATGCTTTCTCCTTGTAATAGCAACAAAGTAATCACTTCAAGCAACAATGTTGATATAATTGCTTATTGAGAATTATCTTTGTGATTGGTGATTTACATAAGTTGTTATATTTATTTAGCCCATACTCAACAGTAAAAAAAAAAGCATATCATGATTGAAGGCCAGGGAGGATGCAGAATATACTCCGGAAACTTGCACGCATGGGGCACCCACATACTCCCTCTACTGCAGGCATTATGTAGACCTTCTGCCTACTACCAGATGTTGGAAATGAATGCAGGTAGAGAAGATACAGGCCTGATAGACACTGTTCTATAATGATCCATGATCTTTTTTTAATGTTATTGCTTTGGTTTTTTTTTCAAATTATCCTGGTGCAATTAAACCAGGGAAGAGTGATTTTTCCCATCAGACTCTATTCAACAATAATTTAATCAGAATGTTTTAGATTAATATTCTCATTATCTAGAGAAACTATTTTCTTTGTCCCAGATAAAAGGCAGTGAAAGAGTATTGATCTCAGGATGTCATCCAAGCAGAAATGGGCTAAGTTCTTCTCTGTGTTCCAATTACAAACCTAAGCTGGCTGCTAGAGTGCTCCATATCATTTCCTATCCTGCTTGTCCTGACGTAAGCACCTCTCTGGAACATCATGTTGCATAGAAATAAGTGGGTTTTGTTTTCCTGTTTATCTGTTGGTTTAATTTCTCATATGAAGTTATCATAAACATCAGTCTATTCATTATTCACCTACCATCATATTTTCTAAGGATGAAGCTTGATAAGAATAGATAGATAGATAGATAGATAGATAGATAGATAGATAGACAGACAGACTGTTCTGTTCCCAGCATTGACAGAATCAGGATCAGACTAGTCATCCCAATATTAAAAAACCTTAACACTTATTGACCTGAAGAAAGAAACTAAGGCAAAATTAATATAAGTAAAGAGTTTATTTGGGACAAATTTGAGGACTGCAACATGGGAGACACAGGTTGATGTTATGCTCTGATTAACAGCAATTGCTAGTAGGTTTTAAATGAAAAAAGAAAGGACAGTTCCTAAATCAAACATAAACTATCAATTGGCTATACATCATTCTTTGTATTGCAAATTCCAGGAACATAAACATAATGGGTAAGACTCACATTGTACAACCTATGATGGAATTTTAAATAATTTATCAGTTAGTCTAGAAACTCTGAGTAAGGGAAGAAATGTCTTTAAATAATTGCCCCAATTTCCCCAAGGGCATGAGTTGGGGGTAGGCGGTGAAGACTCCTTCTCTTGTTTTCTGGGCCTGAGAAATGTTGTATACCTCACATTTTTCAGACCGCTCTCAGCTACTTTTCTTTATCATAGTGTATGAAATACATAAGTTAATTCATTTTAAGCCTTGTAGAGGAGATAACCTCGAAGATTTTGGTCCTTAGGGATTAAAAATTCATAAATCAAGGCCCATGGTCATACCAGGTCTCCCTGGACACAGCTTCCTGACCACAGTGCAGTGAGCTGGAAACTAATGAGAGCATGACAGTACCACCAAGCTAAAAAAAGCAGTTATCAGTGACTGGGGAAGCTGAAGTAACCAGACTGCATGGGGCAGGTCACCAGAGAGAAATCAGCCCCATGGGGGTGGAAACAATCTACCTAGAAGTTAACCATGAGACCTTGACCTAAGACTGGGCTTCCAATATGGAGAACAAGAGTACAAAAGGTTTATCAGACAGCAGCTGCTAGAAATTTGAGAGGAAAACAAAGATAACTGAGATTAAGCAATGCTGGCAAATATTTAAGATCTGTCACTACTCAAGTACGCAAATTTGTAACATTTTTGTCACTCCAGTACTGAAACTGAGATGCAGCATGTAGCACCTTCTTCTCTAGACCTGCCCTAAGGAAGTCTAAATACAAGTTTTGAGAAGAACTGATGGGCACACAGTTTGGAAGTTGACAGTCTCACCATGTTACAGGGTCATGGAAAACATCATGAGCTTTATAGACACGTCTGCCCTATTTTTGTAAACCAAATCTACTCAAGTTCATAGTGATTAAAAGTAGATGACACATCTAACACTTTCTAGATGAATGTAACAGAGCACAGAGTTTCTACATATATTATTAGTAATGTTTAGTATACAAACAATCATTCTATTCATGTAAATTAATATAAATATGTGACCCAGTCTCATGAACAATGCAAAGTCAGAGATAACCAGGTCAACACATTTGTGTCTTTCCACAATGTTGGACTTTTACTGATGCTATTTCCATCATAAAAGCCACATGCTATTTGGAGTTCCCAAGGAGGCAATTCCCCTTAGTACTTCCCATTCACTTGGTACTCAGAGCCAAGGGTGCATAAGCCCAAGCCTTTCCACAAGTCAATCAATATTGCAAACCATACATAATAGTACATTTAATTAATATGTAAATGTTATAGATTATTCTACAAACAAACAAAGTTACATTTAACATCAAGGGAAGAACAGACAGAAAGATGGGTTAACAAATCAGACCAGAGAGAGTGATGAAGAGAAAAAAAAATGTCCTGGTCTAGGCCAGGCAGTCCCTGGGTCTTGCATGGAAGAGACTTTGATGTGGGCAGAGCCTTCAGTGGCAGATGTTGGTGCTGTTGAAGCCCTATTATCTTTATGGTCACAGAGTCCTCTGATGAGGACTGATAGTAGAAAAATGTGCTTGTTTATGTCCTTATCTGGTTGGATGCACTCTTTTTAATTATTTTATTAAGCAAAACACTTTATTCTTCTTGGCAAAGTACCCTATGAAGTAAAAGATGGAGTCTCTTTCTAAGGTGGGTTACTTATGTAACAGGTGCTCTATATACCCAGACTCGAATCAATCAGTCAGTCTATAAAAAACTGCCCCCAAAATGGTTAATTGTTTCCTTTAGGAAACAAAGATGTTAAATAAGTAATTATAAACATGTTAAAATAAATAAAGGGAGTATATCATAATGACTGGATAGAATCTTAGCAGATAAATGGGAAGAACAGGAAAAGAAAAAATCTGTGACCTTAAATAATGGTGAGTAGACATTTTCCTATATGTAAAGCAGAATGGGGTGAAAAAGGTTGAGGAAAAATGAATGGAGGTTTAGGAAGCTATGGGCCAATTAAACAGTCTAAATAAAGGTAATAAGAGGATGTATCTGAAGGAGGACAGAATAAAGATAGAAACATACAGACAAAACATTGAATATGTTAATGGCTGAGAAATACCAAGTTTGATCAAACTCTCCAATTATATATCTAATAACTTCAGAAAAACCTGAACAAGATAAATACAAAGTCAATCACAGTTTGTCACATCATGATCAAACAGGCAAAAATGAAGAGAAAATCTCAAAAATGTGAAAAGAGAAATGACGCATTTTATGCAGTGTATTAAAGATAAGAACGACAGCTGACCATATTAGAAACAATTGGGGTCAGAATATAGTACAGAAGATAACAGTTAACAGAAAAGAAAGCCAGTCCCTCAATTTTCGACATTCAGTATAAGAATATCCTTCAAAATACATGTTCAGGGGCCGGGCTCAAGGAGGGTGTCTCATGCCTGTAATCCCAGCACTTTGGGAGGCCAAGGCGGTGGATCATTTGAGGTCAGGAATTCAAGACCAGCCTGGCCAACATGATGAAACCCCATCTCTACTAAAAACACAAAAATTAGCTGGGTGGTAGTGGTGTGGACCTGTAATCCCAGCTACTTGAGAGGCTGAGGCAGGAGAACCGCTTGAGGTGGAGGTTGTGGTGAGCCGAGATCGTGCCACTACACTCCAGTTTGAGTGACAGAGTGAGACCCTGTCTAAATATATATATGTGTGTATATATATACGTATATATTTATATATACGTGTGTGTGTATATATATATATATATACACACACACACACACACATGCAACTGAAAGCTTAAGAAATTTGCACCAGGAGAACTACACTATAAAAATGCTTGTATGAATTTTATGCTGAAGAAAAATGATACTAAAGAGAAACTAAAATTTGTAGAACTGAACAAAAGAACATTAGAAATAAGTCAGTATATGTATAGAAGATCTTAATATTTTTTAAGATTAAATCAAGGGATACATGTAAAATAAAATGGTATGATGGGTTTTCACGTTTTAAAGCTATCAGGAAATACCTCACTGCTAAGAAACATTTTATTATAGGTCTAAAGTAAGTGAAGAAAAGTGTAATGAAGAACCAGACAGAAGATATCAGAGAGAAGAATTTTTTAACCAAAAGATAAGCAAAGACCTGAGGCAAAATCATGTTTGAGATATTCAAGGATCAATAAAAAGTTGATGTAGCTGGTACAGATGAAGGAAGAAGAGAGTTGTGCAAGATGAGTACCATATCATGTTCTAGAATATGATGAAAATTTGGCTTTTATTCTAAGTGTGATGAGGAGCTACTTCAAGTTTTGTACCATGAAGGGACATAGTATATTTGATATTTTAAAGGAATCGGTCTGGTTGCTGCAATGAGAATAGGATGTAGATAACCAGAGCAGTAGAGTGCTGGAAGTAGAGAACAGATGCAATGTTATCAAAATCTGAATATATTTTCAAGGAGAAGCCAACAGGAATTACAAATGAATTTGACACGAAGAGGAAAAGGATGAGAGAAAACAAGGATAACTTCAAAATTTTTTCCTTGGCAATTGTTAAATGCATTTGCTACTTCCTAAGGAGTCTGTAGGATGAAGACTTTGGGGGGTGTTTTGTTAGCATGCAGCAGAAAACAGATGGCATACTCAACTTGGGTAATTTGAAGAGAGTTTAATAAAGGAGTGAGATTATTTACCAAGTCTAGGAAAATCAAGAAAGATTTGTACAATACTCTGTGGGCTAATAACTGTGATTAGGGGGGTGATTAGCATTATAAACCCTAAGTCTGAAGAGACAAAGAGAAGGAGCGGTCAACACAAATGACAGGGAAGACATCCCTAAGTAGAACTGTCTGAAGAAAGCTGTGTTCTTCAATAAAGTGAACCAGCACATGCTGATCTTAGCAGGAGGGCTCCAAGGGAATAAATGTCCCAATCATAATCTCCTCTTACTCTCTAGACTTCATTCTTGTGCCTCTCATTATGCAAATTCAACTAAAAGCAGGAGGCAAAGGAAACTGTTGATTCTGTTAATATGGAATAAATTTTCTATGGTACAAAGCAAAAAGGAAAAATTGTGGAAAATGTATCCAAAGGAGTAAATTGAAGATATGCAACACAGGGGGAATATCAAGTTTGTTAGGTTTCTCCAGAACAGAACCAATAAGGGAGATACACACACACACACACACACACACACACACACACTTACTTTTATTTATAATAAGGAACTGGCTTACATGGTTATGGAAGCTGAGAAGTCCCAAGATCTGCAGTTGACTAGCTAGATAGAATTCCAGGAGAGCTAATGGTGTATTTTCAGTTCAAGTCTAATGGCCTGAGAACCAAAAGTAGTAATGGTATGAGTTTCAATGAAAATGTTGGCAGGCTCATGAACAAAAAAGAGCTGATGTTACAATAAAAGTCTGATGGCAAGAAAAGACCATGATCAACTTAAAGCAATAAAACAGAAGTTCCGTCTTAACTCATGGGAATTTCAGACTTTTTTTCTAGTCAGGCCTTCAATTAATTGGATGATATGCTTTAAAAAGGGCAATCTGCTTTACTCATAAATTGATTCAAATATTAATCTCATTCAATAACACTCTCAACGAAATACCCAGAATAATGATCACCAATTATCTGGGCACTCTGTGGCCAAGTTAATTCAACACATTAAATCAACACAAAGAATCAACTATGAGGTGGAAAAGTAGAAATGTTTAGTAGCTTGGGGTTGAAGAGAAAGGTTAGGACAAGTAATGTGAATTAGAGAATGGGCAGCCTATATGTGACACACAAAACCATGTGACAGGATGTGTATTTCTAATTAAAGACTCATGCCTAGCTCATTCTACGACTAGGTAAAAAAATGAAAAGAAACAAGCAAGTCTGACTGAAAATAATTACTTGTTGAGGTAGGAGTGCCATAAAAGAGTTTTACTTTTTGAGTCAAGTTAAGAGTGATTCAAGAAGGAGGGAATTAATCAAATGTGTTGAATACTGCTTGTAGGTTTATTGGGCTGAGACCTAAGAAATGACTACTAGTTTTGTCATTATAGCAATAATTTTACTGAACGGTATCCAGTCTCTGATCTGATCTTGCAAAACATTCCCAAACATCTCCAAAATTGTCAGTCCTAGGATACTGGATACTGGACTTGTACTTCCTTGCTTTTTTTCTTTTTTTTTTTTTTTTTTTTTTTTTTGAGTCAGAGTCTCACTTTGTTGCTCAGGCTGGAGGGCAATGGTGCAGTCATGGCTCACTGCAGCCTCAGCCTCTTGTGCTCAAGTGATCCTCCTACCTCAGCCTCCCAAGTAGCTCCCTGCAAACATGAGTATATGTATTAGTCCATTTTCATACTGCTATGAGACTGGGTAAGTTATAAAGAAAAAGAGGTTTAATGGACTCACAGTTCCACATGGCTGGGGAGGCCTCACAATCGTGGTAGAAGGCAAAGAAGGAGCAGAAGTACATCTTATGTGACAAGAGGCAAGAAAGTGTATGTAGAGGAACTGCCCTTTATAAAACCATGAGATATCATGAGAATTATTCACTCTCATGAGAACAGTACAGGAAAAACCCGCCCCCATGACTCAATTACCTCCCACCAGGTCCCTCCCATGACACATGGGGATTATGAGAGCTACAATTCAGCATGTGATTTGGGTGGGGACACAGCCAAACCATATCGGTGTAGTCTCATGGGAAATACCATATCGTAAACTGTCTTATGGAAAAAACAATATCATAAACTGTGGAGACATATGACTATTAGTTTTCTTCCTTTCTTTTGAAGTTTTGCATATGGAACATGCAAGCATATGATGGGTCTACAGTCTGCCTACTCATGCTTTGAAGGTGATTCATACAAATCTCAATGTATAGTCCTCCTATTCATCCTGCCACACGTCTTCCCTACTTATTTTTGTTTAATGGTAAAAGAAAGTGGAAATAAAATTCATTCTCTGTTAGGGCCAAAGCCAAAGTGGTATCTATGACACTATTTTGAACACTCAATTACATATATTAAACTAACTGTTGTGAGAATTATTCTGTATTTTATGGTATATAAATGTCAGTTACAAGTGTTATGCATAATTTTAAATTTTGATTATTTATAATGAGATCTCTCATGAGTTTTTGAATTCCTCAATTATTTTAGTAATTTTGTATTCATGAACAACTACCAAACATTTAGCTTATTCTCCATAATATGAAAAACTCCTTTCAAGACACTTATATTGGTGCCTTTTTTCCCCACAAAATCTGCAGCAGTTGGAAATTTTAATTAATATTTCAAGTCACTTTCTCACAATCTGTATGTATAGCAAACAAAGCAGTATCCTTCCTGATTGAATATTTAGATTTAGTCCTTCACAAGAAACTTATCCAAGGAAATTTATTTCTTCTTGGTCATACATTCAGTAACAGTTCCTTGTAACTACTATAATTGAATATCCCTCTTAAAATTCTGTGTTGCCTTTCTTAAAATTTTCAATCATTGGTCATGAACAACTCCAGGAGAGCAATATTACCTCTCATTCTTTTTTTCTGATTTGTCTAACTGGTCTCCTACTGATTCAGATTTTGATTTCCTTTCACTGTATCATGAATCCCCCTGGAAAAAAAGAGTATGCAAAGTTTGCATATTTGTTTCTATTCATCACAGTGCATGATTCAATTGTTTTGACAAGATACTACTCATTAAAAATAGGATAAATGTGTAAATTAGGTCAATCTACCACATTATAATTATTTATTCATTAAATGAAATAGAAAATATGCATTTAATGATGTTCTTTTTTTTAGTTCTAAATAGCTAGAGGTCAGGGATAATGTTTTACTTTGTCTTTTGTTAGAATATCTGATGCAGAGTTGACACTAACAATGTCAGTTGATTTCATTTGAATTCATCATACAATTGGATTGAAATTCTGATTATTATTCTCATGTAGTCCAGATAAAGAAATGGAAGGAGTATTTCTTCTATTTCTTTTCAAATATATAAAAAGTGCTGATTTGGGACTAAAAAGCTTCTATTTTATTAAGTAGAAAAAATTTAAATCATGCTTCAACATCTTCTACAGTAGTGATTATAAACTTCTTAAGAAGTCACTGATACCTTGGAGGATGTGGCACAAACCTAAAGGCCTTCTCCCTTATAAATATAAAGTTGGATTCCAGAGCCTTCCCAAACCTTAACTTCTAGTATCCAAGGACTATGAAAAGAATCCTGATCTAAAAAAATATATAAAGTGATCCAGATATGTTATTTCTATCTATAAATGAGGAAACCATGTTTCAGTGATATAATCCTAATAATCCCAAAGCTTACTAATAGTAATTATTATTGTTACGTCTGTAGTATGGTGTAAGGTAAATAGTAATGAATTTGAAGTTATTTTTCCTACATTCAGTTGAATTGACACTGTTTAAAGACTTTATTCAATGCTAAATGATGAGTTAATGGGTGCAGCACAACAGCATGGCACATGTATACATATGTAACTAACCTGCACATTGTGCACATGTACCCTAAAACTTAAAGTATAATAATAATAAAATAAAATAAATAAAAATAAATAAATTTAAAAAAAGGCTTTATTCTTCTTTGGCTCAGATTATTGTCCCACATATTAGACATTGCACAGATAATGGCACATTCTATGTACTTAGAAAATATGTACATTCTATTATTATTTTCTTAATTTCTATAAGTGACAGGTTATAAACTAAAATTACTAAGTTTAATAATTTATTGATTAATAACATTTTCTCCTAGTTCAATGTGTGTATTTCAATTTTATTTTCAACTTTTGTTTTTTTGTTTTAACCTAATTTTAGATTAATATTTTAAATATTTAGCTTCATATGTACTATATGATTAGTGAGATTCATTATTGGGATTAATAAATTACATGACTATGCTTAGGACACAATTCTATGTCATTTACTTTTAAAAAACATTTTCTTCTCTCGAAGTTGACATTAAAAAATTATCAGGATCATACAACTTCAGGCAAACAAAACTAATTTTATTAGTTACTTATTATTATTTTAATTTTTTCCTGATAATACATAAGCATTTTTGTGATTTATAAATTCATATATATTTTCAATATTTTTGTTTTTATTTTTCCTCTTTGTCCATAATTAAAAATCAAGCAATATTGAAAACTTAAGATATAGTAATATAACATTTTATGGAAATCAATGATACTTACAATAAAGTTTAGACAGTATGCAAATTTAGATATTAAAGACTAAATTCTACACATACTATATTTTTCTAATTATTTTCATATGAAAAAATAGAAATATTTACATGTTTATCAGGGTTACCCTAAACATGCGTGATTATGACCAAACTGTGGCTGTGCAAAGATCAAACACATAATTATGCATTACAAAAAATTGGGTGAAACATACAGTGTGATGTTATATTATATATATATTACATTCAAAATTATTCAAATGTATACATAACGTGATAATCTACAATAAAACATAAAAGACAAAAATTTGGAATATCTGTGAAAAGTTATCAAGAATATCAGTATCATTCTTGAAATTAGCTTTAGTGTGTATATTGATGTTTGTTCTATGTCTTTATATTTTACATATGCATCAAGTATATTCTTTGTTATGCATGAAATATATTATTAAAGTGTAATAAAAAGCTGCAAAAGCTCAATTTTAAATTGAGACAAAATACATCTCATGTAAAACTTCTTCCATATGCACAGCAATATATTTGGAAATTAATTGTATTTGGCTCATACTTAGTGTTTTTGTATTTATCAAATTAAATAAAGAATAACACTTAGGTATAATTTCAGTATTGTTTTTGTAAATGCCTGCTTTCAATCATATAGAAAATTACCCCTGAAAAATTCCTATGATTTCCAATGCATGTTCGTACCAACGAATTTTTCTCTACTCAGGAAATACACCTTTTCACAACATTATTATGTTAGTTTAATTATCCCTATACATATTATTATAATGAAAACCTATTTTAAAAGGTTTCATTTCTTTGAAGACAGCCACTTTTTTGAAACACTGTTGTCAGATTATAGAAAAAGATATTTTCTTTTTAAATGTTATACTGTACACTGAATTTTTATCATGTTAAATATTAAATTAATTAGTTTAAAGAATATTTAAATTTTTACTAATTTTAATTTTTTAATTATAAAAAAGTTCATATATGGAGCAAATGGATAGCAAGTTATTTCTCTGACCGTAACAAAATTGTAGAAAATCTTGACATATTTTGGAAAATAATGTTTTTTCCCTTTAAAATATAATGTGCAGAGATTTTCTATTTTATTTAAAAATTATTTGAGAGAATTAATTATGTCACTGCAAAACATGGGCTTTGTTTGAAGAGTACTTAGAGTTTTGTTAATTTAAAAATTTCTACAACTTAAAAAAATCCTTTTTATCTATGCAAGCACACAGTTGGCAGGTCTAGGTAAATGACAAGATTATGTATAATGTTTAAAATGCATTGTATTGCAAACAAAAAAAGGTTTCCATTCATGTAATTATGAATATCTAACTAGAAAATTAAAACTCACTCAGCATTTTGACAATGTTCTATGCATGTCACTGAGGAAGATATGAAGATTGATTAAAAGAATTAATCTCTCAGAGAGTGAAATATTTAATATAAATTTAAAGTGCCTCTAAATGGCCCAGTGATGTTTGCCAATCATTCTATTTATTCGTATTAAGCTGCATAGTTTCCACATTAGTACCTAATTCAAACCTTTTATCACCACCCTTAAAAGCCTACTCCAAGTCTTTTACTTTAGCATACAACTTTAGTTCCTGATTTATTTTTGGGTGCAAAGTAATGATTTATGTTTACTCAACTTCCCTATTTTCTGCCTAATTTTTTTGATACCTTACATCCATCTTGTAATTCTGATACATCTTCTCTTGTCTACTTTCTCCCTAGGCTTTTAAAGGCGAATTCTTTTACTATTTTAAAAAATCACTTATCACTTTACCCCAGTAGGTTTTTGATTAGATAATTTTCTTTATCATGGATTGTCCTTTCTTTCTATTGTATCTTTCATTCTAGACAAAACTCAGGCCCTCATGTCTACAAACTCTTCATATTCCTATGTGTACAAGGTGCCTCCACACATTTCTCATCTCCTCTGTAAATCACTATAAGCTATTTTCTTGTCCTTATTTTCTTGCTAAAATTCCTGTCTTATGAGCTACAGCTAAGTGTGTGAAATTAAGAAAAAAATGGTGGATATATGGATGATGAAATGGAGAATCATAGACAATAAAGGTGTCTGAATATTTATTATGACAAATGTATTAACCAAATATGCATTCAGAAACTAACTCCCATGATTTCTAGTTGGGCGAAGTAAGCTAAACCACAGTTTCCTTTTCTAAAAGAATAAATTAATACTAGCTACTTTGCTGCTTTTTTGTCAGTTAATTAAAACAATGCATGTAAAGATCTTATCACAGTGCCTACCAAATAATAAGCATTATTTCAATGTAGTTGATCACATATATAAAACATACACGTGTGTTGGCTGTATATATGTGTATATATATTATATAGTGTGTGTGTATAATCTTAAGACTATGGAATTTTTAAAACATATTTTGTTGGTATTACCTAACTGAAATGAGAACTTATTTAAGTTAAAAGCACAATATTCATTGTCTCCAGAATAAATAATAAATACATTTGTTTCTATTAATGCTTATATTAAATCCGCATTTCTACATACAGAAATAAGTTATTAACTGTTATTGGGAGAAAATCATATCTTTTTATCCATATAATAAACAAACTTAAATGCTGCCTTATTGTGTGATTTTCAAGAATGGTAAATTCCTGCATTAACCTTTTTTAGAAATTATGTACCATGTTTTTATATTTTATTGCTGCATATAGTTATGAATGAAAGGATTTCTTGTCAAAAAGAGAGAAATACGTGAGAATTTACATTTAACTAGACATATAGGTGTTAATTTTTTTAATTTTTAAAATATTGATGCTGTATCCTCACTTTATTTTATCATTAAGGAGAATATGTCTCTATGACCATAATTTTTCCTGCATGTAAGATTATAGCAGAAAAGGCAGTTTCCTATATAGGCCAGTGGACAGGGTAATTGCAGTCAAATATTACAAGGTCACGATATGGCACTTCTAACACAGGACTCATTATTTACAATCATAATGAGTCCATCTGCAATAGTCATGGTATTATATTTTCCAAGTTCCATTACAGGCATGTGTATTAAATTCCATAGGTACATCATAATTTAGAAATCTAGTTTGTAATATGGCAATGTAGAAGAAAGGCAGTTTGTAAGTCAAATTGTATGAATTATTATGAAAATTTATTTAATCTGTGACTACAGTATTACAAAATGATACATGTCTTGGTACCATGCATTTTGGCTTTTATTCATAAGTGTTAGCTATACTAGTAGAAACAAAGAAATCAGGAGTTAGTGTCAAATCATCCATGGATTCTTTACTATTTTGGGATCACAAAACTGTGTCTCTCATAAAAGCTATCTATAATCTTTGAATTAAAATTCAGGCATGCATAAGAAAAGATAGTTTTCCCCAGGCTGGCATAAGCAATGGTAGAAAGGGAACCACAGAATTTTATGTGCACCTAGAACCTCTCCATGCATAAATGCACAGATGCACACAAACATACACACACACACACACATACACACACCAGCAATATTTTCTGCCTTAAAGATTTCCAGAGCTAAAAGCATTCTCCCTTTCCTTCTATTTCTGGTCATATCAGTCAGCACAAAAACTTGAGCTCCCTCCCATTCATGAGAATCCATTCCCACATGACTTTTGGTCAAGTCTTCACTTTCTCTCTCCTCCAAGAGTGTCCAAACTGCCTTCCCTGTAAACAAGATATAAGAAATAATCCTGCCCCACAGTGAGGTTGTAGTTTTGTTCTTTTTGTGTAATACAACCCTCAACATTCTGTGTAACTCTTCTGTGTAGTAAAGTCTTTCAAAGGTCTGAGGATTGGCTGGATAATTTGCTATTTTATTGATCTCATAGGCCATACAGCCAAGTGAACTCATCCTGAGAATTTTACTTTACTGAAATTGGGTGCCATTAAGCCAAAGGTTAGTCTTTGTGATTGTTTTCATTGAGGATTTCCTGTTTTCTAAATACCACCTGAGGGTCATGCCATAATTGCTAAGATTAGTTTTTCATTTCTAAGGCCTTCATTTTGATGACCTGATGCCCACCAGTAAGCAGAGAAATACAGTCTCATTTTTAGAGAAGATTTTATGGACAAGGGTGGAGGCTCTCATTTCAAGCAGAAGCATTGTAAGGGAAGCTACATTTATTTAAATTATAAATTTGAATTTCATTTTGTACTGCAACAGAAGCCAATCAATCTTCACAGGCAACAAAGAGTGTGAAGTGTATATGATGGAATCAGCATTTAAATGTGATGCAGTTTTATAGAAGCACTTGTTTTAAGAGCTCCGAAAGACTGATTAACTAAAAGCGCTTTATGTGAAAGTATTTAGCTTCAGTAAGTTTTACATGGGCTACAATCTACGTATTATATGTGCTTAAGAAAGCAAATTTGACAGATGCATAATAAAAGATATTGTAAAATGCATATTTCCTTGTGATAGAATCTAACGCGGGTTATCAGAAGTCAGCTTATTATCTCTAAACAAAGCATAAATATTGAAAATTATTACAGACTACAAAGTGGAGATAATTCATTTTTCTATATATGCTGTACAAAATACATAAAATAGATTATGTTTTAACTATGCAATTTCTTTGCATAGTTTTTTTCTGAATTAGCTTTAGTCTCTTAAATCTGGGTAGTGAAGCCTTGGAGGCCATAAGGACCCAGAATAGTCAATCAAAATCAGATATGAAGTTGCATGGTACCCTCACACTCAACCTCAGGCTCCACATGGAAAATGACCCTCTTCCTGTGTACCCAGAGCCTGGAAATAAATGCAGACAGAATGCAGCCTTGGTAGACAAGTGAAGTTTAAGTAAACAGGAACTATTTACCTGTCACTGAAAAGCCATGCTTTTTTTTTTTTTTTTGTACTATAGGCAGGTCAGGACTTAGGATTACAAAAGTTCAATCAGTTATTACAATTAAGGATTTCTAGTATTTCGATCAACTGGACACTATGAGTGAGAATGTATCCACTAAAACAATTAGTGTAGTGTACTTAAAATGTAAGAGTAAAATTAAATTACAAATTAACATTGAAATTAAAATGTGTGTTATTATGAAGCCAATGTTTACCCTTAATTATTATTATAATTTTTAAATATTAATTTTCCTACTCCAATACATTACATATATGCTGAATTTTAGGCACCATGCTTGCAGCAAATGAGAATCAGGCATCTGAAGATTGCCTTTATTTCTCATTACTACTTAAATGGCTTAAGGCAAATTACTTAACATTAATCTGAACCTCAGCTTCCTCATCTATACCATGGAATGACAATAATTATAAAATAAATAAATATATTTAAAATTAAATTTAAGTACTTATGAGGTACTTAGCATACAGACTCCTCTGTTATGTGAGGAGCTCTCATTCTATAAGTTTTGACAAAAGACAGGGACCAACCTTCTTCCAAAGAAGTGACATCAAACCAGTTATTTTTTTCTCCACAATCCTGGAATCTAAGGTGTGAGTACATGCATTAGTTTTGATCTTCCAGATATTTACACCTGGGTGGGACTTTGCATACTGAATGTCAATGACTCAGGAGCAAGTTAGAAAACTCTTACAGTGGCAAGGACTGTGAGACATATCCAGGAGGAGCTGGAGGAGTGGACTCGGCAATCCATCTGTGACAGAAGTGGTATCCAAAGTTGGGTGCCTTTTGGTATGATTTTTGATCCTCACGCTGCCTCACTTCTGTTAACTTCTGTATATTTTCTAAGACTATTCATGAATCATCTAATGTCCTTCAAAAAATCATTCTGCTAAAAACCTTCAAGTCTATTCCTGTTTGCAACTATGAACCATAACTGACATATTTGGTCTTCAGAGTGCAATGAGAAAGATAAAAGATAAAGAAACTCTTAATACTCTTTGATATGATTTTATGTGAAATATTGTAGTTTTATTTTAAACAGTTTTGTTCAACTATAACCCGTCTAACTTCTTACATTTAGTGAGTTTCTCCCCTATTTAGAGACTGTGTATTAGTTTTCAATAGTTGCTGTAACAAATTGCCACAAATTTAGTGACTTAACACAAATTTATTACTTTAATTTTTGAAGGAAAGAAATCTGAAATGCATCTCCCTAGGCTAAAATTAAAGCATCAGCAAGGTTGCATTTTTTTCTGGAGGTTGTAGGGGTGAATCCATTTTCTTCCCCTTTTCAACTTCTAGAAGCTACCATATTCTTTAGCTCATTAACCTCTTTATCCATCTTCAAAGCCCAACTACAGCAGGTTGAGTTCTACTCACATTTCATCACCCTAATTTCCTCTTCTGCTCCTTTCCTCCACATTTCAGAATCTTTGTGATTACATTCAATTTTTTTCAGATAATTCAATATCATCTCCAAATTTTAAGGTTAATTGACTAGCAACTTTAATTCCATCTGCTACATTAATACCTCTTTATCATGAAAAGTAGCATATTCACATGTTCCAGGGATTCGAATATGGATATCTCTGGAGGACCATTATACTGACTACTATAAATAACACTCCAATAAAATATTTTTTGTATGTATATATGTATGTATGTTCAATATTACATGAACAGATATAGAAGAGATGAAAGATATAAGGCAGGTTAAAATATAATATATTTGCTTAGTCTATAACTAATAATTTTAACCAATTCCAAATATCTTATTCATTGGGTAGAAGATTTTGTGTACATACTTTTTTTAACTGAAATTTATTTTGAAGATTTGTACATAATTTTTACAAGTACGACTGAAAAAATAATGTCATTTTGTGGCTTTTGAAATTGAAGTAACAGAGATAGGAGTTGTAGAAGAGGTGGGATCTTAGGAATTATGTGCCTGTAGATAATTTCTCCTTTTATTTAGTAACAATGCCAGTAGAAACAGAGGAATACAGAGGAATAAGGTGTTTTATACCAAGGGAAAAACAATGAAAAGCTATTTTAGGGCCAAATAAGTTGAAGTCCATTGAAGTAAATGCATATGAAGTCAACTAGATATGTAGCTATTGAATCTGGTTTCTGCTACACACAAGAAGCATATTGTGAAATATGAAAGAATATATGAAATTAAAACAGTGAAACATTTTGCGTTATCAAACAGGAAACTGAACATAATTATTTATGAAAAAACAGCTACTTTATCATACAGGATTACTGAATAATATGAAATGTAACAATGTTTCTCTAACAATCATCTTAAATATTTCAAAATCACATTTCATGTTTTTATTTTTTTATTTTGGTTCTTGTCTAGGTTCTACCAGAAAAATTCCTTTGTCACTTGCATTTCTGTTTGTGAGACAGTTTTTTTAATGGTTAAAAATTATACCCATTTCAAAGAGAAGGAAAACAAAGTGAGTTTGAAGCAAAACTAAGTCTACCTAATAAATCATTGTGTTATCAATGCCTAAAGTACCTGAAAGGATAACTAATATTCTTCACAATTTCATAAACAGTCTCTACCCTTCTTTGAAAATGTTTTTTATAAAGCAAGGCAATAAATTAAAAGAAAATATTGTATTTACTGTGCTGTTTTTGATAGTTCCACAAATATTAGAATATTTTTATTGATATTAATATATTAGTATTATGACTATATTTAGATTTAAATATACTTGTGTAATTGATCTACAGACTTATGTACTTGTGTAATTGGTCTACAGATGTAACATTTTGTATTTTTAATTCCTTGGAAAATTTTCTGTACACTGAAAAGAACAACAATATTACTATAAAAATTAATTTATTTGTTTCTTGGCAGTGATTGTGATTTTTGCATTGTGTGTATTATGTGTGGTTTTTAGAAGTCCATTTCTCTTTTAAACATTTTAATATTTATGGTCAGCACTTTTCAGATTACCACACCTTAGCACTATTTAACAATTGGAATATTTATTGATATTTAAAACCGTAAAATCCTACAGCAGCAAATTATGCAAACAATATTAAATAAGGAAAAATATGGTTCAAAGGAAATTAATCTATTGGAATATTAAAATGAAATGGAAGCCATGGAATGAGATTATGTGAGTTTCAGGTTTAATCTTTTTGAACATATGTGCAGGTTTTCACTGGAGGGCATTCCCCTTTCCCAGAAGTCTAGATCAACACAATAGGTTAAATCAACTGACCTCCTCATCCTAGTTTCCTCTAGGTGATTTTATTTTCTGCAGTATTCTATTTAACCTCTAATCTATTTTTCAGAAACTCTTTAACCTTCTCCAATAAATTCACAAGCCTTTAGGGATATTTGGAGTTTGTTACTATTTGTTTTTAATTGATTGGTATTTTCTTTAAATTAAAAAAAAAAGAAGAGAAAACAAATTGGTGCGAGCACTCTTTACACAGTACATTGAGTGGTCAGTAAAGGTTAATTTTACTGTGTTCTGTACTAACCAAATTGTTTTAAACTAAACTACTAATGAAATTTGTTGATAGAATTTGAAGTCACATTATCAACTGAGAAGAAGAAATCAGGATATTAGGCTGGAGTAATAATAAGCAATAAGGGTAAAGAGAAATTTAGAATTTATAGCTGCAATTTTAAATAGAGATGATGTATAAGATGAGATCACAGAAAGAGTAGATTGCTAAATGGAAGAAATAAATGAATGTTGTTTTTCGAAGTGCAATTTTTACAACCACTACTACCAATCTTTTGTGCTACTGCATAGAAGAAAACGTTCTTACAATTTTCAAATATAAGCATTTATAACAATCTATCAGATAATTTTGTCAATTTAAAAAGGCCTAAAACATGGGCCTATACTATATATATATATATATATATATGCACATATTATAGTATATATACACTATACTATATATATATACACTATACTATATATATATACACTATACTATATATATACACTATACTATATAGAGAGGCCTATATATATATATATATATATATATATATGCACATATTATTCTATTAAGAAAACAAAACAAAAAAAAGAAAATATCATCTGTTGGTTGCTACTTAATGGTGAAATGATAGAATGCATTCCAAAAGATAAGTTTTATAAAGAGAAACTTATACGGGTAAGGAAATGATCACACAAAAAATTATGACCTGTTTGCATTTAGTTTGTAATACATAGAACTATTGCAGTCCTTTGTTAAATTTAACTTTCATAGACTGTCATCAACTACAAGCTCTTCAAAGGGTGTTGTCTCATGATTAGTGTGCCTGACATATAATAAACTCTAAATAAATATGTGCTAAATGAGTTCACATTGTAACTATTGTTGCCATAGTAGTGAAACAGAATGGCTTAAAATAATAGCATGGGCTTAGGTTTTTTGTTTTGTTATATTTTGTTTATGCTATAGTTTCTTGCAAGAAGGTAAAACACCTGTAAGATATCAGACATTTAGAAAATTACTACATGAGATGAAATTATTAATTGTAATTAAAATCATGTGTTAGAACATATTTCATTTAAAACAAATCTTTTGAGATATATATATATATACACACATATATGTATAATTTTCAAGAGACATTAATCTCATTTGAAATGCAATGAATTTCTTTATATAACTAAGTTTTCCAATTAGGATTTATATTGAGAACCAGTACAGCTTTCCAATTATATATGCATTATAAATGTGTGTTTAGAAAATTGATATTGTCACGGGATATTTGATGTGTCACTTCACCAGCCGGAAACCTCTGTGGCTGTCGGTGCCTTTGCCCAAGTTTTGCTCAGGCCCCATGAGCTCATTCCACCCACCAGGCCTGGCAGGCTGGGTTTGGCTCACACTACTGGCCCAAATCTCACGCCTGTAAGGGTGAGTAAGGTGCAGAGCGGTGATGGGTATGTGAGCAAGCAAGCAAGCACAAGATCTAGCCATTGTGCCTAGCCAGGCATGCCAGCTGCAGTGGGGTGGGAAGCCCCAGGCACCAGCATGGACGTTGGCTTACTGTGAGGCTATTGGACCAGACTTACCACAAGCAGCTTCCACGACTGGCACCGGGGAAAGCCGAGGTGCCCAGAAGCTTGGAGACGCCAGGAACCACAGAGCCCCAGAAAGGGTGTCACAGTCTTGGCTCTCCGATCTCCTAAGTCTGGGTTTGCCGAAGGGTCGCAGATCTTCTCTCCTTTCTTCCCTCCCTCTTGTCATCCACAATGTGGCGAGCAAGGGGCATGTTTCAATCCTGTTTGTGTTACAGCTATTTTAGCTCCACCATACCGGCAAGTCCCAAGTTCTTGTCCTGTGTCCAGGATGAATGAGGTAAGGCAGACAAATGGAGGGCGAGTAAGCAGAAGAAGACCTTTACTGAGCGACAGAACAGCTCAGAGGAGACCCAGAGTGAACAGCTGGTTTCCATAGGCAGGGCGTCCCAGTGAGTGTTCAGCTCTCAGCAGAGACGAAGCCCACAGTGGGTAGCTCCTCTCTGCAGCTGGTAGTCCTGATGTCTGCTTAGCTCTCAACAGAGAGGAGACTCTGGAGTGCGTAAGGGGCAGGAGGCAGAGGGCCCTCCCAGCTCCCAAGAGCACAGAGACTTCCGGGACCACAGCCATGGCTGGGCAGCTGCAGCTGCACCCAGAAGGGAGAGGATCTGCTCCTGCTCGCTCTGATCCCCAAGCACAGGGATGCCTGGCTCCAGGGCTGCGGCTCGGTGGCCACAACAGCAGCCAGGGAACAGGAGGCTCCCGTCCTGCCAACTCACAAGGAGGCAGGGTTTTCACCTATTCCCAGCTCCCACCAGCTCTGTGGAGTGCACAGCCCTAGCTACACGTCTCACACTGATGGCGTCACGGCAGTGGCTGGTCCAGATGGGCTGCCGCTGCCATCAATCACATCTCTGAAGAGGTATATCTAACTGCTTCATGCTGACAGGGGGCCTGGTTTTGGGGAAAATGACAGATCTCTCTCAGAGTCCTATGCATAGGTTCCCAGTAAAAGGGAAGTCATGGAGTCATGGAGGAGAGAGAATCTACAACCATGTTTTCACAGACAGAGAGAAAGAAGCCAGAGGTTCAACTGGTAAGAATTCTTTTTTTTTGAGCCGCAGTCTCACTGCACCCAGGCTGGAGTGCAGTGGCGCGATCTCGGCTCACTGTAACCTCCGCCTCCTGGGTTCAAGCGATTCTCTTGCCTCAGCCTCCCGAGTAGCTGGCATTACAGGCCCGTGCCACCATGCCCAGCTAATTTTTGTATTTTTAGTAGAGACTGGGTTTCACTATGTTGGCTAAGCTGGTCTCGAACTACTGACCTCAGGTGATCCGCCCGCCTCGGCCTCTCAAAGTGCTGGGATTACAGGCATAAGCCACCGTGCCAGGCCAAAAATTAAACTTTTATGCCTCAGAGGGGAGTGTCCCGTGGTGCAGAGACATGATTACCCATCTGCAAAGAGAGGACAGGGGAGGAAAAATGAACAGCCTGGAGGAACTCTGCAGTGGGTAGCTCCTCTCTGGAGCTGGTAGTCCCAAAGTCTGCTCAGTTCTCAGCAGAGCAGAAACCACGGAGTGGCTAGCTCCCTGTGTCCGGAATTGGTGGGTTCTTGGTCTCACTGACTTCAAGAATGAAGCTGCCGACCCTCAAGGTGAGTGTTACAGTTCTTAAAGGTGGCGTGTCCGGAGTTTGTTCCTTCTGATGTTCAGATCTGTTTGGAGTTTCTTCCTTTTGGTGGGTTCGTGGTCTTGCTGGCTCAGGAGCGAAGCTGCGGACCTTCGCGGTGAGTGTTACAGCTCTTAAGGCGGCGCGTCTGGAGTTGTTCGTTCCTCCCTGTGGGTTCGTGGTCTCGCTGGCTTCAGGAGTGAAGCTGCAGACCTTCGCGGTGAGTGTTACAGCTCTTAAGGTGGCGCGTCTGGAGTTGTTCCTTCCTTCCAGTGGGTTCGTGGTCTCGCTGACTTCAGGAGTGAAGCTGCAGACGTTCCCGGTGAGTGTTACAGCTCATAAAGGCAGTGTGGACCAAAAGAGAGTGAGCAGCAGCAAGTATTGCAAAGAGCGAAAGAACAAAGCTTCCACAGTGTGGAAGGGGACCCCAGGGGGTTGCTACTGCTGGCTCGGGCAGCCTGCGTTTATTCTCTTATCTGGCCCCACCCACATCCTGCTGATTGGTAGAGCTGAGTGGTCCGTTTTGACAGGGCACTGATTGGTGTATTTACAATCCCTTAGCTAGACATAAAGGTTCTCCACGTCCCCACCAGACTCAGGAGCCCAGCTGGCTTCACCCAGTGGATCCTGCACCGGGGCTGCAGGTGTAGCTGCCTTCCACTCCCGTGCCGTGCGCCCGCACTCCTCATCCCTTGAGTGGTCGATGGGACTGGGCGCCGTGGATCAGGGGACGGACGGCACTCGTTGGGGAGGCTGGGCCGCACAGGAGCCCACGGACGGAGGGGAGGCTCAGGCATGGCGGGCTGCAGGTCCCGAGCCCTGCCCCATGGGAAGGCAGCTAAGGCCCGGAGAGAAATTGAGCACAGCAGCTGCTGGCCCAGGTGCTAAGCCCCTCACTGCCCGGGGCCGGTGGGGCCGGCCGGCCGCTCCAAGTGCGGGGTCCGCCAAGCCCACACCCACCCGGAACTCGCGCTGGCCCGCAAGCACCGCGCGCAGCCCCGGTTCCCGCCCGCGCCTCTCCCTCCACACCTCCTCGCAAGCTGAGGGAGCTGGCTCCGGCCTTGGCCAGCCCAGAAAGGGGCTCCCACAGTGCAGCGGCGGGCTGAAGGGCTCCTCAAGTGCCGCCAAATTGGGAGCCCAGGCAGAGGAGGTGCCGAGAACGAGCGAGGGCTGTGAGGACTGCCAGCACGCTGTCACCTCTCATGCCTTCCACAGCTGGTAGTCCAGACTCTACTCAGCTCTCAGCAGAGGAGAGCCTGGAGTGAGTAGCAACTCTCCGCAGCTGGTAGCCCGGAAGTCTCTCCATGGGCAGGTGGTCTAGTTGTCTCCTTGAGTCTGGCTAGTTCCGAGGGGTTTTATGAGTTCAGAGGGAAGGAAGTGCATGCTGATTGGTTCATGGGAGGCCATAGACAGGCCCACAGAAAGCGTCATAAGTTCACATCCTTGTCCATCAGCCCAGCCCTCAGGCTTCACGCCATCCTTGGCTTGAAGGTGAGGCTTCAAAGGGGACCTGATTCTTTTCACCCTGGAGTTTATCTACCTCCTGCCATTGCCTAGGTTGTTTGTGCTGAGTGGTATCTGCAAGCCAGTGCCAGGTTGCCCTCAGCCCCCTCTGTCAGACTCCCTCCTGTGGTTGTCGGTGCCCAAAGTCTGAAGGGGGCAGAGGCGGCAAGGGGCGGGCATGTCAATGCTGTCTTGAGCACACGCACAGCCGGCCAGGTCGTGACAGCGCCTGGGCTCAGCCTATATTCTGCTCCAAGATCAGAGTGGGTGCTGGGAACGGAGAGAGGCCAGACAGCCGGAGCAGGCACTGCCAAACCTACGGGGGCAGGGGGGATTCTAGGCCCCTGAAAACACAGAGACACCCCGGCCAGCAGCTGTGGCCTGGGCTGCAGCTGCGCCCGGAAGGGCGGGGCTCCTGTCCGGGCTGGGCTCCTGACTGTTCCTGGCCCCCAGGAGCACAGAGATGCCTGGGTCCCGAGCCTCGGCTGGGCGGCCGCAGCTTTGCCCGGGGAGCAGGAGGCTCCTGCCGTGCCAACTCGAAGGAGACAGGGATTCCACCTTTTCCCAGTTTTTGCCAGCTCCCTGGAGCACAGCCCCGGCTGAGCCTGCCCCACTGCAGCCGGCATCATGGCAGTGGCTGCTCAAGACAGGATGCTGATGCCATCAATATTTTTCACAAGGTAAGATTTTCTCAATGTTAAAATTTATGTTGATTAAATACTTGTATAACTATAAATTAACTAGAAAATGGGCGATGTGTTTGCTCCTGCATCAAAAAATTTAAAGCATTAATACTGTGTTAAAGTGCACCTACCTTACGTAAAATAAATTATGATTCCCGGTTGTATGCCCCTACTTTTCTGGCTTTGTCCAATTTTGAGTTTAAGTTCAATGGACTTAACATTTTTAAGGGGATTAACATTATTTTAAGATTTATTTTGAACAATAAGTAGTACACAGTTTTCAAAATTACATAAAGTTGAATGCAGTTCTGATAATGCAACCTTATAGGCAGTTTAAACTTGGAATAAATTATAGTCCTAAATAAAGATTATGTTCTATAAATCAAGAACGTTTTCCAGAATATTTCTAGAATACAAGGTATTGACAACTGTTCCAAACTGCTATATATATATATATATGTTTCTAGGGAGATGAGTATATGGGACTATCAGTAATTTCCCTTCATACCTAGTATGATAACATTAAAATGTATATCATATTTCAGTTTTTAAAAAATGTATATTTTTTGCAAGTATTAATTATTTTCCTTAACCCTCAAAACAGTTAAGAAATCTAACTTCATGTAAAATTTCTGTTTATTTTCTTTGTGGTAACTACAAAATGGCAATCCTGAACCTGGGTCCACTGGATATTATAGATTCATATGTCTGATATTTATACCTTCCTAGGGAATAATCTTAAAAGTCTTTTCTGTATGTCAGACTATAATTAAGAACTTTTGATCACCTAGATTTCAGAATGAAAGTGAAAGCCAATAATTTTTTTTTTTTTTTCTGTGAAATGGAATTTTGCCCTGTCTCCCAGGCTGGAGTGCAGTGGCACGATCTCTGCTCACTGCAACCTCTGCCTCCCAGGTTCAAGTGATTCTCCTGCCTCAGCCTCCTGAGTAGCTCGGAATTCAGGCACCTGCCCGTATTTTTAGTAGAGATGGGTTTTCACCGTTTTGGCCAGGCTGGTCTCGAACTTCTGACTTCACATGATCTGGCTGACTTGGCCTCCCAAAGTGCTGGGATTACAGGCATGAGCCACTGCGCCAGGCCCAAGAAATTTTTATGGACTGATATGTGACACATGCTTTGATGTGACATGACTAATATCATTATAGATCCGATTTTTGAATACATATAATTATGTATCTTTGCTGTAAAATATATTTAAAACTGTAAATTAATCTCTTTTAGTACTGAAAGTTTTTGTGAGAAGAAAGGATTGCTGATTAGGAGGTGATATGGTGGTTGAATTAAGTGCCTTACATGCTGGTAATATTCTACTTCTTTTCCTGGATGGAAGTTGAATGGTTATATGATCTTTGTAAAAATCATCCAACTGTATAATTATAAATTTCTATTTATAAATTTTTATCAAAATAATTATTGAACTTGTGGAAAAATTTGCTTTACAGTTTTCTTTCTCATGATTTTTATCTTTTAAATTTTCCAGGCAGTTTTTAAAAGTATTCATTATTTTTAGAGCAGTTTTAAGTTCATGGAAAAACAGAGAGAAAGGCACAGAGATTTCACATGTTCTCTCTGTCCCCACACATGCATAACTTCCCCCATTATCAACATCCTCCACCAGAGTGGTATATTTATAACAATTGATGAACCTACATTGACACATTATAATTACCCAAAGTTCATACTGGTTTGGACAAATGTATAATGACATATTTCCATCATTATAGTATATAAAGAGTATTTTTACTGCCCTAAACATTTCCTGTGTTCCCCCTATTCATCCTTCCCTTCCCTGCACCTCTAGCAAACACTAAACTTTTTAATGTCTCCATATTTTTACCTTTTCCAGAATGTTATATATTTGGACTCATACAGTATATGGTCTTTTCATATTGGCTTTTATGGCTTGGCAATATGTATTTAAGTTTTCCGTATGTCTTTTCATGGTTTGACAGCCAATTTACTTTTAGTGCTAAATAACATTCCATTGTCTAGGTATATACCACACTTTATGTATCAGTTGCCTTACTGAGTGTCTTGGTTGCTTCCAAGTTTTGGCAATTATGAGTTAAGCTGCTATAAACATCTATGTGCAGGTTTTTGTGTGAACATAAGTTTTCAACTCTTTGAGCAAACATCAAGGACTATGACTACTGGATTGTGTGATAATGATATGTTTAGTTTTGTAAGAAGCCACTAAACTGTTCTCCAAAGTAGGAGATTTCTGTAGATTCCATATATTAGCAATGAGAGTTCCTCTCCCTCCAAGTTCTCACCAGGATTTGTTGTCAGTATTTTGAATTCTGGCCATTCTAAAAGGTATGTGGTGGTCTTCCATTGTTGTCTTAAATTCCATTTCCCTAATGACATATGATGTGGAGTATCTTTTTATATGCCTACTGTTTTTTAAGCTTCGCCTTTTATTTTAGTTACTTGGGGTACCCATGCAGGTTTGTTATATGGGATTATAGTGTGATGCTAACATTTGGAGTATGATTCCGATCACACAGATGTGAACATAGTACCTGATAGGTAGTTATTTAACTCACTCCCCCCAAACCTTTAGTAGTTTGTAGTCTCTATTGTTTTCATATTTATATCCATATGTGCTCAATTTTAGCTTCTACTTATAAGTGAAAACATGCAGTATTTGTCTTTCTGTTCCTGTGTTACATTACGACTTCCAGCTGTTAAAATTATGGCTTTCTTTTCCTGTGTAATATTATGGCTTTCAGCTCTATCCATGTTGCTAAAAAAATATGATTTCATTGTTTTTTATGACTGCATAGTATTCCATGGCATATATGTACTACAATTTCTTTATCCAATCTACCATCGATGGGCACCTGGGTTGATACTATGTCTTTGCTATTGTGAGTAGCACAGCAATGGACATATGAGTGCATATGTCTTTTTGGTTGAATGATTTATTTTCCTTTGGGTGTATACCCAGTAATGGTATTGCTGGGTCAAATAATAAGTATGTTTTAAGTTCTTTGGAAAATCTCCAGACTGCTTTCCACATAGGCAGGACTAATTTACATCCCCACCAACAGTACGTAAACATTCCCTTGCCTCCACAACCTTGGCAGCATCTGTTGTTTTTTGACCTTTTAGTAATGGCGATTCTTACTGATGTGAAGTGGTATGTAATTTTAGTTTTCATTTGCCTTTCTCTGATGATTAGTGATGATGAGCATATTTTCATATGTTTGTTGGCCACTTATATGTCTTCTTGTGAGAATTGTCTGTTCATGTTATTTGCCATTTTTTAATGTGGTTATTTGATTTTTGCTTGTTGATTTGTTTAAGTTTTCTGTAGATTCCATATATTAGGCATTCGTTAGATGCATAGTTTACAAATACTTTCTCCCATTTTGTAGGTGGTTTGTTCTGTTGATGGTTTCTTTTGCTGTTTAGAAGCTCTTTAGTTTAATTATGTCCTGCTGTCTATTTTGTTTTTTGTTGCAGTTGCTTTTGGGACTTAGCCAAAAAGTATTTGCCAATTCCAATGTCAAGAAGGTTGTTTTCCAGGATTTTTATAGTCTGAGGTATTACATTTAAATCATTAATTCATTCTGAATTCATTTTTGTACATGGTAGAAGGAAGGAGTCCAGTTTTATTCTTCTTCATATGCCTAGCCAGTTATCTCAAAATCACTTACTGAGTAAGGATTCCTTTTCCCATTGCTTGTTTTGGTCAGCCTTATTGAGATCATGACTGTAGATGTGTGACTTTAATTCTGAGTTTTCTGTTATGTTCTATTGGTCGATGTGTCTATTTTCATACTAGTATCAGGCTGTTTTGGTTACTGGGGCTTTATGGTATAGTTTAATGTCGGGTAGTGTGATGCTTCCAGTTTTGTTCTTTTTGCTTAGGATTGTGTTCTCTATTCAGGCTCTTTTTTGCTTTCACATGAATTTTTGAATAGTTTTTTCTAATTCTGTGAATAATGACATTGGCGATTTGATAGAAATAACATTGAATCTGTAAATTGCTTTGGGCAGTATAACCATTTTAATAATATTGATTCTTCCAATCCATGAGCATGGAAGGTTTACCATCTCTGATTTGTCTCAGTAGTGCTTTGTAGTTCTCCTTATAGAGATATTTTTACCTCCTTGGTTAGCTGTATTCCTAGGTATTGCATTTTTTGTGTGCGGCTGTTGTAAGATCCCACCAAAACACAAAAGATCCTCAGAGACTACTATGACCAATTCTATGCACACAAATTAGAAAATCTAGAGGAAATGGATAAATTTCTTGAAGCACAAAATCTCTCAAGATTGCATCAGGAAGAGATTGGAACCCTGAATAGACCAATATCAACTTTTGAAATTGAATTAGTAATTTAAAAAACCTACCAACCAAAAAACAAAAAACAAAATGCCCTGGACTAGCTAGATTGACAGCTGAATTCTACCAAGTGTACAAATAAGAACTGATACCAATTCTACTGAAACTACTCCAAAAAATCAAGGAGGAAAGCCTCCTCTCTGACTCATTCTATAAAGTCTTCATCAGCCTGGTACCAAGAGCTGGCAGAGACACAATGGGAAAAGGGAAATTCGGGCCAATATTCCTCATGAACATAGTCATCATGAACATAGACACAAAAATCCTCAACAATATATTAGCAGCAGCACACCAAAAAGTTAGGACAACATGATCAAGCAGGTTTATTCTTGGGATGCAAGGCTGGTTCAACATATGTAAATCAATAAATGTGATTCACCAGGTAGACAGAATTAAAAGCAGAAGCCATATGATCGTCTCAATAGAGGCCAAAATCTTCTGAGAAAATCCAACATCCTTAATGAAAAAAACCTTAACAGACTAGGCATTGAAGCAACATATCTCATAATAATAAAAGCCATCTATGACAAACCCACAGCCATCATACTGAATGGTCAAAAGCTCAAACCACTCCCCTTGAGAACTAGAACAAGACAAGAATGCTCACAGTCAAGACTACAATTCATCATAGTACTGGAAGGCTTAGCCTGAGCAATCAGTCAAGGAAAAGCTATAAAAGGCATCCAAATAGGACAAGAAAAATCCAAACTATCTTTCTTCACTGACAATATGATTCTATACCTGGGAAGTGCCAAAGACTCTGCCAAAAGGCTCCTAGAACTGACAAACAACTTTAGTAAAGTATCAGGATACAAAATCAATATACAAAAATTAGTATACGACAACCTTCAGGCTGAGAGTGAAATCATATGGCCTATTTTCTCTCTGTATAGCTTATTTTGTTAGGTGTCTGCTAAAGTATTGGGCTCATTTTTAAATGGAGTTGTTATTTTCTTTTTTTTTTTTTTTTTTTGACTTTTAAGTGTGCTCTGTATATTTTGTGTAACAATCTTTTATTAGATGTGTCTTTTGCAAATAAGTTCTCCCAGTCTGTGGCTTATCTTTTTTCACTCTTGATATTGTGTTTGACAGAGCAGAAGGTTTTAATTTTAATAAAGTCCAGTGTGTCAATTTTTTAAATAGATTTGCCTTTGATAATGTATATTAAAAGTCATTATCATATCTATGAGTATCTCGTTTTTCTCCTATGTTATCATCTAAGAGTTTTATAGTTTCACATTTTATATTTGGTCTATGATTCATTATGAGTTACTTTTTCTGAAGGGTGTAAGGTCTGGGTCCGTATGTATATTTATTTTGTTTTTGCCTGAGAATGTCCAATTCTTCCAGCACCGTATGTGGAAAAGACAATCTTTGCTCTGTTTTATTGTTTTTGCTCCTTTGTCAAATGTTAGTTGATTATATTTATTGAGGTTACTTCTAAGATCTCTATTTTGTTTCATTAATCTATTTGTCTGTTCTTTCTCTAGTACTACACTGCCTTGATTACTGCACCTTCTTTGTAATTTTTGATGTTGGGTGCTGTCAGTCCTTCAACTTTGTTCGTCTTCAATATTATATTGGCTATTGGTCTTTAGAATCAGCTTGTCAATATCCACAAACTAGCTCACTGGTATTTTAATTGTGATTTTATTGAGCCTAGATATCAAGTTGGAAAAAGCTGATATTTTAACAATATAGTCTTCCTATCCATTAACATAGAGTATCTGTTCATTTATGTTTTATTTGATTTTCTTCATCAGAATTTTGTGGTTTTCCTCATTTAGATTTTGTTCATATTTCGTTAGATTTCTATCTAAGTATTTCATTTTTGGTGCTAATATAAATGGTATTTTGTTATTAAATTAAAATTCTACTTGTTCATTGCCTGTATGCAGGAAAATGATTGACTTTTCTGTATTAACCTTGTATTCTATAAAATTACTACAATAACATAAATTTTGGAAGTTTTTGGGTTTTTTTTTTAACTTCTCATACAGATCATCCTGTCACCTGCTATCAAATACAGTATTATTTCTTCCTTCCTACACTATATACCTTCTACTTCCTTTTCTTAGTGCATTAGCTAGGACCTCCAGTATGATGTTTAAAATGCATGGCAATAGAGAAAATCCATGCCTTCTTCCTCGTTTTGGTGTGAATGCTTCCTTTCCTACCATTAAGAATGATGTTAATTGTAGGTGTTTTGTAGATATTCTTTATCAATTTGGGGTTATCCTCTGTTCCTGCTATATACTGAGAGTTTTTTTTGTTTTTTTATTTTTATTTTTTTTAACCATGAATGGGTGTTAAATTTGGTCAAATGCTTTTTCTGCATATATTGATATAATCATTTGATTTTTTAGCTTAATGATTCATGAACTTATAAAAATCTGGTTTCTATAGGTGTGAATATGGTGACATCATGAAACACTCTTATGCTAAAATCTATACCTTGCTTTCAATTTAAAAACATGATGAGTTATATAGTAGAGTTTCTATTTCTTCACAGTGAAGGTAAAAGACAAATGGCATGAACCTCCCTGCCCAACCCCCCGCACCCCCCAAAAAAAAGAGAAAAGAAAGAAGAGACAGGAGTCAAATTTTGGAACATAGCCATAAGCAAATAGAATAGTATTAACTCATTACAGGCAGATAGGGTAGCTCAATTGGGAAGGGCAAAATCAGTATTATATAAATTATGGAATGGTCCAAAATCCTGAGAATTATAAACATCAAGAATGTTGAAATAGTAGAGGAGATGATGTTAAAAAACAAGAGAGTTGTTTAAAAGTCTTTTTAAGAAGCAACATCTCATTTCCTTTTATATAGGTAAGCATCTTTTCCCCAGCAAGTAGAAAAGTAGATTGGTTTTGTTTTTGAGGGAGTACAAAATATAGAGTTATATATGAAAATTAATGATTTTTTTTACTCTTAACCTATGAAAATACATAACTTTGATGAATTTTAAAAATAATAATCGTAGGCCGGGCACAGTGGCTCACGCCTGTAATCCCAGCACTTTGGGAGGCCAAGGCAGGTGGATCACGAGGTCAGGAGTTTGAGACCAGCCTGGCCAACATGGTGAAACCCCGTCTCTACTAAAAATACAAAAATTAGCCAGGCATGGTGTCGGGCGCCTGTAATCCCAGCTACTTGGGAGGCTGAGGCAGGAGAATTGCTTGAAACTGGGAGGCAGAGGTTGCGGTGAGCCGAGATCACACCACTGCACCCCAGCCTGGGTGAAAGAGCAAAACTCCGTCTCAAATAATAATAATAATAATCATCATCATCATCATCATCATCATCATCATCCTGCTGAAACAGAATTGGTACTAGGGAATTTCTCTGATCATTTTCTACATTTATCAGAGCAGACAGATTATGCCCCAAACAGTTGGCGCATTTCTTGTAGAACAATATAATGGCCAAGCCAAGATAAAGATAAAAACATTTGGACTACAAGGAAGGTGCTCTTTTTCTACAGAAAGTGTTCTCTTTCCTGTTGAAAACACTCAGTTTCCAGATGTGTGTAATTACTGGACTCTTTTGTCCAGCTATTAATATGAAATACAAGTAATCCAATTTTACTACATGATATATTGCAAATGTATGTGCTTACACCTTAAAAGTAACAAGATAACAACCAGAAAGATAAATCTATCTCATATAGAGAACACATTGTAGAATTTACAAGGATGAAAACTTTGTGGCTCAAGTTGGCTCCGTAATATTGACTTCCATAAACTTTCTAATTTCTAGTTAAATCAGCCAAGGAAGTAAGGAGCCCGTTGTGGAAATATGCAAAACAGCATCATGTAGATACTAAAAACAAGCAAACATTTGTCTTCGATTGTACATACTTGCATGCACAGAAAATTTATATTTTATCCTTAGAGTTTTATTTTATTTTTCATCTGAGGCTTGGTGTTGCCAAGGTGGTAAACAAGAAAAATATAATCTCTGTTTTCCTGCAAAGGTAAATCTTTCAAGGGATGGTGCTTAATTTTATTCTTACAGTATCATCTTTGCTTAGATTTTTCAGTTGAGGATTAGCAAACCAGAACTTGTGGATATATCTGGATTCAGTGAAGATAAACACTAGAATTAAACATTGTATCATTTATTGCTGCTTACCTTGAATGTTTTAACTTTTAATATAATGAATGGAACAGTTGGGATCATGATTTAATGTCTTGAAGGCAGCCTTCAGGGCCAGCACCAAGGGTGTAGAATTTTGTTTAAATTATCTTAGATCATCAAGGAGAGATTATTCAGTTAAAAAAAGGAAGAAAGAAAGGAAAGAAGGCAGGAAGGAAGGCAGGAAGGAAGGCAGGAAGGAAGGAAGGAAGGCAGGAAGTCAGGCAGGAAGGCAGGAAGGAAGGAAGGAAGGAAGGAAAAAAGGGAGAAAAAGCTTAAAAACTAGAGCTTCCCATGATTTCCTCAAGTTTTGTAAAACGTCAGTTTCTTTCCATTGAATGAGGAAAGACTAGCAGGGAGAAGGGCATGGTTAAGGATAGAACTTTATTATAGAACACCATAAAGCATCTAAACTGTTATTCAACTTATACAACCTTTATTGCTAGTAGGAGCAAGTTGTGACAGTCAGTAAAATGTTTAAATGAAATGGATTTAAATGGAAATCTGACTTTCTTTAGTTAAGAAAAATTATGGAAAGAGAAAAGCACTATTAATTTGGCGAAAGAATTGTTTTTCTTTCTTTAGATTCAGTTTTTTTGTTAATGGTTTGGTCTTTATTAAAAGCCAATATATCATTCAGAAATGATAATAGGCTTTCCTGCCGGGCATTATTAATTTCTTGAATAAAGTGTGTTTATTTTAAGTCTAAGAATTAATTAATTGCATTCTATGCTACCCATAGTGTAGAGGTCCACTTTACAGAAAATTGTCTCTCTGATAAATGAATAGGCAGCTGTAATTTTGTCCTTGGGAAGTATTTCCTGCTATAATCCTGTTACTAGGGGAACGTTCACATTTATAACTAAAAATGATATCCCATTTCTTTCAAACAAACCATGACACTGAAATGTCATAACCTGCCAGTGAATAAAGAGAGTGTCGCTGTTACATATATTTGCAAAGGTAATAACAAGTGATAGTACCTTTCTTTGAGAGTCACAAATATTAACACACTTACCAATTATAGCTCATAATGAAGAGAAAATTACAGTTCTGCACCTTGAGACCAGAAGTTTTTTCATCAGTACTAAGGTTCATTCAGGATGAGCTAAAATAGGCTTTCCCCTAATGAATTCTACAGGCCAATTCTCCAACAGCTTTAAGCCTTCTGGGCAATACTTTTCTTCTTACATATATTCTCAATACTCAGTAGGAAACTAGGGCAATAAATATGCGGAAATTGTTTAGAAAACAGATTACATATATGTGTGTATATATAATATATTATAATGTGTATAAATGTATGTAATATTTTAGGCAAGTCACTTCAATGTTGGTGATATTCAAACTGTCATTGCTTGGAAATTCAAAATGTGTTTGACTTTTTAGAGTTTTGAAGACGAACATCATTTCTGCTTATGTTGTTCTAGTTAACATGAGCTAACTCTCTTCATTATGTTTATTGTTCAAAACAAATTAAAGAATGTGTGTAACCTTAAATGGACATACTTCTTCACGTAATAAACTTGCCTGTTTCTGAGAGATGTTTTGAAGTAAAATTGTTACAGTTAAATATCTTTTGATCTTAAATAAACCTTCTTGACCAAATTTAAACAATAAATATAAGGTAATTAATCCACAGGAGAATGTTATAGACCCCAATGTTGGGCAGAAAAGAGAATAATTCACTGGACAAAGTAACCAGGGATCTTTATACATTTTAGGTTTATCCCTGTAAATTAACTTCATGTCTTTTTCTTTTTGTGGATTCATATTCTGAGTAACTTAACTCACAGGGCAGAACATGGATAATCCAAATTTTCAGAATTTATATGTTAAAGCTATAAACTTCTAACCACACAACAACAACAATTAAAAAACAAAATCAAAAGCTTAAATCTTGAGTCTATACATCACCTCATGTTTTTAGGAGATAGATTCTAATTGGCTCAAATCGTGTCCACGGTCTGTCATTGCCAAGTCAACTGTAGTCAGCGGTCAAAGGCATATTAATGACATGTGATTTAAGGGGGTTCAGTGCTATGAGTAAAGGTCATTTTCCACACAAATAGGATGCATTATAAGCCAGGTAAATATTCTAGTAGGTCTATAGTATTGTCTTGTTTTCCATGGCTTTGATATCTTACAATTGAAAATTATTTGTTACAACAAATGACCAATTAGGGCATATAAATAAGGTACAAAATGTTTTGTACCTTAAATAGCAAGCTTCCACAGCAAACTTCTAATGCCAAAAATTTGTTATTCATTGAGTTCACTTTAACTAGAAGAATGTTGTAGTGATAGGAATAATTTCCACTTTTAATTGGTTCTGAAGGCAAACAGAGAGGTGATATTCAAGTTTTATGAATGCTTGAGAACATACAGAAATTTACTATGTCCTCAAGAAGGGAAGAAAAAGGTTACAATTTTTCTCATTTCAAATTGTGATCTTAGCCATATGTAGTAAAATATACCAAGGGTTCACATCACAGATATTACATACAGCATCTGCAATATGAATGTCAGTCATAAATTGGCTGTCATAGAATTATTTAGCTATGCATAACTGAGTAAATTGTATGAACCAAAAACTAATATGTATCTAGATAAGCTATATTTTACAGGCTTTCTAAATTCATTTATGAAAATTCTATAATTTCATTAATTTTGTTTGGATGCATTTGATACATCAAAAGCATAACCTTAATTATCAGAATATTATTCCACTTTGGGGTGTACCTAAATAGAGTTTAATTTGAGGTCTGTAATACCAGTATGTTCACCAATTTTATTTTCTACTCCTAGAGACACTGAAAGATTATCTTCTTTATTCTTCCTTATAATTATGTGGGAGTCATGTAACCGGAGTCTGGCTAAATGTAATGTGGTCAGAAATCATGTGCATCAATCCAAACCTTGTCATAAAACAAATTCCAGGATCCTCCTTATCTCTGCTTTTGCACAGTAGCTGGATGAATGCAGAAAATTTAGAACAGGATTCTAAGGAGTCCGGAGGAGAGCAAGGGGCAGCATGAAACAATCGCTTTATACCCTCAATTGCCACTGAAGAGAAGTGTCCAGTACAGTTATGCAACCATCATCCACTTGCAACTTGAGGGAGAAATAATGATTTATGGCATTAAGTCTCTAATATTTGAAATAGTTTACAAACCAGCTATTACTTACTGCTTTGACTCATAATGGTGTATTTGTTATTATTATTTACATTATAAGAGAGCAGTCAGTATTTTAGGAGGTTACTCTTTCTGCCTGTAATTTCAAGTTTGTTAATAATTCATTTTTTGAAAAGAAGTTAAAAAACATGTTGTTCCTTCAAGTATTATTCTTATCCAATTTTAGATTGACATGCTTTTACCATTGCAAAATAGACATTATGTTAAGGGAAAGACGTATACTGTCAAAAGAATATACCTTTTAGAAGATATGGTTTTATTTGTAGTCCTACCATCTACCAGTTGTACGGCCTAAGGCGAGTAATTTTAAGTACTAGGTTTCAATTTCCTCATATGCAACATGAAAGCCTTAAAGCAGACCCCAAGGTCCCATCCAATTCCAAGATTTAATGATCTAGGAATATCCAGGGCTTGAATAGGATGGGGAGTTGAAGAACTATTAGAAAGAAGAAGAATATAAATATTATAGTTTGGATAAAATAGATGTTGACAAAGAGACTTGGCAGAGATTATAGAGTGTATTAGTCCATTCTGACATTGCCATACGGACATACCCAAGACTGACTTGTTTATAAAGTAAAGAAGTTTAATTGACTCACAGTTGTGCAGGGCTGGTGGGGCCTCAGGAAACTTACAATTATGGCAGAAGGGGAAGCAAACACGTCCTTCTTTACATGGTGGCAGGAAGGAGAAGAATGAGAGAAGGGAGAAAAAGCCCCTTATAAAGCCATCAGAACTCATGAAAACTTACTCACAATCATGAGAACAGCATGGGGGAAACGCCCCTATGATCTAATCACCTCCCACAAGGTCTCACCCCCAACATGTGGGGACTACAATTTGGATTACAATTCAAGATGAGATTTTGGGTGGGAACACAGCCAAACCATATCAGAGAGAGAAAACAAAATTGTACAATGACACAATTTATTATAGTTGTATAAATTCTATGTACAGAAATCTTCATGTATAGAGTTGTGTTTAATAGTTTAGGTTGTGAGATCAAATGAAACTGATTTCAAAGCCAAGCTCTGCTATGTGGTCTTGGACACATATCTAAATCTCTCTGCACTTCCATACCGAAGTTCATACATGAAGATAATAATAACTTTTTGTTTAGGTTAAAATTAATGTGAAGATGTGAGAATTGAGTGAATACATATAAAGCACATAAACTAGCATAAAATGCATGAGCTATATTCCAAAAATAGGATTTATTTATTAAAGTATTTATTAAATATTTTCATTTGTAAGTCAAATGAAGTTTTTATATCTCTGCTTGAGTTATCAATGTTCCTTTAATTTACCATGTAAACTTGTCAAATCATTTTATGTCTCCGTGTCTCAATTTTCTAATCTGTGAAAAAGAAAGTCAAACTAGAATATTTTAAATTATCTACAAACACTAAAATTATCTTATACCAATTTCCTCTGCATGGGTGAAAGCACCTAGAGATGGCAAAATATGTAAATTAGAGAAATGCTACAAAATTACTACTGTATTTTCCCTTTATTGACATTACAAGTACCTGAGGGAAAAAAGCATATACAGTAATCTTGAAAAGAATAAATATTTATCTTAATTTTTCAAAAATATTTAAAATGATTTAAATATTTATTTAAAGAAAGCCATAAATAACAATTGACTTTGATAGTAAACATAACACAACTATACTGTGAATATGAAAAATGAATTGACGTTTTCACAAATTTGCTATTCTTTATTCTATTAACAACAATAGCACTGAGATAAAAACAGCACATTCAAATAACCCTCAAAAAAGCTTATAATCTTAAAATTTAACTCAATTTAGGTTGTTTATATTTTGATAGTTAATTTGATTTTCATATACATAAGACAAAAGGAATTGAATTACTTTTAAGTTTTACTTAGGATAATACAAACAGGTAAAACAAAATGATGATTTTCATATTATTCTCACACTCTCTAACGGCCATTTTAATTGAATCCCCATTTCTCCCTTAACATTATTATTTGTGGGTTAATACATTTAAAGGCAAACTTGTGTCATTGCTATACTAATTTTGTTATGGATAATTAGTTAAAATTAGAACTTTAAACCTTATTCTCTTAACTTCTGTTTCTCGAGGATTACAGAGCTTATAAGGTATTGATTACAGATTTCTCAGATCTTAAATTCATAATACATGAAAAGAACATGAATGATTATATACATAATACATAAAATTAAATACTAATAATCAGTGGATTTCTAGGAAACAGCAAGATATTTAGGGAAAGGGGTTGGAGTAATTACCGTAAGGTTTTGGGAATAACCAAAAACTTTATGTCAATTTACCAAAAAGGAAAAAATAATATAAAATTTAATTTAATGTTTCGTCTCAAATATTATGTAATTTTCTAGTTTTCCTCCTGTCTTTTAAATATAAGTAAGATAATAAAATTAATTTCTATATTTGTCTTCTATTTGTTCTTGAGACCTATCTAAAAGGGGTAAAAAAAAAAACGATTAAAATGTCAAAGACCACATAAATAAACCTTGGTGTGCTTATCCAAAAGTAGTCTATATAATTTGTTTTCAGAAACAATTTTGGAGATTTGTATTTCTTGTAAAATGTTTACGTAGTAAAACTAGATTGCTTTATTTATCAGAGTTCAAGGTCTATAGATTGTGCTTAATCAATGAGCAATGATTAAAGAATACAAGTTCTAACTACAAATCTGGTAAGGAAATAAAGTGAAATATGTCAAGTAGAATAATTCTGTCTATTTAGTCCAAGTAATTAAAAATTAAATTGCTCATACTGTAAACCTGCTCATTTTATGTATTTGTATTATATGTCTATAAAAATTATGGGGTTCTATTTGTTTATTTAATTTCTTTTGAAAAATCAGTCAAGGGTTGTTAAAGGATATGAAGTAATACACTAATTTTCAATAGTAAAAAATTATCCAACAAATTTTCAGTTGTTTAAATAAATGGGAGAAAGATGAGTATTTATTAGCTTGGAACAATTGCAATGACAACCATTAACTTAACATCTATTCCTTTAATTCACTCTTAATTTTTTCGAGTGATTTTGCATTTTTAACCAAAAACAGAGAACAGTTATATACCCTTTTATAATCTCCGTAACTCACTAGTGTCTTATGCTACTTTCATTGTCAGAACAAGATGATCTAAAAAATTTATGACATTTTAGAAATGAGTACATCGTAATCACTCCATTAATTGAAGTGAGGCTGTATTCTCAGACATACTTCAATTCAAATATTATATATTGAGTATTAAGCCTCATGAAGAAGTAGTGTGTTTGTAACACTTCTCAGTTTTCTACCATATTCAATATTCAAACTTTCTAATATATTTTGGGGAAAAAAGTATTTTCCCCTGTGCAGAAACTTAGCTTTCTACTACACAAAGTGTTCCTAGCTATGACTACTAACTGCATTATGAGTTACTACTCCTGACCCTGTTGTAATTTCCTGGTGAACAGTCTCATTCGGCAGAGTGTGACTTTCTCTGTACCTGTTTCTGTGGGTGTGAAGATCTCTAACATGCCTCACTATTGTATTCCCAGGGTCTATGTGTTATCAGATTAAATTGAAGCATTGGAGTTTCCCAAAGCCCTTATAATGTGAGAGATACGAAAACTTTTCTCACATGACAGCCCTGTAATGCAAAGGAAAATTGTCCTCACTAATCCATCATAGTTCCTATCAAGTCCTGTATCCTCAGACCTGAACATTTATCAAAGATTACCTGCAAACTGCCATGTTGAAATATGCATACCTACCAGAGGACAATCCAACAATCTACCCAGACAGATTGTCTTGGCTATAGAATATATTACTATCCCCTTCTGACAAGCTCTTCCACACAGGAGAACCTTGCCATCTCCTGCAGTAAATTTCTCAAAGTCAGAGTCATTTAGCTAAAATATCAAAGTGGGGAAGGTTGAGAAAGATGTTGCATCTGCAAAATAATCGGAGATCAGCTTTGGCTTAGGGGCTTCCAAGCCAGCGGAGTCATCTAGAATGGGCTTGGTCTCAACAATTTGAATTCCCTTTGAAGTCTTCCAGCCATTATGAGGTCGAACAGATATACTTGTCTTTTTTCTAGATCATTCAGGAGTTGATACGTTAATCGTACACATGGAGATTAACTCATTGTGTACATATCTGTATGTGTCTTTATGTTTTAGAGCATAGAAAATATGAATACAGCAATGAATAAAATTGGCAAGAACCCTACCTTTATGGAACTTCCATTCTTTTGAGACAAGAGAGAAAACAAATTAAAAAGCATCGGGAGTATTGACAGAGAGATGCATTTCTAAAGAGGGTCTGGGAAGCTTTATAGAGAATGAGACATTTTAGAACAGATGGCAAGAACTGAGGGAGTAAATTACTTAGATGTGTGAAGCCAATAAATGGGCAAACTCCAAGGCCTGCAGAGGAATTCTTACAGCGCCAAAGGCAAATGAAAGAAGCCAGTCTGGCTATATTAGAGGAGGAGAGCATGAGAATTTAATCCCAGACAATGGAAGAATGGTATGCTACATTCTTTGGCTTTTATTGGGTGTGAAATGGAGAGCACATGAACATTTTTCAGCAGAGCAGTAATGTGATCTGAACTAAGGTTTAACAGAATCATGCTGACTGCAATGTTCAGAAGACACTGAAGAGAAGCAAAGATAGGGGGGAAAAAAGAATAGTTAGAAGGCTACCACAATAATCAAGGACTTCTGCCATGACCAGGAACCTACTAAACAACACAGTAATAAGAGGCTACTGAAATAATTAGGGAGTAGACGGGGCATAGTGGCTCATGCCTGTTAACCCAGCACTTTGGGAGGCCGAAACAGGTGGATCACTTGAGGTAAGGAGCTCGAGACCAACCTAGCCAAGACGGTGAAACCCTCTCTCTAATAAAAACACCAAAATTAGCCAGGCATGGTGGTGCATGCCTCTAATCCCAGATACTCGGGAGGCTGAGGCAGGAGAATCGCTTGAACCCAGGAGGCGGAGGTTGCAGTGAGCCAAGATCACGCCACTGCAGTCCAGCCTGGGCAAGAAAGCAAGACTCGGTCTCAAAAATAAATAAATAAAATAAAATAATTAGGGAGTACTGTAAAATCAGGAAGCCAAAGCAATAACCATGTGCTACTCCAACAACCAGGAGGCTACTGCAAGAATCAGGCTAGAGATGATAGTGCCTGGATAGGGGTTACAATGGAGAAACTGTGATATGATCAGACTTAAGATTTGTTTTGAAAATACGTCCTGCAGGATTTCCAAATACGGAAATCTCCATAGCATATGCAGCATGAGAATAAAGAAGGACAAAAGAAAGACACCAAGGTTTCTGTTTGTTTCTTTGCTTTTGCTAAGACATGAAAAGATGGCATTGCTACTGATGTGGAAGAGACTGTGGGTAAAGCAAGTTTGGTGAAATTGGATGAGAATTTCAATACTGGTACTGAATTGTGTTTGAAGAGCTATTGTCCAGAGTGTATTCTGTGTAAGTAAAAGCATATGATCTTTTCAGAAAATGTCAATTGTTTGTTTATTGGAAATATACTCCTCTTTGTCTCTTAAAAATATACAAAGTTTGGCTGGTCGTGGTGGCTCACACCTGTAATCCCAGCAATTTTGGAGGCAGAGCTGAGTGGATCAGTTGAGGTCAGGAGTTCGAGACCAGCCTGGCCAACAGGGTGAAACCCCATTTCTACTAAAAATACGAAAATTAGCCAAGCTTGGTGGTGGGCACCTGTAATCCCAGCTACTGAGGAAGCTGAGGCAGGAGAATCGCTTGAACCCAGGAGGTGGAGGTTGCAGTGAGCCGAGATCATGCCACTGCACTCCAGCCTGGGCAACAGAGTGATACTCCATCTCAAAAAAATAAAACAAAACAAAAAACAACAACTATCTATGTGTGTGTGTGTGTCTGTGTGTGTGTGTGTGTGTGTGTGTGTGTATATATATATATATATATATATACATACATACACAAAGGCTTTTAAAGTCCTATTGTCGACAAATATTTCACCTTTACTTCCAACTGTCTCAAATTTGTTGAAAGATATAAATGGTAAATGTCTGTGGGTTTTTGTTTTATAATTCATAATTACTGTAAGTGTCCTATGGAAGTGGAATTTTGTAGAACAAAGTTCAGAAAATCCTTATTGAGCAAGTGTCTTATTAAAGGCCAAAAATTATACTAAGGGTTTTAATTTTTTTTTTACAAATATTCCTCAGAAAGCATTGCAAAACAATAATTGGTATGGCAACTTTCAAATAATAATAGTGTGTTTGCATATAGTAATAATCAGTAAGTGTTTGCCATTTTCCCCAAGGGAAGGGAAAGATTTTTCACTTTTTATTTACTCACCACAAGAATCCAAATACCTTGTATTATGGAACTTTTGCTTAAGTTGACTGAAATGTTGTCTTTTAAGGTCTCAATTGCCCTATTTTATAGTGTCTAGATAATAACAATTGTTAAATATTAAGGTAAGGCCTAGCAGCAAAAGTCACATCTATACTTCTGAGTATCAGGGTAGCAATTTCTCTAATTCACTAAAATTAGAGATAGGCATCCAATAAATATTTATTTGTAACCATTTGAGGGAACCAATTTTAAAAGTTGAAAATGAGTTGCATTGGCATTAATAGTTATCCAATAGTCTTTACATTGTCATTAAAATACATTTCACTTTGTTAAGAAAAATGGCAAACATATTTTAAAAAATATTTTGATATGAATACCTGAGTTTAGCAAAAGAAATGCATCATCCATAATTTTAAGGTTAATTATAGCTTCTTCTTTTTTTTTTTTTTTTTCTTGAGACTGAGTCTCGTTTTATCACCCAGGCTGGAGTGCAGTGGCATGATCTCGGCTCACTGCAACCTCCACCTCCCGCGTTCAAGCAATTCTCGTGCCTCAGCCTCCCAAGTAGCTGGGATTACAGGTGCCTGCCACCACACCCAACTAATTTTTGTATTTTTAGTAGAGATGGAGTTTCACCATGTTGACCAGGCTGGTCTCTAACTCCTGACCTCAAGTGATCAGCCCACCTGGAACTCCCAGAGTGTTGGGATTATAGGCATGAGCCACCACACCAGGCCAGGTTGATTATAGCTTTTAAACGCAATGCAAATATACTCATTAAAATAAAACAATAATATCTTATTTTTTCTCAAGAAAAATCATCACATAATTATTTAAATTTAAACTTTTAATTTTCTATATATTTGTCTATATCATTCTATTGTATAGTTGCTTTATTCCTGCAGATTTAAGGGCAATGACCTATGAAGTAGAGAAGTTATTTGTCTCTAAGGGTTCCTAGATATGGTCCATTAAATACAACGCACAAATATTTTGTAAGTATCCTCAATAATATACTACCAAATGTGGGGAACAATGTGCTTTCAATCATTTCTATCACTTTGTTTACGATAAAAGCAGGGTTTTACCTGAGGCAAATTCTGTTTTATTGAGTGCAATTAAAGTTTATTTCATGGGTATGCTACTTTTGTTGATATGATAAACCAAATCCTTTGTTTAAAAGAATGCTAAAGATAAAATGCTAGTTATTTCATGCAGTTTTATTCTCAAAGGCATTAATAAATTATCAAGAATGTTTTAAAATACATTTGCTTCATTTTTCCCCCTATTTTAGATGCTTGTATTTATATAGGTATACATGTTTTCATCTTCTCTTACATATTTATGAATAATATAAACAGTTATAGCTCATATTAAGTATAAGCCTTATACTTTTGTCAGATATTTAAAAATAAGTATTTTTTTGCATTTATCTTAAAATTTTCAAATAGTTTCAAATTGTCTCACATAAGACCATATTTTCTAAGGGATTCAACAAGTGGCTCAGTGACTGATAACGAAGATTGATGAAGAGAGATAAAAAATTTTCCACTCTATCAGAATAATTTCTTTAGCACACAAATGTGCCCAGGGAATCCTCCATCTTAAAACCAATCTAACAAACAAGAAACAAAACCACTCTTGCCCCAAGTCCTGCTCCTGATTCTGCCCCATTCTCTGCTTCCCTTAAAAACAAGGCTATTGAGGAGATGTATATTGTTGATCTCCCCTTCTTCCTCACCTATAATTTTTTCTCAGTCCAAACCAAAGTGCATGCCTTCAGAGATTATTGCAGAAAGCTCCCAAAAAATCTACCTTTCAAACAACCTTTAGTCTTAGTTTAAAAATGTAAATAAGGACATTAACAAGATAGTGGAATATCTAACTGATACTGATCGCAGCCTTACATTATATGGATGTATATAATGTTTTTAAGCATTTCCTAATTGATGGACATGTTTTTCACTCCTATTTTCTTACTCCTAAATATATAGATGAATGCACTTTTTTAATCTGTCAAGTTATTTCATTATGTAATATTTCTTGATATAAAGTTCCTGGGTCATCTAAAAACATATTTAAATTTTAATAGTGTTTGCCTTTCAAAAATTTGCACATACATTCTCACCTACAGAGCATAAGGGTATCCATGACCTGGATTAAAATCAGGTAAATTGCTAAAATGTAAGCCTTTAATTTGCAAACCAAGTGCACAAGAAAGTCTTCTCAGGATTACTTTAAGAGTATATATTCTAATTTTTAATGCATTCTCAAAATCAGTGAAACCCAAGTACTTGGACACCTATGAGCTATTTCTAAGGTGTTCTTTATTATACCCTAATGAATAATATGATGTAAAACTTTTGACCATTGGTAGCTTTTGACCTTTGAATGAATTACTCATTACTGTACTTGCATGCAATTCACACTACTACTATTATCACTGCCTCCTTATTCAGTATTAAAAAATTTAAATAGCCAATGAAAACTTCCCATTTAATTCAATTATCCATGTATTAACCTTTAATGGCATATATACAAAAATCAGTTATTTCATGTTAAATTATAATATTCTGTTGAAGGATAGTAGAAAGCACTTATAATTTTCAAATATTGAAGAGAATTTTACTGTTTGAGCTGGATGTTTTGACGGCATAGTGAATTTAAACTTCTGCATATTAAGTATAGCTCCATAGTACACATGACATGACCATTTTTGAATAAGTGCCACTTTTCAAATTTTCTTTGGCACTTATACAAATATTGATACTGTATAATAAAGAGAGGAACAAATACCAAATATAATTTTAAAGACAATCTGTTAAAAGAATGGGAAGATAAAGAATGATTCCTTTATGTGGCAGTCAATAAATCAAATGATATTTGAAGAGTTCAGCTCCTGGCCAAAATCCTATGTGTGATTTTCAGGACAGACCCTAGGCAATAACAAAGTTACCTGGTAGGCCTCACAGAAAAAAACTACTCTCCTCACAGCAGACATGCTGTACAGCCGGTGCATTGCAGTCTCTGTGGGGAGCTGCAGTCAAAGACTCAGACCTCTCTTGCCTTTGATTCACATTCCCAGTGTGAGGGCATGGCATATGACTTTTCATTATATGGTTTCTGCCTGCTTATTCACTCTTTGTGAAGACTTCTATATATTTTGACACATCGCTATACACTATAGTTACAGATAACTCTTAGTCCCTTAGCTGTACATTATCTTTCATGTTATTTATATTTTTACATGATTATCATTCTTCTTGAAATGCTCTCCCTTCTCTTGATTCTTCAAGGTTCAACCTACCTGATACTTTCTTTGTAATTTCTTGATAACAGTACTAGATAGTCTCTACTTTAAGTTCCTTAAGCCCCTAATACATTTTAGTTATAGAACATGTGACACTATTTATTAAATTTTCTTTTTTAAAACTATCTCTTTTTTCTGACCACAAAGAAACTTTTTTTTTTAAATGTACTTCTTCAGTATGCAACATAACTCCTGACATGGAGCTTTTGCTTAACATTTCTTGACTTCATAAGAATAGGTTTCCAATATGTAGTTAGACCACATGCCAATTTCATTCTTTCAGTTATAATATCCTTCCCAATATAAATATTCATGAACTTCTAAATTCGTGATGTTTTTTCTGTGATTATTTCTATACTCTTTGATCTATTCCTTTGATGCTCAGCAGTACTTAAAAATAATTTCACATTATTTAACAGTTATTTATGATTTCTAACTCCACTGGCAACTGTATCACATGCATTGGTTCCTATGTTCAGACTGGAATATTATCTAGCTATGTATTTTACTATAAACTCAACTGAGACAAGATCACCTGCTTGCTTAGATTAGCAATAGTCACTGGTTGCTTCCAAAATCAAATTCAAACTCCACAGTCTAATAAAAAAAATCTACCAATTGAATTTTATGTAATCTAAAACAAACATGGCAAATGATAAATTTAGAACACTAGTTTGGTTTTGTCTCTTTGTTTTGTTGTGTTTTGTTTTGTTTTTTGAGACGGACTCTACCCTTTGATGCCCAGGCTGGCGTGCAGTGGTGCAATCTCAGCTCACTGCAACCTCTGCCTCCTGGCTTCAAGCGATTCTCCTGCCTCTGTCTCCCGAGAAGCTGGGTCTACAGGCATGCACCACCATGCCCACCTAATTTTTTTGTATTTTTAGTAGAGATGAGATTTCGCCACGTTGGCCAGGCTGGTCTTGAATTCCTGACCTCAAGTGATCTACCCACCTCAGTCACCCAAAATGCTGGGATTACAAGTGTGAGCCACCGCACCCGGAATATATGCCTAATTTTCTACACAGACAAGTTAATTAATAAACATATAGTGTTATTGAATATGATGATAGATGCTTAAAAATCCATACTGGTATATTTCAATTAGTAAATTGATGTGAGTTTATAAATTAATGATCTATATGTGATGTCATTTTTAGCATTTTTCCTCAGCTCCTTGTCAATAAATATGGCCATTTTGTATATTTACCAAAACACTTTCTTGATTTTATTGCACAATACACTTATATGAAGTAAAAGAGTGATTTGATGTCTGCGTGAGTCTACACAACTTCATTCTTTTTGAATTCCCAAGTCTATATTAAATTTCTTTTTATCCTCCAAAATACTGTGCTATATACTTAATAAGTATTTTCATATTGTTAGAATAGTTTATGAAGACAGTAAACATATCAAACTGGAATATATGCCTAGAAAATATGATCACATTATTACTGCAAAAGTTTTATTTGTTGACCTTATATTTATTTCCACTAGCATGAAATGTAAAATTGATACTATGTGGGGGAGGTTCAATAACATTTGTGCTGGCTACATATAACTTGAGATTGTATTTATAACTTTTCGGTATTTTGTTGAAATAAAAACTAACCAAATTTAAACACATACTGGAAAGAAATATTTTGTTGAAAAGTTCTTGGGCTTTCATAAACATGCTATAATTTTAATTTTTTACCAAATTATTTGATTGACATGATAGTAGTATTTGAGGAGACTAATACTAAAGTTTCCAAGTAGGCTAGGCCAGTCAGAAAGAGTAGGCATTGAAGAGGTTTGTGAGAGAGAAGAAACTAATGTATGCATTTACTGGATATAGTAATCAATCTTTCAAGAAAACTTTGGATTATAGTTATACACAAGTAACTTTAAATATTCCCAAATAACTCTATACTATTTTATTTTACTCTACAAAACTTGCCAAGCTAACTATAGGTTCAGTATTCAGAATACTTTTTTTTTAATAGGAGAAGTGACTTAATTTCCTTTCTTAATGAAATGTTGGTTCATTCAAATATTCTCAAACAAGAAAGAGACAGTTAGTAGTTACTACTATTGCTTGAGTTTTCTATGACTTGTTTCTTAATAACTATAAAGCTCACTTTATAAAAATTGCCCAACTGCTTATTTTGAAAAATATCTTGCTACAAATAGAAGATGTTTGTGATGGTTAACATTGAGTGTCAACTTGATTGGACTGAAGGATGCAAAGTATTGTTCCTGGGTGTGTCTGTGAGGCTACTGTCAAAGGAAATTAGCAGTTGAGTCCGTGGACTGGGAGAGGAAGACCCACCCTCAATCTGGTGGGCACCATTTAATCAGCTACCAGCATGGCTAGAGTAAAGCAGGAAGAATAAAGTAGAATGAGAGAGACTTGCTTTATCTTCTGACCTTGATCTTTCTCCCATGCTGGATGCTTCCTGCCCTCAAATATCAGACTCCAAGTTCTTCAACTTTTGGACTCTTGAATTAACAGCAGTGACTGGCCAGGGGCTCTCGGGTTTTTGGCCACAGGCTGAAGGCTGCACTGTTGGCTTCTCTACTTCTGAGGTTTTGGGACTCAGACTGGCTTCCTTGATTCTCAGCTTGCAGACGGCATATTGTGGGACTTCACCTTGTGATTGTGTGGGTCAATACTCCTAATAAATTCCCCATCATATATACATATATCCTATTAGTTCTGTTCCTCTAAAAAATCCTAATACAATGTTAAATTGACAATATATATTTCAGAGCTTAAAAATGCACTTAACGCATATAGTTCATGAAAACACAATGCTAACTCATTGCATTATTGCCTTTGATTGTTATCTCTCAAAGTCCAGCCATGTTCAAGGAACGTTAGGAATTCTAATACAATCAAAGATGATTCTTTCAGAAGCACACTGTTTTAACCAGTGGTATAAATTCAAATTTCCTTTTTGTTAATGTAGTGCATCACATATATGGATTATTGCTTAGGATTTGAGAAATTTTAATTTTCTAATATTGCTGTATTTGGTATATTAATGAGTTGCATTTTTATTTTTGATTTTTGTCTGCATCAAATCATCCATTAATTGAATTGTCTTTTGTGTTTATTGCTGTGGAGAGTAATGTACTGCTGTACAATCTAGAAAGGACAACTCTGTTTTAATGATGAAATTTGATATTTGTTTAATGAAGCATTATCTTCCATTTGATGACTTTTATTAAATATGTGATATGTCCAATCTGGTTCATTTACTAGATTTACAAACAGTTAGATCTAACTTTGATCTTACATTAGCAGCTAGCCTTTGCTGGCTACAGTGTTCTGTTTTTTTAATTATTTAGTGATTCAATAGCACAGGCTGCCTCCACAAACCCAAATGTTCACATGTAGCAACAAATGAAACACCATAATCTTAACAAGACTATTATAATAGTCATCAGAGAAGTTAAAATTATCTTCTTTAATTACTAGATTATAACCCCATTAACTCCTCTGCATGAAAAGTGGGAATTAGGGGATAGAAAAAGAAACCATAGCTGACAATTAAAACTCCAAAGCAAACTAAAGGGAGGGTAGGGAAAAACATCATACATAGCTTCAGATATTTCAGGTAATTTATTTAGTAGTGCATATTTATTGTAGATTATAATGAACAAACTATAACCATAGTAAGCATATTATTTTGGTTTTGAATTTTGTTTTTTCAGATTGGCTAAACAAGCAGCATTGAAAGCTACAAACTTAAAAGAAAACCCTTATTTAAATATGCCCAGAGCTGTAAATTAGTTATGTCCTAAATAAGTTATTAGAACAATATTGTCACTGATGCATTATTTATAGGTAGTTGTTGAAAAGTTTGTTACCAGCAGAAGTACTGAAGTGACATTTCCAAAGACATTAACATGAAAATGAGTAGAATTTGAAGAGAAAAAAATCATTCAGTGTGCAACCTCTTACTAAAATAGTCTTCAATAATGTATACAGCAACTACATATTTTTACTTCTAATATACACATGCCATATTCATAGGTCTGCACTAAAGCTTTCTCCAAATTAAGTTTGCATGTATAAATGAAAAAATAAACACCCCATGACAGTAAAATTTATATGATAACAAAATTATATCCAAACGCTGTTACCACATGCACAATAAATACACTAAGAACAAAATATCCTTCAAAGTTGTTATGGACTATGCAAGTTTAAAAATAAATACTTATCCACTTTCTTACTGTGAAATTAATATTTTATATTTTAGATATGCCAATATAATTATATTAAATTTTAGGTGATCTGTACCTTTTGATGATTAAATAAAACAGAAAACAAGTGAACACATTATATTCAGTGAAGCATGTTATTAAATTTCAATATAGCAGCATCTCAGTTGTTTATATCTTAGAAAAGAATAACATTATGCTATTGTGTGGAAAGATCTTACTGAAATTAGCTTCTGACAAGAAATTGTACGGAAATAATCATTGAAGTAATTTAGAAAAAGAAGCAGGTATTGCTATAATCACTGAAAGAGGGATTATGAGAAGTAAAGATGAGTTCTCAAGACATTTATTATGTATTCAATTTTAAATCTTAAATGGTCAAGCCAAGAGCTTTAGATAATGCATTATGCATATTGTGTATATTAGGAATAAAATCCAGTCACAGTTCTCCAGGATCATACATAACTCAAACAGCCATGAATAAAAATAGTTTTTGTTACTATACATGGTAGTAGTATTTATCTACTTCAAAATTTCATGTACTTTTCCCTAATGTCAGGAGATGGGTATATTAAAATAAAAAAAAAGTATATCATTCTACTTTATACTTTCAGACTTTTGAACTTCATCATTTGATTAACATTCCCAGGAAGGCCAAGGATGGTTTTCTTTATCTTATTTCATGGCTTTTGAATATATCTTTGGGAAATTGGGAAGATTTATTTATATCTGGATTTATTTTGAGGTGTATTGTTTAGGTTGTTCTCATAATGTGATACTCTATGGTTTCTACTGACACAATATATACATTAGCAAACATTGGTACTTTCCCATTCATATCTACTCCTTCTCTCAATTTGGCTAAGAGAAACTCAGTTTTATCCTGTCACCCTTTGTGCCTACTCAGTTATCAGAAACAAACTAAACGACTCTGTTGTCACCTCAGGGGTAAATCCTAATTCATCTAAGCTATTATGTAGTTGTATTCTTATGACCAATGATTGTTTTAGGTACTGGTTTTAGCCAAGCAGATGTGAAGTCAGTTGTGATGGCATAGACCTAGGAAATATTTAACTCTTAAGAAGGTAATGGAGGTGATAATACTGGAAAGTATGAACACCTAAAAGCAAAATGAGCAAACTAAAGTGCCAAAGAGAAAGGATAGAAAGACCCCCAGTCCTTGAGTATATAATTTGGTCACTAGCCCCTACCTGAAACTTCTTGTAATATAACTTATTTATTTATTATTTAGTCAGAATATTCAGTAAGTGTCTATGACTTCTTAATTGTCATCAATGTTACTTAAAGAGAACACTTTCAATGCTAACTACCAGCTATTAGAAGCCAGATAACTATGTAATATCTTTGAATTACACAAATAACAAAAACAATCACTCTTAGAAGAAAAAAATTTAGTTGTGGCATTTCTCACATACTATATTTTTGCTTTCTGGTAGCTAGAATTATACAGAATTGCTTGTTTTATAATATTTTAGAAGATATTAGCATCATCTGAAGTTTATAATTTTTTGTAACTCTGTTACTATTTTATTTTACCAAGTACACTTGCAAGGGCAGACTCTGAAATGAGTCCCACCTCTGTGCTCACCATTACAGATAATTGTTGGAGAAAGACAATTATTGCAAATGAAATGATTAATTCAAGTGGCAATTTTAAAAATGTTAATTTAAGAAATAGACCTATAAATCTTTGAAGATGTATCCAGATAAGAGAAGGCATGGCAAATGGAATGTTAATATGTTTTATTTGAAAAGAAGTAAAATAAATGGAAATTCTTTCCATGTATATACAGGCATACAGGTGTATTGTTTGAATTTCTAATTATGAAGGAGCCTTTTTCCTCTAGTCTCTCTAAAAAATTATTTACTATTCATGTCTACATTTAATGTGCCTGAAGAAGGTACCTATCAATTTCTTTTTATTTAATTTACTATTTTTAGCAGAAATATTCTTAAACAGCCATTACAGAATTAACTTTTTAAATTTCTTTTTAAATTTTATTTTTATTTTTTGATACATAATTGATGTACATTATTTTGGAGGGCAATTAACTTTTGACGCTAAGATTTGGCCCCCAAATATGAAAAGTCACTTTGAGGTGAATACATATATGCTGTACTTCAGTCCTGGCCTATGTAGAATTGATAATAAATTTGCAGCAATTTTCTTAGCAACCACCCAGTGGGGGAGGCTGAGATGTCTAGTCTTGCTCCTTTTCCCTTTCTTTTGCTAGCAAGTTAATCCTAATAAAACCTATTATTTTATTCCATAAGCATTTATTGTGTCAGTTATGTATCAGACACTGGCTTAGAAACAGGTGTCAAAGATGAAAATCCCCACACCTTTCCCTTCCGGTGGAGGTTGCATTGTTACTCAGTGTTACATTACAACAATAGAAACATGCACCTTATGCAAGAGCAAGTGGCTAGGAGGAGAAATGGTAGAGATGGCTTCCAGGAAGAGGTAACTTTCAAGCTAAATGCTGAAAGATAAATGAAAGGGGCTAAGTGAAGGAAGGGAAGAACAATCCAAGAAAAGAGACCAGCATGGTTGTACTAATAAAGAATGATACTTCATGAACTTTAATGAACTCTAAACATGAAGCAAAATAAAGCCTTTAGCAATAAATGGATTCTATTAGGTTGATGCAAAAGTAATTGTGGTTTTTGTCATTATTTTTAATGGCAACATACCTAACAGTAATATTACTTTTTAAAAACATATTCCATAGGAAGTAGGTTAATGGATTTGAAGCAATGCTTTTGATATCTTCTGACAAGGCAATAAGAAAGGCCAGTAATTAATATGCATCTTGAGGAAAAAAATATATATTGGATTATGGGGTAGAGTTAGAGCTACGACAGGGAACTTAAGTTTATTTGAACTTTCTGTTAGTTATCCTAACATAACTAATAAAACACAAAGGACCAGAAGACTACATTTAAAAATATTTTAAGCTATTAGGTTGATGCACAAGTAATTGTCGTTTTTGCTAGGGAACAACAGATGCTGGAGAGGATGTGGAGAAATAGGAACAGTTTTACACTGTTGGTGGGACTGTAAACTAGTTCAACCATTGTGAAAGTCAGTGTGGCGATTCCTCAGGGATCTAGAACTAGAAATACCATTTGATCCAGCCATCCCATTACTGGTATATATCCAAAGGACTATAAATCATGCTGCTATAAAGACACATGCACACGTATGTTTATTGCGGCACTATTCACAATAGCAAAGACTTGGAACCAACCCAAATGTCCAACAGTGATAGACTGGATTAAGAAAATGCGGCACATATACACCATGGAATACTGTGCAACCATAAAAAATGATGAGTTCGTGTCCTTTGTAGGGACATGGATGAAGCTGGAAACCATCATTCTCAGCAAACTATCACGAGGACGAAAAACCAAACACCGCATGTTCTCACTCATAGGTGGGAATTGAACAATGAGAACACATGGACACAGGAAGGGGAACATCACACACCGGGGCCTGTTGTGGGGTGGGGGCAGGGGGAGGGATAGCATTAGGAGATATACCTAATGCTAAATGATGAGTTAATGGGTGCAGCACACCAACATGGCACATGTATACATATGTAACTAACTGGCACATTGTGCACATGTACCCTAAAACTTAAAGTATAATAATAATAAAATGAAAAAAAATGAAAAAATAATAATAATAAAAAAATAAAAGTAATGGCAAAAACCGCAATTACTTTTGCACCACCCTAATAATTTCTTCATATTAACTTTTTTTCACTTTGTTTGAGTCATTTATCCATTTTCCAATTTGAAATAAGTATTTTTGCACTGCATTTTCCTACCTAGTAAATTATGAGCTTCTAGCACAGACAGATTACTCAGTTAATGCCCTCTGCAAGAAGTTATCACAGTACTTCATATACAATTTGTATTTAACAAGTATTTATTCAGTTGAATTTTTTGCTTTTCTAATACATTGTTTTCCTATGCAGAAAACTGTTAAATCAATACATATTACTAATGTATTATGTTTTAAAGCTCTAAAGCACAGTAAAACTGGCACTTTTATAAAGACAGATTTAATAGCCATATATGTTCTCTTGGGTGCCTTAAAACATGACATGTATATGTGTGTGTATACATATGATAGTTTCTTTAAAACCTACAAAGGAAAAGAGCACATATTTTCTGAGGTTAAAATGGAAGCAAATAAGGTTGATAGCATTTATATTTTCTTTATCACTTAAAACCTGTCATAGTAATTTAACAATAGGTTTTTAGATTTTCACGGTAAAATGTTTAATTATACTGCCCTATAAGTTTATTTAAGGGCATTATTTTAGTTACTTAACCCAGCTTATCCTATAAAATACGATCCAAAGTTATTTACCTGCACATATTCCATTATGTGTCTCATAAAAGCAAAAATTTTAAACTATTTTTAAAGTTAAAAATAAAACATCAGAACAGTAAGTTATATACCCTAAATATATACAATTTTTGTCTATTAATCCTCAATAAGGCTGAAAACAATTCTTACATTAAGTCATTGTCTTTTTGCCCTGGAATATTCAAAGCCATCAGCCAACAAAACAAAACGTTTTTATCTCGCTTTGTCTTACAAAAATGTTTAAGTACCAACATAAATTAGAATATATCTTCTCTCTTCTGCTTAATCTTTCACATGACTTGGCTTCAAACTTATGGTCAGACTCACATGCTTGTTTGAAGCTAATCTGCCTTTCTGCATCTGATTCACGGTTTGTCTACTTTAGCTGGTAAAGTTATCCCAACTCCTCCAAAGTTGCAAAAATGTCAAATTTATTAAATGCCACTTCCTTTCAAATTTCCAAGGAATTATCAGAACATGTAAGATTACCGCATTATTAACCCTATGCCAAGCAATTCTAGACAATACAAATATGCTTAATTACTAAATATGACCTGTGCTTATTTTTTATGTGAAATATCATGCTCCCTCAGAATGTTACAATATTGACTCAGATTGCTGTTACAAATCATCTGTCTTAACTAAAAATTAGTGCTGTCAAAAATGAGTAATAGATTGAGAAAGAATAAATTTTGTGTAATTCAACCAATTCATACTGGTTGTAAAGACTTAATACACATGAAATTAATTATTTGAGAATACTTATCATCAGATCACAGTTTATAAAGCCAATATTCTCATGTATTGGACTAACAACCACGTGTACAACTTATACGGTTAGCCTGTTCTCAGTTTATGGATTCAGAAATGTTTTCTTCAGGTACAAATGAGAAATTTGTCATGACTACATTTCTGGTCTATTGGGTTCCATAAGGCATCATATAAATTTAAAACTTTTGACTTATCTCTATGTCTTCTTTTGCTCTCCTTTCTTACTATGCAAATACCATGTTGAGCACCTGGAATATTGGGAAACATTAGAAGCAGGAAAGCATGTGCGAAACTTTACATTTATGAAAGTCAAATTGAATGCAAAATATGAGCTCTTTATTCTCACTGTCATTCTCTTGACTATGATTTAAAAACATAGTGAAAATAGTAAACCTCAAATTATACGCCAACAGAAAACACTAACATGGAAGTTTTGCATAGTTTAAGGAAATCATTTTTTGAACGTACAAATAAAACTATCCTCCACAAAAATTAGTTTTTATTCATAGGATTTTTTGCTTGAAGGATATGATCTGATCTCAGGTCAATACATGAAATGCATTTTCTGTTATTTCTTGATTACCACTACCTACACCGCTTAAGAGGCTCTTGCTTTATTTAGGACTTTAACATGAATAGAGAAACTCTCTTTCTCGTAGTTTGAAGTTTCAAAAAATGTCTTCATTGGCTCTTGAAATATAATTCTGTTTAAGCAAGTACCTGCTATCAGATCCCCCCTTATTGGGAGAATTACATTTTATTTTTTGTCAGGAACCATGTGTAAGACATGCAGTTGCTCTCATATTTTGTGGTGCAGAGTAAGGCCTATATTCCACAATTGACATGTGCAATATTCTGCATAATTGTCTGCTAAATCATGCTGATGTTGGTAGTATCCCATTGCAAAGATGAATATAGTTATAGTCAAAATACAGTATGTCTGGTCATCCACCTCTGATAGGATGTGGATTTCACCATCTCAGCTGAAAACAAAGAATATTATGTTCTACATGGAGAGGGATTGCATGCATGCCAGTGAATCCAACAGGTACAAAAATGGCAGTTTTTACCTGATACCATGATGATACAGAGTCCTCTAAATTCAAGTCATCAAAGGTGAAGGAATGAGGTGCAAAATCTTCAGTGTGATTGAAACTGGTAATTTTACTAGAATTATGAGGCTAAGGTACAAGCAAAACAATAGATTTTATACCATAGTCAGAATTGAGAATCAAAGTAGAAACTAAGTTTATTCATAGAGAATTATTTCTTAAAGTTATATCTTGCTCATTTGAGTTTTTTTTAACTGTGAAATTCATATCTCCTGTGTAAATGGTTCATCTATTTTTATATTGTCTCTGTCTCCCATTATGCTATAAGGTCCAAGGATCATGCAGATCCTCAATACTTATTTGTGGAAGGAAGGAAGGAAGGAAGGAAGGAAGGAAGGAAGGAAGGAAGGAAAGAAGAGAAATGATATATAATGATTAACTTTATAGGAAGGATGGAAGGAAAGAATAGAAATGATATACAATGATTAACTTTATAGAGAAAATGAATGCATCTCTGAATTAGAAAGATTTAAATATTTTAGATTAAGAGTTAGAAAAATTTACTTAGTACTTTGATATTGTCTAAATATGCAGTGAGAGTAGTTTGGATCTATGATTAGCAAAACAAATATGTTCCTGCTCATATAAAATAGCCACATAGAAGGCAAAAGAATGACATTCAATTTTCAGAAACTTTTAAATAAAAATAGTACTCTAGTGAACCAAAAATACTTATTTACATTCAGGAAAATGGAACTCTTTATTCTTCTGAACTTCAGTTTTCCTTATGTATTTTTATTTTAAATTTACCACTAGAGTTTGGAGAGGGAATGAAACACAAGAAAGCTACACACAGACACACAGACACACACACACACACACACACACACACACACACACATTTCCTTCAAACATAGATATACAATCAATTCAAATAACACATTTCTGAATGTGATTGAATATGTCTCTCAATATATTGTCTGTGTTAGTCTTTTATTTTCTTATTTTCTGAGTTGTCCCAGGATACCTATGTTCGTAAAAACAATATGCCATGGTCTTGGCTGCACTTAATGTACCTCTCTGTTTTTGTTTTACATTTATCCTTTCTATTTATTATCTCTTCTCTCCTCTCCTGAGAGATCATCTTACTAATCTACCTTCTCTATTACATACATTAATACATATATCTTGAATTTTAATTGCTCTTTCCCTTTTTCTTACTCTTATTCTCATCACTAAACTTTATAATTTGGAATAAATGAATTAAAATTTTGCGTCGCCTCAAGGCAAACTTTGGTTTGTGGTCCTTAGGAGTGGGAAATAGTTCTCTTCACATTGAACAATCTTAGCTACTATATGAGGCAAAGGTTAAGCAGCCACACATGAAAGAGCATTAGTATGACATATCTAATAATTTGAAATTTCTAAGATATTTTACAAATGATAAAATGGGTTAATTCTGTTTGAATTTTATTGAGTTACAACTATATGAAAGACTTTCATTGGCAGACATACACAGTAAATGTTTACATTATTTTATTATTAGTTATTTCAAAAAATTGTCACAGAATTTTAACCCTAAGAACACTGTGAAAAATTATTCTGAAAACGGTGTTTTAAAGAACAATAAAACATTTCTATTTCCATATTTTATCAATAGGATATTAAAGAGCAGCAACTTTCAGCAACTACATACAAATAAACACAAATAAATAGGAATAATACAAATAATACAAATACAAATAAGTAGGAATTACTGCTGTGTTACTTGAGAATATAACACAAATAAATGTGAATAGGCTTCATGTTATTTATACTTTAAGATAAATGCATTACCTTTATAAATTTATAGTAACATTCATCAGAGGCCTTTAAAAGATGTATATTCAGTTAAAATTCTCTTTTCACAAATTCTTATTGTGCACTGCATCTATGTCAGATCCTCTCTTATGGCTTGAGAATCAAGAAGATTAAAATGAGAGCTTCTGTTCTCAAAAAGTTCCCATGGCTAGAAGTAATAGAAAAATGGTATTTCAAAACACAAGTTGCAAATATATTTGCATAGTATGTGTTTAAGATATTATTAGATTGCATAATGAGTTAGTAGTAAGAATGAAGAATGGCAAGAATGGATGAGAATAAAATATATAAAAGTTACATGAAATGTTTAGGATACAGAACCAGAAATCTAGTATCATATTAAGGCATAATTTCTTGATTCTACACTCAAAGAAGCTATAAAATGAAAAAAAATGGAAATGTTATTCTTTATTTTTCAAGTAAAGTCAGTCCACATTATATTAAAATTATCATCATGTAAACTTTGCAGTAAACTAGATAGAAAATGCAATGGGATTTGGCATTTTTGATAATTGCAGATTTGAGCAAATGTTATGCAAAAGAGAAACAGTAATTCATACAAGTGTAAAACATAAGAAATAATGACTCAAGAATACTTAAATATAATAAACTTGAAATATTTGCATTTATTGAAATGAGATGGCAGAGTTTTAATTGTTTATCTCAAAGCCAATCATTCTATACAAAAAGGAAGTTAAGAATAGTTTATCTTCATTGAATTTGCTTACCTCTTCCTAATTGCAAATTGAGGTTTAAAATGACAAAATTTACGTTAACATAACTTGAATTTTTCTCCAATTTTTATATATAAAATATATGGTGAACTCATAGGACTGTGCTAATTCAATACTAACAGTTCTTTTTAAGAGAGAAAACAAAGGAAAAAATTATTCTGCATTATTTCTCAATTAGCCTATGATGCCACTTTGCACAGTGTCTTATCCATTTCAATAAAGATTTAAAAAATAACAAGAATTATCATTTTCTTAGTATTCCGCCAAGTAAAAAAACTGGGCTTACCCATAGGAAGAGCTTTTTGTTCCTAATATCCACAAGCTTTGATAATAAGAAACATGGTACAGTTCAGAACAAAATGATCATGACTGTGGTGCACTACCTCAACCTGTTAGTGCAACAGATACTTGAAGATTCAATAGGTTTTGTAACTACCAGGAAATACTTCAGACATTGTAAGCATTTTAGTCCTTTGAAGAAAACCCACCTAACTCTTAAGAAACAGAAAGGTTCAACAATTTTCTGTTTACAAATTAAATGAATAAATGTTGTGATTTCTGGAATCCAGCCATGCTTGCTCTTGCTGTGAGGGGGATACTGAAAAGAAAAAAAATATTGAGAAGTTCTACATTGAAATTCATTCTAGATAATATTGTTTGGCATGCTGTGTCAGCATGAACATGTACAGATGATACAGAGAATGAGTTACTCCAAAATAGTAGCATAATCTGAAAGTATAAGCTGATTTTAAAAGGGCTGGGTAATTTCATGGATGGTTGATCCATAACAGGCTGTCCAAAACAAGAAATCTCTTATGTGTATACTCAGCCTTTGAGGCTAACATTGTTGAAAATATTAGTGCCAAAGATAGACTCAGAGGTTACTGAAATTTGTGAAACAGTGGTCTTATCTGAGAATATTTAAACTTACAAATATAGACTTTACACTTTGAAGCAGCAAAGTGTAAAGTCTGTGCATGTGTGACTATCATCTGCATAGTACTTTGAATACTGTGATATATTAATTTTAAATAATAGTATAGACATAAAAAGACAAATATTTGCCATGTTTTAAAAACCTACATTTTCAAGTATAAATAGTAGTACTGATGATAAATTGCACAAGAGTGAAGTATTAAGCAAAAATATATGGTAACAGATAACTGGTTCTTCTTTATTTTGGCATCTCTCTCTCTCTCCCTCAACGCCTCTTTCTCTCTTAATGTTTAATCAGTTTATTAGGTAGAAAAAAGAAAGACTGATATGGAAAATGTCCAATGCAGCAACTTCCTGTTTATGCCTTGTGGTTTTTTTTTTTTTTTTTTTTTTTGGATGGAGTCTCCCTCTGTTGCTCAGGCTGGAGTGCAGTGGCATGATCTTGGCTCCCTGCAATCTCCGCCTCCCAGGTTCAAGAGTGTTTTGTTTATTTATTTTTTATTATACTTTAAGTTCTAGGGTACATGTGCACAACATGCAGGTTTGTTACATATGTATACGTGTGCCATGTTGGTGTGCTGCATCCATTAACTCGTCATTTACATTAGGTATATCTCCTAATGCTATCACTACCCCCTGCCCCCATTCCACAACAGGCCCCATTGTGTGATGTTCCCCTTCCTGTGTCCAAGTGTTCTCATTGTTCAATTCCCACCTATGAGAGAGAACATGAGGTGTTTGGTTTTTTGTCCTTGCAATAGTTTGCTGAGAATGATGGTTTCCATCTTCATCCATGTCCCTACAAAGGACATGAACTCATCATTTTTTATGGCTGCATAGTATTCCATGGTGTATATGTGCCACATTTTCTTAATTCAGCCTATCATTGTTGGACATTTGGGTTGGTTCCAAGTCTTTGCTATTGTGAGTAGTGCCACAATGAACATACATGTGCATGTGTCTTTATAGCAGCATGATTTATATTCCTTTGGTATATACCCAGTAATGGGCTGGCTGGGTCAAATGGTATTTCTAGTTCTAGATCCCTGGGTAATCGCCACACTGTCTTCCACAATGGTTGAACTAGTTTACAGTCCCACCAACAGTGTAAAAGTGTTCCTATTTCTCCACATCCTCTCCAGCACCTGTTGTTTCCTGACTTTTTAATGATGGCCATTCTAACTGGTGTGAGATGGCATCTCATTGTGGTTTTGATTTGCATTTCTCTGATGGCCAGTGATAATGAGCATTTTTTCATGTGCCAGTTGGCTGCATAAGTGTCTTCTTTTGAGAAGTGTCTGTTCATATCCTTCACCCCTTTTTTGATGGGGTTGTTTGATTTTTTCTTGTAAATTTGTTTAAGTTCTTTGTAGATTCTGGATATTAGCCCTTTGTCAGATGAGTAGATTGCAAAAAATTTCTTCCATTCTGTAGGTTGCCTGTTCAGTCTGATGGTAGTTTCTTTTGCTGTGCAGAAGCTCTTTAGTTTAATTAGATCCCATTTGTCAATTCTGTCTTTTGTTGCCGTTGCTTTTGGTGTTTTAGACATGAAGTCCTTGCCCATGCCTATGTCCTGAATGGTATTGCATAGGTTTTATTCTAGGGTTTTTATGGTTTTAGGTCTGACGTTTAAGTCTTTAATCCATCTCGAATTAATTTTTGCATAAGGTGTAAGGAAGAGATTCAGTTTCAGCTTTCTACATATCGCTAGCCAGTTTTCCCAGCACCATTTATTAAATAAGGAATCCTTTCCCCATTTGTTGTTTTTGTCAGGTTTGCCAAAGATCAGATTGTTGTAGATGTGTGGTATTATTTCTGAGGGCTCTGTTCTGTTCCATTGGTCTATATCTCTGTTTTGGTACCAGTACCATTCTGTTTTGGTTATTGTAGACTTGTAGTATAGTTTGAAGTCAGTTAGTGTGATGGCTCCAGCTTTGTTCTTTTAGCTTAGGATTATCTTGGCAATGCAGGCTCTTTTTTGGTTCCATATGAACTTTAAAGGAGTTTTTTCCAATTCTGTGAAGAAAGTCATTGGTAGCTTGATGGGGATGGCATTGAATTTATAAATTACCTTGGGCACTATGGCCATTTTCACAATATTGATTCTTCCTACCCATGAGAATGGAATGTTCTTCCATTAGTTTGTGTCCTCTTTTATTTCATTGAGCAGTGGTTTGTAATTCTCCTTGAAGAGTTCCTTCACATCCCTTGTAAGTTGGATTCCTAGGTATTTTATTCTCTTTGAAGCAATTGTGAATGAGAGTTCACTCATGATTTGGCTCTTTGTTTGTCTGTTATTGGTGTATAAGAATGCTTGTGATTTTTGCACATTGATTTTGTATCCTGAGACTTTGCTGAAGTTGCTTACCAGCTTAAGGAGATTTTTGGCTGAGACAATGGGGTTTTCTAAATATACAATCATGTCATCTGCAAACAGGGACAATTTGACTTCCTCTTTTCCTAATTGAATACCCTTTATTTATTTCTCCTGCCTGAATGCCCTGGCCAGAACTTCCAGCACTATGTTGAATAGGAGTGGTGAGACAGGGCATCCCTGTCTTGTGCCAGTTTTCAAAGGGAATGCTTCCAGTTTTTGCCCATTCAGTATGATACTGGCTGTGGGTTTGTCATAAATAGCTCTTATTATTTTGAGATACGTCCCATCAATACCTAATTTATTGAGAGTTTTTAGCATGAAGGGCTGTTGAATTTACCTTTTCTGCATTTATTGAGATAATCATGTGGTTTTTGTCTGTCATTCTGTTTATATGATGGATTACGTTTATTGATATGTGTATGTTGAACCTGCCTTGCATCCCAGGGATGAAGCCCACTTGGTCATGGTGGATAAGCTTTTTGATGTGCTGCTGGATTCGGTTTGCCAGTACTTTATTGAGGATTTTTGCATCGATGTTCATCAGGGATATTGGTCTAAAATTCTCTTTTTCTGTTGTGTCTCTGCCAGGCTTTGGTATTAGAATGATGCTGGCCTCATAAAATGAGTTAGGGATTATTCCCTCTTTTTCTATTGATTGGAATAGTTTCAGAAGGAATGGTACCAACTTCTCCTTGTACCTCTGGTAGAATTCAGCTGTGAATCTGTCTGGTCCTGGAATTTTTTTGGTTGGTAGGCTCTTAACTATCACCTCAATTCAGGGCCTGTTATTTGTCTATTCAGGGATTCAACTTCTTACTGGTTTAGTCTTGGGAGGGTGTAAATGTCCGGGAATTTATCCATCGCTTCTAGATTTTCTGGTTTATTTGTGTAGAGGCGTTTATAGTATTCTCTGATGGTAGTTTGTATCTCTGTGGGATCGGTGGTGATACTCCCTTTATCATTTTTTATTGAGTCTATTTGATTCTTCTCTCTTTCCTTCTTTATTAGTCTTCCTAGCAGTCTATTTGATTCTTATCTCTTTCCTTCTTTATTAGTCTTCCTAGCAGTCTATCAATATTGTTGATCTTTTCAAAAAACCAGCTCCTGGATTCATTGATTTTTTTGAAGGGATTCTGTGTCTCTATCTCCTTCAATTCTGCTTTGATCTTAGTTATTTCTTGCCTTCTGCTAGCTTTTGAATGTGTTTGCTCTTGCTTCTCTAGTTCTTTTAATTATGATGTTAGGGTATCAATTTTAGATCTTTCCTGCTTTCTTTTGTGGGCATTTAGTGCTGTAAATTTCCCTCTACACACTGCTTTAAATGTGTCCCAGCGATTCTGGTATGTTTTGTCTTTGTTCTCATTGGTTTCAAAGAACATCTTTATTTCTGCCTTCATTTCATTATGTACCCAATAGTCATTCAGGAGCAGGTTGTTCAGCTTCCATGTAGTTGAGCGGTTTTGAGTGAGTTTCTTAATCCTGACATCTAGTTTGATTGCACTGTGGTCTGAGAGACAGTTTGTTATAATTTCTGTTCTTTTACATTTGCTGAGGAGTGCTTTACTTCCAACTATGTGGTCAATTTTGGAAAAGTGCAGTGTGGTGCTGAGAGGAATGTATATTCTGTTGATTTGGGGTGGAGAGTTTTGTAGATGTCTATTAGGTCCGCTTGGTGCAGAGCTGAGTTCAATTCCTGGATATCCTTGTTACCTTTCTGTCTCATTAATCTGTCTGATGTTGACAGTTGGGTGTTTAAGTCTTGCATTATTATTGTGTGGGAGTCTAAGTCTCTTTGTAGGTCTCTAAGGACTTGCTTTATGAATCTGGGTGCTCCTGTATTGGGTGCATATATATTTTGGATAGTTAACTCTTCTTGTTGAATTGATCCCTTTACCATTATGTAATGGACTTCTTTGTCTCTTCTGATCTTTGTTGGTTTAAAGACTGTTTTATCAGAGACTAGGATTGCAATCCCTGCTTTTTTTTATTTCCATTTGCTTGGTAGATCTTCCTCCATCCCTTTATTTTGAGCCTATGTGTGTCTCAGCACATGAGATGGGTCTCCTGAATACAGCACACTGATGGGTCTTGATTCTTCATCCAATTTGCCAGTCTGTGTCTTTTAATTGGAGAATTTAGCTCATTTACATTTAAGGTTAATATTGTTATGTGTGAATTTGATCCTGTCATTATGATGTTAGCTGGTTATTTTGCTCATTAGTTGAGGCAGTTTCTTCCTGGCATCAATGGTCTTTACAATTTGGCATGTTTTTGCAGTGGCTGGTACTGTTTGTTCCTTTCCATGTTTAGTGCTTCCTTCAGGAGCTCTTGTAAGGCAGGCCTGGTGGTGGCAAAATCTCTCAGCATTTGCTTGTCTGGAAAGGATTTTATTTCTCCTTCACTTATAAAACTTTGTTTGGCTGGATATGATATTCTGGGTTGAAACTTATTTTCTTCAGGGATCTAGTACTAGAAACACCATTTGACTCAGCCATCCCATTACTGAGTATATACCCAAAGGAATATAAATCATGCTGCTATAAAGATACATACACACGTATGTTTATTGCAGCACTAGTCACAATAGCAAAGACATGGAACCAACCCAGATGTCCAACAATGATAGACTGGATTAAGAAAATGTGGCATATATACACCATGGCATACTATGCAGCTGTAAAAAAGGATAAGTTCATGTCCTTTGTAGAGACATGGATGAAGCTAGAAACCATCATTCTCAGCAAACTATCGCAAGGACAAAAAACCAAACATCTCGTGTTCTCTCTCATAGGTGGGAATTGAACAATGAGAACACTTGGACACAGGAAGGGAAACATCACACACCGGGGCCTGTTGTGGGGTGGGGGGAAGGGGGAAGGGGAAGGGATAGCATTAGGAAATATACCTAATGTAAATGATGAGTTAATGGGTGCAGCACACCATCATGGCACATATATACATATGTAACAAATCTGCACGTTGTTCACGTGTACCCTAGAACTTAGAGTATAGTAAATATATATATATAAAGAATGTTGAATATTGGCCCCTATTCTCTTCTGGCTTGTAGAGTTTCTGCTGAGAGATCCGCTGTTAGTCTGACGGGCTTCCCTTTGTGGGTAACCCGACCATTCTCTCTGGCTGCTCTTAACATTTTTGCCTTCATTTCAACTTTGGTGAATCTGACAATTATGTATCTTGGAGTTGCTCTTCTCAGGGAGTACCTTTGTGGCATTCTTCTTGGCCTGCCTTGCTAGGTTGGGGAAGTTCTCCTGGATAATATCCTGAAGAGTGTTTTCCAACTTGGTTCCATTCTCCCCATCACTTTCAGCTACACCAATCAGATGTAGATTTGGTCTTTTCACATAGTCCCATATTTCTTGGAGGCTTTGTTCATTTATTTTTACTCTTTTTTTCTCTAACCTTCTCTTCTTGCTTCATTTCATTCGTTTGATCTTCAATCATGGATACCCTTTCTTCCAGTTGATCGAACCAGCTACTGAAGCTTGTGCATGCATCACGTAGTTCTTGTTCTATGGTTTTCAGCTCCATCAGGTCATTTAAGGTCTTCTCTATGCTGTTTATTCTAGTTAGCCCTTCTTCCACTCTTTTTTCAAGGTGTTTAGCTTGTTTGTGAAGGGTCTGAACATCGTCTTTTAGCTTGGAGATGTTTGTGTTTACTGATCTTCTGAAGCCTTCTTCTCTCAACTCGTCAAAGTCATTCTCCATCCAGCTTTGTTCTGTTGCTGGCAAAGAGCTATCTTCCTTTGGAGGAGAAGAGGCACTCTGATTTTTAAAATTTTCAGCTTTTCTGCTCTTGTTTCTCCCCATCTTTGTGGTTTTATCTACCTTTGGTCTGTGATGATGGTGGTGTACAGATGGGGTTTTGGTGTGGATGTCCTTTCTGTTTGTTAGTTTTCCTTCTAACAGTCAGGACCCCCAGCTGCAGGTCTGTTGGAGTTTGCTGGAGGTCCACTCCAGACCCTGTTTGCCTAGGTATCACCAGCGGAGGCTACAGTACCAAAAATATTGCAGAATGGCAAATGTTGCTGCTTGATCGTTCCTCTGGAAGCTTTGTCTCAGAGGGCACCCAGCAGTATGAGGTGTCAGTCGGCCCCTATTGGGAGGTGGCTCCCAGTTAGGCTACTCGGGGGTCAGGGACCCACTCAAGGAGGCAGTCTGTCTGTTCTCGGATCTCAAACTCCGTGATGGGAGAACCACTACTCTCTTCAAAGCTTTCAGACAGGTATGTTTATGTCTGCAGAAGTTTCTGCTGCCTTTTGTTCAGCTATGCCCTGCCCCCAGAGGTGGAGTCTACAGAGGCAGGCAGGCCTCCTTGAGCTGTGGTGGGCTTTGCCCAGTTCAAGCTTCCTGACTGCAAGCCTCAGCAATGGTGGGCGACCCTCCCCCAGCCTCGCTGTTGCCTTGCAGTTTGATCTCAGACTGCTGTGCTAGCAGTGAGCAAGGCTCTGTTGGCATGGGACCCTCGGAGCCAGGCGAGGGATATAATCTCCTGGTGTGCTGTTTGCTAAGACCATTGGAAAACTGCAGTATTAGGGTAAGAGTGTCCTGATTTTCCAAAGGCTGTCTGTCATGGCTTCCCTTGGCTAGGAAAGGGAATTCTCCGATCCCTTGCACTTCCCAGATGAGGCGATGTTTTGCCCTGCTTCGGCTCTGGGTCCGTGGGCTGCACCCACTGTCCTGCACCCACCGTCTGACAAGCCCCAGTGAGACGAACCCGGTAACTCATTTGGAAATGCAGAAATCACCCGTCTTCTGAGTCGCTCACTCTGGGCGCTGTAGACTGGAGCTGTTCCTATTCGGCCATCTTGGAACCTCCCTTGGTGTTTGTTTTTTTACAGCTTGAGATGATCAGCACTGTTTATAGAGAAATACCACGTTCAGTTGTAACATCTCCAAACAAACAAATGGAAAATTTTCCATGTGTAATGAATTGACATTCTCAGTTTTATAATCTTTGTTTTTTATCCTGTATTGTTTTTCAGGTCTTCTCAACAGAATCCATCAAAAGCTAATCTGTTTTAAATTCTTTCAAGGAACATAATAATGTTTGAAATATTTTAAAATTAAATTTAACTTACTATACTTTAAAAAAACACATAATCTTTATAACTCTTTCGAGGAGATTTATGGAATCAAAAAATAAGGTATGAACTCTAGCAATTTAGGAAACTTGAAAGCAACCCTATTTTGAATCACAAAACGCAATGTATTGAATCAAAAGTGTGACTCAAAATAAGAATGGAGTTAGCACAGGAATGGAAATAGCTAAAATGAGGAAAATATTTCTTCTTCTTTTAAAGTCTAAGTTTCAGATGTCTTATCTTCTGCAACACCAACAAAATGTAGACATTCATTAGTGTATTCATCACAAAACCAATGTATACACAATGTTACTCAAACTCAGATTTAATTTATTGGAAAAGTTTATTATATTGTCCTATTTATTATTCTAAGGTCAAGTAATATCCCCTGTTTCATTCCTGATTTTAATCATTTTAGTCTTTTCTCTTGTTTTCCTTGGTCAATATAGCTTAGGTTTTGTTAGTTTTGTTGCTTTTGGTTTCACTGACTTTCTCTCATATTTTTCTATTCTCTATTTCATTTATTTCTCCTCTGACATTTATTATTTTCTCTTTATGTTGCACTTGGGTTTTACTTTATTTTCCTTAATGTTTGGTATGGTGGAATGTTCAGTTATTGATCTGGGGTCATCTTTTTTAAATACTGGTATTGAGAGCCTTTATTTTTATTTTGAGCATTGCTTTAGTTTTATCCCATGAGATTGGGTGTGTATTTTTGTTTTCATCAATCTCAAAAATTGTTATAATTTCCCCAGTGATTTCTTCTTTGACTCATTGACTATTTAGGAATGTGCTGTTTAATTTTTATGTATTCGTGAACTTCACAAATTTCCTTCTGTCATTGACTTCTAATTTCATTTCATTTTAGTCAGAGAAAGTAATGTGTATGATTTTAATCTTTGTAAAATTCCTTGAGGCTTGCATAATGGCCTTATACACATTTTATCCGGGAGAATGTGCCATGTGCCCTGGACAAGAATCTTGGAGAAGAATCTGGGATTCTTTCTACTGTTGGGTGGAGTGTTCTTTATCTGTTAGGCAGATTGTTTACAGTGTTGTTCACCTCATGTGTTTCCTTGTTGATATTCCGCCTTGTTGTTCTACTTATCATTAAAAGTGGGATTTGGCATTTAAAAAAAAATAAAAAAATAAAAAAATAAAATAAAGTAAAATTAAGAATTAAAATAAAAAAATAATAATAAATAAAAAAAAAGAAAAGTTTCTTCAAAGAAAGTAACTCAGCTTTTCCAAAAGTGATTTGTAGGAATTCAGATGTTTTGAAATTAGTAACAACAATCCCTGTTTTAATATATTTAACTACCAAAGTATTCCAAATATCATATCAAACTGCCTCTATCTCTTTTTTCTTCTTGATAGATACTCTGTTTCCCATAAAACAGACTGGAAATAACTAACTAGCTGTGGACTGTCTCAGAGTCTGAGACAATTTGAATAGTTTTCCAGTTGCAGGTTCTTAAAAGTGTAAATTCATGGTTAAAACACAATAACACTACTTTAGTGAGTCATGGAAAATAATATTTTCATTTAAAAGTATAATGTACTACTTTTTGAAGATGAACATGAGCTGACTGTGCTAAGTAAATAAAAGAAGAATTTTGTAAAAATATGATTAGAAACAGTAACCATCTTTTTAACTATTAAAATATCAGAAATCTTAATATACATTTTTAGAAAAAGTTACCTTTTCAATAACAAAGAGAAAAAAGTAAATTATTTCTAACCAAATTTCTAATGTATGTAGGTATATAAACTACAATGCCATGCCTTTATGGCTTATTTTCAGAAAGTGATATGCAAGTAAAATGAAAACAAATGGAGAAATGTAGAAACACTACAGCATTATCTACTTTCCAGAATTTTAAATTATTAAGGATATTAATATTAATGGTAAATTCCCAAAGTGTAATTTTGTAAAGATTCAAGATTTATCATATTACTAATAAATAGTTTTAATGTTAGTCATGCATACATATTACATTTTTTCCATATGTAGTTAATGCACAGTGGCAATAAAAAACAATTCAAATGGCCACTTAAATCATGTAAATATATTCTTGAGTATTTACAAGCAGAGAATAAGAGCTTTTATTTATCTTTTTGCCTTTTAGTTTTTAATAGAAGCACAAATTACATGCTGTACAGATCTTAAGCATTCCAGTTTGGTGTGTTTTGACAATAATATAAATTTATGTAATCCATACACTGATCTAGACATAGACAATTACAATTAACCAATAAAGTTGCTGTATGCCTATCCCAAATCAATCCCTAATCTCCCCACCCAACATAGACTGTATAATGATGTAGATCTGATTCTGTTACAGAATTATCCTATCATATAGATTTTTCGATTCCAAAGTTATAAAAAATATATGGCTTCTCTTGTGTCTGGCTCTTTTCTCTCAGCAAACTTTTGAGATTTATTCATTCATTTTGTGTATCAGAAGTTTTTTCCATTTATTTCTGAGTAATATAACATTACAAAACATGAACCAAGAATTATTCATTCATTCATCAGTTTGACAGATATTGAGCTTATTTATGATATTTGACTTTTAGGAATAAAATCCCTAAAAACATTTGTTTACAAGTGTACAACATAGACATATGTTTTTATTTCTTCTGTATCAATGCTTAGTAATTCAGAATTGAATTTTCTTATCTTCCTTCATAAAGTATGTAAGTCTTTTATCCCTGTTTCATTCGGTTACTTATTACTTTATTATTGATTTTAGAAATTATTTGTATATTATGAATATAAATCCATTGTCATTTATGCTGTTGAAAATATTTTCTCCTAGTCAATGGCTTGCCAGTCTATTTTCTTAGCTGTATATTTTGATGAGCAGAAGTTTTTAAAATGTTATGTAGTTTATACTTTTTTAATCATTGGTGTTTTATTTGTTCTTTATAAGAATGTTGTTTTTTGTTCCAAGGTCAAAAAGGAAAGATTTTTTATATGTTTGAAGATTTACAGTGTCACCAATTGTATCTGAGTATATTATCCATATGTAGTTCATTTTTGTGTATTGCTTGAGGTAAAGGTTGAGGTTTATTTTTCTTCCTGTGTATAACTAATCATCTCTTTCAGGACCATATGTGGAAAAGGCATTTCTTTCTCTATTCAATAGCTTTGTCATCTTTATTTTTCAAAAATAAATAAATAAGACATTTATTTAACCTCAACATCACAATTTGTACTTCTCAATCTCTATTCATTATCTTACCTACATGTTTTATATTTCTATTTTCTTTCTTTTTTTGTCTTCTTTTTCTATTAAACTTATATTTTAACTTCCAAAGCAAGAGCCAATTCTAAAACACAAAGATTCCTGGAAATTCTACGCACCTGGAAAATAAGAATGATAATCAAGACACTTGTGGTGAATATATGGTATTTAAAAATCATAGCAACCACTTTAATTCTCTATGTGTTATATAAAAGGAATATTGAACAATTTTTATGCTCCATTATTTAATATTTTGACACACTTATTTCAGAAACTGTTCGAAACAACCCTGTAGGTTACAAATAATTTTTACAGATAAGAAATATGAAATTCAGAAGGTTCAGTAATCAGCTTAAATATTGTGATTGCTGCATAAACAAAAGAACCTAATAAAAAATAAAAATATCTGATGTTTACATAGGTCAAAAATCATGTCACATTCTGATATTAAGAGTATTATACTTCTTGTAGATAAGGCAACATGATTTTGAAATGTTGGCAGTTTTCTGCAATAAATAGCAGAATTGTGTTTCATACATAATACGGATGATACAAACAATCTATACTTTTTCTCAGTACATTATCATGTAGATTTGTCTAATGTAAATGCTAATGCATTGAGACCACATGTTTATTTAGACTAAGTTTATGATCATTTATGTGCACGTGAAAATTACTGACATAGAGCTATGAAAAGATACAAAAATGTTGAAAGAAACTATGATGATCCTGAATATAGAAGACAGAGCTTAAAAGTTTATTATTAATGTAGTAAAAATAATTAAATTTAGGTTTAATATTAATTTAAATAGCAGCCATACCACTGAAACAGGGTCTTGGGAGGATTATACTGAGTCACATTTTACCTTTCAACCAGGATCTGAATTCCTAGGGGATGGTTTATGTGGGCAATAGAGTGGGATCACATGGGAAGCTCAGGGAAAGGAGCTACATAGCAACTAGTGTAGAATTATTTTAATATTTTACCAATCAGTACTATTGTACTAGTGTATACTTACAGAATATCCAGAGTTATACTATCACATTTTAGCACTGCTATGACATTTATAACACATATTTTTTTCTTCCACATATTACCAATAGGATGTGTCTGATACCAATGTTACTTAAAGCTGTATTTAGGCAATGACCCTCATTAATTAGTTATCTTTGTGCACATGCAAGCTTAGGCAGCAGACTTATTTATATTTTCATTACTACAATTGAGTTTTGTATACTATTGGCAATATATGATCAGAGTTTAATTACTAATTACAATTTCCTTTAAAAATTAAAGTATAATTCAGCAATAAAAATGTTAGTTACTAGGTTTGCAGAAAACAGAGCAGAGAAATAAATTTTTATCATTAGAGGATCATCTGCAATTTTATATTTTCCTGTAAAGCCATAAACAAGTGCTTTCTAAAGCCTAAGAAAGAAAAAAAATTATAGCAATAAAGGTGACAACATTTAATTTTTGTGATGGTTATCAAAAAAGGATATCACCCACCAAACAATACAACTAGAAACACGAGAAATTCTACAAAGCAGAAGAAAGAAATTTCAAAACAACAAAAAAGCAGTCTGACCACTTTCTGGATTGTGCATCGAGATAGAAACATTATGTTATAATTTAATTAAGAGCAGTTTTTTTTCCTTCCTGCATTGTATGTAACCTAATGGTGCATCCTATAATCTATGAGCTCTACATATCAATAAAATATAGAATGTACATAAAGTAACACCCCAAAAAAGGAATAAAAGAATGGTTAGTAAAATTGCTTCAGTTAGAAATCTCTAAAGGTATGACAGTATGCATTATATTCTAGAATAGTAGTTGTCACTGAGATGCTAGTCCCAGTATTCATGAGGCACATATCACAAAACACTATTTGCTGTGACTCAGCCTTTTGGACATAATGAGGGAAAAAAACAGTAGTTGAAAGCTTGTTGGGCCAAACTGTCAAGAGAAGATGAGAAATAATGCTAAATCACATCTTCAAAAATTCCACATGACAATTAGGACCAATTCAGATTACTAAAACAAAGAGAAATAGTATGTCTTTGGTCTAAGAGACTGCTCATGTTGGAGTTTCCTCACATGTATTTATGTCTTTTTTCTTTCTAAAGGAAACACTGCAAGAAGTCAGGGATTTTTCTTTTCTCTTTCACTGCTATTGGTGCCTAGAAAAGTACCTGACGTAGAGTAGACAACACTCGTAAAGATGAAGAAAGATGGACTCATTTTGCTTATTTAGCAATTATTGTTTGTAAAGAGATGTTGTGTGTTCATATCATAAATATTACAATGCCATATTGCAAACTATTTACAGGAATATCATGTGCAAAATGTCAAAAAAGGAAACTTGATATTTAAAAAATTATCTTGTAAATAATTACTGAACAAACTCATAATAATTACTGTAATAGAAACAACAACTTCCATACACAGATTTCAGGCCTGATGAATTTCCACGTGTCTCACATATCCAGTTGGTTCCTGAATGGCAATAGCTGCTCAGGAATCAAGTTACCCTCAAGAATTCACTCATAGATTTGAAAAAATGAAGTTTTGAATTGTTACTACTAGCGAGTAAGCAGTGATTTTTTGTCCTTTAAGTGGAAGTCTGCTGAACAAAGCAGACACAGCCCCTCACTTGGTGATGATGAGAATGATTTTTAAATGAACTACACTTTTAAGAAAATGCAGTGAAAAAGAGGAATACTGAGATTTACATCCTCTGCAATTAGACCTTTAGAAAAATGCACAGTTGCAGATTTAAAATCAGAATAACTGATTTGACTCAAAGGCTTTTAAAAAAAAACTTATGGGATGTATGATGTTAGATAACTCTTTTGTTTCTACTTTCTTATCTGTAAAAAGGATGTGGCAATAAATACCTCCAGAGCTTTAGTGACAATAAAAACATGATGTATGTGAAAACATCTTGTGATCTTTAAAGAACTATAAAAATGAAAGTTATTGTTTCAATTATTCCAAACAGGAACCAGAAAGGTTATTCCTGAATGGCATTCTGGTGTGATAGTAAATGAGTAAATTCATGCAGAAATAAGGGGACAAAAATCCACTAACAGATTCTGCAAAAGGACTCAAATCCAGGTTTACAATATATAATGTTTAAAGAAGAAGGAGAAGAAAGACCATGAAAAAGAAGGAGTAGAAAGACAATAAAGCAGTTCCATTTTTATATTTTTAAATCATTGTAACCATTAACACTAACAATCATAGATTTTAAAATTATTTTATTTTATTTTAATATATAAAGAAATTAAAAATGTTCCTCAAGTTATAATGGAATCTCCAAATTAAGATAATTTTTAAATTAGGATTCTCTTTACACTTTTGATAACTTTCTTTTTAAAACCAACTTTTTTAAAAAAACAGTGAGAAAATTAACATGATGTCTAATTGCAGACGTTTCTCTATTTCTCATGTAAAATGATTTGGTGGGGTGTTAATACAAAAATTTTAAATAATATCAAATATAATTGGTTATATAAATGGTGGGTTTAACTAGAAAAAATATTTGAAAATAAACAATATGTGTCATGATTAACTGGTAATATTTTATAAATCTGTAGACAAGCTATATCCTGGAAGTTAGTAACATCTGTCGTAGATATATTTCTAACGGGGACTTGAAAGGAAAATCAATTATTGGAGAGGCTAACTTTCACTTTCAAATACATTTTTCATGGATATAAACTGCAATTTGTTTACCAGTATTTTTGTTTTTATTTTGTGTGTAAATGGTGGCAAGATTTAGCTTCATTAAACTGTTATTTTAGGAGCAGGTATAAAAATTTATGGCTAAATTTAAATTGTTATTAATAATAACATTCTCTCAATTCTTATCCTGCATCCAATTTCAATAGAATTGTTCTTATAAAAGATGTTGTGTTTTGTGATTTTTCATCTCCTCTGGAGGACAAATTATGATAACAGTAACTGACTTTATAGGAAACCATTCACAGGAGTTCTAGTGATGGGCATCAGAAAACTAAATCATCCTGGAGTTAAACTGAGATTTTTTTAAGATAAAACTTTATTGAAACAATCTCCTTTCATTACGGTTTGCTTTGTTAGGATGAGGACACATTTATTTATTTAGGTCTTCACCCAAAAAGATAATAGAAAGGGGGTGCTATGATCACAAAGTAAGCCTTATACAAAATGTGAGGAGTAAGATGTATCCACATCACTGCTAATGTCCTATCAGGCTAATAACCCTGGATAATGGGTACAAAGTGCATTTTGAGAAGATAAAGTTAGGAAGAAATCTAGATTGTCTTAATAAATCTAGATCACAGTAAAATATTATGGAGGTAATATTTCTATAGAAAGATGAAGTATTAGAATTACAGTGGTAATTAGTCATTAACATGAGCTCAATGGACTGTCATTGAGAACTAATTGAGCAACTCTATTAGCAAGGCTTAATTTGCATATATACACTTATAGTTTATGAAGAAGGTAGATGAAAATAAATTCATTTTGCCCAGTCCCATAGTGATCTGAGAAATTCTACATTACCACCTAAAGGTGGCAAATAAAACATTTTAAATAACAATAAAATGCTTTATATTCTGATGTAACTCTTCAAAATAACTGAGTTCTTTTTAGAACTATGAAAAAGAATATAAGTAACTTCTTCCAGAGACATTCGCCTTTGAACACTTTTAGAAAGTTATAAAATCTGGAAGTTTCTCCACAAAGTCAGGGCAATTTATCAGTGCAAAGAATTTTTGATCAAACATTGTCAAGAATATCTTTTCAACACAATATATTTCTAGAAAAAAAATTCTGTGCTGAGTCTGTTCCAAATTTTTTTTTCTAATTCTAAGTGAAATGAAATAGATATCCATAAATAATGTTGATGCCACTGCATTTCAATTAGGCATAAAGGCTGGGCATGAGCTACTATGCTATGTTTTTATATATAATACATGTTGTTTAGGGAGGTGCATCTGGTGTTTTTCCTTTTATAAAAACAATGAACTAGGAGTGGAGCAAGATGGCAAAATAGAAGTCTACATTGCCCAGTACCCCCACAAGAACACCAGATTGTAACAACTGCAGACAAAAAGCACCATCACAAAAAACAAAAATCAGCTGAGCACTCACAGTACCTAGTTTTAACTTCATATAGCTGAAAGAGGAACTAAAAGGGGTAGCAGACACAGTCTTCAATTGCTGATGCCACCCTTCACGCCTCCCCAGGCAACAGCTGCACAGTGTGGCAAATCTCTCTGCTTGAGAGAAGGAGAATGCAGCAACTGGGGCACTTTATATTGAACTCATTGCTGCACTGTCTCAGTGGAAAGCAGAACCATGCTGTATCCAGCTGATGCCCACTCACACAGGACACATTTGGACTGGCCCTAGGCAGAGAGGCATCGCCCATTGCGGTTGGAGCCTGAGTTCCAGCAAGCCTCAGTGCTGCAGGCTAAAGCATTTTGGGACCCTAAGTATACTTGAGGGGCAGTGTAGGCCACAAGGAATGCAATTCCAAGCCAAGTCCTAGTGCTGATCTGGGCCTAAAACTAGTGGACTGGGGTTGGTGTCCTGACCTATTGAGACGCCAGCTGAAGCAGCTAAGGGAGTGTTGTGCAACCCCTCCTTCATGCCTTGGCAGTGGCTGCGCAGCGCAGAGAAATCTGTGCCCTTGGGAGAAAGAGAGCAAACCAATTGTGAGACTACATTGAACTGAGTGACGTCCTGTTACAGCAGAGAGCAAAGCTGTGCTGGGCTAGGCCAGCAACCCTGCAAAGAGGGAGCATTTGGGTCACACCTAGCCAGAGAGAAATAGCCCATCCTGGAATTTAGAACTTATTTTTCAGTAGGCCTCACCACTGCAGGCCAAACTGCTCTAGGGTCCTAGGTAAATTCGAAAGGCAGTCTAGGACACAAGGGCTGTAATTCCTAGGCAACTCCTAGTGCTGTACTGGGATTGGAATCAGTGGACTCCGGGGCACATGACCTAGGGAGACAACAGATGGGACATTTAAGGGACTGGTTGCACCACCCCTCCCCCAAACCCAGGCAGCAGCTCAGCAAGGAAAATGAATTTGGCTTTCTGCTTGAGAAGAGAGTGAATAGTAGAAGACTGTGTCTTACATCTTGGATACTAGCTCAGCCACAGTAGAATAGGGCACTGGGCAGAGTCATGAGGCTCCCATTTCAGGCCCTAGCTGATGGATGACATTTCTGGACATACCTTGAGCCAAAAAGGAATCCACTGCCTTGAAGAAGAGGACCCAGTCAGAACAGGATGCATCACCTGCTGACTAAAGAGCCTTTGGACCCCAAATAACCAGCAACAATACCCAGTAAAGTTGTCATGGCCCCTGGGATCTGAGACGTGCCGGTTGTGGGACCTAGCATATTCCCATCTGTGGTGGCTATCATGAAAGACTCCTTCTGTTTGAGAAAAGCAGAGGAAAAATAAAGGGAATTCTGTCCTGCACATTAGGTACCAGCTCAGCCATAGCAGGCTAGAGCACCAACCAGACTCTTGGAGTCCCCAAATCTAGCCTAGGCTCTTAGCATGTCTGGACCTGCTGTGCTCCAGAGGAGAGCCCACTGCCCTGAAGGATGAGTTTCAGGCCTGGCAACATTCACCACAAACTGACTAAAGAACCCTTGGGCTTTAAGGGAACATTGATGGTCTCCTGGCAGAACCCCTCAAGGGTCAATAGTGTTGGTGGTCCCAAGGCGAGGCTCCTCTGCCTATGGAAAGGAAAGGGGAAGCATGAGAAAGCCTTTGTCTTGTAGTTTGAATGCCTGCTTAGACACAGTAGAATAGAACTTCAGATAAATTTCTAAGGCTTTTGACTCCAAGCCCTGGCTCCCAGACAGTATTGCTGGACCCATCTGGGGATGGGGGAACTGACCCCCATGAAGGGAAGGAAATAAACCTGGCTTGGTTACTACCTGCTGATCAAAGAGTCCTAGTGTTATAAGTACACATTAGTGGTAGCCAGGTAGTGGTTATAGTGGGCTTTGGGCAAGACCCAGTGCTGTGCTGGCTTTAGGCCTGAATGAGCACCGTCGCAATGGTGGTGGCCACAAAGGTGCTTGTGTCCTCCCACCCCCAGTTCCAGGTGTCTTAACACAGACAAAGAGAGACTCAATTTGCTTGGGAGGAAGTAAAAGAAAAGAATGAGAGTCTATGCCTGGTAATCCAGATAATTTTTTCAGATTTAATTCAAGACCACCAAGGTAGTACCTCTGTGAGTCTGCAAGAAACACAGCATTATTGGGTTTTAGGCCCAAGTCTCTTCAAATACCTTGAAAGCTTTCCCAAGAAGGACAGGCATAAAAAAGGCCAAGTTGCGAAGACTATAATAAATGCCTAACTATTCAATGCCTAGAAACAGAATATCTACAAGCATCAAGGCCATCCAGAAAAACATGACCTCACAAATGAACTAAATAAGTCACCAGGGACCAATCCTGCAGAATCAGAGATATATGAAATTTTAGACAGAATATTCAAAATAGCTGTTTTGAGGATACTCAAATTCAAGAAAATACAGAGAAGAAATTCAGAATTTTATCCAATAATTTTAACAAATGGATTGGAATTATTTTAAAAAATTAAGGAGAAATTCTAGAGTAGAAAATGCAATTGATATACTGAAGAATGCATCAAAATCTCTTAATAGCAGAATTAATCAAGCAGAAGAAAGAATTAGTGAACTTGAAGACAGGCTATTTACAAATACACAGTCAGAGGAAACAAAAGAAAAAAGAATAAAAAACAACGAAGCATGATTACAAGATCTAGAAAATAGCTAAGGGCAAATCTAAGAGTTATTGGCCTAAAGAGCAGGTAGAGAGACAGATAGGGGTGGAAAGTTTCTTCAAAGGGATAATAACAGAGAAGTTCCCAATCCCAGAGAAAGATATCAATAGCTAAGTACAAGGAGGCTGTATAGCACTTAGAAGACTGAATCCAAAGAAGACTACATCAGGGCATTTAATAATTAAATTCCCAAAGGTCAAAGATTAAGAAATGATTCTAAAAGCAGCAAGAGAAAAGAAACAAATAACATACACTGAAGCTCTAATACATCTGGCAGCAGACTTTTCAGTGGAAACCTTGCAAGACAGGAGAGTGACATGACATATTTAAAGTGCTTGGCTGGGCACAGTGGCTCACACCTATAATCCCCTCACTTTGGGAGGCTGAGGTGAACAGATGACTTGAAGTCAGGAGTTTGAGACCAGCCTGGCCAACATAGCAAAAACCCATCTCTACTAAAAATACAAAGATTAGCTGGGCATCGTGGTATGTGCCTGTAGTCTCAACTATTTGGGAGGCTGAGGCACAAGAATTGCTTCAACCTGGGAGGCAGAGGTTACAGTGAGCCAAGATCACACTACTGCACTCCAGACTGGGCAACAGAGCAAGACACTTTCTAAATAAAAATAAAAAAAAAACAGCGCTGAAAGAAAACACTTTTACCCTAGAATAGTATATCTGGTGAAAATATCCTTTAAGCATGAAGAAGAAATAAAGGCCTTCCTAGACAAACAAAAGCCGAGGGAGTTTATCAACAAAAGACTTGTCCTACATGAAATGCTAGAGGGAGGACATTAATGAGTAATAAGAAATTATCTGAAGTTATGTGAGTAAATGTGTTTATAGTAGCATTGTGTGATCTTTTGTGTTTCTGTGGTGTCAGTTGTAATAGCTCCCATTTCATTTCTAATTGAGCTTATTTGGTTCTTTTCGCTTGTTTTCTTGGTTAACCTTGCCATCAATTTTATTTATCTTTTCAAAGAGCCAGATTTTTGTTTCATTTATCTTTTGTATTTTTTTTTTCAATTTTATTTAGTTCCACTCTGATCTTGGTTATTTCCTTTCTTCTGCTGGGTTTGGATTTAGTTTGTTCTTGTTTCTTTAGTTCCTTGAGTTGTGACCTTAGATTGTCTACTTGTGCTCTTTCAGACTTTTTGATGTAGGCATTTAAGGCTATGAGCTTTTCTCTTGGCACTGCCTTTGCTGTATCGCTATGCTGAGGTTTTGATAGGCTATGAGCTTTTCTCTTGGCACTGCCTTTGCTGTATCGCTACGCTGAGGTTTTGATAGGCTATGTCACTCTTATCATCCAATTTGAAGAATTTTTTAATTTCCACCCTGATTTCATTGTTGATCCAGTGATCATTCAGAAGCAGGTTATTTAATTTCCATGTATTTGCATGGTTTTGAAGGTTCCTTTTGGAGTGGATTTCCAGTTTTTTCCGCTGTGGTCTGAGAGAGTGCTTGGTCTAATTTGAATTTTCCTAATTTTAATGAGATTTGTCTTGTGGCCTATAATATGGTCTGTCTTGGAGGATCTACCATGTGCTGATGAATGGAATGTATACTCTGCGATTGTTGGGTAGAAAGTTCTGTAAATATTTTTTAAGTCCATTTGTCCCAGGGTATAGTTTAAATTCATTGTTTCTTTGTTGACTTTTTGTTTTGATGACATGTTTAGTGATGTTAGTGGAGTATTAAAGTCCCCCACTATTGTTGTGTTGCTGTCAATCTCATTTCTTAGGTCTATTAGTCATTGTTTTATAAATTTGTAATCTCCAGTGTTAGGTGCATATGTATTTAGAGTTGTGATATTTTCCTCTTGTACAAGGCCTTTTATCATTATGTAATGTCCCTCTTGGTTTTTTTCTAAATGCTGTTGCTTTAAAGTTTGTTTTGTCTGATACAAAAATAGCTACTCCTGCTCGCTGTTGGTGTCCATTTGCGTGGAATGTCTTTTTCCACCTCTTTACCTTAAGTTTATGTGAGTCCTTATGTGTTAGGTGAGTCTCTTGAAGGCAACAGAAACAAGGTTGGTGAATTGTTAGCCATTCTGTAATTCTGTATCATTTAAGTGGAGTATTTAGGCTATTTACCTTCAATGTTAGAGGAGATGGATAAATTGCTGAAAAGATACAACCCTCTTATCTTAAGTCAGGAAGAATTAGAAACCCAGAACAGACCAATAACAAGCGGTAGATTGAAATGGTAAAAAAAAAAAAAAAAAAAAAAAATTAGCACCACCACCAACAACAACTACAAATCCAGGACCAGATGGATTCACAGCTGAATTCTATCAGAAATTTAAAGGAGAATTGGTACCAATCTTACTGACACTACTCCACAAGGTAGAGAAAGAGGAAAATCCTCCCTAAATCATTCTAAGAAGCCATTATCACCCCAACACCAAAAACAGGACAGGATATAACCACAACAACAACAAAAACTGTAGACCAATATACATGATAAACATAGATGCAAAGTCTTCAACAAAATACTAGCTAACTGAATCCAACAGCATATCAAAAAGGTAATTCACCATGGTCAAATGGGTTTTATACCAGGGATGCAGGATGGTTTAACATATGCAAGTCAATAAATGTGATACACCATATAAGTAGAATTAGAAACATAAATCACATGATTATCTCAATAGATGCAGAGAAAGTATTTGACTAAATGCAACATCACTTTATGATTAAAATACTCTGAAATTACCATAAAAGGGACATACCTCCGTGTAATAAAAGCCATCTATGAGAAGCCCACAGCCAACATAATACTGAAGGGGCAAAAGTTGAAACATCCCCTCTGAGAACTTGAACAAGACAAGGATGCCCACTCTCACCACTTCTATTCATCGTAGTACTGGTAGTCCTAGCTAAAGCAATCAGAAAAGAGAAAGAAATAAAGGCATCCAAATCGGTAAAGAGGAAGTCAAACTGTCACTACTTGCTGATTATATGATTGTATACCTGTAAAACACTAAAGGCTCCTCCAAAAAGCTCCTAGAACTGATAAATGAGTTTATCAAAGTTTCAGGATACAAAATTAATGTACACAAATCAGTACTTCTGCTGTATACAAACAATGACCCAGCTGAGAATCAAATCAAGAACTAAACCCCTTTGCCAAAGCTGTGAAAGAAATAAAATACTGGGAATACACCTAACCAAGGAGGGGAAAGACCTCTACCAGGAAAACTACAAAACACTGCTAAAAGAAATCATAGGTGACACATGGAAACACATCCCATGCTCATGGATGGGTAGAATCAATATTGTGAAAATAAAATGACCATACTGCCAAAAGCAATCTATAAATTCAGTGCAACACCCATCAAAATATCATCATCATTCTTGACAGAGCTAGAAAAAACAATCATAAAATTCATATGGAACCAACAAAGAGCCCACAGAGCCAAAGCAAGACTAAGCAAAAAGAACAAATCTAGAGGCATCACATTACTCAACTTCAAACCTTACTACAAGGCCATAGTTACCAAAACAGCATTCTACTGGTATAAAAACACACATGTAGACCAATGGAACAGAATAGAGAACCCAGAAATAAAGCCAAATATAGCCAACCTATAATTGACAAAGCAAACAAAAACATAAAGTGGGAAAAAGACACCCTATTCAACAAATGGTGCTGGGATAATTGGCAAGTGACATGTAGTAGAATGAAACTGGATTCTCTTCTCTCGCCTTACACAAAAATAAAGTCAGGATGGATCAAGTACTTAAACCTAAGGCCTGTAACTATACAAATTTTAGAAAATAACATTGGAAAAATACTTTTAGACATTGGCTTAGGCAAATATTTCATGACCAAGAACCCAAAAGCAAATGCAGTAAAAACAAATAATTAATGGGGATTAATTAAAGAGCTTTTGCATGTCAAAAGGAACAGTCAGCAGAGTTAACAGACAACCCACAGAGTGCAAGAAAATCTTTATAATTTATATATCTGGCAAAGAACTAATATTCAGAATCTACAAAGAACTCAATCAAATTAGCACGAATAAAACAACTCCATCAAAAATGGGTTAAAGACAAGAATAGACAATTCTCAAAAGAAGATATACAAAATGTACAAAATAAACATATGAAAAAATGTTTAACATCATAAATGATCAGGGAAATGCAAATCAAAACCACAATGCGATATCACCTTACTCCTGCAAGAATGGCCATAATAAAAAAAAAAAAATAGTAGATGTTTGTGTGAATGCAGTGAAAAGGGAACACTTTTATACTGCTGGTGCAAATGTAAGCTAGTATAACCACTATGGAAAACTGTGGAGATTCCTTAAAGAACTAAAAGTAGAACTGTCATTTGGTTCAGCAACTTCACTACTTGGGTATCTATACAGAGGAAAATAAGTCATTATACAAAAAAGGTATTGCACACTATGTTTATAGCTAGCACAATTTGCAATTGCAAAAATGTGGAACCAGCTCGAATGCTCATCAATCAAAGAACAGATAAACTGTTTTTTATATATATACAAAAGACATTTTAGGACAATATTGAAAGAAAAGACAAAACAGGTCATATATATACATACATATATATACATACATATATATATACACATCATATATATATATGTGTGTGTATATATATATATATATGATGGGATGGTACTCAGCCATACAAAGAGATGAATTAATGGCATTCACAGCAATCTGGATGGGACTGGAGACTATTCTAAGTGAAGTAACTAGGGTATGGAAAAACCAAACAACCTACATTCTTACTCATAAGTGGGAGCTAAGCTATGAGGATGAAAAGGCATAAGAATGATACAACGGACTTTGGGGACTTTAGGGGAAAGGGCAGGAAGGGGATGATGAATAAAAGACTACAAATTGGGTTCAATGTATACTGCTCAGGTGATGGGTGTACCAAAATCTCACTAATATCCACTAAATAACTTACTCATGTAACCAAATACCACCTGTTCTGCAAAAACCTTTGGAAATTAAACAACAAACAAAAAAGAAATCATCTGAAGTCATAAAACTCACTGGTAATAGCACGCAGAAAAACACAGAATATAATAACACAGTAACTGTGGTGTGTTAACTACTCTTAAGGAGAAAGACTAAACAATGAATTAATCGAAATAATGAGTGCACCAACTTTTTGACACACAGACAATACACTATGACATAAAGAGAAACAACAAGAAGTTAAAAAGCAGAAGGATGAAGGCAATGTGTAGTATTTATTAGTTTTGTTTTGCTTGTTGCTTTTTTTTGGTTGTTTATGCAATCAGTGTTAAGTTGTAATCGGTTTAAAATACTATCAGATAGTATTTGCAAGCCTCATGGTAACCTCCAATCAAAATGTATACACAGAAAATAAGATGCAAGAAATTAAATCATGCAATCAGAGAAGATCACTAAAAGGAAGACAAGAAGGAAAGAAAGAAGAAAAAGAAGACCACATAACAATCAGAAAACAAATAAAAAATGGCAGTAACTTCTTACATATCAATAATAACATTAAATGTAAATGGACTAACCTCTCCAATCAAAGACAGAAAAAAAGTAAGCATTAATGATCTGTTTTGTACAAGAAACACACTTCACCTATAAAGATAAGCATAGACTGAAAATAATGGGATAGAAAAAGATATTTCATACCAATGGAACTCAAAAAAAGAGCAGGAATAGCTAGCTATAGCAACAAAATACATTTTAGGACAATATTGAAATAAAAGACTAAACAGGTCATTATATAATGATAAAGGGGTTAATCATTAAACTCCCAGAGGTCAAAACAGGAAGATAAATAATAATGAATATATATGTGCTCATTTCTGGAGCACCTGGATGCAAAAAACTAATATTATTAGAGCTAAAGAGAGAGCTAGACCTGAATACAGTAATAGCTGGAGGGTACAACACCCCACCTACAGTATTGAAATGATCTTCGAGACAGAAAACCAACAAACAAATATTGGACTTAATCTGCACTATTTCAATAAATAGACCTAATAGATATATACAGAACATTTTATCCAACATCTGAAGAATACACATTCTTCTCCTCAGCACATGGATTATTCTCAAGAATAGACCGTATGATAGATCACAAGAGAAGTCTTAAGACATTTAAAAAATGAAATAATATAAAGCATATTCTCTGAGTACAATGAAACAAAACTGGATATTTATAAAAGGAATTTTGGAAACTACACGAACACATAGACAGACATTATATAATGATAAAATGTTTAGTCCAACAGGAAAATATCACAATTCTAAATATATATGCACCTAACACTGGTGGTCCCAAATTCATAAAACAATTATTACTAGACCTAAGAAATTAGATAGCAACAGAATAATAGTGAGGAACTTCAATACTCCGACAGCTCTAGACAGGCAATCAAGACAGAAAGTCAACAAAGAAACAATTAACTTAAACTATAGTGTAGAACAAATGGACTTAACAGATATTTATAGGACATTCTACCCCAAAACTGCAGAATATACATTTTTCTCATCAGCACATGGAACATTCTCCAAGGTAGACAATATGATAGGCCACAAAACAAGTCACAATAAATTTAAGACAATCAAAATTACATCAAGTACTCTCTCAGGCCACAGTGGAATAAAATTGGAAATTAACTCCAAAAGGAACTCCCAAAACTATACAAATACATGGAAATTGAATAATCTGCTCCTGAATGATCTTTGGGTTAACAGTGAAATCAAGGTGGATATTAAAACATTCTTCATGGCTGGGCAGGGTAGCTCATGCCTGTGATCCCAGCACTTTGAGACACCAAGGCGGGCGGATCACTTGAGCTCAAGAGTTTGAGACCAGCCTGGCCAACATAGTGAAACCCAGTATCTACTAAAAATACAAAAAAAAATTAGCCGATGTCATGGTGCGTTCCTGTCATCCCAGCTACTAGGGAGACTGAGGCAGGAGAATCACTTGAACCCAGGAGGTGGAGGTTGCAATGAGCTGAGATCCTGCCATTGCACTCCAGCCTGGGCAACAAGAGTGAAAACTCTGTCTCAAAAACAAACATTCTTCGAAGTGAATGATTATAGTGACATAACCTATCAAAACCTCTGGGATACAGCAAAAGCAATGCTAAGAGGAAATTTCATATCCTTAAATGCCTACATTGAAGAGTCCGAATGAGCACAAATAGACAATCTAAGGTCACACCTCAAGGAACTAGAGAAACAAGAACAAACCAAACACAAACCCAGCAGAGAAAATAAATACAAAAATCAGAGCAGAACTAAATAAAATTGAAACAAAAAAATGCAACAGATAAATGAAACAAAAAGGTGGTTATTTGAAAACATAAACAAAATAGAACATTAATGAGGTTTTTCAATAAAAGAAGAGAGAGTTTATAAACAAGAGAGAGTTTATAAAATAAGAGAGAGTTTATTTATAAAATAAACTCAATTTTATAAACAAAATAGGAGATACTACAAATAATACTGGAAAAATAGAAAAGATCATTCAAAGGTACTGTGAGCCTCTTTATGTGCACAAACTAGGAAACCTAGAGGAGATGGATAAATTTCTCAAAGTATACAGAAATTCCTGGAAACCCTCTGGATTAAACCAGGAAGAAATAGAAACTCTGAACAGACCAATAACACGTAGTGGGATTGAAACAGTACCTAAAAAATTGCCAAGAAAAAAATGTCCAGAACGATATAAATTCACAGCTGAATTCTGTCATTCAAAGAAGAATTGGTAGCAATCCTGCTGAAAATATTTCAAGAGATAGAGAAAGATGGAAGTCTCCATAAATCATTCTATGAACTCAGTATTACCCTGATACCAAAAACAGGAAAGAACATAACAAAAATACTACAGACCAATATCTCTGATAAACATGGATGTAAAAATCCTCAACAAAATACTAGATAACCAAATCCAGCAGCATATAAAAAATATAATACACCATTATCAAGTGGGTTTCATACCATGGATGTGGAATTAGATTAACATATGCAAGCCAGTAAATGCAATACACCACATAAACAGAGTTAAAAGCAAAAATTATGTGATCATCTCAACAGATGAAGAAAAAGCATTTGACAAAATTCAGCCTCGCTTTATGATTAGAACCCTTAGCAAATTAGCATAGAAGGGACACGCTTTAAGGTAATAAAAGCCATCTATGACAAACTCACCACCAACAGAATACTGAACGGAAATAAGTTGAAAGCATTCCCCCTAAGAAGTGGAACAAGACAGGGATGCTCAATTTTACCACTTCTATTCAACATAGTATTAGAAGTTTTAGCCAGACCAATCAGAAAGGAGAAAGAAATAAAGAGCATCTAAACTGGTAAAAAGGAAGTCAAACTGTTGCTATTCACCGTAATATGATGGAATACCTAAAAAACCCTAAAGACTCCTCCAAAAAGCTCTTACATCTGATTAGCACCACTATACAGCAACAGCGATCAAGCTCAGAATAAAATCAAGAACTCAACCCCTTTTACAACATCTGCAATAAATAAATAAATAAATAAATAAATAAATAAATAAATAAATAAATAAATAAAATAGGAATATACCTAAGTAAGAGGTAAAATAACTCTACAAGGAAAATTACAAAAGACTGCTAAAATAAATCATAGATGACACAAACAAATGGAAACATATTCTATGCTCATGGATGGGTAGAATCAATATCATGAAAATGACCATACTGCCAAAAGCAATTTATAAATTCAATGCAACACCTATCAAAATACCATCATAATTCTTCACAAAATTAAAAAACAATCCTAAAATTCATGTGGAACCAACAAAGAGCCCATGTAGCCAAAGCAAGACTAAGCAAAAAGAGCAAATCTAGAGGCATCACATTACTTAACTTCAAACCTTACTACAAGGCCATAGTTAACAAAACAGCATTGTACTGGTATGAAAACACACATGTAGATCATTGGAACAGAATAGAGAACCCAGAAATAAAGCCAAATACTTACAGCAAACTGATCATTTACAAAGCAAACAAAAACAGAGTTAGGAAAGGACACCCTATTCAACAAATGCTGCTGGGATAATTGGCAAGCCACATGTAGGAGAATAAAACTGGATCCTTATCTCTCACCTGTACAAAAATCAATTCATGATAGATCAAAGATTTAAATCTGAGACCTAAAGCCATATAAATTCTACAAGATATCATTGGGAAAACCCCTCTAGACATTGGCCTAGCAAAGAGTTCATGATGAAGAACCCAAAAGCAAATGCAACAAAAACAAAGATAAATAGATGGGACATAATAAATAAAGAGCTTCTGCAGAGCAAAAGAAATAATCAGTAGAGTAAAGAGAGTGGGAGAAAATATTCACAAACTATGCATTTGATCAAGTACTAATATCCAGAATCTACAAGTACTCAAATCAGCAAGGAAAATAAATAAATAAATAATTGCATCAGAAAGTGGCCTAAGGTCATGAATAGGTAATTCCCAAAAAAAGATATACAAATGGCCAAAAAACATACAAAAAAAGTTCATCATCACTAATGATCAGGGAAATGCAAATTAAAACCACAATAAGATACAATCTTACTCCTACATGAATTGCAGTAGTAAAAAATTTAAAAAATCATAGATGTTTGTGTGGATGTGGTGAAAAGGGAACTTTTACACTGCTGGTGGTAATGTAAATGAGAACAAGCACTATGGAAAACAGTGTGGAGATTCCTTAAATAAGTAAAAGTGGATCTACAATTTGATCCAGTATTCCCACTACTTGGTATCTACCCAGAGGAAAAGAAGCCATTATATAAAAAAATACTAGCACATGCATGTGTATAACAGTACAATTTTCAATTGCAAAAATATGGGTCCAGGCTAAATTCCCATCGACCAATGAGTGAATACATAAATATACAACAGAATACTACCTGCCTTAAAAGGGAATGAAATAATTGCATTCAGAGCAACCTGGATGTAGTTGGAGATGATTATTCTAAGTGAAGTAATTCAGGATTGGAAAACCAAACATCGTATGTTCTCACTTATAAGTGGGAGCTAAGCTATGAAGACACGAAGGTATAAGAATGATATAATGGACTCTGGGGATTCTGGGAGAAGGATGGGAGGGGAGTGAAGGATAAAAGACAACACATTGGGTACAGAGTATGCTGCTTGGGTGATGGGCGCACTAAAATCTCAGAAATCACCACTAAACCACCACTAAGGCAATCTGCAGATTCAACGCAATCCTTATCAAAATACCAATGACGTTCTTCACAGAAATAGAAAAAAACTATTCTAAAATGTATATGGAATCACCAAAAACCCAGAAAAACCAAAGCTATCCTGAGCAAAAGAATGAAAATGGAGGAATTGCTTTACCTGACTAAATTATACTACAAAGCTATTGGATACTATTCAGCAATAATTAAGAATGAGATCCTGTCATTTGCAAAAACATGGATGGACCTGGAGGTTATTATGTTAAGCGAAATAAATCAGACACACAAAGACAAACTTTGCATGTTCTCACTTACTTGTGGGATGTAAAAAATCAAAACAATTAAACCCATTTTGATCAAGAGTAGGTTGGTTACCAGAGAGACTGCAAAGGGTAGTGGAGGGTGGGAGGAAAGTGGTGATAGTTAATGGGTGCAAAATTAAAATAGTTAGAATTAATGAATAAGACCTAATATTTGATGGCACGATGGGGTGATTATAGTCAATAATAATTTAATTGTACATTTAAAAATTACTAAAATAATATAATTGTATTGTTTGTAACACAAAGTATAAATGCTTGAGGGGCTGAATACCCCATTGTCCATGATGTGATTATTATGCATTGCATGCCTGTATCAGGGTGTGTCATATATCCCATTAATATATACACCTACTATGTACCCACAATAATTAAAAATAAAATAAAACTGAAAAAGTTTTTCTTTCAATGTAAGAAGTAATGCCTCTTGTCCATTATAAAAATGCATAGATAAAATAATATTTTAATGTATAGGTTATTCAGGAAGACACACTAATAAACATTATGGTAGAAATTTTAACAGATTAGTGAATCACTGCAGGAATTGAAGAAGTGTCCTACAAGTTTGTTTCTCAATAAATTTTACAGATATGATTTTTTAAGATAGCAATTTGGTTTAATTGTTGATGAATTGTTATTGGTAAAACATTTTTTCATAATATTTTACAAATGCATTTTAGATTCCAGTTGCATATAATTATGTCTATACATAAATTACAAAAAATATAGATGTTATTCCTAATCAAAGCTCATAGAATGGTTTCTGCCACACAGTAAACATTCAAAATCTTAATAAATGTTTAATTAATGAATAAATTAATTAAAAAGTCAATAAACATAGACATTTTCAAATTTCCAAAAATACTACTAATTTATTCATAATACAAAGACAAATCAACAGATGACTCTTTTTGAGGTAAATTAATCAGGTAAGATGGTTTTTCGAAAGAAATTATTTGGTGATTGTAGAGCAAGAGGTTTCATATTGTGCATGTAGTATTTTGTCTCCAAATTTGTAGTTCTTTCCATTCATTTATTGATTTATTTGTTCATTTAACAAATGCTTGTTAAATGCCTATTATGGCATAATAAATGTGCGAGGCATGGCCATGGAATGAATAAAATTGTAAGCTTTGCCCCGTGCCTCAAAGTATCTAAATATATTGGCAAATACAGAGGCATCAAGAGGAACATTTGAACTCCAAGTTAAACAGTAACAACAATTAATCCCAAGAGAGTACTTTATAAACCCAAATGGTATTTTATGTATGTACAATTTACTGGTTGTCTGTTCAAATCATTTTCTCATGGTGGTTACTTCTAGTGCAGAAACCAAATTAGATGAGAAATTGCTAATCATCTAGTTCAAGTAAATGGAACTGGATAATCTTAAGGGATGCTTTCATCGTGCTGTGGGTTTGAAAAAAATTATTCTGAAGAATAATTTCAGTCTAAATAACTCTGTACATTAACTAAATATTCATTAAATATATACTATTCATAGCAAAACATTTTATTATTAGCAGTGTCAAATTGGTGCTCCCTCTCCTTGAGATTATGATTGACAAAAATGAACCTACTCTTTATTTATTCTTCAACAAATGTATCACCCTTTATGAGCCACTCTGTAAGGTGAAGAGGGATGTCCTGATAGAAAAGACCGACAGCTTGGACATCAATATTCTTACACATTTACTTTAGCATAATATATGTTTCTGCCATTATAGTCTTTGGCCATGAACAAAACTGGCTAAAATGTTCAGCTATGTATTTTATCTTAGCATTATTTGATTCCTTGAACACTTAAAGAAATATTAGAAGAGTTTGTCTCCAACAATCTGCATATGATATTTTAATTATAAACTAGTAAGTAAAAAGTTAAACTATAAAAACATGTATCTTACCAAATAGATGCACACAATTCTATTGGTTCTTTTTATACTAAAAAACATATCTTGCAAGAAGATCTCATATGCTTTTTCTTAGAATCCATTACAGTAAAGAAAGTTTTTTGTTATTTGATTTTAAAATGAGGTGAGAGTCTTTGTTGCAAGAAGTCTGTTCCCAGCTAACAGACAGAAACTTAGACACAGGTATTATTTCTTCAGCTGAAATATGTATGGAAAGTATTCATAGCACAAATAATATTTTAAAATGTTTCATTCTATTCAGGGAATAAAAATTTACACCTGGGATTGTATACATTTTTTGTAAATATTCTTATATATCATAATATTTTAATTATAAAATATTTAATAAAATACAATAGACTATGTAAAGTTTATAGAGTTTTGTTATTTATTTTATTTTTTCTGGTTGAAACTTGAAAATAATATTAGATAATTTTTATTCAGTCTCTTCTGTTTCTTGCTCAGGTTTCTTAGATAGATGCTTGTGTAAGATCTTGGGGAATTGATCACATCTGCACTGTCAAAGAAAAGCTTATATGAGTTTTGCACAAAATCAGATGCCGGAAATCTGTAAAAGAAAATCAATGATAGTTTACCTTTTTTCTCATTACAAAATCTTGGCCTATTATAGGCATATATAAAACTTAATGTATTTGGTATTCTCCATGATAGCTGCAGCTATTCCATATTACGTTTATGTACATATTATGTTTATAGATATGTGGAATTATTTAAGAATAGGAAATTTACTGACAAAGAGATATATTAATTGGGAGGTTTTATTTCTTCTCCAGTTGCTGGTTGAATTTAGCATTAAAAAATACAAGAAATAAATCATAAATCATCTTCCATGAAACTGAAGCTGTAGCTTTTCAAGCATTAAATAAGAAAAAGTTCATTGTGTCTTTCAGTACATGGACAGAAAATCACACAGGGAAAATTCTTTTAGAGGCTCTGATATGCGTAAACCCAGTGGAAAAGCCACTTTAATCTCCTTAGCTTTTACAGAATCTTCTTGATTTCTACATACATTTCTTGCTTTGTGTTTGGATTTTATGTCTTACAGTGATGACCCTCCCTGTTTTCATTACCTAGAAAAATACAGTAGGTATTGCATCAATTGTCTAGACAGTGTATAATAAAAATAATCTTAGAAATGTCCTAAATAATTTTAGTGACTCACTGTAGTATTCAGTTATAGAACAAAAATATACACAATTATAAATATCAATAATATGAATGGTTTGTCAGTGGAGGATATTTTTATTTTGCACAGAAAATAACTAGCAAATTGCATAAACTCAGTGTTTAAATTTATACTCTGGACATTTATGTATTCATATATATCGCTAAAGTACTTTTATGCATAAACTATATATAGATTATATGTTTATAGATGTTCTTATGCATATGCAGATGCATATTCATATGCATGTCCATATATACTCATACATATTTGTGTGTGTATATATGTGAGTATGCAAGTGTAGATTTATTATACAGTATTACATGTAGTGTAACACGTATATACTTACATTTAAAACAAAATTACATAGACAGATACAATTAGGAAAATTCATTTATTATGTTGTAAATGTAAAGCTTTGTCTTTGAAGTAGGGTCCAGAATCTTACCACTGGCTAGCTCTGTATCTTTGATCAAGTTACCTAATCTTTATAAACCTGTTTCCTCTTCTGGAAAATGTGTATGATACAAATCTATGTCCTTCAGAGTTTGCTATTGTAAGGATTAAATAAGCTAACGAATGCAGAGAAGAAAACTGCACAGTCTATTCTCTTGGTAGATACTCAATTAACATTGAACACCACTCCTCCTTATTCCAATCCCTGTTTAATAGCATCACTTTCATTGGGAGAAATTATGTGCATTTGTGTAGAGAAGAGTCCAATTTAAAAGAAATTGCAAAAATGTGTGTCTTCTCATACAATGAAAAAATAACAAAATTACTCTGAAGAAATTATTTTCTTACTTTTTACCTCAGTCGGCTAAAAGGATATTATCTCTGAGCACAAGCTATTATTAACACCAACAATTGTTTTTATCTTTCTCTTAGTGTTTCAAATTATCTGAAGTTATGCTTTAGGATGTATTCAAATACTTTAATCCATCTTCTGTGCTCATTATCCTTTTAGCTTCATACAACAATCATTTGGGTAGTTTGAGTTTCCAATTCACCAAACTGGCAAAGTGATGCTGTAATCAGTGTCCCCTCGATGCTAGTAAGACAGTTGCATTTCAACACCTCGCTGTTTGGGATCCTCTGCAGCTACTTATTATTGAGGAAAACTGCTCACAAGTCAATGTGGGGCACAGGAATTTGTTCAGCCACTGATTTTTATACATTAATTTCTATACTAAATTGAATACTAATTGACAATTTTACACAGTTCTTGGGCTTTTTTCTCAGTTTTTCTAATTCTCACAAGCATGAGTTTGGACAGTACGGTGCGTAGAATCCTAGTCAACACGTATATTTCTTTTATATGTTGTAACCGAAAGAAGAAGGGGTTAATGTTTTTTAATCCCAGCTGAGGTAATGCTCTACTATCCTCTTATCTTTGAGTTATTTATTAATAATTGTTAATTTTTATCGTTATTCATTTATCTAACATTAAACAAACATTACATGAGTACTAACTATGTTAATATGACCCAGTCACTGTTATATGTGTTAATATAACTACTCACATTCCTCATGGAGAAATAAATTAATAATAATGTTTACCAATTCATTCCTAAGTGTTTATGTCTATACAGTACAACCAACAAGCACCATAAAAACTTTGCTGAAATGGTATGTCCAGGTTTTCAATGTTATTGTTTCTCTGCTGAGTTAGATGATTGTCTCAGATATGAGTAGGGATGGGCTAATAATTGTATAACATTTAGAAGATTCACTTATTTGATATTACTTCCCTTGCTAAGCTGTGTCTTTTAAAAATTAATATTAAAAATATATATGAAAAACAAGGAACATGCCCTATAAAACAGAATAGAATTGATAGATACAGTTAACTCTAGTAGTATCTAAAGTTGTAGTCAGTTCAGTCCTCATATTTGGACAGGTTTTTGGTGACACAAAAGATGGGAAAATGGCAGGTCTACCCTGCAGTGCTCATGTCTTTAATACCAACTGCTACCTATTCTGATTTTATGTTTTGATGTTTCACATGATAGTTGTTTTGGAAATGTGTTTTACCACAAATAGTTGACAGCCATTGATCTAATCATTATTACAACTAACTGATATTACTATATGTTATTTTATCTTATAGAATATATCTAGTTTATAAACTGAACTATTGTTGGGTTTGACAATAATACTCTCATGAATTTTATTGATAGAAAATGAGTCAGTGTGTAAGAAAGTGAGGTAGAACATAACTGAACGATATTGCTGTAATCATCAAACTCAAGCGGTATATGCCATATGTAAAATTAGTCAACACTTTGTATTAGCTCATATTTTCATATTTCCTAAAACAGTGCTAACTAAATATATACATTTTAATAGTCTTTATTTTTAGAGCAGTTTTAGGTTTACAGCAAAACTTAATGGAATGTATGGAGATTTCCCATATACTCTCCCCTGACACATGTCTAGCCCCATTATCAACATCCCCCACCAGTGTGACGTGTTTGTCACAATTGGTAAATTTCACTGACACATTATTATCACACAAAGTCTGAAGTTTACATTCAAGTTCACTCTTCGTATTGTACATTTTGGGTGCTTAGACAAATGCATAATGACCTGTGTCCACCATTATATTATGATACAGAGTAGTTTCACTACTCTAATAATCCTCTGTGCTCTATTCATACTCACTTCTCTCTGAAAACAACTACAGTTCATGTATCTCGATCTGTTAATTTATTGGTTTCACGTAAATTGAAAAAAAAAATTCAGGCCGGGCATGGTGGCTCATGCCTGTAATCTCAGCACTTTGGTGGGGGCGGGCGAATCTTGAGGTCAGGAGTTCAAGACCAGCCTGGCCAACATAGTGAAGCCGCATCTCTACTAAAAATACAAAAAGTCAGCCAGGTGTGGTGGAGTGCACCAGTAATCCCAGCTACTTGGGAGGCTGAGGCAGGAGAATTGTGTGAACCCGGGAGGTGGAGATTGCAGTGAGCCGAGATCAAGCCATTGCATTCCAGCCCGGGAGACAGTGTGAAACTCCATCTCAAAAACAGAAGGAAAAAAAAAATCAGTATATCTTTTATATAGCAATGTCAGTGTTTTGTTGCTTTGTTACAGCATACTTAGCAGCCCAGTGAGTTATTATCATTTATCACAAAGGAAGAAATTGAGCCATTAAGAGCTCAGTTAACTTTCCCAAGGTCACAGAACTAGATAAATGATTCTGGTTTCCTTCAGTAAATTATAATGTCTCCTGAAACATTTTCAATACATTTATCATGGTGTTTCATGAAAGTGCTTGAAGTCCATAAATGTTCATGACTGACTAATCTACAAGTGGAGCTGATCATAGCAACTCTAACCCAGTAAGATTAGCGTGTTTTCCTAATTTTATTTTTTCAGTCGTAATAAAATGGTACAGAAAATATAATGTTTAATTAAATTGAACTCTATTTTTTTGAAAAAACTTTCAATATCAATTGACAGCTTATAACTATAAATTTATGAGGTACAAAGTGATGTTATGATTTATGCAAGCAAAGTGGAATAATTAAATTAAGCTACTTAACATATCCATCATCTCAAAATACTTAACTTTTTTTGTAGTGAGATAATCTGAAACTTACTATCTTAGCAATTTGAAATGTACAATATTCTATTATTAACTATATTCACTATGCTATTCAATAGACCTAAAAAAATAAGTGTTTCCTGTCTAAATGAGATTTTTGTACCCTTCAACCATTCTCTCTCCATTTCCTCCACACTTCAGCCTCTGTAACCAACATTTTACTCTGTCTTGCTGTTAGTTTGATTATTTTAGGTTCCACATATAAGTGAGAACATGTGGTTTTTGTCTTTCTGTGCCTGGTTTATTTCACTTAGCACACTGTTCTCCAGTTGAATCAATGCGTCGCAAATGACAGAATTCCCATCTCTTTTAAAAGCTGAATAGTATTATGTTGTATATATCAACCACATTTTCTATATCTATTCATCAGTGGATAAACATTTAGATTGATTCCATATCTTGGCAATTGTGTATAATACTGCAGTAAACACAAGAGTGCAGACATCACTTCTACAAACTGATTTCAAATCTTTTTGGTAATACCTAGAAGTGAGATTTCTGGATGATATAGGAATTCTATTTTTAGTTTTTGAGTAATCTTTATACAGTTTTCTATAATGGTTGTACAAATTTACATCCATACCAACAACATGCAAGGATTCTCTTTTCTTCACATCCTCGCCAACTGTTGTAAACTTTCATCTTTTGATTACAGCCATTCTGACAGGTGTGGAATGATACCTCCCTGTGGTTTTAATATGTATTTCCTTAATGATTAGTGATGTTGAGTATTTTTTCATACATGTGTTGGCCATTTGTATGTCTCCTTTTAAGAAATATCTATTTAGATTTCCTGTGCATTTTTATTTATTTATTTTTGCTATTGAGTTGTTTAAGCTCCTTATATATTTTGAATATTAATCCCTTATGAGATGTATGGATTGCAGATATTTTCTCCCAGTTATAAAGTTGCCTGTACACATTGTTAATTGCATTCTTTATTGTGCAGAAGCTTTTTAGTTTGGAACAAATCCATTTGCTTTTATATGCTTTTGTTGTCTGTATTTTTGGGGTCAAATTCAAAGCATTATTGCCCATATCAATGTTGTATAGTTTTTCCCTATGTTTTCTTCTAGTAATTTTATATTATCTGGTTAAGTCTTTAATCCATTTTTAGTTGATTTTTGTACACAGTATGAGATAAGGGCTCAATTTTATTCTTCTGCGTATGGATATGTAGTTTTCCCAACACCATTTATTGAAGACTATGCTTTTCCAATTGTGAATCCTTGAAATTTTTGGCAAAATTCAATTGACTATACATGTGTGGAATCATTTCTGGGCTTTCTATTCTTTGTCATTGGTCAATGTGTCCATTTTTTTTAACAGTACTGTGCTGTTTTAATTACTATTGCTTTGTAGTATAGTTTCAAATTAGAAAGTATGATACCTCCAGCTTTGTTCATTTGTTTTTTGTTCTTCATTGTCTTGCTTATTTGGGATTTATTTGTGGTCCCATACAAAAAATTACATTGAAATTTTGTTAGGAATTGCATAGAATCTGTAGATTGGGGTAGTATGTACATATTAACAATATTAATTCTGCCAATCTATAATGACAGGAGAGCTTTCCATTTATTTGTGTCTCCTTCAATTTCTATAATCAATGCTTTATAGTTTTCAGCATATAGTTACTTCACCTCTTTGGTTAAATGTACACCTAAGTTTGTATGTATGTGTTTATTTGTAGCTAATGTAAATGATCTTGTTCTCTTGAATTTTTTCTTCAGATAGTTTATTGCTACTCATTTTTGTGTGTTACTTTTTGTTAGGCAACTTTACTATCTTTTTATTATATCTAAAAGTTTTTTAGTGAAGTCTGTAAGGTTTTATATGTAAGATAATATCTTTAGCAAACTGATAATTTCACTGCTTCCTTTTATATTTGGATGTCTTTTATTTATTTATCTTGCCTAATTACTCTGGCAAGAACTTCTAACAATATGTTAAACAGAAACCAGAATTGTCATCCTTATCTTGTTCCAAACTAGTTTCACTTTTCTTTTTTCTTTTTTTGATATTTTTATGTGAATGTTCTCTCAATTATTCTTTTTTGTTTGTTTTCTTTAAGTTCTGAGATAAAGTGCAGAACATATAGGTTTGTTACATAGGTATATGTGTGCCATGGTGGTTTGCTGCACCTGTCGACCCATCTTCTAAGTTCCCTCCCCTAGCCCCCTACCCCCCAACGGATCCTGGCATGTGTTATTCTCCTCCCTGTGTCCATATATTCTCATTGGTCAACTCCCACTTGTGAGTGAGAACATGCAATGTTCGGTTTTCTGTTCCTGTGTGAGTTTGCTGAGGATGATGGCTTCCAGCTTCATCCATGTCCCTGCAAAGAACATGATCTCATTTCTTTTTATGGCTGCATACTATTCCATGGTATATATGTACCACATTTTCTTTATCTAGTCTATCATTGATGGGCATTCGGGTTGGTTCCATGTCTTTGTTATTACAAATAGTGCTGCGATAAACATACGTGTGCACGTATCTTTATAGTAGAATGATTTATGTTCCTTTGGGTATATACCCAGTAATGGGATTGCTGGGTCAAATGGTATTTCTGGTTCTAGATCCTTAAGGAATCACCATACTGTCTTTCACAATGGTTGAACTAATTTACATTCACACCAACAGTATAAAAGCGGGTTTCACTTTTCACCATTGAATATAATATTAGCTGTAGGCTTCTAATCTTTATTGTGTTGAGGTAACATCTTTATACACCTAATTTAATGAGTGACATTTTTTTTGAAAGGAGGTTAAATTTGTCAAATGCTTTTTCTGCATCTAATGAGATTATCATGTGGTTTTCTTCTTTCTGTTAATGTGATGTATCTCATATATTGATTTGTGTATGGTGAACCATCTTTACATCCCAAGAGTAAATCCCACTGAATCATGGTGGAAGATCCTTTAATGTGTTGCCAGATTCAGTTTGCTAGTATTTTGCAGAGGATTTTTGCACCTATGTTTATCAAGAATATTGGCCTAAGGTTTTCTTTTTTTTTTTTTGAAAAGGGAGAAAAAAAATGAATTTCAAAGCATCTTTGTGATGTTAATAATAAAGACAAAGTAGTTGTGAAATCGCATATGTGATTTTAATTCTATTAAGCTCATTATTAAAATACATAAAAGGGATGAGAAAATGTCAGAGGAGATGTAATTTTCAGATTATGATGGTATGCTATTTCTATTAAGAAAGAGCTGGTAGATGGTATAGAAATAATTACAACTTCAACATTAGGCATGTGTATGCCCCAACTGCCAAGAAACTCTTCTAATTTTGGCCATTTTCTTACAATAAATACAGGAATATGTTTAAATAAATACTTGTGCCACCTCTAGAAATATCTTGGCCGATGCAGATGGAACCTGCCCATTTTGTGCATTCAAATATACCATAAAATGTTTACTGTGTATTCTAATTTGTTTTTGTTGTTGTACTCTCAGGTGTTAAGCATGTTTTAAGAGAAAGACAATCCTATGTATGCAATTTTTCTTGGGATGTAATGTCATGTTTTACTTCAGAGCTGTGGTTGGGAAGGTAAGAGAAGAGTGGGGAGAAAGGTAAAAGGATGTGGGCAAGGAAGATAAAAATACAGAAAACATTTAAAAATGTAGTCAGCCTTCAGGTCTCATATGTACAGCCAAATATAAATATTATAAATATTATAATTTTTTTAGCCAAAAGAAGAATGCTTCGACCAACTTGAGTCTTCAGTCCCTCCTTCTTTTTACCCTTCCTGTATACTCTGTTTTACCTGTGCAGATCCTGATATCATCTGAATTTGAGATCACTCAAATTGAATAAACATTTTATTTCTTCTGATTATTTTTACAACAGTAAGTACAATAGCTTGATTATAATAAATGATCAATAATAATTTATAAATATAAATTAAATATATCATAGCTTATTGTCACTCTGTCAATTAATTTGGGCAAAAGTCATATAAGAACATAAGCATAAAAATTCCACACAAGTTTTTCTAAATAATTCAATAATCCTATATGATCTTAAAAAATACTTTTCATATCTTTCTTTTGGAGAAAAAATGAAATTTATCCTGATTCAGAAATGAAACAATAATAGAGTATAAGTAGAACTTAAGAAAATTCCAAAAGAGATTATTCTCTCTTAAATAATTCAGTGTGGAAATGAATTGGGTTTAGTGTGATAATCTCTTTGAGAGATCTCTAAAATGATAAAGTATAATTTAAAGCATCTGTGGCCTACTTATTAAATTATTAATGTCAAGTGAGAAAGTGTTATTGCTGGTGCTGAACCAAAAAATTTGTCTGTGCGTGCAAAAGGGTTCTTTTTAAAATTTTTCCCTAACAAGTGTGAGCAGGACTTTGGTTTGGTTGTGTGCTTTCTTCATATATCACAAATACCATTTGATATGCAAAATCATTGGGAAAGCATCAATTATGCAGAGGCAGTTAAGTGAAGTATACTAATATGCAATGATTCTAAACTACCACAGGGTGGTAGGAGATTCACTTTCCACAACATTTATCTAATTAGCAGAACTAACTGCTTTGCTATACTTCTACCACAATCAAATCCCTTATTAAAAACTATATCATTGTTACTGCTCAATAAGAGTGAATAAAATCTCCAAGGCAAAAATTATACTTTGGGATATGCTATACTTAAAGTTCAATTCAACTAGAAACAACAAGTATCCATGTATTAATTTGGTTGATTTGCATGTTTACATATTTTACTTCTTTTTCATAAAAGACAATTTACTTTTAATGATTAATGTAGGGGAAGTTCACAGGACATTGTAACAAATGTATCATATTATATGTTGTAGAGCCACCTAAATGACTATTTCAATACAAAATTCCAAATATGAAAATATACATATATGTATTATTGAATCAAAACTTTAGAGTTAGAAACAATTCTCAAATATATAGGGCCCCACTTTCTTATTTTACATGTATAAAATTACAGCTAGGATATATTACAAAGATCACATTGATAATTTGTGGAGGAAATAACTCTAGTAACTAAATCTATGGAATACAAGCTATTTATTGTATTTAAATTATGCACAATTATGTGGTCATCCAGAGTCTTACTATTAGGTTTAAAGATATGCAGAACAATTAGTTGGTGAAAAATGAGTTTTATTTTCATTATTTCTTATGTGTGTTCATAGGGTATTGGTGGAAGTATTTATATACTTTACATATTTAGTATTTGAGTAACAATTTTATTTATTAGTTTTTTTTTTAACCAGGTCAAAAGCTAACTTGTACCCACTTTATTGTCTACTTATATGAAAAAAAAATGAGATTGAAAAGAGTTTACTAGACTTGTTTGTTCCATCAAATATTACCATTTGAATTTTTATTGCCTCTTAAAAATATTTCACATATTATTATATATACCCACTTTAAAAATGTGTTAATCCCATCATGAAATTTTAATTATTGTTATTTTCTATGTGGATTGCAATACAACATATCTATCTAAACTAGAAACACTTAGCTATTTCTTAAATGCTTGTTAAAAGTAGATTTCACCTTCCAAAATATTTAATTCTTAAGTGCAATATTCAAGACACGTTTCTCTTCTGTGTTTTAGTTTACATATATATACACAGACACAGATATACCCACACATATATATTAAACAATACACAGCTCAAATTCTAATTTACATTCAGGAACTAAATACTAAAATTATTTTTAAAGTTTTACCTTTCCCAAAGACATTTTTATACATCTGTAATTACATAGTTTTACATTATTAAAAAGTTATGATTATTTTCATTCTATATAATTTGGAAGGAGAGAGTACTGTGTTGGGTGTTAAGAAGAATTTGTATGTAAATTATGTTTTACCCTAATTATTTTAAATATTTTCTGGTATATAAACACTACAAATACTAAATCATTTCCATTCTCCAAGCCAATGTTCTATAATACCAGTTTTAATACATACAAAAAAGTAGGCATAAAGACTTTAAAAAAGACAAAAAGTAACATGGTGAATTAGTGCTATAAAATTGTGTTAAAAAATAGTGAGGAAATATGACCAGAGTTTATTAGGGCAAAAAATTGAAACACATGATAGGTAATTAAGATACAAATATAGTATTACTTGGTAAGTCAGAAATAATTAAGATACAAATATAGTATTACTTGGTAAGTCAGAAATCTGTAGGAAACATAATAAGGAAAGGAAAAGTGGTGGAAATTTGTTGAAGGAAATGTGACCCTTAGGTGGAGGCAGGCCGGATGGGAGTGGTGAAGCAGAGGATGTTGTCATATAGATCCTAAAGGTTTCTCACCACGGAGCCAGTAATAAAAGTATAAAAATCCACAAATAAACCCTAATGGTATCTTAGTTGTAAATACACTGAATTTGAGAGATTGGCATTATATTCTAGTAGAAATATTAAATCTTAGAGACTGTGGGACAATCACATGGGAGATATTTTTATTACAAAGTGAAATTTGGAGCCATATGTAAAAAAGGATGTGAATACATTGAAATGAATGAGAGGAAAGTACTAAGGGTTAAAGACAAATTTTGTGAAATGTCAGAATGTAAAAGACTATGTGAAAATTAAAAATATGAGCTACCATGGAAACCAAATAAACAAAAATGCTATGGGTCACCCAATCAGATGGATCATGTCATTCATTTGAGCCCTCAGACATGTTGTGGTTCCCTAACTAGACTGGAAAATTCATCATCTTCTCCACAGACACCCCTAACACTTTATCTCATTGAATAACTATTATTTTTATAGACAAATTTCATATGGCATTCAATAATATCAAAGAGCATACAAATAAGGTTGTTGTTAATGTTTTGGACATCATCAGTTATGAGTAGGGATTGGGGAGTGAAAATAATTCTGTCAAGCCAATGATAATAAGAGAAACATTTAATTGTTTGGAAAATAGTTTTATTCCTCAGGATCATGATTCTTATTTTACTCATACATGAAGACAAAATCAGAAAATATACATAAACTTATTTTTTGATTGATTGTAAATGCATTTATATGTCTTCAATCAAGAAAATAATCATATTTTAAACTTATTATACCTATAATCAATAAAATGTAAAATGTAATTTAAATCAAGTCTTCTTCCTTCCTGTTGACTTTGGATAGTCTGATGACAATATGCTTGGTGAAATTAGTTTTGCAATGTATCTTTTAGCAGTTCTCTGAGTTTCTTTCAGCTGGGTTCTAAACCTCTGGTAAGACCAGGGAAGTTTTCCAACTCTTCTTATTATCTGGAAAACTTATGAGCAGTTAAGAGTCCCTACATTTTGATGTTTTTCATGATGGCCATAGTATATTTAAGAATAATATTTTAGAAACTATTTTTCTTTTAAATAGAAATACAAAATAAAGGGTCTAAAATGTTTACGTGTTAGAACTAAATGTTTAAACATTATAACTAAATGGTTTTTTAAATAAACTAAAAAAAAACCTGTGGTATTTTAATTTTATACTTCATTACTCCATATTACTCCATGACACAAAATTAAAAATGAAGATGCAACTAAGATGACAAATTATTTTAATTGATATACAACTGCAAATATCTCATTGGTAAAGTACTTTGTCTTTTACTTTCCTGGATTCTTTAGGCATAAATAATAGTTACAAATGCTTCGTAAAGGAATAGAAACCCGTATAGTACTTATGTAGAAAGAAATTTACTGGAATATTAGCTTTAATATAAAAATTTTAATCTAAGGCTTCATATTATTATACAGCATAGAAGTTGAAATATTATGAAACCATTAATATGTTCACTCTCAATGGCAAAAGGTAGATACAATACCATAAACAAAAATAATGCCTATTTTAGTTCCCATTGGCTGCCACAAAAATTACAACAAACCACATGGCTTTAAACAACAGAAATGAATTATTTCACAGTTCTGTATTCCAGTCTAAAACCAAGTTTTTGGCATGGTCTGTTTCTTCTGGAGTCCTTGAAAAAGAACATGTCCCACTCCTCTACCCCAGTTCCTGGTGACTGCTTGAACTTTTTGGCATGCCTTGGTTTGTAGTTGCATAACTTCAGTCTTAGTCTCCAACTTCACATAGCTTCCTCCGTTGTATTTCTTCTTGTCCAAATCTGCCTCTGATTCGATCTTATAGGGACATCTTCATTGCTTGTAGGGCCCACCCTAATTTCAGAATGATTTCATCTGAAGATTCTTGTCTTAATTACATCTGAAAAGATGTAGTTTTCAAAATGAAGTAGGTTTCCTGTGTGTGTGTGAGTGTGTGTGTGTGTGTGTGTGTGTGTCCAAACAAGGTCTTATTTCCCAGGTTCTGGTGATTAGGACTCAAACCTATCTTCTGTGGGGGCCACTGTTCAATCCATTCCAGTGTCAATCAAGTTATAAAAAAAATACGAAACACTTACTATATGCTCTGTCATGTACTAAGTGTTTTGAGAGCCATTAGTTTATTTAAGTACCAAAATGAACCTATGAATAATTCTGCCTCTGAAGGAAGAGTTTCTAGTTTCAAATGCTGGCTCCATCATTGGCATATAACCTGACTTTATCACGCTTCAATTTTCTCATCTAGAAAGCGGGCATAATAAGGATTGTTGTATTTAGTGAGCTAATATAAAAATATGTGTATGTTAAAAACACATAATAAATCTAACAAGCACACCACAAAACGAATAGTAAATATATTTGGTACTGCAAGTTGGATTTTCAATTATAATGAAATAACTGACTAACAAATCTGTCCGTTCTCCAAAAACAAGTAGAAACTGCATGAAATATTTGAAACAATGATTTTTGAATCATGAGTCACAGGAAAACATATAACAATGGCCAATGAGAGAAGGAAAATTAGCACTGTGGGTGACACAGCCAACCCAAACTCTGTCTGGCGGCAGTTTCCTGATCTTAGTGCAGACAAGGGAACTGAAACACAACAAAGAACTTACTGAAATGTAGAGATAATTGAATTTGGGTAGGATAAGAAGTCTGAAATTTGTAAAGCAGAATTTGTAAAGAGAAGCAGATCAGCATAAAGATCACTTTCAGTTGGGGTTAGGATTCTCGGTTGCTTATACATAATCAGAAAATTCCCAAGGCTTGAAAACATTTTTTACAAAGACCTATAAACGTAACAATTCACATAATTCATACAAGATTGAAAAAGCTTAACATTATCCATGTTTTATCAAATTTGAACTATCAATTCTTTAGAATATATATGACATATACATATTTAACAATTTACATTAGGCACACATAAAAATGTCATTAAAGTCACTCATAAGAAAATACAAAATTAAATAATTCAAACTTAAAGCTGTTAGAACTTTATCCTGAGTCTTGAGAGGAATGCAGGTATATAACCTGAGTCATGCTGCATGTAGCTGCAACTTGTTTTTTTTTGTTTGTTTGTTTGTTTTGTCTTTTAAACTTCCTTGAAATATAGTAATCTGTAACCAATCAAATTGCTGTGGTGTGTGCACTTGGTCTTGTACAGAAAATGTTGTAATCCTGCTAGAACTTCTGTTTTTGCCTACATAATTGAAACTTTAACTTTTCCACTTTGCAAAATGCTGCCCCCATTCATTTAGTGTCCATGATTTCCCCCAGTGACCAACCTCAAGCTTTGTACTTGAATAGACTGGATAATTAATCATATTTTCTGAGTCTCATTATTTAAGTTTGAAAAAAGCCACCAGCCCAATGAAGAAGGGCAAAAACATTGAGCAGATCTCAAAAAGATCTATAAATGTACCGATATATTTACTATATGAACAAATAGCACAACAAATACTGAACATTTTTTGACATTGGTGAAATGTGGATATCATGTATTGGCAAGGATGTGCACCAACTGGCATTTTTGTAGAATATAAATGTATATCTTGTTTGGGATGGTGATTAACTAGACATACACATTTGTCAAAACTTGTGAAACTGGAAATTGTACATTTAAATTGAGTGTATTTAATTTTGTGTAAAATGCACTTCTATAATATGGATTTAGAAAGTAATAAATATTTTGAATAACAAAGTGTTAGACTTTGAATTAATTTAATATTTTCTTTGTAAATTTGTTAATCTTCAATGATACATGTGCCTTCCTTTTATAATTAAATGAATAAACAGTTAATATAAATGACTAATTGGGTCAAGTCTCTTTTTTTAACTAGTATAAATACATCTTAATGAGACAGTCAGTTGGAGCACTCTGAAACTTTGGTCCTTAGAATAAATACATGAGTGATTTATACAATAGCAGTGAGTGTTTGTGCTACATTTTAATTCACTAACATATACCAACCAGTATGGGAAGCAGAAAAATCTACTCTGTTAATCAGGGCATGCCTGCTGACCTCTTGAATTTTATTCTATATTTCTTGATCCCCAGGTAAAGCATTAAGGTCTGACCTGCTCTATGTCTGCACATGCATTGATTTGTAACACCAAATAAGGCAGCACAATCAAAGAGAAAAGTCAGACAGAAACATCAGCTCCTTGCATAAGATGAAAGCTCTGCTGTTAATCATACTATTGATGGCATCACTAATGTAGTTAGCAACTAAATTTAGAAAAAGAGAAAGGATTCATTTATCCTCATCAAATCTGCTTTCATGCCTGTGTTCTTAGGAAAGTGGACTGCTAATTATCTAGGATATTTGTGCATTTAAAATTTAGTCCTTTCTTCCTTTCTTTCTTCCTACCCTTCTTCCAAGCCAGTGTGTTTATGAAAATAAATACTGAAGTAACACCTTCCACCATAACACATTCAATAATGCCATAACCTGTGCAAACCTTCAGACAAAAAAACTTTCTTACTTGTTGATTAATCTCATACATAAACATGTTCAAACTAAAACAAAGAGAGAACATAGGAATAATTTTTAGAAGCAAGTTTGTAATGTAACTAATACATTTAGTGCCAGAAGGTGAACATGTATACATGTGCAACTTCATTGTTAAAATATTTTGAAAAGTATAAAGTACTAATTAGCATAATAAATATACAATAATATTATCTATTACCAGAAGTAGCACAAAGCCCTTGATTATCAAGTTTTAGAGTGTCTCCATTGTTGCTTTGTGAGATATTCTGGGGACTGAGCGAAAACTTTCTCTTTATTAACAACAGGAAAATTATAATGTATTGGCTACTCTGAAAAGTGAAATAGCTACAAAACATTGTAAAGAAAACCTGAAATTCTTCATTAACATTAAAATTTGACCACTAATCTTGGTGAGTTCCTTATTTCAAACAGTAATTCCTATTTCATGATATTTAAAAATTATTAGTAACATTAGAGTTCATATAGCGCCTCCCAATCAGCAAACACACTATTACCGGAGAAGAAATTGACATATTAACTACATGAATCCTTTCATTGTTGAATCATTCCAGTTAAACACAAATACACACACACACAGATACACACACAGACACAGATACACACACACATACACACACACCTGTTTTTCTCCCCCTGTAGAACTACAACTGTATGTTACTGGTATAAGTTCAGACCTCTAGCATCAGATAACAAATACCCTTCACCTTCTACATAAATAGATAGTCCTTCCAATTTTGAAAGCCAGTCTAGGGTCTTAAATGCTTCTCTTCTAGGCTGTCTAAAGTGAGCAGTAGTATGCTGAAGCAAGATTGAACTGCCTCTTGGTACGGAATTGGTAGTGAACTTTCAGGAATTTTGCTAGCCTTTATATAAGGTTGGTAGCTTGAAACTGGGCATGACAAAATATTTACATCATGGTAATCAGCAAATAGTGCAAATCAAGGCTTCTTTCCTACTGACCTCCAGCTGGTTACTAATCATTTACCAAAACATCAGTGATTATATTCCTTTTCAAAAGTAATTGCTCTTTCAGAAAAAGAAAAAAATTGGAGAAAGGGAAGGAAAGAAAGGAAAGGCAGGGCAGAGAAAAAGCACTATAAACTTCCCTGTTAACACTGCTTTAGCTGTGTCCCAGAGATTCTGATATCTTGTATCTTTGTTCTCATTAGTTTCAAAGAATTTCTTGATTTCTGCCTTAATTTCCTATTTACTCAAAAGTCATTCGGGAGCAGATCATTTAATTTCCATGTGATCGTATGATTTTAAGCTATTTTGTTAGTATTGATTTCTATTTCTATTGCACCATGGTCTTAGTATGGTTGGTATGATTTCGTTATTTTTTTAAATAGGCTGAGGATTGTTTTATGTCCAATTGTGTGGTTGACTTTAGAGTATGTGCCATATGGTGACAAGAAGAATGTATATTCCATTGTTTTGGGGTGGGGAGTTCTATAGATGTTTATTAGGACCATTTGGTCAAGTGTCAAGTTCAGATCCTGAATATCTTTGTTAGTTCTCTGCCTTAATGATCTATCTAATATTGTCAGTGGGATGTTGAAGTCTCCCACTGTTATTTTGTTGTTATCTAAGTTTCTTCATAGGTCTCTAAGAAGCTGCTTTATGAAACTGGGTGCTCCTTTGCTGGGTCTGTATAGATTTAGGGCAGTTAGGTCTTCTTCCTGAACTGAACCCTTTACCATTATTTGATTCCCATTTTTTGTAATTTTCAAATTGTTGTTGGTTTAAAGTTTGTTTTGTCTGAAACTAGACTAGCAACCCCTGCTTTTTTTCTGTTTTTCATTTTCTTAGTAGATTTTTCTCCATCATTTAGTTTGAGCTTATGGGTGTCATTGCATGTGAGATAGTTCTTTTGAAGACAGCATACAAATGGGTCATTATTTTTTATCCAATTTGCCATTCTGTGCCTTTTAATTGGGGCATTTAGCTTATTTACATTCAAGGTCAGTACTGAAATGTGCGAATTTGTTCCTGTCATTCTGTTGTTAGCTGGTTATTATGAAGACTTGATTGTGTGGTCACTGGTCTACGTATTTTGATGTGCTTTTGTAGTAGCCAATAACGGCCTTTCCTTTTCATAGTTAGGATTCTCTTTGGGACCTCTTATAAGGCAGGTCTTGTGGTAACACATCACCTCAGCATTTGCTTCTCTGAAAAGGATTTTATTTCTCCTTTGCTTATGAAGCTTAGTTTGACTGGATATTAAATTATTGGCTGAAAATTATTTTCTTAAGAATGCTGAATGTAGGCTACCTGCCTATTCTGGCTTGTATGATTTCTGTTAAAAGGTTGGGTGTTAGCCTGATGAAGTTCCCATTGTAAGTGATATGCCCCTTCTCTGTAGCTGCCTTTAACTTTTTTTTTCCTTTTATTTCAACCTTGGAGAATATGACTATGTGTCTGGGGATGGTCTCTAATGTAGTATTTCATGTGGCTTCTCTGCATTTCCTGAATTTGAATGTTTGCTTCTCTAATGAGGTTGGAGAGATTTTCATGGATGATATCCTGAAATATGTTTTCCAGGTGGCTTGCTTTCTCTCCTCCTCTTCCAGGGATGCCAATGAGAAATAAATTTGATCTCTTTAAATAATCTCGTATTTCTTGGATATTTTTTATTCTTCTTTATTTTTTCTTTATTTTTGTCTGACTGAATTATTTTGGAGAAACAGTCTTCAAGCTCTGAGATTCTTTCCTCAGCTTGGCTGATTCTGCTGTTAATACTTGTGTCTATATTCTGAAATTCTTGAAGTGAGTTTTTCAGCTCTATCAGATAAGTTTTTTTTATTTTTTTAAAAAAAGCCATATGTCTTTCAGCTTCTGTATCATTTTATTGTATTCCTTAGAATCCTTGGATTGGGTTTTGACTTTCTCCTGAGCCTCTATAATCTTTATTCCTATCCATATTTTGAATTCTATTTCTGTCGTTTCATCTATTTTAGCCTGGTTAAGAACCATTCCTGGGGGACTAGTGTGGTGGTTTGGAGGAAAAAAGAACAAGAAGACACTCTGGCTTTTTGAGTTGTTAGAGGTTTTGCACTGGTTCTTTCTCATCTTTGTGAACTGATGTTCCTTCAATCTTTGAAGTTACTGTCCTTTGATTTTTTTTCTTTTTGCTTTATCTTCTTTGATGTCATTGGGAATTTGATTGTGGTATAAGGTGGGTTCAGTTAATTGGCTTTGTTTCTGGAAGATTTTAGGTAGTCAAGGCTCAGTTCAGCACTACTGAGCTGCATGCTGTAATTCTGGGGGGCTGGTATTGGCCCCAGGCTTTGTTCTGTGGTCTCTCGAAGTTAGAAATCTGTGCTGGAGGGGCCAAGGTGTTGAGCTGCTGGCCACAACACTCTGATGGATGGTGCCAACCACTTTGTTGGGTTGTAGCAGCAGAATCCATGATGAATTACACATGCCAGCAACAGTGGCAGCATAGCAGGATGCATGCTCATCAGCTGGGGTGGGGCGCTGGTGGGTGTAGTGGTGTTGGCCTCCATGTGGGTGTTCACAGCTGCACCGATGGTGGCGTGAGGGAAAGGGATTGGGGGTATGGCCTCTTGTCTCCTTGTGCACATTCACACTGGTAGCAGTGTTGGCCTGGGGCCAGGGTACTGATGGGTGCACGGCTGGCAGCCACCATGCACACATTCATGCCAGTGCAGTAGCAGTGCTCATTTTCTTGAATTCCTAAATGATTACAATTTTTTTCTGTAATACTGTGCAAACATTGTTTTCAGAGGAGAAAGTTACATTTAAATATATTTCAGATAAGAAAATCGTAAAATTCCCATCAATAACCATAGACATATTTATTGACAAGCTGAGAGGGGTGAGGTGAATACTATATACTTTCAATAAAACTTGGTTTAGGAAACTATAGCAAATTTTTACATTTCTCTTCATGACCACTGTAACTGTCTTCTAATTTTGTTATTTCAAGATTTCTCCTTTTGAATGCATTCTCTGGAGTGCTGCCTAAGGTACCTTACTAAAATGTAAGTATTATTAAGTTACCACTTCGTTTAATTTTTCCCCAATGGCTTTCCATCACTATAGATTTGTAAACGATTCTTAGAATGTAATATGTGCTCTTTGACCTATAACCATCTTCCATTCCATTCAACATTTCTCAATTCAAACACTTAACAGTGAGTAGCTAATGTATGTTAGCATTAGATACCATGGAGATATATAAATGGATATGGCATGGCTCGTGAATTAAGGAAGTTACATTCTGGATAAGAAAACAGATAAGTAAATAGATAACCCCATACCAGAGTTTACAAAATAACCCATACTATAGCCCAAATTCACAGATGAAATGAAATCTTTGAATTCAGTTTATTTTAACTCTAGTTCTTCCCTAAATACATACCAACACATTACTAGGGAAATAAATACAAGAAACTAAATATTTCATGTGAGTAAAGTATATGGGAAAGCATAAACATTCTCTGGAGATTAATGTTTCCTCTCACTTAGAAAATACAAAACAGCCACAACTCTTAGCTTTGCTTCTCCTCCCTCATTATTTTATTTAAAATAAGGTTATTTGTTTATTCATTTAGGATGAGGTCCATGCTTATGCAACCATGTGGAAGTAGAGGAGAAGACAATGGGGTTTTATAATGGCATCTGGAGATTTGTTATTTTCTGATATATGTATATATTTGGGGAAAATTCCCTTTCCCATAGGTACATCACTTCCCTTGCTGGAATTCCTAGTGAAGTAGTTAAAGTATGCTCTTCTGGCATACTGACTATTTAAGCTAAACACACTTGAAAAATAGCAGGTGCAAGATCACTCTGATCTTTGTGCTGTTTCTCAAAGCAGAAAACAGAATTCCTGTATGAAAGCCGTTCTTATACTAGAAGGAAAAACAACATCCTTATGTTCAAGGACAAGAAGTCAAGACCAAGAGAAGTCTGTGCTGACCTTGCAAAAATAACTCATCTTTTAAGCCTTCTCATATAATTTAGTCACAGCTTAACAAATGACTATTCTTTGTCCAATTCATTATTTAAGTAACTGGCTCTAACTGCTTCTTTGAGGTCTTCATGTCTTTAATAACTAAAATGCATATTGTGTTTTTCTCCTGTTAATCTATTAAGTCAATTTAATTCTTGAACCTAGCTAGCCAGGACCCTAAGAGGATAAAGGTGGAGTTTTGCTGCCTTTACATTAGTCACATTTGACAGCTGATACCATTACAGCCAGTTCTCTTGACTTACTCAGGCACAGGTGGTATATTCTGGATGACTTGCTTTCACCTGGAACCAAGCTGTCTCCAGGCTTTTCAGTATCTTTCAGAGGTCGAGTCTCTAGCAGATGAAGCATTCTTGTCTTCAGTAATCCCATGTTTTACTAACTCTAATTAATCTTTCTCCTCATCCCAATTTCTCTGGGTTTGTAAATGAGGCGGGACTAGTGTATTTCCCCTAGGCTCTCTCCTATTACCCGGAGCATGCCGAACTGTTATAAGTTAAAAGGGATATCTTCTCTGTAATAGCAGTAAAATCTGTGACTGGAGCCTATGCTGTACTGAATTGAGATATCTTTACGTTTTTAGAAAATCATCAGATAATAACATGCTTTGCAAGTATTCTGTGTTTATACGATCCTATTGTTTAATGTCCGCATCTACTGTTTCTGTAATTTTCCCTTGAGCAATGAAAGCTTTGAGTTAGCTTGTATGAAGTGTTTATACTCAGAAAGGCAGACAAAAATTTATATTATTAATTTATAACTTATTATATAATACATTTTGGTCATTGCTAGTAACCCAGACTGGGGGAAATGAAAATCAAAGAATTCCTAGAGAAACTACACCCTAAGATAAATTTTGTAGGCTCATTAGGAATTATTCAGGTAAAGAAAGTATGCTTCGAGCAAAAGTGAAACATAAGCAAAGTGTGTTAGAGCTGAAAGAGCATAATGCATATGGAAGAATACAAGACTACATGACCGATATGCAGCATCTGAGGAATGGATGGATGGCAATAAGACTAGAGACAGAAGGAGGACAAGGTTAGGCTTTGTGTAGGGTGCAGTTTTTGAACATATACTGAAGGCTCTAACAAAAAGAAAATTTCTCTAAGGGAAGATCAAATGTATTAAAATTATATCTGAAAACTATATTTGAAGGAAAGAGAATGGATTGGGCAAGAGAAGAAATCTAAAGGCAAGAAAACAAAGGTACTTAGATAAGTTATAATAAAAAATATCAAGAAATAATTCCCACATACCTGGTTCAGCGATTTTTTGAAATATATATTTTTTAACTATGTAAGCTAAAAGTTTATTTTATAGTCAATGAGAACCATGAGAGAAAAGAAAGTTGTTTGACATGATACTTAGAATGTAAAACATTGAAGTGATTCTTTGTGTGACAAAGATGATGAGAAAGGTTAAATTATATTTACCATATGTACATAAGGGAGAAGCAGATACAAACATTAGTCAAATGGTGTTAATATATTTTATATTAGATTAATATCTATTTTATGTCTTGATCATCCCCAAATACTGTCCTGTCCAGTCATGACAAAACACAGTACATTCTCTTTGATACAGTATAATCAATAAGAATTTGATGTGGCTTAGAGACAGAGTGAGAAAAAAAGAAGATGTTGATGAGTGAGGAAATAGAGAAAATATTTCAAAATTCAACAGTACCATTGCCTAATGGTGCGTACTGTTAGAATTTGCCCCCAGACACAGTGACATTGAAAAAGTGTGCCTCTGCACGTGCTATGCCTCTGCACATCCCTATAGTAGATTATCTATATTTTCTATCCTCTCCCACATATTCTATTCCCAGTATTCTTGGAAAACACCTAGAGTCCATTTTTAAGTTTAAGGCTCAACTTTATTTTAATCCCTTTTCATATTAAAAATTTTGTTTAATTACACTTAAGTATTTCACTTCTGGGTTTTCATGGGTTTAGCACCCTGTATACTTGATTTCCATGGTACTATTTGATTTTTAAATTCTGTGTTAAATTGTGTTAACTTCAACTGCACTTTTACATTTAAAGGCCTATATTACATTGTGTTATTTATTTTTGTTTATATTTTTTCTTCTGGACTTTAAGTCTCTGGAGTGCAAAAACTAAGTTGTTTTTATTTGAATACCTAAGAGTGGGATGCTTTCTACCACCTAATAGGTGCCTGTTAATGTGTATTTAATGTGAATATATCAGAACAAAAATTCTAAAACAAAGGTGTGTCAAAGCTAACATATATGAGTGTCTACTAATTAGATTCTTTATATGTGACTCTTCCTTAAAACTTTTAAAATTCTGTGGGATAAATCTACAGTTACTATTTTTTTTTTACATAGAAGACATTGAAATACTAGCTTAATAAGCTAGTTGTTGAGTAAAGCATACCCATTTTCAAAGCTATTTCTACCAAAATACACAACTTACTTGAGGTAAGACTCATTTACAAATCTTAATATCTCTCAAAATATAAGGTCCATGAATTGTTAAACTGCTATCATATGTCAGGTATTGACAAAAGTTTCACAAGCATAATTTTATGTAGTTCCCCTAGAACAACATAAAGTGGGTTCTGTTATTCACATTGTACTAAGTGTCAAAAAAAGTGGGGTCTAGATGCAAAAAACCTTGTTTACATCGCAAAGCAAGAAAGAAATGGACTGGTAAGTCTGCTCGTGTTTGTTTGACTACAAAGTTTGGGACCTTAACTATTATGCCAAATTAAATCATTCGGATTATAAATGAATCTATCTTGGCAAAAATAAGGTAGATAATAGTTACACAGGCACAGACATGGCAAGATCTGGCAATTCACGAGACCATGACTTTCCAAAGTTGATTTTCAAATTTCTTCATACTTCATTGAAGAGGAGAGGTTTCCATTTCCTGAATACATAATTAAGAAAAAAATTACAGTTTTATATTTTTTTCTGAATAGGGATTTAAAAGACATTGGAAGGTCATCAAAAATCTTACTACATGTATTAAATATATTTATCTTAATATGACAAACTTTTCTTTTGTGAGTTAAATTTTTGTACATCCATTTATCTACCTTACCTGTTCTCACCTCAAGGGAAAGACACACATTAGAATCATGATTTATTTGTAAACACTCATTTTTAAATATTAGTTATTAAATTCTGTCTCAATTGATCTTAGCTGCAAAGCTTGGATACATGTTTGATTATTTCCTTCTTCTGGCTCCTTACATTCAATAATAACCAAAAATAATTCTTAAATTGTGTAAATAAATCTTGTCAGTACGTTCAGGTATAACATGCACATGGAACACCATTGTGCATAGAATTAGCCATTAGACTCCTCAACATGTCATATGAAGTTGACTGGGAAGGTCCTTCCCAATCAACCTCAACATACTTTTCTTCTTACTGTTTATTATTCTTCTCCTGTACTCTTTATAGGCTGTGTTTCTGTCTCTCCCTAAACATAAACTATTTGATGCCTGCATGCTTTTATACATTCTGTTCTTTCATCCTTGTATATACCTTTCCCACATCTCTTCCAGGAGAATACATGTTTATTGCTGAAGGCACAATTTAAAAGTTGTAAAGAATATACTTTCTGGCCTAAACAGAATTAAGACTTCATCCTCTTTGAAATCCATACTCTGCAAACACTTAATACAGTCTGAATCATACTACTTTATAAATTTAATAATTATAAATCTATGTTTACTATTGAATGGAGTGTTCTGAACTGAAAATGACAATTTCTTGCTTATCTATAGTTAATACACTGCATTTAGTAATTAAAGGTCTTTGAACAGAACACCAAGTACTCATTACTTTAAGTTTTGTGTATTCTATGGTCTCTAACATAATTTGTGTACAGAGTATAACTTAACACATTATAATTTTAATGTTTTAATAAAATACCAACGATTAGCTAAGTTAGACATTGTGGCTGATTACTGACATAAAAAACAAAATTTGTTAGAGTTGAAAAACAGTTTAGGGAACCTAGCTGGATGAAGAGATTTTATAGGTTCCTCTAACAAACAGATACTGATATGTTCACCTTTTCAAACATTATAAAATCTAAGTAATATTAATTTACTCTTTATTATTAGACTTGTTTTTCTGGGTAAATTTTTCTGTGACATAAAAAACCACTGTGTGAAATATTACATGAATAAAATTTCTGAAATCATTTTTAAACAAGAGTAATGTTCCTCCAGTGATGAAATGCCAACTTCTGTATTTCAAACACTGTCAGATTTTCTATATTGCTTAAGAAAAGGTCTTAATAAATACATAAACCATGTCCTAACTCTAAATTCTGAAATTTATTAGACATCTAAGGAGTGGGCAACTCCCTGACAATATTTTGTCTTCATTTTGGAATTCATGCAATGACTCAGTCAAAGATTCTTTATGTTCTAAAATTCTGACATAATAGAAAAAAGGAAAGCAGAGTTCTCTAATGTAAGACAACCTAGAATTCTGGGTGTAAGGATATGTATTAGTTATAGTTATATCACTAATTCATTATGGCTATGATTTACCTCACTTTACCATTCCGTAAGGACTTATAAGCAGATCTCCAGGAACTATTTCCTATTATTGTAATCATCAATTCATTATAACAATATTTATTCAGCACTTAGCTATGGCCACAGTGTTGTTAGTGACTTGTTTCTTTTTCAATCCAACCTTAACAGTGACTCAACCATTTTTTTTCTTTACAATCACATTGCTCAAGTTGGTTCATAGTCTCAGAGTACTATAGCAAATTCTCTCTAAAATCCTTATGCTTGTTTTTCTTGCACTATATCCCTTCAATGTGTACTATCATATTTGCCTTCTCAAAGCACCACTCAATGCATGCATTCTATACCTCAATAATTTTCTTAACATTTCAATGTTTATCAATTCAAATTATAACTAACTAATACAATGTAATATTTGCTCACTATAGTTTTTCTAGTTTTTGATATGTTTTAACTTCATTTTATATTTGCAAGCCAGGTTTTAGGCAGTGAAACACTTTCTTTAAAGAAAATTGTGCCCTGAACCTCAACTAAAGTATAGAAGATGTTCTAAGTAAACAAATGAGAGGAGAACTGCTTCTGGTCAAGATAAAATGAAGGGAACCTCATACTTCTACCCGAAACTCCTACAACATTGACAAAAATAAATCAGACAACAATGTTTAGACAGTGATTCTTAGGAGATGGGATACAAGTAAATTAAACTCTATACTAAATTGAATAGTGTCCCTAAAAAGTCATGACCACTTGGAATCTGTGAATGTGACCCTATTTGGAAATGGGGTCTTTGCTGATATAATAAAGTTAAGTTGAGGGCATACTGAGTAAGAGAGCCCTAATTCAATGAGTGTTATCCTTATAAGAGGAAAATTGGACACAGAGATAAACAGGGAAAGTATCATGTCATGAAGGACACAGAGATTGGAACTATGCCACTATAAATCAAGGAACACCAAGAATTGCCAATCACCACCAGAAGCTAGAAGAAGCAAGGGAACATTTCTTGAGAGATTTAGAGAGAGCATTACACTGCCAACACCTTGATTTCAGACTTCTGGCCTCCAGAATTGTGAGACAATACATTTTTATTGTTTTCAACCATTCAAGTCTGTGTTAATTTGTTATGGAAGCCCTAGGAAGTATTCAAGCCTTGCAATTGTCACAGTTTTACTGCCTAGGGAGAAATTTAAGACTTAAGCTCAGGGAGGGAGAACTCTGGTGGAACCTGATGATCTCCCTGAGCTATTAACCCATGACACATTCCATGAGACTCAAGGCTTCTGGAATACTGGAAAATAGAGAGTTTCACAGAAAGAGAACTCCAATAACCTGCAGAAAGTTCCCTTTCATTGTTTATCTGGGTACTGACCAGCACATTTGTATAAGGAAAGTACCCAACCTGAAATGAAGAACCATCCAAAAGAACATAAGTACAAATTCCTAGACCTCCCACATCACCAGAACTAGTTCATGTTTTTACCTGCCACAACAGAATATCTCATAATTTACAAGGTATTGAATAATCAGAAACTGCTCAGGAATAAAGCTATCAACTCTAAAAACTTTTTACCTATGTATCAAAGCAAGCCTTGAATTCTCAAAAATCCCATCAGACATGCATAGAAGAAGGGCAACAGAGCCCATAATGAAGATACAAAAATAAATAAACTGAAATTGATCTAGAAGTGATAGAGATGACAGAATTACTAGAAAAATATTTTAAAGAGTTACTAGGCTTCAGTTCTGATGTATATAAAATCATAGAAGTCATCGCTCCAATCCTTAGAATGTAAAAGATGAACAAACTGAAAATCAAGACTTTTCTTTGGCCCATCAGATACCTGGAGTGACAGTGAAAACCATGATGTCAAAATCTGTAGAAACAAAAGAATCCAGAGAATCACAACTAAGATGTGTTTAGCTAGAACAGAAGCTGCGGAAGCCAGAAACTGAGGAACAATTAAATGTTAATATTGAAGAACTACTGAAATCTGAATATGGATTAGCATGGGAGTGAGAAATCCTTATTGGGGCTCTCACACTTTTTTGGATTTTACCACCAGAAAGAAATTTCCCAAATTAATATGGCAAAGATTTGAAACAAAAAAAGTTATTTGTTCTGGCAGAGGTATGGAACGAGTAATCATGATGAAATACACTGAGAGTGTGCTCTATAGCAAAAGCCTACTCCCCAGAAAAATCGACTTTCCTGGAATTTTTAACCCACATGAAAGAAGGGCACATTTTCAATTTTCACTCCCTGGAGACTTCCTCCCTCATCTGGGTAGGAGAAAAATGCTGAGAAACACCTGTGGTAGTTACATCTCAGGGACACAGGTGCACTAAAAGACTGAGATTTAATCATAAGATTATAAAATACTTTCTCCCACATGTACCTTAGCAATGGAGAAACAGGGCTCCAGTACAATAATATCAGATTACAGCTTCAACTTTCAGAGGAATACTTAAGGAAACCCAGAATCAACCGGAGAGATGAAAACCAGGGCACTAGAGAAAATGTGAAGCCACTGGAACCTACAGATATGCCAAAAATTAAACATAAAACTTCTTGCCAGATTAATGTGAAGCTTATCACGGAAAGACTGTTTACTTCAATTTCTATGACCCAATACATCATTTTGGCTTTCAACAAATAATTACAAGGCGTGGTAAAGGTAAAAAAAAGCATGCCACATATCTCTCACACACACACACGCACACACACACACACAGAAGCAAAAATACAAAAACAAAACTAGGAATAGAGGCCAATTTGCAAATGACAGAAGTATAAAATAGAGAAATTAAAATTTGATATTTAAAATAACTATGATTAATATATTAAGGGCTGTAATGGGAAAAAATAGACAATATGAGAGAGCAGATGGACAATTTAAGCAGAGGCAAAAACTCTAAGAAAGAATCAAGAGAAAATGTTATAATTCAAAAATACTAAGACAAACGAAGAATACCTTTCATGGGCTTAGTGGTAGACTTGACATGGCTGGTTAAAGACTCAGTGAGCTTGAAAAAAAGGCAATAGAAACTCCACAAACTAAAATGTACAGAGAAAAAAATGAAAAATGTAGAACAGAATATTCAAGAACTATGGGGTCATTTCAAAAGCCATAACAGAAATAAAATTTTAGTAAAAAATAAAGAGAAAGAGACAGAAGCAAAAGAAATATTGACATTAAAAATGGCCCAAAACTTCCCGGAATCAATGACACACACCGAAGCACATATCCAGGAATCTCAGAGAAGATCAAACAGGATAAATACCAAAACAAAAAACTACATCTAGGGATATAACATTCAAAGTGCTAAAAGCCAAAAAGAAAAAGACAACATTTGAAATAGAGAAAAAAATGAAACAAAATAAGCAAAACAAAACCAAAAAAATACATCCTACCTATAAAGGAATAAGGATTAGAATTACATCAGACTTCTCATTAGCAACCATCCTAACATATAACTAAGTGAAAGAAGCCGGTCTAAAGAGGCTAAAGACCATGTGATTATAATTATTTTATATTCTGGAAAAAGCAAAACTACAGCAATGGTAAGAAGATTAGTGTGTGTCAAGCAGTTAGGGGTAAGAAGAGTGTTGACGTGGTGAAGCGCAGGACATTCTGCAGTGGTGAAGTTATTCTGTTAAACATTGTCATGGTAGCAATATGACATTATGTATTGACCAAAATTCATAAAATTTTACAGAACAATGAGTTAAAATTATGTATAAAAATTAAAGATAATTATTTAGGAACCCAGGGGTATCCCTGAATCAAATGCAAAATATGACAAAACAACTTAACTGTAGAACAAATGTAATAAGCCACCTCACTGAGGGAGGTGAGGGGAAGGTATTGACCTAGGTAATTGAAAATGTGTGGAGTTTTAACAGTAATGACAAAAGACACGGTCAATAAACAATGAGTATACTGCATTTGATAACATTTCTTCCCCAGGAGTCATGAGTTTAAAATTATGACACTATTATAGGGACATGGATGAAGCTGGAAACCATCATTCTCAGCAAACTATCGCAAGGACAAAAAAACAAACACCGCATGTTCTCACTCATAGGTGGGAATTGAACAATGAGAACACACGGACACAGGAAGGGGAACATCACACACCGGGGTCTGTTGTGGGGTGAGGGGAAGGGGGAGGGATAGCATTAGGAGATATACCTAATGTAAATGACAAGTTAATGGGTGCAGCACACCAACATGGCACATGTATACGTATGTAACATACCTGCACGTTGTGCACATGTACCATAAAACTTAAAGTATAATAAAAAAATAAATAAAATAAAGTAAAATAAAATTATAAGACTATTATACACATATACTAGCATTAAACATTATATAATATAATTCTCATAGTTGAAAAAGGAGTTAGGAATTAAAAGGTTAGAATGATCTATGTGGCAATTGATTAGAAGTGAATCTATTATATGTATTCCTTTTATAGCTTACTATAAATACACACGGAAGCACCTATAAATATGTGTATACACATGAGTTAATATGCACAGATATGAATCTTTGCTCTATCACCCCAGATGGCCTAGAAAATATGACACTTCAATAACAAGGGCACACCTAGCACCTATGGCTTCTACTGCCATATTTTCTAATAAAATCTAAAATAAGATAACTATTTTCTTGGAGAATTGGCTGATTCTATACCCAAGGAAGAAATGTAATAATAATAATAATTAATAATGAACCTGGAGCTTTTTCAGTGCCAGAAATTAAGGAAATGAGTAGATAAAAACACCCACAATAATGGGATTGTAACAAAGGGAAAACAGCCAGCCGAAGGAGTTCAAAATGGCCAAAGCTGGAATAACTTTAGGGTCAAAATTAGTAAATTATAAATTACTTGCCCATGTGTTTAATAAATATTTGTAAGTCCATAAAAATATGAAAATGAATAAATAAATGGTGGGAAAAGGGACTTGTGTCTTTGGAAAATAAAGTCAAAAAACACATCTTTTATGTAAAATAATCTCAAATATCTCTCCACTCTGTAAGTGTTGGCTGCACTCTATTTCTCCAAAAAGTACACTATGGGAAAGGTGAATCAGAAAAAGTAACTATAGAGTGGAGAAACCTAAAATATGCTATATCAGCCATGGAATTAAGGTCAGCATCCGTAAGTCATTTTTATAGAATGTATCCTTGATATGATGTGATGATAATAGCTTTTATCTTTGTTGTCTATTTCCAAAAACACATATATCCAGAGTAATTAGAAAAAAAAACATTAGACAAAGCCTAGACAAAACCTCAAAACTGGCAAAATGATGAAATACAAGAAACATCTGGGAAATAGTTTCAGACAAGAAGATCCGAAGAGAACGTAACTACCAGGTGTAATGTGGTGTCCTGGTTGTAATCCTGGAAGAGAAAAGAGGCATTTGTTAAAATCTAGGGAAACATAAATAAACTATGAACTTCAACAGTGATGTATCGATATTTGTTCATTATTTTTAATAAGTGTGCCATATAATGTAAATTGTTAATAATAGGAGACACTGGATGTACCTGTGGGTATATAAGAAATGTCTGTATGATCTTTGCAACTTTTATGTAAATTTAAAACTCTTACAAAATAAACATGTTATTAACACCAAGTTGTAATTGTGTTCTATGTATTCAGAAACTAGATGAAAAATTGAGCATGTCAAATAAAGACATGGGAAATATTTTAAAAGCTCCAATTCAGATATATCAATAAAATGTTTGAAATAGAAAATGCCCTATATGGGACTGACAACTCTGTAGATACTTCAGAAGAAAGTATTAGTGGACTTGTACACATAGAAGTAGACACTCTCCTAAATGAAAAAGAGGCAAATAACAAAAAAGCATTACCTGATAGGGATGTAATTATAATATTTGAAGGAGAGAGTAGAAGGAAAAATACATATTAAAAGACATAATGACCAAAATAATCCAAATTTGCTGAAAACTATTAACCAACAAATTTGATAAATTCAGTGAAAACGAAGTATAAGAATTAACAGGAAAACTATACCAAGACTCATCAAAATCAAACTGTTTAAAACTTGTGATTAAAATAAAATAATAGGCCTGGCATGGTGGCTCACGCTTGTAATCCCAACACTTTGGGAGCTGAGGTGGGAGGAACCCTTGAGCCCAGGAGTCTGAGACCAGCCTGGGCAACGTGGTGAAACCCTGTCTCTACAAAAAATACAAAAATCAGCTGGCTGTGGTAGCCCGTGTCCCAGCTACTTGAGAGGCTGAGGCAGAAGAATCGCTTGAGTCCAGGAGGCGGAGGTTGCAGTGAGCCGAGATGGCACCACTGCACTCTAGCCTGGGTGACAGCGTGGCACTCTGTCTCAAACAAAGACAAAAACAAAATCTGTGAGGTTGAAGCTCAGAAGTCTGTATTTTTTTAGCAAGTGCTTGAGATGATTCTAATGAACAAATGTTTGAGAATGATTGTTCCATGTCATGATGACCTACTATAAACATTACTAATACATCTAATTTTATTGCTCCTCCAGAAATATTTCCCAAGATACCGCTGTGAGTTGCTTAATTAGCTGTTCTGTATTAAAGCATTCCGTGATCAAAAAAGCATAGTTAATTTGGTTAATATATCTCCTCCTTGAACATTCATGGTATATACTAGCAATAATGTAGGAAGATAAAATTAAGTATTATAATTAAGGTTTTCTCCTCATGCATTTTTCCTCTATCTCAGACCTTTATCCATTGAGTTAAAAGTCATTGCGGCTACCCAAAGTATTTGTCTTCCCTTGTCTTCCCTTGAGGGGAGAGTCACGAAAGAAATCAGTTTAGTTTCCAAACTAAATAAACTAGGAAACAAAGTTTCCTTGCTTTGAAGAGTGTATTCTTTTTCCCTGAGCATATATATAATGCTTAGAACACTGTCATATATATATATAATGCTTAGAACACTGTAATAAACAGAACAGAATGTCTCAGTAAATGCAGTTTATAGCACAAAAGATGGAGTTGAGAAAAAATGTCTCATTATGCAAGTGCCAGTTTCCCATCTGAAGTTGACCAGCTGGTGGATAAGAAATGAGAGAAACTACTTATCCATTGGAATGACTAATATTAAAAAATAATACAACAAAAACACATGATAGAGAGGATGTGAATAAACTGGATCTCTCATATACTGCTGGTGAAAATGTAAAATGCTACAGTCCCTCTGAAGAATCATTTGGCATTTTCAAATAAAATTAAATACACATTATCTTATGACCAAATAATCACACTCCTAGGCATTTATCCCAGAAAAGTGAAAGCTTATGTTCAGAAAAATGTTCGTAGTAGTTATTTGAAATAACAAAAAATAAAATGAAAAAAATAGTTGTCCTTCAACAGGTGAATGGTTTAATAACCTGTGGTATTTCCATGCCATGGAGAGCAAGTTATCAAGAAAAAGAAGCAAAATATTGGAACACTTCACTTGGATGGATTTCAAATACATTAGACTGATTTTTTTTAAGGGTTGTATAAAAATAATCTCAATTATATGATATTTTAAAAATTGACAATATTGAAAGATGGAGGCAGATTAGTGCTTTCCAATAGGTAGGGATGGAGAAAAAGTGGTTATGAATATAAACAGTATGAGATTTATATTTATGGTGCTGGGACTGTTTTATGTCTTCATTATTTGTAGTGGTAGGTATATAAATCTACCATGTGGTAAAATTTCATAGAACAATCCACACACACACATACATATAGAAACAAATAAATGCATGCAAAAACTGGGTAAATCTCATTAAAGTCTGTAGTTTAGTTGGTAATATTCTCCCAATCAATGTCCTGGATATGCTATTTTACTGTAATTATCTAAACTATCACACTGGGGTAATCTGGATGAAGGATATACAGTTTGTCTTTGTACTCTCTTTGTGGCTTCCAGTGAGTTCATGAATATTTCAAAATAAAACTTTTAAAAAAAGGAGGCAGACCAAGTTGGCTTGTGAACCAAAGTATGCTGAGTCATATATTTCTCATTTGTGATTATAGAATTGATAAAAAATTAAATCAAACTAATTAATTAACTTTTGAAAAGTGTTGTGACAAGAGATAAATAAAACCTAATGTCATATGTGTCTTTGGAAAGAGGTGTTCCACTATATCTTGAAAATTTGGAATGATCTGAAGGCAGAGGATAACGAGGCCTTGCTATCCAAAATGTATCCCCATGTCCAAGTTGTAGAAGAGCAATGGTTTGACTCAGTGGTTCCTGTACATGTGTCTTAGAGCAGCCCTTCTGATTTGCAGACATCAGGAAGCATCTTCTGATGCTTGAGAAAGCATCTAAAACTTTTCTTTTCCCCAAGACAGTTGTTGGACATGAAACAAATAAACTTGAAGCCATAAGGCAGATCTTTATAGATAATAGGAAATTTAGAGGACTATATGAGTTATGGGAGCTAGGCTGTAACACAGTAAACATATCCTTTCTCTCACACACGAAAATTCAGTAACTAAACATAAAAGCAAATTTATTTTTTTTCCACACTACTTTCCTAGTGAAGGTTGTCTTAGGCTTTGCTCATTATTGTTCTTAGCAGTCTTATTTTGAAGAGACAGGCTAAGACAGGCTCCATTTTGAAACATGCTTTCCACAATCATCTTGGCAAGTAGAAGAGAATTCTGTAAGATTATAAAAATCAATTCAAAAATTGACACATTTTGCTTCTGTTGATGAAACAAGTCAAACACTGTAAAATACTGAAAAGATTTAATCTGAGCCAAATAATGACTGATCATGGCCCATGACACAGCCCTCAGGAGGTCCTGAGAACATGTGCTCAAGGTAGTCAGGGTGTAGCTTGGTTTTATGGATTTTAGGGAGACATGGACTTCAATCAAACTCATTTAAGAAATACATTGATGGCCGGGCGCGGTGGCTCACGCTTGTAATCCCAGCACTTTGGGAGGCCGAGGCGGGCGGATCACGAGGTCAGGAGATCGAGACCATCCTGGCTAACACGGTGAAACCCCGTCTCTACTAAAAATACAAAAAAATTTAGCCGGGCGTGATGGTGGGCGCCTGTAGTCCCAGCTACTCGGGAGGCTGAGGCAGGAGAATGGCGTGAACCCGGGAGGCGGAGCTTGCAGTGAGCCGAGATTGCGCCACTGCACTCCCGCCTGGGCCACACAGCGAGACTCCGTCTCAAAAAAAAAAAAAAAAAAAAAAGAAATACATTGATTTGGTCCAGAAAGGTGAGACAACTCGAAGTGGGGGTGGAGGTGGGGAGGCACAAATCTAATATAGGTAGATTTAAAATGTTTCTGGTTGACGGTTGAATTTATCTAAAGACCTGGGATCAATAGAAATGAATGCCTAGGTTGAGATAAAGGATTATGGAGACCCAAGTTTTTATTTGCAGAGGAAGCCTTTAGGTACTAGGCTTCAGAGATAATAGGTTGTAAAATGTTTCTTATCAGACTTAAAGTCTGTGTTGATGTTAGTGCCAGAGAGGTATAGTGAGGCATGTTTGACCCCTACTTCCCAGCAAGGCCTGAAACAGTCTCTCAGACTAAATTTTAGAAGACTCTGGCCGAGGAGGAAGTTCATTCAGAAGGTTGGTGGGGGAAACTTTGAATTTTATTTTTAGTTTACATTTTCATTCAATTTATTTTCCAGGATTCATCCCAACTTCCAAAGCTGCTCACAAAGGTACTAGTCATTTCAGTCTTTGATTAGCCTGGAAGGAGTGGGAAACTAATTATGAGAAAGAAGGTTGAATGGTTACCAGAATGCTGAGCACCTAAAATGCATTAAGATGAAACATAATTTCATGGACAGCCGAAGAACACAAAGGATGAAAGGATGAAATGTATTGTTCTCCCTTCTCTGTTAACACTGTGTCAATAATTGAGCATCCCATTTCCACAGTTCCACATACTTGGAGTGTGCGGTACATTTGAACTAATCAAAATTAAATTTGCATAACTCAGCTTCTGACAAGTGAGTTTTTGTCTTTTACAGAAACAATTTTTTAATAGCAATTGTTTAGTAAAGAAACCTGGTAACTTTGTTTGATACATTGTCTTATTACTAAATGCCTATTGATATGTTTTAGGAATCTTATATGTCACAGAATAGAGTTTGGTAAATTCTGCTTAAAGAGTAAAGAATATACTACCATCTCTTTTTCTCTTATTCTATTGATTGAAAGACTCACTTTTGTTAAGATGTCCATCCTCTCTAAATACCTATATTGATTCAATGCTATGCCAATCAAAATCCCCTCAGACTCCAAATGTCCTAAAACTAGATTACACAGTGATGGAATGATGATTGCACAATCCTGCAACTAACTAAAAATTTATCATACTATTCACTTAAACTTGGTGACTTTTATGTTATGTAAATTATACTTCAATAGGACAGTTAAATAAATCAAGCTGCTTGGAAATATCGTCAATTTAATTATAGTATTTATGTGGAAACGTAAGGATAGAACATGTCCAAAACTATTTTTGAAACAGCAATTAATTAAGCTAATGGAATTTAAAAATTAATATAAGATTATCATATACACTATAATTTGGGGAATTTCAAAAGAATAGACAACTGACCCATCAGACAAAGTAGAGTCAAGAAATTGATTTAAATGTACATGATCAATAGACTTTGAAAAAAGATGCCAAGGTAACTCAATATGGAGGTTAATCTTTTTTATTTTTCAACAAATGGTGTTGAAATGACTCAATAACCTAAAAGAAAAAAAAAAGAAAAAAAAACATGACAAAGTAACAGTAAAAAAAACTCTTTGATCTCTTTCTCACACTATATACAATGACAATTCAAAATGAGTAAGAGCCATAAGCACAAGTTAAATTATAAAAGTATAAAAGTAACTGAAAGAATTAAGATAAAAATAACTCTAGAAGAAAACAAATTTTAAAAATCATCATGGCCTTGAATAAGACAAAGATTTATTATACAGGACAAAAATTACTCCCAGAAAAGGGAAGTAAAGCAAGAAAAGCAAAAATGCAAATACAGGCAGGGCTTACTAATTTTTATTTGTTATTAATTTTCATGCTCAGCCACTAGCAAGCACTAATTTACCTTCTGTCACTACAATTTTGCCACTTATAAGAATTTCCTACTCAAAGACTCACACACAGATCTTTGTGTCTGCCCTATTTCATTTAGCGTAACACTTGTTTTGTTGTTACATGCATTGATAGCATTTCTTTGTGTGCTTACACCACGAGTTTTTAGTCAATTTACCCATTGATGGACATTTAGGTGGCTACTAGTTTAGAACTATATAAACAGATGTACTGCCAATATTCATATAATTGTATTGTGTGTGCATATGTGTGTATATGTATATATATATACACACATATAAAATCAATAGTAAAAAATTACATTGAAAATGCATATTATTAAAAAAGCCATGCACCAAAATTAATTTATACTAACTTTGTTATGACATGTCTGAAGAAGATCTAGTATCTTCTGAGTAGCACCCAGAAGGATAAGACAATTTGAAAAGACCTGGTATCAGAACAACATGAATTCTGCTAAAATTGAAGCAAGAAAAAGCATCAAATTTACAGTGAAGTTTGGGTGGAAGAAGGGTGAAATAGTTTATGCTTGACAAAAAGTTTGTAGGAACAATGCCTCAAAGAAAGCAGCAGTGTATAAATGTATAACTCATTTTAAGAAGAGAAGAGACAATGTTAAAGATGAAGCCTACAGCAGCATACCATCCACCTCATTTTCAATAAAAAAACTCATGTTGTATGTGCCCTAATTTAAAAGGACTGACAATTAAAAACACAAACAATAGCCAACACCGCAAATATCTCAATTGTCTCAGCTTACACAATTCTGACTGAAAATTGAAGTTGAGCAAACTTTTCAGTCAATGGGTGTCAATATTGTTGCACCCAGATAAGTTGCCCAATACAGCAGACCTTTCCACGGACATTTTAAAGAAGTGGGGTCAAGATCGTGAAGTATATCTTCAAAGAGCTGAAACAACAGAAGGCTTTACTAGTATGATCTTGAAGGCAAAGTACAATCAAAGCAATGGCTACCAAGAGACAGAAGTAGTCCAGTCAAAGCAAAAGCAGACCCGTCAACAGCAAAGGTCATGGCAACATTCTGTGGGATGCTCAAGGCGTTTCCAGCTTGCTGACCTACCCTACAGATTTTGGACTTGCCAGCCCCTAAAAACATGTGAGGGAGTTCCTTAAAATACCTAATCTCTCTCTCTGTGTGCCTCTCTATCTCTGCCTGTTTTGGTTCTATAGTCTATTTCTCTGGAGAATCCCAACTATTATAACACCAAAAAACCGAGTGATAAAATTATTAAAGCACCAGCAATTCGCTTATTTATAATAAAATGAATCATTTAAAATTCCAGTTAATGGAAAAGAAATTAAAAAATTAAATTTTAGAAAATCTAGTATTACAAATAAAGTTTCAAACAGAAGGCAATAATTAAAAGTACATCTGTTAGTAGGTTTATAAATAAGTTCTCGATATTTTGCTCTTTTCTCAATCACTATTCATTTTATTTAGGACTTTGTTTTAATTATGTCTTATAAGCTGATGATTCTCAAATATATATACTAAGCCAAAAAACTCATATAAGCTCTATATCCTTGTTAAAAATTGCCTCCACAGAAGTGCCCTATAGGACTTCAAACAGCATTTTTAAAGTGAATTTGTTATTTTCTTACCTTATAACATGCTTGCCTTCCTCCTTCCAATTTTCCACTGTCATTATCCATACAGATACCCATGCTAAATCCTAATTTTTCAGACTCCCCCTCACCCCACATTCAATGGATAATTAACATTTTTTCAGTGCAATCCCTTTACTTCCTCCCCAATATATCCTTTCCACTACATACTGCCTGCCAATACTCCAGACCAAGCCTTAATCATCCTTGACTATAAAAATTGTAGTATAGCTATCTCATAATCTCTAATGTAATCCTTCCCTCTCAACCTCTGTATTGCTGCTTCAGTTACCTTTCCAACCTATAACACTGATCCTGTTGAGCTAGGAGGCAGTACTCTACTCCTGAGGTAGAGCTCGAATACCAGACCAAACTGGGGACTACCTAACATAGGTCAAGGGCAGAAGCAGCTTTCCATAAAACACACTCACCAGTGTGCCACATCGGTTTACCATTGCCATGGCAACACCTGGAAGTTACACCTCCTTTCCAGGGCAACAACCTGATTACCCAGAAATTACCACACTCGTCCTAGAAATTCCTTTTAAACGGTCCCTTAATTTGCAAAAAAATTAGAAGTGGGCATAAATATGACTGCAGAAATGCCTCTGAGATGCTACTCTGGGCACAGAGTACTCTGCCTATGGGATATTTGCTCCACAAGGAGCAGTACCTGCTGCTACTGTGCACTGCTGCTTCAATAAAAGTTGCTGTTTAACACCACTGGCTCACCCTTGAATTCTTTCCTGGGTGAAGCCAAGAACCCTCCTGGGTTAAGCCTCAATTTGGGGGCTTGTCTGTCCTGCATCACTACACTATTTGAAATATTTCAATATCTCTCCATAGTAGTATGCTCTACAGATATTAGCTCTGACAAGCCAAAGACTGCCAAGAAGTGTGTTTGCTTGACAGGAACAGATTTTTGTTTTTTCTGTTTTGAACAGAATTTGAATATCTTTTGGTCTGTCTACCTTGACAGGGGCCAACACTCCTGTTTCCCTTACATTCCAGGATCTCATATTTGCCCAAATTGCTTGATTCCTGCACACATTGACTTTGCACAACTTCTGCCTGATTTATAAAGCCCTTCATGTTTTGACCTCTGTTTATTTTTCTAACTTAACCACACTAGCCCTTTTTCTCCTGATCACTGTCCTTTGGCTCTATTTTATAGGGACACTGAGGACCTCTAAGGCTCTGTAGATGCTGTTTTGTAATGTTATGTGTGTTAGCACCTGCTGTCTTCTCCAACTGGAGTTGTCTCCCTCTCATACACTTCATCTGCTTAGTGAAATTCCTCTCAATGTGCACTTCCTTTGGTAGAAGTGTCAGTTCTCAAAAACATTTATTTGGCTTTTGTGCCTTCTAAAATATTCAAGGTGCAAAAATGTAATCATATAATCTTTAGTCATAGGCTTTAATGATTGTTATAAAAATAAGACACTCTATTTAAAGGATTTGCCATTACAGCTGATTTGGAATAAACCAGATGTTACTTAACAAATACACAAAGTAATTGCTTTCTTTACTGAGACCACACTGACCTCTCTTTAGTCATTATCTATAATATATCTGTTGTCTAGACAAAACAAAACTCCATCTCCATATCAATTTAAAAGGTTTATTTTACATTATAATTATATTTTATAATATTCTCCCCTTTCCTCTCAGAATTTAATCCATTTCTTGCAAACATAATGTTAAAAAAGTTATAGACATTTTTATATCAACAAATTTGAAATATAATATTATGACGTTCATCAATATCAAAATCTCCATTCAACAATATAGAGGGGAGCAGTGTGTCATGTTAACTCAAAACAAAACCAGACAAAAAACTTTGCAAATTATATCGTTGCATGAGGAAAACTCATTCATTAGAACATGTAGGGTAATGAAATTGAATATGGCTAGGTCAGATTAGTTAACATGAAATTCAAATCCAATAACCAGTAACTTTCAAAAAATGTAGGCCAACTCTGGTGATAGTTAATTTACCTTGCAGAGAAACCGTTTAAATTCAAAGACTCAGCAACATCAAATAGGTGTTGGAGGTGTGCAGGAAACAATTGCAAACAGTGATTAAGGTACTTGAAAACAACAACACTGATTCATTTTTTTCCTTCTTTCCTATACCGTTATTTTCTACTGGCATGGTATTTTATAAAGAAAATAGGGACTAGAGTCAGACTAAACTGAATTCAAAGATGCGGTCTAGTTATTCGTATGTGCCCTTAATTAAGTCACTTAGATCTCTAACTCTTTAGATGAGTTTTCTCATCTAAAATTAAGTGGTAGAATATCTACTTTTAGGAATGGTTATAAAGATTGGAAGTATACATCACTTACCAAGCCAAAATTATCATTAAAAAGTGTTCTTGGATAAACAACTGCACTGATGACCTATATTTATTGAGTATCATCTGTGACCCAGGTACTGTTTTAGGCATTTGAGATTTTCATTGAAAGGCTATCACAACTTAGTCCACAGATGAATCTGCAACTAAAGAGGAAGACAAAACTGCAAATCCAGGGAGACAGAAGTACAGACAAAGTGGTAAATAAATAGGATTTATAGGCATTGTTGACTTATTGAACTTGTAGTTTATTAAGGAACAAAAATATTAAAAATTGATAAGAAATTTGGAAACTAGTCTGGAAGTGAAATTCAGAGTTCGGAAATTAAAAGCAGTACGGGAAAATATTTTGTTTGTTTATTTGTTAGCATGGGAGAAAATGATAGGTCTGAATATGTTTACAATCTGAAAAGAAAGAGTTGGTGGAAAGGGAGATGCTAACGTATGTAGGGTTTTTTTTTCTATAGTAACTTAAGAAGCAGCAAAAATCTTCTCCTATCTCCAAAATTTATTCCCCACTGCCCTATTATTTTGTCCAAAATTCTATGTTTGAGTACTTTATGCCAAGAAATTGTTTCCATTCCCAGTTCTGCTAAAATAAACCTGTGTTACTTGTGTTAGCTGGGGGAAGTCTGCAGTTTTGTGCAAAGGATTTGAGGATTTAGGATATTACCTAACTATAAATCAAAAGTCCTAAACATAAAGAGGTAAAAAACAATTTTGTTTATGTGTTTTTGTGTTGGTGAATTTATTAAAGGGAAATATAATTTCTACATGGAAATATTATCAAAAAATGAATGAGGTTAGTGGTAACACTAAGAGCATAATGAGCCAAAAGCATATAATAAGCCTAAAATAAATCTCTTTCTGGACTACAAGACTGAGGTAAGATAGATGCTTACTAGTTTCAGAGATAGACACTCAGTTCATTCTGACTTACAAGGAATAAAATGCTGAGCTCTAACTCAGAATTTCTAAATAATGGCAATGGGGAAATATTTCGTAACATGAGGATAGCATACTTGTTATTAGACTTGCCTTTCTGACAAAAGAGCTAAGACTGCTCTTTTGAAATTAATACAGATGAGATGAAAAATGATTACTGTTTCACAGAAAGTAATGTGCCAATCAATGATTCACTTTTCTAAGTACTGTATTTCCTATATATGCTTGTGCTTGCAATTACTAAATTAACCTCATAACAGGAAATCAGAAGAGCCCTTAAGTTTGTATTATATCCCAGTATGGTGGGACATTAAACTGCCAGATGTTCACTTTTAATAAAACGATATAATGTTTATGAAGTCCAACAGAGTCTTAGAAAGCTCTGTGTCATCACAGATTTTCTGTTTTGCCCTGCCCCCCATGAATAGAAAAGAAACTCTTCTATCATGTGATGAATTCCTGTAATATCCCAAAGTGACTTTAAAAATTTCAATAGCCTTTCCCTCTGAAAAATAACACCTCTTTCATTCTCTTGTTGCATATTTGTACTTTACTTTAGTAAGTGAACACTGAAGAGTATATTTGAGAGCTCTAATAGCTTCTGTTGTGTTCTTGTAATAGTAATGTTTTTAGCATCGCTGTAGTTAAGAACTTGTCAGCACTTACAAACTCCTACTTTAGTGAAATTTCACTTGGCATATGAGCTTTCAGCCCAGGAGCAATTTTCATTTTAAGCTTTAAAATTATCTCTCAGGATATTTGTGATGGTGTGGTTAAACTTAAAACAAAAGCTTACTATTCTCAGATGATTCCAAATCTCCTCCAAAATTGCTCTTTGCAGACTTCTTCCTCCATAAAAATCAATTAGCTGATAATAGTGAGAGTGAGAATATATTAACAGTTGTAATGATGGATATAATACAGTTTTGCACATCAAAATTACATAATTTTAAAGTGCCAAAAACAAAAATGTTGATAAATAAGAATTGTGTACACTTTAGTATTTAACAAATATCACTTGATAAACCAAGTTGTAGATGATATCTAAAATATGAAGGTGAAATGCTTTCTGTAGGGGCCTTAATGTTAACCTTAAATATCACATTTTGATGTTTCAAATGAATGTAAAATTTTACTGGTCTTATTTTTAATATCTAGCAAACTAAAGAATTCGAGATTGTTAGTTGATCTCTCACTTTTTTTGGTGTTTCCTCTCTGACTGGTTTCCTGGCTTCTCCTTTTTTACTACATTTTGGAGTTTCCCAAGGCACTTCGCTCAATCTGTGCCTCTCTCTAGGTCATCTCACCTCGTCACATGGCTTTAAATGTTATATCTATTCTGATAAATTTCAAACTTTTATCTCTACATTGGAAATTTTCAGAGTTCACGTCGTTACTTGGGATATTTTTTTAGGCACCGAAAATTTAAACTGCATATATTAGAATCTTGATTCTCTTTCGTCACCCCACAATCTGTTTCTTTCAGTCTTAGCAACCCCATTGCTCATGAAAACAAAAGTAAACATCATTCTTGAGTCCTTCCATTCCCTCTCCCCCACACTGAATCTATCAGCCAATACTTTCAGTTTCACCTCAAAACACACCTCAAATCTGTTTATCTCTATTTTCATTTGCTGCTAACACCTCTAATCAATTATCTCCCAATCTGTAAAGAAGAGTAAAAGGGACATTTTAAAATACAAATGCCATAATGACCTTGCCCTCTTATAAACCTCCCTATACACTACTAACAGCATTCAAATATCTTAGCTTGAGTGGCAAGGTTCTATGCTATCTGTGTCATCCTAAATCACAAGCTTTATCTTCCATCATGTTCTAGTCAACCTCAGGATGTTCTAGCCACAAGAATCTTTTTTGGACATTGGACAAAAGAGAAATTTAGAATTTTTATTTTTTCATTCTCATCTTTTATTAGGATTTTTCACTTGCTTTTTCATTTTAAGAAATTTCCTAAAGGGTAATTGAACAATGTATCAAAAAGAAATCCAGGAAATTGAGCACCAAAACTTATAATGAGATATTGAGGGTAATGAATTTTAACTAGCTGATTACATAAAAGTCCCTCAGATTTAGTGATAATAAATGAAAGATAGATAAAATTCTGACAATGGAAAGTTGTTCTTTCAGAGGAATGTCAGCTACATCAGCTAATATACATAGAAGAAATAATAGAATTAGAAAAATACCATCTTGTAACCCCCACATAATGATTGGCTTGGGCAGGAATCCTCAGTTGATGCCAAAATGAGTTGAAAGTTTTAGGTAAATAGGTAATTCCAACAGTCTCAAATTATAATCTCACTATTTGCCTATTAATTACAAAGGTGAAGATTAGCTTTATTAAGAGGTCTCACAGTAACCAACTTACATAAATGTCTAAATATGGTATTGCCAATAGCCCCATAGCATGACAATATGACTCTTTTGATGTGATTCACCATTCTTATGCAGTGTTGGCCAGAATAGTTCAACATTGATCAAATCATGAGGAAGCCATAAGAAAACAACAAAAAGCAGGGCATATTCTAGGACAGTGTTCCAGAAACATTCAGCATAAACAATACTGTAAAGAACAAAGAAAGGTGGATGAAGTATTTTAGATTGGGCAAGAATAAAAGATGTAACAGTCAAATCCAGTATGTGAAACACAATTGGATTCTAGGTCATGCTTAAAATGAAAAATAATGTAAGCAGACAATGGAATATTTTTCAGCACTAAAAAGAAATGTGCTATCAAGTCATGAAAAGACATGAAGTAACTTTAAATGTGTATTGTTAAGTTAAAGAAGTCAATCTGAACAGGCTACATAGTATATGATTCCAATTATATGACATTCTGAAAAAGGCAAAACTATGGAGACTGTAAAAAGATCATAATTGTCAGGGGTTAGGAGGAAGGGAGAGATCAACTAGTGGAGCACAGAGGAGTTTTAGGGCACTGAAGCTATTCTGTATGATACAATAATGGTGAGCACATTTCATTATACGTTTGTCAAAATCCATAGAATGTACAGTACAAAGAGTGAACTCTAATGTAAACTACAGATTTGTTAATTATATTGTCAATGTAGATTTATCAATTGTCAGTTGTAACAAATGTACCATTCTGCTGTGTGTATGTGTGTAACTTACATATATATGTGTGTGTGTATATATTTAATTTTTATATATATACACATACACACACACACACACACACACACACACACATATATATATATATAATTGTTATCCAGGCTGGAGTGCAGTGGCATGGTCATAGCTCACTGCAGCCTCAAACTCCTAGGCTCAAATGATTCTCCTGCCTCAGTCTCCTGGGTAGCTGAGACTATAGGTGCATGCTGTAAATATAAAACCACTCTAAAAATTAAAGTCTATTAAAATAATATAAGCAGACAGCAGTCTCATTATAAGTATCTTTCTCTTTGTAAATTCATCTACCTGGAATTTTGAAGAGAGGAGTCCTACTGGATTTTTGTGTGGGAGAAAGTAGACACATATATAAAGTTAATGATATTATGTGAAAACACTAGTTTTGAATTTGAATTGGAGAAATCTGTATATATTAATTTTTTAATTTTAAAAATACTTGTTTCTTCTATCTATTGAAAAGACTCCATAGAAAAGAGCAGTTCTAGCTCCATATTTTGGGTTCTGTATATCATTTCCATCTGAAATGAGTCCATGCTCTTGGTTGAAATGGCTCATTCAAAGGCTGGGTAAGTAAATACATAAGATGAGCCTGGCATACTTGTTTGTCATAATAGAAAGAAGAAAAGCTATTATTACCACCAAGGTAATATAATAAAAAAATACTCAGGTACCAATGTGAAAAGGCTGTCACTGGACAAAGAAGAGATTTGAACATTAATGAGAATAATAACTGGAACTAATTGAAACAAACAAATTAAAAAAAAAACTCCTTAGTTATGTTTAGATAATGCTGATAAACCAAGTCATTAGATTGAAAACTGGTAAATACATGAAAAGAAGCAAGCACTTATCCAGCCTTTTCTATACAGATTTTACCTCAGTGTAAGGGCATATTTTTAATGGAATGATCCAGTTAACAATTGAAGCCTGCGTGACAGAACTTCACTTTACAAGCACTAATAAAATAATGGATCATCAATTCCTTATACTATCACCGAAAGAGACTTTATGAGTCTCCTGGGGAAAATACACCTCTCTATGAAATATTCATAGGAAAATTTCAAACTTGAATCTAATGAAACCTAAATCTGACTGCTAATACTCAGGGAAATCAGAAAAAGAGGTATATAAAGGAAACCATGGACATATAATCAGCAAACTAAAATCTTTTGATACATTATCTCATCAAATCACTCACATGAAAAAAACAAAGATGAGAAGGATAAATGAAGAACTTAAAGAGATTTAGAAATGTAAACTCATTTAAATCTTTATTCCTATTTAATTATTAATTTGGCCAAACCAATTATTATAAATATATTTGAGACAATAAGGGAAATATTAAGATTGGCAGAATAGTTATTTAAAAGTAAGAGTATTCACATTTAGAGATGAATATCAAAATATTCACATATATATAGTTATTCAAAATAATTTAGAAGAGTCAGGCATGGTGGCTAATGCTTGTAATCCCAGCCCTTTGGGAGGCTGAGGGTGGAGGGTCACTTGAGATCAGGAGTTCAAACCAGCCTGGGCAACATTGCAAGACCTGGTCTCTACAAAAAATAAAAAATAAATTAGTTGGACATGGTGGTGCGTGCTTGCAGTTCCAGCTACTGGGGAGCTAAGGTGGGAGAATTGCTTGAGCCAGGAGCCTTGTCTTCCACTGCATTCCAGCCTAGGCGACAGAGTGAGACCCTATCTCAAAAATAATAAATAAAACAAAATAAAATAATTCAGAAGAGCCAGACACGGTGGCTCACACCTGTAATCCCAGCACTTTGGGAGGCCAAGGCGGGCAGATCACGAGGTCAGGAGTTCAAGACCAGCCTGGCCAACATGGTGAAACCCCGTCTCTACTAAAAATACAAAAATTAGCTGGGTGTGGTGGGGCAAGTCTGTAATCCCAGCTACTCGGGAAGCTGAGGCAGGAGAATTGCTTGAACCTGGGAGGTGGAGGTTGCAGTGAGCCAAGATGGCACCATTGCACTCCAGCCTGGGTGACAAGAGCAAGACTCCATCTGAAAAATAATAATAGCAATAATAATAACACTAATAATTCAGAAGAAAAAAAGAAGGAAGTAAGTGGACATATGAAAAGCAAGTTGATAATTGTTAAAGCTGGGCAATGGGCACATTATGTTGTTCTCTCTATTGTATATTTTGTAATTTTTCTTAATAAATTACTTTGAATTGATATTACCTTGTAGAAGCTTAGTTGATGTGTGGTATATAAGGTATACGATTTTGACTTACGTAGCAAACATTTCCACATGGTTTATTTTAAAGTTAAATATTTAAACAGAGATTTCAGTAGCTGAGAATATCAAGCAACTTAATGATCTATTAAATTACTTACATGTTACCTAATTGATTTGTCTGCCTATAATTACAGCCTTTAAAAGTTTAAATATGTGTTTTAGAATTACTTCCTTGTACACAGAAAGTAATCACATCAAAATAAGTTAATTTAAGAAACAATACATACTCTAAAAATTTACAAAATAATCCTTAAATAGGCAAAACTGATGCAAGTAATCAGTAGTAGAAGGTTAGGGTGTTTAAAGTGGACTTAAACCAATGTCCAGTGAGTTTTGAGCTTTACTCCAGAGGTAGAAAACAGTATTTTCTTTAATCCATGCAGGATGAAAATATCAGAGAAGAAAGCTTCCAAATGGATTAGAAAACCATTAGAAAATATCTTTTTGTTTATTTTTATTTCTTTTCCTTTTTTTATTATACTTGAAGTTCTGGGGTGCATGTGCAGAACGTGCAGTTTTGTTACATACGTATAGATGTGCCATGGTGGTTTGCCGCACCCATCAACCTGTCATCTACATTAGGTATTTCTCCTAATACTATTCCTCCCCCAGCCCCCCACCCCCTGACAGGCCCCAGTGTGTGATACCCGCCCCCCCGACCCGTGTTCATGTGTTCTCATTGTTCAACTGCCACTTATGAGTGAGAACATGCAGTGTTTGGTTTTCTGTTCTTGTGTTAGCTTGCTGAGAATGATGGTTTCCAGCTTCATCTACGTCCCTGCAAAGGACATGAAGTCATCATTTTTTATGGCTGCATAGTATTTCATGGTATATGTGCCACATTTCCTTTATCCAGTCTATCACTGATGGGCACTTGGGTTGGTTCCAAGTCTTTGCTATTGTGAACAGTGCTGCAATAAACATACCTGTGCATGTGTCTTTATAGTAGCATGATTTATAATTCTTTTGGTGTATACCCAGTAATGGGATTGCTAGTCAAATGGTACTTCTACTTCTAGATCCTTGAGGAATCGCCACACTCTCTTCCACAATGGTTGAACTAATTTACACTCCCACCAACAGTGTAAAAGCATTCCTATTTCTCCACATCCTCTTCAGCATCTCCTGACTTTTTAATGATCGCCATTCCAACTGGCATGACATGGTATCCCACTGTGGTTTTGATTTGCATTTCTCTAATGACCAGTGATGATTAGCTTTTTTTCATATGTTGGTTAGCTGCATAAATGTCTTCTTTTAAGAGGTGTCTGTTGCAATGACCAAAACAGCATGGTACTGGTACCAAAACAAATATATAGAGCAATGGAACAGAACAGTGGCCTCAGAAATAACACCACACATCTAAAACCATCTGATCTTTGACAAAACTGACAAAAATAAGCACTGGGGAAAGGATTCCCTATCTAATAAATGGTGTTGGGAAAACTGGCTAGCCATATGCAGAAGGTGAAACTGGATCCCTTCCTCATACCTTATACAGAAATTAATTCAAGTTGATTTAGACTTAAATGTAAGACCTAAAACCATAGCAACCCTGAAGAAAACCTAGGCAATACCATTCAGGACATAGGCATGTGCAAAGACTTCATGAATAAAACACCAAAAGCAATGGCAACAAAGCCAAAATTGACAAATGGGATCTAACTAAACTAAAGAGCTTCTGCACAGCAAAGGAAACTATCTTCAGAGTGAACAGGCAACCTACAGAATGGGAGAAAATTTTTGCAACCTATCCATCAGACAAAGGGCTAATATCCAGAATCTACAAAGAACTTAAACAAATATACAAGAAAGAAAAACCATCAAAAAGTAGGTTTTTGTTTATTTTTTACCAATAATCTTCCAAATAGTGTTTGGCCTGCAAAGTTTCCCACATCCATCTCATGCTACTCACCAAACATGAAGAAATGATAGGTCATGCTTCCTATAGTGCGTATATTAAGACCTGACAGAGTACTGTGGCAAAAAATGCCAGCTATAAAATGGAAATCAAAAGGAAATGCATTTGGAAAATTTCTAGGAGATATTCATAGTTAGATATATAATGGCAATTTTGAATTCAATATTTTGAAATCTGATTATAAAATAAAAATTTTGTTACTTAACTACTGAGAAAAATGTGATGATAACCTAACAAAGACACCACTAATGACCACATTTACTTGGTTTTCATATGGTCAGAACTAGAATAACTTACAGAAAAATGTCTAAGCCTTATCTTTGCATTGCAAATGTCTAAACTCTATAATGAGTACCGATAACCTTGAAAAGAAGCAAGTGAGATACTGAGCTCAGAATGAATAAATGCAACATACAGATATGCTAACACCAGAAGCTTCTGACAAAGCAGATAAAGCAATATGACAAAGAATCATTCAATATAAATGTACTATAAAATAATGCAATGAAAATATGAATTATCAGTTTGAAAGTTCCTGCATTCAACTATGAGTACATAGGAATCAAGGCTTGATTAGAGATTGGGCATCTAGAATTGGCTATAAGTGTTTGGAAAGACAATATCAGCGCTTAGGCATTGGCTTTGACAATTAACTGACTTCAAGTTACAGCTTCACCATTTTTGGAGTTGCAATACCATGTAAGTCACTGTATCTCACTGGTTTCATTTATAATATGTGGATGAAAATATTGGTCAGCTCATGTGGTTGATTTGAGGATTAAGTAAGATCATAGGGGCAAATTAATGAAATCATGCTCTGTTTGAAAATATTAAATGATACAGTGTTTGTGATGTACAATTTGTAACTAGTCTTATTCATCTGAATCGTTAACTCAATAATCCTGTATTAAGAGTGGGTCTGAGAATAGAGAGAAATCAGAGCATTAAGTAGTGTTAAAAACAAAAACATTGAAAACCATAGCAAAGCTACACCTAGGAAAGAACTGCTGAAGATCAGGTGATTGAGTTGTGCAAATTGTAGTTGCCACCAATTTAAGAATTTATGTGTAATGTAGCTAAGTCATATTTGTTATGTACTGTTTCTTATAATTAAACATACATAAATTCCTGGTGAGTGTGCATACAAACACTTTAGATATTTTCAGGATTACTTTACAGGAGACCGAAGAAAGGAAAGGAACTCATCATCAGTCAATTTTCAATTAAAACATTTATTATTTGGGGAAACTCAACGTAACCTTACACCATTGTGTCTATTATACAGCAGCTGTGTTTGGTTTAATGCATGGACACCATTAAATACATAAAACATATTGTAATTCCTGGCAGACGGTAGGCACTGAATTGTTTAAAGACATGGTTAAACATATAAGCTGGGCTTAGAGCACAGAGAGCCTCGGGGGAAGCCAAAGAGTTTATGCTGCATTCAATAAGCAACAGATAGTACCCACAAGGGCATAGGACCAAAGCTTAGTTTTGGAAAACACCAATGTCTTGCCATTTTGTCATGTGCTCAAAGAATGAGAGGTTGAAGCAGCAATTTGTAGTTGGCAACTCTGATTTTATAGGTACGTTTTCATAGTTATTTGTTTATATTCACATATGTGAAAATAAATGCTTCTGATGAGTACTTATTTGCAATTATAAAGAAAATAATATTTTTACAAAATCTTCTGTAACATCAGGTGGTTGGTTTTGAAATTCTATTTACAAAATCTTCTGTAACATAAGGTGGTTGGTTTTGAAATTCTATTTAAGGCCATTCTGAAAGTTTTGGTCATTATGGCTAAAGTGCTTCTGTCCATGTAATTCATTATAGTAATACAAATAAACACAAAAGAATATATTTTCCTAAGTGTATTTACAATCTTTTTGTTAAATAACATTTATTAAAATGGATTTTTCCAAAATAAAATTTTAAAGCTACAAATTGATGTTTTGTGTCATTAAATGAAGATCAACTATTATGGCTTCATAGCAATATCATATTTGAAATATAAAGTGTGTAAAAATGAAAAGTTTTCTAGTATTATACAAATTGTATATTTCCCTTTTTAAAAGTGTTCCAAAATTGTTCTATTACATTAAGTACTTTGAAAATCACATTTGTGTTCTGATTTTAATAAAATGAGATTCAAAGTAAAAGAAAAGTAGATAATGAACATTGTTGTGTGATTTTTCGTATTAGTTGCTATATAATTTAAATGCCTTGGATTGGTAAATAGACTAGTCCTGCCTTTCTCTTCATCAAAACAATTATATTAATGTGTAATGTGCTTAATATGCCAGTAGCTTTTTAAAGATAAAATTTCTATTATATGTATATGCAAATGCTTAGTTATATTATTGTCCAAGACTCAAGTAAACTATTGTTTTTGTGAAAATAAAAAATATAAATTGTTTTCCTTTCAATAAACTTTGACAACAAATGAAAGGTAACAGAATATGTTAAAGAACATCAAGAGCACAACCTTTTTACCAGCACAATGATTAAAACATGGAATTTAATCTTATTTTCAGTTAGTTTCAAGTTTGGAAAACTGAATTTTAAATATAATGGGAGAAATGCTTTACACACTAAATCATCATTATATAGTAGCCATGTAAGACTTTCAAGAGAAAATAAAATATGCAAAAGGGAGAATGACAATCACTCCTTAAAGTCGTCAGCCCCAATACAGAATAAAGTCCTGTTATTTGCCACAACATGAATTAACCTGGAGAACGTTATGTTAGGTGAAATAAGCCGGACATAGAAAGACAAACACTGCATGATCTAACTCATGTGTGGAATCTAAAAAACTTGGTTTCATAAAAGTAGAGAGCAGAATAGTTAGTAGAGTCTGTGGAGGGTTAGAGAAAGGAGAGGACTGTCAGAGGTTAATCCACTGGTAATAAGTTAGAAAGAAGAATAAATTCTGGTTTTCTATTACACAGAAGCAAAAAGCAAGGTATCGTATATTTCAAGATAACTAGAAAAGAAGATTTTGAATATTGTCACCATAAAGAAATGATGTGTTTAAAGTGAAGATATGGTAATTACTGCAATTTGATCATTATACTATGCATACATGCATCAAAACATCACATTGTATTCCACAAAGATGTACAATTGTTATGTGTCAATTATAAATAAAAATAAATGTAAAAAGTTAATAAATTAAAGTTTAAAAAGTTCATTGAAGAGCATTAACTAGGAGTAGGTACTTGGAAAGTACTATCAGTAGTCAGTCACACTGGAGAAAAAGTGTGCAAAAGTAGTACCAGAGCAGTAAGTGCTGAGCATGTGTGTGGGCTCTGTACTTACACAATAAAACATGCACATACAAATTTTTCCTACTAAAATGATGACAAAATTATTTCACTTTTGAAATTAGAATATTTAGATTTACATATTATGTATGCTGAGCTTGTTTACATACCTATTCAAGAAATGTGACTATTTTGAATTAAACCTTTAACAATACACTGTGCAATTATAGCACTGGTTTGAAACTGCTACAAATCTGCTTACAATTATTTTAAAATTAGTTTGCTATGTTTTATCATTTTGGGAAAAATATAATTATGTTCTATATCTTGTAAATATATTTTTATCAGTTTTTTCTTCTGGAAAGTCTAATAAGATTCAACTTTTTGATTAGCGTATTAATATTGTTGCAGTTGATAACTATCTTATAAACAGCACTTAGTTTTCTTTAATTAAAAATACCCTGCCAAACATATAATAACCTGGAAGGTCACAAGATTCTGGGTGAGAAACATTAAATAATGACTTTCAACCTAATAAATTCCATTTAAAAGTTTTGAACATCAGTGGAATCCAATAAATAGTTCTGCAGAAATCTCCACTAAAGTAAATGTTTAGGGTACTCACAGTTAGAAAACAGTGATTTAACTTAAGATCAATTTTACTTCAGAAAGTCAATGGAAGGCAGCTGAAAAAAAGCGCAATTTAATTTGTGATTAACCATTGACCACACTTTTTTTCCTCTTTCTTGCAGTTCACCCTCTAGTCATTTCATTTTTCATTAGCACTTTCTACCAAGGATTGGGATTGGAAGAGACAGGAAATGAAATTCACATAATCAATTAAGCACCTAATTTTCACTCCTTTACAAGGTCAGGTGGAGAAGTGACTGACATTCTTGTTTCTGCTAAATAACTCCATGTAAACTACACTTCTTGTGTGTTTATGCTATTCTGTTTGCAAGGCATTTTTTTTACTGAGAATTTCGTGGAGTAAATGTACGCATTTTTGTAGATACTTAGTTTTAATTTGTGGGACAAAATCAATTTAATGAACTTAAAAACATGTATATGAGAACACATGGACACAGGAAGGGGAACATCACACTCTGGGGACTGTTGTGGGGTGGGGGAGGGGCAAGGGATAGCATTAGGAGATATACCTAATGCTAAATGACGAGTTAATGGGTACAGTACACCAGCATGGCATATGTATACATATGTAACTAACCTGCACATTGTGCACATGTACCCTAAAACTTAAAGTATAATAATAATAAAAAAAGTATATACTTATTTTAATATAATCAGTTTACCTCTAAGCTGTTATGTCTCTTCACCCATAAGCTGTTTATTTTAGTTCTCCCTTATCAAGATTTTACTTCCCATTTATTGTTAACTTGCTTATTTTTTCCTTTGAAAAACTCAGATTTTAAAATGTATTAAATATAAGTAATCACAGAAGAAGAAAACATATATTTGAAATTATACTTCCTATTCTATTTTCTTATGTGGAATACTTATAAATGTCAAACTATTATAGTGAAGGGCCCATATAACCAATATGACAGAGACATTTTGTAATGGATATTGTGAACTTGTGCGCTGTTGTCTCACAGATAGTGAATACTTCTCTGATGATATAATTTCCCCCTTTGCACAATGAGAATACTTTAAAGATATATTACATTCTCAACATTGACTTCTTTCATTATTTTAATATGAAAGTCAAAGAAGTTTAATTAATGGCAGTCATTTTGTAGAAAGGTGTAGAGTTTAGATTTATTTTTAAATACAAAATTGCTATTTAGAAAACTGATTTTGTTCTTCATTGAATAAAACAGAAAATTAGAAACATTTACTAGACAGTTTGTACGTGTTACTTATTTTGGCTCTGAAATGGCTCCAACTGTAAATGCCCATACATAATTTTATAACTAATAAAATATGTTTTAATTTCTTTAATATTTACAACACACATACATAAGACTGTTCAATCTGAAAATGTGAATTTTAATTAAATAGGAAACAACATGCAGAGTAGTTAATTACTCAAATTCTGGAACACTAGACCACCTGGGTTCAAGCCTAATTCTACCTAGTCATGTGATCTTGGGCAAATTATTTAAATTATTTGTGCCTCAGTGGTGGTGTTGGTTAAATGGGGTTACTAATTCTATCTCTTAAATTGCTGGGAGGATTGCATAAATTAATACATGTAACATTCCTAGATATTGTTTGGCACATGGTAAACACTAAATTATGATTATCCATCATTATCAGTATTATTGGTATTATTTGTGGTAGTATTATGAAATGGCTAAATCAAAAGCTTTTAAAAGCACGTCATTAAATTAATTTTAATGTAATATTACTACCAGAGGCTTGACGCAAAAAACAAATGTAAGAACTATTTTAAAAATAAAATGTAAAATGGCACATTTCTTGCCATTAAATTAAGTTCCAGAAAATATTAATCTCTTACCTTATTCATTTGAATGGGACCGCAAATATTAGTAGATATATTATGATCTTTACTATTCCATATATTTTCATTATTCATTTTCTCCCATTGTAAAATGTTATGTAGAAAAATAAAAGCTAAAATTCCCAGGCAAGTAATTTCTCATCAATTGAAAAAATGTTTAACTTCCTGGGTTTCATTCTTCCCCAAACCAAGTTACTTTTGCCTGATCAGTGAAGATCATAACCTCAGAACACCGGGGAACCATATACGGCGTTACTCTAGTGCTGCTCCAGCACTAACTGCCATTTTTATTGTGTAACATATAGCCATGGAGAGAACATGGCTCATTAATACTTTTCACTTATTATGCAGTGACATAATCCAGATTATTATTTTACTACTTAAAAGACCTCAGTGAGTTCTTTCAGTGAAATCAAAACAAAATATTTGCACTTCTTTAATATATTTGGAATATGCCTCTAGTTGATAAAACAAAGGAATTTGGGGGCATGCTCACTGTACAACATATACTACAGCAAAGCTTTTCTGTTTTCTTGGAATGGCATTTCATAGACTTATACAAGATCAACTTATTTGAGAATGTATCATATCAGACACAGATTACCCTCATTTGAAGCTACCAAAATGTTTCGGTACATTCTGCCCCTGATGTACTTCTTTTTGATATAGCATACTCATTTTCCATTGCACTCCATGTTATACAAATAACATTTATTTTAAACCAGATATTTTAAATTTAAATATAATATTATGGAGACATAAACTGAACATTTTCTAATAAAACGATTTTTTTTTATTTAAAAAATACGATAATAGGGCTTGGCATGGTGACTCACACCTATAATCCTAGCAGGAGGGAGGCTGAAGCAAGAGGTTCTCTTCAGGCCAGGGGTTTGAGACTAGCCTGGGCAACATAGTGAGACCTCATCTCTACCAAAAAGAAAAAACAAAATAATATATATATATATATATATATATATATATGTACATATTTTAGAATTATCTGGCTGGGGTGGTATATGTCTATATTCCCAGGCACTCCAAAGGCTGAGGCAGGAGGATCACTTGAGTCCAAGAGTTTGAGGCTGCAGTGAGCCATGATCGCATCACTATACTCCAGCTTGTCTCTAATAAACAAATAAATAAATAATCAAAATAAATAAATAAAAAGAAAATATGATAGTAACTTGATCAAGATGTAACATGATATATTGAATATTAAAAATTCAGAACAGTTTTTTAATTGTTTCCAAGTAAGTGACTTTTATATAGGAAATTCTTTAGACATAATTATATTAACTACTCTTAATGGTTACTGAAATTGTGATAACTACTCACACATTATATAATTTTTTAAAATAATTCTTTCATGATTATCATTTAGTAATGTGGAGAGCAAACAATATTAATTAAATTTTAAAAAACCTCAGTTAACTGGGAGATTGTATCATTTATAATTCAAACCTCAGTCAAACAACATACCCAAAAAACCTGCATGCGTGCCTTCTGAATCTAAAATAAAATATAATATTGTTTTTAAATATAATTTTTTGACATGTCCCTTTAGGATGAAGGGTACAATGGTATTAGCCATTGTTATCAGCGGGAATAAAATTTATATAATGCTTATTTTGATTTACAAATATTAGTACAGGTACAACAGCAAAAACAATACTGAATTATCAAAGCTTATTAAAGTTCTGTGATGGAAATGAGTCAGAGAAGAAGGCCTTGTTTAGCTTAACACATTAATAAATCATTTGGTTTATAAACATGGGCCCTAAGTCTAATATGGAGTAGACTTAAAATTGAAAACTGAAATTGCCTTAAATAATAAGATATGATGTTCCTTCTCAAAGCATGATATAGGTAAGCTTGAAAAATAAAAGAGTAGAGATTGCCAGAGATCCCAACACACAGCCCACATGACAGGTCTAAGAAGCAGTGGGCTGAAACAACTTTTAAGACCATAATGTCAAATATTCTATTTTTAGGGAATTTTGTTACATAAAGTAAAAATGTCTCTGTTACTTCAAGCTTTCAGTAAAACCGTGTTACCAATTGATTGTCTTGTGTAAGCAGAAATCTCTTTGAGAAAATCAAAGAAAAGGTGAGGAGTTACACGTATATTTGGAATCTGCTTCTCTGCCTCTAGCTATATGATTTAAAGATGAACCCCTATCCCGACCACACTTAAGCATCTACCCATAGGAGAGAAATGCAGTAACAACTGAGTGATAAGCAGAAGACTATGAATAAACTTAACAGCACATAAGCATTAAAATTTTACAGAACAAGTAAGGAAAGTAAATCTCCCTGTAAATAGAGAGAGTTGATAGCTCATAGGTAGGTAGGTAGGTAGGTAGGTAGGTAGGTAGGTAGGTAGATAGAGAGATAAAGAGTTTTATTTGTTGTTGTTTCAAAAGTTTCTTTCTTGCAAATTTTTAGACTGAAATGAATATGTCTTTGCATTAATAACACATTGGCCAGTTCAATTAAGAAATGTATAGCAAAAATTTGCTTTGAAGAAAAAAGCATTGTAGCAATAGAATATGTATATAAAATTTTTTTAGAAAGAGCAACAAGGTAGACTTTATACAATAAATTTGGTTAGGCATGTTTTTAATTTCTAGCTAATAGAATTTATGAAATAAAAAAGTGCATTTAAAATTCACTGAAGCTGGCTTTATAAAATTACCAGGGGTGCTGCAGGCTTAGTTACTCATTTTTGTTAATTCATTCTAGTTTCATTGCTTCCCTTTATTTACGTCCTCTACATTGCACTGTTTCACCAGACAGTGATTATGAAGTTTGGCTAAAGACATCTGGATAGAGTGAGCCTCAAGAGAAAATGCCATAAACTGGTTCCTAAAGTAGAAACATCATGTAAATGGCACCCCTTCCTGAATACTATGATAATGAAGTATATTATAGTTGCAGCACATGAAATCTACACAATCTGGATACAGATAGTATTTATGTAGCAAATAGAGCACTAGTGTAGTTGTTACTGGTTTCCAGATGATTGCAGTGTGATTATTCTATTGTTTTGTTGCCCAATATTGTGAAGTCTTCCCTATGCTATTTTTGTCTGAAGTTGTAAATTGTGCATAATCATAAATGAATAAATGAATATTTTTAGAAATGGAAGTATCACAGGCATTTCAAGCACATTTCATGCTGAATGTAAGAATAATCAATTGGATACAAATGTAGATGGTCGAGAAATTATATCTGAGTATCCTGTGGGGCAGTTAAGTGAGCATTACTTTCTTATTACAAGGTTTGTTTGGCTGGTTGAACGAAGAACCAAATTGTGCTTATAGGATCAGCAATTCCTTCTATCCCCTGTTCTTTTTGAGTTCAGGAAACTTTAGCATAGAAGCTTTATTTTTGTAACTGAAGGAGAACAGTGGTTTTCTTCAACATGAGGAGTAGCTATGAATAGAAGACAGAGTTAAGATCATAGTATTGCTTCCATCCCACCCACGATCCCCACCACGTCAGAAACGGGTTTGAATCCTTATGGTTGCAAGAGTGAATATAGTGAGATGATGAAACAATTCAAGAGATACTTGGTATAGTCTGGGCACAATCATGAAGTCTGACAAAGTGTGATCAGCACTGGAGCAGAACCTCTCTTCCCAAGTTTCAAGGGATTAAAAGGGCTGCTCAGATATAAGACAAGTTAGCCCCTTTGGCAATGTCTGGCAAGTACTATTTGTTTGAATATCAACATTCATGACTGGTGACAATGAAAACAAAATTTTCCCAAGTCATTCTGATGTGAATAGGTAAGGAAGAAGAAAGAGTAATTGCCCTGTGAATGCAATTGAAAAAGTTGTTCTGGAACACATGTGAAGCACTACTTTATTGACAACAAAATGAAATAATTGAGAATTTGGGGAGGATCTGTAGTCCTGCTATTATAAAAATAGAAGCTATTTTAAGCAGCAAACACCTGGCTTCTGTTCTTTAGGTAATATTGTTACTGGTACAAGCAGTATGTGTATGCTGGTGGGGAAGAATAAGGAAAATGAAGGAAGGAAACTTTAGCTTAAGCTATACATTTTCTCTTATTTTGCCAAAAAACTTGATCAATCTTTATGTCATAAAACTTGATTTTTTTCAAGCTTCAGAGAAATTTGTTATTCTTTACCTTATCTCTAAAAGCTTAAAAGTAAAAAAATTAACTGAGAATGGGTAGCATTGACACCACATTTTATTAATAATCTCTGCCTTGTTAATCAAGTGAGCTTACAGAAGCAGCTTACTCATTACTCTCCTCATTTCACATTAATACAAGTGAGAAAAATAAAAGGACAGGATAAAAGAAAACATCACGTATATAAAAGTCAAATTCCATGTTAAAAGCATACATATTATAAAAAAAGACCTCTTAGGAATACTCATAAGTTCAAAACTTCAACATTTTTAAAGTTACTCTCTTTTCTTTTCTTTTTTTTATTATGCTTTAAGTTTTAGGGTAAATGTGCACAACATGCAGGTTAGTTACATACGTATACATGTGCCATGTTGGTGTGCTGCACCCAGTAACTCATCATTTAACATTAGGTCTATCTCCAAATGCTAACCCCCACCCCCCCGCCCCACACAGGCCCCGGTGTGTGATGTTCCCCTTCCTGTGTCCATGTGTTCTCTTTTCAATTGGCAGATTTTAGTAAATTGATAAAGCTTATAACTTGGGATCAATTCCATTTTACTATAACTTATTTTACTAGAGGCCAAGTTTGGGTTACTCCACTCTTATTATTCCTTTGGAAGATTACTCATCTTTCTACCTTCCTCCCATTGCCTCCTCTTAAATGTGGACCAAATGTAAATCTATGTCTTCAATATAACCTTAAACCCTAGGCAGAGTGATTGGATTCAGGATGGGCAGTTACAACTCTCAGTATTTCTAGCCAGGGTAATTTTTGGCCAGTTCGACTAGGACAAGCAGCATCCTTACTGGGATTCCTAGGTAAGCAGAATGGAGGGAAATGTGAATTTCTGTAGAGTGCTGAAGCTGAAAGTCATTTGCCAGAAACCATAAGCTCAGCAAGAAGCAGAAAGTCTATCTCTAATAGGAGACAGAAGATTACATTAACAGAGAAAACCATAGAGTACTGAAACCACCTTCTCCCTAGTCCTAGTTCTCTCTGAGGCTAGCTTCCATTCTACGATACTCAGAGCTTGGTCACACAAACAAGTATATTTCTCTTTTTGCTTAGGTTGGTTCTAGTTGGATTACTGTCACATGCAAAGAGCACAGAATGGGTCACGGGTTTTCAGTGCTGCTTAACTAATAAAAGAAGAAATGATGAAAAGAAAATACAATTTTGGATACAAAATGTGTAGGCCCCTCCAAGAAAATAAAGCACATGTGAAAATAAAGTGGATAAACATAAAATTATGAATGTATAATTTGAAAACTACATGAAGCCTGTATTTTAACTTTAAAATTACATATAGTTTATTTAGTAAACTATCTACATCATTAATAAAGATGTTCTTACTACTTAATTCTGCCCACCTTTATTTGCCTTATAGTTTTATTATTATATTTAGTATTTTTGTCTTTATTCTTTTATGCAATGGACAATCTTATAGAGAATGTAACAAAAATAATTTATACTTGATATTTATGTAAGAATTGAAATGAAGGAGTTTTTGTAAAGCTGAGATAAAATAGTCAATGTAGACATATTTATTTGGAAGTAAAATAAAAATACAATGAGCAAAGTTTTTGAAAATTTAATGCTATGAAACAAAGATCAAAAGAGGGCACTATTTCTCATTGATTTTTTTACTGCTTATGAAGACATTCAAAATATCACACTGGCAAGCTTTACTGATTTCTTGCAAAAGTTTGTTGATTTTCTCTAAAGTCTAGTTATATATATTTAAAATTCTGTTGCAAACCTATAATCTACAATTTAAACATAGTTTTTTTTATAATATATGGTAATTGGGTGCTGCTTTACATGTGGTATACCTATGTTGTTATCACTATACCCTTAGCAATAATATTTAGATTAGTGGCTTAGAAACAAAGTGAGGAGAAAATATATAACCCTATAGAAGTAAAAATGATGTTTACAGATTGTAAGAGCTTGTCATTTATAGTTAGATGTGATTTATAATCTAACCTAAACAACTTTCATTGCAATTTCACATGAAACAATACATAGAAATTCAAATAAAGGCTGCTATAATTATATCATACTCTAAAGCATTCTCAATATTATATATTACAGTCTACATCTTTTCAACTTATTTTTCTTTGATTTTTCAGGCAAATAGAATGCTTTTTATTTCTACACAACTATGATGGTTTTGCTAAATGCTAGTAAATCTTGAGTCACCATTTTCATTTTCTTTAGTGGGAAAATGCTGTTCCTGGATTATTTTAATTTAGCTACCTCATGTTCTGCCACCACCCTCTTTTCATCTCACATTACTGCAAAAACTGTTCCAATCTTTTTATTTCTTTTTAGATAAATTTTGATAACTAAATGTTGACCAGTAGGAATTTTATTATAAGCATGTTACATTATAGGTAATTCTTTGGGGTGCCAAAGATACAGAATTACCTACAAAGATATTGTAGGCAATTCTTTGGGGTGCCAAAGATACAGGATTCTTTAGGATGCCGCTTCACCAGCCAGAGACCTCCATGACCAGCGGCACCTCTCCTTGAGTTTCACTTACCCACTCATCCCACCAGGTTGTGCTTGGCTCACACTACCGGCCAGGATCCTACACCCGCCATAGGCAAGCTGGGTGTGGAGCGGTGAGGGGTGTGTGCAGAAGCTAGCAAGGGGTCTGGCCATGGTGCACAGACAGGGGAGCCAGCTGCTGCAGTGGGGCAGGCAGCTCCAGGCTCTGGCACAGATGCTGGCTCTGTGTGAGGCTGTGACTGGAACAGACATGCCACAAATGGCTTCTGCCTTGGGTCCTGGCACCTGGACAAAGGGAATGTGGTGGCACCTGAAAGCTTGGTAATGCCAGCAACCAGCAGAAGCCCCAAGGGGGTGTTATGGCATGTCACAGTTGTGGCTCAGGGAGCTCTGAAGTCCGGGGCCCCAGAAGGGTCACAGCCCTTTTCTCCTGTGGTTCAGCAAACAGGAGCATGTCACTGCCTGCAGCTCTGTGAGCACACCAGGAATGTATTACAGCCCTTGTCTCTCCCATTGTTGTTCAGTGGGTGACAGTTTCTTGTCCCATGTCCAAGAAGAATGGGGTTACGTGGACAACTGCAGAGTGAGCAAGGCAATAACGAGTTTTATTGAGCAATGGAATAGCTCTCAGCAAAGAGGGCAACAGAAGTGGATAGCTCCTACCTAAAAGCAGGTACTCCTTGTGTGTGGCTGCGTCTGGGGTTCTTATGGGCTCAGAATGGGGGGAGTGTGTGCTGATTGGTCCATGGATGGCCTGGAAAAAAGCACCATTCAATTGGCTAAAAGGCATGGGGGAAATTCTCACTCTGGTCAGGGACTTTACCTGGAACTAGCAGCTTGATTTTCAAACTTTAATTTGTCTTTGGTTTGAAAGTCAGGTTTCACATGGGACCCACCCCTATCTGCCTAGGAATTTGTCTGACTCCCGCCGCTATCATAGGTGTGCTGTCATCTACACAAACCATATTAAATAATGTGGTCTGAAAACTATAATGCTATTTCAGTAATGGGGCACTGAAAATCAGTTATTGGAGTTACTAAGTATTGAGTCAATATTTAAAGTTAATAATGAGATTTGGTATAAAGCTTGTTCTGGTTTGAATACCAGTGATACATTGATGAGTTTTGTCAGATACCACAATGACACATAAAAAGAGTATGCCAAAAGTTTACTCCTAATACGGTATATTTGTAAAATGGAATATTTACAGAGACATTTTATATCAAACTAATTTTTTAATTAAATCAAAAGCAAATAATTTGAATTATATAAGTACAAACAAAATGTAGAAATAAGATATGAGATATTGTCTATGTAGATTTTTGCAGGTATTTTCATACATAAACATTTAAAAGCATCAGCTATTAAAAAACAGTTATTAAACTGACATAAAAGCAGACACTGAACATACAAAGAAAATAAGTCCAATGCATAAATTACAAGAATATGACATTTTGTTTATGTTTCTGATACATTTCTTGTATATGACATGCCCAGTTTTTTCTCTGAAAATCAAATGTGCCTGAAAAACATTTGCCTGTAAAGTATGTGATCAAGTTTGGTCATTTAAACGTTTCCAAGTGTTCCTTTTTCTCTTCTTTATGTTGCTTTTTACAGTTAATGTGTGAAATGTGTAAACTAATGTTTACATAATGTGCTTTATTTAGAATTTGATTATTATTTTCTACTCTAAGATAAATTACTTCTTTGGAACCTGGTAATCAATGATCTAGTCACTAATGTAGAAAGACCACAAATAAAATTACCTTTCATGCATAGATTTAAGATGATGGCTTAGAAAATAATTTTAACTAACGTTTGATGATAAATAAATTTGGTGATAAGAATATCTAATAATAATAATCTTCTTTCCTGATTCCTTCGTGTTGGCTAAGCAATATGCTAAGCATTTTACACAGCCAGGCAGCCCTCCATATCCACAGGTTCTGCTTCTGCAGATTCAATTAACCATGGATTGAAAATATTTTAAAAGTAATAATAACAATTAAAATAATACATATAAAAGAACAATACAGTATAACAGCCATTTCCATAGCATTTATATTGCATTAGCATTATAAGTAATCTAGAGATCATTTATAATGATTATTTTAAGTAATCTAGAGGTGAAATGAAAGAATGTGCACAGGTTATATGCAAATCCTATGCCGTTTTATATAAGGGACTTGAGCATCAGTGGATTTTGTTATCCCCAGGGGGTCCTGGAACCAATCCCCGATGGATACTTAGGGACAACTGTATTATTTTTTAAAACATCGTTGTATCTCCTCTGAAGTACATAGTGCTGTCCTCCTTTTCAAGATAATTAAACTATCCTGAGAACTCAATTAGTTCCAGGCTTCCTAGCTAATAAGTGGCAAAAAGCAAGGACTAAATTCAAGTGTATTTCATTCTGAAATTCATGTCTTGAATGGCTTCATTGTGGTTCTCAATACAATGTATTATTTTGAAGCTGATTATTATTACTGTGTTATAGAAAGCTAGTTCTGTAGGAAATCTGTCTAAATGGCAAAACACTAATTAAATGAGAGTTATGCTAGTAAAATTGGCTATACAGATTTTCTGATTTTAAAAAATATGATGACATGTTCCTAAGACAGCAAGCATCCCTCTTTCCCAATTCATTGAGTGTTTTTCAATTCCCCCAACATTGTTGTACTCTTTCCTATCCACTTCTCCAGATACAAAAATGAACAATTAAATTATAAATTGAGAACTTCCAACTCTCAGTGCCTATACTTGCATTGGTATGGTGCCATATTCAGTTAAAAATGCTTAAGATCATGGCTTGGGTAAATTACAAGCCAATGACACTACTGAATTTGTGAGATCAGTCTGCAAACTGAATTATATACCATTGTCATAAATGTTATACCTCTCTGAAAAATCTAAATTACCATGCAGTTTTACTATCTGAAATCTCCCAAACCTTATTCATTTATCAGAATAAAATTATGTTACAGTTTTTCATTTGTTCATTATGTAACCTTAAATGATCTCAGCTAATCTAGAAGTAGCAGAAGATGGCCAAGTCCAGTTACTCCTCGATGATGTAACTAGAAATGAATGATTTCTTTATTTCTAAATGTAGAAATGTAGCCATTTTCTTCATAATGATATAAGGCCAGCTTTGCATACAGACGTTTCTCTGAATAGACAAATATCCAATGTGAAGAATTGGTACTGAAGTAAAAGTAGGAAACTATAAAGAATGTTGCCATCAATTGTATTGTCTTTCTCTATTTATATATTTATTAAGAATGCCAATAGTTTTCTTTAAGGATAAACTTTACATCAACAACATCAGGAAATAAGTGCAAGCGTATAAATAAAATATTTATTGATTTTGGTTTGATGTCATTTATAATTAGTCTATAAATAAGTGCAATTTGTGATGTATACTAGTTATGATACCTTCATAAGAAAATTTTCTTTCTTCTGACTTGAATGATCAATTACTTGGGCCACAGACAGGCTTTTTGATTCATTGAACTACACATCAGCCAAGAGAACAAAGGGCCTTCCTGCCAATTGCCAATAGGCTACTGGCACACATTTTAATCTTCAGAAAGGTCACTGGCACACTTTTCTGTGACACTTGAGTCACTCCACATGGGAGTGTGACTCCACTTAGATGCAGTTCAAACACCCCTAACCAGGCTGATAGAAAGCCCCATCCAGGAGCCACCTCACTCTTTAGCAGTCAGGAATATTCCATCTCTCCCGTGATTTCAGTAACCTGTTGGGCTTCCAGTTAGAATGCCTCTGCCTAAGATCTTCCTGACCTGCCATCTAAATTATTGTTTTCCTCCAGTGGTAGCTTGCGGGAGTATTCAATATCCCATAAAGCCACTGGGGAAACCTTATAGAACCTCAACGTTATTTTCATGTTCCTCTCCCACTGCTCTAATGAAAGAATCCCTTTTATGTCCCCTCTTTGTGTATATTAATCATCCCTAGAAGTCCAAGCCCACCTCACCCCACTCTCCTGTGTTTACCCATGAATACTAACATGCTGACTTTGATACCTCCTGCGTTATGCCATGCTGTAGCCTATTACGCCCTTTCTCCTTACATCACTTCTTTCCACTGAGCTTTGAGTATCCTAGTCCACAATCAGAAAATTCCTCTGCAGTACCCAAAATCTTCCCACAAATTTCTTCTATCTGTTTTTCCTAACAGTACTGTTTTTCTTAAGCTGTACGATATCTTATGGTTCATATAAAGCTTATACCTCTCACACATAAAGTTCTTGTGTTTCCTGCTTCCCAATGTCATTTTTAGACCATTTCTCACCTTCAATCATTTGAAAATCCATGTTTCTTGGAGCTCAAGCAGTCTTATTTTACCACTTTTTCTCACCCCTTACTGTATGCTAGAAAACTTTTAATCACATACACAACAATACTTAACTCCTTGCTTCAATTTTCTATTTCAATCCTGCTCACTCCTTTCAATGATCTTATGATTTACATAAAGGATGCTTCCAACCCTGACTTCAGTACCTTACCTCTTCCTGAACTCCCGTTCAAAACCAATTTCGTGTCTATTTTCTTTTTTTATTTTTTATTATTTATTTATTTATTTTGTTATTATACTTTAAGTTCTAGGGTACATATGCACAACGTGCAGGCTTGTTACATATGTATACATGTGCCATGTTGGTGTGCTGCACTCATAAATATGTCATTTATATTAGGCATATCTCCTAATGCTATCCCTCCCCACTCCCCCCACCCCATGAAAGGCCCTGGTGTGTGATATTCCCCACCCTGTGTCCAAGTGTTCTCATTGTTCACTTGCCACCTGTGAGTGAGAAGTAGTGTTTGGTTTTCTGTCCTTGCGACAGTTTGCTCAGAATGATAGTTTACAGCTTCATCCGTGTCCCTACAAAGGACATGAACTCATCCTTTTTTATGGCTCCATAGTATTCCATGGTGTATATGTGCCACATTTTCTTAATCCAGTCTATCATTGTTGGACATTTGGGTTGGTTCCAAGTCTGCTGTTGTGAATAGTGCTGCAATAAACAAATGTGTGCATGTGTCTTTATAGCAGCATGATTTATAATCCTTTGGGTATAAACCCAGTAATGGGATGTCTGGGTCAAATGGTATTTCTCGTTCTAGATCCTTGAGGACTTGCCACACTGTCTTCCACAATGGTTGAACTAGCTTACAGTCCCACCAACAGTGTAAAAGTGCTCCTGTTTCTCCACATCCTCTCGAGCACCTGTTGTTTCCTGACTTTTTAATGATCGCCATTTTAACTGATGTGAGATGGTATCTCATTGTGGTTTTTATTTGCATTTCTCTGATGGCCAGTGATGACGAGCATTTTTTCATGTGTCTTTTGGCTGCATAAATGTCTTCTTTTGAGAAATGTCTGTTCATATCCTTTGCCACTTTTTGATGGGGCCGTTTGATTTTTTTCTTGTAAATTTGTTTAAGTTCTTTGTAGATTCTGGATATTAGCCCTTTGTCAGATGGGTAGATTGCAAAAATTTTCTCCCATTCTGCAGGTTGCCTGTTCACTCTGATGGTAATTTCTCTTGCTGTGCAGAAGCTCTTAATTTAATTAGATCCAATTTATCAATTTTGGCTTTTGATGCCATTGCTTTTGGTGTTTTAGTCATGAAGTCCTTGCCCATGCCTATGTCCTGAATGGTATTGCCTAGGTTTTCTTCAGGGTTTTTATGGTTTTAGGTCTAACATTTAAGTCTTTAATCCATCTTGAATTAATTTTTGCATAAGGTGTAAGGAAGGGATCCAGTTTCAGCTTTCCACATATAGCTAGATAGTTTTCCCAGCACCATTTATTAAATAGGGAATCCTTTCCCCATTTCTTGTTTTTCTCAGGTTTGTCAAAGATCAGATGGTTGTAGATGTGTCGTATTATTTCTGAGGGATCTGTACTGTTCCATTAGTCTATATCTCTGTTTTGGTACCAGTACCATGCTGTTTTGGTTACTGTAGCCTTATAGGATAGTTTGAAGTCAGTTAGTGTGATGCCTCCAGCTTTGTTCTTTTGGCATAGGATTGTCTTGGCAATGTGGGCTCTTTTTTGGTTCCATATGAACTTTAAAGTAGTTTTTTTCCAATTCTTTGAAGAAAGTCATTGGTAGCTTGATGGGGATAGCATTGAATCTATAAATTACCTTGGGTAGTATGGCCATTTTCACGATATTGATTCTTCCTATCCATGAGCATGGAATGTTCTTCCATTTGTTTGTGTCCTCTTTTATTTCGTTGAGCAGTGGTTTGTAATTCTCTTTGAAGTGGTCCTTCACATCCCTTGTAAGTTGGATTCCTAGGTATTTTATTCCCTTTGAAGCAATTGTGAATGGGAGTTCACTCATGATTTGGCTCTCTGTTTGTCTGTTATTTGTGTATAGGAATGCTTGTGATTTTTGCACATTGATTTTTATCTGAGACTTTGCTGAAGTTGCTTATCAGCTTAAAGAGATTTGGGGCTGAGATGATGGGCTTTTCTAATATACAATCATGTCATCTGCAAACAGGGACAATTTGACTTCCTCTTTTCCTAATTGAATACCCTTTATTTCTTTCTCCTGCCTGATTGCCCTGGCCAGAACTTCCAGCACTATGTTGAATAGGAGTGGTGAGACAGGGCATCCCTGTCTTGTGCCAGTTTTCAAAGGGAATGCTTCCAGTTTTTGCCCATTCAGTATGATATTGGCTGTGGGTGTGTCATAAATAGCTCTTATTATTTTGAGATATGTCCCATCAATACCTAATTTATTGAGAGTTTTTAGCATGAAGGGCTGTTGAAGTGGTTTTTGTCTTTTGTTCTGTCTATATGATGGATTACATTTATTGATATGCGTATGTTGAACCAGCCTTGCATCCCAGGGATGAAGCCCACTTGACTGTCATGGATAAGCTTTTTGATGTGCTGCTGGATTCAGTTTGCCAGTATTTTATTGAGGATTTTTGCATCGATATTCATCAGGGATATTGGTCTACAACTCTCTTTTTTTGTTGTGTCTCTGTCAGGCTTTGGTATCAGGATGATGCTGGCCTCATAAAATGAGTTAGGGAGGATTTCCTCTTTTTCTATTGATTGGAATATTTTCAGAAGGAATGGTATCAGCTCCTCTTTATATCTCTGGTAGAATTTGGCTGTGTATCTGTCTGGTCCTGGACTGTTTTTGGTTGGTAGGCTATTAATTATTGCCTCAATTTCAGAGCCTGTTATTGGTCTAGTCAGGGATTCAACTTCTTCCTGGTTTAGTCTTGGGATGGTGTATATGTCCAAGAATGTATCCATTTCTTCTAGATTTTCTAGTTTATTTGCATAGAGGTGTTTATAGTATTCTCTGATGGCAGTTTGTATCTCTGTGGGATCGGTGGTGATATCCCCTTTATCATTTTTTATTGAGTCTATTTGATTCTTCTCTCTTTTCTTCTTTATTAGTCTTCCTAGCAGTCTATCAATTTTGTTGATCTTTTCAAAAAAACAGCTCCTGGATTGATTGATTTTTTGAAGGGTTTTTTGTGTCTCTATCTCATTCCGTTCTGCTCTGATCTTAGTTATTTCTTACCTTCTGCTAGCTTTTGAATTTGTTTGCTCTTGATTCTCTAGTTCTTTTAATTGTGATGTTAGGGTATCAATTTTAGATATTTCCTGCTTTCTCTGTGGGCATTTAGTGCTATAAATTTCCCTCTACACACTGCTTTAAATGTGTCCCAGGGATTCTGGTATGTTGTGTCTTTGTTCTCATTGGTTTCAAAGAACATCTTTATTTCTGCCTTCATTTCATTGTGTACCCAGTAGTCATTCAGGAGCAGGTTGTTCAGTTTCCATGTAGTTGAGCAGTTTTGAGTGAGTTTCTTAATCCTGAGTACTAGTTTGATTGCACTGTGTTCTGAGAGACAGTTTGTTATAATTTCTCTTCTTTTACATTTGCTGATGCATGCTTTACTTCCAACTATGTGGTCAATTTTGGAATAAGTGTGATGTGGTGCTGAGAAGAATGTATATTCTTTTGATTTGGTGTGGAGAGTTCTGCAGATGTCTATTAGGTCCACTTGATGCAGAGCTGAGTTCAATTCCTGGATATTCTTGTTACCTTTCTGTCTCGTTGATCTGTTTAATGCTGACAGGGGGGTGTTAAAGTCTCCCATTATTTTTGTGTGGGAGTCTAAGTCTCTTTGTAGGTCTCTAAGGACTTGCTTTATGAATCTGGGTGCTCCTGTATTGGGTGCATATATATTTTGGATAGTTAGCTCTTCTTGTTGAATTGATCCCTTTACCATTATATAATGGCCTTCTTTGTCTCTTCTGATCTTTGTTGGTTTAAAGTCCGTTTTATCAGAGACTAGGATTGCAACCACTGCTTTTTTTTTGTTTCTATTTGCTTGGTAGATCTTTTTCCATCCCTTTATTTTGAGCCTATGTCTGTCTCTTCACGTGAGATGGGTCTCCTGAATACAGCACACTGATAGGTCTTGACTCTTTATCCATATGCCAGTCTGTGTTTTTTAATTGGAGCATTTAGCCCATTTACATTTAAGGTTAATATTGTTAGATGTGAATTTGATCCTGTCATTATGATATTAGCTGATTATTTTGCTCGTTAGTTGAAGCAGTTTCTCCCTAGCACTGATGGTCTTTACAATTTGGCATATTTTTGCAGTGGCTGGTACTGTTTGTTCCTTTCCATGTTTAGTGCTTCCTTCAGGAGCTCTTGTAAGGCAGGTCTGGTAGTGACAAAATCTCCCAGCATTTGCTTGTCTGTAAAGGAATTTATTTCTCCTTCACTTATGAAGCTTAGTTTTGCTGGATTTGAAATTCTGGGGTGAAAATACTCTTCTTTAAGAATGTTGAATATTGGCCCCCACTCTCTTCTGGCTTGTAGAGTTTCTGCTGAGAGATCCACTGTTAGTCTGATGGGCTTCCTTTTGTGGGTAACCCGAACTTTCTCTCTGGCTGCCCTTAACATTTTTTCCTTCATTTTAACTTTGGTGAATCTGACAATTATGTGTCTTGGAGTTGCTCTTCTCAGGGAGTATCTTTGTGGTGTTCTCTGTATTTCCTGAATTTGAATGCTGGCCTGCCTTGCTAGGTTGGGGAAGTTCTCCTGGATAATATCCTGAAGAGTGTTTTCCAACTTGGTTCCATTCTCCCCGTCACTTTCAGGTACACCAATCAGACGTAGATTTGTTGTCTTCACATAGTCCCATATTTCTTGGAGGCTTTGTTCATTTCTTTTTACTCTTGTTTCTGTAAACTTCTCTTCTCGCTTCATTTCATTCATTTGATCTTCAATCACTGATACCCTTTCTTCCAGTTGATCGAATTGGCTACTGAAGCTTGTGCATGCGTCACGCAGTTCTTATGCCATGGTTTTCAGCTCCATCTGGTCATTTAAGATCTTCTCTACGCTGTTTATTCCAGTTAGCCATTCATCTAATCGTTTTTCAAGCTTTTTAGCTTCTTCGCACTGGGTTCAAACATCCTCGTTTAGCTCGGAGAAGTTTGTTATTACCGATCTTCTGAAGCCTTCTTCTCTCAACTTGTCAAAGTCATTCTCTGTCCAGCTTTGTTCCGTTGCTGGCAAGGAGCTGTGTTCCTTTGGAGGAGAAAAGGCTCTCTGATTTTTAGAATTTTCAGCTTTCTGCTCTGGTTTCTCCCCATCTTTGTGGTTTTATCTACCTTTGGTCTTTGATGATGGTGATGTATAGATGGGGTTTTGGTGGGGATGTCCTTTCTGTTTGTTAGTTTTCCTTCTAACAGTCAGGATCCTCAGGTGCAGGTCTGTTGGAGTTTGCTGGAGGTCCATTCCAGACCCTGTTTGCCTAGGTATCACCAGTGGATGCTGCAGAACCGCAAATTTTGCAGAATGGCAAATGTTGCTGCCTTATCTTTCCTCTGGTAGCTTCATCTCACAGGGGCACCTGGCCTTATGAGGTGCCTGTCGGCCCCTGCTGGGAGGTGTCTCCCAGTTAGGCTAGTTGGGGGTCAGGGACCCATTTGAGGAGGCAGTCTGTCCGTTCTCAGTCTGTCCGTTCTCAGATCTCAAACTCTGTGCTGGGAGAACCACTACTCTTTTCAAAGCTGTCACACAGGGATATTTAATTCTGCAGAAGTTTCTGCTGCCTTTTGTTCAGCTATGACCTGTCCCCAGAGGTGGAGTCTACAGAGGCAGGCAGGCCTCCTTGAGCTGTGGTGGGCTCCACCTAGTTCCAGCTTCCCAGCAGCTTTGTTTACCTACTCAAGCCTCAGCAATGGTGGATGCGCCTCCCCCAGCATTGCTGCTGCCTTGCAGTTCCATCTCAGACTGCTGTGCTAGCAATGAGGGAGGATCCGTGGGCGTGGGACCCTCTGAGCCATGCATGGGATATAATCTCCTGGTGTGCTGTTTGCTAAGACTGTTGGAAAAGCACAGTATTAGGGTGGGAGTGACCCGATTTTCCAGGTGCTGTCTGTCACGGCTTCCCTTGGCTAGGAAAGGAAATTCCCTGACCCCTTGCACTTCCTGGGTGAGGCAACGCCTTGCCTTGCTTCAGCTCACAGTCCGTGGGCTGCACCCACTGTCCTGCACCCACTGTCTGACAAGCCCCAGTGAGATGAACCCAGTACCTCAGTTGGAAATGCAGAAATCACCCGTCTTCTGTGTTGCTCATGCTCAGAGCTGTAGAGTGGAGCTGTTCCTATTCGACCATCTTGGAACCTCCCTTCCGTGTCTATTTTCTAATGGTTTTTGCTGCAAACAAAACAAAAACCCTGGAAATTTTCCAAAATCACCCATTCATGTGTTCTACTGTTTCAACAAAACCTCCTATTCCTCCATCTTACAAAGCAATTCTTCAACTTCACCAAGACTGTCAGTCTTATTTATCCTCTAATTTTCATATACTTTATTTGTAGCCCTTAATCTACTTCTCTTCAGCCTAATGCTCTCCCAATTGAGCTATTTCAGCTAGCTTGGAATTTACTTCTCTTCTTTCCCACTTCTCTAGCTTGGAAAGTATGGTTCAGCATTATAGTCACTATTTTGCAGTTATTATTAAGCATTTTACTTTGCACTTTGCTGAGAAAACACCAATTTTGGAGCATTCTGTTTCTATGCATACATACTGACACATCTGAGCATTACTTCTTAAAAAAATGCACAATATGGTAGAATGCCTTTACCTAAAAGCAGGACATTTGGAAAATGAAAACTTCAATATATTCTTAGCCATTTGTGGGATCTCTGCTTAATTCTCTTGTAACCTCTACATAAAGACTTAATTCTCTACAGTTTTTCTTGTAATGATATTTTGATGATGTGTCCCTTGCTGTATTTTTTCTTGCTTCTCCCACATCCAATCCATCATATGTCTACAAGATTTAATTTCCTAAATAAATTCCTTATCTATTCACCTAAAACATAGTTAGGATACAGTATATATTTAATAAACATTTATTCATTTATTTAATAAGTGAATACATTTAATCATTCCTGAAATATTTTTATTCCAATTTTCTGATTGATAGGTATAACTGTTGTAAGTCTCAACCTGCATGACTCAGTATGGAATATGATTTAAGCCAAGACAGCATAATCTGTGCATCTTTTAAAAAGTTTTAAAATTCAACAATTTGCTTGTCTCTCTCAAACTCTGTGAGCTACAGTTGAACAATACTTATTATAATTTCTTTCATCAGTGCCTACATAGTCTGTAAACAATGCACACATTTACAGCTACCTCTAGAAGTTCCCTAAATCTTTCCCCTTTGAAAAGTTACTATGACCTTGCCCTACCCTATGAACTTCCCTTGTTTATCTTGTATAGATAAACATACATACACAAATATAAGGTTTTGGCATGCAATTCCATTAAACTGTGGTAAAAGATAACCTGTATGAGTTTCCTTTTTTTGTGTTGTATCCTTTGCTTGAAAAAAGAGAATGTGTGTGTGTGTGTGTGTGTATGAGAGAGAGAGAGAGAGAGAGAGAGAGAGAAAGAGCAAGAGAGAAAAAGAGAGAGAGAGAATGGTTTCTGCCTGGTCAAGTTTATAATCTGATTTAATTATTTGCAAAAAAAATAAGGCTACGTAGTGTTAGAAAAGGCTTTTAGATCATGTTACTTAAATATTTTATCTATTGCTTTCAAAAAACCATGCTTTAAATGCATCTGTTATGATTGTGTATTGGACATTTTCTGTATATTTATGCTATCTTTTGTACTTTTCAAATATATATCATTGTGCACACAATGATTCATTATTTTTTAATCTCCATGGTTTTAATTTTTATCAAAACAAAGTATTTCCGTCTGTTAACTTTTCTGCTTTTGGTTTGGCATTCTGTTTATTTTATTATCAATATGACTAGATCTTTTTATTTTATTTTTTGAGACGGAGTCTAGCTCTGTCGCCAGGCTGGAGTGCAGTGGTGCAATCTTAGCTCACTGCAAACTCCGCCTCCTGGGTTCAATTGATTCTCATGCCTCAGCCTCCCAAGTAGCTGGGATTACAGGCATGCACCACCACACCCAGTTATTTTTTGTATTTTTAGAAGAGACAAGGTTTCACCATGTTGGCCTCGATGGTCTGGATCTCCTGACCTCATGATCCACCTGTTTCGGCCTCCCAAAGTGCTGGGATTACAGGCGTGAGCCACCGTGCCCGGTGATCTTTTTATTGTTAAAAAAATAGTAAACATTTTACATCTTGCTGTTAAAACAACTTTTTCTGTTATATTTATTTTATCTATGTCTTTGGTTTATAGGACATTGTTGGTGAATTTCATTCTTATATCAGGCTCTGCTTTATAAATGGGGATATTCGTCCATTTGAACATCTGGAGTAAGTGATATATTTGGTGTTATTTCTAATTAGAAGCATAATTAAAGAAATAGATTTACAATGTAAACAAAATTCACGTTTTCAATTTATTCTCCTTTTTTTCATTTTCTTTAATGTATTTACTCGTTTCTGCTTTTTGTTTGATCAATTGTTGTTATTATCATTTTTCTTCTACTTTCCTATGGTGATATAGAATACATCCATACTTTTTGTGGGAAATCTAATGATTACTCATAAGTTGTTAATATTAAAATACATACTTTTCTATCTTTGTGAAGAATTAATCTCTGGCTAAATAGGGGAAGAACACAACATGACATTAACCACACAAAATATTTTCTACATGTTATTGTAAAATTTTTATTATTGATATTTTAATCATAAATACATTCATAACTTACCAATATCATCACCTTCAACAGTGAGATCATCTGGATTTTACATTCACACAATTTTAAGCATATGTTAGCAATCACTTAGACAATCCATAATCATTGTTTATTTAAAAATAAAAATACATAAATCATAATTTATTTGTCAACTAATTTTATTTTTCATACCTTTTTCTTATTTGAAATCATACTTTTTTACTGAAATATGATTTTTTGTAATATACTTTCCACAATTGTTGTTTTGTAGTTAAACTTTTGCCAATCTATGTCAAAAATGTTCTGATTTAATGCTAGTTTTTCTGGATTGATGGATCAATGGTCAAAATAAATTTTGCTCAGAACTTTGAAATTGTTACCTTGGTTTTCCTAGTAAACTGTGTTAAAACAAGGTCTCTACAATGTCTCACTCCAATCTGTCATTGATTTCATAGAGTTTTTACTTTAATTTGTATTTCTTCTTTTATGTTCTGTTTTTTAAATTTTATTTTTTTTGTTCCTCACTCTAAGAATGTATATTCCAGATAAACAACTTTATAACCTGTACTTAATTTTTTACTAACCCCTTCAAAGAATTTAATTTTTTCAAGGAATATTCTTATAACTAACAGGTTTTGAATTTATATATACAATATTCTATCAAATTTATTAATAAAGAGCAGTGTTGAATTATTTTAAAGCTTTTTCTGTTATCCGAATTATGGTATTTATATGTAATCAATTGCTTTATTTTGGTTCTTTTTAAAATTATTACTTATTCTCAAATGTCTGTCAAGCATTATTGACTCTCTGATCACATAAATGAATAAATGACTTTTTCACATTGGTGATACAGTGGTGAGCTTGTCTTCCACAAATAAATGTTTTTTTAATTTTTTTTAATTTCCAACTTTTATTTTAAGTTCAGGAGTACATGTGCAGGATGTGCATATTTGTTACATAGGTAGGCATTTGCCATGGTGGTTTGCTGCACAGATAATCCCATCACCCAAGTATTAAGCCCAGAATACATTAACTATTCTTCCTGATTCTCTCTCTCCTCCCACCCCCTACCCTCTGGCAGACCCCAGTGTGTGTTTTCTCCCCAATGTGTATGTGTTCTCATCATTCAGCTCTCACTTATAAGTGAGAACCTGCAGTTTTTGGGTTTTTGTTTCTGCATTAGTTTGCTAAGGATAAAGGCCTGCAGCTCCATCCATGTTCCCACAAAGGACATGATCTCATTCCTTTTAATGGCTGCATGGTATTCCATAGTGTATATGTACCACATTTTCTTTATCCACTCTATCACTGATGGGTGTTTGGGTTGATTCCATGTTTTTGCTATTTTGAGTAGTGCTGTAATGAACATATGTGTGTATGTTTCTTTATAATAGAATAATTTGTATTCCTTTGGGTATATACCCAGTAATAGGATTGCTAGGCTAAAAAACTTCTTTTGCTGCTCAGAAACTCTCTAGTTTAATTAGATCCCACTTATCAGTTTTTGCTTTTGTTGCAATTGCTTTTGCCATAATTGCTTTTAGTGTCCTTATCATAAAATCTTTGCCCATGCCTATGTCCCAAATGGTACTGCCTAGATTTTCTTCTAGAGTTTTTATAGTTTTGAGTTTTACATCTCTTTAATCCATCTTGAGTTGATTTTTGTATATGGTGTAAGGAAAGGGTCTATTTTCAATTTTTGGCATATGGCTAACCAGTTCTCCCGGCACCATTTATTAAATAGAGAATCCTTTCCCCATTGTTTGTGTTTGTAAGGTTTATCGAAGATTAGATGCTTTGAGGTGTGCAGTCTTATTTCTAGGCTCTCTATTCTGTTGCATCAGTCTATGTGTCTGTTCTTGTATCAGTACCATGCTGTTTTGGTTACTGGAGCCCTGTAGTATAGTTTGAAATTAGGTAGTATGATGCCTCCAGATTTGTTCTTTTTGTTCAGTATTGCCTTGACAATTCAGGTTCTTTTTTCTTTTTTGGTTCTGTATGAATTTTAAAATAGTTTTTTTTGTAAATTCTGTGAAGAATGTCAGTGGTAGCTTAAGGGGAATAGGACTGAACTGGTAAATTGCCTTGGGAAGTATGGCCATTTTTGCAATATTGATTCTTCCTGTCCATGAGCATGGAATGTTTTTTTCATCTGTTTGTGTCATCTCTGATTTCTTTGAGCAGTGGTTTGTAGTTCTCCTTGAAGAGGTCCTTCACTTCCCTTGTTAGCTGTATTCCTAGGTATTTTATTCTTTTTGTGGGAATTGTGAATGGGAGTTCATTTGTGGTTTGGCTCTTGGTTTGCCTGTTGTTGACGTATAGAGATGCTAGCAATTTTTGCACATTGATTTTTGTATCATGAGACTTTACTGAAATAGCTTATCAGCATAAAAAGCTTTTGGGCTGAGATGAGGGGGTTTTCTAGATATAGGATCGTGTTATCTGCAAACAAAGACAGTTTGACTTCTTTTCTTCCAATTTGAATACCTTTATTTTTTCTCTTGTCTGATTGCCCTGGCCAGAACTTCCAATACCATGGTGAATAGGTGTAGTGAGAGAGGCAACCTTGTCTTTGCTGGTTTTCAAGGGAAATGCTTCCAGTTTTTGCCCATTTGGCATGATATTGGCTGTGATTTAATAAACGATTATACATATAGAAATCTAATATAAGTTACAACTTTGATATGTTTTGTTCCAATAATAAACTTGTCTCCTAAATTAATACTAATTTTCAGCTTTTTTTCCCCTAAAGTAAATGACGTTTTCTTAACTCTTTTTTTTCTATCCTCCATATTTTCTGACTTTTTTTCTTCCAGCTCTCTTTAATCATATCCAATTAGTTGCCTATTTTCTAGGAACTCTTCAAAATTTCTAGTCTACTGATGGTGAATTGTCTATGCTAATGTTGTTTTAGAATTTTTCTTTTAAAATATGTTATTAATTATTTATTTTATAGATCATTGATTTTGTTTTTATTTTAGAAATTGCTGAGGTTGGCCAAGAGGAAATAATTATAATCACATATGACTAAAAACAAACAAACAAATAAATAAATAAAACTCTAGAGAGATTTACTACTCTTAACTAAAGGATGGTTTTTTTGTTTGTTTGTTTGTTTTTTTTTGAGATGGAGTCTCACTGTTGTCACCCAGGCTGGAGTGTAATGGTGCGATTTCAGCTGACTGTACCCTCTGCCTCCCGGGTTCGAGCAATTCTCCTACCTCAGCCTCCCAAGTAGCTGAGATTACAGGTGCCTGCCACCACTTCCGGCTAATTTTTGTATTGTTAGTAGAGACGAGGTTTGACTATGTTGGCCAGGCTGGTCTCAAACTCCTGACCTCAGGTGATACACCTGCCTCGGCCTCCCAAAGTACTTGGATTACAGGCGTGAACCACCGTGCCCAACCAACTAAAAGATTCTTATAGGCTCAACAAAGGTAGTTTCTTGTTCCTCTTTATTTTAGATGATCAGTGAGTGCTTTCTCAATACATTTTTTTGTTTGTTTGCTATTTGTTTTATAGCCACTGAGTCATCTGTTGAATGCCACCTGGAAGGTAACTATACTACTGCCTTAGCAATGGATGTTTTAATGCCAAGGTAAGATGCAAATATTTACTTGCTTTGAAGACTCCAATTATATCCTTGTTTTAATCTGATTTACAGATTCCAACAAACTTGAAGATTTCTGTGTTAAATATTGTTCAGTACTTAGCAATACACCAACCTTCTTAAGCTCTTTCTTGATACACAAATGATAGAAAGCTAAAAATTACATTTACAGATGAGTAAACTGAAGCTGTAGAAGATAACTATTCCACTGATGACCACACAGCTAGTGAACAGAGCCAGGACTGAGTACCAACCCCAAAAGTCCCATGGCACCTGAATGACTAAGCACTGTGCCACTGTCTTGGTGAGGTGGCCCCTGAACAGCAATGAAGCTTAATGGGCCCTAGCAGCTAAGCAATGACAGTCCCAAGCAATTGGTGACCAAACTTGCTATAGACAGTTGTCAACTGGCTTGTCAACAGAATTTAATTCTCATTTCTCCAAGGAGAGGCACTTGCTCAAGATCAGGAGGTCATAACAGAAAACAAACCTAGGATACTCATGCCGTGGTAGCAGATGCTGGCTGAGGGCAAATATAAGGTTAACAGAAGTTTCTGGACAAGCTTACAAATCTATGCCTCAATGTTACTGGCAACTGAGGGAAACACAATTGGCTTCCTTCAATGTTTGCAGAGCCAGAAATAGTTCTCCCTGACTTCTCTTCCCAAGACTTTTCAACTGTTTTGTAAACATATATTTTTTTTGCTAAGTTTTTTTCCTGGAAAATATCTAGAGAAGTTTCTGTTTTCAGAAAGGCTGACTGTAATGATCTCTTAAACTTATCCTGAGCTAACTATGTATTGGTTAACCCAAGCACAAAAGGGAGGAATTTAGCCTCAAAGCCTAGAAGGCTTTGACTTCACAATAATGGTAAAATAAGACGAATGACCTCACAATAACTGTAAAATAAGAATTAAACAGATATTGGTTGGAGTCCTGGATGGAGAGAAAAAAGAAGAAAAAAATCCAGATTTGGCTTCTATAAATTGCAACATTCAATTGCTTCATAAATGAACATCGAGCAATTCTTTGCCCTGTGCAGAAAATAAATGGATCTTGATGACTAACTGTCTTATAATTATCTAAATCAGAAGGCAACTCTGGTTGTTGTTCAAAATGAGAAAAATATTAATTCAGTCCTAATATGTGGCATGAGCCTGTTCGCCAGAATTTGCTTTTATTCCCTCTCTACACCAGTTGTAAGGACTGCTAAAAGTTTGAGTGTTACCTTGCAGTGCTAAAAGTACAACTTAACATTGTTGTCTCAGGGTTACATAAACTTTTACTCTCTGCCAAGAGATGCTTTGAGTGTGCTCCTCAAACCCACTTATGAAGTATGTCATCAGTTTTAAGTAAGGATGAGAATAAAAGAAGGTTCAGCACCAAGTCTAGACTTCAGTGAAAGTTGTCTTCCACTTGGGAATTAATATCCAACATATCCAGTGATATGCCAAGTTACTGTGGCAAATATAGATGATGTATTGAGCCTACGGAAATCAATAGGAGAATAATAGCATAGGCATCTAGAGTTTGGGAGCAAGTTCATATCTTCTTTAGAAGATAACTATTCTTTTGAGACACAGCTTTCAGCTTTTAGTCAACACTCGCTCATCGAGGCTGAGAGTATATTCAATGATATTCAAAATTTCTGTGAAAAATATAACTTTTGTATGAAGCCCCTGAAGGTCCCCTGTAAAGTGTAAAAACACAGACTTCTATGCTTTGAGGCTAAATTCTTTTATTTTGCTGATAAACATTGCCTTTTTGAGAAATATCCCTGGGCTTCTATTCAACCTTGGTAGCCACTCTAACAATAGGAAATTAGATAATCGTGTACACTAAGATGTTTATCACAAATTGCCTGTATCTTTTCCACAATCTATAAGCTTGTACTTATGGAGAAGCAATCAGTCATCTAGTGAAAATGGGAGATAAAAGATCAGTTTGGAAGGTGCATGAATGCTTCAAGAGCTGGTGGCTCAAATTACATCAATACTAATCCCTGAGACATTGTCTATCTTCCCTAATCCAGCCCCGTGGTCTCATGGATAGTTGCTTATGTCCCATTGACTGAAGATGAAAATGAATGTTCCTGGTTTATAGAAAATCTACATCAAATGCCAGTTATGAATAAAAGTGAATACAGCAGACATACATCCTAATCCAGAAATGGCTCTGAAGGATCGCAGGACAGAAAGATACGTCTTTCTAGTAGAAATTCAAGTAGTATATCTGGTTTCCACTTAGTTTGAACTGAGAAATTGCTGTGAATAAAGAAAGAAATTGATTCATGGGCAGTTTCATTTGTATACTAACCAAAGATCACCTTCTACAGAAGGGTCTTTCACTAATCAAGTGGACCAAATGACATATATTGTGCATATAATTCAGTCCCTCTCTTTTCCTTTTTTTTTTTTTTTTTGATATAGGGTCTTGCTCTGTCATCTATGCTAGAGTGCAGTGGTGCAATCATTGCTCACTGTAGACTTGACCTCCCAGGCTCAAGTGATCCTCCTACCTAAGCCTCTCAAGTATCTGGGACCACAGGCACACATCACCATGCCTGGCTGTTTTTTTTTTTTTTAATTATTATTATTTGTAGAGACAGGGTGTTGCTATGTTGCCCAGGCTAGTCTTGAACTCCTAGGTTCAACTGATCCACTCACCTTGGCCTTCAAAGCGTTGGGATTATGAGATTATAGGCATGAGCCACCGCACTGGCCTCAGTCTCTTTTAAAAGCCACCCTGTGCCTCTGCAACAAATCTATGTAAAAAATATTCATGACAATAGTGATGTAAGTACAGAATTTACCCTCACCAAGCTTACCTGGTTTTTGCCATATCAAGTATCTAATCTGTCAACAGTAGAGAAAAACAACTTTTTCTATGTGGAACCATTTTTTGATGGTAGACTGGATGCATTAGAACAACTATATCATGTAAGATACAGTTATTTATTCTCACAGAACAGAAATATATTGTGGATATGGACTTACCTTTCCTGCCCATACACTTTGAAACCTGTTATCCATGAATTTATTAACTGCCTAATTCACCATCATGGTATTGTACACACAATTGATTTTGATAAAGAAACAGATTTTACAGCATATATAGTAAAGCAATGGGCTCTGGTCCATAAAATTCATAGGCCTTACCGAATGCCCCATTAGCCGTAAGCAACTGGTTTGTTGGAATAAGCACATGTCTTTTGAAGACTCAAACAATGCATGTCAGTTGAGAGAAAAGATCCTTGAAGCATAGTGTTTTATCATATTCTAGGAGTCAATGGCTTGGCCCTCTGAAGCTCTGCTGAAAAATAAATGTGCAAAAGGCTGATTAGTTGGAGGAAAGGCATGAAAATTTACTTAACCTGTATACATGGGAATTTTCAGAATAAAGACCCAAAGAGACAGGGAAAACTGTCTATTTTTATAACGAGGTTCAATAAAGTATGGCCAACCATGTAGAAATATGACTGGACAGGGCGGAGCATGGTGGCTCATGCCTGTAATCCCAGCAATTTGGGAGGCCAAGCCAGCGGATCACGAGGTCAGGAGATCGAGACCATCTTGGTTAACACGGTGAAACCCGGGCTAACACGGTGAAACCCGGTCTCTACTAAAAATACAGAAAATTAGCCAGTCGTGGTGGCGGGCACCTGTAGTCCCAGCTACTCAGGAGGCTGAGGCAGGAGGATGGCATGAACCCAGAAGGTGGAGCTTGCAGTGAGCCGAGATCGTGCCACTGCACTCCAGCCTGGGCGACAGAGCGAGACTCTGTCTCAAAATAAAAAAGAAAAGAAAAGAAATATGACTGGACAGAAAGTGTATTGTCTAATGTTAATAGATTGAGTGCGGGAAACCCAGAAGGTCCTATCTGTCTAGATTCTTCTTGGCATCTCTGAGGTGTGGAGCAGAACCCTCTCTGGAATGGGGGTCTGGGTATGGGCAGGACTGTCTCTGGAATACGAGTCTTACAACTTATAGTCAAGCAAGATAGGTCAGATGATTTCTTTATGGTCAGCTTTTACACAAAAAAAGGTGGTGAGAAAGTGAGAGTAATATTTTTAGGTTTTGTGGCTAGTTTGGGGTAAAAGGAGTTCTTGTTTCTATGACCCACCTTAGGGAAAAGGCGTTCTAGTTTCTCTGGCTAGCCTTTAGAAGAGAATGAAACAGAGACGGGAGGGCGGGAGAAAGTCGAAGAAAAACTTTTGGTTCTGAGGTCTTCATTTTAGGCTATTATTTTCTAAGCCCCAACAACACAAACTGAAGTATATCCTTTGAATTAGCAACCGATATATGGTGCAGACTGTAACCATCTGGCAATGAAGTAGTAAAAGTGGTATTAGTAGTTTCTGTCATGATTACACATAATGTCTCACTCCATTTTTTCCCCTTCATTCCACAAGTTTCAGCTCTGCTGGGGTGGAGATTTTGGTTCCTAAGAGGACTGTTTTCAGGAAGAAATTCCACTGAATTGGAAATTGAGCTTGCCATTCAGTCATTAGTTTGCTTTTGTTGTTGTTGCTTGCTTGCTTTCTCCTTTTTTCTTTCTTTCTTTCTTTCTTTTTCTTTTCTTTTCTTTTTTCTTTTCTTTCTTTTCTTTCTTTCTCTTTCTTTCTTTCTTTCTTTCTTTCTTTCTTTCTTTCTTTCTTTCTTTCTTTCTTTCTTTCTTTCCTTTTCTCTCTTTCTCTCATTCTTTCTCTCTGTGATATTAAACCAGCAAACAAAAATGAGGGTTACTTGATTGTCTGTGTGACTGATTAAGATTACAAGGAGAATAGCATTGCTATTATTTAATAGGGGGTCTAGGAAGATTATGTCTAGAATCTCCGCAGGATGCCTCTTAGTACTTTACTGTTGAATAGTAAAAGTTAATATAAAATTACAGCAAACAAACAAAAAAAGAGCCATTATGGATTCAGTGTCTTCAGGAATGAAGATTTTTGTCCTTCTAGCAGGTAAAGACCTAGCCCTGCTGAGCTCTAATCTAAGAACAAAGGACATAAAACATTGACTCTGTAATGGCAGATAAAGCATGGATTCATGAACACATTCAAGGAGAATTATACCACTTATGTATATCTTCCCTTGCTTGTTATATGTGTGTTTATGTACATCTGTTTTTATTATATATTTTTTCTTTTTGTCTTTCCCTAATTATTTTATAAAAGGATTGTTAGTGGCTATTTTTTAATTTAGTCTGCAGGTAAAAGATATTCAGAAGAGACTGTGAATTAGTGGGACAAACAGTTAACCTAGTCCAGAGATGGATACTGTAACTGTCTTCCAGACATGGATCTACTGAGTGAATATGGAAACTTTGTATAATTTCCTGAGAAGTGGAAGAGTAATTTTGTTTGTACAAAGAAAAATTGCCTCTTATTAGGAAAAATCATAGGTTGCTTTTATTATTACAGTATGTGTGGATTCTGTACTAGACAATTACCTATTGGCTTTTACCTTTAAATTTACCCTGTTGTAGTCTAGCTGTGCTAGTGATGGGATTTTGCGAACCACATTTACACTTTATCAGCTGGATCTTGTTTAGACTCTGCCAATACAGGATTTTAGAGAAAGAAAGGAAGGATAGAAGTGGAAGAGGGGACTTGATTCGTACTTTTTATTTTCTATTCCTGTTAGACTCACCCTTGCAATGGTTCTCACCTTGGCAATGACAGTTGTTGCAAGTAAAAGCAGTCAATTTCAGCTTTCAGGCAGAAACAGCCTCACTGCATCTCCTCAGAGACACCAGAATAGCTGGCTGACCCTTCATCGCTGAGGTCTAACTCTCTGCTCCATGAGGCCACTTCTCAATTATAAGAATTTTATAGATTTCCCGTCGTTTACTCATAGGGCTTGTGGCTGTTCACTGCAATTATTAGTTCTACAAAACCTCACTTTTATCCCAGGTATTTTTTAAATTGTCCATGCCTGATTAATGATTTTTATATCAAGTTATCTCCTGTTAAAATAATTCATATGGCTGGATGTGGTGGCTCACACCTGTAATCTCAGCAGTTTGGGAGGCTGAGGCAGGCAGATCACTTGAGGTCAGGAGTTCAAGACCAGCCTGGCAAACATGATAAAACACCGTTTCTACTAAAAAATACAAAAATTAGCAGGCGTTGTGGTGCATGCTTGTAATCTCAGCTACTTGAGAAGTTGAGGCAGAAGGATACCTTGAACCTGGTAGGTGGAGTTGTAGTGAGCCAAGATGGTGCTACTGCACTCCAGCCTGTGCGACAGAACAGGACTCCATCTCAATAAAATAATTCATATGATTTCTGCTTGTTGTCTGGACCCCAACTAATATAGACATTATGCTTGTCTGGACCCCAACTAATACAGACATTATACGAAGTATTGCAAGTATAATGATGAGATAAAGTTTCTACCTGTAGGATCACTATAAGGAAGGGAAGGGACAAGTAAACAGGGCACTATAATACAGCATGTTGTAAAAAAGCTTTGTTTTTAAAAAGCCTCAGAAGTAATATAAAACCATATTGAAATACTTGCATTCCTCTCACTGTTATACTGTTTTCTCTACCTAGGACATTCATTCATTCGTTCATTCAACTAATATTTATTCAGCACTCAGTATTTATTTGCAGGATTTCTGGGGATAATTTTTTAGCCAGAAAACAAAAAATGAAAGAAAAGATATATTTCTGCTGTCATGTAGCTCATTATCTATAGCAGATGACTGATATTAAATAAAGAATGACAGCGATCTATAATTGCAAACTCCAAATCTACTAATGCTCTGAACAAAAACCATAGGGAGCTTGGGAAATATACTACAGATGAGTTTCATATATTCTGGAGGGTCAGAACAGAATGAAATTCCTCATGAAATGGCAAGTGAACTGAAATTACAAGCTTTAAAGAAAGTTAATTATGAGAAAATATGTTTTAAAAAATATCCCAACCTTAGGGGAGCAGCTTGTACAAAAGCCCTGAGTTAAAAACAGACACAACTAAGTGTAAGAAGTGAAAGCAAGGTATAAATACCCTATCTCTACACTTTCCTCTTTTCTTGCTCTCACTTAAGTATTACCTGTTTATTTATTTTTACCCTCAGTTTTATTGAGGTTTAACTGGCAAACAAAAAGCTGAACATAATGAATGTATACTATTTAGTGAGTCTGAACACATATACACACTCATGTTACTATCCCCATAATCAAGATAATAAATACATCCCTCAGGACCAAATAATTTTTTGTGTCTCTTTGGGTCTTTTCTGTTCTCATTGTTTCTGACTTTGTCTTGCTATGGTAAGAACACATAACATGAGGTCGATTCTTTTATTAAAAAATTAAGTGCACAGTAAATAATTGTTATCTATAGGCACTGTGCTGAACCACAGTTTTCTGGTAGTTAATTTGATAACTGTTACTTTATATCTATTAAAAAGAAAACCCAGGCTGGGTGTGGTGGCTCACGCCTGTAATTCCAGTGCTTTGGGAGGCCGAGATAAGCAGATCACCTGAGGTCAGGAGTTCAAGACCAGCCTGGCCAATATAGTGGAACCCCGTCTCTATTAAAAATAATTTAAAAAAATTAGCTGGGTGTGGTGGTGGGCGCCTGTAATCCCAGCTACTTGGGAAGCTGAGGCAGAAGAATCTCTTGAACCTGGGAGGCAAAGGTTACAGTGAGCCGAGATCGTGCCATTCCACTCCAGCCTGTACAACAAGAGCAAAACTTCATCACAAAACAAAACAAAACAGCCTCCCCATATCTGTCTCATCTTATCCCCTGGTAAGCACCATTCTACTGTCTATTTTCTCTAAGTCTGACTATTTTAGATGACTCATGTAAGTGGAACCATGCAACATTCATCTTTCTTTTTTTATTTATTTATTTTTATTTATTTATTTATTTTTTTAATTATACTTTAAGTTTTAGGGTACATGTGCACATTGTGCAGGTTAGTTACATATGTATACATGTGCCATGCTGGTGTGCTGCACCCACTAACTCGTCATCTAGCATTAGGTATATCTCCCAATGCTATCCCTCCCCCCTCCCCCCACCCCACCACAGTCCCCAGAGTGTGATATTCCCCTTCCTGTGTCCATGTGATCTCATTGTTCAATTCCCACCTATGAGTGAGAATATGCGGTGTTTGGTTTTTTGTTCTTGTGATAGCTTACTGAGAATGATGATTTCCAATTTCATCCATGTCCCTACAAAGGACATGAACTCATCATTTTTTATGGCTGCATAGTATTCCATGGTGTATATGTGCCACATTTTCTTAATCCAGTCTATCATTGTTGGACATTTGGGTTGGTTCCAAGTCTTTGCTATTGTGAATAATGCCGCAATAAACATACGTGTGCATGTGTCTTTATAGCAGCATGATTTATAGTCATTTGGGTATATACCCAGTAATGGGATGGCTGGGTCAAATGGTATTTCTAGTTCTAGATCCCTGAGGAATCGCCACACTGACTTCCACAATGGTTGAACTAGTTTACAGTCCCACCAACAGTGTAAAAGTGTTCCTATTTCTCCACATCCTCTCCAGCACCTGTTGTTTCCTGACTTTTTAATGATTGCCATTCTAACTGGTGTGAGATGGTATCTCATAGTGGTTTTGATTTGCATTTCTCTGATGGCCAGTGATCATGAGCATTTTTTCATGTGTTTCTTGGCTGCATAAATGTCTTCTTTTGAGAAGTGTCTGTTCATGTCCTTTGCCCACGTTTTGATAGGGTTGTTTGTTTTTTTCTTGTAAATTTGTTTGAGTTCATTGTAGATTCTGGATATTAGCCCTTTGTCAGATGAGTAGGTTGCGAAAATTTTCTCCCATTTTGTAGGTTGCCTGTTCACTCTGATGGTAGTTTCTTTTGCTGTGCAGAAGCTCTTTAGTTTAATTAGATCCCATTTGTCAATTTTGGCTTTTGTTGCCATTGCTTTTGGTGTTTTGGACATGAAATCCTTGCCCATGCCTATGTCCTGAATGGTAATGCCTAGGTTTTCTTCTAGGGTTTTTATGGTTTTAGGTCTAACGTCTAAATCTTTAATCCATCTTGAATTGATTTTTGTATAAGGTGTAAGAAAGGGATCCAGTTTCAGCTTTCTACATATGGCTAGCCAGTTTTCCCAGCACCATTTATTAAATAGGGAATCCTTTCCCCATTGCTTGTTTTTCTCAGGTTTGTCAAAGATCAGATAGTTGTAGATATGCGGCGTTATTTCTGAGGGCTCTGTTCTGTTCCATTGATCTATATCTCTGTTTTGGTACCAGTACCATGCTGTTTTGGTTACTGTAGCCTTGTAGTATAGTTTGAAGTCAGGTAGTGTGATGCCTCCAGCTTTGTTCTTTTGGCTTAGGATTGACTTGGCGATGCGGGCTCTTTTTTGGTTCCATATGAACTTTAAAGTAGTTTTTTCCAATTCTGTGAGGAAAGTCATTGGTAGCTTTATGGGGATGGCATTGAATCTGTAAATTACCAACAACAGACAAACAGAGAGCCAAATCGTGAGTGAACTCCCATTCACAATTGCTTCAAAGAGAATAAAATACCTAGGAATCCAACTTACAAGGGATGTGAAGGACCTCTTCAAGGAGAACTACAAACCACTGCTCAAGGAAATAAAAGAGGATACAAACAAATGGAAGAACATTCCATGCTCATGGGTAGGAAGAATCAATATCGCAACGTTCATCTTTCTATGACTGACATTTCACCTAGCATTTTGTCTTCCATATTCATCTATGTCATCATAGATGGTACAATTTTCTGCTTTTTTTGGTTGAATAATATTTTATTATCTGCATATATCCCATTTTTCTTTTTCCATTCATCAGCTGGTGCACATTGAATTATTTTCCCGCCTTGGCTATTATAAATAACGTCTCTATGAAGAGGGGAGTGGAGATATGTATTTAAGATTTGTATTTCAATTATTTTGGATATATAGCAAGAGATGGGTTGCTGGATCATATGATAGTTCTATTTTTAATTTTTTTGAGGAACTTACATGCTGTTTGCCAAAGTAGCTGCACCATTTTATAGTCTTACCAACAGTGAACAAGGGTTCGAATTTCTTCATAACCTCCCCAATACTTATCTTTTTAAAAACTAATAACCATGCTAATAGTTGTGATGCAATATTTTGTGTGTTTTACATTTGCATTTCTCTGATGACTGGTGATATTAAACATTTTTTACATACCCGTTGGTCATTTGTAAATTTTCTTTGAAGATCCTTTGCCCATAATTTTTTTTCTATTTGGGGTCCTATGCTAACTTTTAAGCAGGTTATTTGTAATTTTGCTATAGAATTGCAATAGTTCATTACATATTTTGGAAATTAGCCCCTTACCAAATATACATTTTGAAGAGATTTTCTCCCATTTCATAGGTTGCCTATAACCAAAAGGTCTCATATCAATATATCATTGCTAAATTTTCACAGAGATTAAAAAAATTCTAAAATTCATATGGAACCAAAAAGACACCAATGATCAAAGCAATTTTGTAAAAAAACCCAAAACAGTAAATGAGCAGAAAACAAAACTGGAGACATCATACTTCCTGATTTTGATACATCATAAAGCTATATTAATCAAAACAGTATGTGCTGCCATAAATGCAACAACATACAACAATAGAACATAAAGAAGAGCTCAGAAGTAAGCTCATGCATATATGGTTAACTAATCTTTGACAAGGGTGTCAAAAACATACAATGGGGAAGAGACAGTCTCTTTAATAAATGATGTTTGGACAACTGGATATAAACACACAGAAGCATAAAATTAGATCTTTAACTCTCATCATGTACAAAAATCAACTCAAAGTATTTTAAACACAAATGTAAAACCTGAAATTATAAATCTCCTAGAAGAAAGCAGAGAGAAAAAAATCTCCTTGACATTGATATTACAATATTTTTTTGATATGACACCAACAGCAAAAGAGACAAAAACAAAAATATGTAAGCGAGACTACATGAAACCAAGAAGCTTCTGCCCTGCAAAGGAAACAATCAACAAAATAAGAAAGTAAACTATGGAATGGGAAAAAATGTTTGTAAACCATATATCTGATAAGAGGTTAGTATCTGAAATATATAAGTGACTCATACAGCTCAGTAGCAAAAAAACAGGAAATCTGATTACAATATGGGCAAAGGACCTGATTAGGCATTTTCCCAAATAAGATATTCGAGTGGCCGACACATATGTGAAAAGGCGCTCCACATTACTAACCATTGAGATCGTCAGTGAAACACAAATCAAAACCACAATGATACATCAACTCACATCTGTTAGGATGGCTATTATAAAAAAGACAAGACATAACAAAAGTTGATTAAGGATGTGGAGAAAAAAGAATTCTTGAGCACTATTGGTGGAAAGGTAAATTGGTACAGCTATTATAGAAAACAGTATAAAGGTCTTCAAATAATTAAAAGTAGAATTACATTAGATTCAGCAAGCTCACTACTGATTATATAACTGAGGAAAATGAAATAAGTACCCTGGAGTGATATCTGCACTCCCATGTGCATTGCAGCATTATTCACAATAGGGAACAATGGAAAACAGAAACAACCTGTCTATTTACAGATGAATGGAAAAAAATTGGTATATATGCACAATAAAATACTATTCAGCTTTAAAAAGAAAGTAAGTACTCAATTTGTGACAATATGGATGAACCTGGATGGGTGTTATGCTAAGTGAAATAAGTCAGGCAGAGACTGGCAACTATTACGTGATATCTCTTATATGTGGATTTTTTTTTAAAGATCAATTAACAAAAACAAACTGTAGAATGGTGGTTTCCAGGGTCAGGGGAGTTGGAAAAATGGAAAGATGTTTGCCAAAAGGTACAAACTTTAAGTATAAGACTAATAAGTTCTTATGATATAATGTACAACATGGTGATTGTAGCTAATGACATTGTCTTATATACTTGAAATTTGCTAACAAAGGAGATTTTAAGCATTCTCACCAAAAGAAGTATGTGAAATGATAGATGTGTTAACTAACTTGATTATGGTAATTATTTTACAGTGTATACATATGACAATTTATCATATTGTACACTTCAGATATACATAATCTTATTAATTGTAACTCAATACATCTGGAGAAAAATATTTAATATTAATCAAGTAAGTAAGAAGCCTTTGTGTGCAAAACAAAAAGTGAAAAGTTCTTGACTTCCTCCAACTAATGTCAACCATAAAACTACAATGGTAAATATGAAAGGTGTATCAAATAAATATATTTTTTGAATAAAAAAACCAGTTGATTTTCCTGAACCAATGTCAATAATCTTTCCCCTTACATACACCTCTAACAGTTTTATTGTTTCAGATCTTAAATTTAAGTCTTTAGTTAGAGTTAATGTTTGTGCATGGTGTAACATAAGGGTTCAACTTCATGCTTTTGAATTTGGATGTCCAGTTTTTCTAGAACCATTTATTGAAGAGACATCACTTCTTCATTGTGTAGTCTTAGTACCCTTGTCGAAGTTCAGTTGACCACATATGTGTAGGTATAAAACCAGCATCACTTTGATCCCAAAGCCAGACAAAGACATCACAAGAAAAGAAAAATACAAGCCAATATCTCTGATGAACATAGATGCAAAAATTCTCAACTGAGTATTAGCAAATCAAATTCAATAGCACATTAGGAAGATCATATACCACTGCTCTCTCTATGGAGTAGCTCTTTTTTTTTTTTTTTTTTTGAGACGGAGTCTCACTCTGTTGCCAGGCTGGAGTGTAGTGGCACAATCTCCGCTCACTGCAACCTCTGCCTCCCGGGTTCAAGCGATTCTCCTGCCTCAGCCTCCTGAGTAGCTGGGACAACAGGCGCAGGTGACCACGCCAAGCTAATTTTTGTATTTTTAGTAGAGATGGGGTTTCACCATGTTGGACAGGATGGTGTCAATCTCTTGACCTCATGATCCACCCGCCTTAGCCTCCCAAAGTGCTGGGATTACAGGCGTGAGCCACCGCGCCCGGCCGGAGTAGCTCTCCTTTTGTTTCTTTACTTCTCTAATAAACTTGCTTTCACTTAAAAAAAAAAAAAAATGATCATATACCATCACCAACTGCAAATTTTCTCTGAGATGCAAGGATGATTTAACATTTGTAAATCATTCAGTATGATAAACTCCTTTAACAGAACAACAGACAAATAACAAACACATGATTATCTCAATAGATGCAGAAAAATAATTTGACAAAATTCAACATCCTTTCATGATAAAAATCATTAATAAAAAAAGCATAGAAGGAACTCATCCAAAAACAATAAAAGGCATATATAAAATGTCCATAACTAACATCATACTTAATGGTAAAAAACTGAAAGCTTTTTCTCTGAGCTATGAAACAAGTCAAGTATGCCCACTCTTGCCATGTCTACTTAATATACTGGAAGTACTGAAATTCCAAGCCAGAGCAATTAATCAAGAAAATTAAATAAAATATATTCAAATCAGAAAGGAAGAAATAAAATGATCTCTATTTGCAGATACCATGACCTTACATATAGAAAGCCCTAAAGACTCTTTACAAAAACTGTTAGAACTAATAAATGAATTCAGTAAATTTGCAGGATACAAAAAAATAAACACACAAAAATCAGTTGTTTCTATACACCAACCATTAACAATCTGAAAGAAAATAATCTCATTCACAATAGCACCAAAAGAAATAAAATACTTAGGAATAAATCTAAGCAAGAGGTAAAAGACTTGTATGGAAACTACAAAACACTCATTAAAGAAATTAAAGCATACAAATAAATGAAAAGGCATCCTGCATTTATGGATTAGAAAAATCAGTATTTAAAATGTCTATATTTCCCCAAGTGATCTAAAAATTCAATGCAGTTCCTACTCAAATTTCATAGACATTTTTTACAGAAATAGAAAAAAATAGAAAAACATTTATAAAAGGTATATGGAAAACTAAAAGGTCCTGAATAACAAAAGCAATTTTAATCAAGAAGAACAATGCTAGAAATATCACACTTTCTGCCTTCTAAATGTATTATAAAGCTACGGTAATTAAAATAGTACGGAAATAGCATAAAATAGACATATAGATCAATGGAACAAAGTACGATCTTTAACAATTTTTTGAGCAATTTCAATGTCACTTTTTCTAGAAAATATTGTCTGACATCCTACCCACCCTAGTTCTGTACTTAAGTCTAGAACTGCCCACTTATGTGCTCACCTAAATTTCTACCTCATTACTATGACATTTCAGCATGCAAACTGTTTGTATAATTATGTCTCTAACTGCATAGTCAATCAAGCCCAGTGCCTGATACATAGGCATATTTTCCCAAACATCAGACATTCCAGTAACATTTTATGATTTTTTATACATCCAAGTTTACATACACTGTAATTCCCTATTATTAAAAACTTTAACTCATTACTTAAATGTTTATTTTAAAACAGATTATAATTGCTAATTGTACATACATAGTAATATAAAAAGCAAAGGGATAATCAAAAAGCAAAAACAGTAAAATATTATATATATAATTTTTACTAAAACATGAATAATAACTTGAAGCAAAGTACACATTACATACATGATAAGAATCCCTCAAGGAAAATAATAAAAGTTTATAATCAGTAGAGAATAAATGGATTTTCACACTACATGATGGTAAATCCAAACTACAAAGTAATAGTTAAGATGTTCTTTGACTCAGACGCCAGATTTTTTATTTAAATTAGCAACATGTTTGTAGCACAATTATCAATTGTGTTTTTAATGAATTTCACTGGGTATCCAAGCGATGAGAATTTAGGTGAAAATTCTATCATCCACCTATCTGGATTAAAAGTTCATATTTATCCCAAGAAATGAGATTAAAGAAAAGAACATAGAAATGGAATATTTCTCCTTCTTTTCCTGTTATATACATTTTCTTTTCATATCACATTCTGAGGAAAGAAAACCTATAGGAGTCTGAGATTAGGGCAAATATCCTTAGGCACCTCTGAGCCACCTGTCATCTTGAGCAGCTTTGAAAGCTAAAGAACTCAGTTCTTCGCATCAATCGTGCCATCACAGCATAGTCTCAGCACTCATTTTACAGAGCTATAATGCTAACCTATGATCAAAGAGAAAAAGATATTTCTGTGTCTGTAACCTCTTAATTGGCCTTCATCAGAATTATGCAGGCTAGATGTGAGAGGAAAGAATGCATCCTGAAGACAAAGCTATATCTTGACTGGACTTCAAAAGAACGAAAGCATAGAATGAAAGGGATCAAGGCTGGAAACCAATAGACCAGTTTGACAGTTATTAATAACAACAATAATAAAGCATCTACTTTGATCCAGACATGTTTCTAAGTAGTTTGCAGTTAATGCTGAAAACATTCCAAATAATTGATTTTCAGTATTATTCCTACTTTGCAGATGACCAAACAATGACACTCCAAGTTACACAGTAACTACGGGGATGAAGATGCCTGCAATCTGGCAGGCAGAGCCCCTATACTTACTTCCACCTGCTATTCTTGAGCATTCTCAGGATGGTGTCCCATACTGCGCTAGTAGCGCTAGTGAAGGACAGAAGTGTAGAACCATAAGTGATATAATAAAATAAAACAATAAGTCTTAAGCAGTATTTGTAGGTCTGAGTTTTATTCTTTCATAACATGTATAGATTTCAACTGAAGCGAGAGATTTGATTTAGTGAAAAGCTACTGAATGAATTGGCTCTTAATCTATGGTAATTGTTTCCTTGAATCTGAATTTTTCACTAGGCAATAACTTCCTGATAAACTCAACACAATTTCCAAACTAGTAAAAATATTTCCTGACGTTCCAAGTATTCTCTATAATATTCCATGGTTAGAGAGTTTGCACCAGGCATAAAAGTATACAGCTTTACTATGATTTCTGTAATGTGGTAATGTGGTTTTACAAGGAAAATCTCTGGCTTATTGAAATTCTAATATGACATGTGTTCAGATTAATGCATTTCATGATCTGAAGTAAAGTACAACCTCTGAAAACCTAAAATAAAACTATCAAGTACTTTTAAAAAATAGCTAACGCCGTTCAGAAGCTAATTTAACAATTACCATTACTTTATTACATGGTTATACAGATTAAATCACTTAACCTCTTGTCATGGTTTCTAATCTCTAAAATGTGATATTCCAGTTATACACTGACAATGTTGAAAAATTCTCATATTAAATTTAATTAGCTTTCTCTACTTCTGAAGAACCAGGAATGTGTTACTAACATGCAGAAATCTCCAGGACATGATGAAAAAAATAAGTCATGAAGACTAAAAGCGAAAGAATGATAGGAATGTATCCCTATTTGCCTGACTTAATAGAATAATAACAAAAGTGCCTGTGTAACATGTTTTCAAAATGTGATCTTTTGAAGGAGTCAGATAATAAGAATTAGTTTTATACTGTAATAATCCGTAATCTTTTTGTTTTTTTTTTTGCTGCGTTTCCATCAGCTCTTACTAGATTATTATCTAATATTTTCTAAGAATATATTTAAGAAAAGGAGATGATTTTAAACTCTGAAGAATTTAAGGGGTGATTTCTGTACTAAATATATATATGTAGTTTTAATGCATGTAGTATGCCTGATAGATTACTAAGAGCTGGATAAACAGAGGTTAATGAAATAGACTTAATTTATGATTCATGGAACTTATAGTCTAATGTGAGAAATATACACAGAAGTAAATAATTAAGCACAGGAATAAATATGTAAATGTAACAGATGGTACCATACTCTGATGCTATGAAAGAAACAGTGCAGAGATTTACAAATGTGGGGGGGAGGAGATTATTTAGGTAGGATGGTCAGAAAAGGATTTCTTTGGAGAAGAAATCGAAGATGAGCATTAGAAGACAGGAGAAACCAATGATGGGACAGAAAAAGAAAAATATATTTAAAGAAGATGGCATGGAATATAAAATACTACAGGCAGAAGGGAGAATGCTATATAGAAAAACTGAGTGGCACTTAGTGTGATAAAATCTTAGTAAGGAGTATTATAGAAGACAAAGAAAGGAGGGAAGTGAAATAGGCCAGCTTAACCATGTAAGAATTTCTGTCTGCAGTAAGATAGTTTGCATTTTATTTATTACAAACTCGGAATTTTTGAAGCATCACATACCTGGATATAATATTGTTTCATTTATTTTTTAAAAAATGGCTCCTTTTCCTTTGTGAGAACTAGCTCAGAGAAGTTAATACAGGAAGCTGAAGACATGAGGTAAAGCAATGGCCTAGTATTCGGAAGATAATAAAATAACCCATGTGATGACAAAGGAGAAAGAAAATAAAGAAATACACATAAAATTTTATGAAATAATGGACTTAGAAATAAAAGATGAGGAAGAGATCACAAATAATAGCAAGAGCTCACAACTGAGCAAGTGGCAGCATGTAATTTAAAGACATGCTGTGAAAATGAAGATGAGGTAACTGAGAGAATAGTGAGACAGAAGAAAAGGGACAATAATAAACCATAGATAGAGAAGGAGGATGAGTGAAAGGCTTTGAGCAGGCTGTTGCTCCTGAAGTCAAGAGAAGAGGGTATCTTCAGAAATATGGATGGCCCTTCTGTAGCAGTCACATCAGAGGTTAAATAAGGTAAGTGCAGTAAGGCTCCACCACACCTGACAACATGAAAATGATTGGCATCCATGTAAATAAGAATTACTGTGGCAGTATGGAGTAGACTGCAAACTGTCTGAACTTGAAGAATTAATGAGAAGTGAGGAACTGGATAAGTTCTGTAGACAACTCTTTAAGAACTTTGGCTGTAAATGTTTGTTTAACTGTAAATGTTTCCAGGTTGATTACTACTTGAAAAAGAATGAGAGGTCATTGTGGTTATCTTTAAAGATTAAAGATGTTAAAGTATCTATCAGCGAGCTAGGTAGAGTGTCAAAGAGAGAAAATTACTGAGGAAAGAGTAAAATCTTAGAAGAATGAGAGGAGAAGAGAGAAAATTCAGGTTTAATATGAGAGTCTGGCCCTTGATAGGAGGACGAGGAGTGCCTAGGTTGTAACAGGAGGGTACAGAATAAGATGGTTGCAGGTATGTTTGGAGATTTGGCAGTCACAATTTAAGAGACTACTTACATGATAATTTATATTTTTTTAAGAATGCAAAATGAGCAAAGGTTAATCTGCTGAACATTACCAATGAGGAAATGGTAATTTTGGAAATAGAGGAAAAAACTGAAACTGTCATTTTTGGGAGTAATAGCAAAGTAAGCATTCTAGAAATCTAGTTTGTGAATGCTGAGCAGTGTTGAGGAAACATTTTACATTCAAAATTTTTAATTTCAAATATAGTCAGCCTGTCCCATTGAATGATATTTTTCAGCAGTGCCAATTTTTGCATTCTGGGAATGTACAGTTCAAATTAAATCAGGGTTATAGTGTTGCCAGGTGAATATGTTAGATAAAGAGTGTCACATCATTTACATATTTTAATAAAGTAATAGTAATTATGAATGATGAATAATGGATCATTAGCTGGACAAGCAAAACTAGAAAGCCTAAGAAGCCTTAAAGTGTTTAGGGAGTATTAGAATTAATGAATATTTATAAAAAAGTAAAGTAATTTTTGCAAACAGTTCCTTCATCTGGTGCACACATAGGGAGGTAAGATGTTAAGAGGTAAATGGTAGAGATTCTGGATACAACAGAGTTTCATTGAAAATAAATTTCAAAGAAATGGTCATGGAGATGGATGATTTTGAGAGAGTAAAGGGAAAGGTCATGGAAAATGAGGAAGGCAGGAAAATTACATGTCAGCGGATAATGATGATAGTCAGGGTTGGAGCATAAATATGAGTCAGAAACTGAATTTTCAATAAACTAGGGCAGTATCCAAGAGGGCAGAAATGAGAGTAGTGAATAGTAGACTTGAGTAGTTCATTGTATATTGAAACATAAAAGTAAAGGAGCAGTAATTTTGGAGAGGGAAGGAGCATGCTAATACCCTGTAGGCAATGATGGGGAACAAAAAATATCCACCAATCACAGATCTTTTGGTCCTAATTATAATAGTAGAAGTAATTACAATAATAAACATAAGTACCATTCAATGTTTTCTATGTGCAAATACACTGCTAGCCACTTTAGTGTGTTGTTTAATTTAATCAAGACAGGGTAAGTTAACTGTTATTAAAGCCACTTTAGTGTGTTGTTTAATTTAATCATCAAGACAGGGCAAGTTAAGTTGCAGATGAGCACTGAGTGAAGATTGGTGATGTCAAATAAGTAAGTTTTCCTCTTAGTTATTAACTATATAGGCGCAGCTCAAGGATTTGAACAAGAATCTCCTTGACATTTACAGCATAATTCTACCACCCACAAAAGTCATGTGAACTACTGAAAAGAAAAATAATTTAATAATACTTTAATTGTAGTCCTAACTATGATTTAAACTTTACTGAGTCTGAAGTATTAGTGATCCGGCAAACCCGTTGAGTCTTCTTACATGAGTTGATTTGTGCGCATTAATTATTAGATAGCCAATTCAGGGCATTTTGAGTGAAATTTCTAGGGTTTTAAATCTTGGAAGTTTCCAGGAAGATGAAAAGATGATTATGGCATCTGTTCTTACGGACTAGTTCTAAGGTCCTTCAGATCAAGGGACTGTTGTCCCATTTCAAAGCTAAATCTTCTCTCTGGTGAAGGAGAGACTGCAGGGACACTAGTGCCATTTGTTGTACCCTAAAGATTATACAATCTGGAAAGCAGTGTAGCAGAGCATCCTGGGAATAACATTCCCACCGAGGGCCCCAGTAGGATTGAATTTGGAGCCAGCAGGCAGAATTAAGGAATGATGTACAGCAGAGCTTCTCACTCTTAGCACTATTGACATTTTGCACTGGAAACACTTCATTGTGGGAGGTTTCCCTGTGTGTGACAGAATGTTTAGCAGATCTCTGAAATATATCCACTGGTGCTAGTTGAACCCTTCCTTCCTCTGGTTGTGAAAATCAAAACGTATCTAAACATTGCCATATGTCCCTGAGGGGACAAAATCACGCCCCCCCAGCCTAAAATCCCTGAGCTAGACCAACTATGAAGGGAATATTGGGAGGAAGCGTAAGACATACAGATGACAATGAAAACCCAGAAATACATTGACGATAATAATGGACAATAGCACTGTAGCTATTTACGAGGAAGAACAGAATCAATGAAGTTTAGTTACTTATTTTAATCATCTTATTATACTGTGATGTTTGAAATAGATAACATTTGGGCTGCATGCTATATTCAACCTGTTAATATTTCATTTGCTATAACTATGGGAGGTAAATTCAATTCTTCAATTCAATGAACTCATTGATATCCCAGAGCCAGGCATTATAAAATGAAAGGGGCTTTCTTTCTTTATGTTATAAGAGACAACAACAACATAAATCATAAATTCATCTGTGATTTGGTTAAAAAGAGAAAAATAAAACAAGTTAAACTGAAGAGCCAATAGTAAAACTACGTAGTGCTTACTATATGCCAGGTATTTTTCTATGTGCTTTATGTACATGAATGCATAAACCCTGCAACAGCCCTCTAAGGTGGGCACTGTTATTGTGCCATTTTTCAGATGAGGAACTATCAGGGAATAAGAAAGTTGTATTGGTAGGCATGACCAGGAGACACGCTGAGCAGTAAATAAAAAGGAAACAAAAGCTTATAACAGACATTAAGACACGATGGCAAATTGGGATGCATATGATCTTAATAAGACTTGTATTTATGTGTTTTTCTGATGAAATGGTCCTCACAATTATTTTAATTCTTATAATTACCTTAATTTAACTTATTAGGCAATAGGTTAAAATTTATAAAATAATGGATAGAATATTTTAGTCACAATAGCTCCTCTTGCTACAAAGTTCCATACTATGTATTCTGTACAAAATATTTTTGATTGAATTTATTGATTATTTTCCCAATAATTCCAAACACAAATTAATTGTTCCATGAAACCAAAACAAGTATGTGTTAACTTTGGTTAATATTATTTTATAAGAACAGTCTGTAATCAATATATTATTTTTGTCCTAGCAGATAATGACCCAATTTCTCTCGCTTTGTGAAAGCAAGTTTTACCACTCTTTATTTCAAATAGAAGCATCTGAACTATTAAAGTTAAATGAAATAAATACTAATTTTCTAAAAAAGTAAAAACTATAAATATGAATGAGACTTATTTTCATTATTTCTAGAATCCCTGTTTTACCAGTACCAAAACTAATATGAAGTGGTCCAAACAGAATTTGTCGAGCTTCCAGATTGCAAACATTTGAGAAAAAAATATATCTCATTTACTCAGCGAATAGTCTATAAATTGGACATTCACAGAGGCACAAGATCATTAACTATCCTTTCAGAAGTCAATTTTATGCTTCCTAAATTAGATCTGGAGCTGGGCTATTTTGGGATGGCAGGCTGGGAATAATACACAGATTTTGTGAAATCAGGTTTAGCCCATTTTCAGCTAAATCACATTCAATTCAATAACAACCACTGAAAACAAAGAAAAGTCAATAAAAATGACTTGCAAAAAACTCGTCTGTAGATATTACTATTAAGCTTTCTAACGGTTTTATACAATGAAATTACAGATAATCATAATTGATCAAACTTTGCCTCTGGAACTTTTCACACAAAAGAAAATCAATGGAATTTTGTGTGTGCATGTGTTCAATATGTTCCCAGCATTTGTTTCAATTTTTTATTCTGTATTTAGGTGTGGTTTGCCTGGGTCTTTGCAGGATTGTAAATGTATAAAGTTTGAAAGTAAAAAGCTGTGCTTTACTAAAGAGAGTTGTTTATTATTTATCATGTTTCTGTCAATCAACTATAGGCACAGCAATATGATCATTTTAATATTCAGCCTCTGCATTCTGTTAAGAAAAAACAAAAGTAGACATTGTTTTACGTTTCTATTCCTGTCAAAAAAAATCATAAAACTGGTATTCCCCATTCAAACTGATCATTTCCTTGTTTCAAAATGATGCTGTTTTAATCCATCCTACAGTAAAATCTCTTGGTCATGATCATGGCTTTAAATTTATTTTGCAGGACATCTATAATATCCTTTATATCGTGTTCCTTCAACTGCTGATGCTTGTCACCTGACACGGTAGTGGTTGCTAAGGTAAATGCAGATTTGTATCTCCTATAGACACAATACTACTTGTATCATTAATGTTTCATAATAAAAAAAGAAAATTGTTTCATATGTTACATTTTATCTAAATTTGTGATTTAAAATAAAAACAAAAAAATTCAATGATATCTATGCTAGCTAATAAAGATACATATAGATTTTAGATTACTGTTATACTAAAACTTTTTTGCCGAGTATTTTAGGTTGAATTCAGTTTTGAGGAAAGAGTTATCTTGAAACATAACAGAGGACTAGGCAAAAACAATCAGCGATAATTATAAAGGTCAGCACTAGACAAACTTGTATAAGTAGAAGGTACACTACTGTTTAAAATGATTTGAGGCTGGGGAAGCAGGAGAACCCAGAAAATGTGATGAGAAATAGTCTAATATTTAAAATGCACCATATACCAGGTATTTTGATCCCCCTAATGACCACACCCAGGAAGTCATTCATAAGACTCCAGAAGTCCTCTATAGCTTGACGTAACATATGCCATTAATCAGGATTGGGAAGAAAGAAAATAAGACAGAAGTTATAGTTTGGATAATAGAGATCTACCTAAGGGATGATTGAGGGTTTTTGTTATAACCCAAACATGCTTAATACTTAAGCATATATTTGAATTCCATCTAGGCTGTCATCCAAGAAATTAAAGAGGAGGGGAAATTGCATTTTGAGGGCACCAGGAGATTGGAAGAAATTGACTAGGACATGTACTGAGCACTAAAGGCAGACATCTAGAAACTGAAATGATAGGGCTTAAATATCCGGTAGCAGAGTTACAATCCATACTGGATACCTGTCAGGTTGCATCAGAAGTGGGAAAGGAACCAATAAAGGAATACGAGCAGAGAAGCATGAAGAGTCTGAAAACAAGTTACTATTTTGTCACGAGGACTTGCCATTACAACTGCAAAAGTAATTATAAAATGCATGATAATAGAAATTATTGATTTTTTAACAATTACTTCAACATTACAAAGCACTTCTATATAATATGTATTGCAGCATATCTAAATCTATCATCTGTCTATCTATCTATCTGAGAAAGAGACAGACATATAAACAGAGAGACATACAATTACTAAGATATATTAGTATATGAGCTGCTTTTAGGGAGCTGAATAAAAACACTTGTATTTTGATATCAGATAAACATGGATCTAAATACAGTATAAAATGATAAATACTTTAATCTTTTTGAGCATATTTTTCTCATCACCATAATGATGCATTACCTTATTTGCAAATTTGTTGTGTGATGAAATACTTAAGTCTTTACTTCCAGGTTTGGATTGAAATTCTTGACCCCCCAAAAAACAACTTACAAAAAAATTACCTTTGTAAAGTAATTATGAAAAGGACTGGCTCTCAACCAATCAGTGAACCCATCTTTGTGGTTTCATATAAAAATAAATTATATAAACATGTTAAATAAGTGATGCAACCTTGAGACACAATCACAGACTTTATTTTCATTCTATTTAGTTTATTAACATTTCTTAAGCCACACCTATTCAGGCAGACACTTAGTTGTTTTCACTGTCTTTACGGTGATCGCACTACTAAAATGAACTTAATGCTATTTTGTAATTGCTGGAAGAATTATTTTAATTTTTTATATGGTTTAGCTTGGAAAAAACACAGGTGGTGCAAATCATAGAATGGGTCAATTAATAAATGAATGAGTGAATGGTATGCTTTACTTCTAAACCAGATAATAAAAATCATATGTCTACATCTGAATTAGACATGTTATCTGGTTATAATGTAAAAATTATAGTCATGATACCATCAGTGGTTTCACTCTTGGAATGTGATTTCATAATTAGAAAATATATTATTATAATGCAATTATCCTATATCTTAATGAGATTTCCTTTTACTCTTAAGTCATCATTTAAACTGTATTTACAATATTGCCTGAAAAAGTGACTGTCAACTTTTGTTAAATGTTGTTCAGTTTTAAAGAGAACTCTATCATACCTTAAGTTAAGTAAACTAGATCCATATTACCAAGACTAAAGTTTCTGTTTTATTTTATTCCCACAATAATCCTGAAAAGATTTTAAAGCACCTAATTTCCTTTTACCTATATTTACTCAGCCTTGAATTTTGAGGGTATATTCAATGAAAATAATTTAGTGCTCACCTCTCTTAAAGTTGACATAATTCCTATTTTTCTAAGTTCAGCTTCCACTTTTAGTTTTTCTTAAGGCTGCTTAAATTTGTGAAGTTTTAACTCCTCATACATTTAGTTTGTAAGGAGTTTGAATTGAATACTCTTTTAATTATAGCTGTAAATTCTGCATATACATGTTTTGTACTCATTTTATGAAATTCCCTTGAACAATTGTTCTCTCACTGGGACAAAGGTATATCTTCTAAAGTGCTACCATTTACTTATTATTCTTTTTGATTTGTATAATCTGTATCTCTAAACAATGTCCCTATTTTATAACAACTTCAACTTCTTCCTTCATTGCTTTCAGTTGTTCTGCTCAGGACATAGAATTTAGGAACTAGTGTAGGAGATGTGTTTCTTTCTAATTGCAGGCTTGTGTTTTTAAGTTAAATGGGTGGCTTATCTTACTTCTGAAACTCAAAAATGACAGTTTTTAAAGCAAATTACTCGCTATTAGAACTAAAATACTAGTTAGTAATGAGAAAAACAAAATGAAAAATGACCAGGAAGTATAGTGTTATACCATCATGTGTATCTTCTTATAAATTAAAGATACCCACATAGCTTAAGGAAAAATGCGTATTATGTACAATAGATAAGAAGACAGATCAAAGAAACTATGGACCTCTCACCCTCGGAAACATGTTTACAAATGATTTTTTCTTCCAAGGTAAGCCTTGTAAATTATAAATGGCATGGAGGATAAAAATCTCTCTTTATTGTATCATAATAATAATATTTTAACATCCTAAAGACCCTGTATGTAACAGCTGCAAAACCTCCATCTTTTCTGCATTACCAAAACTACAGAATTACTGTGGTTATCTTTTATGATTCCTTCTCTCAGCACCTTCATTCCTTTGTTCATTCTGCACATTCCTACATCTAAACAGACCCCATAAAAGTATTTGTTCATTTTAGTGCTGTAGTTGCCTAAGGCAGTGGCTGAAGATTCCAGCTGAGCTAAACAGTATATTTGTGCTTTGCTAAAAGATAATATGTTTTTGCTAGCTTTGCAGTTTTTTCCTATTATAGTACTTTTCAAGATTTTATCACCTTTACAGCCTATCTATATTTTCTCCAATGCTGTTCATGGATATTCCAAAAATGTGTACTTGGCATTCTTCTCCACAGATGTTGATGTGGACTTCATGTCCTGACCTGGGAGCCCTCTTGATATAAATGCACCCATGATGGATGGTGACCTTCTCTGATATTTATAGTACAGCTTGGGAACCACTGGACAGGATTAGTGACCTGTGAAGGAAACCTGCTAAGCTTGCTGAGACATTCTGTTTTAGAATTCAGTTATGTGGTTAACAGCAAATTAAATGTCCAAGTTAGAAATATATAAGTAAAACTACTTATTTATGTACATTCTACTTAAGTCTCCTTTTATTAACAAAAGTACAATACATGCTACAGTATTTATTGTTTTCTATTTTTTTCCATTATCATATACATCAGAAAGAGGCATCAGGTTGGCCAACTTGAGATATAAGGTTCTTTCTCATACTACGTACAACATTGGTGTGAACATTAAAGATTGGTGTGATCTTTAATTTTAATTGGATTTAATTAAAACTTTTAATTTAAAGTCCCATACCTTATTCTTTGCCTCTTTCTAAAAAATCCTTAGGGAACATGTGATTTCCAGTCTGGCAAGTAGAGAGTTTGGAAGTTGTCACTCCTGTCCACACACAACACACACAGAAATTGAACAAACTGAAAATCAACAACTCTTCTTAGATCTATCAGATAACTGAGGTCACAGGGCAAACCACTATCCCCTACATTGAAGAGACAGAACAATGGAAACAGAGAATTGCAGCTTACTTATGTGCAGAAGCGTAAAACTCCACGTGTACTAGTACCAGGGTAGGAAAACGTAAATGGTAATTGAAAAATTGCTGAAGGTTTATTGCGGACAAGTTTGAAAGTTGTCCACACTCCAGAAAAATTCTGGGGGTGGGGTCATAATTAGGAGGATGGAGGCACACACGTTCATGAGTGTTACATTCAAGAGTTCTACAGAGTTTTTACGGTGAAGATCAGAGAACAAGACCCCAGTGCTACAAGCAGGGAAATGAGGAAAGTATAGATTACGAAATATGGCCAGAGCCATCTATTCTTCTTAACAAGGCCTACCTCAAAAGAAACTGTTTTCCTGAGCCTAACGAACTGACTAGAGTGTTATGAGAACCTAACTGACCTAGGGATAGGGAAGTACCCAACTCCAGCCCCCACTATCCTCCCTACCTCACTTATAGGGGAAGAAAACAAAACAAAGCAAAGCAAAGAAGCATCTTTGGGGGCCACAGACCAAGGACACAGGTCAGCTAAAAGACAGGGCCTAATCCTAGGACTCTACAATGCTCCTCCACTCTACCACCTCTTGCCACCTCTTGCCACCCCTTGCCACCCCTTCCCTAAGGCTCCTGTGGAATAACAGGGGATTACAACAGAAAGAATTGCACATTTCAGATGTTAAAAAGAAATATCCAGAGAAACCCAAAGATGACAGGGGAGATAAAAAACAAAGATCCCAGAGGAAATTGTAGCCTTTGACATCTACTGTTATAACCAATAGTAAGCACACCCTAACCCCCTAGCAAAATAGATATAAAACTTCATGTTACAGGCTCTTTACCTCTGTTACTTTACCCAGTACATCATGTCCAGTTTTCAGCAAAAAATTACAAAGCATACTAAAAGACAAAACGGCATGAAGAGACAGATCAATCTTCAGAACCAGACCACCAGATCTAGGGCAGAGATGTTGAATTATCTCTGTTGGATTATTGCTGTTGAATTTAAAACAGTAGTTATTAATATGCTAAGAGTTTTAATGGAAGAAGTGGACAAAATGAAGGAACAGATGACTAATGGACAAAGAGATGGATACTCTAAGAAAAAATCCCCATAACAGAAACAAATAGTTTTTAATGGAGACATAATTATTGTGCATATTTATTAGGTACATGGGATATTTTGATACATGATATTTTGATAATGATCAAATCTGGGTAACCGGGAAATCCATCACCTTAACCACTTATCATTTCTTTGTGTTGGGAACAATCCACAGCTTCTCTTCTAGCTACTTTGAAATATACAATAAATTTTTATTAACTATAGTCACCTTACTGTGCTATCAACCGCGAGAACTTACTTCTTCTATCTAACTGTGTATTTGTACACATTAACTGATCTCTCTTCATAACATCACTTGTTCTTTCCAACCTCTAGTAACCACCATTCTACTCTCTGTCCCCATGATATCAAATTTTAGCCTCCACATATAAGTGAGAACATGCTATATTTGTCTTTCTGTACCTTGCCTATTTTGCTTAACAAAATGTCCTTCAAATCCATTCAAGTTGCTGCAAATAACATGAATTCCATTTTAATGGCTGAATACTATTCCATTGTGTATGTATACCACATTTTTAAATCCATTCATCCATTGATGGACATATAGGTTGATTCCATACTTGGCTGTTATTATTAGTGGCACAATAATCATGGGCCTACAGATATCTCCTCAACAAACACTGGAGATGCAGGTATCATTTTGATATGCCAATTTCTTTTCCATTGAATATATACCCAACAGTGGGATTGCTGTATTCTAAGGTAATTCTATTTTTAGTTGTTTGAGAAACTTCCATACATTTTTTATAGTGGCTGTACCAATTTACATTTCTACCAGCACTGTACTAGTTTTCCCCTTTCTCCACATCCTCACCAGGATTTGTTACTTTTTGTCTTTTTAATAATAGCTGTTTTATGGGGTGTGATGATATCTCATGATAGTTTTGGCTTGCATTTCCTTGATGGTTTGTTATGCTGAGCACTTTTTCATACACCTGTTGGCCATTTGCATGCCTTTGTAGAAAAAAATACCTATTCAGATGATGTGTCCATTTTTTAATCGAGTGATTTGCTTTTTAATTTCTAATTTTTTTTGCTGTTGAATATTTGAGTACCTTATACAGCCTGGGTATTAGTAAATTGTCAGATGGACTGTTTGCAAATATATTGTTTCATGCTGTAGAGTGTGTTCTTTGTTCAGAGTATATTCTTGGTCCCTTTGTTGAAAATCAGTTGGCTTTAAATGCATTAATTTATTTCTGTGTGCTCTAGTTGGTCTTTGTGTCAGCTTTTATGCCAATACCATGCTGTTTTGGTTACTATAGCTTTGTGATCTATTTTGAAGTTAAGCAGTTTGATGCCTTCAACTTTGTTCTTTTTGCTTAAGATTGCTTTTGACTATTGTAGTTCTTTTAGGGTTCTATATAAATTTTAAGATTTTTTTTTCTATTTCTATGAAGAATGTAATTAGTATTTTGATAGGGATGACATGAAATCTGTAGATATCTTTGGGTTGTGTGGACATTGTAACAATATTAATGTTTCTAATTAATGAACATGATGTACTTTTTTCTACCCTCTTCAATGTCTTTTATCAATAAATGTTTTATAATTTTCATTATAGAGATCTTTCATCTCTTTGATTAAATGTATTCCCAGGTATTTGATTTTATTTCATGTAGTTAATTGCTTTCCTGATTAAAAATAAAGAATGCTTTTGATTGGCTCATCGATAGACTCTTCAAAGCCTAGGAAAGAATCAGTGAGCTTGAGAAAATGTTACTAGGTACTTTCATAACTGAAATTAGAAGAGAAAAAAATATGAAAACAACAGAACAGAACATTCAAAAACTGTAGAGCAATTATAAAAGGTATAAAACACACAGAATATGAATACAACAAAGAAAAGATAGAAATGAGCAGAAAGAAATATTTCGGCAATTATGACTCAAAACTTTCCAAAATTAATGATAAACAGCGAAACAGAGATTCATCAAGCTCGGAGACCACAAGCAATATAAATACCCCAAAAATCTGCGCCTAGGCATATCAAATTCAACCTGACAAATATCAAAGACAAGAGAAGAATCTTGAAAGAAGCCAGAGGAAAAATGTCCTGTAGGTCCACTGAGTTTCATGATGTTAGTTTATGCACCAGAAACAATATTTGGTGTACTTTGGTCACTTCTAATTCCTTGAAGCTTTATCAAGTGACTCACTCTTTCTATCATTTTCTCTGACCAAACTGTTGATGATTTATCATTTAATAATCAATTATATTTCTCCTCCCACAATATTATTCTGTCTTCCCTTGAGTCTCAAAGTTTTATAGTCACACCCAGAAACTGTCATCACCAATAACTGTACCCACCTTATAATAAAAATTTTCAAATATCATATTCTCTGCACATCTGTTTTTATGTTTCCAGATAGGATCCACTAAAATCTTGATTCCAACTATTTTATCTCACCAGGAACTTTAATCTGTTGATTCTTCCCTTCGTAACTTTATTCTTCTCTCCATATAGTCTCACTTTCTTTGTTTTTAATGGCTATACTTTTAGAGCCACTATTAAAATCTCTCACTACCCAAATCTGCTTCTAGTTTAATCACTGGCTCAGACGTGTCCTTAATTCCGTCCAGTTATCCTAACACATGTCTCTACTTTTCCACTCTCCTCTCTCTGAGGTGATTATTCACAGCGTCTAATGATAACATTTTGTTTCTAGAAGCAATCACAAGAGAAATTTCACATGCCTATGCTCCAGGCCTTTTTATTTCTATGTGTGTTTACATAATCTGTCTTCAATCCTTTTAATGCAGATCTGTTCAATATCTTATACATATGCCTCAAATACCTTTCTCTAAAGTGTAATCCAGAATTTTTTCCCACAATTTTTTTCCTTTATCTTGTTCATAATCAGATGTTTCTGCCTCTACCCTTCCACCTGATGCATCTGTAAGTGTAGGAAAATATGTTGTTAACACACCTGCTATTAAAAGAAATTTTTCTTGCTATGCAGTAGTCCACATCTAATACTGTCCCATTTCTTTGTTCTTTAGAAGGAGGGCAAAGGCTGAAAAAGTTCTATATTCTCTGTGTATTTGCTTTCTCTCACGTAACCTTTCCAATCCACTACAGCTATCATTTGACTTCCACTTTGTCAGTCACCAAACCTGACTTTTCCAAAACCACTCCCTCTTTCTTGAACTACTGGCCTCCAACTATCATGTTCTCTTACTTTTCCTTCTCTCTTCTTAGTCACTTCCCTTTACTCTCCTGTCCTAGAAGACTGAATTTTCCAGCAAATTTCAAAGAATATCCCATTGATGTTTTTCCTATTTCTGTATTTACATTAAATCCATGTGATTTCATCCTATCCCATGGCTTCACAGATCATCCAATTATCAGATCTCTCTTTACCATCTTCCCAATCCTTTCATCCTAGACCAAGCACTCTTACTTGTCTCTTACTGACCTTTGCAGAATTCTTTAACATTTCCTATCTACACTAATTTTTGTTCTTTTCATATCACATTCTAACAAAGTTCCCTTGCTCACTTGTGTAAAATCACAGCAGCCTTCTTTGCACCCTTAGAATGCAATCAGCCAAACTGTGCCTCAGACCTTTAGAAGTGCTGCTGCCTCTGACTAGGAAGGACATCCCTGAAATATTTATATTAGTTGATCCCTCACTTTCTTCACATAAGTGCTCAATATTCTCCTTTTAGATAAATCTTTTTAAAACATGATTTGTAAACAATGTGTTAATTCTCATTCTTTTTTGTCTCACTATCCATAGCAATTATTACTTCCTGAAATATCTTTGTCTATTTTTCTATACAATTTAAGCTCCAATAATACACGTCAAAAAAACTGGAGAAACCAAATCACTTTTTCATTGTTCAAGTACTCAAAGTATCTCTGCTAATATTTCCTTCTCTAATATTTTATAATGTTAATATCACATGCCACATCTTTTTTTTTAATATGACACAATTGTTTCTTCTAACCAGTTGCTGATTATTAGAGAGGGTTGAATTCCATTAAAAATGGAAGCCAAAATGAATTTGCCTCAGTGATAGCTGTTTAAGAAATGTTTTCTTTATGATGAAGATATTCCAAAATTAAGAACTAGGAAATACATGGGGAGACAAGTTGAATCAAATCCTCCTAATCTTTCTTCAATTTGGGCTGTATTTATTTAAGCAATCAGAGACAAAACTATACATTAATTCATGGATGTGCCAGAAATGAAATTAACAGTAATGTCAGGTTTCCTCAAGCTTAAGTTAGAGACTAAAAATGGTGGATTAATTCTATGGTCTTCATGCATTTTAAAAGATCAATACTGCAAATGACATTTTAAATAAAATTATATGCAGTAATTTCTGTTGATGTGAGAAACTTTAATGCTTTAATAATTTCTGAGTCCAATAATAAAAACAGAAATTGTTCCAAAGGTGACAGCATCAAGATAATTTCTTCCTTTCTCTTTCCTTGACTAGTTTGGAGTCTTTATCAGTGCATCTTCCTTATAATCCAAGCAGTTTGTTTGTGTGTTTATTTATTTATTTACATTTAACAAAGAGTTTCAACATAGTGTTGCATTAAGAACCAAGAGAATGCACAAGGCAATGACACTTCTTGTCATGCGGTTACTTTAAACACACCACAATGTATTATTTCTGTGATTTTTCTTAGAAATATAATCCTCTGTAGAAATAAGTAGTGTTTGCCATCCATTCAACCCTGCAGCCACATTACAGGTATATTGTGTTTCAATTTTAATTATATTTACAACTTAAAAAGTTAAATGAAATCATTTTCTTAAGTAAAAATAAAGAAGATACAAAATGAATAATTGTGAATACATTTCTATTGTTATTATGAATAAATTATTAGCATTCTACCTGCCTACTAATATTTCACTGATTTGACACAAACTGAATGGTATATAGTTACTTTCAAATAAAAATGTTTTTAAAATTTTAAATATTTAGTGGTTATATCTTGGTTTGTTTTTTTTTTTAGCTCAGAGCTTAAATAGAGATTTTGGGGGAAAAACTTCCTATAGGATTAGTAGAAAGACAGGTAAATAAATGTTTTTTTGATATGAAAATTAACTTTTAGTGTGTGAAACTTCTTGAAATAAAGTATGTTAATTAATAAAAAAAATACCTCTATGCTTAAATATTTTAAGCGTAGAGGTACTCATTCAATTCCTAATATGAAAGAAGTCTACCTGGATTCAGATCCCATCTCTGCCATCATAGACATATTAACTGCATATGTATCAGAATTTAAATGTAATTTTTATGATTTGGAGAAAGAAAGTTTTCTATTTTGTCTTCAATTTACCTGATTGTAAATTGAAGGATACTATGATCCTTTTTATAAAATATTTTAGTGGTGAGTTTGAAAAGGATTTACAACCACTTGTGACAAATAACCCTAATATAATGTCCTTCTAGGGAAGTAAATAAAATCAACTATTAGGTTGGTTTTAACAAGGTTACCTAACAAAGTCAAACATCTGAATCAGATTTCACAGTAAATTGTGCTTATTCAGCTAAAATTATATTAAAAAGTTTTAATTTCATAAAAGTACATAGCTGAAAGAGATAATCATCAGCCAAAATTTTGCTTGAAGGTGGAAATTATATTAAGAATGCATCTTTCTTTCTTTGCTCAGATGGTTCCACTTATGTAACTGTGGGTAAGCGCCTTCTAACTGTATTAACCAAACAAATAAAGAATATTATTATCCATTATATTTACAGATGGTATTATAGTTAGCCATATTTGGCTTAAAAGGCTATGCAATCTCATAAATGTCCTTGTTAAATGTTGAATTATATTTCCTTTTCAAAAATAAACTAATATTTTTGTTAAACTTAGACATTTCACACGTATGCACACAGGCTTGTATGCATCTATCTCAAGATTTAATTTCATATTATCATTTTCCTGCTCTTAAATCTACTTTTCTAGAAAACTAAACACAAAACAAATTTGGTACCAAAGGAAGAGACAATATTTCTAAACCAAGCGATAAACAAGTCAGGATATTATTATGGAAAAATATGAAAAAGTTAATCTTCAGAAAAACAAGTCTGTCCAAGCTCTTCATTAATAATTGAAACATGGGTGCACACGTGAAGTGCTTGGTAAGTAATGAGCACCAGGCATAAATATTTAACAGTTTGTTTATGAAATGTGTCCTAAATTATGTCTAAATGTTAACAAGGATGTCTTATACTAGACAGAACAATGAGGGACATAAATATTTCAAAGCAGCAAGCATGGCAGGTGGAAGCTAAAAAGCACCAGGCAGCTTCCATGTTCCTCGAACACTTCAACCTTCAGATATGTGCTTTTTAAGTTTAATAGGAACAAAGTGTTTCCCCATCAAAGCCAATGTTTACATCAGTTACATCAAAGCTATACTGGGATCCTTTTAAAGTACACTTATCAGACAAATAATGCATTCAAAGTGATGTGTCTTGGTGGTATAAAAGGAATCGACAAATAAGACAACCTACCAGAAGTGAAACGTTCCCCATAATAGCTAATGCTCTCTATGTTGTTTTCTGACCCACTTCCTAACAAAGACATAATGGAGATTCCGAACAATTCTCAAGGCTATTGTCTCACACACACACACACACACACACACACACACACACACACACAGACACACACAGACATACACATGAATACACAAACCTAGCAGAAAATGAAATGAGATGGATTGTACTTGCTCTTTATGTGAAAAAAATTAATTATCCAATAGTGCTACAATAGCATAAAACCAAGTAGGAAATTTAGTTATATAATTTATCCAATATTTTCTTTCTTTTCTGATAGCAGAGGTTTTAACCTAATATACCGAAGAGTGAAGTATAAGCAAAATAGCATAGGTGACTCTGAAAAATGAAAATGTAAGGAGAAGAGATTAAGAAAAAAGCTCAAATTTTATAATAGTTCAGCCACAGAAATATTGTATATTCTTAGAAAAACCAATCACATTCTTCTGAAATAATATTGCTCCCAGTAGAGTAATAAATGTAAAGGTCATCATCATATTCAATTCTGCCACATAATTATTTGACAATATAAAACACAAAAAGCTAAATGAGCACTGAAACTATTTGACAAAATAATATTTAAGAACCATAACATAGAAGTACTTATATTAATGTGAGCATTTAGATTGCTGATATTAGGTAGAGAAAAAAGTAATTTTTACTAAATTTAATGACTTTTATCAGACAATGGCTATTTTTGCTTTTTGTTTTACTTTATTTCACATGATAATAGTCATGCTACATTTTATTACTATTTCCTCTCTTGTTCCTGCAGTATAATTTCCCTAAAATTACTCCTTCAGTGACTATAAGTCACTTTCTTATAGCTGCGTCAATATTTTCTCAGACAAATATTTTCTCACCCTAAACCACTTGACTACCTACAATGACACTGATCACTATTCTTTGCCTCATTTGTTTATTCATTTACACTATAAAAATATTGATCTTTTAATGTGAATTATGGCTTTAATCATATACCCCTGGCCTTTTGACACAAATCTTTACCTTATATTTCTAGTATATACCTTCCTGGAACTGCATATTCATTTCTAATAAAATGAACCAATGATTTCAAATTTTAAAAAATTAGCTAGGCATAGTGGCACACACCTGTATTCCCAGCTATATTGGAGGCTGAGGCAAGAGGATTGTTTGAGCCTAAGGGTTTGAGGCTACAGTGAGCCATGATTGTGCCACTGAACTCCAGCCTGGGTAACAATGTGAGCCCCTGTCTTAAAAAAAAATAACATAATAAAATAATAAAATTGGTGGAATGAACTTCGGGGTATTCCTAAAACTTTCTCTGACAGTAATGTTGCCTTTTAAATTAACAGCTAATTTACGAAGTTTGAAGCCATTGGTAAATTTTATTAGAAATGAATATGCAGTTCCAGGAAGATATGTACTAGAAACATAAGGAAAAGATTTGAGTCAAAAGCTCAGGGGTCATGATTAAAGCTATAATTTACATGGGGTGGGGGTCTCTTTGTGTTGCTTAGGCTGGTTTTGAACTCCTGTGCTCAAGTCATCCTCCCACCTTAGCCTCCCAAAATGCTGTGATTACAGGCATGAGCCACCATGCCTAGCCCCCACCAACTTTGAATACGAAGTGGTTTTCTTTTGCCAAATTCATCTAGTTCAAATACTTTAGTCTATGGTTCAGTGCCTGCTATTGCTTTAAACTCTGGTGAATTCTCTCATTTCTCTCATAGATATCTACATTGTATAAATTTTACTTCCTAATTCTTTTTCAAATATCTTCACTTATCTATGTCACTACTGCTACTATCTAATTGAGCTATCATCATCTCTCAGGTATATTCTTGAAGTAACACTGGAATTATTTATTTCTTCAATACCTTCTACTATCCATTTTCTACACTTAGTGCAAATGTTCATGTTTAACTGGAAAATCAATCATTTTATTCATCATGAAAGGAAAATAGTGTGCTCCTTATTCAAAAAATAAAGGTAAAAATTCTTAACCCAAAAAACAAGTTCCTTCATAGTTAATGCTGTCTGATACTCTAAGCCGTCATTCAGCTTCATGTCAGGCTATTCTGCTGCCCATTCTCTCCAATATCCTAAACCCCTTTCAAATCTGTATGTACTTCATGTTCATTCTGACTATAGGGCCTGTATGCATCATGTCTCCTCTGTCTGGAATCATCTTCTGTCCTCTTTTGTTTAGATTATTTTCATTCAATTCAGCTCAAATTCATTTATCTAGTAAATACTACTATGATATTCTGACTAATCATTCTCTCTAATATAAGCCTTACATCACTATGAACTTCTTCAAAATATCTTTCCATGGTCACAATTTCATATAACAATTCAATTAATATCTGTCTTTCCCATTACACTGCAAATCCATGACATCAAAAAGTATTTGAATTCAAATTCACAATTATATTCCAAGCCTGTACTAGACACCTAGAATTACCTGGGGAATGAATGAACCTCAGGCATAGCATCTCAACTTGTTCCTTTCTGAAACATTAAAGTAAACCTGCCACTGCTTCTTCTGTCCTGTGTGTAGAAAATAAATCCTGGTTAACCATTGGAATCAAGGTACATTGTTACATTGGTTATCATATCATTAATTTGTAAAAAGGAAATACTAGGTTGGTGCAAAAGTAATTGCAGTCTTTGCCACTGAAAGTAATGGTGAAAACCAAAATTACTTTTGCACCAATTTATATGACATTTATTATTTGCTTTTTTAGAAATAAGTGCACCATTAAAACACAATACGGTATATTTAAATAGCATAAGTCTTTAATACAGTTGAATGTATTTATGTAGAATTAATTAGTAACTTTACAACTAATGTAAATGGGTATTTTGATAATGAAATATTTTTATTAAAAATACTGAAAAAATAACTATTGACATAAGCCCATTATGTAATATATTCTTTTACTTGTCCAATATGTTATGATAATTTTAGAATTATTATTGTCATTTTCATTATTATTACTAATTTAAGAATGAGAATGCATTTTTTACAGATTTGTCAGATATTTGTTTTTATATACATTTTAATTTTATTTCATGGTTGCTATTTTATGAAATTTTATTTACAAATAAATGCCTAATCTCATCTCAAATAACAAATTTATTTTTCCATAGGAAAAACCAATTTATGAGAGAAAAAAATTTTCAGAATGTTATGATTCATTACCATCTTTATAATCTAAAAGAAATAATTTCATATATTCTCCAGTGTTTATAGATAGCATCCTTCATAACATATAAGTATTACTATCTTATAAGTAGCTTCATTTTGTCTTAAGACAGATAAAATAATCATTTACAGTTTGAGAGACATATTAAAAATATGTTTTCCATTTTAATTTTACCCATTACGTTTACTGCTGGTGTTTTAAACTATAGTCTTAGGTTTAGACATGCAGAGAAAGAAACATAAGGAAAATTTTGCTGAGGACAGGAAGAATTGCCTTAGTGTTGGTGCTATTGTTGCCATTGCACAAAACCAGACGAAGCCATAGCACTCTTTATCTGAGGGGGTGGGAAATTGCCTTGAAAATACGATGTTTTTTATAGTCTTCTCAGGAAGTAAGGTGTTGAATTAAAAAATCATTCTTTATCATTTACTACAAATGTTTCATGAAGGCAACCTCTTATTTGAAAAGGAAACTTGAAATTTAAATCTTAGTTACTTTCGAAGTGAGAATTGTCAAAAATATGCCTATATGTTTTAGCTGAGTCAGTCTAAAAAAAAAATAAAATTTAAATAAAATAATCCAGATACTATGTATCCAGGATATCTGCATTCAAGAACACTTTATTCTCACATTGTAGCAAATACCATACTGTACAATAATATTTCTGTTTATAATATTTATACAGGCTAAAATATGAGATTGTTATGGACAAATTATTGTATATAATGCTTATCTATCCCAATCCATTTCACAGTACCAGGAATTATGCAATAAACATAATAAATATTATTGAACATTTTTATTTCAACCACATCTTTGTTTTTGAAATGTATTATAACTAATTTTCTTTTGTGACTGTATTATTTGGGAAGGGGAATGTCAGGGACATTTAAGGTAAAGGTCATCTAGCTTTGTAATTACTAACCAAAGTAGAGAAGCACACGAAAAAACAAAAAACAAAACAAAACAAAAAACTGGTGCAAATGTATATTACTTTCACATGAAAATTTATTTTCAGACCCAGTCTTTTGGAATGGAAATTTCTTATCAAGCTCAAAACATTACTCAACACTGAATGCCTAGACAGAAAATAATAAAATAATATTTTCATTCACACCTTACTGGATCTTATGTTAGAATGTGCTATTATTGAGCATATCTTTGGTGTCCTTAAATTTCTGTCTTCTCTTACACATGTGCTTTCTACCAATTTAGAAGAACAGAAACTGAATTTACCCTCCTTCCTAAAACAACTGAAAAATGACAAAAAGTATAAAAGAGCAGTTTTGAAATATTGAACATTAGGCAGTCTGAGAAACTAATTCATGATAGAGGAGAAAATAAATGCTGTTGGGTCTATATTTGCTCCCAGCTTATGTGTAGAGTTTCCAGGAGGCAGAACAAGTGGAGGAAGCCAAACAGAGCCCAGTTATCCCTCTGACTTGAGGACACCTAACTACTAGTCAAGCATCACCAAGACAGCTATGATCATTGGAGGAAATGGCTACAAAGTCAGTTCCAAATGACAAGACCCCTTGAAATCTTATTTTAGTTTTGATAAGACTATATGCATGAAGGAATTTCAAACTGGGTACCTGAGATCTCTCAATAATGTTTCAAAACATGATGATGCAAGAAAAATGTTAAAATTAATTATTTGGCTGTTGAATTCATAATGTTGGGACAACATTTTTTTCAGAAACAGATTTATTTTAAAATATAATCCTAATTATCAAAAAGTTTCCACATTTAACTTTTTACTTATGTATCACTCATATTTACCTAGGCTATTTGTATCAAATTAAATTTTAAACTGTATTTTTAGCCTGTTAAATATTTATAATATAATTCTAAGACTACATAAATAGAAGCCTTATTTATTTCAGCTATTAAAATTGGGACAGCGAACATAACTGGAAAATATATAAAAGGGGTCTCTAAGAAGTTCATGAAAATTATATATTATGAAAAAAATATGAATAGACTTTAAATTTTTTGTACTAAAATAAACTTGTACTAACTTGTTATAACATGGCTGAACGGAATATAATTTAAGGCACTAAAAATGACAAAACATCAGTTTTAAGAGTCCTATCAGAGCAATGTGAATTCTGCTAAAATTGAAGCCCGAACAAACATCAAATTCATGAAGCTTGGATGGAGGAAAGAGTAATATAGTTAGGCTTTGTGTCCCCACCCAAATCTCATCTTGAATTGTAATCTCCAGGTGTTAAGGAGAGACCTGGTGGGAGGCGATTGGATTACAGGGTCAGTTGCCACCATGCTGTTCTTGAGATAGTGAGTGAGTTCTTGAAAGATCTGGTGGTTTTATAAGTGTTTGGTAGTTCCTCTTTTGTTTCTTTCTTCTCTCTCCTGCTGCCTTGTAACAAAGGTGCCTGCTTCCACTTCAGCCATGATTGTAAGTTTCCTGAGGCCTCCCCAGCCATACAGAACTGCGAGTCAATTAAACCTCTTTCCTTTGTAAATTACCCAGTCTTGGGTATTTCTTTATAGCAGTGTGAGAACAGACTAAAATAGTACTGCAGACAGTTGGGTTCTATAACAATAGCCAAAAATGTGGAAATGACTTTGGAACTGGGTAACAGGCAGAGGTTGAAACAGTTTGGAGGGCTCAGAAGAAGATAGGAAGAAGAAGATAGAAAAGTTTGGAACTTCTGAGAGACTTGGTGAATGGTTTTGACCCAAATGCTGATAATTATGTGGACAATGAAGTCCAGGCTGGCGTGGTCTCAGATGGAGATGAGAAACTTCTTGGGAACTGAAGTGTAGGTCACTTTTGCTATGCTTTACCAAAGAGACTGGTAGCATTTTGCCCCTGCTCTAGAGATCTGTGGAACTTTGGGCCTGAGTGAGATTACCTAAAATTGGAACTCACGTTTAAAAGGGAAGCAGATCATAAAAGTTTGGAAAATTTGTAACCTGATGATGCAATAGAAAAGAAAAACCTATTTTCTGGGGAGAAATTCAAGCCAGCTGCAGAAATCTGCATAAGTGACCGGGAGCCAAATGTTAATCACCAAGACAACGGGGGAAAAGTCTCCAGGGCATGTCAGAGATCTTCACAGCAGCCCCTCTCATAACAGGCCCAGAGGCATAGAAGGAAAAAATGGTTCTGTGGGCCACACCCAGGACCTTGCTGCTTTGTGTGGTCTTAAGACTTGGTGACTTAGGTCCCAGCCATGACTAAAAGGGGCCAACTTACAGCTCAGGCCATTGCTTCAAAGGGTGCAAGCCTCAAGCCTTGGTGGCTTCCAACTGGTGTTGGGCCTGTAGGTGCACAAAAGTCAAGAATTGAGGAGTGAGAACATCCACCTAGATTTCTGAAGATGTATGGAAATACCTGATGTCTAGGCGAAGTTTGCTGCAGGGGGAAGCCCTATGGAGATCCTCTGCTAGGGCAGGGCAGAAGGGAATGTGGGGTTGGAGCCCACACATAGAGTTCCTACTGGGGCACTGCCTGGTGGAGCTGTGAGAAGAGGGCCATCATCCTCCAGATCACAGAATGGAATATCCACCATAGCTTGCACCATACAGTTTGGAAAGCTGCAGGCACCAAATGCCACCCCATGAAAGCAGCTAGGAGGGAGGCTGCACAATGCAAAGCCACAGGAGCGGAGCTGACCAAGACCATGGGAGCCCACCTCTGGCATCAGTGTGCCTTGATTATAAGACATGGGGCAAAAGAGATTATTTAGGAGCTTTAAGATTTAATGACTGCCCCACTGGATTTTGAACTCGCATGGGGCCTGTAACCCCATTTATTTGGGACAGTTACTCCCATTTGGAGTGGGAACATCTACCCAATCCCTGTACCCACATTGTATCTAGGAAGTAACTATCTTGCTTTTTACTTTCCAAGCTCTTAGGTGGAAGGGACTTGTCTTGTCTCAGATAAGACTTTGGGTGGTGGACTTTTGAGTTAATGTTGAAATGAGTGAAGACTTAGAGGATTTTGGTAAGACATAATTGGTTTTGAAATGTGAAAAGACATGAGATTTGGAGTGGGCCAGGGTCAGAATGATATGGTTAGGCTTTGTGTCCCCAGCTAAATCTCTTTTGAATTGTAATCCCCAAGTGTTGAGGAGGACCTGGTGGGAGGTGATTGGATCATGGAGATGGTTCTCCCCATACTGTTCTTATGATAGTGAGTGAGTTCTCACAAGATCTGATGGTTTTATAAGTGTTTTGTGGTTCTTCTCTTGTTTGCTTCACTCTCCTGCCACCTTGTGAAGAAGGTGTTTGCTTCCCCTTCCACCATGATTGTAAGTTTCCTGAGGTCTCCCAGCCATGTGGATCTGTAAGTCAATTAAGTCTCTTTCCTTTATAAAAGACCCAGTCTTGGGTATTTCTTTGTAGCACTGTGAAAACAAACTAATAAAACGATAACTCATTGATGCTCTACATAAAGTTTATCAAGACAATGCCTGCAGGAATTTAGCAATTTACAAAAAGATAACTCATTTTAAGAAGGGACAAGACAATGTTGAAGATGAAGCTTTCAGGGGCAGAATATCCACATCAATTTTCAAGAAAAAATTCATTTTGTTTGTACTCTAATTGAAGAGGACTGAAGATGAACAGTGGAAACATTAGCCAACACTATCAACATTTTCATTGGTTTAGCTCACACAATTCTGACTGAAAAATTAAAGTTGAGCAAATTTTCTGCTCGATGGGTGTCAAAACTGTTGCAGCCAGATCAACTGCAAACAAGAGCAGAGCTTTCAATGGACATTTTAAACAAGCAGGATCAGGATACTGAAGTATTTCTTCCAAGAATTGTAACAGGAGATGAAACATGGCTCTACCAGCATGATCCTGAAGACAAACCATGATTAATGCATTGGCTACCAAAAGGTGGAAGTGGCCCAGTCAAGACAGAAGCAGTATGGTCAAGAACAAAAGTTATGTCAGTTTTTTGGGATGCTCAAGGTATTTTACTTGTTGACTTTCTGGAGGGCCAAAGAACATCAGTTGCTTATTGTTGAGAGTGTTTTGAGAAACTTAGCTAAATCTTTAGTGGAAGAACATTATCAGAATACTTCACCAAAGAGTCCTTCACCACGAAAATGCTCTTGCTCATTTCTCTTATTATTCAAGGGCAATTTTGAGAGAGTTTCAATGGGAAATCACTAGGCATTCAACTTATGGTCCTGATTTGGCTATTTCTACCTTCTTTTTGTTTCTCAATCTGAAATATCTTTAAGGTACACCAATTTTTCTTCAATTAATGTAAAAAAAAACTGAATTGACATGATTGAATTCCCAAGATGCAGATTTTTTTTAGGGAGGGACTAAGTGACTGGTATCATTGCTTACAGAGGTTCCTTGAACCTGATGGAGCTCATGTTGACAAATGAAATTTACATTTTTCATTTTATCTTTTAATTCCATTTTTTTTCTAACAAGCTTTTAAAAGTCATCGTGTACAGTTTGGATTGATTAAATTTTTATTTTGTGAATACATTGTCTTTAGAATCTCTTTAAATGAGGGGAAAAGGTGGCTTTTGTTACACTTTAAAATATGATTTAGATTATTAAAATGTTGACTTACATACAACATTTCGAGATAATATTTAGCTTAAAATATCTTGAATGTAAAATCATCTTAAAATCAATTTTAGATTTTTTATGAATTTAATATATCCTTATAACCATCTTTTATTGGAGGTATTGCTAAAAATATATTCACAAATTGATTGGTATCATCCCTTCAAGTTCCCCTAAAATGTAAGTAAGAGTCATTTTGAAGATACAGTTGAACTGCAAAACTTTACTCAGATATACAGTTTGTTACATGCATTCATAATTGATTTTTTCAATTTGGGTTTCCATTTTAGCATCATATTTTAACTATGCTGACAGTGCACTTTCTCATACTCCTGATTGTTTTTCCACTCTAGCCTAGTCAACAATATCATTTTCATGAGATTTTGGTGAAGCATCTACATCTATAACTAGAAAGGCACAGAAATTAGAACCAAAGAACTAACAATCAAATCTCAGATTTCCTATGTATAAACTCTACAACCTTAAGAAATTTCATGAACCAAATTAAGAAAATTGTTGGTTTGGTTTGAATAATTTCATTAACCAAATCAATGAAATTATTCAAACTCTCTGTGAGACAGTTTTCTCATTTGTAAACTCTGCATAACAATAGTGCTGAGATCATAAGATGCTGATGAAGAGTAAATGCCTTATATAAAATGTTTAGAAGAGTCTTTGGCCAGATAATTTTAATAAAAATGTTTTGTATTTCTACTTTAAAGTACATTTAGTCACTATAATCAAATAATATATAATTTGACATCTATTTGTTGCATTCCTGGGTGTTTGCTAAGGACAAAGCCTGAGTAAGAGCATTGCTCCCCCCATCATTACAAAGCTAATAGTAAAACATTGTTATTTTAATACCTCTCATAAGATTTATAAAAACTGACACGTTTGTATTACTTCTCTTTGTACCAGATTTAAATGGAGATATTGAGCATATTAGTATTCTAGGGCTGTCCTAGTAAATGACCACAAACTGGGTGGCAGAAAAAGCAGAAATATATTGTCTCACAATTCCGGAGGCTAGAAGTCCAAAATCAAAGTGTTGCTAGAACCATGCTACCTACAAAACCCATAGGGAAATCATTCTTTTCCTCTTTCTAGCTTCTGATGATTTTCTGGCAATCTTTAATGTTGCTTTTTTCATTTTTATTTTTATTTTTATTTTTATTTATTTATTTTTTTTGAGACAGAGTCTCACTCTGTCGCTCAGGCTGGAGTGCAATTGCATGATCTCGGCTCACTGCATCCTCTGCCTCCTGGGTTCAAGCGATTCTCCTGCCTCAGCCTCCCGAGTAGCTGAGGTTACAGGCGCCCATCACCACACCTGGCTGATTTTTTGTATTTTAGTAGAGACAGGGTTTCACCATGTTGGTCGGACTGATCTCAAACTCCTGACCTCAAATGATCCGCCCACCTTGGCCTCCCAAAGTGCTGTGATTATAGGCATGAGCCACCGTGCCTGGCCTTTTGGACGTTTCTTGGCTTGTAGATGCATCACTCCAATCATCCATCTTCATATGGTGTTCTTCTTGTGTCTCTTTACATCTCCTTTCCTCTCTGTGTGTCTCTGTCCAAATTTTCCCTTTTTATAAGGACACCAGTCATACTGGATTAGAACCCTCACTAATGAGCTCATCTTAACTTGTGCATACGTTGCATGTAGTGTCTTATTCTATACAAAGGTAAGCATAATTTATATCACTGGCAAAAGCCTCCACTAATCTTTGCAACTATGGGACAGCAAAAGTTGTCTCATGATATCCTCTACCATCAACTCTATCTGATCTTGGGTTATCACTTTTTAAGAGACATGACCAAATAGTTCTGGAGATTCATTTCCTTCTCCTTTTTAGTAACAGAGAGTTGTTTCAATTGAACTGTGTATGCCTGTAGAAAGATAAGACTGTCACATCATCATTCCTGGTACCAAAGTTCTTCTTAGAGCCCTTGTATGTACACCTTGTCCCTCAGTATGCACACTCTGTAGCATACTTCCTGGGCCCAGTAATTCTTGTTAATTTGACAAACTAGGTGTTTGCTAACACATTTTATGCTAATCTTTAATTCTATAAATGTCTGCAGAAGCGTGGAGTAGTGTTTACTCTCTCTCAGAATATTGACCATGGCCCATATAGAACATACGATGTTTACATATAGTAATCATGAAAAAAAATCAACTTATCAACATAGACACTTAAAAACTGCCTGACATAAAATAGTAATAGAAACATATTAATACTAGAAAGTAGATTTTAATTAACATTTCAAGTCATGACAGTTAAATAGACAAAATAAAATATATTGGAATATAGAATATTTTTTAAATAATGATTAATGAAAGTATAGAAAAATATCATTTTATTTCAATAGAAAATACCTCTATAAATTAACAACACACAGAAAGTAATGATAAAGCAACATCTGCTTGTAAATTAATTAACATAACAGAAAGCAAAACAAAACAAAAAACTCTGTCCCAAATCATGGGTAAAGAATACAACATATCTAAAATTTCTGAAGGCCTAGAATATATTATACCAAAGTGAAATACTCTGTATCAGAAACTATGAAATGTCAACAAAGTAATGAGCTATGAAATATTCATTTTTTAACTCCTGGGATTTATAAGTTAATAGAAATCAATGAAATTGTAATGATTATGCAGCCAACTCAAACACTTACAAAAACAACAAAATTAACAAAAAAGGCAAAAGGAAGGCATTAATAAAATATCAACTATTGTATAAGAAGTATTAAAATAAATTTATAACTCCAATAGCCAAAAAACTTTTAAATAAAATTATGACATAAAAATATTAGCTAATATGGCAGAATAATTTATCCACATCTATTAAATAAATGTATAGTAATAAAAAAGAGAAAATAAGTCATAGCTCTTTTGCTAAATGCTTACAAAAATTATCAAACCTTTAAAGGGGACTGTCTCCAGAAAAATGCAATTTACTAAATCTGAATCCAGAAAAGAGATAACATGTGATATGGTTTGGCTGTGTCCCCACCAAAATCTCATCTTGAATTATAGCTCCCATAATCCCCATGTGTCGTGGGAGGGAGATAATTGGATCATGGTGGTGGTTACCCTCAGGCTGTTCTCCTGACAGTGAGTGAGTTCTTATGAGATCTGATGGTTTTATAAGGGGCTTCCCCCTTCGCTGGGCACCCATTCTCTCTCCTGCCACCCTGTGAAGAGGTGCCTTCTGCCATGATTGTAAGTTTCCTGAGGCCTCCAAGCCATGCAGAACTGTGAGTCAATTAAACCTCTTTAAATTATAAATTACCCAGTCTCAGGTATTTCTTCATAGAAGCATACAAATGCATAATACAACATGTAAAAATTTAATAAATGGTGCTGAGAAAACTGGCAAGCCACATGTGGAATGAAACTGGATCTTCATCTGCCACCTTATATAAAAATCAACTCAAGATAGATGAAAGACTTAAATCTAAGACATGAAACCATAAAAATTCTAGAAGATAATATAAAAAAAAACTCTTCTAGACATTGGCTTAGGAAAATAATTCCTGACTAAGAACTCAAAAGCAAATGCAACAAAAACAAAAATAAATTAATGGGACCTAATTAAACTAAAAGCATTTGCACAGTAAGAGAAATAATCAGCAGAGTAAAAGGACAACCCACAGAGTGGGAGAAAGTATTTGCAAACCATGCATCCGACAAATCACTAATACTCAGAATCTACAAGGAAATCAAACAAATCAGCAAGAAAAAAAATAAACAATCACACCAAAAAGTGGGCAAAGGACATGAATAGACAATTCTCAAGAGAAGATACACAAACAGCCAACAGACATACGAAAAACTGCTCAACTTCACTAATTATCATGGAAATGCAAATCAAAACCACGAGATGCCAGTTTGTTACTTTAAGAATGGCCATAATTAAAAAATAAAAAAAGAATGGATGTTGGTGTGGACATAGTTAAAAGGGAACACTTTTTTACACTGCTGTTGAAGTATAAATTAGTATCACCACTGTGGAAAACAGTATGGAGATTCTTTAAAGAACTAAAGTAGAACTATCATTCAATCCAGCAATCCCAGTGCTCAGTATCTACCAAAAGGATAGATATATGAAAGTTAATATATGAAAAAAAAACCATACACACAAAATGGAACAAAATAGTGGTCTTTGCAGCAACTTGGATGAAGCTGGAGGCCATTATTCTAAGTGAAGTAACTCAGGAATGGAAAACCAAAAATATCATTTTATTTCAATAGAAAATACCTCTATAAATTAACAACACACAGAAAGTAATGAGAAAGCAACATCTGCTTGTAAATTAATTAACATAACAGAAAGCAAAACAAAACAAAAAACTCTGTCCTAAATCATGGGTAAAGAATACAACATATCTAAATTGCATATTCTCATTTGGAAGTAGGAGGTAAGCTATAGGGATGCAAAGAAAAAAGAATGATATAATGGGCTTTGGGGCTCCGGAAGGGGTTAGGGCAGTAAGGAATAGAAGACTACATATTGGGTACACTGTACACTGCTTGGGTGATGGGTGCATCAAAATCTCAGAAATCACCAATAAGGAACTTGTCCATGTAACCAAAAACCAGCTGTATCCGAAACTAAAATATGATAAAAGATTAATGATTTTCTCCAAAAACTATTAGTTATATATATATTTTCATAAAGAAACTTTAAGAAACATTCAGGGCAGGTAATTTCTATGGTATGTTAATACTTCCAGAACATGGGAGAGGAGTGGGTAGAAAGCTCTCAATTTTATTTTCTGAAAGAAGTATGGTATTGAAACCTAAAGAAACACTGAGAAGACTATAAGCCAATATCATATATGGCAATTGACATGAGATCATAAATAAAATGTTAGGAAATAGAATTTAGAAACCCATTACAAAAATAATGTATTATATCATGCATATCCTAAGGTTTCAGGTTTCCTTCAATATTAATAAGGCTATTATTAAACATGAACAGAAATTTGATAAATCTAATATGTATCCTTGATTTTTTAAAAAATCAATAAAATAAATATAATGGATAAATCCTTATTATTGGAAAATTTATCTGATCAAACCAAAGAGCAATTCTCATGCTTTGGGGAAAATATTAGAAGTATTTGCATTGAAATGCAGACTTTATACACTAAAGTGTTGAGTGAAATGTAGCCACAGCATACACTTTTGTACATCATCACTCATTCTTGCATCTTGTCTTCATCCATTCTTCCTTCCTGTCCTTTTTTACCTTCTTGCTTTCCACCTTCCTTTCTTATTCCTCCCCTCCTTCCCTCTTTTCCTTCTTTCATTCCTCCCTCTCATTTATTCACTGTCTTTTACACTTCTAACCCATACTTACTCTCATCCACTCATTGTCAACATCTCCATTGTGTTTAATTTATATATTTTGTTTCAATTAGTACTAACAACATGCATGTTGTTGCTTCGTGTGCATGTATTTTTTAAAATAAACTATTTATTTTATAGCAGTTTTGGGTACATGGAAAATTGACAGAAAAACACAAAGATTCTCCATATACATTATGTCCCCACACATGCATAGCCTTCCTCATTGTCAATGTATACACTAAAAGTAAGAATTTGAATTTTTATCCTAAATAAAATTAGAATTTTACACTAAATTAGAATTATATACACTAAAGCGACTTCTTTGTTGCAATTGATGAACTTACATTGAAACATTTTTATCACTCAACATCCATTGTTTACATGGGGGTTCACTCTTGGTGTGGCGCATTCCATGAGCTTGGAAAAAAAGTATTATGACATGTAACCATGAGTTTAATATCTTACAGAGTATTTTCTCTGCTGTAAAAATCCTCTGTTCTCCATATATTCAACCCTACTCACAACTATTGGAAATGACTATTTCTGCTGTTTCCATAGTTTGCCTTTTCCAGAATTTCTTATAGTTGGGGTCATAAAGTATGTGGCCTCTTTAGACTGGATTATTTCACTTAGTAGTATTAATTTAAGATTTCCCCCATGTCTTTTTCTTTTCTCTCTTTTTTCTTTTTTTTAGATGGACTTTCACTCTTGTTGCCCAGGCTGGAGTACAATGGCACAATCTAGGCTCACTGCAACCTCTGCCTACTCCGGAGTTCAAGCTATTCTCCTGCTTCAGCCTCCCAAGTAGCTGGGATTACAGGCACCTGCAACCATGCCCAGATAATTTTTTGTATTTTTAGTAGAGATGGGGTTTCACTATGTTTGCCAGCTGGTCTCAAACTCCGGACCTCAAGCGATCCACCTGCTGTGGCCTCCCAAAGTGCTGGGATTACAAGCATGAGCCACTGTGCCTGGCCCCTTCCATGCCTTTTTATGGACTGATAGCTCATTTTTCTTCAACACTGAATAATATTCCCTTTTCTGGATATACCAGATTTATTTATCAATTCACCTGAAGAAATATTTTGGTTAATTATATGCTTGGGCATTATGAATAAAGCTGCTATAAGCATTGATGTGTAGACTTTAGGGTGACCGTTAAGCTTTCAATTATGTCCCTTTTTTCAGACTATGGAACAGGTTTGTTGTTTATTTGGGTTTGGGTTTTTATTTGCCTTTTGGTGTGCCTTACAATATTTTCTTGATAGTCAGATATGATATATGGGGTAAAAGGAACTCTGGTAGCAGGCCTTTAGCAGTGAGATGTTAAGGTGCAGGGAGAGGGAGTGGGTGTGGAGAAGCAGTCTCTAGCCCTACAATAAGATCTCAATATTCTAGTGTGCCTGCTGGGCTGTCAACTTTACAAATGCTTCTCACCTTCTGCCCTCCCACCCCTTAAGAGAGACAGAATGGCTAGAATTGGCTGAAGTTGGGTATTTCCCTTCCTCCACAAGGAAGAAGAGAGCCAGATAGAGTTGAATATTTTCCCATATCACCAATTAGTTAAGCTCTGTTGAAATGCCAGCAGGCAAGGTTCTGGTTAAATAGTCACTCCTGAGGGAAGACTTTGTTAAGAAGAACAGAATGCTCTCGTGCATTTCAAAATAGTTCCTTTTCTCCTCATCTTGCCAGAAGCATAAAAAGATTTTTATCAGATAGTCAATGTGAGAACCAGGTCAAACTCCTGGAGATAAAACTTACAAAAATATAGATGCCTTCCTGTGACTGGGTCCTCCTGGAGATTTTCACCCTCAGAGTAGTCCCCAGTGAGCTTCCAGCAATTCGTCAATTACAGTTCAGGTTTTCCTGCAAAGCATTGGTTCCTAAAGAGCTTTACACTTATGAGTTTCTATTCCTGTAAGTTGTGATTCTCTCTAGATCTGTCTTTTTGGTATTTCCAGTTTTGGGGGTAGTAGGTTGTCTTATATCCTCGTTCCTCTTATGGATCTATAAAGAGTTGTGGATTTTTCAGTTTCTCCAGTTGTTTACTTATTTTTAGGACGGAGTAGCAACTTCCAAACTTCTTACATGCTGAGCTAGGAAACAGAAATCTCCTGCATGTATCTTTAATTTTTGAAAATGATATTGTGTTTTATGTTCTATTATTAGCCACTAGCTAATAATAGAACGAGATGAGAAAAATGTTGTGAAAAATGTTATGAGAAAGGAGATGAAAAAAATGTTGTGAAAGTAACTCATTAATATTGTATTATTAATCACTTAGAATACAATGTATTTATTTATTTATTTTTATTATACTTTAAGTTTTAGAGTACATGTGCACAGAGTGCAGGTTTTTTACATATGTATACATGTGCCATGTTGGAGTGCTGCACCTCTTAACTTGTCATTTAACATTAGGTGTATCTCCTAATGCTATCCCTCCCCACTCTCCCCACCCCACAACAGGCCCCGGTGTGTGATGTTCCCCTTCCTGTGTCGATGTGTTCTCATTGTTCAATTCCCACCTATGAGGGAGAACATGCGGTGTTTGGTTTTTTGTCCTTATTTAATAGTGTATTTGGCAATGTGAAGGAGACTTAAAAAGATTCATTAGTTTTTTTTTTTAAGTAAGCAATTGAATTGTAATAATCAACTAATTGGAGATTTAAAAAATTGGAAAGTGTTGACGTTATCACCATTTGAATCAATGGTGAAATATAATATAAATTTGAATAGGAAGACACCATCATCATAAGATATACATTGTTCCTACGTTAGTATATAATTTAAACATTATTTCAAATGAAAGTGCAAGATGACTCTAAATTTCATATAGAAAAATAAGTTTCAAAAGTAAACACAAAAACAAAAACAAACCCAAAAATGATTGAGGAGAGACTCAATCTACTGGATTTAAAAACATATAAGAAATTTAGAATTCTATTAATATATTTCAGAGACATGAATAGACAAAAAGATCAACAGACTAAATAGAAAGTAGAGATGATGTGAACTTATTTATATAGAAATTCAGTATACAGATTATCTGCCACTAAACTGACTTTTTAAGAAAATTAAAAAAAAATCTATTTCTAGAAATTGAGAAAGGAGAGAAAAAAGAACAAGTTAGGCAGATAGTTAGGACAAGGTCTCAGTAGAAGTCTTTCCAACAAAAGAGCAGCCTGGAAGAAATCAAGCTGCAAGCGCTGATAAGGAAGTAAGGTCCAATGACTTTGTTTCTTGTCCAACCAGCAAGCTCCACCTATACACAGTGGACTTCAGTGAGGACATTCCTTTCCTTTTTGGGCATACTCAGATAAGGGAACTTGCACAGAGTTCTTGCCTAAGACAGGTCTGCAGCTGTATAGATAAGTTACACAGAACCAGGCATGTCTGGAGTGTAAAATTCCAGCATCTGATGCATGCACAGTAAGAGAGGTGAAACAATATGGAGTAACTCAGGCTAAGAGCCTGCATACACACTAGAGGGATGGGGTGGAGTTAACAGTAAGTTGCACCTTATGAAAATAAAAAACCCAGCCCTAACCAGTTTTTCGTGCCTTATGCAAATGAAAAACCCCACCCATTAGCTTGTTTATGAAAGCTTTTGCATTCGACTGTGTGATGGCAACCCTCTCAGGCCCCCTCTCCACTGTGGAGACCTTTCGTCTTTCACTTATTAAACTTTCACTCCAACCTCACCCTTGGTGGCCATGCTCCTTAATTTTCTTGGTTGTGAGACAAAGAACTCCAGGTAATATCTCAGACAACGATACTGCTGCTTCAGTGACCCTAGACTGCTTCCAAGTAAACATACTATTTTCTGTTTTTACAAGTTATAATGTCTCTCAACATAAACAATACATTCAGTATTTTAAATCTGTACAGTCACTTAAAAATACTAGCATAAAGAGAGAAAATTAGGGGTGTTAAACATTTGTGGTTGCATATTATTAACACTAAACCTACTGCCATTGATGTCATTTAACATGTCCTTGATGATTGGTTATCATATCTGTATAATAGAATAATGGTGGAAATGGTAAGCACATATTTTTGTCCTTTTTTGTAATTTTTCTATTATAATGAAATTTAGGACTGTATTATATATGTGCCATATCAAATCAATAGCAAAAAGTAAATTAGATCATAAATCATATTAGGATAAATAAGTAGCAATCTAGGGAAATTTGAATTCACCAAGACGAATTTCACATGCATTACTAAATTTATTTGTGTGTGTATGTGTGTGTGTATGTGTGCATTCACCATCATTTTCTCTGTGGAGGATAATTATTTAGCAGAAAGAGAGGAGGAAGATTGTTTACTGTCTACCTTTTGTGCTATTTAATTTATGTAACTTTTATTTATTTATATATCAAGACATATTGATTTAAATTATAAACAAGTAAAATATATGAAAGAGGTAATTAAGATATTGAGAGGCATAAACCCCTTCAATGTATTCATATGTAAATACAAATAATACCTAACTTCCAGATTTACTGTTATACTTAAATTAGATTATACATTACAGGTACTAGTACATGAAATACAGTAAGTGCTCAAAATGAATAGCACTTGTTACCAAAACAATACTATAGTATCTTTAGTACTAAATAGAATAAATTTTCTTTCTTCTTATTAAAAGAAAATGGAAGTCAATCTAGTTTTCCAGACTCAATGAGGTATCATTTACCAAACATGATAGAGAAAGATGGGGATAAATCATAAGTTAGAGTGAGGAAATGAAAATCTATCACAACAGTTTCAATGGTAGAAATTTGAATGCCATCAAAAGTTAATCCTTCAAATTTTTATGAAAATAATAAACTAAAAGTGTTAATATATTTTTTCATATTCAATGAGATAATTCATTGGTTATCAATGCATTAATAAATAAATATTGGTTGGTACAAAATAATTTCCTCAACAAACAGAATATCAATACACAAATATCAAGTGACAATTTTTGTTCTATTTTTCATTCTCTCACAAATGTTACAATCTAACTTTCATCTTTAATTACTAAGTGTTTCAGATATTACACATCTTAAAAAATATTAGCAAAACCACAAGTCTTTAGAGGCTGCTGTGTAGCTAAAAGTTCTTTCCTCAGTATGTGGTTATAGTGTGAAATGTAACTGTGAAAATGACGTTGTGGGCTGCTATATTTATCCTCTCAAAGACTTGAGCAGCGCATCAAGTTTACTCAGTTTATGATTATTTTTATTACTTGATGCTGCAGGCACAACCTGAGAGAAAAATGTACTAGTTACTTTCTGAGTTTTACATCATTGCCCATAACAGAAACTCAGCACTTGAATCTAATTGACAAATTGATTGAGTACTCAAGGAGATACTATGCTGATTACATTGGCAAAACTTCATTGATACCTCAGTCCTAAATAGAACTTTATTTTATTAGTATGTTTAGTCTTATGTCTGACAATAATGTAGGGCAGAAGAAAAAAATGTTTTCAAAATATTCCCAAGGAAATATATTTAAACTAGAGAATCAAATTTTTACCTATTATTAATGGCGACATTTTTATTTTATATAATGCTTTTTAAAAATATAAAAATTGTAGTTATTTTAAAATATTTTTACCAGTTTGGTTTTTGTTGTTGTTGTTGTTATTGTTGTTATTGGTGGTGGTGTTAGAATAAGTGGCAATTGAGGAATAGAGAAGCATCATACAAAAGAAAATGGGTCTGTGTGTGAATGTCCATACTTGAAAATAAGAAGACTATCTTACGCACTGTTGTACTATTGGGGAGCATTAACATATGTCAAATATGTTTTTAAACTATAAAGTATTGTAGAAATTTAATTAATATTCTTGTATTTTTAAAGAGTATAACAGCCAAGAAAGGCTGGATTTTCATATGGTAACAAACAATTGTAATATCTCAGTGACATAAAACAGCAAACATTTATTTTCAATCCTTTTCTTCCAAGAGGGGTCTGTTGATCATATCGCACAGAGCTGCAAACTGATGGAGCCGTCATCATATAAAATGTTTCTCTGTCCTGTATCAAAAAGAAAATGTATTGTATTGACAAGTAAATTATCTAGACCAACACTTATATGTGTTACCTTTTGCTGTAAGCATTTATTGGCTAGCATTAGAAAACCTACTAGCCAACATAAGCCAGAGAAAGCAGATTTATCACATACCAGGTAGTGGGAAAATGGAAAACAATTGTCAGAAGCAATATCCATTATCGCAGAAAATAAATCTTGAAAAATGGAGTAAAATGAGCAGTAAGAGGATCCATTTCACAACATGAGATTAACAATATTTAAGTTTGACATTTCTAAATATTAGCAAGAATGTGGAGCAAAGGGCATTCTTATATACCAGTGGTGGAGTATAAACTGATGCATATCATTAGGGAAAAAATTTTAGAAAAACCTAAGAAAGTTAAAGATGTAGAAACCCTAAATCCTAATTCTGCAACAAATTCTACTTTTTCAAAAATCAAAAAGATTGTTCAAGCACATACATAGTTATTGAAACTTGCATGTAACAGTGAAATATCAAAAACAATCTACATGTCTAAAAGTGCATCAGAGAATTAATAAATAAAAATGATGGCAAACACAAAAACATGCACACACATACATAAAAATGAATAAAGTAGAATTGCATGCAGCTATATAAATTAATACTCAAAATTACAAATATTAAATTTTAAAAAGAAAATTAGAGAATGATATGCATGATATGCTATTGCATAAAGAATTTAAAAAGCAAAACATAATTATTTATTATTCATAACAGATAAATTCCTAACATGTCATAGGTACTTGTTATAACACATTTGTCATCTGTAATTATATATTTAAATTATGTATGAATATTTTTATATAATTTATTACTTCCCATTTATTTATAGTTACTATTTACTCAATTTAGTTTTTGATGTACTTAGATTTATTATACTTATTTTTAGTTAACTAAATGTCTTTACAATAAAATATGTGGGGAGTGGGAGAAAATTCTCATAACTGTAAAAATACAATTAAAGTAAAACTGAAAATTATTAGGCACGGAATGTGGTAAAAAATTAGCCTTTATTAGATGATCATTGTACTCAAACCCTTCAACTCTACGCTGTCACATGTAAAGAGCAAAAACAATTTTTTAAAAAATTCTTAAAGTATTGACTATTTTTCCCAAAGATTGAATTTTATTTTAAGTAAGCGGAAAACTCTTTTATGCAGTGAGAAATAATAAATCTACTCCCATACCTGCACCATTCAAAATCAGAATAATGTAATTTAAAGACAAACGTAGGTCTTCATACATTTTTAGAAAAAAATTTCAACCATTTTTAAGACACCATCGATGCTTATCTTAAAATATTCTGCTCAGCCTTGAGTCAGCACTGGTCTGGCTACCGTGGTCTCTGAAAATGACTCATTAAATAATCAAAAATTTTGTGAGTCAGTAGCTAAAATCCTTTTATTCAGTCACGGCTGGGATATTTATACTAAAGAAACAGTACAATTCAAGCCTTAAAATTTGTTTAAATATATTTTTTTGTTTTAAACCAATTTGGTTTACCTGTGCAAACACTAGTTATAACACCTCCAAGATTCTTTGCATAGTTTTAAAAACCTATATCAGTACATGGATTTATTTACAAATATAAATACACTTCCTTTGTCTACTGGAAGTTCATTTCAAATAATCTAGGTTAATAGAATTAAAGTTAAATACTTGCAAGTAAGCATTAATATTCTTATCTATATTTATTGTTTAATAATGGTATAATGATTCCCTTTACATTATACAATACACAGGAGGTTAAATACTAATCATAATGTAACTTAATTAAGGAATTTTTATAAAATGCCTTGAGCTCCTTGGGAACTAACTCCTATTTTTAACATGATTTTGAACATTTTATATTTTTACACATTTTTACAAATGTACTGTGCATAGAAATAGGGGTTTCTATTACTTGTGAATCAGTTAATATCATACATTTTGATAGACAACACAGAATCAATTGATGCATTCATAAAGAAAAAAATTAAAAGTAATCTGTGTATGTGATGAATGTTTTTTGGTTATACTCTAAGCAAATGGGTTCTGAAAATGTATAGAAAATTCGGAAATTAAGGAAAACATAAGCAGTCTGGAAACACAATGAAAAATGTTCAAAATATGGAAATTAGAGAATGTATAAAATGTATTTTGAAAACATTAAAGAATTGTTACATGTTTTATTACTTTTTTTAGTGGCATGATAATGTGAAGATAAGCTGATGATATTATGGCTATGTCTATTATTGGATATAGGAATATATCATTATATTTAGAAAATATTACTAGATATAGAGAAATAATTACAAGGAAGATAACATGCTTCTCTCCATTGTATGTTCTTAATCAAATAGATTACATATTCTTTGAAGAAAAGAAATATAGTTTTTTATTAGCCTTTTTATAGATTATTTACAGGTTAAAGTATCTACATATCTTTATAGTGATGAGTAATTTTTTAAAAATTGTGATTTATAAATAAAATAGAAAGAAATGCCCAATTAGGAATCAACAGGAGTTTTCTAAGAATAAATTCTGGAAACTAAACATACTTTTGAAGGTTTATTGGAACATATCAGAACATACCACAGACTTAACATATCCTGTTTTTAACAAAAGTGGTTTGCAAAAATTTTAGTATTCATAATGTTTATTTGGCAAAAAAAAATCCATAAAATGTTTAACACAAGGCATAACAATAGGTCCTGGTAAGTTAAAAATAATACACCTCCTTAAAAAATCATATTCAGAGATCAGTGACTATATTCAGAGATCACTGAATATAAAGAGAAATCAATCAAGCAGAATAGTTCCCAAGCAGAATTGTAGTCCTCATCTCTATCCTTTCAACCCTTAAAAATTAATGATCCTTACCTAAAAATAATATGAGCCATCTATGGCAAACCAACAGTCAACATCATACTGAATGGGCGAAAGCTAGAAGCATGCCCCTTGAGAACCTAACAAGGCAAGGATGCCCACTCTCCCCACTCCTATTCAACATAGTACTGAAAGTCCTGGCCAGAGTCATTAGTCAAGAGAAAGAAATAAAAGGCATCCAAATAGAAAGAGAGGAAGTCAAACTGTTTACAGGCTAATGACTATATTTAGAAAACCCCATGGTTTCTGTCCAGAAGCTCCTAGATCTGATAAACAATTTGAGCAAAGTTTCAGGACACAAAGTCAATGTATGACAATCATTAGCATTTCTATACACCAACAATGTCCAAGCTGAGTGTTGAATGAAGAATGCAATCAAATTCATGATAGTCCCAATAAAATAAAATAAAATAAAATAAAATAAAATACATAAGAATACAGCTAACCAGAGGTTTGAAAGATCTCTATAACTAGAATTAAAAAACACGGCTCAAATAAATCAAAGATGACACAAACAAATGAAAAAACATTCCATACTCATGGGTAGGAAGAATCAGTATTTTTAAAATGGCATGCTACTCATGTTGATTTACAGGTCAATGCTCTTCCTATCAAACTACCCATGACATTCTTCACAGAAATAGAAAAAGCTACCCTAAAATTCATATGGACCCAGAAAAGTACCTGAAGAGCGAACATAATCCTAAGCAAAGAGAACAACTTGGAGGCATCGTATTATCCAACTTCAACCTATAGTACAAGGTTACAGTAACCAAAACAGCATGGTACTGGTAAAAAACAACAACAACAAAACAGACACGTAGACTAATGGAACAGAATAGAAAGCCCAGAAATAAAGTGGCACACCTACAACCATCTAATCTTCTTTGACAAAGTTGACAAAAACAAGCAATGGGGAAAGGACCACTTATTCAATAAGTGGTGCTGGTATAACTCGGTAGACATATACAGAAGATTGAAACTGGACCTCTTTCTTACACCATATACAAAAATAAACTCAAGATGGATTAAAGATTTAAATGTAAAACCTAAAACTATAAAAACCCTTGAAGAAAACCTAGAAAGCACCATTGTGGACACAGGCACTGGCAAATATTTCATGATGAGATTCCAAAAGTAATTGCAACAAAAATAAAAATTGACAAATTTGACCTAATTGAAAAAAATCACTTATTCTCAGGAGAATAAACAGACAACCCACAGAATGAGAGAAAATATTTGGAAGCTATACATCTGACCAAGGTCTAATATCAAGAATGTACAAGGAACTTAAACAAATTAACAAGCAAAAAATGAGCAACTCCATTAAAACTGGGAAAATAACACGAACAGACTCTTTTCAAAAGAAAACATACATGTGGCAAACAAGCATATGAAAAAGTGCTTAACATCACCAATAATTAGAGAACTGCAAATCTAAACCACAATGAGGTACCATCTCACACCAGACAGCATGGCTGTTATTAAAAAGTCAAAAAATAACAGATGCTGGTGAGGTTGCAAAGAAAAAGGAATGTGTATACACTGCTGGTGGGAATGTAAATTAGTTCAGTCAATGTAGAAAGCAATTTGGCAATTTCTCAAAGACCGTAAAACAGAACTACCATGCCACCAGTAACCCCATTATTGAGTATATGGCCAAACACATATAACTCATTCTAACATAAAAATATGAACACATGTATGTTTGTCATAATTTTATTCACAATAGCAAAGACATGGAATCAATCTAAGTGCCCATCAAAAGTAGACTGGATAAAGAAAAGTGGTAGGTATACACCATGGAATGCTATTCAGCCATAAAGAAGAATGAGATGTCATGTTCTTTTCAACAACATAGATGGAGCTGGAAGCCATTATCCTGACTGAAGTAATGCAAGGGCAGAAAATCATATACTGTATGTTCTCACTTATAAGTCCCACTTAAAATATACACTAGAGCATACTTGAGGGTGGAGGATGAGAGGAGGGTGTGGATTGAAAAACTGCCTGTTGGGTACTATGGTTATTATTTGGGTGACAAAATAATCTGTACACCAAACCCTCAGGACATGCAATTTACCTATCTAACAAACCTGCACATGTAACCATGAAACCAAATTACAAATTTTTTAAATTACTGATTCTATTATGAGTTTGGGTATAATAATGATTAAATTTGTTTACTAGATATGCAATAAATCAAATATAATATGACTGAAATGTTGAAACAGACAACAAAAATAATATACGTCTCTTATTATTTTGAGATAAGGATCATAGTTACAGGAAAATGTAACTATTTATATTTGGATCCCATCACCACACACACACACACACACACACACACACACTCAAAACTAACACAAACAAAAATATAGGTTTACTAAGATATGACCTAACTACTGAATGAAAGATAACTCTAAAGGGATTTTGAATGGCTACAGGTTTAAAATAAATTATAATGCCTTCTGATTTTCAATGAAGCTAAAACTTGAATTCTTATACTATGATACCACAAGGGCATAAATCCGCAAAGCAGCCTCATACTCATCATTAATCCCATCCAGCACCACTGGATAATACTAAGTGACTAAGTACACAAGTAAAAAAGGCAAACTTTAACACTGCAGCATCTCTGGAATGATCCGCACCCATAAGATCCAGCTCTTAAAAAATTCATTTGATCTATGTTGAGAACAATGAAAATTGTACTAACTCTGGATATGGTACCATTTAGCTTTAAGAAATCTCTAAGTTTGAAGCTTAGTTTTTATACTTTCTCTTTTTCGTCATGCAGTTAAGAAAACTAAGCAACTAATTTCCATTCTCCAGACACCTGAGTCCCACTACTCCATATATTACAGGTTTATTTTCAATAAGCCATTTCAGCACATCAGGTATTGCGCTTAAGAAAAACTAAAATAAAGCCAGGCGCGGTGGCTCATGCCTGTAATCCCAGCACTTTGGAAGGCTGAGGAGGGCGGATCACCTAAGGTCGGTAGTTCAAAACCAGCCTGACCAACATGGAGAAACCCTGCTTCTACTAAAAATACAAAATTAGCCAGACATGGTGGCACATGGCTGTAATCCCAGCCACTCAGGAGGCTGAAGCAAGTGAATCGTTGGAACCCTGGAGGCAGAGGTTGCGGTGAGCTGAGATCACACCATTACACTCCAGCCTGGGCGCCAAGAGTGAAACTCTGTCTCAAAAAAAAAAAAAAAAGAAAAGAAAAAGAAAAATAGAAAAAAGAAAGAAAGGAAGGAAGGATGGAAGGAAGGAAGGAGGAAGGAAGGAAGGAAAGAGGAAGGAAGGAAGAAGGAAGGAAGGAAAAATTAAAAAACTAAAATAATAAGTTCCTTAGTCATCTTCTTGCTAGTAAATTCTAAACTAAAACGTGTTTACAAAGTTGTGCAGTCAACGTTGCCTCCAGCATCTCCAGGAAGATAAGGATTAGTTATAGAACTTCTCTTCCATCTTCACTACATTTGATACATAAAAGCCTGTATGATATGCTAGACTGCAGATTTTAAAAGTCCATCAAGCATTTTGAGCAAAGCCAAAAACATTATGAAGAAAATAAAAGAATGAATAACTATCAGAATAAGAATGTGTGGAGATCTGACTAAATAATATCTCTGTTTTATTATAGAAGGAAATGTAAATTTATGTGGAAGAGTGCTTTAAACTGTAGGAATAGGATTTCCAAGAAGGTATATTTTGGCACAGTTGCCAAGTTCATGACAATCAAGTAGGTCGCCTTGGAATAAATGAAGGAAAGAAAGCTCTCTGCCAATCTGCAATCGCACCCCTTACTCCTACTAAACTGGCACATATACTCACAGATATTGTTAGATTTTAGGTTACTGAGTGACATTGATTTGTAGGTGGGAATCATTAGTGTCAAAAGAGTATGTACAAGAAAATGTTTTCCTTCTGTTTCCCTTTAACACATTCCTGAAATTGTTAAATTGAGTACAAGCATTTTGCCACATGGAAAAAGGCATGGCCATCATCACCCTTCCTTTTTACTGGCATACTTAAACATTCTCATGTTTTTATCTTCTGTTCTCCCACAGTATACTAGTGTTTGAATGTGGATTACCGGGGAAAAACAGAAACCCCCAAATAAATCCCCACTATACCTTACCACCACCACCACACACAAATACACACACACACATACACACACACACACACGATTCCAGTCTTGGCTATATGTTTCACACTCATTCAGTAGGGAATTTTGCCTTTTAATTTTAAACAAAAGCCTAGTTAAGAGAAAATTATTCAGCTTTCCTTTCACATTTTTCCTAGGGGGGTATATAAACTTCTATGACTTTTGGGAGAGCATTGGCTCTGATCTAGCATAGGATCAAAACTCTACTCTGAGGTATTCTTATTTTGAGATAGCTATATATTCCTTTGAGAAATCACTACTCCCCAAACATACTCAGAAGAAAGAAGCAGCAGAAACTCAGTTTTTAATAAAATGAAGACACCTGCAATCCTAATCTATGATAAAGTAAAATTGGAAAGCAGAATAAAAATGAAAAATTATTTATCAGATAAATCAGGAAAATAAGCTGATTTCCTCGTCAAATCCCTGAAAGAGTCAGGAAGTAGAGGCACATGTGGAAGAATGCTGGATTAAAAAAAAAACAAAGTCTAAAAACGAGGACCTGATTGAACATCCGTATGATGAGCCTGACTGATCACTAAATACCAAAACTAAACCATTCTCAGAAACTGGAAGGGGTGTTCTATAGAGATGCAGAGCCAAAGACTGAGGACACAGGGACCCAAAGCATAGCAAAAAGCCTCCATGAGGAATCAAAACTAAACTAGGGTATGTAAATAACTTAAGACACTTTTGAACTAAGAAACAGTGGCATATAGGGCTCAATTCTTTTTCAAAAGTTTATAGGACTCAAAATGACACTGCTCACAAACTTAAAGTTGCTGCTAATAAATGATGCAATGTAATGACAGCATGAGAATAAGAGTGTGTATCATAGACAGGTGTTTGCTACAGAGACAGGTTTTCTCCCTCTGTAGGGGTCATTCAGGATATGGTTTCTATTTTATATCAGGGATCACCAGCACATGCACAGAACAATTCCCAACAAAAATGCAAAGATGGAGTCTTGTCTGTGGTTTCTTTTTTCTTTTCTTTCTTTTTCTTTTTTTTTTTTTTTTTTTTTTTTTTGAGACGGAGTCTCGCTCTGTCGCCAGGCTGGACTACACTGGCACAATCTCGGTTCACTGCAACCTCCACCTTCCGGGTTCAAGTGATTCCCCTGCCTCAGCCTCCTGAGTAGCTGGGACTCCAGGCCCGTGCCACTATATTCAGGTAATTTTTGTGTTTTCAGTAGAGACGGGGTTTCACCATGTTGGCCAGGATGGTCTCGATCTCTTGACCTCGTGATCCACCTGCCTCGGCCTCCCAAAGTGCTGGGATTCAGGCATGAGCCACTGCGCCTGGCTGTCTGTGGTTTCTTATACCCAGCTGTTAAGGTAGGCATACTTTTAAAGTATAACCCACCCTAAAGGCATAGCCCCTTTCCAATTTTGGCAAGACCTGCTGCAAATCACGAATATTACAATTATCAATAAACAGTTTTGACAAACTGGTAGCAACTTGTCCAGAAACTTGCCTCTGACCCATGATTTGAAAGCAACCCTGATAATCAGTATGTTTTATACCTTTACCAGCAGTCAGGGCCTTGCATGTATATGTATTATTACGGTGAGGCAGCTCGGACCAATTCCAGATCTGCTGCCTTTAATGCTGATAGCACAACTCCCAACTCTTTCTACCTTCTATCACAAATCCAAATTTCTGATAACCAATTAACATATTCTGAACAAGAAATTAGAGAATGCTTCTCTGAAGTTACTGAATTACCTGCACATGCTGATATTTTGAACCCTCAAATTAAAATGCTCACTAGCCTCCTAATTATAATACAGTGAGGTCCACAATGCACACAGATGTTCCAATCAACACTTTCATGTCTCACTTTTAAAGAAGCATGTTAGCACCATAATTACAAAACATCTCTAGGGTAAAAGATGAATAGGAACTCAAAATCATAACCTCAGAGATAGGAAAATATATTATATCTATGACATAGAGTGACTAAAAGAGAAGGAGGTTGAAGGGTAGATCCCCTATACTTAATCATGGATTTTAATTAGTAGTATAAAAAATAACAGATACGAAAACAATAACTTGTAAACTACAAAGCTAATGTAATATTAAAGTTGGTGGTAACCTAACATTGTTAATTAAATAGTTAAATATTTTCAGCAAGTGCTTATTCTGCACATCTTTGATACTTTTTTCATGAAGCAAAAAAAGCCCATAAGGATTTTCATTTTTGTATATTACTTCACCCACCAAGCTATCTTTAGTTTTTAAATAAATTAGGCATCATATGTTTATTATAAGAGGTGTTATAAATCAAACATCACATTTCAACCATGAATAACTTGTTTAATAAATATATTAAGCTGTGATATTTTTACCATCTATGAGAGCATAAAAGCTCAAAACTTTGTCAAAATTGGAGCTGCCTAGATTGGAGTTTTCAGAGATTTGGAATGAAGACATTTTTATCAGATTTATCCATCGATCAATTTAAAAATTCCTTATTATGCACCTGTGTACTAGTTTGTATTCTACACAATAGAAATATAGCAATAAAATGAAGTTACTTTCATTTCTTCATGTGTAGATTATATTTTAGTGTGTGAAAGAGAGGTGGAAAGAATTATCTTTAATATATGTAAAACAAAAATTAAGGAGATAATTTCAGAGACTAATAATTATCATTAACACAATCACATAAGTAATGTAATAAAGAATGACTGAGAGTGAAAGTTTGATTATTTTAAATAGAGTGATTTGGAAAGACCTTCTAAAGAGATGGTATTTGAGTTGAGATCTATTGAGGATCATGAGCCACTCATGTACACATCTTCAGGAAGAGCACTCTAAACATAATGAACAGTGGGCATAAGAAAAAAAAATCACATTCAATGGCTAAGGCAAATGTATCTGGAGCTTTGTAAATGAGGATAACTGTGGTAAGAGATACTAGTACGGAGATAGTAGGCATAGCAGCATATAAAACTTTAAAAGCCATTTTAAGACTTTTGCAATTTTTTCTAATTTCAATGGGGGCACAAAAGGAACTAGACATTTGGGCAGTGGCAAAATCTTAGAGGAACTGGAACCAAAGTCATATAAAGGGAAGAGCAAGAGGCTGGTGTTAGGAATATTCAACTATGTAAGTGTGCACCAACCAATCTGGATCCAAACAAGAGTGAACTACTGCATGATAATTTAAACAGGGCAAGTTTAATATAAAGAATTATTAATTCTAACAGGGAATTAGAATAACAAAAAATTCACAAATATGAAAGAGGTATAGAGAATTAGAAGTATAGAGAATTCTAGAAGTGAATAATATATATAAGGAATCAGCACTACCTTCAGGACTAAGATACAGCATTAAGTCTTAACTCCCTACCTCCAGGGCTGGCTGACTTCCAGACCTGATTGGAGAGGGGCACAGCCATGAATCACTGAATACAAAGAAGTTGCTGTAGTTCTGTAGCTGTAAAATGCTCTGGAAATCTATCCTTTGGACTTTGTCAGAAATATCCTCAAGGATGTCAATGAAAGTTGTTCATGTAACTAAAAATAGAACTACCATTTGACCCACCAATTGCACTACTGGGTATCTACCCAAAGGAAAATAGATCATTATATAAAAAAATACACCTGTACTTACGTGTTTATAACAGCACTATTCACAATAGCAAAATCATGAAATCAACCTAAGTGTCCATCAACAGTTTCATGCAGCCATGAAAAGGAATTAAATCATATCCTTTGCAGCAACATGGATGAAGCTGGAGGCCATTATCTTATATGAAATAACTGAGAAACAGAAAATCAAATGCCACATGTTCTTATTTACAAGTGGTGGCTAAATAATGGGTACCCATGGACATAAATATGGAAATAATAGACAGTGGGGACTCCAAAGGAATGGGAGAGTGGAAGCGAGGCCAAGGTTTAAAAAAATTACCTATTGGGTACTATGTTCACTATGTGGATGATGGGTGCACTAGGAACCCAATCTAATCTTCACCATTATAAAATATATCCATGAAACAAACCTACAGATGTACCACTGAATCTAAAATTTAAAAAAAGAAAAAAAAAGCAAATTTGGTGAGGTAGTCAAGAACTATTAAAAAAAAAAGTCATCCATGTAGAAGTATCTCACTATTGCTTTCCACAATGACAACACTCCAAACATGCTGGAAGCCACAAATCCTTCTAATAGGAACACACTAGAAAAAAAAACTATTGGCCACTGAATGCTGCTGGCCCCCTTGCATATCAAGAGCCAGACACTGAAGAAGTCTGCTGAGCAAGAATAGAACAGCCAGGCAGTAATAGCCATATGTCTACTGCAATGTTTTTTCGGTGCTCTCTGCTGACAAAGCTTAGCCCTATCCAAGTAGAAGAGGAAAACAATATTTAACGGCTCCATTTCCTTTTTCATAAAGCAGGCAAAAGGGTGAGTTTGGAGATGATAGGTGATAAATTAATAAAATCGCAAAGTATTTGTGTAAAAACCTCCTCCAACTTCCACAAAATAGCACAGTATTGGTAACATGTAGATATCCAGTAAAACAGAGTATTTATGCTACATCATTTTCCAAGATTTAGACTGGATTCATACACAATATTATGGTTTGTGCATAAAATATTGGTGTATTATGTTAGTCAGGGTTCTCTCTGAGAAAGGGAACAGAAAGGAGATATGTAGGAGATACAAAGGAGATCTCGTATCTATGTATCTCCTATCTATGATAGGTAACAAATAGGAGATACGTAGGTAGATGAGAGAGAGAGAGAGAGAGAAATAGACAGACAGGTAGATAATAAGAAATTTGCTTACACAGTCATGGAGACTGACAAGTCTCAAGACTTTTAGGCAGCAAAACAGAGACCCAGGAGAGACAATGGTGCAAGTTGTAGTCCAAGTTTAAGTCTGAAGGCAATGAATATTAATGTCCCAGCTCAAAGACAGTCAGAGAGAACAAATTTTCCCTTGCTCAGATTTTTGTTCTATTCAGGCCTCCAATAGATTGGATGAGACCAACTCACACTGGCAAGAGCAATATGCTTTACTCAGTGTACAAATTCAAAGGTTAATCTCATCCAGAAACATTCTCACAGACACACCAAGAATAATGTTTAACCAAACATTTTGGCACCCTGTAGCCCAAGCAAGTTGACACACAAAAATAACCATGACACCTATTAAATACTGAGAAAAAAAATTAAAATCTTAAACTCTAGACTTCCAGTTACAACAAAGGTGGAGCATATGGGACTTAATCTTCCTCTGAAACAAAAACAGAAACAGTGCAAAATATATGAAACAATGGCTTCCAAGAGACTGGGCATTGATCTCTGGCAGCGGGGTGAAGCGGGGAAGGACAGTGATTTCTGAAAGACAAAATATGCATGAGGTAAATCCCAACATTACTACATCTCACTACCTTCTGGGAGTTTCAAGGCTGCAGGTCAAAGAAAGGAATGCAAGTTGAGCCTGGCAGGATCTCTCTGACTTGAGGAAATACACTTGAATGATTAGGGAAACCAATGTGGCTAGTGATTAGAGTACCTTAGAGCAGAGAGGTATGCATGAAAGAACTGCAGAGCTCTTCAGAGGAATCCCCTCGAGCATTCAGCAGAGTATGTGTGTGAGAAAACAGCCCAAATGAGGAGTAAACCACCTGAAAGAGGTAGAAGGAAGTGTCTGATGTCCATGCAAAACCTGGAATCGAGGTTGTTCTGTCGAGTAAGATTGGAGCACCACATAGTTCATGGGGCATGTAGAAGTGAAAACAAGTGAGGTCTTGATTCAGTAATGAGGAATAATTAGCCCAAAATTCAACACTGCTCTGGTCTCACATAACAAATTTTAAAAGTAACATGTGAAGCTATCAAACTGTTTCCAAGTAATTTTTACCACATACCATTGCAAAGATCAATAATATTTTTAAGAATTAAAAATATCCAGCACCCAATAAGATAAAATTAATGATAACTGTCATCTGATCACAAATTAAATTTAAATTGACCTACAGCTGACACAGATATTAGAAATAATAGACAAGGATATTAGGATAGTTATAATTGCATTCCAAAAGCTAACAAAGACATGGAAGACATATAAAAATAACCCCAATATAATTCCAATTCTAAAACTACCATTTCTAGGATGAAAAATACAATGAAAGGAATTAAAAGCAGATTCAATATTATGAAAAATTCAGATAACTTGAAGATACAGCAATAGAAACTATCCAAAATGAAACTCAATAACCAACAGAAAGTAAATAAATGAAGAGAAACAGTGAGCTATGAGAGAATTTCAAGTGACTAAATATAAGTGTAATAAAAATCCCTAAAAAGGAACAGAATAAGTATTTAAAATACTAATTGCTGAAAAATTTGCACTGATGCAAAATACAAAGCCAGAGATCAATGAAGTTCAACAAACCTCAAGCACAGGAACAAAAAAGAACATAATACCAATGTGTACATAATCAAAACTCCACAAACCCAGTGATATCGGAAAATCTGAAAAGCCTCCAGAAAGAAAAAAGGCATGCATGATTAGAGAAATATTAAGAAGCACACTAGCACAGTTCTTATCAGGAGCAATACATGCAAAGAGACAGTGGAACATCTTTAAATATTGAATAAAAATTCTGTCAACTTGAAATTTCATAAAAAGCAAAAAATACCTTTCAAAAATGAAGACAAAGTAGACTTTTTTTCCCCAATCAAACAATAGTCAGTAGAATTAATCTGCAGCAGGACCAGACTTTACTAATTGTTAAAGTGTGTTCTTTGGGCTGCAGGAAAATTACTCCAGATGGAACTATATGATTATCAACCAGGCCTGATTTTGTTTCTCCATCCTCAAGAGATTTATAGAAAAATTTAGAGACATTTTTGGTTCTCATAAGGAGTGGAGGTGCTCCTGGTATCTCATGAGTAGAGGGCAAGGATGCTGCTAAATAACAGCTTACGAGGCACAAGGTAGCCCACCCAGCAAGAATTATCTGGCCTGAACTGTTCAGGTGGCAGCTCTTGAGAAATCATGACTTCCACCACCACCACCACCACCACCACCAACAACAACAACAACAAAAGCATTGGAATTTTTCTTATATTTAAATCTTTTTAAAAGATAATTGACTTTTAAGCAAAAAAAAGACACCAATGAAACATGTTGTTTTTAACATATATATTATTAAAAAGCTGAACAAAAACAGCATCCATTATGAAAGGGGAGAAATAGCAGTATACTCTCGCAAGATTCCTATACTTTGTAAGAAGGAATTTTTAGGGCTCTTCAGCATGATGAGCATCTCGAATTAAAAAAAATTGAAGGTCTTAAAAGTAGCCTCAAAATCAAGGTCTTTCTGACCTTCACTTGTTTCTCTCCCCAACTATAGAGAGGGGCTGTCTCTGAAATTCCCTTATCGGACTGAGGGAAGTTATTCCAAAACAAACACAATTGCATTCAATCTTCTGTCTGAAATCTCATTACCCAGGGAAGGTTAATCAACAAAGAGGACACTAAAAGTCATCACCATGCCCACATGAACAGACTTTTCATCCAGTCTTCTGAGGGCTGTTACCAGAGAGACTTTATCTGTATAATAAGAAAACATTGTTTACAGTGCAGTTCTGTCCTTCACCTTCTCAAAGTTTATTGCTACCTCTCCCAGAACCCAGAGGAACTTTGTTCCAAAGTATTGTCTATTCTTTGGGCATATTCATCTTCCCTAAAATTCATTTACTCTTTCTCTAAAATTCCCTACCTTCTCCACTTTCCTCTCTCCTATGAAGAGAGTATTTAAGCTGCAGCTGCAACCATCTGGCCCTTCTTGAAAGATTCATACTTGTGTGATTGCTGTGTGCTTGTACATTAGTCAATTTGTAAGTCTTTCTTCTGTTATTCTGCCTGCTGTCAGTTATTTTTTTCAGGAAACTTAATTATTAAACCTTTAGAGGGAAAGTTTAAACTTTCCTACAAGATAAAATATCACCGTAGCTATATCGTGATACATTACATATGCATAATATATGTATATTGTTAACCAACCATTTAGCAAAGATTAACATTAAAAAAAGAGCTTTAGCTAATAAGAGTATAAAAGAGATACAACGAAACTTTACATTCTTTTAGTAAATTTCAGATTTCCGATTGGATCAAATTGAGAATGTCTGTTTCAGACTTTTTTTTTTCTATTTTCTCTCTCCCTGCCACCGTGTGCTCCCCCTCTCTCTTTTTCTCTTTCGCCTTCTCATATTCTCTAATAGCTACTCTTTCATAAGCAGCCAGCTGATGGGGTCATTTCACATACTATCTTTTCTTGTTGAGACACACAACCAATCAGCCACAGGAAATACATATTCTTTCCTCTTAGCTAGTATCGGTCACAACCTTACTCTAGGACATATAGATAGGTCTAGACCAAGAAACATGACCCAGAACCCTTTAAGAGGGTTCCAATCACATGGCCCTGTCCCTAAATGCGAAATATTGAAACTTTCAACTTAGGTCAGCTAAATCTATAACAGAGGTTGGGAAGGATTCAACAGTACAACACAAAGCAGCACAGCTGAAAGCACAAGACAACCAGAAGACAGAAGTTCAAAGTCCATGCTGATCTCCAGCAGCAGGCCCTATTACCAGGTGGTAATCATTGCCTAGACATCCTGATCATAGTGTCAATTCCTGTGGTCCCTCTATAATGACAGGAGAGATCCCTATTTAAAATTTGGTTTGGTTATCAAGACTGAAGATGCCAAACACACACACCAAGCTGGCATGAAAATGTTTACTACTTATATAATTGAGGTGTCTGGGGAGAGCAGGGGATGCTGCTCCCATAAATATATACAACTATTATGGATCCATAATAATTAAAAATAAAAAGTTTAAATAAATAAAAAACAAACAATGAAGAAGGTCTGAAAAGGCTTGAGAGAGTAAGAAAAGGAGATTGGCTTGGCGTTTTTATTGTGGTTAGGCAGCAGTGCAAGGGTGAGAGTTTCTGCAGAGGTTCAGGGGTCTACTCAGTTTGAGTCTCCCACAGTGCCAAAGGAGGGAGCACCAGGCATTCACATCAGCTTGTTCTGATGTTGGACACAAATGCAACAGTGAGAGGAGGGGCTTAAGAGCTGTTAGCAGTGACACATCAAAAAATGGAGTCAGGTATTCTTTATTGCCACTGACAAATTGACAAGAAATAAAAAGATGATTCTAAATTTCATATAAGACATTTGTAGACAAAATTAATTTTGAAAACATAAATATAGAATAATCACTACTTGATTTCAAGATTTATTAGAAATCTGTAGGTATAAACCAGTATGGCATTGCATAAAGCTTGATAATAGAACATGGAAAAGAATAGAGAATCCAGAAATAATTGCACACATATTTAGACAACTCATTCTTAACAAAACTGCAAAAGTAACTCAATTCAGAGAGTACAGTATCTCAATAAATGGATATTTATATGCAAAAATTTAAACTTTGCTCCATACCTTGCATCATAGACAAAAGTTAAGTAACATAAATAAATGTTAAACCTAAAACTATAAAACTTCTAGGACAAGATGTAGAAATAAATCTTTATGATCTGGGGCTAGGCAAATATTTCTTAGAGATAATGTCAAAATCATGATGCAAAGAAAACCTGATAACTTAAATGTCATCAAAATGAAAGACTTCAATGCTTCAAATTTTACTGTTAAGATAATTAAAAGATAAACCACAGACTAAGAGGGTATATTTGCAGACTAAATATGTAATAAATGACTCATTCCTGAACAAGTTTCTTAATAGCAGCCTTGTTGACATTTTGGCCTATTTCTTTATGGGATCCTAAGCAGCTTCTTTGGCCTCTATATTCTAGATACTAGTAACATTACCTTCCAAACCTCCACAATCCTGACAATATGTCCTATGAGATTACATAATTACTACAGGTTGAAAACTGACATAGACAATGTAAAAAACTTAAACAAAATGGATAAAGTGTCCTGAACAAAATATTTGAACAGAAAATGTTTGTTCAGAAAATGAACAAAATGTTTGAACAGAAAATTCACCAAAAAACATGTGCAGATTGCAAGTAACCACACAAATAAATGTTCAACTTAAGAATTTATTAGAAAAACATAAATGGAGACCGCAAAGACATATCGCTATAGACCTATTAGAATGACTACAATTAAACAGACTATCACAACACATGACAGTGAAAATGAAGATCAAATAGAAACCTCATCGAGTGCTGTTGGGAAGGTAGAATGGCTTAGCCACTTTGGAAAACAGTTTCTTAAAATGTAAAACATACACCTACCATAAAATTTATCCATTCTGCTCCTCAATAATTTTCCAAAAAGAATAAAAGCCTATCTTGACACAAAACATACATATTTATAATATCATTATTTGTAATTGCAAAATAAAATTGAATAATGAGGAAACAGGAAATTTCCATCAACAGGCAAATGTATCCAGGAATTATAGTATATCTATACAATGGAAGACTACCCTGTAATAAGAAGGGATCAGCTACTGATACTTGCAATGACCTGGATAGAGCTGGAGACCATTATCCTTAGCAAACTAATGCAGGAACAGAAAACCAAACACGTCAAGTTCTCACTTATAAGTGGAAGCTAAATGATAAGGACACATGGTGGGGAAAAACAGACACTGGGACCTAGCTGAGGGTGGAAGGTTGGGGGAGGGAGAGGATCAGGAAAAATAATTCATGGGTACTAGGCTTAATACCTAGGTGACAAAATAATCTGTACAACAAACACTCGTGACGTAAGTTTGCTTATATAACAAACTTGAACAGGTACAACTGAACTTAAAATAAAAATTAAAAAAGAAAGAAGCCAAACATGAATGACTGCAGAGTATATAAATTTCTTTATATAAAACTATAGATAATACAAACAAATCTATACTACCAGAAAGTAAATCAGTGGTTGCCTAGGGAGTGGGTGATATGAGATACAGGAGAGGAATTGTAAAGGAACACAAAAAAACTTCTGGAGCTATGAATAAAATTATCTTGATTTGATCATTTTATTTTGTATACATATGTCAAACCTTGCTAAATTTTATGATTTAAAAAGTATATAGTTTAGTGCATGCCAATTTTGCTCTAATAAAACTGTTTTCAGAACTCCTAGACTGTAAGAAATCAAGATCAGAAACTCCATTGCCAAATGGGGCATTCAATATTATAGATTAGTCATAGGGCAAGACAGATACTCATGAATTAGATCTGAAGAAGAAAATCAAAGTGAGGTGAAAAGAAAATTTGTCTCGATTCTAAATATCTTGAGAATTACATAGAATCACAATAATTCTCTTTTAGTGAAGCAGCAGTTTTTGGGGGGTATTAATACATTTTATCTTTGGTAATTCCTATTTACCAGCATTTCTGCAACTTGCATATCCAGAGCCTTGCCTGAGGGACACGGATTAGAGGAGGTTTTGCATAAGGTAAAAATAATATTTTTATCTGTATATATTATTAAGCCAGAGTTGTGGAGTTTATTGCCCTCTTGAAGAAAGAAAATACAAAGATTTAGTCACCTTGTAAAAGAAAGAGGAAATTGGAAGTTTGCCCTCTTTTATCCCAAGAAAATTATTGAAAAGAGAGCTAAAATGAAGATTGGGTTGTGTGTTGGAGTGGGGAGCCAGGAGTCATATCCACCTGACCTTACAAGGGCAAGGGGAAAGAACAAGAGTCGATGGGAAAGAACATATCAGAAATATCAAGATAGGAATGTGAGAACCAAGGAATATTATTTGGACTGTTATCATTTATCTTTTGGCATAAATTAGGTATGTTGCAGCCCATAGAAAAGCTCAGGACATAAATGATATCCAACATGGCATGGAGTTAAAGTAGTGCTTTGTCAGAAGGCAGTGGAGGGATATGTAGAAATCAGAAATTTGTGTGGTTTTGTTGAGGGAAAGCAAACCTCTTGGTGGGCCATCAGAGGTCTTGCAGAATGCTCCAAGAGGGAGGTATCTTGGGGAATGTAATGACCTTTCAGTAGGTGTCAACATTTGTAAGCATCTTTTTGTGGAAACAACCATTCCTCAGGAACTGACAACAGTTCAGGCCAGAATCTTTATAAGTACAAGGATACAGATGTCGCTACAAGGTCATGACTCTTCTTTCTCTCATAGTCACGAGTTTCTATACCTCTACACTCAGAAACTATCTTGGATATGATCAAGGTGAAGCATTTACCCAAACCACACTGAATCATCCAAAAAGCAACCTGAAATAAAAGACATGATAATACTGTAAATTGTTAAATTAAAAGAAGATAATATTAACATGATAGAGCAATGTTTTGGGATGATTGCATTAATTAAAATAAGAAATACTGTATTTTCTTTGCAAATATGAGCACAGTGTTTACAGATTTTAACCTTATTGCATTCTTTAAGTAAGTAACTGGATTTGAAACAATAGGACATGTGATTTCAGCTACAATGAGTGGAGCAAAAAGGAAGGAATTAAGCGAAACGAAAGTGTAAATAGAAGTATATGCCAGTAAATCAGAATGAAGATGAAAGTTATATACTTTTAAATATGTACTGAATCTGTTTCCTCGCAATAAAAAGTAGCATAAAAATTTATCAACTGAAAAAGTGGCATTTATTTTCTTTCAAAAGATGCTTATCTTTAATAGCATTTTTAAGGCTACTATTTAGCATGAAAATTTAATACGCTGTCCTTTGTCAATGGGCAAGGGTCTTTCATAAATATTCCCTAAACACTCTTGCAACATTCAAGGTGATTTGCTTTAAATGGCAGAGCAAATATCTGAAACCAGTTTCTTAAAATCAGCTTAGATTTCAGCAGGTCTGAAAAAAGAACAGATTTGTACTTGAATAGTTTCCAAGCAATCTGTTTAGTTCTGCGTATGCTTCAATTCAATTTCATGGCAATTTCATAAACAGGTTGCATTTTAATCCACTGTGCTATTAAACTGATAGCTATCACTTTTTCTTTGAGTGCCATACTATGGGTATACAATACAAATTAAAATGAGAGAACATTTTTAAAGGATCTGTAGTTTGAATAGTTTCTCAATAATTCTTCAATTTTTCCTTTCTGACAATGTAATGATTTGGGGTTGCATTTTTTACTGAGAAGTATTGCTATATTTTCACATTTTTAATAATCTCGTTCATGCTGAGTGCATTCACTTAGCTGGATTAGTGTTAGAAAGTTTTGGGAGCAGATACTTGAACTATAACTCATAGAAGTGACTATATGTGATTATTAGATGCTAGAAAGATGTTAAAAAGTAAAAGAATGCCTAACAGGAAGCTTTGCCCTGTAAGAGATTTTCAACATGTTTTGAAAAAATATCTCTATTCTATTTTCTCATCTTATTTCTACCTTGTTCCAGTTTTATAAATGAGTAAACAATGGATTTAGTTTTTTAAATTGTTTTTCTTTACTGTGACAAATACTTACATTAAACTTAGGGAAAATGAAATTTCCTCAAGATATGAGATTAATATTTTTACTATTTGGTATAATATGGCATTATTAGAAAACTATAAAAAATAAAAAGAATTTATCAATGATTCAATTCAAAATTGAATTGAAGGTGATGCATAGACTTCTGTCATATTAAAAAAATTATCATTTGAACAGCAATCCTTTTACCTAATATTGTTATACATGACAATTAAATCCACTTTATGTTTTATGGAAAATTTTATATATTTATATTCTAGACTGATGAAATTTGATGTTAAAGATCATAATTAGAAACTCTCCTAGCATCAAATGTACCAACTTGAAAATCTATGTGACTTGCTTAAGAAAATAAAAATGTAGGCCGGGCGCGGTGGCTCACGCCTGTAATCCCAGCACTTTGGGAGGCAGAGGCGGGCGGATCATGAGGTCAGGCGATCGAGACCATCCTGGCTAACACAGTGAAACCCCGCCTCTACTAAAAAGACAAAAAATTAGCCGGGCGTGGTGGCGGGTGCCTGTAGCCCCAGCTACTCGGGAGGCTGAGGCAGGAGAATGGCGTGAACCCGGGAGGCGGAGCTTGCAGTGAGCTGAGATCACGCCGCTGCACTCCAGCCTGGGTGACAGAGAGAGACTCCGTCTCAAAAATAAATAAATAAAAATAAAAAAATAAAAAAATAAAAATGTTAGTAAGTTCTTAAAGATGCTACCTTTGAAAAAATTTAATCATTTCTTCAGTGAAAACACAATCGGAAGAGTTAAATTATACAAGTTAGAATTGTAAGTGAAATAGAAAATAATTGTAATTGAAATGTTAAAAATAATAATGAATCTTTTAGAGCAAGCTGTTTTTAAGTTCATAGACAATCTCCATCATCATGATTGATTTGATTTTGATTAGTTGTCTTCTTCCAAGTTGACAGTAGCTTGGCTTTTTAAAATAAATAAAATCTTCCAGGCACGATGGCTCACACCTGTAAACCTAGCACTTTGGAAGGCCCAGGTGGGAGGATCACTTGAGGACAGGAATCTAAGACCAGCCTGGAGAACATAGTGAGACCCGATCTCTCCAAAGAAATTAAAAGATTAGCCAGGCAGGGTGGCACAGGACTGTAGTTCCAGCTACTTGGGAGGGTGATGCTGGAGCCCAGGAATGAGAAGCTGCGATGATCTATGAAAGTGCCACTGCACTCCAGCCTGAGTGACAAGCAAGATTGCATCTCAAAAAAAAAAGTAAAATCTTCATATGTCTTAAAATGTAAACGCAGCCTTCTATTTCACTTTATGTAAATATTCTTACATTTGACATGGACCTAGTAAAAGGTCAATATGGTCATAGTTCTTAAGTTCTTTAAATTCAACTTCTTATTGGTATGAGAATAACAAAAAGAATAATTCAGTCACATGAGATTATTACAAAGTTTACACAGAGAAGACCTGAAAATTTGTACAATGCTGAAATACAGTGATAAAGTCTGTAATAACAAGATACGATTACAACTTATGCATGACAGTAGACAATGATATATACCCAAAACAACCTCTTAGATTTCATTTACAATATTTTTGTTATCTCCTTAAGTTAGAAGGATCAGGAATTCCAGTGGTCATCAGGGTATCTTTTTTACAGATTCTGCTAAAATCTTCTACAAATTATTGCTAATGGGTTATTTGGCTCTTGATTATTGGTTTGTAATTGCCACAGCCATTTCTTATTTGATCCATGGCTTATTTAAAAGTGTTTTTTTTAATTTAAAAAATAGAGTGTTCTAAATATATTTTGTTATCAAAGTTCTGTTTAATTTTATGATGGATTCTGCTTTATGCACTAGTATGTGGTATAATATAGCCCAAGCCACTTGAAATAAGAGGCTATACGTAATCTCTGTGAGCAGCTAGCCCAGAGTCCATACATCACTGTGCACCACTCTTGCAGTAGTGCTTTATCCCCAGTTTGCACCTATGACCACAGAGGGTGAGGTCTCACAGAATAAACTGAAAAAGAGAAAGCAAGCTTAACTATGAAAATTTTACTGAAGGCTGTAGCTAGTTGAATGAGGCAAGAAAAAGAAATGAAAGGCACACAGATTAGAAAGGAAGAAGTAAAACTGTCTTTAATAGCAGGTAACATGGTTCTTCATGTAAAAAATCATAAGGAATAAGCACAACACATTTGCACACACACACACTACTTGAACTATTTAAATTTAGTAAGATGATGGGATGCAAGATTGATATTTAAACATCAATTTATATATAACATTTCTGTCCAGATGACAAGGTGACAATTGCCCACAATGAGCTTTTTTTGGATGGTCTCCTTCTACGGAAAAATACCCTCTTATACAACTTGTCAAAGCACTGTCCAAAGACAGTCTTATGAAGTTGTCACCCAGAAAGGTAGGAGGGTAAGGGAACTCCCAGGGGAAAGGGAAATTGGAGAGGGAGCTTGTGTGTCTGGGTGATGTTGCTCAGCAGCACAATGGAAAATCCTTGGGTTAGAGAAACCAGAAAGGGAGCAGTGAGTTGGTGCCTTATTTAGACTGAGGGTGTGTTTGATGAATGGCTAGCATATGTTGGGTACAGTTTTGCATGGTATGCAAAGCAGACTAGCTCTAAATGACTAAAAGTATGCTTATTTGGGCTATATTTAAAGCAATTGTATGTGTATTTTGTTTAGTGTCTGTGGACTTTTGAGCTAACAGGCCCAGCCTGCTGTAAAGAAGTTAACAGCATAGAGATCAATATACAGGGACTATCTTTAACCTATTTATAATACACACACACACACACACACACACACACACAAATATAAGCAAAAATCAATTGAGCATTAAATTAGGGAACCAATTTGATTTATAATAGCATCAAGTAAAATAAAATACAAGGGAATATATTTAACCAAACCAGCCTGTAAGCTGAAAAGTACAAAATATTCCTGAGAGAGATTTAATAAGATGTGAATAATTGAGATAATTCCATATCCATAAATGGGAAGACTCAATGTTGCACACATGCTAATTCTCCACAAATTGACCTATCAATTTAATACCAGCTCTCTCAAAACTCCAACAGGAAATTTCAGAGAAATTGATAACCTGATTCTAAAACTCACATAATAATTAAAAGAACTTAGGATAGCCATAAAAATTTAACAAAGAACAAAGTTTGTGGGCTTGCCCTTCGTGATATCAATACTTATAAAGCAACATCAATTTAAATAGTGTGGTATCGATGTCATGACAGACAAGTAAATTAAAGCAAAAGCATGGGATCTAGAAACATCTATACATGTCTGCTGAGTTGATTTTCAACAAAGTTGCAAGGGAAATTTCGTACAAAAATGTTAGTCTTGGTGACCTTAGTCCCAGCACCCATATGGGACAGGATATCTACCTCCAAGTAAATGAACTTAAACCCTTACTACACATATACAAAAGTTTAGCTCAAAATGGATCACAGACTTCACTGAAAAGCTATGTCCATAAAATTTCTAGAAGAAAACAAAGCGCAAAATCTTCATGACCTTTGTTTAGACAGATACTTTTTAAGATATAACAACAAAAACATAATCTATACAAGGGAAAAAAACATTAATTGAACTTCTTCAAGTTTAAAGAAATAAAAAATAAATTGTTCTTCCAAAGATGTTAATAAGAAAACTAACAGAGAAGCCCAGGCTGGGAAAAACTCTTAAAGTTTCATATTTGATGAAGAACTTGCATCCAGTATACACATAAAAGAATACTTAAGGGCCGGGCACGGTGACTCACGCCTGTAATCCCAGCACTTTGGGAGGCTGAGGCGGGCGGATCACGAGATCAGGAGAGCAAGACCATCCTGGCTAACACGGTTAAGCCCCATCTCTACTAAAAATACAAAAAATTAGCCGGGTGTGGTGGCACGTGCCTGTAGTCCCAGCTACTCAGGAGGCTGAGGCAGAAGAATGGCGTGAACCCGGGAAGCAGAGCTTGCAGTGAGCCGAAGTCCCGCCACTGCAATCCAGCCTGGGAGACAGAGAGAGACTACGTCTCAAAAAAAAAATAATGACAATAATAAATAAAAATAAATTTAAGAAAAGAATACTTACAACTTAATAATAAGAAGAAAAATAACCCAAAAATATTTGGAAAGACACTTCATCAAAAACATTTATGAATGGCAAATAAGCATATGAAAATATGCTTGGCATCACTGGTAACTTAATATTCAATGAGATACCATTATACATCTATTGAATTGACTATAACGAAAAAGAATGACCATACAAAATATTGGCAGAGCATCAGAGAAATGCAAATCAAAACCACAATGAGATGCCATCTCACACCAGTTAGAATGGCGATCCTTAAAAAGTCAGAAAACAGGTGCTGGAGAGGATGTGGAGAAATAGGAACACTTTTACACTGTTGGTGGGACTGTAAACTAGTTCAACCATTGTGGAAGTCAGTGTGGTGATTCCTCAGGGATCTAGAACTAGAAATACCATTTGACCCAGCCATCCCATTACTGGGTATATACCCAAAGGATTATAAATCCTGCTGCTATAAAGACACATGCACCCATATGCTTACTGCATCACTATTCACAATAGCAAAGACTTGGAACCAACCCAAATGTCCAACAATGATAGATTGGATTAAGAAAATGTGGCACATATACACCATGGAATACTATGCAGCCATAAAAAATAATGAGTTCATGTCCTTTGTAGGGACATGGATGAAACTGGAAATGATCATTCTCAGCAAACTATCTCAAGAACAAAAAACCAAACAGTGCATGTTCTCACTCATAGGTGGGAATTGAACAATGAGAACACATGGACACAGGAAGGGGAACATCACACTCCGGGGACTGTTGCAGGGTGAGGGGAGAGGGAAGGGATAGCATTATGACGAATTAATGGGTGCAGCATACCAACATGGCACATGTGTATATATGTAACAAGCCTGCACATTGTGCATATGTACCCTAAAACTTAAAGTATAAGAATAACAAAATTAAAAAAAAAAGAAAAAAAAAGAAATGTCAAAAAAATATATTGGCAGAGATATGAATGAACTAGAACTCTCATATTCTGTGGGTGATAATGTGAAATATAACCATCACTTTGAAACACAGTTTAGCATTTTCTTAAAAAATTAACACATGGCTACTTCAGAGCCCAGAGCCCAGCATTTTCACTCCTAATCATGTACCATCAGAATGTAATAATCAGATCTCCAGTTAAAGGGAACCTAATTAATTGACCACCCCAGCTGCTTAACTCAGGTTTTTAAAATTATTAAAATAATTTCAAAAGCATTGTATAGTACTTGACCTATAGTAAACTATTCTTATTGTTAAATAGTAACCCAAATTCTTATTTTATTGCATGTATTTATTTTTTGTTGTTGTTGTTGTTGTTTTTGAGATGGAGTCTTGCTCAGTCCCAGGCTGAAGTGCAGTGGCATGATCTCAGGTCACTGCAAACTCCGTCTCCCGGATTCAAGTGATTCTCCAGCCTCAGCCTCCCGAGTAGCTGGGATTACGGGTGTGCATCACCACGGCTGGCTAATTTTTGTATTTTTAGTAGAGATTGGGGTTTCATCATGTTGGCCAGGCTGGTGTTGAACTCCCAACCTCGTGATCCACCTGCCTGGGCCTCCCAAAGTGCTGGGATTACAGGTGTAAGCCACCACGCCAGGCCTATGTATTTAATTTTTATATGACAAATAAAAATTGTATTTATGATGTACAACATGTTTTGATATATGTATACATTGTGAAGTTTTTTAGATAGTGCTTTGACACTCTTGTCATACATATGTATGACACACTTGCATGTACATATTTCCAGGTCTTTTTGGACATATTTGATATATATATACATTGAAACCTCACAAACTCATTATTGTTTTTTTTGTGATGAGGAAACTTAAAATCTGCTCTTAGCAATGTTCAAGTATACAATACATTGTTCTTAAGTATAGTTACCATATGTTCTTTGTATTCCGCAACTTTACTAAATGTGTTTATCAAATCGAAGAGTTTTTGGTAAAGTACTTAGGTTTTTCTAAAGTAAAATTATGTCATCTGTAAAGAGGGACAACTTTCTTTTCTCCAATTTGGATTCCTTTTATTTTTGTCCTCTTACCTGATTGCTCTGGCTAAGACTTTCAGTAACATGTTGCATAGGATATATATTATATATTATTGTATCATATTATACATATTATATAATATATATCATATATATATATATCATACCACATTATCCATTGATGAACACCTAGGTTGATTTCATATCTTGTCTGCTGTGAATTGTTGCTGCAATGAACATGGGCAGGCAGCTATCTCTTCAAGACACTGACATCGTTTTTTGGGGGGTATATAGCCAGTATTTGGATTGGCAAATCATATGGTTTAACTCTGAAATTGATTCGTGTTTTTGCACAAGATCACACTTCCCATGAGCTGCTTCTAGTCAATAACTGATCATGATAGAACTTACTGGCACAGGCTAATGACTGAGGGATAAAGAATTTCTTCGGTAGTGGACTTTGACTTGAGGATTGTCGTCTTGCTAAATTGTCCTTAGATGCAGCCTAAGCAGTGTAGGCTAAGATGCTCCCTCTTAGCTATCTTTCCTTTATTCTTTCCTTCATTTGGGGTCAGAGTTGCATTGTACTCTGGCATCTCTCCCAGCCTCCTCCAACAGTCATTGCCTTTCCCTTTGGAGTAATCTTGATAGGTTTCGTATTATTTATAATTTGGTTCCTGAGAATGTTCTTCATTCTCAAAATATATGTGGTATCTCATTATTTTCTTTACTTTCAATTCTTTTGTTTGCAGTATAATATTTTCTTCTCACCTAGTTTTATATTTAAAAATCCTTTTTGCATGTGTTTATAGTCTGCTATTTGTCTAGACATTTAATAATTAATTCATGTTTTTGAATTTTTATAGGCTGAAATTTAATTTGATTCCATTCATAGGTTTTCTTCTGTGCTGAAATGTTCTGTTTTTAATTTTTTGAATTTATTTAATCACAAATATTTTAAAGCTCTTACAAGATAATTCCATTATATTGAAATTCTGTGTGTATATTCATAATTTTCTGCTCTTTTGTTTTTCATTCATCATGTTTTCTTATTTTGCCTGGTTGTTTTTGATAGAGTACAAGACATTACATTAGAAAAAAAATACAGGTAATTTGATGGTGAATAATGTTATCTTACTCCAGAAGAAATTTAGGTTTCTGTCTAGTGATGAATCTAATGACCCTTGCAATCCTAGATTACATTTAGTCAATAGAAAATTGATAAAATTTGAAACTGGGTTTTAGTCTCTGTGAGTGTTAGTTTGTATTGCATTCATTATTAGTGCTAGAGTGTAGCATTTCCAAGTATAGACAGAAGTTTTGGGAAGTCTCTGATCTCTAATTTTTATCCTTTTTGCTCTGTGAACCTGCCTACATCTCTGCTCAGGTCCACAGTCTTTTAGCTACTGCTTGTAAAAATGGCAAATTCATCTAGAGGAACATATTGCTAAATGTTGACTCACCTCTCTGAACATTGTTTCTCAACCAGATTAGAGGTTAGTCCCACATATCTTTCTTGCCTTGCTAGTTCTGGAAGGCATGTTTTTTTTTTTTTAATTATGTCAAGTTTTTCTGAATGTTCTAAGTGATAAGGTTAGTCTAAAATTTCCTTGCTGAAAAAGCATTACCTAATAGTATTATAATGATACAGCAAATGATTTTTAGCTTTGATAGCCATGTATGGTATATCAGTCTCATTGAGGAATCTCACTACAGCACCAGCAGCAAGTCTCACACCTGGCAGGGAATTATGGATATCTAACAGCTACAATATAGTGGCCAGGTGGTAAGATCCATTTCCCACTCATGTCATATGGAAAATGGCCTTTGTCTGGGTCCCTTCGTAACAATTAGGAGGTCAGAATCAAAATTTTGCATCTATACACTATTATGACTTCATTTGCACTCATGGCTGGCAAACTTACGTACATTTTTATTATACAAGGAATACATGTCATAAAGAAAACCATATTCTTAGAAATAATCAGAAAGTACTTCTTATGAATTTTGACCTACAGTGAACTTCTTAAAATAAAGTATAAGAAGCAAAAGTAATTATAATAATTCAACTTATACTTAGTAGTGTTTTTGAGTTTCATAGTTGGTTAATTGAGTCTGAGGTTCACCCATGGAGGATTCTATAAGAAAAGAGAGAACTAATTCTGTAACCACAGAGATTGCTGGAAAGATGATGCCTATATGAAAATTATCTTAAATACATAACCTTGCCAATAAGGTACTCAAATCAAAGTAAAATGTCTTTCAAAAATCCTTTATTAAGGAAATTGTTTGGTCAAGACTTTTCATTTCACCAAAAGTTATTTAATGAAAAACAAAAATAGCTAGTTTTGTGACTCTTTTTTAATTTTCATGTATAACAAAGCCAACAGTGTCTTAACTAGCATCCTGGACAGAGATGAAAATATATAGTGCTTTATTTTGTATGCATCTAGAAATGTTAAAATTCACTAAGGGAGTATTATCTAGATTCTTAATAAGGACATTTGAAATGAAATCTCCTTAGATTATTCATTATTATTATGCATTAATAATAGGCCAATTCTGACTCAAGTCAAAAATTGATTTTGATAAATGTTCATAATTACTCTCCAAATAAAGCTTTTTTTGTGAATACAATATTAAAACTTACGATATTAAAAGACAGAACTGTAGAATATGGTTAATATAATTTGATTGCATTATTGTGAAAATTTAAGAGAACAATCATTTTATGCTAAATTCAAAAACAATCATTTACAGGATAATTTTTGAAAATAATTAATTTTATATAATTGAAATACATATAGCTGGGGATAGCAAGTAGCTCTATCATATTAATTCAGCTTGGACTCAGCTGATTTCTATTATCCCTTTCATTTATTCATTGCTTAAAAAGGCTAGAATTCAACCAGTTTTCAAAATTTACAAAGTATACTTTATACTAATCTGTTTTTATTAATATTATTTAAACTCTTAGAAAACTACTTAAGATAAATAAAAAAAGTTGTTTACAAGAATTTGTCACTGCAAATGGATGAAAGTGCTGTTCTGATGAGTATTTGCCACCTTTCAGAAAAGAATATGGCAGTTTTGATAAATGTCAAAATAAAAGAAATGGAAAAAAAGATGGTGGTATTATTACTTAACACAACACTGTGAAGTAGTTGATATTATTATTTTATAGATAACCAAGTTGTTAATTGGTTACATAACTTGGTCTGTATCATATATACATTAATTTTCAGAAGTTTTATAAAATTAAGGTCTGATTTAATTTTCAAGGTAAGAAAGAGGAACATAGAAGGGAAAGGTAAGGTTGGAAAAAATTTGTAAATATCAAAAGTTGGAATCGTATTTTGATTTTCATTTTCACGGGAAAAAAAGTGAGTCCATATCTGTATGTCAAAATACCAGAGAAAACTATTACCCCTAAACAAGCTTCGTATCATAACCAAAAGGAATAAATATAAAGCATAAATAGAAAAAGGTATCAAAGCATCCAACTGTCTCATGCACTATAACAAAATATCTGGATATTACAAAATAGTCAGAAAATTGATTGAATTTCTGTTAACAAGTGCAATAATGAGTTTTGATGTTGAATCATTTAAGCCTTGCATTATTGAAGACAAAGTTTTACTCAATATTGTTCTTTTTTAGCAAGAAGATTAGCAGCTGACATGTATACTCTCTGCCCTTTTTTCACTTTTTCTTATTCCACTGAAAATGCATTCATACCTACACACTCATGCACACACAAAATCTCACAATACACTTTTAATATTTTATTCTGGTACTTGCATCTCCAGAAACACCCACTGTTTATTTCATTTACTTCACAAAGGAGTGTATTAGTCCATTGTTACATTGCTATAAAGAACTTCTCAAAACTGGGTAATTTATAAAGGAGAGAAGTTTAATTGACTCACCGTTCAGCAGGGCTGGGGAGGCCTCAGGGAACTTACCATCATGGCAGAAGGTGAAGGGGAAGCGAGGCACCTTCTTCACAATGCAGCAGGAAGGAAAATGAACTCAGAAGGAACTACCAAACACTTAAAAAACTATCAGATATCCTGAGAACTCACTCATTACCATGACAACAGCATGGGGGGAAACTGCCGTCATGATTCAGTTACTTCCACCTGGTTTCTCCCATGATATGTGGGCATTATGGGGATTACAACTTAAGGTGAGATTTTTGGGTGGGGACACAGCCAAACCATATCAGGGAGTCACTTGAAGTTAGAGATAATGTTGAATTTATTCCATTAACATTTATCTACATTTATATATGTATGTTTATATGTATACATACATATAAATACAGATATATGTATGTTATAAATTATACATAAAATGGTATGTACATATATGTATTTTTATATTGTAAGATATATATTAGAAATATAACTATGTTAAATTCCCTAGGTAAACACATCAATTTTTACTTATTCAACTCAAAATAAAGTGCAAATTTTTAATGCAGTCCACAAGGCCTCTGGTTGCCACCTGTGTTTCATCTTGCCCTTCTCTACCTCACTCAGTCTATAGTTGTTCATTTCTAGCATTACATCCACAATAACCCTCTTTCTGTTTTCTAAACGTAGAAATGCTTTGTTCTCTGCCTTGACTGCTTCTTTTACTTCCTGAATTCGATCTCAATTTTCTTTTCACTAAGAAAATATGATCTAATCAGACACCTCCCCATCCTTGGTCAAGTTGCTCTATTGTTGTACCCTTGTATTTCTCTTTTGTGCTATTACAATTATGTTAGATAATCTTTATTTGTTTACTGTGTATTTCAGTTTCTAAGATGATTAAAACTGAGACCGTGACTGTATTGTCAATCACGACAATTTCATCACCAAAAACAATGAGAAGTTCACTAATATTAAGAACTCAACAAATATCTAATAAATTAATGTGTTTCTCAGCATCTGTTGAGCATCATAGACTTTTGAATATTTATATGACTGTTTAATGAACAAGTGAGAAATGTGTAAATAATAAGGACTCAAACTAAAAAAGAGACCTCACTCATGAAAATATTATGGCAATCACAAATATTATAAAACAAAATCTTTAAAAACAAATGAAATTGCCAATCTCCTTCTCATGAAAAGTGTGAGTGAAAAAATCCTCACCTGTGACCTAGGAAACTCAAGCCAATAAACTAGAGGTAAAACAAGGAATCTCTAAAATGTTCCACTTGAGAAGTTAACCCAAATACAAATTAATAATTTTTTAAAGAAAACTAAATAGATAAGGGATAGAGTCAACATAAATAGAATTCAAAGAAACAAAAAGCGGTACTATCATAGGCTTGATAACCTTAGATACTGGGATACTGGAATGGTTAGGTTAAAGCCGGAATATAAAATGAGCAAGAATAAAAATGAATAAAAATGTAAGGCATTACATATAAAAATAAGGATCAAATGGGTATCAAAAAGGACAAGAACCAGGAATAGTTGGAGGGGAGAAAAAGGATTTTCCGAAACAAAAATTGTGATTACTGAAATAAAACTGACCAGATAAATAAAATAGATGACAAGATAACTAGTAAACTAGACGATATATTTAAAGAAATTATTTTCAAATGTAACTGAAAGACAACTTAAAGAAAATAGCAAAAGAAATTTAACAGGTGTAGATGGCAGAATGAGAAGATATAATATATATATAACAGGAATGAATTTCATAAGAAGAGAAAATAAAAACAGTAGAAGAAAGGCAATGTTCGAAAATATAGTGGCTTAGCACTTTGGGAATTCTTTAAACACTCAAATGACCTATTTGGAAACCACAGTGAATATCAGAAAGATATAAAAAGATATCACCCATACATATTGTAATAAAATGTCAGATCACCAAATACCTAGAAAATGTCTTTTAAAAATATTAGAATTTAAAGATAGATAACTGGCATAAGAAAATAATTTGACCTTCTAGGCACCTTGACCTCATAGACACAATTTGACTCTAAGACACCTTAGTTAAAGACACAGAAGTCAGGTAATGAAAAATTCTGACAAAAATAATCCTCAAACCAACATTTTGTACCCTGCTAATTTATAATTCAAGAAAATGGTGAAATAAAGATAATTTCAGTTTAGACACAACAGACCCTTGGTAAAATGTATACATGCCACTCAGCAAAGAAAATACACATCTTTTTTCAAATATGGACCAGTAAAAGTGACATTGCTCAACAAAAACAATCTGGACACATTTTAGAAAGTTAACAGCATAGTCGATAACACAAATTTAATAAAATTAGATATCAGCAATATAAAGCTAGCACTAAAACTAACTGAAACATTTAGATAGTCACAAACACACTTTTAAAATGATTTATATCAAAAAAATTAAATTTAAATTTACAGAATATTTAGAACCAAATATTGGCCTGGGTGAAGAGAACATAAGGTTCAATGACCATTTATAGTACAATACATTGAAATAGTAATGAAAACTACACTCACAAAAAAGAAACAGAGTCAAAAGGTTTACAATGTGAATTCTACCAATGCTTCAATGAAGTGATAATTCCTTTTTATACAATATATTCCGGAGAAAAAAATAGTAACAGGAAGAAGCACTATTTGTACTGTGTTTTCAGTGTAAATTCAGTTACCAAAATGATGAGGAAAGGATAGGAACATAAAAAATTATCAAATATGAGCAAATCAAACAAAGTAGCCTATCAAAATAAATTTGAGTGTTTTCAAGCATTCAAAAAAGGTTTTACATGTTAAAAACTATGATTTTTTTACTATATTATGAAACAAAAAAGAAAATCCATATAACCTCTGTATTAGGTGAGAAGACATTTATTACATTTTAACAGATATTCATGACTTACAATAATCAAAATGACTACAAATAATTCTAAGTAACCCGAAACAGATGGAAACAGTTTTTCCTTGATAAACACAAAATGTAAAGAGTGTAAAAATTCTTTCTTTAGAATTGTCAATATCAGTAAACTACATTATACATACAGAAAAGCTCAATAACTTTTCAACAAGTGAACATAAAAGAATGTCACCAGAACCCCATTAGATGTCTGAACATCCATCAGATACCTAGCAAGCTACTGCCAGCAGGCCTTCACTCTAAATAAACGCTAGCAGTATACTGACTTTCAAAATAATAAACTGGTCATGCTAATCTTAAAACTTTACGTGACAGAATTATAAAATACATGAAAATTTTTCTGGCTTCCTTTGATGAAATAAATGTAAGAGTCATCCTTGTTGTGAACAATTGCACCTTATTATGTCCATTGTTTAGTAGTCCATTTTATAAGTATATCTCAATGTCCAAGCCCAGTGTTTGACTATTGTGACTAGTTTATGATGCATAAATGTATGTGTATTTCCTGGCTGTATTCCTAGGAGTATAAATTTTGGTTCATAGGGTATGCCTGCCTATGTTCAGCTTTAGTAGATCTCTTGCCAAAGAATTTTTCCAAACTGGTGGATTGTAAGAGTGAAGAAAGTCCTTAACATCCTTATTGTCTTGGCATTTTTTGTCTTTTTCATTTAGTCATTCTTTTGAGTGTGTAGTATATTGCATTGTGGTTGAAATGTACTTACACATTCATTTTCTATTATTTTATTAGTTCTCCAATAGATTGTAGAGTTTATTTTTAAAGTAATACAATTTAACCCAAATTATACCTTTACTACCTTTCAATAATGCTGGAATATTAAAACATGATAACATAATTTTCCTGGTTGTAATTTTTACAATGATTTCAATTTCCACATATATTTTAGACCTCACGATATATTACTATCACTGTTTTAAAAGTCAATATTCAAACAGTGCCCATTAACTTTATGCACTGGTTTACCTTTTTCGTTGTTCTTTATTCCTTTCTATAACCATGTTTCATTCTGAATATATTTTCGCTAGTCTTTCTTTCAGGTAAAGTTCTTCTGGTGACAACTTCTGTTGTATTTAGTAGAAAACTTATTTATCTCTTATGGGAGACATTTTTGCTAGGTATGAAATTCCAGTAGGCTAACATTTGGAACTTTAAGTAATTCAATCAATTGGCATCCAAAATTACATACTTTTGTTGATAAGTTGGCTTTTATTCTTACCATTGCTCAGTTATTTATTTTCCTCTCTATTTTTAAGATTTCTCCTTTAATTCTACTTTTCATGACTCAGCACATTCTGTTTGAAGTTTGGCGAGCTTTTTGAACCTGAATTCATGTATTTCATATGTTTAGAAAACAAATGCCATTTTTAAAATATGATTTTTTTCCATTATTTTCCCTCTCTCCTTGTGGAACACAATTACGTGAATATTGAACCTACAATTACTCTTGTGTCTCGATTGCTGTTTCCAATGTTTTTAATCATATTTTGTCTTCTCAGTATATTGTTTTGGAAGTTTATCGTGACCATTTTGCAGTTTTATGCGCTTGCCTTCGATTATATTTTATCTACTTTTAATTTCATCTAACAAATTCTTGTTTTTATATTTTTTAAAGTTTTTTTCTTTTAATTTTTTGGGTACATAGTAGGTGTATATATTTATGGGGAACATGAAATATTTTGATATAGACATAGGGAAAGGAAAAAGAGTGGGAGTTGCTATACTTAGACAAAATAAATGTCAAGACAAAAACTATGAAAGACAAAGATGGTCACTATGTAATGATAAAGGTATCTAGCAAATTTTTAATTTTAGATTTTATATTTTGTAATCTAGAATCACAATTTCTGAAGCCTAATTCTCTAGTGAAATTGTTCACCTTTTCATCTACTTTCTGTAACACTTAACATTAGCAACAGTTATTTTAAAAACCTTATCAGCTCATTCTAATATCTGTATTATTATGGATCTTTTTCTACTGTCTTTTTCTTTCCTTATTTTACATTTTGTGTTGCTCTTTTCTTTGCATGACTAATGTATTTTAATTGAATAACAGCATTATGTATAGAAAATTGTAAGGACGTCATATGACAACCATAACATATTGCTGTAAATGTATTCAAAGTAAGGTGAATATACATTACAAATATAAAATATCACTACACATTCTCTGTATTTTATAAGCATATGTTTACAAATATATATGCATAAAAAACATCTGGCAGAGTGTTCAAATGGTTAATAACTGGGCAAGTAGTAGATAACTAGTTTGGAGAAAAAGAGAACTTTAGCCTTATCTGTAATAAATCATTATTTTTTAAAGATATTATGTTTGTTTCTCTTAAGAATACATTTATTTTCAATGTCTACAAACACTGTGAGCAGTAATCTGTGCTTTCATAGTAGAAAACTATCAAAAGGAACTATGTTCTTATTCAAAATTCAAAATGCTGAATTTAAATTCTGATTTTACAAAAAGATAGCAAACCAATTTTTAGTGTCTATTTGCATTTTATATAGGAGTTTATAAGAAACTATAAGAGTTTCCGCAGGAATATTAAAATTAAAAACATGAAGTAATGTGTCATACAATTTTTTAAATGACCATACCTTTATCCTGATTGTAGATTTCTTAACTTCACAAAATAATGTTAATGCTTCATTTATTGTTGAGCAAACTGAGAAGCAACAAATTTAAGGACTTTGTTTTACTTTAATAACTCACTAATTACTCCTTTGTTTATTCTTCTATTCTGTTTTCTGCTATGGTAGGAGCCCCATAAGTACAAGTTTTTAGCCTTTAGTTAATACATTTTTCATGCCTACCAAAGTGCCTAGCCTTTAGAAAGTAATTGATAGATATGGGTGAGTAAAAATGTAGATGTGTGATATTACTCTCATACTCTACTGAACATTTCTGAAATTCTGTGGTAGTAGGTTTTAAAATTCAGGGATTTTATGTATGTTGCCACTTTTGCATAAAAAGACTTTACTTCATTCTGCAAGGATGACTTATTCTAAACTTTAATTCTCCACTTAAAAGTTGTTTCATAAAAAACTCACCAATTCTCAGTATAAAGTTTGTCTCAACACTTATTGTGACTTTTCTTTCTTTCACCACTATATATATATGTGTATAGACACATGTATACACCTGTATGTGTATAGACACGTGTATACACCTGTATGTGTATAGACACACGTGTATACACCTGTATGTGTATACCTCACTTGTGCTTTCTTGTTCATTATATAAAAGTCTCTCATATTGCACCATAATGACATCTGAATACATATTTTGACCAATTTAATTATTATTACATTCTTAGCACTTACATTGGAGGAAGGCTGAAGACTTTCATCTAGATATTCTGGTTATCATGTGAATTTGCTTCTTTGTAGAAAAAAAAAGCACTTATATTTGTGTATGATAGAGTGTATGATGGAATGCTTATCCCAATTGCTCTACTTTTCATGGCCCTAACTATATTTGCCAACAAGCTCTATTTTCACTGACAACAGAACATTGTAAAAAGGAATACACTTAGAGATCTCAGCAATTCTTCCTAAGCAATTGCCAGCACCACTCAAAGGGAGTCAGGAGTTCAAGACTTAATGCTCTAATAAAGCCGTACATTCCAAAGTGAGTCATTTACAATGATACCGCATCATCAGTAAAATGAATCCAGATATCCTATACATTGTGGTGAATAGTTTCAAATCTCTTCTCCCTGAAGAACTCCCAGTGAAATGAAGCCAAATAAAACAAATCCTGATTTTTCACATTTACTGTTATTAAAGAAAAGAACAAAGTAGTGCCAAGGGGAATGAGAGAATAAAGCTATGGCTATTCAGTTGTGAAGAAAGTAAATTAATAAAACTAACCTCATTTTCTTTTTTACATGCTTTCAGTAGATGTCCCTGGAGAATAATTCCCTTTATGGAATAGAATAAGGATGGGAGAATAGACTGTGCAGCTTTGTAACTGGGTCTTTTTTAGTAATATTTGCCCTCAATGTGTCACAAGGAACTAATATGTCATCCTGTTTGCCATCTAAGGCTTGATTTCTTTTTCTATGGGCTGTTCCTTTTTCATAATGTTTACTAGAAATTTTGGTAAATATTATATTCTCATTAAATGCACTACATAAAATGTCATCAGAGGGAAGAACAAAAACAACATTGTGAGTATACTCAAGAGAATTTTTTAAGTCATTAAAACATATATGATACTCTGGGCTCATGTGATATATTCAATCTATCTTTTGCTATTGCTGTGTAAAAATTAATTCAATATGAAAAAAAGCCTTTATCTACTATGACAAACTGTACAACCTCCAGGCTGTTCACCTGCCACGAGGAGGATTTTTCATTTGAATGGCTAGCTGAGTGATAGACGTGCAGATATTTTCCAAGCTGTCTGGCTAGCTGTCTTTTCCTGTAGTGGATTCCATTTAAGAATTAGTCCAGCATCATTCAATAGCATGCTATATAGGAATACACTTTTCTAGCTGGATAGATAGATAAATATGCATACACACATATTTCAGTTTTTTAAAAAACACAGAATGGAGGCAAGTACTTCAGCAAATAAAATATTTTTATCTTAATTCTAATCTACCAATAATTTCCATCTAAAACATCTCTTCTTTCTTAAGTTTCAAAAAAATGAGCATTAAATCTATCTGTATCCGACATAAGCCAACTTATTTATGGAATAAAGAAACTGTCAATTTAGTTTATGTTATTCCTGTATTCATTTATAAAATAATGCATTTATAAACTTAGTTTACCTATATAGTTTCATAATCTACTGTCTTGATAAGTCAATACAACATTTTTACTAGTATACATTAAATATGATTCATTAAGTTTCTATATGTTCATTTTTCTTTTAAAAAATACCTTTCAAAATGATTGCATATGAAAAACATTCCATTTGAAAAGTAATTTTTAAAATTTCAGTTACCAGTTAAAACAAAAGATGTGGCTTCTAGATAATAAACAATAAAATTGAATTTAGCTAGCAGGGTTACATGGAGAATTAAAAATTATGAAGAAATATTCTATTTTTAAAATTCATTTTAGGAAAATAACCCTTTTCTTCATCATTGTACAATTAATGACAACCTTTCAATTGTCAAACATTCATTAAAAAACAATCATTATCAAAGTTGACAGAAAATGTTGATTCCTAGGAAAGTTTCATCCCACAAAGGATTTGGAATTAGATTTTCAAACAAAATCTTAATTGATTTTTAAGCCAATGACCCAGCAAAAATATTAAGTCACAGTTCAGGAATTATTAATCTAAAGTAAAGTAATAGCAAGTAGGTCATTTTGAAGTATATGTACATATGTATTGTACATGTACAAATTTCACTCAGGTAGTGACTAAAAGAAAACATTTATCTGTGAAAAATGAAAAACATAGAGGTGTTTAATCATAAAGAACAACAAGAATACTTCCTGAATTGTTTATTTTACTCAGTCTGCCTAACTATAACTTGCTCTAGTAATTATGACTTTATGCCATATTAACACATGCAAATAATGCATATACATGCATATACATTTACACATATGTATTAGTCTGTTCTCACGCAGCTAATAAAGACACCCCCAAGACTGGGTAATTTATAAAGGAAAGAGGTTTAATGGACTCACCGTTCCACATGGCTGGGGAGGCCTCACAATCATGGCGGAAGGCAAAGAAGAAGCAAAGGCACCTCTTACATGGCTACAGGCAAGAGAGTTTGTGCAGGGGAATTCCCATTTATAAAACCATCAGATCTTATGAGGATTATTCAATATCACAAGAACAGTACAAGGGAATCTGCTCCCACGATTCAATAATCTCCAACCCGCACCACCCTTGACACATGGAGATTACTATAATTGAAGATGAGATTTGGGTGGGGAAACAGCTAAACCATATCAACATACATATTAAATATGGTCAATTATAGGCATTAATCTTTTTGTTGTTTGTGTTATCCTATCTTTGGCCAGTGGGACTTCTAGTGTCCTTTTGTCAAGAAGCAATTATTTTTCAATAGTTGCTTGTTGTCTACCATACCATATCAATAAATTTTATATTACCAGCAAGACATGGAATAAGCCGTGTTTCCAAATGCCTTTGGTTTCTTTTAGTAGGAAATGTTATTTTAAATATCTGTGGATGGTCATTGTTCTTAAAATGTCATTGATTTTAGTTACTCATTTGTTTTCAATGGAATGAGCTTTCTAAGACATGTTTTTAGAGAAAATATCTTAATCTCTACTGATAGTTCCAAAATCGTTCAAATTTTAAGTCATAGATTTTTTGTTTTTCTTAAACTGTGAGGTTTTGGAAGGACTGATAGCATGAGTTAAAACATGTGGTTTCAATTCCAATACTTCTATTACTTTTGAAGTTCCTTACCTTGAGTAAACCACACTGTTCGGTATTATTTTCCACTGCTGTAAAATGGGATAGTATTGCTTACATTGTAGGATTATTTTTAAAAGCCAGCAAAAAAAGTGTAATTTCAAAAGCAAATCTTGGTTTAAAGTTTTCTCAATCAGTCTTCCTACATTATTCACATTTTTCTTCCTCTCCTCATACTTATGTTTCCCCTAGTTATTTCATTTTTTTGCTGCATTTATTATTTAACCAGTCTTAGATGCCAGCACCCATTTTTAAGTTTGTTCCATCAAGTCTTCCATTACACTAGATAGTAATATCAGTTAAATTAAGGTCTGTGTGGAATGCTTACTTTAAAAATGCTTGTTTCCTTTTAATTTAATTTAATATTAGGAAACATTTGCTGAGAACTTCATACAACCAGGAACTGATCTAAATATTACAATTCATTCAATTAATCTTTAAAAATCCTTTATGAGTTAGCAATGTTATCTTCACCCATGAGATTAAACTTATTTTATAGTTTATTTCCTTCAACTTGGCTTTGCATTCTTATTCTTTTATCTTATTGGATACTCAGCTTTTTTATACTAAACATTGTTTTTTCCTTTTAGAGTGTAAGGCTCCCATGTTTTTACATCCCTAGAATTTAAGCAACCAATGATAATATATATTCAACATCATGTAGTTCTAAGTATTTCTGAAATTCAGTATTATTTTTAATTGACTTATGCATCATATATGTTTCATTTTGACTTTCCAAGTGAGCTTTTGTATCTTTTAAAAATTGATTTTTAAATTAGTTGTATTAGGGTCAAAAAATAATTTCTATGTTAGCAATCTATTCTTTTTTTTCTTTTTGTATTGGCTTATTGAGTCAGATGTGTTAAACACTGTCACTCTGAAGGTGCATTTATTTATTTATTTATTATTACTTTTTAAGACATGGGATCACGTTCTGTTGCACAGGCTGGAGTGCAGTGGTGTAATCATAAGTCACTGCAGCCTTGAACTCCTGGGCTCAAGCAGTCCTCTTGTCTTAGCCTCCCAGGTAGCTGGGACTACAGGTGCACAATACCATGCCTAGCTATTTTTTTATATAATTTTTGTAGAGACAGGTGTCTTGCTTTATTCACCAGACATGTTTTCAACTCTTGGCTTCAAGTGATCCTCCTGCCTTGGCCTTCCAAAGTGCTGAGATCATAGGCATGAGATACTGTACCTGGACAATTTATTATTATTTCAATTTTTATTTTAGATTCAGGGTGTATATGTGCAAGTTTATTACTTTGGTATATTGCATGATGCTGAGATTCGAGGTATAATTGTTCCCATCATCCAGGTACTGAGCATAGTATCCAATAGGTAGTTTTTCAATCCTTGTCTCCCTCCCTCTCTCTCTCCTCTAATAGTCACCAGTGTCTATTGTTGCTTTATTTATTTATTTATTTATTTATTTATTGAGATGGAGTTTCACTCTGTCACCCAGGCTGGAGTGCAGTGGCGTGATCTTGGCTCACTGCAACCTCCAAGTCCCATTTCAAGTGATTCTCCTGCCTCCGCCTCCTGAGTAGCTGGAATTACAGGTGCCTGCCACCACACCTGGCTAATTTTTGTATTTTTAGTAAAGATGAGGTGTTGCTATGTTGGCTAGCCTGATCTCAAACTCCTGACCTCAGGGCAACCGCCTGCTTCAGTCTTCCAAAGTGATAAGAATACAGGCGTGAGCCACCATGCCTCGCTGATTGTTGCCATCTTTATTTCTATGAGTACTCAGGGTTTAGCTCCCACTTACAAGTGAGAACATGCGTTATTTGCTTTTCTGAATTAATTTGCTTAGGATATTTATCTCCAGCAGCATTCATACTACTTCACAGGTCATGATCTCATTGCTTTTCATGGCTGTGTATATTCCATGGTGTATATGTAGCACATTTTCTTTATCCAGTGCAGCATTGATGGGCACTTAGGTTGACACCATTTCTTTGCTATTGTGAATACTGCTTAGATGAACACACAACTGCATGTGTCCTCTTGGTAGAATAATTTATTTTCCTTCAGATATATACCCAGTATGGGATAACTGGGTTCAATGGTAGTTCTGTTTTCAGCTCTTTGATAAACCTCCAGACTGCTTTCCACAGTGGCTGATCTAATTCGCATCCCCATTAACAGTGCATAAGCACTCACTTTTCTCCAAAGCCTTGCCAGAATCAGTTGTTAATTGACTTATTTATAATAGCCATTCTGACTTGTGTGTAATGTTAACTCCTTGTGGCTTAGATTTGCATTTCTCTGATAATTAGTGATGATGAGCATTTTTATATGTATGTTGGCCACTTACATGTCTTCTTTGGAGAAGTGTCTGTTCATGTATTTTACCCATTTTTAATTGTTTTTCGTTTTTTTGCTTGTTCAATTGTTTAAAAGTTTCTTATAGATTCTGGAAGTTAGATGTTTGTAAGAATCATAGTTTGTGAATATTTTCTCCCATTCTGTAGGTTGTCTGTTTACTCAGTTGACAGTTTCTTTTGCTGTGCAGAAGCTCTTTAGCTTAATCATGTTCCACTTGTTTATTTTTGATTTTATTGCAGTGACAACAAATTTTTTGCAAGGATGATGTCCTGATGCTGTTTCTTAGGATTTCTTCTAGGATTCTTATAGTTTGAGGTCTTACATTTCAATGTTTAATCTATCTTGCATTAATTTTTATATATGGTTAAAGGTAGGAGTCCAAATTTCCTTCTACATATGGCTAGCCAGCTAGCCCAGCATTATTTATTGACTATGCAGTCTTTCCCTCATTGCTTATTTTGGTCAACTTTGTCAAAGATCAGACAGGTGTAGGTGTTTGGCTTTCCTTCTGGGTGCTCTATTGTTTTACAACATCTGTGCATCTGTGTGTGTGTTTTTTAAATAATCCCTATGTTTACATATGTTTCAGTTTTGTACCAGTACCATTCTGGTTTTGTTACTATACTTTATAGTACAGTTTGATATGAAGTAATATAATGCTTGTGTTCTGGATTGTGGGGTTTTGTTATTGTTGTTGTTGTTTTGATTAAGATTGCTTTAGCTATTCAGGCTGTTTTTTGGTTCCACATAAATTTTAGAAGAGTTATTTTCTAATTCTGTGAAAAATGACATTGGTAGTTTGATAGGAATAGCATTAAGTCTATAGATTTCTGTGGTCAGCGTGGCCATTTTAACAATATTGATTCTTCCAATCCATGAGAATGAAATGTTTGTCCATTTGTTTGTGTAACCTATAATTTCCTTCAACAGTGTTTTGTAATTCTTGAAAAGATCTTCCACCTAAGTTGATTTTCATGACTTTGTATCTTCAGATCACAGCATAGTGACTGACATATACTTGGCTCCCAATAAATATCTGCTAAATGAATGTCTCCATAAATTCAATACAATTTTAAAAATGAGTAATACGCCTTTCAATGAGACAAAGGTAAATCAGAATAAAAAATAATTTTAAATATTTTGTATACTTAAAACATATAATATATAATATAAGGAATCAAGGCTGAGTTTGCAGGACACAGACCAAACAATATTGGCCTTGACCCTTGTTAAGTTATTAGGCAATTAATAGAAGCTAAGGATTTTCCACATTGAAAGAAAGTCATTCTTCCCACAACTTTCTCTATATTTCTCTATAATGCACGTTTGGGTACATTCCTCTTCCCTGTAGGAAGCTCATTCCCTCCTAGAGAAATGCAAATTAAGACACAATAACAATACTTTCTTTGTGTTACCTCACCATATGGAGTAAAGTATGTGCTGTTGTTTTGTCAACTGTAGTAATGAATGCTCATCAACACAATTGGGATTAACACCAGTCTTTTTAAAAGTCTAGTCTATGCTAGTCCTTAAAAATATTCCTGAAGTCTTTCAATAACTAAATATAAGCATAAGTGACTATTTTCCGATTTTATGTTTATATTATTGAGTTGAAATTATTGTAATAAAGTATATAATATTCAGATGCACTTGTAGCAAAGTGATTACATAGAACTTTCAAATCACATCTTGACAACTTTTTCTCCTTTCCATGATAAATTCTTGAATATTATTTTTACATGACATCTTCGTAACCACATACAGTTTGTAGGAACTAATTATCTGGTAATTTCTTGGCAAATATTTAGATTACACAGTTTAATAATGAGTACTAATTCATTTCATCACAAAATGTTAATTTTAACAACCAAGTAAATACACTATAATTAGAAAGCCATGATTCTAATCACATAAATGCAATATACATCTTGGTAACTTCGGATTAATATCACTAAGACAATATTAACTCACACAGATTTGATATTAATCTAAGAGCCTCTAAATTTACTTTAAGTGAAAAAAAACTCTAAACATTTTTTAGTGAAAACATCAACAACATTCTCTGAAGTTATGAATATAATAGGGAATAAATAATTTTAAAATATTTATGTTAACTTGTATTTTTGCATAAAATATAAGCAGAATATTTTATAGTGATATGCTATTGATAAGTTTTGATGTTAGAATTCTCAATAAGGGAGGACCAGTTCTTGTGGTCACCATGGAAAAATGGTATAGACTCCCTTTTAATCAATAGGTTAGATGTCAATACAATGATCCAGACACACAACAAGAGGGTATGAAAAAATGTATTACCCCATAGTAGGACTTTCTGTGAAGAACAGGGCAATTCATAAGGTGGTAGAGAATTTGCTTGAGTGACTTCAGGGAATGAAGGAGCAAGTGACTGTAGTCTCACTATGATTGGGAACAGGGTGAGAGCTTTCAAGTAGACAGGTGCATGCTTAGCTTGAACATCACACAGCAAAAAGGGAGAGGGTGTCATGCTTTCTTATTTTTTTGCCTAGAAGGGAGACTAGGGCAGAAGACAGGGGAGTGGTCCTTGAAAGCTGTCAACACTCACACATAAAGAAAAAGTTAGACTATTACACCAGCTTTCAAAGGGAAAATCTCTATTCGATATATTTTCAATAATTACCTGTCCATCCTCTATACTACCAATGGAATTATTAAGTCTCTTTCTCATTAAAATTCATTTTCTAACTCTCTTACAGGTTTCTGGCATTCTTCAAAGTTGTGAAACAAGACATATTATCTGTGTGGAGCTCCTACATAGTGGAAAGTTGGACAAAAATGTAGAGAAGTAAATAAATAAATGGCTATGAAAGTAGACGATTGTTATATCTTAAACATAAAATAAATTTGGGACCTATAATAGAGAGTATTCATAGCCTGACTAGGAGGGTATGGTCAGAAAAGACTTTTCAAGAGTGACTTCTTCAGTAAGACCTAGATAACAAGTCAACCATGCAAATCTCTGAGGAAAGAGCATTCTACCAAGAAGCAGAAACTAGTGCCACAATCCTGAAGCAGAAAAAGCACTGCAACTTTAAATACAGTTGTCCCTTCTCATCTGTGGTTTCACTTACTGTAATTTTAGTTACTTGTGATCAACTGCAGTCTGAAAGTATTAAATGGAAGATCCCAGAAATAAACAATTTGTAAATTCAAAATTGCACACCATTCTGAGTAACATAATAAAACCATGTCACCCAGAATGTGAACCTTCCCTTCATCCAGTGTCTCCACACTGGTTCCACAGTGTCTCCACAGAGTGTCCACACTATACATGCTACCCACTTAGTAGCCAGCTTGGAAATCAGAATAACTATATTAAGTTGTCGTGTTCAAGTAGTAATGGCTCCAAAGTGCAACAGTAGGGATTCTGGCAATTCAGAAAAGCCAAAGAGAAGGTGAAAAATCCTACCTTGTTTGTTAATCTCTTACTGTGCCTAATTTATAAATTAAACGTTATCATAGACATTTATGTATAGAAAAAACATAGTATATATGAGGTTCAGTACTATCTCTGGTTTCAGACAACCACTGGAATTCTTGAATGAATACCATGGGATAAGGGGAGACTAATGTACAAAGAAAGTCAATGTGGCTGAAGGAGAGACATATCAGAAGATGAATAGGAGAGGATGAAGAAAGTCAGAAGGCACTTTATGTACGAGCTTGTAAAGTGAGATCAGAGAGAATTTTATTCTAAGGCTAAAGGGAAGGCACAGATATTTTTAAGCAACAGAATCAATGATCTACTTAATTTATTATGTAATAATTATTAGATCATATTGTTTGCAATTTAGAGAGTACAGAGAACAAGACTCAAATAAAAAGGACAAGTAAAAGATCAGTCTTGAAGACTATTAAATTGGTTCAGGACAAAATGTGTGATGGATTTTTCAAGGGTGGTGGTTAAGATACACAGAGAGTGGAAGGCTTTGGTTTGGCTATGGAGGCTTTCCCCCATTGCTTACTTTGGTCAACTTTGTCAAAGATCAGACAGTTGTAGGTGTTTGGCTTTACTTCTGAGTGCTCTATTGTTTTCCATCATCTATGTATTTGTGTGTGTTTTGTTTTCTAATAATCCCTAGGTTTACATATGTTTCAGTTTTGTACAAGTACCATTCTGGTTTTGTTACTATATCTTATACTACAGTTTGATATCAAGTAACGTGATGCTTCTGCTCGGGATTGTGGGGTTTTGTTATTGTTTTTGTTGTTTTTGCTTAAGATTGCTTTAGCTATTCAGGCTCTTTTTTGGTTACACATGAATTTTAGAAGGGTTTTTTTCAAATTCCATGAAAAATGACATTGGTAGTTCGATAGGAATAGTATTAAGTCTGTAGATTTCTGTGGTCAGTGTGGCCATTTTAACAATATTGATTATTATTGTTAGGTTTTTTAGATAGAACTGATAGAATTGATTGAGCTAGATAAAGAAAGTAATGAAAAGTGACTTTGTTTTGAGTGGGTTTTTTTGTTGTTTTGTTTATTGGCTTGAGCTTATAGATGAGATAATTATGCCATTTACTGAAATAGGAAAAGGGAATGGGAATATGAGAATCAAGAGTTTCCCTTTGGGGATATTAATTATAAGATAAATACTAGCTATTCAAGGACAAATAAAGCATAAACCTACTTATAAAAATCTAACAAGCTTAACTTCAATTTGCAATGTTATTAGCAGTATTGAGTGGTTATTCACAAAATAAAAATAATGAAACCAATTCTTCTTAAATATTATTTTTTTATTTTCAACGAAAAGATTTTAGATGAGGGCTTTAGTTGTATCAAATAATGTATAATCTTGTACATATGTACTTAAATAGCATATTGAAGACATTAATGTGATATGCAAGTGTGATATGATATTGTGTATATCTGTACATAAATTTCTATGTGCATGGTTTGCCAATCTGATGGAATTCACTAAATAATTATTGACCATCTACTATGCAGTAGATATAAGTAACATATAGTGAAAGAGCTTGTAGTTGACTTATTGTTTTTTTTCCTGTAAACTTAAACTTTGGTGATTGCTAATGCATCACTTGGATAATATAGTCAATCATTTAAAATATATTTAGTCTGCTAATTATTTTCAAGTGTGTTACAAATAATTCAAGGCAAATAATAAAGAGTCCTACTATATTCAAATGCTTATTCCAATGCATGTTAGGATACTTGCCTTTTCCAAAGTCATTTCAAAGTATTTTGCATGAGTTCAATTTTATTTTAAGACCTGCACTAATAATACTATCTGGCAGTAACTGCTTTGGATCACAGTGGATCCTCCAAGATTTATGTTTTACCTTTAGCTATAAAATCCTTACAACATCTATTTTTTCTGGATAGTTTTTATATTATCATTTTTAGCCTCAATCCAGAATTATTCCTTGTAATGTGAAAAAAGTTATAAGGCAATTTCCACTCATCCGGTTCTTATGGAGGATAGCAATATTCTTTATTGCTAGAAGGTATTTTTATCTTTGTTTATTCACCTTTTCTTTCTTGTTACTGTAAAGGTCTTAAACCATTACCAGAAATACAAGAGGGAAGGCATTTTGAGAAGACATTATGTAATCATTGTAACTTCATTTGCTATTAAGATTCTCTTCATGTGAATTATATTAAAAGGTGCATTTACTCCAACACAATCACTTATTTCTTACTTTCTACTTATAGCACCTTTCCATACAGGTAATTCAGAACAAAGAGGCAGTCATAAAACATGTCCTGTTTATTACAAATTAGAAAAGATGACATATTTAGGAAATTCACAATGATGCAGACAGATTTTTGATATAATGCAATATTATTATTATGCATTCTTTGAGGATCTATTATGTATCATTTCAAAGTAAGATATGAGTTTAAACTAGAACAAAATATTTTGGAATGGAGTGGAGTGGGTGAAATACTTTCTGTAAGTAAAGAGTTGTCAAAATTCATGTAGGGTGAATAAAAGAATGTATGTAATTTGAAGTTCCACAAATCTCCAAATTATGAAGCCTCATTCTCACAGCATATAGAAACAAAATAACAATCAATAATATAATACTGAAATATAATTTCAACTCTGGTTCTAAGATTATGTTCTCTAGTAAATTATATGGGTAAGACTAATAATTAATTGCATTAATAATATTAATACTGATGTGCCAATTTGCAATGTCACTAACAGTAGCGAGTGGTTATTCAGAAAATAAAAATAAGAAAACCAATTCTTCTAAAAGCTTATTTTTCTTTGCAATGAAAATATTTTAGATGAGGATTTTAGTTTTATCATATAGTTTATAATCTTATATAATTTGTACTTAAGTAGTATATCAAAGGCATTGATTTTATATTCAAGTGCGATGTAGATATTATGTGTATGTGTACACAAATTTATATATGCAGGGTTTACCAATCTGATGGCCATGTGTAACTTGCACTCTGTGGATGTATTGAGAATATCCAATATGTTAAACAGACCAAGATCTTTTGCCTGTGTGGGTTAGAAATTAGATTTGGAAAGCATAATAAAAATTGCAACATGTTCCTGTTGTTCAGAACAGAGAAAGATTGCTTCCTATTGGTTGGTATTTCAGAAGGCTATGTTTAGAATACAGAATCTGAGCCAGGTCTTGCAGGATAAGTGGGATTTTAACAAGCATGTATATTAATTTAAGTCAATAACAGAAGTATATCAGAGTCATGATGAAGAACATTATAGAATGGCAAAAAATCCAAGTTATTCGTATGTGAATATAAATACTGAAGACAAATATTGGAAAAGGAATCTGGAAATAGGTTGTGTTGTTTTAGTTTATTTAATGATGCTTTGTTAAGCTGAATATAGCTTGGTTCATTTTGGATTAATGTATTATTACTTCTTTGCTTTTTAGTTTTGTCATTAAAATTTCTATTAATAGTACTACTTGAAGATCTAATAAATGCAGACAAAAAGTACAATATTAAGTATATAATTCTGCCATATTTGAGTCAAATTTACATATATTAACAATGATTTATACAGTTAACAATAGTATAGCTATTATTATCCTAGCCTGATACACCCTTGAGCCCTCTCAGCTCCTTGATTATATATCACTCTCTAAAAGTTGGATCAAATTCTACCATTTTAAAAAAGCACTCTGGGACCTAATTTTGTATTTGACCATCGAAAGTATTTTATTATCTCACTAACAATAGAGCAATATGCCACAGAATGATGTATAGAATAGCGATGTGTGCCTATAGAAACAGACAACACAAAATTTAAATTATTATGAAGAATAGAATAATTACTCCTTATGAAGAATCTTGCAACTTAATAAGCTGCAGCTGTAAAAAACATTGCCTAATTGGCTATATCAGGATTTTTTAACAAAATTTATACTTTGAAGCATACTATGTAAATATGTAAGTATCTAATGCATGTATTTGTGTGTGCATATATGTAAATATGAATGCATGTATATATATACATATGTGTTTGATGTCAGAAGTTCCTCAGGACCACTAGTGTCCCAAACAGTACAATTTAAACACCTTTGCCCTTGGTGAAAATATGTATCTAGGAGAGAAAATAATAATTATCTAGACCTTCAGAGTATGTTTTTTTTCCACAAGCTTCCTAATATAGTTTATAAAATATCGTTCACATCATCCCCTCTATTCCTATGGTAATTACCTAGATTTCTTTTAAAGGCCCTTGCTTATTTTTGGGTTCAAAATCATGCAATAACTTTCTAAATTTTCTCACTGGCTACTTGCCTTTAAATGCGTCCTTTGAATGCCAGCTAAAATTTACTTTGTCCAACACAACCATGGGATAACCATGACTGAGAACTCCCCTTGGTGTGGAGAATAACATTTGCAGTTCTCAGCTTGGTATTTAAAAGCCTTCATAATGTGTCTCAATCTACATTTCTAGAGTACTACTGCCCTTCCTCTGACCCACAATTAAGACTATTCCCCAGGCACAGCAAATTATACACCATTTCCAAAACACATTCCCTTTCATTGCTGCCTTACCTTTGGCCATGCAGATGCACTCTCCCTAAAATGCCCTTCACACATTACCATTTCTAACTCTGGCAGATTGCCATTTTTCTGTCAAGACCAACGTATTTGAAGTTATGGCCTCCCGTGAGACACAATTAATTACTACCTCCTTTTTCTGCAACACTTTGTTCATACTTTGAATATAGCAGTTTTATGCCATAAGATTTATTATATAGGTTTTATGTTTTAGATACTGACTTTCTAGATGACAACTAACCTCCCTATAATATAAATCTCAATAAATGTGCCTAGACCCTAATTAATGTACACATATACATCTTACAAGTGTGTGTCAGCATACAAATAGATATGTACACATGCACATACTTGCTGGACTACAATAGGAGTGATTATTATTAAAAACAGAAGGCAGAGTGATTCAACATGTTATTGTTGAAATGACTTCCATGGTTGTCTTTTAAATATCAATCATTCAGTTTTTCATGCCAGGATTTTCATAATACATTAAGTGTGGCTTTAAACACATGAAAGCACTTTTGCTAAAAAACTGACATTATTGAAATATTGTAAGACATTTAAGGCATAAACAAGTTTGGCCTGTACATACAGCGTGAAATTCTGTCTGTTCTATGGCAAATGTCTATATGCTCCAAAGTCATAGATAGTTACTCAAAGCAGAAATAAATAATTAAAAATATGTAAATGTAGCACAGTTATCTGAATTATATTTGTTTCGATGACTGGTCAATGTTGGACTAAAAACATTTGCTCAGAGTGTTAATACATGTAATAAAAGAAAGAATTTATTAAAACAACCAGTGAATCTGATTCCCATAGTAGAAAAGCTTTTAAAATGTCAATAATAAAAATGTTTTAAAATTGACATTATTATTATTATATTGTATTATAAATATCATTTTAATAGAGTAATATTATTGTATCATCATATATTAAATAATATAATAATAAAAAAGTCTAAATGGAAAGTACATTCTCATAACTTCTGATTTTTTAATAACATTTAAAACACACATTTAGAAACTGAGAATTATGTAGTACAAACTTTATTCACATACATGAATTTTAAAAATTTTGTTATTAATAATATACTTTCCACTTTTCATAAAGTTCCCTTTGGATTGCTTTTCACTTGAATTACTATAGTCATTATTGAAATAAATAAATTTCCACTACATTATAAACAAACTTTTTAATTAGGTGCTGTACTTATTCTGTCATGAAACAGGGATATTAATGATTAAATTCATGGAATGTAACTAACAATGTAACCAGGTAAGCCACACTCATCAAGAGTTCATAAAATAACTGGAAACAACATCAGAGAAAAGTTTTAGACTATGTCCTAGAATATGCCTGAATGCCAGGAAATAGCAATGGCACCTATTATTTAATCGCCTTCTATGGGTCAGATGACAAGTCAGATGTCATATATGTATATATACACACACACATATATAACATATATAGAATATATATTATCTAATTCTTTTTTTTTTTTTTTTTTTTGAGACGGAGTCTCGCTCTGTCGCCCAGGCCGGACTGCAGACTGCAGTGGCGCAGTCTCGGCTCACTGCAAGCTCCGCTTCCCGGGTTCACGCCATTCTCCTGCCTCAGCCTCCCGAGTAGCTGGGACTACAGGCGCCCGCCACCGCGCCCGGCTAATTTTTTGTATTTTTAGTAGAGACGGGGTTTCACCTTGTTAGCCAGGATGGTCTCGATCTCCTGACCTCATGATCCACCCGCCTCGGCCTCCCAAAGTGCTGGGATTACAGGCGTGAGCCACCGCCCCGGCCCTAATTCTTATAAAATATTTATATTTTGATTTTCCAGACTACTGACAAGTTTTAGAGTTTGTTGAATACTAAAAAGCTGGAAAATGGCTAAACTGTCATTAAAAAACAAAAAGTCCGCCAAAACTGGAGATGCTTTTCCTCTACCTTGTAATACCTTTGTTTGCTGTGGGCGGGTGACACTTATCCTATTTTATGCCAGTACCATGCTGTTTTGGTTACAATAGCTTTATAGTATAATTTAGATTTTCAATATTAGTGCCCATGTCTCTCCCCCTTTGCCCCCACCTCACCATACACACACATAAGCAGAGCATTCTGTGATTTTGTTTTTGTGTTTGACATTTTGATTTTCTATAATAATTTGATCTAAAGTGAAACTCAGTGTATCCATTTTTTTTTAATGTGTCTAGGCATAACTGGCTAAAATTTCTAGAAAATCCCAAAGAAGATAAAAGTCAATAAAACCTCCAAAACTAAAATTATAAACTTTGGTAGGAAAATCACCCCAGTAAGTGAGGACAGGATGATTCATATTAAGACTTTAGGCCAAGAATTTGAATTTTTTAAAGTCCTTTTTTCCAAAGCACTAGCAATAAGGGATGAAGTCCAGATATGGACACAAGCAATCTAGCCTGAGACATTGCATTTTCCCTAAATAATATGTTTTCAAAGGAATTTCAAGCAATATTTAGAGATTCATTGAGGGTATTGACAAATATAGAATCTGAAAATTTTTATTTGAGAATGACTTAAAAGAAATGCATCTGCATATAAAAATGAAGAACAAAGAAAACATATCGATACTCAGAAGAAAACTGGAAAACTATATATATAAATAAATAGTTATGTCATATTGATTGACATGACAATTGTAAAAACTATCTCCACCGATATGCAATAATATACAGGAATGTACACCTTCTATAAAATAGAAATTGACAAGAAAAATAAAGCTGCATACAGAGATGAAAGGAACAAGACAAGGTGAATGTAAAATGTATAAAATACATACAATGAAATTAAAAAGCAATGGAAAACTTTTAACAAACATTGAATAAGACATACTATGGGAGAGAATCACTGATGACAATGTGATTGATAAACTTGAGTAAGTTCCCTCAAATGAAGAATAAAGAATCAAATATATGAAAATGAAGACATGATATTAAAAGAATATGTATTAATTAATTTCCACCTCAAGAATCATAAGTGTCCTGAGAATAAAAATTGGAAATAATTAAATTACTATTTTAAAATTAATTTGAGAAAACATCATTAAAATAAATACAGTGAGATCACATTCTGGTAACACATAGTCATAATGTGAAACACACATTGAGTGTTTCAGAATGCAAATATGTTCCAGATAAATAATGATGCCTCCTTAAAAGATATTTGGTTTACAAACACATACACACACACGCACACCACCAAACTCAAAAACAAAAGCAAAAATTAAAGGGAGGGTGAAGTGTGTTAGAAAAAAGAGAAAGAGAGAGTAAGAGGGTAAGAGGCAGACAGAAATAGAGAGACATCATGCAATTCTCAAATATTTAATGTCATAAATGAGTCACAATTTTTTATTAAATGAAATTAGTTGGATAGAAAACTGTAGGCTATGAGCCTAATTGTAAAAATTAAAATATGTACACATTGAAATACTAAAACATAAAGATCATATGCATATAAATAGCTTTTCTAGTGTTATCTGTAAATAAAATAAAGGAAAAGACCAACGTAAAGGGAATCAGTGGTTTAAATAATCATATATAAAAATAGCTTGATGTAAAATATAGCATATGTAGTGTTTACAATATATTAAATCCTTATATTTAGAACATTTATGATAAATGATATTGATGTTTTCTATTTGTATATGTATAATCTATATAATAATGTGTTGGGACTATAAGGCATCCTACAAAAATTGGCAGAGGAATAAGAATAGGCACTCTAAATGATAAAATACATTTTAAAAGGTAATAAAATTGTAACCACACAAAAAATAAAAAAATAAAAACAGAAAAATGTTAACAAGAAAGTAGTATAATTTTCTACTCATTAACTTGGAAAAGATAGAAATCAGTAGCTAATATAGCATCCAGAATGACACATCTGGAGGATGGTTTCATTCAGTGCTGGTGGGAGTATAAATTGATTAAAAATTTCTGAAAGACAAATTGGCAAGTACATTTCAAGCCTATGAATTTTTCAGAAATCTTCATCCAAAAAAACTTGCTTATAGGTTAACTTCCTATATAATATTCAGAAATATGTACTAATATGTATAGCTAAATGGGTTCATTAAAACACAATAACATCTAGAAACCGAGGCAATCTAAATACACATTGCTTAAATAGTCATATTGGCAAAGGCAGAATATTATGAGTTCAGTAATGTGTGTTTCTAAAATATTTTAATATCATAAAATCATAATATTTTTAATGAAATGAGGCAGGTAGAAAATTATATGCCTGATGTTATTCTAATTTTTAAATAAAAATATATATTCACTGAAATATAAGAAAATTAATAACTTGCTAAATTTCTGAATGTCAGAAATGGATGTAACACTTTTTGTGCATATTCTGAATGGAAATACATATCCAGAAGATACCCATAAATACCACTTGAAAAATAAAGTAAAATGAGTTGAAGTAGTGTTAGGTAAACAAACCACTGGCATCACAAGGCCTTTCCTCCTCCAGCTGCTCTTCTGGCCTGTCAGCCCATTCGTGGCAGTGAGAAGCCATTAGAGCAGGTGGCTGCTCATTTTATTTTGATATGGAAGATTAACCTCAGAGCTATTTCTGCATTTACTAGAAAACAGTGAGTCATGACAATTGTAAAAACTATCTCCACCGCTATGCAATCAAATTCTTTTATACCAGGGCTAACTCTAACAGGGAATGAATACTGATAAAGGATGCAAATTATTTACAATTTTTAAATTACTTTTTAAAAATTATTTTTCTCAGTTTTTCTGTCAACTATTTATAGATGAAAACATAATAGAAGGGTTATCGTTAACAATACCATAATGTTATTAGTTTTGTTTTTCAACGTGTCAAAGTGGAATTGTAACTAGTGATCTTGTGTTCAAATGAAACAAGGACTTATCTGTAACTCAAGAGAGTAGATATTTATCAATCATTATTTAGTCTATAATAATTCTGTTCATATATGCATGTTTCTTCCTGTTTTCAAGAGTGGCTGTGCTATATTCCCCCCAGATTCCTTTTAGTAATTAAGTAACAACACATTTTAGATCAATGTAAGCACTAGGACTATTTTGACCTTGTATTTGAAATAGTCTGCTACACTAGGGATGAGACATGCAAGATAAATTTAGAAGAAAAACTTAATTGGCATTTAGTGTGCATTGTTTGCTGGTTCAAAGAATTAGCCTTTGTGAATTTGTCCAGAACATTAATATTATCACACTGCAATCAGCATTTGTCAGTTCTCATCAAGAGTATCATCTACTTCTTAGGACTATCTTGGGTGTTTTCAGGCCATGTAATGGGAAACCAATTGGCAATAATGAGAGGTAGGTTGTAGATTTTAAAAATGGCACATTAATAAGTTGATAAAAATAGATATTAACCTCTCAAACAATATAAATATATGTTAAACTACCTCTAAATTTCTCATAGGAAATAAAATATATACAGTTTTGAATTTTATTCAGTGTATGAAATTGTAACATAATTTAAGTTTTACTAATAAAGATACTCTCGTAGGCTTACTATATATGATGCCTTGGCAAGCCATAAAAACCCAAAAACTACAACTCAGTGAGGTAATTTTTGATGAAATATGTACCCTTTTTAAAATATGACTGTGATAATTAATTTTGATGTGTCAACTTCCCTAGGCTATGCTACCTAGTTGTTGGATCAAACACTAGTCTAGACGTTGTTGTGAGGGCACCCACAAATATGACCAATATTTATAGTTAACTTTAAGTATAGCAGATTACCTTCCATAATGTTTATGAGCTTTATCCAATCAATTGAAAGTCCTAAGAGCAACAAAAGTTTACCTGAAGAAGCAATTAGGCCTGAAGACTGTCTGTTAAAAACCTACCTGAGTTTCCAGCATCAGACTGGCCTGCCCTGCAGACTTTGGAGTCAAGATTGCAGCATCAATTCTAACAGAATTTCTAGCCTGCTGGCTTGCTGTATGCATTTTAGACTTGCCACCCCCCACAATCACATATGCCAATTCCTTAATCTCTCTGTTTCCTCTCTCTCTCTTTCTCTCTTTCTGCATCTGTTAGCTCTGTTGCCCTGGAGAACTCTAACTAACACAGTGGCTGAATGTGACTGTAAGAGTTTCTCTAGAGTGGAGTCATTATGCTGTAAACATACTAGATATTGTCAAATTGTACCCATGTCTTATCCACTCTCTCTCAATTGGTTCCTTCTGGATGATTTCTTTTAAACAATCAAATGGTGCTTTTTCCAAAGACCACCTACGGACTAATCAGCTTACATTCCCCCATTGAAAGCCCATAAAAACACTGGACTCAGCCACACAGTCAACTATCCACTCTCACATCCCCTCTCACAGATGAGAGCTTTCCTTCTGTTGTTCAATAAAATTCTTCTCTGTCTTACTCACTCTCTGGTGTCTGCACACCTTATTCCTCTTGGTTGTGGGACAAGAACCAGGAACCCGCTAAACAGCAGGGGTGAAAAGAGCTGTAACATGCTCTGATTCACTGGACTATGGGAGAAAGAGCGTTATAACATGCTCCTGCTCAACAAGGTACAAGCTATTGGAATGAAGAGCTGTGACATCTCTTGGGGGCTCACACCTCAGGACTCCCTAAGCAGGAGCTGTAACACCCCTTGGGGCTCTGCAATTGCTAGCATCTCTGAGTTTTGGGGTGTCATCTTGTTCCCTTCATCCAGATGCTGGTGCACAATGCAGAAGCCACTCACAGCACACTGGGTCCAGCTGTAGGCTGAGGGTAGTGTCACGATCTTTGAGATCCTAGTGGGTATGAGCCCAGGCAGAGGTGGTGGTGGCTGCAGAGGTTTTTGGCTGCTGAAGCAGCACTGGAAGAATCCTGTAACAGGAATATCTACAATGTATCTAAGCCTCAGAAATAATTGGGACCAAATATAAAACTAACATTATGACTTTGTGTTTCTTGTTTCTACTTCACTTGGGATATGTGTTCCAGCCTCTCCCAGTGAAGGTCATCCTTTCTATAAGTGGAAAGTGGTTTGGTTGTCAGTATTTCTAAATTTTACATCTAAAAATTTCTGGTGTTTTCTTTCCCAGTTTTAATTTTTGGAGAAAAATGAGGAGGAAATTTGACTATCTTAGTTTGGGTCAAATGCCCATTGTTGGACCAGTCAACTGTATCTAGGAGAAAGGACTATAATCATCAACTTATTTAGAAACAAATGCTAACCACTAGACTAATCTGTCTGACTATAAAACAAGGGAAAATAAGAATCTGAATTTCCCATTTGTCACTACATAATGCAATCAGGCAAGGGACTTTTTTAGAATGAACAGCTTTTTCTGAGAAGAGAGGAGAACATTACATACAATTTAAATGAAGGATGTCTAGTACAAGTCTTATTTAAAGATAACCAGCCCTTGCTTAACTGACATATTGATTCTTGGACAACATTCTTAATGAAGGAAAGAAATGTTTCCACATACTGTGCTCCTAATGGCATGACATTTGCAGAATGATTTAATCTGATGTGCCTCAGTTTGCTTAAATAGGAAAAGAAGAAAACATTAGCACCTACTTAATAAAGCTGCCCAATGACATAATATACTGAAAATAAATATGTAATTGAAAACAGTATAATATTATATGAGATTCAGTTACAAGTTTTACTGACAATGTTACAGAGTTGCTTGCATTTGCTATGTTACCTCATAAATAAAATCTAAAATAGCAGTTAAATTAAAAGAACAGCTTTCATATGCTGATTGTTTGGATGTTAATTACTGTTCTCTGACTTAGAAGATGTAACTCAGAGGTTATTCATTTCTGAGTTTAATTAATTTCTTTGTGTCTAAGTATTTCATCAGAATATTTGGTATAATAATACATACTTTCTAGGATTGCCAGGATTCTATTAATTATCACTTAGAATAGTGCTTTACTATATAATAATTTCTCAGAAAAAGAGTAAAGGTAACCTGTTTTGCTGGCTTGTTTTTACAGTGTCTACATTTTTACATTCTTATTATTTGTAGACCTTTTTGGTTATTTCTCAAATATATTTTCTCAGAGAAAGAATAACAGAAAATTTATTGCTTCTAATTTGCATCATCAACACATCTAATCTTTGACATTTAAATTCAATTAACAGGAAAAAAGCTTTTAATATTTTTATATGATCTAGAGTCTCAAAAGTACTATGGTTCAAGTATCTATGCCAGACACATTGACATTAATTTCAGAAGCACAGCACAGAGTGAGTGGAGAATATTTTTCTGATATTTCCTTTCCTCCATAGACCATGGACCTCCCCAATTATCATTCACAATCTATGCTTTTATGGTAATTGTTATGAGTCAAGTTTATGTCAGCAAAATTATAGAAAATCAGATAGAGTCAGAAATATATTGATAATTTATGCATGAAGCAGAATAAGTCATAAATATATGATTAATGACCAGTCATTAGAGATAAATAATTATCCAAAACTATCCACAACAATATTCACTCTCACTAAATTAGCACTTTCTCACTAATATTCTACATAATATTTATAGAATGATTAACTGAAGACTTTTTAGTAAAAAAGTATTTAAATAAGAAACAAAAAAAAGATTCAATGAGTACTTACATCTCATATTTTTTACCTTTTTTAAGCTTATGAGTTATACCTTTTGCATGCTCAATTACAAAACAATATTTTTTCATTGAGAAAACTCAAGTGTTTAAAAATGCTACAATTAAAAATCTTAACTTTCTATTTTTAAAAAGTATAAATTTCATCAAAATAAAACATTTCATCATTCTGTTATAAAATACTGACAATGATACATTAAAAATATTTTTCTGTATTCAATTCTTTATTAGAAGTATTTCATTTAAATAAAGATTACAAAATAACACAAAAGAAGTATTTCATTTATATGAAGATCACAAAATATTTGACACAAACTAATAAAATATACCAAATTGTGTACAGGTTGTATCAGGAAACCTAAAAGATATATAGTTCGCTAAACAGGGGAAGTAAATCTAAGTTAGAACTTTAAGAACAAGCAGTATTTATTATAAAAATTTGGAAAACTAAAGCCCCCAAAACATAAAATATTTTAAATACATTTTTAAATTACCAGAGCTTTATAATGTATAACTTAAAATATTGAAGATATTTATAAGTGCCATGTTGTCTATTCTATACTTTTAATAACAATAGGAACACTGCAATAAACTAGAAAATTAAATGTGCAACTAACAGATTTTAAGAAGCAATATATATATTATTTCATTGTATTCATTTGTAATTAAATTGAATAGCAAGAGATTCTCTGTTATAATCAAGATGTTTTATGAAAAAGAATCAGTCTGAAATCTTAATTCACAGATGAAATTATAAGTAGCAATCATTTAAATTTATATGTACTTCAAGAAGGCCTTTGAATACATCACTAGAAAATCCTCAAGAACTTAAAAAATATGAATATTAGGAAAACTGATATTCTAGTAACCCCCAACTGATTGGAGGATAATGTTAAACAGACGGTGATGACAGATCTGGAATTAGCTTGAACAAGTGGTATTTCCCAGAGGTCAGACCTGGTTTCAGTTTTTAAAAATATCTTTTTGATGACCTGATTGAAAAAGTTTCGAGTGTGATTTTTACATTTTTTGAAATGTTTTTTGATTGTGTGTGTGTTTATTAAACCAATGTAATTTACAAACCTAAACTTACATAATTCAAACATTTTTATAAACATCTTTTGAAAATTATGGTCATTATTCAACATTGTTCAAATATGTAGTAATTTAATATAGAAGAGTAAAGCCCTCTCTAATGTTTGAGCAATATAGCAAATAGCAAATATATATATATATATGTGTAGTTAAGGAGGAAACTTTACATCCATACCTTTATAATTTGGTTCAAGTAAGTAATTTTAGTTTGTACTGAATTATGGCTTTTAATTTACTTGACCAAAAATTAGGAAAAGTCTTCGGCAATGTAGTGAATATTACATTTCTATCACTCAGTGTTCTGATACCCTGGAGATTCCCTAGTCGTAATGAGTTTATAAAATCAACTAAAAGATGTTCTTTCCTTAAAATGATTCATTTAAATTCTGTACTCTCTAAATATATGTTTTATACCTTATAATTATTTATATGACAAGTTTTGATGACTATTTCTAAAGTAAGCTTAATGATTCAAAACCTACTTTCAATGAAATGTCACTACATTTTCACAGATTTTTAAAATAACTTCTCAGTGGATAATGTCCTAAAGTTGACTAAAAAGAAAGACATTTTGCAAAATAATAATTTTATGTTTTCTTTTTCTATTCATTAGGTGAAGCAATTTTGTATTACACATGAGTGTAATTTTTACTCTTTGTCTCTGATTGAAATAAAGTAAACGGCTTTGATAAAACTGGTTATTCACACCTGAAATTGACAGTGTTGAAACAAATTAATAAAATTAGTATCCTGGCACAATTATGGTCTTCAAGCAAAAGTGATGACACGCAAAGCAAAAATCAGATAACAAGCTTATTCCTTTGTTGGCAGATGCATTCTAAATTTTTTGAATAAGACTATCTTCCCAGTTGTGTAATGATGATATGTGAATAATAAGCAAGCAAGTGTTGCTATCTATCATAATCTTTTTACATATATATGCATATAAACCAAATTTTAAAATGTATTCAATACAGCTAGAAAGCAAAATGCCTTTAAACCTTGATATTATCCTTGTGAAATGATTGCCTCTGGAAAGAAAAGGGAAGAAAGCAAACAAGCAGTACCCATTAATACATTTTCGACTGAATTAAATTGTCTGTTGCACACTCAGTAAATCTTTTATAAGTTTATGTCTTTTGGTTTCAAAACACTTTAATTTACTGTAAAAAGTAATAGGGTTTCTGTCATCAATATGTGATTTGTAATGCCTTAATAAAGAGTATGATGTCTTATACCCAACTTCTGTGGATAAAAATCTAAAGTTTCATGTGCCCTTAGAAACTCAATATTGTGGTGCAGGCTGTATATTTTGGTATAAGAAACCATAAATATTACATGGATAATATTTATTGTTTTCAACACTTCTTTTTTGAAACAAGTAAACGTGTATATTGTGGGCCAGCTTTGAAAAATGCCAGTATTTCCACTATTTAATGTATGTTCAACATCACTTTAATAAAGTTTGAGTACAACAGAGACCCATCTCTTTCCTTAATGTACTGCATAATTAATGATTAATTTCCTGTGGCCAAGAAAAATACTGGTGACTTAACATACAGGATGAACCCTAACAATTTCTCCTATGCACATTCATATTATTTTGTTTTTGCAAATTAATAGAGGCACTCAGGAATGTAGTCTTTAATTGCTAAATAAATGTGTTTCCTAGATAAATGCATTGGTCAATAGTGATAAGCATAACAAAGGTATATTTAAACAGTTACCGTTATTTTTTAAGTCTTTTATTTTTCTTGTTGGTTGCATTATTATAATCTACTATTACCAGCATTGCTCAGTTAGAAATCTTATGTATATTTAAATGATTAATTCAAAGTTACTGTATACAATAATTATTGCTGAAGTCAATAGCACTCATGCTGATATAGATGAATGGATTACATATCTATAGGTGAGAAACAACAGTCCTACATAGACTTAAATACCATTCAATTCATGCCATCTTGATAACACAAAAGGGAATATCACTACGTTAAAATTGGAAAAGCAATTTTTAAGTTCACATAAAATCTAATTCATTTTGAGAGCTTAAACCTGTGAACTCAAAAGCACCTGAGACAGGTCTCAAGCAGTTTAAAAAGTTAATTTTGTCAAGGTTAAGGATGAGCCCATGACACAGCCTCAAGAGGTATTGATGACGTGTTTCCAACGAGGTTAGAGTACAGCTCGCTTGCATAGATTTTAGGGAGACATAATACATCACTGAATACATGTAAGATATACATTGATTTGATCCGGAATGGTGAGACAACTCAAAGCGGGGCTTTCAGCTCATAGTAGACTTAAAGATTTTCTGACTGGCAATTGGTTGACATAGGTAAGTTATTTTCTAAAGAACTGGAATCAATAGAAAGGAATGTCTGGGTGATGATAAGGGATTGTGGGGAGCAAGTTTTATCATGCAGATGAAGCCCTTAGGTAGCAGGCTTCAGAGAGAATCGTTTGTAAATGTTTCTTTTCAGACTTAAGGTGTGTGTTGATGTTAATGCTGGTCGACTTTTCCTGAATTCCAAAAAGAAGGAGGGTAAAATGAAGCATATCTGACCCCTTCTTGCCATCATTGCCTCCACTAGTTATTCAGGTTAACTTTGGAATGCCTTTGGCCAAGAGGAGGTGTTTGTTCAGATGGTTGGGAGCTTAGAATTTTATTTTTAATTTACAAACACAACCAAAGACATATTGTTCATTGACACAAATTCAATTCCTGAATGAGTCTTGCCAGTTTTGTAGATTTTTAATGAATATCTGAGTGCCCATATTTATTTTTCATTAGTCAAATATTTTGATACCTTGGAAATATGAAGATTAAAACTAAACAAACATAATAGTTTATTATAAAAAGTAGTCAATGTTTTCTGTATTATTACTTGTGGTGCTGGTGTCAAATATCAATTTCATACATGAAAATAATATTCCTCTGTTCTGGAATTATTAAAAGCTTTTTTTCTGTATGATCATATGAAATGTCGTGCTAATTTTACCCTGTGTGTTTTATTCAATACATTTGAGTTAAAAGAGGAAAATAAGCCTCTATGCACATTGAAGTTAGTAATTTAATTATATAATATGTCCATGTCGAAGTCTAGGAAAGCTGAAATCACAAGACAAAAATCAATGAGTCCTATTAAAAACTTTTTGTGGAGAAATCATATGCCCTGCAACCATCAATCACTTCAGTAAAAAATACCAGGCAATTAATACACTATTCACTTTTAACCTTATACATAAAGGTTTTTGCCTGATATATTTACATTTTAATGTTATATAATCAATAAAACATGTGATGACTATTATTTATAAGTTTATATGTTTTCACTTCCATCTTCTTTAGTAAGTGTCAGAATAAAAGAATATAGTCAGGCAAAGAGAAAATAAGAAAATTATACTAGACACCTATAGATTAAGTTCATAACTGAACGTATTTCAATGAGTGTTATATAATGAGAATGACAGGTAATAGAGGAGAACGAAGAAAGGTCATCATGGTAACTAGAAAGCAAAGAACATTTTATTGGTGTTGAAATTTGAATTAATTCATGTTCATATTCTATATTAGTCACCTGATCAATTCCAAAGCTATGAAACAGAATAAATTGCATAATGCAGAATTATTTTCTTTGCAGGTGATGGTATTACTTAAAAAAGTTCTGGTTCTGCTAGCTAATGTTGATGTTGCACTATTGTTTGTAGACAGAAGAAATTATCAACCTTCCAACTAGCCTAGTTGCCAGAAAAGCAGTTCATTTCAACTTCCAGGAATAGAGTCAAAGTACCAAAAATGTGTTTAAAATGTGGAAACAGAAAACAGAATTACTGGTTTTTAAAAAAATTGAAAGATGTATACAGACATATATGTTACAAATGTCTGTAATAAAAATATATATTCCAACTAGTAAATACATATACATAATTGTTATAATGATGGTAATATATAGTTATCACATACCAGCACTGTGCTAAGATTTTTCCTCATAGATTTAACTAAACAGCAAAACGCAAATATTTAATAGTAGAAGTATTAGCATAAGTTTACCTCCATGATACCATCAGCACAATGAAGATAATGAACATATTCATCATTCCCTACAACTCCTTTAGGCCCCATTGTAATCCCCCTGTCCCTCCTTGTTGCTTCTCAACCACAAGCAAGTATTTTTTGCTTTGTGATGCTATTGTAAATCATATTATTTTCTTAATTTTATTTTTGACTAGTCTATGTTGGTGTACAGAAGCACAATGATTTTGTGTAAAGTGTAGCCTGCACTTTACTGAAATCTAAAAGCTTTTTAGTGAAACCTATAAACTTTCCTATATATAAAATCATGTCATCTGCAAACAGAAACGACTTAACTTCTTTCTTTCCCATTTAGATGCTTTTTTTAAAATATTTTTTTTCTTACCTAATTGCTCTGGCTATGATTTCTAGTACTATGTAGAATACAAGTGGTGAAATTAGGAATCATGTTGCTGATACAGATCCTAGAGAAGCTTTTAGCTCTTTGCTATGGATATGTTGGCTGTGGGCTTGTTATGTGTGACCTTTATTTTGTAGACAAACATTCCTTTATACTTAAATTGTTCGGAGTTATTACCATAAAATGATGTTACATCTTGCCAATACCTTCTCTACATCTATTGAGATGTTCATATTTTTAAATTCATTTTATTAATGTGATTTATCACATTTTTAATTTTCAATATTGAAACATTTTTGCATCCCATGCATAAATCCCACTTGAGCATAGTGTATGATATATTAAATTGCTATTTAGTTTACTGCACTAGCATTTTGTTGAGAATTTTGCATCTGTATTTATCAGAGATATTTGCCTATAATTTTTTTTGTAGTGTTCTTGTCTGGATTTTGTATTTGAGTAATGCTGATTTTGTAAAATGAATACTTCAGTATTCCTTGCTCCTCAATATTTTGGAAGATTTTTACAAGCATTAATATTAATTATTTGTTAAATATTGGCTAAAAAGCATTCATGAAGTCACCAGGTTCTGGGCTTTGATAAGACACTTTTTATTAGGGATTCAATCTCCTTACACATTATTGGTGTATTGAACTTTTAATTTTTTATTCAATCTTATTAGGGTGTAAGTGTCTAGGAATTTACTCATCTATTCTAGTTTATCCAACTATCTGGTATTTACTCGTTCATAGTAGTGTCTTATCTTTCGCATTTCTGTGGTATCAATTGTACTTCCTCCTCTTTCTGATTTTATGTATTTATCTCTTTTTCTTCTTTCCTAGGTAAAGGATTGACAATTTTGTTTATTTATTTGAAAAAACAACATAGTTTTATTTGTCTTTCCTATTATTTTTCAGGCCATTATTTCATTTATTTTTGCTGTGATCTTTGTTATTTCTTTTCTTCTACAAATTTTGGGCTTAGTTTATCTTTCTTTTTCTATTTTCTTGTGTTATTTATTTGAGATATTGCATTTTTCTTCATGCAGGCATTTTTACCATAAACTTCTTTCTTAGAATTTTTTTAGATGCATCCCTTAGGTTTAGGTATATTGTGTTTTATTTTTGTTTTAATATTTATTTATTTTACTTCCTCTTTGAACCATTAGTTGTTTAGATGTGTGTTAAATTTCATCTGTTTGTAAGTTTTCCTCAATTTATTTTATCTATTTCTAGTTTCATGCCATTTTAATCATAAAAGATACTTGATATGATTCAGTCTTAAATTTTTTAAGACTTGTTTTGTGACCCAGAATATGGTCTATTCTCCAGAATGGTGTCTGTGAGCTAGAGCAGAATGATTTCTACTGATGTTGGAAGTAATATTCTGTATAAATCTGTTAGATCCACTTGATCAAAAGTGTAGTTCAATTCAATGTTTATTTATTTATTTTCTGACTTGATGATCTCTCTATTATTTAAAGTGCTATATTGAAGTCTCCTACTATTATTGTATTTCTATCTATTTCTACTTTCAGATATGTTAATATTTGCATTTCATATTTAGGTAGTCTGATGTTGTGTAAATAGATATTTACAATTGTTACAACTTTTTGATAAATTAAATCCTGTATTATTCTATAATGACCCTCCTTGTCTCTTGTTACAGTTTTTTACTTAGTCTTTTATCTGATATAAATATATTTGCTTCTGCTCTCTTTTCATTTCCATTTGCATGAAATATCTTTTTCCATCCTTTCACTTTCAATCTATATGTGTCCTTAAAGTTAAAGTGAATCTCTTGTAGGTAACATGGAGTTGGGTCTTTTTCAAATCCATTCAGCCACTCTATGTTTTTTTATTAGAAAATTTACTCCATTTATATTTAAAGTATTGATTCATAAGGACATAATATTGCCATTTTGTTAATTATTTCCAGGCTGCTTTGTGGTTACTTTATTCTTTTCTTTCTCTATTTCTGCCTTACTTTGTAATTTGATGATTTTATATAATAATATTAATTATTTTCTTTCTTTTTGTACTTAGTATATATTTTTTGTCTTGTGGTTACCATGGGGCTTACTTAAAATATTTCATAGTTATAACCGTCTATTTTAAGCTAACAACAGCTTAACTTCAATTGCAAGCAAAACATACACTTTCAGTAACACTGTCACAAACATTTAAGGTTTTTGACATCACAGTTTACTTTTGAAATTGAGTATTAATTAATACATTATTGTAGCTACAGTTATTTTTAATAGTTTTCTTTTGATCTTTACATTATATTTAAAATAATTTAAACATCATTATTATATTAGGCTATTTTAAATTTGACTGTCTACTTCCTTTTACCAATGACTTATTTATTTTCATATATCTTCATGTTACTAATAAGTATTCTTTTTTTTCAGGTGGAAGAACTTTTAGCGTTTCTTGTAAGGAAGCTCTAGTGGTGATGAGTGCCCTCACTTTTCAGTAGTCTGGGAAGGTCTTTATTTATCCTTCAGTTCTGAAAGACAGCTTTTCTGGGTAAAATATTATCGGTTGAAAGTTTCTTTTCTTTCTTTTTTTTACCAATACATTGAATATATCATCCTAATCTCCTGACCTGAAAAGTTTCTGCTGAGAAATCTTCCAAATTCCCTTGTATCTGACACATCTCCTTTTCTACTTTCAAAATTCTATCTTTGTCTTTGGTTACTGACAATTTGCTTATCATATGTCTTAGTGAAGTCCTCTTTGGGTTGTAACTGGAAATCTTTGACCCTCACATACTTAGATGTCCATATCTTTCCCAATATTTAAAGAAGTTATATTATAAAGTGGGGAGAAGACAAAGAGTCATAAAAGTAGGTGATGTTTCTGTGCTACAATCAAACTGATAGAATAAAAACACCTGAAAACTGTGACAAGTTATACATATATCACATAATAACTAGAGCAACCACTAAAGAATGTGATATGCTCAAAATCACTACAAATAAAAAAATAGAACTCTATAAAAATCAAGTAACAAACTTGAAAGTAGGAAAAACCAACTGAATAAAATAAAATAAAATAAAACAATAAATAAAAACAAAAAAGAGAAATAGACAAATTCACAACTACCATTAAAAATTTCAACATACCTGGCTTGAGATTTGATAAAACAACGGGAGAGAACATCAGCAAAGATACAGAAGAACTCAACAATATCAACCAATAGAATGTAATTTATATTTTTAGAGCATTCCACCCAACAACTGCAAAATGCAGATTATTTTCAAATGTCACATAACTTATGCCTAAATAGATCATACACTGGGTTATGAAACAAACCTCAATAAATTTAAAAGATTAAGATTAAAAGATTAAAAGACATTATTGCCTACATAAAAAAAACCACAAAGACTTCTCAACAAAACTCCTAGAACTAATAATTGAATTCAGAAATGTGATACAAAACAAGATAAACATTTAAAAAATTGTATTTTTATATACCACTATGAATATCTAGACACTAAATTTTTTAAAAAAATATGCAATACTATTGACAATGATCAGAAAAATAAAAAATATACTAGGTGTAAATCTAACAAAACATGGACAGTTGTTATATGCTTAAAAGTAAAAAATGCTGGTCAAAGCACTTTTCAAAAAGACCATAATAAATGGAAAGACATATGTCCAGAAAATTGAAGTTGTTAATTTTTCCCAAATTTATATACAGTATTTTTGCAATTTCTATCAAAATCCCTAGCACATGTTTTTGTAAATATAAATGAAATTATTCTAATGTTTATATCAAAAGACAAGAAAGCTAGAATAGGTAAAACAATTTTAAATGAGAATAAAGTGGAAAATATAAATCTACCCAGTTTTAAGTTTTAATATCTAACTGTAGCAATCAGGAATTCTGGTACTACCAGAGGGATGAAATACACACAAACACACCCAACTTATTTTTGATGAAGTTGAATAAGCAATTCAATGAGAGAAGTGTAAACTTTTCTATATATGATGCTGGAGATATTGGACATCCTCTTGCAAAAAGAAAAACTGAACTTTGGCCTAAGCCTTATACCTTAAACAAACAAGAAAACTAACACAAATTTTAGTAAAAACATATAGAAAATAATATCGGAGGGGTCTATGGCTGGATAAAGAGTTTTTAGACTTGATACCAAAAACACTGTCTATAAAATTAAAATAATAATTTGGTTCCCATCAAATTTAACGAAAAATAATTTATCTGTGAACAACTGTGTTAAGAAGATGAAAAGACTAGATACAGATTGGGAGGAATTTGCAAAGGACATGTCTGATAAAAGGATAGAATATATAAAGAACTCTCAAAACTCATGTTTAAAAAAGTCACTCCATTTGAAAAAATGAGCAAAAGACATAAACAGACATTGCACTTAAGAGAATATACAGAGAGCAAATAAAGACATGAAAACTTCAACATCATCAGCCAACAGGGAAATGCAAATTAAACCACAATGAGATCACCATTTATCAAAATAGTTACATTGAATTAAATTTTTAAAGTATATATTGACAGTATCAAATATTGGGAAACTGGATCTCTAATACACTTCTGAAAAATGGTTTGGTGGATTTTCTAAAGAAATGAAGATCTTTATCTGGTTCATACAAAAACAAACACAAAAAGGTTTATAGCTGCTTAATTTGTTACACCAAAAACTGCAATCCAGGTAACCTTCAACTAGAAAACGTTAAACACACTCTGTTATATTTATACCATGAAATACTACTGAGCAATATAAAGGAATAAACTGTTGATATATGCAGCATACTGGATGAACTACAGAGAAGTACGCTTAGTAAAAAATCCAATCACAAGTGATTGCATGCTATATTACTTTTGAAATGACACAACTATAGAAATGGAAAACTGATGAGTGGTTAAAGAGCTGGTAGAGAAGGAAGGAAATGGTTGTGGCTTTAAGAGCGCAACATATCAGATCCTTTTAGTGACAGAAATATTTTGTATCATATCTGTATCTGTATCTCAGATATATATTGTAATATTGCTTTGTAAGGTGCCACCATTGGGAGAAACAGTGCAGAGTACATGAGGTCGGGCACGGTGGCTCATGCCTGCAATCCCAACACTTCAGGAGGCCGAGGTGGGTGGATTACCTGAGGTCAGGAGATTGAGACCAGCCTGACCAACATCGTGAAGCCCCGTCTCTACTACAAACACAGAAAGTAAGACCGACGTGGTGGCATACGCCTGTAGTCCCAGCTACTCGGGAGGCTGAGGCAGGAGAATGGCGTGAACCCGGGAGGTGGAGCTTGAAGTGAGCCGAGATCGTGCCACTGAACTCCAGCCTGGGCAACAGAGCGAGACTCCATCAAAAAAAAAAAAAAAGTACATGAGAGATCCATCTGTATTATTTCTTATGACAGCGTGTGAAATTATCTCCAAATAAATGTGAATCTATCTCCAAATAAAAAGTTTAATTAAAAAAATGAATAGCCACATGGGTAGTAGCTGCCATCTTGGGCAACACAATTCTATACTATAACTATTATATCTTATGCATGTATCCTCCCCACTATTTTGTGAAGAATTTAAACGTGCAGGCTTTCTTAAATGTATCTATTTTAAGTAAAGTATCTCACACTTGCCTATAGTACAATAGACAGTCAATAGATGTTAACTTTTTGGATACTTTTTTATGTGATTTATAGATATTTTGTTTTGTATTTTCTTTCTTTTGGCTAAATTAGACTACTAAGTTTCATGAGCTGAAATGGGGATTTTTATCACTTCATGTCTATAGTCTCAGCATAGAGGTGATGTTTAATAAGTTTCACTTTATAAATCTTCAAAGCACATCAAAGGTCTGTGCATTGAACTTACTAGTATAGTGAATAAGATTCTATGCTATAAATTGTCCCATTAGCATTAAGTCTCGAGAGAGCTGAACTTCTGCTCCCATGAACAAACATGCTACAGTCTCTCACCATATCCAAGCGGCACCAGTGTGTGCTTGTCATTAAGGGTGAGTAGCCAAATGCTAGGATTTCTGAAAACATGAGTAAGACAGAGGGAGAGAATCCAGAGACATTATTTCCATAAGATAAATTATTTGTCAGCAAACAGAAGCTAACAGCCTCTGGGTAGGAGTTCTGGAATTAAAATAAGATTATGAACAGAGACCAGTATATAGAATGCAAGGACTTTGCATTTAAAAGAGATTTTAGGAATACGTATGATTCCAAGTTAGAAATTCCAGGAAGAAGCCAAATTTGGAAGTCAAAATTGAAAACTGTAAAACAGATATTTAAGATTAAGCAGGATGAAATTAATAAAATCATTTCAGTTTTTTCCTTGAATATTCCATAAATATGAATTACAGGAATTTCATGTATATCTGGTCTCAGGTTATGACCACTCTTAAGTGAATGTTTATAATGCTCTTAAAAATCTGGTTGGGCGCAGTGGCTCACGCCTGTAATCCCATCACTTTGGGAGGCCGAGGCAGGTGGATCACCTGAGGTCAGGAGTTCGAGATCATCCTGGCAAACATGGTGAAACCCTGTCTCTACTAAAAATAAAAAAAACTTAGCTGAATGTAGGGGCACACACCTATAATCCCAGGTACTCCGGAGGCTGAGACAGGAAAATTGCTTGAACCCAGGAGGTAGAGGTTGCAGTGAGCTGAGATTGCACCACCGAACTCTAGCCTGGGTGACAAAACAAGACTGCGTCTCAAAAAGAAGTAAAAAGTCACCTAAAGTGTTGATTCAAAATGTAGATTTCTGGGATCATCATAAAATATTATTGTTAAACATGTCTGGTGTGTATCTGTATGTGCATGCCAATTAACAACCCATATAATTATGATGCAAGTAATTGGACCAAATTTAGGAAGAAGCCCTGCCCTATAGCTGAGAAGAAACTAGTCCTCCAGGAGTGACAAAAGTCTCTGCTTGTGGAGATGAGGTAATGCAGAGATGAATCTGGCATTAGTTGCCAAAAATACATTTGATAACTGATTTACACATGCCACAAAGTATATTTATTTTGAGCCCAAGACTGATGGCCCTATACTTCACATGACTAATTGAAATTAATAAAAGTAATTATCCATAGAGCATACTGGAGTTTGCCTTTCTCTGCCAACTCATTTTTCTTGTTTCTCAATAAATGCTACTAGGAAGCAGGAGAAAATGATTTTGGGCAATAAATTGTTGAACCCTGTGGAAAGCCATTTTTAACGATAGGTCACCTTTCGACCTTAGAATTAGGAGGAACTAGGTTACTTCTCTAAAGTGCACTAATCATAACCCTTGTAGAATTAACACCAACTAGGCTAAATAAATGGACTGTGTAAATTACACAAGTGGATATGTTGTCAGTTTGCCTTGCTAACCTTCACTAAAGCGGGAGTCACTGCTCTCATTAATTCTTCATTTTCTCAAGTTAATTAACTAGTGTGTGGTGCAGTGTCCTCATTTTAAAAAATGAAATAATACTATATTAATATAAGGTGTTGAGATGGTTGATTACATTTTTATAAAACTCTGCAAGATTAGTGAGAGAAATAATGCCAAGCTTAAATCATGTTAAGATTGCATTTAAATATCTTAATTATAGTTGTAAAATTTATAATTAAAATATAGCATAGGATAAGCTCCAATCTATATTATTATATTACCATATTTGTGTAGACTATATCTCCATCACATGTTGTAAATGCAGGCAAATTCTAACTGCTGCTCAAAGTTCTGCTTTAAAATTCTCTTTTTCAGTATTTTAACATACACTCATAGTCTTTGGGCATTAAAATATTTTGGAATATCTTTAAATGTCTTTGAAGGGCTATCAGACCACATCATACGACCTCTGACCATTTGCTATAACTAAAATTCACAGTGATAGCTTATTTAAGGGTAAATGACGGATTAACACAATAATCGCTCTGATGAGTGCTTTATAGCTAGACTTGACCATTTTCTTTTATGGTCTAGAAGGACCATATGGTTTATAAGAACACCATCAGGATAGTTCTTACAATTGAAATAAAAGAATGTGCCTTGAAATACTCTTTACAAAAATGTTACAATAGGTTGATTTAGCTAACTTAGTAAAACTGTTTAAAAACACCTGAAAATCAACCAGCGTAATCACCTGATGTTACCTTTGAATACACAGCAATTTGTTCTTTTTTTGGTTTGTTTTTTATATTGGTTCTAGAAAGTATGTGAAATTGCATATGCACATTTGTAGATATATGTGTGTGTGATGTTTATATAAAATTTTAGTAATCAAGGGCTTTGAAAAATACTTCCCTTCTATTTAATTCCTATATATTCCCAATGTGCTCTGTGAACTTTATGGCTCATTTCATTATGACAGATAAGCAGAAATCCATTCCCATAGCAGAATCGTCAAGACAGATCTGCTTAACTTACATATTCAAAAAATACTACTCATTCTTAAAAAGGGGGGAAGCTTTTGCAACGACATGAATGGACCCAGAGGACAGTATGCCAATTATAATGTCAGGAATTAAAAACCAAATATGACATGATTTCACTAATGTGTAGATTCTAAAAGACTTGAACTCATAAAAGAAGAGAAGACAATAGGGTTTACCAGAGTCTGGAAGAAGTGGAAGATGGAAAAAAGGTGGATATTGATCAAAGGGTACAAAGTTTCTGTTAACTAGGAGGATTAAGCTTAAGCAATGAAATCTATTGCAGTAGAATAGTAACTAAAATAAACAGTAATGCATTGTACATGTAAAAATTGCTAAAAATAAGTTTTTAAATAATTTCAGTACAAAAAATAGGTACTCATGTGGGGTGATGAATTTGTTAATTAGCTTGATTTAATCATTTCACATTGTAAACACATATCAAAACTTCACATTATACCCCATAGTTATGCAAAATTATTTGTATAAATTTTTAACATGTAATTTGAGCCAATTACAGAATTAACACATTAGAAGCAAATTGAGTGCTGTGAGAATGCCAAATTATCTTAATAACTGTCCATACATTTAGAAGAAAAACTTTTGAAGTGTGGAACTTTGAAAAAATGTATATCCATGACCAAAAGGAAGGTGTGAGCAAGAGTCATTTATATTTGACTAATGCCTATTAAGTAGAAAACTTGAAGTTATCTTTTCAAATTTTGTAAGTAAAAAATATTAAAATCTTATTAGTAAACATTGTTTTTCCTAGTGGCATGAGAGTAGAAAAATAATCATTTTTATAATTAGTCTATTAATTCAAAAGGTATTATCCTTTCTGCTTCTATAAAACTATTGGTGATATGATAATTTCTATACATATCTACTTGTGTAAACTCTGTTTTTTTTTTTGTATTCTCTTCTCTTTAAATATTGATAAGTTCTCAGGATTCTCTTCTATGCTCATTTCTAATTTTATATTCCCTTCCTGGATACCTTATCCACTCCTGACCAATACTATTTTTTTTCTATATTTATTTCTCCATGCCAGATCACTGCTGGGAGCACCAAACTATGTACCAAAGTGCCTAATGGATACTACTAATTGGATTCTCATAGTCCAGTAAGAAATATAGTGCCTAAAACATAGGAAATTCCCTATTGTTGTTAAAACATCCCCCATCCCAACAAATGTTACGATGCTTAGCCTAACTGGTCAAGTCACAAATTTAAGCATCACCTTATTCTTCTCTTCCTTCACCTACTGCAATCTACCCACATGTTACTTTCATTCCACTTCCTAAATTGTTCTCTAATCCCTCCATCTTTTTCAAACTCTACTACCACAACCCTAGTCAAAGACTGTTTCTCTCACCTAGATGACCACATTGTCCTCTTACCCAGTCTATCTTTTTTCTCTCTTGTGCTTCTCTAATCTATTCTTCAATTGCAGTGTTAATAACATTCCTAAATTAAATTCTGATTGTGAAGTACCAATGCTTAAAGCCTATCAATAACTCCTCATTGCTAAACTCCATACTACATGTCATACCTAAAATTCCCTTTATAATTCTTGGCCCTTGCTTAATTCTTTAATTACCTCAATCTGACACTTCTTTCTTTATTCAAATTCTAGAAAATACTGATGATGATCAGTTTTCTGATTATGTCATATCTTTTTTTTTCCTTTATGGATCATTGTTTCAATCAAAATGAACTCTTTGACTTCTACCCAATTCTTCCATTCCCTTTGCAACATAATGTGAAGGAGTTTTCTCGCACTCTCTACTCGTTTTCTCACCTGCTGTTGCCTTCTCAATGCATTACACTTCCATATTCAACTCCAACACACCTAAAACTGTTCTTGTTAAGAACTTTAGGCAGATGAAGCTAATAATCACTATTATATTCTTATTTGTTTTTCACTGATATTCAAGAGGTGTGTCTGTTCTTTCTTTCTTGAAAAAAATAAAAAAATAACTTTTTTCTTGGCTTTTGTAGCAACAATTTCCTTATTTGCCTATGATTTTACTGGGTAATTTCCTAATTTTTCTTATTAGATGTACTTCTTTTTTTTTGGTCTCTTTTTAAGTGGTGGTAGGCCAGAGATTAGTTCAAAGTCCCTATTTTACCCTCTGCACAGTAACACTAGATGGACTCATTCTGTCTCAGGGTTTTAAATGCCATCTATGGGTTGATGGCTCAAAAGTTGTAACTCTGAATTTCTGTTCTCCATACTCACGGACCTAATTGCTTACTTGAAGTATTCAGTTTAATATGTAGATTTGTCTCCCTTACTCATTTTTACCAAACTTATCCACCTTCATAAATGGCACCACTCATAATTTGCTGAAGACAAAATCCTAGAAATAATATTTGATTCTATTTTTCCTAAAACTGACATATACAATACATTAGCAACTCCTTGAGCTCTGCGTTTAGAAATTCTTCCATGAACCTCAAGGTCTAAGGTCTGTGATCTTTTGAGTAACCTTAGAGCACACTGTATTTTTCCTGCTCATGGGTAAACTCTTTGATAGTAAAGACAGCTTCTATCTCTTTTACAATTATTACACCAGAACCACCTACCAAACCTCATAGACATATGTATAAATGTAAATATAATTTGAGTAAATTTTATAGTAGTACATCTTTTACATTCCCCAACATGCCTCTCTCTATATATGTTTATTTTTCTCTGCCAGCAATAGAGCTTATTTAGTTTTACATGCTGAGTTCTCAGATAAGAAAATGAAGCAAAATTTTTCCAACATTCTTTATTGCAGTGCTTCCAAATCTTTAATGTACATATGAAACAAGTACAGATGTTGTTAAAATGCAATTTCTGGTTTAAAAGTTCTGAAGTAGAGCCTGAATTTTTCAATTCTGACAAGCTCCAAAAAGAAGCAAGCATTGCTTGCTTGACCACACTTTCACTGGCAAAGATTTAAAGACAATCAGTATTACAGCTATATGATTAAAATAATTTAAGCAATAAATTAAATAAAATTTGGGGAATTAAAATACAACCTAACTTTTTATCCAGATCTAGCAAGTGGTATTTTTATTTTTATTGCAACCTTTCAGAATTCATATTAGGATATTTTAAAGTCTAAGTGTTGTATGAAGAGTAGTATATTAATTATAATGGTGTTAACTTCATTTAAACTTACCTGTATGTTGATTATTCTTCCTCTGTAAAATTAAGCCACACAGATAAAACGTTCTGCTATACTTAACAAGATAGATATTTGTATAAAATGAAAGTTAAGATATTATCCATAGTGTAAATATTTATCATTCAGTACAACTAAGGGGAGACTGTACCCAGATGATTTCTTCTTGGAAACAATATTTTGCCGTAATGGAATGTGATATGAGTTAGGTACACTTTAGTATGACTGTCTTCCAGAAAGTGCTTTATTTCCTGAGGAAATAAGCATCTGTTTAGATCATAATAAAAGGAGAATAATAGAACAATTCCGGAAATCCCATCTTTTGCTACTTTTTCTGATTATCTGAGGATCAGTTGATAATGCTATTCTTTTTAAACGCATCATTTTAATAGACTAAAAACAATGTTAAAACTAAAATATAATAAAAGTCTTAAAAAAACATACTGGCCAATGAAGTCATTCAAAGAAGACATTGGATAATATGAAATTCAAATGACTTTAGTCAACTCAGTGAAAATGTAAATTTGTGTGAGAAAAAGCAAACAAACATTTAAGTTGTGCAAATTTATATGCAAATAAATAATTGTTTCTGGTTTTAAAACTGTACAATCGCATTTCTGATCTAACAGTTCCATGGCTATTACTAGCGTTATTATAAACAATTATAGTAATCAAAAATTAATTCCTATATTTTAAAATCCTATAGTTTGAAATTAGCTAAATATTTGTGTCTTTTCTTCATGATGTCCTAGCACAGAAAGATAAAGTGACATTTGATTCCATATTTAAATATTTTCTGACCACGACAGTGATGAGACTATTTTTAGCCTCTAAGTAGAGTAAGTATGTTAGAGTTATTGAGTACTTACAATAAAATTTAGGTAAAGTTTGACTTTTATAAGAACAGTATAAATTAAGTATATAAAACCCAAGCTGATAGTCATTCCTAACTATATTTGACTTGTAAAAAATATCTCAAGAAGGCCGGACGCGGTGGCTCACGCCTGTAATCCCAGCACTTTGGGAGGCCGAGGCGGGCAGATCACGAGGTCAGGAGATTGAGACCGTCCTGGCTAACACGGTGAAACCCCGTCTCTACTAAAAATACAAAAAAAAATTAGCCGTGTGTGGTAACGGGCAGCTGTGGTCCCAGCTACTCGGGAGCCTGAGGCAGGAGAATGGCGTGAACCCGGAAGGCGGAGCTTGCAGTGAGCCGAGATCGCGCCACTGCACTCCAGCCTGGGCGACACAGCGGAACTCCGTCAAAAAAAAAAAAAAAAAAAAAAAAAAAAAAACTCACGAAAGGAAAATTGTAGTTTATTTGCATTCTTCTCATTTTTAATGTACATTTTGTCTCCACTGATCATTTTAAATATCTGTAAGACAAACGAAGTTTCTATAATATCCCCAGTAAACTCTTACTCGTAGTTATCAGAATCATTCCATAAAACATGTTAAAAAATATGCATGTTTGATATTTTCAGATATTTAAAGAACTATCTTATAATGATATTCAAAGGAAAGTATCCTAAGCGAATTAACACAGAAACAGAAAATCAAATACCGCTTGTCCTCACTTGTAAGTGGGAGCTAAGCATTGAGTACACATGGCCACAAAGAAGGAAACAACAGACAATGAGGTCTATTGAAGTTGAAGGGTAGAAGGTGGATGGGGATTGAAAACTACCTGTCAAGTGGGTATTATGCTGATTGCCTGGGTAACAAAATTCTGTATGCCAAACTCTGATGACACAGAATTTACTCATATAAAAAATCTGCACATGTACCACTTGAACCTAAAATAAAAAGTTGGAAACAATAAAATAAAATAAAACAAAAAGTAAGCCAGAAAAATTATATATCTACAAATTAAAGTGCCCCAAAATATTTGTGGACTTGTCCAAATTATTAAATTCAATTTATTGAATACCAATTCTTTTTAGGGAATATTTATGCTCCATTAACCATATTCCCAAGGAGGAAAGAATTATATGTGAGGAATAATTCAGCCTCCCGGTTTCCCTCCATACATTACATATTTCCATGTGAGAAAGTACCATTTACCTGAGAGATAAGAGAGAGAAAAGAGAGTCCATTTTTTTAGGGAGAAACATTTCTTAAGGATTGGCCTACTTTTCTCATTAACTATGAATGAGTGCTTTATCAGTATGAGAGTTCTACCATTGTCCAGTATGGCTTGTGATGAAATAAATAATTTCAATATGAAGAGAGTGTGGGTGGGGTGGGGAGGTGGGCAGTTTTAAAAGCATACGGTATTGCTGAGTAATATTCAGTAGTAGATCACATCTTTGTTTTACAAGCAAATTTGGCATGATTAACATTAATAGATTTGGGTGCTTATTAAATTAGTTTATATATGCAAAGCAATTAGAAGAGTGCCAAGCAGAATACATATGATATATAAGTGTTAGCCATTATCAATACTATTACTTTGTTATATTGATTAATATGTTTTGTTCTTCATCTCTCTAAATCTTCTGCCACAACTGGTCCCATTATGGATTGTAAGAGAGCAGTATTGTTATTGTTCCCTTGAACACCCAAAAAGATTATTAAATGCTTTATAGCAAAGTAACCCTACAAAGTAAAGAGAAGGTACATAACTTGACCCAGGTCTCAAACTTGTTCAGTTGGCTAAACCTGGAATATAACGTCTGTCTGCCTCATGTCAAAGCTAGCACCCTTTCCTATTTCTCAGGGCCTCTCAGAAATAAAATTGAAAAAGTTAGGCTCTAAGTTGTTATTTTTTTCTGTTATTAATCTAAACAGTAACATCAACAACAAAACCAAAAATAAATTTCTTTTTCACGCTTAAGGAGAAAAATACATGTGAAGCATCAGAAGCTGTAATTTTTTTCCATTTAAGACTTAAAAATTTTAATGAGAAACAGTTTAATAGACATAAAATTAACACTAATACACTTTTTAATACGTCTTACAAAGCAATCTTGTAAAGTTGAATCAATGAGGCTTTCAGTTAAAGGATTCAATGTTAAAACAAAAGTTCAAATTTCTGCTTTCAGATTGGTGTTAATTTTCTCAATGTGTATTTGCTGATGTGATTGGATATAAATATAATCAATAGTCATTTATGATATATTTTAGTAATGACATGCATTTAAATATTGATTATCCTGTTATTTGTGATTTTCAATTTTTGCTTGATACTATTACAAAACATCAAATATCCTATTTCTATGCTCCTTTTACTTCTATTTTTTTACTTCACTTTGAAATTATGGATTGGGAAACCTTTCATTACTTTCATAAGCTTTAATTCCATTGTTCTTATTTCAGTTTTGTTCAACATCTGTTATGAACTGTGACTGCCTCATTTTTGGTAGATATAAAAAGATTATAGTTTTGTGTTCATTTTTTTTTTACTAGGAAAATTCCTTCAAAATGGTACTTTGTACATGTAAGGTGAGTTAATTTTGAGTCAAACTAAATTTAATTGAAGTAATGCATTCTGCTATCATCTCTCATTTTATTTAAAAAAAATGTATATATTGGAAAACACGTTTACCTCTAAACCTTGGAGATATGCAAGTCCTCCAGTAAAAAGAAGTAATTTATGTTTTTTCACCTCATGGATTTCACATCACTCAGAAACACATGGAGAAACTTTCAATGAGGCATCCACAGGAAGGCTCAGTGGGATGTCTGACAGTTTAAAGTAAAGAGAAGAAGGATCTGGAATTTGTAAGGATAACCTACAAAAGACACCAACATAAAACAACCTTCCTAGTTTTTATGTTCCCCTTTGTCAATAAAAAATGAAACTACTAAACTATAGAACAAACAAGTGATCTGTATTTGGGCAATTTCTTATATATAATTTTAGCTCTGTCACCTCGGACTGACATGTCTGTACCTTTATGGTGCTATTATATTGTATGTCACAAAGAGAAAGCACCAAAGCAATTTTCATGAATACATGAAACTAAACCTTACATGAAATAATCTAGGGAAAAGTATGCCATACTTATAAAAGTGTTCAGAGTTTTGGAGAAGATTAATATACTTTGTTAAAATGGTTGGCATACATTATCCATTAAATTAGTTGCACATACACGTCCCTATGATTTATCACTACAAAAAATATACATTCCCATTTATGGTGAGTTGTACATACAAATGCACACAAAAAAGTGCAATGGAAATAAATGCAAAACAAGAAATTTGTTTGATAATACTAAATATAACAAGTTTTAGGCAAATTTAAAGAGTACATTTCAGAACTATGTGTAAAAACGAATGTGAAGAAAGAGAACGTTTAACAAATAGCCTAATTAAAAGCTATTTTTTACATTTTAAGGAAAGCAATTATAGTTTTAATCAGTTATTAGAATGGAATTAAATTAAGGGTATATCAGTTACACATTCACGGTGCCAAAAATACTGAATATTATTATTTGAAAGAGATATTGATAAGCAATTTATTGAATATGAATTCATAGCAATGCTACTACTTGTGGCTTTCATAGAGAAGAATGAAGAGTGAGGAGGGAAACAAATAAATTTACCAAAAAAAAAGAAGAAGAAGAAAAAGAAAGCAATGTGAACTAAAGGCAGTAAAATTTAATGGAAAATGATTAATATTCTGATTCTGATTGGATAGCCAATGTAGATTGTCTTGTTTTAATGTTAGTGTGCTCATTAATTGTGTTAAAGTCAGCTACCAAAATCTATGTTTATGTATTATCCTTATCTGCTCATCAAATATTATTTCAGTTAAATATGACAGGAAAGGTATGGGCAAACAAACTTTGAAAATATGGTACTCATGTTGAATGTCCTTTAACTTAGGTTTCTGTCATTTTTACATTTATATTTCATATTCTATGTAAGGTTTTCTTGTGGGACTGTCATAAACCACTAGTAGTGCTTATTTTTCACATGAGCTGTGATCAAAACATCAACATTTTGCCAGAGGCTTTTATTTCAGTTTGTTTTATACCCACCAACTTCTTCTTTGGAGTCATTAAAAAGCACTTATGGAACATTCTATAGATAGGTTATGCATGACATACTCACTGATGCTATAGTAAATTGCCACATATTTATCACTTTGTAACTGTTTTTTAAAGGTTACTGGCAAGGTCGTTAAAAGAAAACAAGATAGAATGAGAAAAATTGTATTATGTGGGTTTTGAGGTATATATATACATATATAATTGGCTAGATCCTTTTTCCTGACTTGTCATTTTCTTTTGAACCCGCAAATGTACTTGAGAAATTTATGATATGAAGCGAGAATCATGAGATACTTAGTGACTACAGATAAATATATCAAGGCTGAATATCTAAAAGTAAATTACAAAGGGTGAGAAGCCAAGCACAGCACAGTAAACATAAGAGTTTGATTTGAAAATGCTGTAACTATTATATCTTACAGTGGGAAATAGCTTGCAGCTAATGCTAAGCTTCTGCTATGGTTGCCATTCTTTTAATTTATATTTTGTTTATTATTTCTTCAATTTACACAAAAAAGCATTTTCTATATATGTAATAATCATAAAAACATATAGCAAAATATTGTCAGAAATAATTTAACTCTTCAAAGAAAAATAATTTATTTTTAGTGAACACAACTTGTTTTCAATTCAGTCTTACTAGTTAAAAAAGATTTATCTTCGTCTCTTACAATATAAAGTTTCCACTTAATTAATATCTTACTAGAAAACAGGAGTATTCTAGGTGAATCACTTTTTCACTGGAGTTCAAGCATTTCTGAAAAAGCTAAAGGAGAATGTACCACAGAGAGCAGGTTCTTCATGCACTTTTATGAAATCACCACGATGGCAGAAAATAAAATATTTATCTCAGCATCATAGCTCAGTGGTATTTATTAGCCACCTAAAATCATAAAAATATTTCCAACATAAGAAGCATATCATGCAGACCCGACTTTTTTTATCTGTACATGCTAAATATCTTATATCTCATAATTCTCATGGCAGGGTAATCATGCAGTGACTGTCAAAGGATGAGCTGAATAATATGGTTGAAAGAGTCCTGCTGTTATTTTTTAATCTTAAGTAAGTCACTTAATCATGTATATGTCCCAATGGCTTGTTATTTAAAATACAAGATTTAGACTAAATCAGTACTTTTCAATCTGCTTCTAGAAGCTTCTGTTGTTATTCACAAAACATTTGGCTCTAATTACCATAAAAACTTAGTATTTGGAGATGGCTGATGATCATTTGAATTCTGCTCAGCTGTGGAACAGGAAAGAGTGCCTAAGACAGCTACCAATAGAGACTGCATTGTCTGCTGGAGGTCCAAATTACTCAACTTCCATGGTCACTTGAGATGTCCCAGTCCCCCACAGCCTAGTTTCTCAAAATATTTTGCTTAAAAAATAAAAATTATTTTACTGAAATAAAAATCAAATAGTCTTTATTCCAATAATTTTAAGTAATCATTAACATTCTCTAATTCCAGAAATCAATTTACTGATAAATTTATCTCTTTTGACTATGAGAGAACTAGGTTATCCCTGAAACTTTGAAACTAGTCATTAAATATATTCCCAAACAGTTAATTTAGACTGTGTATTCTGTATCTGTCTACCTAAAGAGGATCTGAAGTTTGCAACAATATTTGTAATAATAGATACATTTTGGGTCCTAGTGGGAAAGACATGCTTGGGAATAACCATTTCTCAGCCACAAAATACTGGGAGAGGCTCAAGCAATAGATAGTAAATATTGTCCAAAGAGATAGTCTGTAAGATACATAGCAATACCCTAATACCTGGAATAAGACCCATGTTTATGACAGAGACTCTTTGGGGAAACGTGTATCTCCTTTGAAGAAGAGTAGCTCCAGAGTGTTTTCTTGTGATGAAACTAAGGAGAGTATCAACACTCACATTTTAGTTTTATTATCCATGTATATTTAAGACATTATCAGGCTCAAGTTTGTTAATAATTCAGGTTTTGAAGCCCACTGCCTGCCTTATAATTATTCTTCTTTGGAACCTGGATGAGATAAGATAATGACTGGAATAGGATAACAAAGAAGGAAGCCTCTGTTACAGCATTAAGACATTTGTATTTTATCAGAATTTGTTAATAAAGAGAAACTCTAGAGAGGAAATAGCAGAACAAAATCCACATGGCAGGATAGCAAATTTGATGTATAATAAAAGAAGAGAAATAGAGATAATGTAAGACAAACAGATTATGTCATCCTATAAATAAAGAACAAAATCAGATAACCTATTAAAATCTGATAGTTTCTCCTCTGTCTGGCGAGGGGTCCAACTGAAAATGCTTGTTAACATTAAAACTTTCTAGGCTCTTAAATTATAACTGTGAGAAGTAAAATCATTTGAGGGAGAACCAGGAGAGAGAATAAAGGGGAAGACATAAGAAACAAGAGTGAAAGAATGAGAAAGAGAGAGAGGAAGAAGGAGAGACAGAGAGAAAAAAGAAAAGAGAGAGTGTGATGAAATGAGTGAGACAAAGATATACTATTAAACAGAGCTAAAATTTATACTTGGACCATGATTTGTGTCCTAATTACTGTGAGTCAAACTTGTAAGCATTTTACATGCAATTAATGACTTACTGCATATAATCATTTCTTATTAGAGAGATTAGTCTGTTTACATTCAATGTTATCATTGATAACTAAGGACTTACTCCTGCCATTTATTATTGGTTTTCTGGTTGTTTTGCGATCTTCTCTTTCTTCTTTCCATCCTTCTTCTCTTCTTTTTAGTAAAGGTGATTATCTCTGGTGGTATAATTTAATTTCTTGCTTGTATTTTTTGTGTAGTCATTGTATTTTTTTGGATTTGAGGTTACCATAAGGTTTGCAAATACAATCTTATAATCAATTCATTTAAGCTGATAACAACTTAACACTGTTTGCATAAACAAACAAACAAGCAAAAAAAAAAAAACTAATAAAAAAAGAAACACTACCCCTTAACTTCATCCTCCTGATTTTTAACGTTTTGCTGTTTCATTTATACCTTATTGTACTGCCTCTGAAAAGTTGTTGTAGTTATTTTTTTTTATTGGTTCATCTTTTAGCCTTTCTAGTTAAGATAAGAGTAGTTTACACACCACAATTACAATCTTACAATATTCAGTTTTTCTGTGTACTTCCTATTACCAGTGAGCTTTGTACCTTCAGATGACTTCTTACTACTCACTAACGTCTTTTTTCTTTCAGATTAAAGAACTCCCATTAGCATTTTTTGTAGGACATAGCTGGTGTTGATGAAATTTGTCAGTTTTTGTTTGTCTGTGGAAGTCTTTATTTCTCTTTCATGTTTGAAGGGTATTTTCACTGGATATACTATTCTAGGATAAAAGGGTTTTGTTTTGCTTTTTTTCCTTTAGCACTTTAAATATGTCATACCACTCTCTCCTGGCCTGTAACGTTTCCACTGAGAAGTCTGCTGCCAGAAGAATTGGAGCTCCTTTGTATATTATTTGTTTCTTTACTCTTGCTGCTTTTAGGACCCTTTATTTATGCTTGACCTTTCAGAGTTTGATTATTAACTGTCTTAAGGTGGTCTTCTTTGGGTTCACTCTACTTGGTGATCTATCAGCTTCTTGTATCTGGATATTGATTAATTTTTTTCCAAATTTGGGAAATTCTGTTCGCATCCCTCTGAATAAACTTTCTGAAGACAGCAAAGATCACCTGGTGACCATCAAGCAGGCCCCAGAAACAAAAAAACTCCTTATCTGAGAAACTCAGAAGTATAATGAAGAGAGCAAAGACCACCTGGGGACCATCAAGCAGGCCGTCTGGAGACAAAAAATTCTTTATTTGAGGAATTGAGTAGAAATTAGATTTTCTATTATCTAAAGTTGTCACCTGGTTCCAGGCCTCTTTTCAACTTAAAATTTTTAAGTAACTAGAATTTCTATATATCTCTGGAATGCATGCATGCTGAAAATCATTGTGATGGTTAATACTGAGTGTCAACTCAATTCAATTGAAGGAAGCAAATTATTGATCCTGGGTGTGTCTGTGAGGGTGTTGCTGAAGAAGATTAACATTTGAGTCAGTGGACTGGGAAAGGCAGACCCACCCTTAATCTGGATGGGCACCATATAATCACCTGCCAACACAGCCAGGACATAAAGTAGGCAGAAAAACATGAAAGGGCTAGACTTGCCTAACCTCCCAGCCTACATCTGTCTCATGTGCTGGATGCTTCCTGCCTTTGAACATCAGACTCCAGGTTCTTCAGCCCTGGCACTTGGACTGACTTCCTTGCTCCTCAGCTTGCAGACAGCCTACTGTGGACCTTGTGATCACGTGATCATGTGAGTTAATACTACTTAATAAAATCACCTTTTTATATATCCTGTTAGTTCTTTCTCTCTAGAGAACCCTGACTAATACAGATTTTGGTATCAGGAGTGGTTCAAGAGGAACAGAATATTAAGGATGGAGTTCTTTCATTGCTTTCGGGGTTTCTGGAGTTGGCTGCTTAATATGATTAGACCCCCAAAATGCTAAGGAATCTATTTCTAATAGTATGGAGAGCACTGATAGTCCTTGGCATGAACTGTTTAGAGAGTTAGGCAAAATAAATGCATTTGACACTGCTGATTCACCACTCATGAGGGGCAAGGAGTTTAGTGACTCTATACATAATACCTTTGACCATATGTGGAGAACCAAGGAACATAATGAAGCTGGTTGGTTGCTACTAAGTTCACTGGACAAAGTGATGAAAGTAAATGATGAACTCAGGGATTCTAACTCCCAGCTTCAGGAGCAGATACTGGTCCTCAAATCTGCTAAGATTGCCCTGAGTGAGAGTCTTATCTCCTTTAGAGAAATAGCTGAAACTGTGGAAATTCACACACAAGCTCTTTTCATGAAAGTGGCTGACCTGCAATGAAAGGTGCATGCACACCCTCGCCAGGTGTCTGCTGTTAAAGTGAGGTCATTTACTGGAAAAGAATGGGATCCTGCAACTAAGAATGGAGATGTATGGGAGGACCCTGATGAAGCTGGGGACACTGAGCTTGTGAACTCTGATGAACTTTTCTTGCCAGAAAAAAACAGCTTCCCCATTCCCAGCAAGGGCAACATCCCTTCCCCAATCCACTCTGCCATCAGCCTTTCCACCTTTGTCTGAGGAGATAAACTCTGTGAGGCCTGAGGTAACAGTGATGGCCTGTTGATTCCCTGAGGCACTTGCCAGGAAAGACAGTGTCGATTCTCCTCAGGAGCCACCCCCAACGTCCCTGTCTGCTTCTAGACCTACAACCAAAGTCCCAGTGGGCCCCTAGAGGTTAGGTTCAGAGTGCGACCCATGAGGAGGTCCACTATACTTGCAAAGAACTGCTTGAGTTTTCTAATTTATTTAAGCAGAAATTTGGAGAACAGACATGGGAATAGATATTACGGGTGTGGGATAATGGTGGAAGGAACATAGAGTTGGATCAGGTTGAATTTATTGATTTGGGCCCACTAAGTAGGGACTCTGTATTTAATGTTGCAGCTTGGGGAGTTATAGAACGTTCTAATAGTTTATTTGCTTGCTTAGCTGAAATATAGATTAAAAGGTGGCCCACTGTGAGTGAGCTGGAAATGCCTGATCTCTCTTGGTTTAACGTAGGGGAAGGGATCCAAAGGCTTAGGGAGATTGGGATGGTGGAGTGGGTTAGTCACTTTAGACCTACTCATCCCAGCTGGGAGGGTGCAGAAGATATACTCTTGACCAATGCCTTGCAAAATAGATTTGTGAGGGCAGAACCTGAATTTTTGAAGAGCCCTGTAATTTATCTTCTCTGTATGTCAGATCTAACAGTGAGAACTGGAGTCACTCAACTACAAAATTTAAATACAATGGGAATAATTGGATCTCGAGGTGGCAGAGGACAAGTGGCAGCACTCAACCATCAAAGGCAAGGTGGGCATAGCTACCATAATGGACAGCAGAGGAAAAGCAGCAATCAGAATAGTCTGACTCATGTAGAGATCTGGCACTGGATAACTAATCACGGTGTTCCTAGCAGTGAAATTGATAGGAAGCCCACTGCATTTCTACTTAATTTATATAAGCAGAAAACTGGCAGGTCAGATGGACAAAAGACTAATCTGAATTATAAAAACAAAGAATCACAGCCCCTCAATCAATTTCCAGACTTGAGCCAGTTTACAGACCCAGAACCCTTGAATGAAGGGAAGCCTGGGTCCCCTTGAGGAAGGACCCCACTACGCTACTGACAATTTATGCTGTTAATCTTTCTCCCATATTTCCCTGAAGGAGACCTCTGGCCTTTTACCAGGACAACTGTGCATTGCAGAAAGGAAAATTATTGGACATTTTGTAGACTAGTGGACACTTGCTCTGAGCTGACATTGATTCCAGGGGGCCCACAACATCATTGTGGTTCTCCAGTTAAAGTAGGGGCTTATGGAGGTCAGGTAATTAATGGAGTTTTAGCTCAGGTCTGACTTAGAGTAGGTTCAGTGGGTCCCCGGACTCATTCTGTTGTCATTTTCCCATTGTCAGAATGCATAATTGACATAGACATACTTAACAGCTAGCAGAACCCTCACATTGGCTCCCTGACTAGTAAGATAAGGGCCGTTTTGGTGGGAAAGGCCCAATGGAAGCCATTAGAGCTGACTCTACCCAGAAAAAACAATATTGCATCCCTGGAGGAGTTGCATAGATTAGTGCCACCATCAATGACTTAAAAGATGCAGGGACGGCAATTCCCACCACATCCCCCATTCAACTCTTCCATTTGCCCTTTGCAGAAGACAGATGCATCTTGAAGAATGACAGTGGATTATCATAACCATAACCAAGTGATGACTCCAGTTGTGGCTGCTGTGCCAGATATGGTTTCATTGCTTGAGCAAATTAACACATCTCCTGGCACCTTGTATGCAGCCATTGACTTGGAAAATGCTTTTCTCCATTCCTGTCCATAAAGCCCACCGGAAGCAATTTGCCTTCAGCTGTCAAGGCCAGCAATGTATCTTTACTGTGCTACTTAAGGGGTATATCAACTCTCCAGCTTTGTGTCATAAATCTTATTTAGAGAAACCTTGATCACTTTTCACTCCCAAAAGATATCACATTGGTCCATTTTATTTATGACATTATGTTGATTGGATCCAGTGAACAAGAAGTAGCAAACAAACTGGATTTATTGGTGAGACAATTGGATGCCAAAGGATGGGAAATAAATCTGACTAAAATTCAGGGAACTTCTACCTCAGTGAAATTTTTAGGGGTCCAGTGGTATGGGGCCTGTGGAGATATTCCTTCTAAGGTGAAAGATAAGTTGCTACATTTGGCCTCTCCTACAACCAAAAAAGAGGCACAATGCCTATTGGGACTATTTGGATTTTAGAGGCAAACCTTTCTTCATCTGGGTGTGTTACTCCAGCCCATTTATTGACTGACCCAAAAGGCTGCCAGTTTTGAGTGAGGTCCAGAACAGGAGAAGGCTTGGCAACAGGTCCAGGCTGCTGTGCAAGCTGCTCTACCACTTGGGCCATATGACCAACAGATCCAATGGTGCTTGAGATGTCAGTGGCAGATAAGGGTGCTGTTTGGAGCCTCTGGCAGGCTCCCAGAGGTGAATCACAACGAAGGCCTCAAGGATTTTGGAGCAAGGCCTCTTCTGCAGATAACTACTGTCTATCTTCTGCCATCTTCTGCAGATAATTACTCTCCTTTTGAGAGACAGCTCTTGGCCTGTTACTGGGCTTCGGTGGAAACTGAACATTTGACTATGGGTCATCAAGTCACCAGATGACCTGAACGGCCTATAAGGAACTGGGTGCTTTCTGACGATCTAGCCATAAAGTGGGTCATGCACAGCAGCATTCCATCATCAAATGGAGGTGGTATATACCTGATCAGGCTCGAACAGGTCCTGAAGGCACAAGTAAGTTACATGAAGAAGTAGCTCAAATGCCCATGGTCTCCATTCCTGTCACCTTGCTTTCTCTTCCCCAGCCTGCACTGATGGCCACATAGAGAGTTCCCCATAATTAGTTGAAAGAGGAAGAGAAGACTAGAGCCTGGTTCACAGAAGGTTCTACATGATATGCAGGCACTACTTGAAAGTGGACAGCTGCAGCACTACAGCCCCTTTCTAGGACATCCCTGAAGGACAGTGGTGAAGGGAAATCTTCCCAGTAGGCAGAACTTTGAGCAGTGCGCCTGGCTCTGCACTTTGCATGGAAGGAGAAATGGTCAGATGTGTGACTATATACTGATTCATGGGCCGAAGCCAATGATTTGGCTGGATGATCAGGGACTTAGAAGAAGCACGATTGGAAAATTGGTGACAAAGACATTTAGGGAAGAGATATGTGGAGGCACCTCTCTGAGTGTTCAAAAACTGTGAAGATATTTGTATCCCATGTGAGTGCTCACCAGTGGGTGACCTCAGCAGAAGAGGATTTTAATATTGAAGTGGATAGGATGACCTGTTCTGTGGGCACCACTCAGCCTTTTTCCCCAGCCACCCCTGTCATTGCCCAATAAGCCCATAAATAAAGTGGCTGTGGTGGCAGGGATGGAGGTTATGAATGGGATCAGCAACACGGACTTTCACTCCTCAAATCTTACCTGGCTATGGCCACTGATGAAAGCCCAATTTGCTATCAGCAGAGAACAACAGTGAGCCCTTGATATGGCACAATTCCTCAGGGTGGTCAGCCAGCTACCTGGTGGCAGGTTGATTATATTGGACCTCTTCCATCATGGAAAGGGCAGAAGTTTGTCCTCACTGGAATAGACACTTATTCCAGATATGGGTTTGCCTATCCTGCATGAAATGCTTCTGCCAAGACTACCATTCGTGGACTCATGGAATGCATTATCCACTGTTGTGATATTCCACAGAGCATTTCCTCTGACCAAGGCACTCACTTAATGGCTAAAGAAGTGTGGATGTGGGCTTATGCTCATGGAATTCAGTGGTTTTACCGTGCTTCCCTTCATCCTGAAGCAGCTGGATTGATAGAACAGTAGAATGGCATTTTTTTAGGTTGGGGGAGGGGTTTGGAGACATGATCTCACTCTGCTCACTCTGTCACACAGGCTGGAGTGCAGTGGCATGATCTCACGTCACTGCAACATCTCCCTCCTGGGTTCAGTCAATTTTCCTGCCTCAGCCCCCTGAGTAGCTGGGCTTACAGGTACATGCCACCACACCTGGCTAATTTTTGCTTTTTTAGAGAGGGAGTTTCACCATGTTGGCCAGGCTAGTCTCAAACTCCTGGCTTCAAGTAGTCTGCCCACCTTGGCCCCCCAAAGTGCTGGAATCACAGGCATGAGCCACCATGCCCAACCTGGAATGGCCTTTTGAAGTCACAGTTACAATGCCAACTAGACGACAATAGTTTGCAGGGCTGGAACAAAGTTCTCCAGAAGGTCCTGTATGCTCTAAATCAGCATATAATATATGGTACTGTTTCTCCCATAGCCAGGATTCAGTGGTCCAGGAATTAAGGTGTGGAAGTGGAAGTGGCACCACTCACCATCACCCCTAGTGATCCACTAGCAAAATTTTTGCTTCCTGTTCCCATGTCATTATGCTTTGCTGGCCTAGAAGTCTTCATTCCAGAAGGAGGAATGCTGCCACCAAGAGACACAACAAAGATTCCATTAAACTGGAAGTTGAGAATGCCACCTGGACACTTTGGGATCCTCCTACACTTCAGTCAACAGGCTAAGAATGGAGTTACGGTGTTGGCTGGGGTGATTGACTCAGACTATCCAGATGAAATCAAGCTACTACTCTACAATGGAGATAAGGAACAGTACGAGAGTATGCATGGAATACAGGAGATCCATTAGGGCACCTCTTAGTGTTACCATGTCCTGTGCTTAGAGTCAATGGAAAATTACAACAGCCCAATCCAGGCAGGAATACAAATGGCCCTTCAGGAATGAAGGTTTGAGTCACTCCACCAGAAAAAAAAAAAAAAAAAAAAAAAAAACATAAATTGACTGGCTGAGGTGCTTGCTGAAGACAAAGGGAATACAGAATGGGTAGTAGAAGAAGGTAGTAATCAATACCAGCTACAACCACGCAACCAGTTGCAGAAACAAGGACTGTAACTGACATGAGAATCTTCTTTTGTGAAAAACATACTGTGTATGCATACACTTGTACTAAAAAAAATCTTCATTTTATGTCCTTTTTCCTTTATCATATGACATAAGATTTGTTGACTTCATATCAGCATTTTAGTATTGTTAACCTTATGTAATAGCATTTGGGTTGGAGATTGGTGTGTTTCTGGTTGTATGAAGGATAGTTACATTATGTTAGGAATAATTATGATTTTATTATTGTCTTTATCTGAAGTTTATGTACAATCTTAGGAAATATGTATGTGTTCCAGTTGACAAGGAGTAAACTTGTGATGCTTAATACTGAGTGTCAAATTGATTGGATTGAAGGATGCAAAGTATTGATCCTGGGTGTGTCTGTGAGGGTGTTGCCAAAGGAGATTAACATTTGAATCGGTGGGCTGGGAAAGGCAAACCCACCCTTAATCTGAGTGGGCACCATATAAATAGCTGTCAGTGCAGTCAGGATATAAAGCAGGCAGAAAAACGTGAAAAGGCTAGACTGGCTTAGCCTCCTAGCCTATATCTTTCTCCCATGCTGAATGCTTCCTGCCCTTGAACATCAAACTCCAAGGTTTTCAGCCTTTGTCTCAGACTGGCTTCCTTGCTCCTCAGCTAGCAGACAGCCTATTGTGGGACCTTGTGATTGCGTGAGTTAATATTACTTAATAAACTCCCGTGTGTGTGTGTGTATCCTATTAGCTCTGTCTTTCTAGAGAACCTTGACTAATACACTCATTGCGCAACCCTTGCCTACATTAAGGCAACAAAATGTCTAGAAATGTCATCATTTATCATACAAACTACACTTGAGCTCCTGCTTTAAGGTCCATAAATGCTCCTAAGGAAAAGCCACCATGGTTCACTCAGTCTTCTCTTGCTGAGACACCCCGCTGCGCTCTTTTGCAATGTTCTTTCTTTCTAATAAAAAACATTCTTTTTGGAGACCTATAGTGTCATTGGTCAATTCTTCTTACTGACCTGCAAGTTGAGCACTTTGCAATGACTTCACCCAGCAGTTTCTACAGACAGCTCTCTCTCTCTACCTCCACCCTAAGGTCAATAACTCTTAGATTTGTTCTTTTGAAGCCATTTTCTAAATGTGCTTTATTCTTTTTTGTTCTGTTTTCTCCTTTCTCCTGACTGTATTTCCAAGTAGCCCGTCTTCAAGCTAACTAATTATTTCTTCTGTTGATCATTTCTGCTATTAGGACTATGATGCATTCTTCAGTATGTCAATTGCATTTCTCAGCTTCAGAATTTTTGCCTGGATCTTTTTAATAATTTCAGTGCTTTGTTAAATTTGTCATACAGCATTCTGAATTCCTTCTTTGTGTTGTCTTGCATTTCTTTCAGTTTCCTCAAGATCGCTATTTTGAATTCTCTATCTAAACGGTCACATATGTCTTTTTCTCTAAGATTGGTCTCTGGTGCCTTATTTAGTTCCTTTGGTGAGATCATGTTTTCATGGATAGTCTTGATGTTTTTGGATGTTTGTCAGTGACTGGCCATTGAAGAGTTAAGTATTTGTTTTAGTTTTTGTGGTCTGGGCTTATTTGTACTTGTCCATCTTGGGAAGACTTTCCAGGTATTCAAAAGGACTTGGATGTTGTGATCTAATCTGTGTCTGCATTAGGGGGCACCCTAAGCCCAGAGTAACACTGTGGTTCTTGCAGACTCATAGAGGTACCACCTTGGTGGTATTGACTAAGATCAAGCAGAATTATCTGAATTACTAGGCCAGAGACTTTTCTTCTCTTCCCTTACTTTTTGTCAAACAATCAGTCTCTCTCTCTCTCTCTCTCTCTCAGTTGCTGGAGCTGGGGTTGGGGAACACAAACACCTCTTTGACCACCACTACTGAGACTGCTTGTGTCACACCTGAAGCCAGCACAGCACTGGGTCTCAAACAAGGCCTGCTGTAACTACTATCTGGCTACCTCCTATGTTTGCTCCAGGCACTAGGGCTCTAAAATCAGCAAGTGGCAAAGCCAGACAGGCTGGTGTCCTTCCCTTCAGAGTGATGAGTTCTCCCAGGTCCTGGGCAGATCCAGAAATACTGTCTGGGAGCCAGAGACTGAAGTCAGAAACCTTAGAAATCTTAGAACCTGTTGTTCTATTGCACTGTGGTTGCACAGGCACTCAAACCATGAGACAGAGTAGTTCCTACTCTTCCCCCGCTTTCCAAAGGCAGAGGAGCCTCACTTTGTGGCCATAACTACCACAGGTCCATAGGGAGTACTGTGGGGCTGCCGTCAAAGTTCCCTTAAGGCCCCAGGTCTCTTTAGTAAGCTTGTGGTGAATACTGCTAGGTCTGGGACTCACTATTCTGGGTAATGGGCTCCCCTGTGACCCAGAATTGGTCCAGAAATTCCATTCAGGAGTCAAGGCCTAGTATAAGGGACTCTAAGATCCCTCTTGGTGCTCCAGCCCCCCTGTGGCCTAAATAGTACCTAACCTGCCAGCCAAAGACCTCTTTACTTTTCCCTCTACTTTTCTCAAGCAAAAAGACTCTCTCACCATAGCCACCACAGCTGGGAATGTGCTGAATCTCACCTGAAACCAGTGAGTCTCACAAAAGCATATGGTGTACTATCTGGGTATCACTGCTGGTTATTCAGAGCTCAAAGGCATATTAGTCAGCAGGTGATGGGTTCTGCCAGGGCTGAATTCTTCCTTTCAAGACAGCAAATTCCCTTATGACTCATAGTGTGTCTAAAACTGTCATTCAGGAGGTAGAACCTGGAATGGCAGCCTCATGACTGACCAGTACCCTATCCTACAGTGGCTGAGCTGGTATTCAAGATGCAAGACAAAGTGCTCTTTCCTCTTCCCACTCCCCTCATGAAAGGGAGGGGTCTCTGGGAGCTGGGAGCTGTGCTGCCTGGGGTTGGAGAAGTGGTGGCACAAGCACTTCCTTAGCCACCCTAACTGAAGTCTCAGTAGGTTGTGTGCCCCCCAAATCCCTTGGATCTTAGCCCAGCTCAGCACTCAGACTTTCCTAGGAGTTGCAGTTTTTGTGGATTAGACTGCCTTTCAAGTTTATTCAAGCCCCAGAACCTTTAGTCCACGGTGACGAGGCTTGCCAAAACTCAAGTTCCAACCACATGGATGGGTGATTCTCCTCTGGATAGAGCTGGTCTAAATGCTCTTTCTGTGGTCAGGCATCAGCAGAGTTCAGTCTGGTTTTGTTTTCTGCTGTGACAGGGAAGCACTGAGTTCAGTGCAAAGTCTCCAAAGTCTCACAATTGCTCCAGTCTCACTTCCCAAGAAAACAGATTCTCTCTTTGCACCATTCGGAGAATGACAGGAGATGAGGGAGATGTGTTGTTGGGAATTCAAGATGATCTTTTCTACCCTTTTCTATGTCTCTTTCAGTGATATGAAGTTAATATCGGGTACTGTGATTACTCACCTGATTTTTGGTTCTTATGAAGGCGCTTTTTCATGTAGATGGTTGCTGAATTTAGTGGTCCTGTAGGGGGTGTAGGGGGGTAAAATAGATGGAAACTTTTGTCTGCCCATCTTGCTCCAGCCCTGTCTCCTAATCCCCCATTTCCTAAATGAAATTTCAATCTTTATTTTGTAAATAAGGAAAACTGAAGATAAACATTTTGCTTTAGGTCACATGGCTGCTTAATGCAAATCTGTGATTTGTGCCTAGGCAGTCTGTATTCCCTTAGCTACTCATACTACTTCAGAGATAACACATTGTGATACAAAAGAAAAGAAAAGTGGAGGAAACGTGAAAGAGAAGAATGACTGAGAAGAGAGATGGATGAGTGAGAAGAATAATATCAGGGAAAGATGAGAAGAAATTTGAGGAAAATATGGGTGAGTTATATTGGGAGAAGTATATAAGGTAAGAGAAAAGAATAAAATTCTGGCCTTGAGAGAGAAGAAATAAGGAAGAGAGTAGAATAAAAGAAGAATGAGAAGCAGAGTGTCTTAGTTCATTCTCATACTACTATAACGGCATATTTGAGACTGGGAATTCTATAAAGGAAAGAGGTTTAATTGACTCACAGTTCTACAGGGCTGGGAAGGCCTCAGGAAATTTACAATCATGACAGAAGGGAAAGCAAACACATTACATTTTCACAAGGTTGCAGGAGACAGATAAATAAGACCCAAGTGAAGGGGGAAGCTCCTTATAAAACCATCAGATCTCGTGAGAACACAAGAATAGCATGGAGGAAACTGCCTCCATAATTCAATTACCTCCCACCATGTCCCTTCCATGGCACGTGGAGATGATGGGAACTACAATTCAAGATTAGATTTGAATGGAGACACAGGCAAAACTTATAATTCCACCCCTGGCCCCTCCCAAATCTCATGTCCTCACATTTCAAAACACAATCATGTCCTTCCAACAGTTCCCTAAAGTCTTAACTCATTTCAGCATTAACTCAAATGTCCAAGCCCAAAGTCTCATCTGAGACAAGGCTGGTCTCTTCTGCCTATGAGCCTGTAAAATCAAAAGCAAGTTAGTTCCTTCCTAGATACAATGGAGATACAGGTATTGAGTAAATACACCCTTGCTTAATGGGAGAAATTGGCCCAAACACATTGGGCTACATGTTCCATGCAAATGTGAAATCCAAAGAGGCAGAAATTAAATCCGAAAGCTCCAAAATAATCTCCATTGACTCCATGTCTCACACCCAAGTCATGCTGTTGCAAGAGGTGGGTTCCCATGGTCTTGGGCAGCTCTGACCCTGTAGCTTTGCAGGGCACATCCTCCCTCCAGGTTGTTTTCATGGGCTGATGTTGAGTGCCTGTCTCTTTTCCAGACCCATGGGTGCAAGCTGTAGGTAGATCTACCATTCTCCAGTCCAGAGGACCATGGCCCTCTTCTCGCAGATCCACTAGGCATTGCCCCAGTGGGGACTCTGTGTGGGGGCTCCAACCCCACATTTCCCTTTCACACTGCTCTAGCAGAGGTTCTCCATGAGGGCTTTGCCCCTGCAGCAGAATTCTGCCTGGACATCGAGGCATTTCCATACAGCCTCTGAAATCTAGGCAGAGGTTCCCAAGTCTCAATTCTTGACTTTGGTGCACCTTCATGATTAACACCATGTGAAAGCTGCCAAAGCTTGGGGCTTGCACCCTCTGAGGCCACAGCCTAAGCTGTACCTTATATCCCCTTTTAGCCATGGCTGGAGCGGTTGGGACACAGGGCAATAAGCTCCTAGGCTACACACAGCAGGGAGGCCCTGGGCCCAGCCCATGAAACTATTTTCCTTCCTAGACCTCTGGGCCTGTGATGGGAGAGGCTGTTGCATAAGTCTCTGACATGCTCAGGAGACAGAAGGCTTGAATTTTTCCTCAGAAAATGAATTTTTCTTTTCTATTGCATTGTCAGGCTGCAATTTTTCCAAACTTTTATGCTCCACTTTCTCTTCAATGCTTTGCCACATAGAATTTTCTCCCACCACATACCCTAAACCATCTCTCTCAAGTTCAAAGTTCCACAAATCTCTAGGGCAGGAGCAAAATGCCACCATGTCTTTTCTAAAATATAACAAGACTCACCTTTATTCCAATTCCCCAAAAGTTCTTCATCTCCATCTGAGACCACCTCAGCCTGGACTTCATTGTCTATACCACTATCAGCATTTTTGTCAAAGCCATTCAACAAGTCTCTAGAAAGTTCCAAAACTTTCCTACATCTCCCTGTCTTCCAAGCCCTCCAAGTATTTGAGAATTTCCAAACTTTCCCCATTTTTCTATCTTCTTCTGACCCCTCCAGACTGTTCCAACCTCTTCCTGTTACCCAGTTCCAAAATCACTTCCATATTTTTGGGTATCTTTACAGTAGTGCCCCATTCCCAGAACCAATTTACTGTATTAGTCCATTCTCATGCTGCTATGAAGACATACCTGAGACTGGGTAATTTATAAAGGAAATAAATTTAATTGACTGTCCATTTCACAGGGCCGGGAAGGCCTCAGGAAACTTACAATCATGGTGGAAGGGGAAGCAAACATGCCCTTCTTCACAAGGCAGCAGGAGAGAGAAGAATGAGAGCTGAGAAAAGAGAGAAGAATGAGAGCTGAGCAAAGAGAGAAGCCCCTCACAAAACCATCAGATCTCATGAAGAATTACTCATTATCATGAGAATAGCATGGGGGAAACTGCCCCCACGATTCATTTACCTCCCACTGGGTCCCTCCTAGAACACATGGGAATTTTAGGAACTACAATTTGAGATGAGATTTGGGTGGAAACACAGCCAAAATATATCACAGAGAAAGCAAGATTTACTCCTAGTATTATTTTATCTACTATTAAAATGAAATTGCACATTTGTTTCTTTAATACAATGGAAGATAACAACAGTGTCAAAGAAAGGGAACTTGCTCAAGGATGCAGAGCAGTTGAGAACAGTCAAGGAGCCAGAGACACAAACCCTGATTAAGGTACCTTGCTCTCTGCTAGTTAAGTGGTGGTCACAAAGCAAAAAAGAAGAAAAAAAAAAAACAAAAAAAAAAAAAACAGAGAAACACGGAAGAGTCCATATAGAATACAATGCCACTTGTTCACCATTCTTCCACTTGGCATTTATTCAAGTGCTTCTTCTGTGCCAGGTAAAGGTCAGAGCTACAGAGGTGAATAGTACAATGCTACTGAAGTAAAAGTGCTTGAAGTCTTGTGAGCATTTGGAGAATTACATTAGGAATAGGGAAAATCACTGCTTTGTGGGTAGTCAGACTGAGGAGTGAGGAGGAACACCTAGATCAAAGAAACAGTTGCTTAATTTAGAGGCTCAAGCTCAATTATTAAAATTAATAGCTAAACAATAGTCTTGAAGGATTGTCTTTTTTTTTAACAAAAAGAATGCAGAATGATGGAGGGAACTGCTTAATTTCCACTGGAGTGGAGAGGTAGAGAAACTAGAAACTGAAAATTAAAAAAACCTTAAATAAGTTTAGCTGAATCAGAGAACATTGGGGCTTGCTCCCCACTTACTCTAGGGCAGCTTGGGTAATCTAGAAGTCTCTCAAAGAAGCTCTGCATTTTATATAATGCCAAGTCCTGAATGACACAAAGGCACTGTAGTAGAATCTTATTACCTCGGTGTTAACATTTTTGTCCACATAATTGTATTTTCTAGGGTGCTGTTATGTATATTGTAGTGTTTTATGTTTTAAGAGTATCATTAGCTTCTACTAACTAGATACCAGTAGCATCCCACTCTAACCATGAGAATTATGAATGCCTCCTGACATGTTTCATATTCCCTGGTAAGCAAACCACCTAAGTTTGACAACCATTGCACTAATTTAAGGATGGCTATGGGAGAAACCAAGATAGCCTAATGGAGTCACATAAAACACAGCATTTTTTTGGCTCTTTAATTGTGTGAAGAGGCTGGAAGAATAAATTCATAGGTTCTGAAATAACTAATAAATTAGAATAGACCTTTGTTCAGAAGAAGGAGGCTACAAAGTGAACAAATCTCATAAAAAGATGCTCTCTCAGATGTCTTGGTTTCAGCAGCAGATACCAGCAGTGACCAGATCAATCAACCACACATCCTTAGTATACACCAAGGCAGGATATTCATAGACAAGACTGGCTCAATATCTTACCCTGTGGACCCTCAAATGTTCAGAGGACAGCATTTAGGTATAATGTTCTTCCCCGAGGACCTTAATTTTGCTCCCAAATACCATCCTAAAAAAAGATTAGGAAAGATCAGCGGAGAGAGAAGAACTAACACTAAAACTGAAATTAAAAATTTTAAAGCCAGAAAATATGGAGATGTCCCAATTGCCAAGTTTTTCCAGTGATTGCCACAGAACCAGATGAGGCCAATTAGAGAAAATTTAAAAAATTTCTACTTGTAACATGTCGGACTCCATAAATGATTATTCTTATTGGCGATATTTTGATTCATTGCATGTATAGGGTGTGGTAAGACCATGGAACATGTTAGAAGGGAAACCCGGGCGTTCACCCAGGACAATTGAACTGGATAGAATTTTGCATATATTGAGAAAAAGAAGACACAATCTGAAAACATATTTTCTAGGGAAAAGGTAGATATTTACTTTATTAATACATCCAGTAAGTAATGGTCTACATTTACCTCAAATGTAGGGAGATATTTTGGCTGGACCTTTCAAACAATAACCATATAGCACTTGGAAGAATATTATTAAGATCACCTAGGATAAGTGTGTAGATAAAGAAAATAAAGCAACTGAAAATAAAAAATTAACAAAATGTTTTTGAATGAATATGTGAGAGAAGAATTCTGGATAGGAGGCACTTAAGAAGGCGAAATTAACTCATAAATAAGATGAAAAGAAACCTACAGAATACATTATTTTATGACAAGTGTGCTTAAGCATATTATGCATTGAATCTAAAAAGAGTTTATTTTATTTGACACTGATACGGTTATTAGTCTTCTTTAAAAATTAAGCCATTCAGTCTAGTGGCTGGGGTGCAATCCAAAATGTATGAAGCAAGAGAGGAGCAGCTAATGTAGAGAACTCTTTTAAGAAACGTGTGGGCAGCATAATAGAAATGACGATGAAATGCAGAGAGGATTGTTTGTTTTTAAGCTATAGGGATTTATACTACAGGGCAAAGGAATAATGAATGAAACAAGGTACCCAAGCAAAAAAAGCAACAAGACCCACAGTACAAAGGATAAGAATTTTCTAGTCACTTGGAGAGAAACATTCTTTGTTTTCTTATTATGATAGAAAGAAGAAATTATTACAGGATTTCTAGAGGTGTGCTGATATAAATATGAGTGAGTTCCGGTTTGAAGGTTTCTATTTCTGTTTAAAAGATGGCAAAGAAAAAGCCCTTCTCAGAGTTAAGGAAATGGAATGTTGGAGGATAATTGAAACATTTTTAAATAGTCACTGTGAAGAATTTTAAAAGAGTGCTAACTTGGATTGTAGAAATAGTTTTAAGGAGCTTTGAGGATTTCACTGCAGCTGATCACTCAAAAGTATTGTAACTTCTGGGGAAAGTGTGTGTCATAAAAGGCAATATAATTAGGATGAAGAAAGAATTTGACCATGAGTTGTGAAAGCAATAAAATCAAATAAGTACCTGGTTAAGAAACTCAGAAAGAGTGAAAAGTCACATTAAAAAAATAATAATAATAGGTGTGCCTAAAAGAACTACAATTTTACTCAGAGGCTGTTCTAAAATCAGCTACTCAGTAGAACTTATGGATATAATTTGCTGATTCAAGTAATAAATTAATTGAGTTGGACAGATTTGATGAAGAAAATTGAATGATTAATGCACCATTTTAGATGGTGTTCCCTGGAGTTGTATGCAAACAGTGTGTCCAGGGTGCTCTAGAGAGATATGTCCATAAGAAAATGAGGGAATGTAACCATCATGGTTTAACCAGAGAAAATAATACGTAAGAGGCATACATTAAGATATTTATTTCAAGGAATCAACTTAAACAATTGGGACTGGCTAGTCAAATCTGAAGTGCCTAAGGCAGCTGTAAGGAAAGGCAGCCTGGAACTCTGGGGAGGGGCTGAAACTGTTGCCGACAGGCAGAATTTCTTCAGCAGGAAGCTCCAGTTTGTTCTGAACACCTTTCAACTCATTGAATCAGACCCAAGCAGATTATCTAAAATTATCTCCTACTTAAATCCAACTGATAATGGGCTTTAATCATATCCACGAAATATCTTCCCAGAAAAGCCAACTTTAGTGTTTGATTGAATTGCTGAGAATCATAGTTTAGCTGAGTTGACATACAAATCTGAACATCACAGGAAGACAGAATTGGATTGGAATGCTCTACAATGTGGTTGCAATGGAGGCTTCAGCCTGTCCTCTGAGATTTGCATTAATCGTTCAGAGTTGTTCCAGTAGGAACAGCAGTGCCAGGGCTTTGTATCCCTACATCAGCCAGGCACTGTGGTGCCTGATGATGGAGAAATTCTTATTGAAAAACCACATGTGAGTACATTGGCCCTAAAGACACCTGGGTGGAGAATCACAGTATTTACTGTACAGATGATAATTTAAACTGCTGACATGATTCAATGAAAAGTTTCATTTTAAACTACTCTAAAAAATCATTGTCATTGATGCAGAGTTTTTTATTGCATTATTGGTAGGCTTTTACTTTATTGTATTCTGTATCGATTTTAAGTCAAATCAGCAAACACAAATAGGATAGTCTATAATTGTTAGGTTGACTAACAAGCTACCATTTCTTCCATTTTTTTCTATCAATTTCTCTGCATTGTATACAGAGAATACAACATTTCCCTTGTTGTATTCTGACGAAGTTTACCAGGAGCTGTAGAGAAACTGCCCTTCATAAAAATTGACAGATGTGTCCGTTTTAACTTTAAAAGCAGCCAATCAATAAAAATAAAAAATAGGAATTTTTCTATCCACTGTTGTGATGTTCACTTACGTAAAAGACTCAAATAAACTCTTGGAATTAATGATTCTGAAATTGGCCAGAGAGATTGTAGTCTCGTTATTCCCAGCTAAATAGTTTGTACTTAGTTCTAGAAACCCAGGATGGTTCAGTGTAATCTATAGTTAATTATATATATATATATATTTATATATTTATATATATTTATATTCATATATATTTATATTTATATATTCATATATTTATATTTACATAAATATTCATATGTTTATATTTACATAGATATTCATATATTTATATTTACATAGATATTCATTTATTTATATTTACATAGATATTCATTTATTTATATTTACATAAATATTCATTTATTTATATTTACATAAATATTCACATATTTATATTTACATAAATATTCATATATTTATATTTACATAAATATTCATATATAGACAAGATCTCACTCTGTCACCCAGACTGGAGTGTAGTGGTACGATGATGATGGCTCACTGCAGCCTCAACCTCCCTGGGCTTGGGAGATCCTCCCAACTCAGCTTGCCAAGTAGCTTGGACTACAGGCACATGCCACCACAACCAAGTACTTTTTAAATTTTTTGTAGAGATAGGGTATCACCAAAAAAAGAATATTTTTCTTTCCATTCTTTGTGACTTCATTATTGTGATTCACCCAGCAACTGCTTTTGAATTCTCTGATGCTTCCAAGGCTAAATCTAGAGCAGCAAGTGAAAAGTTGCATATTGAGGAACATCAATAAAATAATTCACTGGGTAAGTCCATCTGAGGTGAACTCATCAAAAGATGGGTGACTTACGACTTTGATCATCTTGTTTTCTCAAGTAGCTAATCATAACAAAAATGTCTACAAATATTCTAGTTAAATAAGCAACCATTTGACTATTTTAGTAAGCTATTTATTGGTTTCTTTTATATTTATTTCTGTCTTCTCCCATTTCTATAGAGACATAATATTTGTACACATTTATGTGTTGGTGATATTTTGTTACATGCATAGAATGTGTATTGATCAAGTCAAAATATTTAGGGTATCCATCACTTCAACTATTTATTATTTCAATGCATTGAGACCATTTCAAGGCCTCTCTTCTAACTATTTTGAAATATATAATACATTGTTGTTAACTATAGCCACCCTACTCTGCTACCAAACATTAGAACTCATTCCTTCTATCTAACTGTATGTTTTAACCATTAAACAACTTTTCTTTATTCTCCCCTTCCCTGTCTGCCCCATCCCTACCCTCCTGCCACAACCACACTACTAGCCTTTGGTATCTATCATTCTACTCTCTACCTCCATGAGATCAACGTTTTTAGTTCCTACATATGAGTGACAACATGTAATATTTGTCTTTCTCTGCCTTGCTTATTTCACTTAACATAATCACCTCCAGTTCTATCCTTGTTGTTGCATGATTTCATTCTTTTCAATGGTAACATGATATCCTTTTCTATGGTTTAATATATTCCACTGTATATCTGTATCACATTTTCTTTGTCCATTCCTTTCTCTATAGACATTTTAATTGTTTCCATATCTTTGCTATTGTGAATACTGCTGCAATAAACATGGGTGTGCAGTTATGTTATCTTTTTAATATACTGATTTCTTTTCCTTTGGATAAATACTCAGTAAGGAGATTGCTGGACTCTAAGGCAGTTCTATTTTTAGTTTTTTGAAAATGTTTCATACTGTTTTTCATAGTAACTATATTATTTTACATTCCACAACAACAGTGTATAAAAGTTCTATTTTGTCTTCATAGTCACCAATATCTGTTATTTTATATATATATAATATATAATAACATCTGTTATTTTATATATATATAATATATAATAACATCTGTTATTTTATATATATATGTATTAGCAAACTTTAATATAATGGCTTTTTTATTTTATTTTATTTTATTTTTTATTTTTATTTTTCTTGAGACGGAGTCTTGCTCTGTCACCCAGGCTGGAGTGCAGTGGCTCAATGTCGGCTCACTGAAAGCTCTGCCTCCCGGGTTCACGCCATTCTCCTGCCTCAGCCTCCCAAGTAGCTGGGACTGCAGGCGCCCACCACCACACCTGGCTAATTTTTTGTATTTTTTTTTTTTTAGTAGAGATGGGGTTTCATTGTGTTAGCCAGGATGGTCTCAATCCCCTGATCTCGTGATCTGCCCGCTTCGGCCTCCCAAAGTGCTGGGATTACAGGTGTGAGCCACCGTGCCCTGCCCAGCTTATATATATATATATATATATATCACACATATTACATATATCTAGAAAATATATATTAATAGCACAACATATTATATATATATCTAGAAAATATATATTCTTTTATATATTATATATTCTTTGTATCTTTATAAATATATTTTCTGCAAATTTGTGATTTGGTTTGTTCTTGCTTTTCTAGTTCCTGAGGTGCATCTTTACATGGTTTATTTAAAATTATTGTAATTTTTGTAGGTGTTTATTGCTATAACTTTCACTCATAGCACTGTTTTTGCAGTACTCCATAAGTTTTGGTATGTTGTGTTTCCATTTTCATTTGTTTCAGGTAATTTTTTTATTTCCTACTTAATTCCTTCTTGGACCCAGTGCTCATACAGGAGAATATATTTTTTCAAATTTTCATGTATTTTTAGAATTTGCAAAATTCCTCTAGTTATTGATTTCCAGTATTATTTCGTTTTAGACTAAAGATACTTGATATAATTTTGGTTTTTAGAATTTGTTGAGACTTCTTTTGTGACCTAACGTGGTCTATCCTGGAGAATCCTTTATGTGCTTATGAAAAGAATATATATTCTGTAGTTGTGGATAAAATGTTCTGATAAGGTCTGTTACATCCATGTTTCTAAGTCCAGTTTGTATTCAATATTTCTTTGTTAATTTTCTGCTTCATTAAGCTGTCTACTGCTGACAGTAGAATACTGAAATCTCCAACTATTATTGTGTTGGAGCCAATCTCTCCTTTCATATCCAAAAATATTTGCATTCTATACCTGGGTTCTCCAGTGTTTGGTACAGATATGTTTACAACTGTTATATCCCGTTACTGAATTGATCTTTTTGTTATTATATAATTACTTTCTTTGCCTCTTTTGTCTGTTTTTTACTAGAAGTTTGTTTTATTTGATATTAGTATAGCTACTCCTGCCTGTTTTGTGTTTCTGTTTGCATGGAATATCTTTTTACTTTGAGTTGATATGTATCCCTAGCTTTGAGATGAGTTTCCTGAAAGTAGCATATAGTTGTATCATGTTTGTTTGTTTTTAAAACCATTCAGCTAATCTATACCTTATAAGAGGCAGTTTAATCAGTTTACATTAAAAGTCTTCATTGATATGTGAGGGCTTATTCTGTTGATTTTAATTGACTTCTAGTTGTTTTACATCTTTTTTGTTTCTTTCATTCTTCTTTATTTATTATTGTAGTTTGGTGATTTTCTATAGTGGTAAAATTTGAATTATTTCTCTTCCTCATTTGTGTGTTTGCTCTAACAGTGCGTTTTATACTTTTTTGGGTTTTCATTATGTTAGATATTGTTTTTTCACTTTTAGGTGTAGGACTTTCTTTAGTGCTTCTTATAGGACGAGCCTAGTTGTGATTAATTCGCTCAGGCTTTGCTTGTCTGGGAAAGTCTTTATTTCTCCTTTATTTAAAAAGTGACTTTGCTGGATATAGCATGCCTTGACTGGTAGTATTTATTTATTTATTTATTTATTTATTTATTAGCACTCTGAATATATCATTTCATTCTCCCCTGGTAAGTGGTCTGCTGAGAAATGCAATGATGTTCTAATGGGTGTTCCCTTATAAATGTCTAGATGTTTCTCTCTTGCTGTTTTTAGAATTATCTCTCTGTCCTTTTATTATTACTATTATTATTATCATACTTTAAGTTCTGGGGTACATGGGCAGGACGTGCAGATTTGTTATATAAGTATACACGTGCCACAGTGGTTTGCTGCACCCATCAACCCGTCATCTACATTAGGTATTTCTCCTGATATTATCCCTCCCCTAGCCCCCTACCCCATGACAGGCCTTGGTGTGTGATGTTTTTCTTCCTGTGTCCATGTGTTCTCATCGTTCAATTGCCACTTATGCATGAGAACACACAGTGTTTGGTTTTCTGTTCTTGCGTTAGTTTGCTGAGAATGATGGTTTCCAGCTTCATCCATGTCCCTGTGAAGGACATGAACTCATCATTTTTTATGACTGCATAGCATTCCATGGTGTATATGTGCCACATTTTCTTTATCCAGTCTATCATTGATGGGCATTTCGTTTGGTTCCAAGTCTTTGCCATTGTGAACTGTGCCTCAATAAACATATTATCTTTTTGTCTTTGATTTGATAGTTTAAATATAATGTGCCATAAAGAAGGCTTTTTGAATTTTATCTGTTTGGAATTCCCTGATTAAGGCATTTTTAAAGAGATTTTCTATCCCTTTTGCTTTCTTTTTGCCTTCTGGGACATTAACTTTTATTTGCTTGCTTTATGGTGTCCCGTATGTCCCATAGGCTCTGTTCATTCTTTTTAATTTCTTTTTCCTTATTTTTGTCTGACTGGATTATTTCAAAGGACCTGTATTCAGGTTTTAAAATTCTTACTTTTGTTTGATCTAATCTACTGATGAAGCTTTATAATGTATTTTTAAATTTTATTTAATGAGTTCTACAATTTCAGAATTGCTGTTTAGTTATTTTTCATGATATCTATATCTTTGGTAAATTTCTCATTTATATCTAAAATTGTTTTTCTGATTTTTCTGCTGCTTACCTGAGTTTTCTTATGTTTCACTAATGCTCTTCAATATCATTATTCTGAATTTTTTCTGGGAGTTCAAACATTTCTTTTTGATGGAAATCTATTGCTAGATAATTACTGTGTTATTTTGGAGGTGTTCATATTTTGTTTATTTTCCTGTTTCTTGTCTGATTGTGGTGACATCTGGGCATCTGTTGAATAGTGACATATTTAATGATGTAACAAAAAGTCACTTAAAAACTTATAACCTCCTCTGTTATTCTCAAGTACTCCAAGTCTCTCAATATTTTCTCACCTTTAACTGCAACGGGACTTTGTCACACTCCATTACAGTTGTGGTCCAGTAGTTTATCTTTTTTCTTCTCTTTCCCATCATGTCCAATCATGCATGATGTTATCCTTATAGTTCTTGATCACATTCCCAGCTTCTCACAGCCCATTAGATAAAATTGTACTGTTCTTATGGTTGTTTTCTCCCTCAAAACATTATTCTCAGGAGTAGAAAAGTTAGTAAATGGTAATGGTGGGGTGAGTGAGTTTTCATATTATCCTATTTACCTTATTACAGACATATTCTATCTCTATCTATCCATCTATCTATTCATTCATCTATCTTTCTATCTACCTACTTACCTGCCAATCTACCTATTTCCCCATCCACCAAAGTATAAATTGGGCAATCATTCATAAAAATGTATAGAGTATTTAATCTACATGTATGAATGTTATTCATACAGGTAAATTTTTGAAGGAGAGTATTGGTTGATTCCCAAAATATTACCAAAGGAAGAAACAATACAAGACAACTTGTATTTTAAGAATATTTGTAGCATGTAAAATGTTTTATGGACATATGTAGAAACCTTCACAGTCATTATTTCTTGATAGTAGGATGACAATTTTTGTTTTCTCATGTATATATTTCTCTATTTTTCAATATTTCTAAGTTGAATGTGTATTAATTTTAACAGAGAAACTATAAAAATTAATTTGTTTTGAAATAAAGTATAACCTATTCCAGAAAATAAAAGAAATACGTAAGTTAACTAATGCTTAGATATATTCATATATTACTCAAAATTGTTTTTATTTTTAAACAACTAATATGTATTTCAAAAGAGCTTAGATATCAATAATTATTTCCTAACAAATACTGTTTAAAAGTATTATTGCATAGTTTCATCCTTTTAAAATATTATGCTACCGTATAACTACCATTCCTGTTTTACTAGACTGTAAATTCAATCAAGCCACGCACAATGGCATGGCAGTCAGCAGAGATGCAAACAACAACAATAAAAAAAATGTTTACTAGGGAAACACCTTATTTAGTGTTGATCAATTTTCAGTTATCTTGTTCTTGATTCCACATCACATTTTAGGTGTGTTTTTTTAATTTGTTTGCTTTGCCAATCACGTGGATCCTTCCTTCTTTTTTTTTTCTTCCTACCATGGTTGTGTACTTTTTCACACTCTTCTCAGTAACAGCGGTTGCTTCCTGAATATTCAACCTTTAAATGCGGCACACATTCAACATTTTGAAGATAATATACTGTATGGACTTGTGTTAATTTATGACACTAACATTAGAGAAGCTAATATGGTTTGTCTTGTCTCTCTCTCTGTGTCTGGGAAGGGGAGAACTCTCCCTGACTTTATCTCCCTTTTGAGGTATGAATACTCAAAAACCATCTCCCCAGATAATTCTTATATTGCACATAGAACCAGCTACAGAGTGTCTTTAAGGATATCAGTGGCTTAACTCTCTTATCTTTATCTTTTTTAGCATTCCATTTAATTACTCCATATGCACAGAAACTGAAATCGAGTGTGCCCACCATACAAGTACGTATCAGGGCACTTACCTAATTCTACATTTCCAAGTAGATTGACACCATAAATTGATATGATATATCCTAAATTGAGGAAATGTAATTTGTAAAAAAAAAAAATTAAGAGTGGAAAAGATTTGCCTTCCTATGCTCATGCCATTTTCGTTATAGAGAATTTTTCTCTAACATTGCTTGCAGATAGAAAAACAGCCAGAAACTGACTTAAGTAACATTTTCATCTTTATGATTTATAATGAAATCATGAGGAAATTAATTTTTAAATAATTGAAGAAAGTAAAAAGTATTTGAAAAATGAAAAAGAAAGGTTTTACTATGGTTTTTAAAATGACCACAACCAGATACTTACACTGTTAGGGAAATATAATTAAAAACAAAACCTCCTGCCAACCCAGAAAATCTCTTCAGAAAGAAAAAAGATAAATAAAACAGTTTTCTTATTGGATAAGTATTGAACCAAGATGAGTGCACATCATAGGCACTCTACTAAGAGATTGCAAAGATCAAAATAAATTTCACCCTTTTTGTGTTAGGCCATTCTTTCATTGCTCTTAATAAATATCTGAGACTTAAAAATGTATTTTTAAAAAGATAATTAATTGGTTCATGGTTCTGCAGGCTGTACAGGAAGCATGGAGTCAGGAATCTCCTCAACTTCTCGTGAGACCTAAGGAAGCTTTCAGTCATGGCAGAAGGCAAAGAGGGAGCAAATGTGTTACACGGAAAGAGCAGCAGCAAGAAAGACAGTGGGGGAGAGGGGCCACACAATTTTAAACACGAGGACAGCACCAAGCCATGAGGGATCTGCCCTCATAAACCAAACAGTTTTCACCAGGACCCACCTCCAACACTGGGCATTATATTTTAACATGAGATGTGGAAGGGGCATCCAAACATATCATTTGTATATATCCAAGTAGATATAAACAATTACATAACATATTTTCAAGGTAAAGAATAACCAGCCCTCAAATAAGAAGTCTTGAAAATACCATTTGTCACACATAGTTCATTCTAGATTCACCTGGTAATTGGAGTGGCCATATATGTTTGCTAACTGGCTTTACCCGAAGGATCATTTTCTCATATCTTTATGACAGTAGGTAGTTTTTCAACTTGGAGGGACCCTTCCCCTCCAAGTTAGGTTCCTACTTTCCCACAGAAACTGGGAGACAGTGACTTTTAATCTTTCACAATGATTACATTTCAAGAGATAGTTCTCAGGTTCTTGAGAAAGATATACCTGAATTCTAAAGCTGGCAAGAGATTTCCCAGAAAAAGATTTAGCATCCAAGGATGTCCAATCTTTTGGCTTCCCTGGGCCACATTGGAAGAAAAATTGTCTTGGGCCACACATAAAATGCACAAACTATAGCTGATGAACTAAAAACCAAAATGTAAAAAAATCTCATACTGTTTTAAGAAAGTTTATGAATTTGTGTTGGTCTGTATTCAAAACTGGGCTGGGCCTCAAGTGGCCCACGGGCCTCAGGTTGGACAACTCTGATTTACATTGATTTATATTAATTTAAAAGATACAGACTAGGCTTTATAATCTTAAAAATTCTAATGTAAATGTGCTAAGAAAAGAGGCTTAGGAAGTCTCTTGTCTTATTTTCAACAGGGAGAACAGGCTTATTTTCAACAGCCTCTCTTTTAAAATTTGTATTTGGCCTTATAACACAGAGTCCTGTGAAAGGTACACACACAGAGAACATATGGAAGTAAATTAAATAAAAAGAGTAGCATACAAGAATACAAATATTTTATTTGGTCTTACCTTCCTCTTAAACTTTTACAAACTTCTTTGCTAAAATGCCAGTAGCAACACTTAACTAAAATCTCAGATATTTTGTGCTAGTCACTTTTATTGATACCACTGCAAAGATTAAAGAGGACTTTATTGAGATTAGTACTTTGGGAACTGACTTCTATTTATTTATTGCTTTCTAGAGTGACACTTCCCAAACATCATACACTCAGCTAGACATTCCAGCGATTTTATAAGATCTATTTTATGCCATGGAAGAAATCTCAGGAAACCAGCCAGATAGTGACTGATACGCATAGCAGTTTCACCACTTAATTTGTTCTCTAGCGGCTTGTCTATAACCTAGAGCCAAAGAAACTTTGCCGTAGACCACTTTCTTTCTGGAAGCTTTCTACATATTCCACTTCATTTTTAGTCACAAGAATTTCTCCCATAGAAATTTGTCAGTTTTAAGCTGGTGGCTTTTTGGTCTGTGTCTAGAAAGTTTTGAATTTATTTCTTTTCTAGGTTCCCAGCCTGAGTTCTTCTATTAACCAATTAGGTTACTAAGTCATTACTCATGATTGATTCTGTTTATTTCCAGATTTTCCTTTCCATCTTCTGGTAGAAATTTTCCATCATAATTTGTTACTTGGTTTATATTTTATTCAATGATTTTCCTTTAATATTCCCTTGGGTCTCATTGATAATACATATCTCATTAAATCATTAGAGTTCTGAATTATTTGTATTACCTTAAAATTTAAAAAAGGTAGTTTGCAATAGAAAAGAAAGCATAAATAGTAGTGTAATTTTTTTAACCTAAAAGAAGAAACTGAGGCAAAATAATGTAAGTGGAGAATTTATGTGGTCTAAATTTGAGGATTGCAACCCAAGAAATACACTTTCAAATTAAGTAGATTTTTAAAGGCAAATTGAGAAGGTATAGCAGAAATGGTCTCAGTCTATTCATATAGAAATGTCACTGGGTAACAGAAATAAGCAAATAGATGATTGACTAATGGCTACCAAACTTCCCAGAATATTCATTATTAGTTTGTGATTAACCTAGTTCCTTGAATTCTTTTTATAAGCAAAAGGGATACAGGAATTTTGGAGGAGTAACTGTGGCCTCAGGTTCACTCCCTTAGGTAACTATAATTTAGTTAACCTTTATTTCTTCAGTTTTACTCTCAGTTTATGCTCCTTGGGAAGAGGAAGAGGATAAAGTATATTACATTTTCCCTGGTCTTATGGTCAGACTGGGCTTTAGTGTGGCACAGCTCACAAGGTAAATCCATCTCTCTCCTTTCTTTCAAAGAATGAGAAAAACCTGTATAAAGATTATGGATGAGTCATGGAGAGAGAATTGAGGAGAAAAATCACATTTTCAATGAATAGGAAATTTTGAGAACTAATAGACCACAACTGTAACTTTGCACATTAATTCCACTAACTGCAATCAAAATTATATTTTTTCCATATAATTAAACTTTGAACAACTAAATAATAGGTCACACAAGTGCTTCAAAATATTGCAATATAAGATAAAAAGATTTGTGTTAGCTATTACTTTAAAAACATAGTTTAACATGCTCAGTGTGTGTTTGTAGAGATTAGGAGAAATGGTCTCAACACATATTTGTGAAAATTTTAAAATAATGTAATGATGAGTCTGCCAATAAGAATATATATTTTTCAGTGGAAAATTAAATTCATCATCTTTTTTAACCTGAACTTTGTTATCACTTTTATCCCTAATACTGATGTAATAATTTTGAGCCTTCCTAAATTTCCTTATTTCTTTTTGTTTATTCTTTCAAATACCTGTAGATGGATATCATGCTACTGCTTATTTGTAGTTCAGTCAGTCTGAACACATTTGTTTTCTTCAAGGAGAACTCCAGGAAATCCAAATCAACCCTGTGCAAAAAACCACTTTCAAAAATACAAAATTTACATTCTGAATATCAATTGTAATAAGAAAAAAAATGCCTGCTATTTTTTTGATATTGCCATGAAGTTAGTTTCATTGGGTTTATAGGGAGGGGATGTCATTTAAAGCTTACTTTTCATATAATTTTCACACTCCATGTTATTTTTCTCATATTCTACACAAAACAAAAATAAGTAAAAATAGCAATCAAATTCAAGATCTAAGAATTTTGTAAATCCTCAGCTATAGCAGCTGAATTAAAAAAAAGAAAATATGCAATCAAATTTTTTTCATTTTTTTATAAACCTGATCAAATCTCATTGTATTTAAAGTTATTTTAAGTGACTGTTTGGCTTTAGTTGATAATGAGTAAGCCATAGTCCTGAGCTTCAAAATCATTATTGATTGTTGAGAGGGTTGAATTAATCTAACCGAGTCTACTGCAGTCTGGCTCAAAAATGGTTAGATAAAATAATAGATTTATAAACTGACAGGACTGAAAAGCTGTAGTAAGGTCATAAAGCCTATTAAATTCTTCTTTATGCCTTCTACATCAATTATATGTAGAGGTCATAGACTTTTATAATTGGGCATAAAGTAGTGACATGAAATATAACCACATTAATTTTATCCAGTTTTAAGATTTTTAAATTCCTTTTTCACATCTTTTCTGAGAAATGTTTATACTATTGCTGGAAAATAAGGAGTGATAGTGACAGGTATGATTTACATTTTCACAGATGATGAAGAAAGAACCAGGAAGTTAATTGGACTGTGCTATTTTTAACCAGCAAAATATCCGTAGAAGAAGAATTTGATGCCTCAATTTTACTTGAGTAAATTTCACAAATATAGTAATTGATTAACTATTTATTGATCCTGGCACTTCAAATTTTAGATATAAAGTAACTTTCTTAAAAAACCTTTATTTAAGCCCTAACATATTAGATCTTTTTGTTATGAGATCTTACTGCATTGCTTATTTATAACAGATATTTATCTCAGATGTAACTTAATATTTAATGTAATATTTCCTGTTTGATGTTGCCCTACTAGAGCCTATAAGAACCGTGGTACTGATGTTTTAATAGGTCTCACATTCCCAGTGCCTAATACAGTGCCTGCACCCAAGATTTATTCAAAGATTTTGGTTAGTCAAACACACTTCTTATATTAATCTTCTTGCCCAGGTAACTATCTTCTAGAGTATCAAGGAGAAAAGATACTGAGTTGGAGTTAAGCAGGTTTGCATGTTATTCTGAACTGCCATTCACCACATACTTCATTGTTTCAGTCCATGTTGCAGTGACATACTATTGCACTGGAAACATTTGAGAATTATCATTTTTATTCGCTTGAATGTTTCTTTCTCTTTTGTTAATCATGAGTAAGTATAGTTATGTATAAATTGTCAGCCATAATCATTTACAATATATCAATACCAAGTGTAGATATATCAATAGCAGGTGTCTTGAAGTAGGCAAACTGTTCTGAAAAGAATCATATGCATGGGCAATATTCGTCAATAGGTGCTGTATGTCCCAAGGAATGGAGTTAAAGTATTCCTTTTTGTTCTCCTCTTCTGATTTGATGGGATACAGAGCTCTTACTTGCTAAGCAATAGTATTGTTTGCTTTTGTTTTCTCTGCAAAATTAACTGGTATAGTGAGATGAACCTTAGTGGGAAGTGGGCAGGTAAATTTCCACAGAACTGTTAGAAAAGACATGGGAAGAAAAGGATCGAGATAACTTTATTTAGACATTAAATTTTCTGGAAAGTCTCTGATCAACTCCTATACTCTTGGTCATACAATGCATTTTAATATTTTGTACTATATACATTTCTTTATAATTTTAATTCAGTCGTTAGTTAAATGAACATAAATCATCAAATTTAAAGCAATATCATTACTTTACTTATAAACAAATTTAATGCATTTAACTGACACACTGATTTTCTTTAAAGTTACCCCAAATAAGAGACCAGTATACCTGTAACAAGTTTACCAATAACCAGACATATTAATATATTTCAGTAATATTTTTCATGAATATTGCTTCTTTTTTTCACCTGTTTTTCAATATAATTCTGAATCTCTTTACCTTTCTCTCTCTTTCTCTCTCTCTCTCACTTTCTGTCATCTGAATTTGATCCTGATGTGTCAATCTTACTGGTATAGGATAGTCACTTTATCATCACTACATAAATTTTATAGAGTAGTTTTCATAAAACTAAAAAAAAACGAATCTTTTTAGAAAATATGGTGGATAATGTTATGGACCACTGCATTTTGGGAGGTTTTTATAGTTCCCTTCACCAATTAAATAATCAGTACAGTAAGTACATCTTTGGACTCAAGTATCAAGTAAGGAGAGATTTCATTATGGGCGGAGGAAAACTGAACTTTGGCATTTAGATCCCACTAAGATTGATTTTGATCCAGCATTTGCATCATTTGAGACTAATTTGAAAAAAATAGAACAATCATGTCAGGAGTGCAGAAACATTAAGAAAGTATATATTACTGAAAACATAATTTTGGCAAGATTATTACATTATAAATAATATATCTCAGGAATCATACATATGTTATTCAATGACATGCAGATGGTAATCTTTTATAAAAGGGTTTTTAGACTTGAGGAGCCACGAATTAGGCTATCTTGTGAAATAAATTTCTAAGTCTATTACATATGGACAAAGAAAAACAACAAAAAAAGTAAGACTATTTGAAACGATAAAGTAAGCTAATATTGTAAAACAATATTGGTATTAAACATAACTTTATAGTAATCACATGATTTCAAAGCAATTAAGAGGTTTTCCACAAACTGAAAGAAAGCCCTTTATTTTGGCAATATTTTGCTTATTTTAAAAAGAAATAATGTGTTTCTCCAAAATCTGCATAGTAGGAAATTAAATCCTTCATAAAACATAGAAAAAACAACACATTAAAGTTTGATTACAAATTATAAGATAAGAGAGACTGTTATAGAAATAATAAATCATAGTTCAACTGTATAATAGGTAAATAAATTCAGGTTTTAAAACCTGCAGTTAAAAATTTTAATAAAACCCACGAAGTTGTTAACCAGAAAAAAAAAGACAACACTGAATTTAAGGCAGTTTTTAGATAAGTAGGTTAGAGGATAGAAAACAGCAGGCAAAAGGCTTCATAATTTCTTTGAATGTGTGGCAAAATAACTAATAATTGTAACTGTGGATTCTAAACTAACTTGTATCTTCTGATGGCAAAGATATTTTTGTACTTTTTAGAATCCTAGGGCACATTCAAATCCAAACTATAAATATATATTTCTTAACCTTGCTATTTACCTTCAATAACTTTAATGAGCATATAAATGGCATATCAAAATTTTCTCAAATACCATTTCTTTTATTTTTTTTAGATATTTCTTTTTTATTGTGGTAACAATATATCACATAAAATTTACCATCTTAATCTTTTTTAAATATATGGTACAGTAGTGTTAATTATATGCACATCATTGTGTAACATATCTCTACATCTTTTTCATTTAGCAATACTGAAACTCTATATTCATTGAACAGTTAACTTCCCGCCCCCATCAACTTCTCACCTTGGGCAATCACCATTCTACTTTCTGTTTCTAATATCTTCTCATATAAGTGAAATCATACAGTATTTATCTTTCCATAACAGGTTTATTTCACTCTGCATAAGGTCCTCAAGTTTCATTCATGTGCAGGATAAGACAGTATTTCCTCAATAAAATTTAGAATGCTATGTTTACATTGGTATGTTTGTTTAAAAGTTATTTAAGCAATCCAGAAGAAATTTTTTACCTTTTAAAAGAAAGAAACCTGTTTGTAAAAGATACTTATAGAGAGCCCCCATTATATAAAGCTGATAATAATGATCATTTAAGTATAACTTTATTATGTAAATTTTTATTTTATAATATTTTTGCACAATTGAGTGCAATGAGTCGCTTCATTTGTTTTACTGGTGTCGTGACGCAACATTCTACAGATTCATTTTTTTTTGTGAGTATTAGCTCCTGTTGTATGCACAGATATAGCAGATGCTTTCAAACTTTTACTTGATTGCAGGCCACATGTATTATAATGATGTATTTACTTGTATAAAAAAGAGTAATTTCTTCTCTAGTAAAATATTTACAGAAAAAGTTTACATTATGCAAAAGTGATGCCTGATAAGGATATATTGTAATATTTACAAATAAATGAATTTTAAAATATCTTCTGTGCCTATAACAATAGTATATAGTTCATAAAATTTGTAGAGAGTTCACAGTTGATCATCTGTAGTTAATAAGAGTGATCTCAAACCAATATTTAAGTTTTCAGCTGTGGTGGATAAAGACACAAGCACTTAAAAGGAATATACCACCTTTTAAAGAGGATATCTTTAGTTTGAAAAATCTTGCGTTTGGGGGACCTTTGTGTCATCCAAGCGGAAATGGTGGGCTACAGTTGTCTATATGAACCCAGAATTTAGGAAAATCTGTGCTTAGAGATATTGATTTGGGAGTTATCAACATACAAGGGAAGCCTATAGAATGAGGAAAATAGAGAATAATTGTGTACAGAGTGAGACTGCTCCTTAATCACTGTTAATCTGCAATCTAGTAAATTGATCAGGAATAATTAAGAATTGACTACATATATTTAAACAGAACAATTGAACTGACAGTTCTGCTAAATTCCTGTAAAGCCTCCATTGAAGCTAACTTGAATAAGATTTTCTCTTACAAGATGATCTGAAAGTGACATTTAGGCAAAACTTCCACAATGGTTATCTTTCTAAATACTTCTTAGCTGAAAATATCTTCATATCTTTGCACTATGTGCACAGTTTAAACCATGTGTTTGATATATTCTATATAGATGTCATTCAAATATTATTTGTATCCTTGTATTATAAGTATTATTTGCTTATTTTTGGCCTGCTTTCAGAAATTGTGAAATATTTGACTACAGGGATATAGTATTAATCCTCAGTCTGGTACATAGGGGCAACTTCATTGGCTTTATTTACAGCAATCCATTTATTTGCAGCCCTGAAAATAAGTGAGGTTGTGACTGACATTCAACAAATGTTTACCAAGTTAACCACTGCCTTAAAAATAAAACCCTTTACTACTATTTGGCAGGACTGTTTCTACTACTGGCAGGATTATTATTTCCCCACCACCACCTCACTGCTTATGTTTCTGGTCTCCTCACTTATGAGTAACCATGTGTTCTCCATGTGATCAGTCAATTCCTTTGTGAAAACTCTTTCTGATCGGCCAGGGCTACAGATGGGGTTTAGTCAATCATACAAGGGGTGTAGTTGTTTATTGTTGCTTCTTTATGTTTGAATTGAGATTCATCTAGGTCCAGAGAAATGACTTAATTTAATGTAACTGTCTCTCACACACTTGGGTATTTTAATTCCTTTGCCATGTTTATTCTAGTCTTTCCAGTTTGAAAACAGTATCTGTAACAGAAAGTATATTAATAAAAGCAAGTTTGAAAATGACTATTTTTGCTCTTTCTGTATTATCTTTATATGAGATATCACCTGATCCAGCAACGGTGCTAAATTTTCTAGTTACTGTTTTTCTTATGTTCTCAAAGTTCATGCTGTTGTTTAATTTGTCCTTGGCTATGCATCGTAAATGCTATCTAATATACATCTCTTTAAAAACTGGGCTTGGAAAATAAGCTTTGCTGCCACATTAGTTGCTTTTGGTTCTTTGCTAATTTTTGTTCCAATTTTATTTATTTTATTTGCTTGATTATTCGTTTCAGTAATAATATTGCATGAATCAAAGTATCAGTACAGTTCTGGTATCTTGAGGCCTAATACTAACTCAAGACCCTGCCAATATCTGAATCTAAGGCTGATATTTGTGCATAATTCACCAGAGTAAAAGTTTAAAATGTGCACTTTTAAAAGCACGTACTCTTACTTTCCCATTTTGGATGATATACAGCATACTGCTTGTTAGAAAAGGTTATTTATAAGATTTTTAGACACCTGCAATGCAATCTGCTTGAGGATTATTACAATAGCCTGATTTAAATATCAATTTTGTCAGTTTGAAGAATTAGATTTCTACAGTATATCAAAATTGACTTCTGGTTCTTAATAAGATGACAAACTAATGTGGGCTGCTGACTCCCTCTCTCAATTATAACCCTAGAGATGCTGTAGGAGGGAGACTAACATAGTTGAGATACTCATGTAAATATATATTTTTTAAATCATAAGAGAAGAGAATCTGCATGGGTCTCGAAAATGTGGAAAATTGCAGCCCAGAGCAGTGGAGGGGGCAAGCAAGATAATGGGTGGGGAAGCATCTTTTTGTTGTATAAGGTCTTGACCTTCAGCCTAATATTCTCCCTTTTCTCTGCCCCAGAGATATGACTGGTTTTGAATTTGTAAAACATGTCTTGCTCTGTCTAACCACAAATCTTCCTACATGTTGCTTTATCTTCCTTGCATACTGTGTCATTTTCTTTCTTGGCTAATACTAACTTATTTTTCAGATCCAGCAATAACCTTTTTTCCTCAAGGAATCTATGGCCTCCCTGTTTGAAGCACATCCAACATTTTGAAAACTGCTTTTCTCTTATTCCTCCTGCACATTTGATATTCTTCCCTATGTCATAACGTTATGGTAATTCATTCTAATAATTTAGTGCAGATTTGTATGCATATTTGACTATTCCAGGATAAACAGAAAAATATCTGTTCTGGACTTTTTTTCTGTCTTTCTAGTGCCAGCAAAGTGCCTAGCTCATTCTACTGATGTAGAAACCTGCCTCCAGAAATCAAGTAAATTGCTATTTACTTTTCTACTCCATACTTCTCTTTATCTTTGTGTCCCAGCTGTATGTACTGTCTTTTCTCACCAAAAATAGTAAGTAGATAATCCCTGTGAATAATATGTGAGCACATTTCAAAATGAGTGAGATCATGAAGACCTACCAAGAGATGTGATTGTTCTGGATCAAGAAAATTTCTCAAATATTATCTAGAGGGCCACATAGCTTATTACCTTACTTTAGATATTAACTATTGTACCTAATAAACTAAGGATATATATAGGCAATTTTTGAGTATTTATTAAATGCCAGGAGCTTCAAAGTATATTTACGCACGGTCCCATTTAATTTTTGTAATAAAATAAGCACTATTATTTTTTGAGAAAATTAGAGAAGTTGAGTAAGCTCTTCAAGATCACAGAGTTAGTCTGTGGGGAAACCTGCACTCTAGAGTACATCTGTCTTTAAATGCTTTCTTTGTTGGAGACTATCAAAACAGACTTCCTACCTTTTACCATATAGACACATGATTCAGTCTTCAGGCCCAGAGACAAGTGGAATCATTAGGGAAATATCTATCATTTGAGGACTGGAAGAAATCCCTTTGTAAAAATCTTCCCATTCTTCAACACAGTATACAGTAACAGAGTAATCTATGGTAAGGAAGCTTGCCTGTTTGAGCCCTCCTCCTAAGAAAACCAAAAACTTGAGAAGCAAAGTTTCATTTGTAAGTGCCAAAAACATCATGACGAAGTTTTTTATTGCTTATATACAAACAGCAGTTCCCAGAGTAAAAGAGTTTTTCTTTTTTTGGAACAGAGTGGGGAGTGGCACTGGGAACAGAAGTAAGAGAGGCTTTATGAAGCACAAATCTTTATTGTTAAAATCTAAAGTAACAGAAGCCAAAAAAATTTCAGAATGCACCTGAAATGAACACTCATTTTTTTTTCTTGAGAGGTAAGTATATCCAAACCTGTCTAAGAGGATTATAAGCAAGTTGAAACCAGGAAGCATGATTTTCCTATAAAGCTTAAGAGAGGCTGTAGAAGTGGCTTTTATGGGAAAAAAATAAGAGGAACTATTATTAAAGAAGGAGTGGGACCAGGAAATTTGAGGGGTAGTTTGTGTGCCAGGATTCTAAGTTTTTATTTTGTGACCATGGCATACATCAAGACAAGCTCCAGCACAGCTTATTGTCAGGGTCTAGTTTAATATATGGGTCTTCTAACTCAAATCTTTGTTAAATTTACTACAGTGTCTCCAAAATGTTTTTTCTAATATATTCCAGTTTGTGTTTACAGTCTACCAACTTGTTTAGAGATTAATCCAGTGACCATAAAATGTATGTATAATGATTTTCACTTAACTCTCAAAAAATTCTGAATCACCTTTGTTCCTCACCAGGATATTCTAGGCATAGAAAACACATTTGGAAGGAAAGACTTTGCTCTCTCTTCTTCATATCCAAAATATAAAATTCATTTAAATGCACCAAACACTATTGTGTACATCTTTTTGTACAAAATGCTGCACTTCTACAAGACTCCCAGAGTGCCAAGATAAAAAAGATAAGGTTTGTACTCTCCAGCTGAGTCACTTAGCCAGTAGTATTAGAGAAAGAATCTGCAAACGGTGGGAAATTTTTTCATAAGTAAAGGTGGCAATGACTGTAGGAGAGAATCCCAAACAGCTGTTGAAGAAGGAGATGAAATAGGGAAGCCACAGGCATTTGGGCAGAAGATGGTCCTAGCACAACACAAAACAATTTCACATAGTCATGGATGTTTGGAAAGTGAAAGCAGCAGACAGACCACCCTGTGTGTGATCATCTGAGATGCATTGGCTCAATTTCAGCAAAACTGTCATGCAGCCTCGGGGACAGATCCATAAAACAGAAAGCTGAAATTGGGCAGTAGGTTATAGTTTTGCACATCCTGTTTGAGAAGAAAGAAAAAAGGCTTAGAAAAACCCATATATTGGTATGTATAAAGTGGCATCCAATATGTTTTAATCAAATGCCTATTAAAAATGATAGTATCAGCACCTTCTAAGAAAAGGAAAGACTAGATAAGTTCTCTACACAGAAAAGTGTTGGACATTGGCTTTTTCAGCTTCCTTAAAGTTTAGCAGGTGGTGCTATTGACTGAAACCTGGTCTTTGCATGTTGAGGACCACAACCACATTGGCCTCCAATGAATGTAAATCATCTCTTCAGCTTTTTTAAAATTATTATTTGTATAAATTTATGGGGTACATGTGCAATTTTGTTACAGGTATAGGTTGCATAGTGATCTCTTCCATTTTCTCAAAGCAAATCATTGCTTGTCTTCCATCACAGACTAGTGAGAAAAGGAAAGATACAGTAATTTGTATGATACATATTTTTTAAAACTCTATTACCCAAGTCAATTTTACTGGTCATTTTAGCAATTGTCTTATAAGCTATTCTGAATCCAAGTGGGATTTCTTATGTCAGTATTTGGCATCTGAGAAAGAGAATGGCTAAAACTTGAAATTATTCATTTCATAAAATATATAGATATATTTTCTGAAATATATTTATTTCATGTATATATACACACAAATATAATTGATTATAAGTTATCATATATATTAAGGAAATTGACTTTTAAATGAGCTTTACAAAAATAATATTCTTTCCTTGGAATCTTTTTTTTCTAAATAACAGGAATTTTATTCAACCTTATTTAGGGGAAAAATACAGGGAGAATCAGAGGAAGGAAGGGAAGAGGGAAGGTGGGGGGAAAGTGAAATATATTATTTAAGTAAAAACATAAATTATAGTTCATTCACATATGGCCCAAATTCCTGAGACTAGACTAGGACCTGGAAAGCTTTTGTGTCTCAAGGTAGATGTGACCTCAGATTCTTTTTCTAGGGTTGAATAGCATTCTGTCATAGCTCTTATCTTAACATAGCTCAATTTGTCTCTTTCTCTGTAGGTTAGCTTTCTTCAGTTCTCTACATGCACAGCTCAACATGGGACCCCACAAAGAAGTCATTAAGAAAGAACCATAGATATGTCTCAGACTTTAATACAAATTCTTAAGACAGGCGCTCATTGGTCTAGTTTGGATCAGGTGCCTTCTTCCCTCAGTTATGGCCACGGATAAAAGGGTCATTGTTGTCATAGGGCATTTCTCAGGTTGCAGAAGAGTTGTCAGAGAAATTAAAATTGGTTATATTCTAATTAAACTATTTAAATTATAATTTTTAATGATCACATTTGCATATCTAAAATTAGTGATGTGTGTGTATAAATATATAATCTCACATTTATAAATGAAATTAATACTAGTGACAATATTCTTTGAGAACATTTCTCCAGATTTAACAATCTAGCCTCAATTAAACCACTGAAATTTTTAGGCTATATTAAGTTTCTTTTTTAATAGACATGTAAAATTTATGTATATTTATGATGTACAATGCAATGTTTTGACATATGTGTACCTTGTGGAACAGCTAAATTAAGCTAAATCAAGCTATGTAACATATGTGTTTCCTCACATACTTATTGTTTCTGGTGAGAATATGTAAAATATAAGCCACTGACATTTTGAAAAAAATTTATTACAGAATATTTAACAAGCTATCAAATTGTACATATTTAAAGTAAACAAAATGATAAATTTTGACATAGTCATATATGGAAACATCATCAAAATACGGACAATGAACATATACACAAAATCCAAAACTTTTCTCATGCCTCTTTATGATTTTTCAAAACCATTTCTTCCCAAGTACTCCCCCGTACCTAGGCAACAACTGATATATTTTCTTTTGTTAAAAATAAATTTGTATTTTCTAGAAATCTATATGAATGGAATAAGAAAATATATACTACTTTTTTCTATCTCCTTTTAACTCAGCTTAATTATTTTGAGATACATTCATATTGTTGCATAGATTGAATATTTAATTTATTTAGTTGCTGAATAGCATCTTCGTATATTAGTATTCCAAACTTTGTTTATCCATTTGCCTACTAATGGACATTTGGGTTATATTTAGGTTTTGGATAATACATGCAAATCTGTTATGAACATTTGTGTGCACATCTTTGTGCTGGCATATGCTTTCATTATCTTGGATAAATACCTAGACACGGAATGTCAGAGAATGTTTTCCAAGGTGGTTGTATCAATTTGTATCCCAGCAACAGTGTATGAAAATTCTAGTATCCCTCAGCCTTGCCTACCCTTCATTCCAATATGTGTCCAGTGGTAACTCATTGTGATTTTCATTTATAATTCTTTTTTTGATTAATGATGATGAGTATCTTTATATGTAATTGTGTATAATTGATGTATTTTTCATGACTCAAATCTTTTACCCATTTACAATATTTGGCTGCTTTTTTCCTAATTATTGAGTATAAGAATTCCTTATATGTTCTAAATATAATGTTTTTGTTAAAATTATGTTTTGCAAACAGCACAGTCTGTCCCTTGCCTTCTCATTTTCATAGGAAATCAAGTTTATTGATTTTTTAAATTGTTCATATTTTTGAAATCATATTTTTAAAATTTTGACCAAATTTAACGTCATTATAAGTTTCCCCTAAATTTTTGCCTAGATATTTAAGATTTTAATTCTTGCCTTTATATCTATGATACATTTGTAATAACTGGTTTTTGAATATGGTATAAGGCAAGAGCCAAGATTTTTTTTAATGTATATGTCTCTCCAATTGTCCCAGCACCATTTGTTGAAAAAAAAAAAGATTTCCAAATTGAATTACCCAGCATGCTTTCCAAAAATCGGTTGGTCATATATGTGTGGAACCATTGTGTTCCACTGATATACATGTGCACTTTTAATATAATGGCACATAGACTTTATTTATAAGAAGTTTTGAGGTAAGATGTTATAGGTTTTAACTATTCTTTTCAACATTATTTGAAGTATTCTAGCTACGTGGCATTTATCATATACATTTTCAAATCAACTTTTCAATATTTAAAGATAAGCTTGCTCACATATTCACTGGGACTGAGTTGAATCTGTGGGTCAATATGGAAGGAATTGAAAAAGTCATTATATCGAGCCTTCTGACCCACAAATATGGTATATCTCTCTATTTATTTAGGTCTTGTTTATCTCAGCAATGTTGTGTAGTAATTAGTGCACAGGTCTTGCATGCCTTTTGTCAAATATATCCCAATATATTTGTTAAATATATTTCTAAGAATTTCACATTTGCATATCTCACTAGCATTTTTACTTAAAGTTTCAGCTGTTCATTGTTTGAGCCAATTCAAATTTCTTTTGAAAAAAATACCACTACTGGAATTTAACTTTGGTAAGAGCATGATGCATCTCTTTCCATCTTTAACATTTTAACCTGTATCTTTGCATTTCAAATGATATTTTTTGTAAATAATATACAGTTGAATCATATTTTTGTTGAATATGACAGTCTTTGCCTTTTAATTTGGAAGTTAATAGCATATATATTTGATGTAAGTATTGATATGGTTGGGTTTCAACCTAAGATCTTGTTATTTTTTGTTTATCTCTTTTTTCTTTTTCCTATTTAACAACCTCTTTTGAATTAGTTGTATATTTTTTCATGATGCTATTTTTATCTCCTTTATTCACCATTTAGCAAAATCACTGTTTAACCTTTTCAGTGGTTCCTTAAATTTCATAGACTACACTTTTAAATTGATATCTTCCAACTTTCATAAACATTATACTACTCCACATGTATTATTAAAAACTCACAACATAATTCTTTCATCCTCTCTTGAATTTTGTGCCACTGTTGTCAGATATTTTATCTCTATGTATGTTACTAGCCTAACCATAGGTCATTATATTTTTTTACTGTCTGCAGTCAATTATCTTTTAAGGAGCCCTCAAATAGGACTTTGTATTAATTCACAGAATTCCACTTTTATTTTTCTTTATTTCTTTCTGTAGATACAGGTTTCTATTTGGTTTAATTTGTCTATTACCTCTAAGAATTTGTTTAACATTCTTATTCTTATAGTGCAAGTCTGCTGCTGCTAAATTAATTCAGCATTCATAGTTCTCCTAATATATTACTTTCATATTTTTTTCTGAAAGATATTTTCTCTGAGTATAGCATTTTAAGTTTATGGGTTTTATTTTTTCTTTTAATGTACTAAAGATTTTTCTCCATTGTCTTTTGGGGTGTGTGTGTGTGTGTGTGTGTGTGTGTGTGTGTGTGTGTGTGTATGTTTCAATAAGGTGTCCGTTGTCATTCTTATATTATTCCTCTAATGTGGTTTTTTATCCCTCTTGCTACTGTTACTATTTTATTTTTACCATGATTTTAACAATTGTATTTTAATGTATTTTGGTATAGTTTTCTTCAAGTTTTTCTTTTTTAAGTAGTATATTAGTAAATGATCTTTCCTTCTTTTTTTTTTATTTCAATAGTTTTTGGGGAACAGGTGGTGTTTAGTTACGTGGATATTTTTAATGGTGATTTCTGAGATTTTGGTGCACCCCTCACCCCAGTAGTGCACACGGTACCCAATGAATAGTCTTTTATCCATCACCCTTCTCCCACCCTGCCTGCCAATTTCCTAAAATCTATTGTGTAATTGTTATGCCTTTGTATCCTCATAGAGTAGCTGTCACTTATAAGTGAGAACATATGATATTGGGTTTTTCATTCCCTATTTACTTCACTTAGAATAATGGTAATAATGGTTTCCAACCCCATCCAGGTTGCAAATGCCATTATTTCATTTCTTTCCATGACTGAGTAGTATTCCATCACCTATCTATCTATCTATCTATCTATCTATCTATCTATCATCTATCTATCTATCTATAGTATATATACTTACTGTAGTATATATACTACTTAGTGTAGTATATATATATACTTAGAATAATGATATTCTAATACCAATATTAGCTTAGAATATTACCTTATTCTAAGTGTGTGTGTATATATATATATATAAACATTTTATTTGTTTACTCATTGATTGATGGGCATTTGGGCTGGATCCACATTTTTGCAATTGTGTATTGTGCCGCTATAATCATGCTTGTGCAAGTGTCTTAGTCATAGAATGGCTTATTTTTCTCTTGGTAGATACCCAGTAGTGGGATTGCTGAATCAAACAGTAGATCTAGTTTTAGTTTTTTAGGAATCTCCATACTGCTTTTCATAGTGGTTGCACTAGTTTACATTTCCACCAGCAGTATTAAAGTGTTTCCTTTTCACCACATCCATGCCAACGTCTGTTAGTTTTGATTTTTAAATTATGGCCATTTTTGCATGTGGTATTGCATTGTGGTTTTGATTGCATTTCCCTGATTAGTGGGATTTTTGAATTCCCCTGATTAGTGGTTTTGATTTGTATTTCACTAATTAGTGATGCTGAGCATTTTTTCATGTTTGATGGCCATTTGTATATCTTCTTTAGATAATTGTCTATTCATGTCCTTAGCACACGTTTTGATGGGATTATTTGTTTTTTTCTTGCTGATATATTTGAGTTCCTTTTATCTTTTAGATATTAGTCTTTTGCCAGATACATACTTTGCAAATATTTTCTCCCACTCTGTGTGTTGTCTGTTTACTCTGCTGATCATTTCTTTTGCTGTGCAGAAGCTTTTTAGTTCAATTAGGTCCCGCTTATTTATTTTTGTTTTTCTTGCACTTGCTTTTGGGTTCTTAGTCTTGAAGTCTTTGCTTAAAGCCAATGTCTAGAATAGTTTTTCCAATGTTATCTTCTGGAATTTTTATGGTTTCAGGTCTTAGATTTAAGTCTTTGATCTATCTTGAGTTGATTTTTGTATAACGTGAGAGATGAGGATCTAGTTTCATTCTTCTGCAAGTGGCTTACCAGTTATCCCAGCACTATTTGAATACACTTTAGAAACATCTCATGCTGTCTTTTTACAAATATTATTTGATTATATACAATCATTGAAAAACTCCTAAAGTCACAAATATCTTTTTCTCCCTCTCTTTGATATTCAGTTCCTACTCACCTGCACTTCCTATCCTTAAACGTAATTAATAAAGTATAGCACTGTCAGTACTCAATAAATATCAGCTTTCTACTTTAGAGTCTGCATTTTGTGAATTAGATATCTGTTCTATCAACTAAATTGTTTTTCAGTCATTTGCTGAGTATATAGTGTCATTTTGGTAAGGCTATACAAACATTGGAATTATTGATTCTGGAAACTTGTAAAGTTGTTCTTTCTGTGTTTCTTTAATTATACAATTACAGAAGAGCAAGTGTATTATAATTGTACAATGGGTTGGAATTTATTTTACTGAATTTTATTTCCTGTGATATCTTAAAACATGCACCCCTATTCAAATAATGTTTAAATTGTTTGTTAAATGTGAAAGTTATGATTTGATATGTATGTTACCTGTTACTGTGTAGAATTACTACTATCAAATCATAATTCCAATACTGATATTAATTTTTTCTATAATTATGACATCAGAGTTGTATATTTTAGTATTATCTTACTCATCTACATGGAAACATATACACTAAAGTTAATTTTATCACATAAAAAATTTTCTTAATTTATGAATTATTTTTCTATATTTATTTAAAAAATAATTAAATGCAATAGAGATATACTCTTTGAGGATGATTTTGAGCATTTAATTACACTTTTAAAATTTAATTTTCTTCTTTAAAATACTCAAATTTCACTGATTTTATTTCAATTCACATATAACTTAAATTTAATACTAATTATTCTATTTATTGCTGTGTGGCAAATTGTGTTTACTAGACATAAAATTATGAAGATAATTTTTAAAGACCTGTGTATTTAATACATTAAAAGTCCATTTTATTCTATAATAAATAATTTGGCTAAATTTTCTAATTTTAATATATATTCCTACAAATATACTGTTCTATTATGGTAAATCATACAGGTAGATTTATTTTCCACAAATATTCAGTATGCCACGTATTCTCAGTTTCTCAGTGCATAAATAAACTTAACTTTGGCAGACAGAAATACTAAAACTTGAAGGGATTATTTGAAAAATACTGTTGTTGACCTGTTAATAGGCATTAAATTAAGGTTAGTTTCTTTTCCTTTTGATAAATGTATGAATATCAAAAACTTGAGAAAATGTTTGTATTTTCCCTTAATATAACATGCAATACCCTTTCGTATTGTTGGAAAAATTCATATATTTGACTGCCAAATCAATTTTTTGCCCTATACTATTCTGCAGCTTAATAACTCAATATTTTAGGCATTACTTTAACTTTCAGACTGCAGCTACCCTGTGTAGATGCTGAAAATATGTGCACATCTCTTACCTCCCTTAATTTCCCAGGAATAAAAAGTTACAGAAATTTTGATTCCAGACTGAAAATATCACAATTTAGTTGCTGAAAGTTCACAAAATATATATATTTCAGTAGATACATTCTGCCATGAAGTTGGTATGAAGCAATGGAGAAGCTTGTAACACTTTAGGACTGATAACTTTGGGTGACATTCTAATCGTATTCCAATTTCTGGATCTGTTATTCTTGAGGCCACTTTGTATTTCTATCCTTGGTGCATTGGAGATATTTTGTTTATTGGTTCAATTGTTGATTCATCCTTTCATTCTATAATTTCTTTTGTGTGTGCAGCTACTATGAGCCAGCTAGGATCTCAACAAGCAAAATTTGGCACACTTCAAGGAGAAAATTGGAAAATGAAATAAAATGATATCTTAAAAAATGTGGGCAAAGTATGAAGAAATAGCAAAGATGTCACAGTATATTGAAGCTAGAAAGATTGGGAAGGTTTATCAGCAGATAGACCACAAATAACAAGGGAATAGAGTAATTACCAGAGTCTGAAGAATAGGTGTTTGATATCAGCTTCCCTAGAGGAGTGTTGGCCTTTGGTGGATGGAGGCAGCTAACTCAGAAAATCTGGAGGGAGAACACCAGGTGAGTAAATATGCCAACCTCATTATATTCAAGCTCGCCTGCCATTAGCCAAATCCAGCTAGAACCTAAATGGCAAAGGAACCAAATCCACTCATAGATACTGGCTTTCTGGGATACAGAGCAGAGTGCTGGGGGATGAATATTGGATGTGGATGAGCGCATAGGAAATATCTAGCTCAACAGAGAAAAACATGGGCCCTCAACATTGATCCATGGATCACTACAATATAAAGTGATCAAGGTAAAGAGTGAGAAATATATAGCAGAACTTAGAAGTGGCCACTGAAGTTGGAGAAAAACCAGGTGGACATGGTATCCTGGAAGTTAAGTAAAGAATATGTGTGAAGGAGGAAGTGGACAACAATCTGAAAACCTGCTGAAAGCTCATTTAAGACGAAAATTAAGAATTAGCTATTGGATTAAGCAATATGGTGGTCATTCATGACCTTGACAAGAAGAATTTAACTGGAGTTTGAGGAGAAATTCCTGATTAGTGCAGATTTAGATAGAAAGGAAAATAAAGTGTTAGAGACTTCATGCAGATTGAGCAGGAAGAAACATCAAAATAACAGCAAATATTAGGGCAATTTTTTTGAAATTAGGAACTGCAGTTAAGAAAGATTTTAAATAAAAACAAGAAAGAAGAGCACTTTTTATTCAGAGGGGGAATACTGGGGTGTTGGAATGTTGAAGATACAGAATAGAAACTATGAAATCACAGGATCCATACATTTGAAGGTAAGAGGAGATGCAACCTAGTTCACAAGCAAAAACATAGGAGTGCCTTGGATAGAAGCTCATATATAGTAACAATCAGGAAAGCATATGTTCTTAGGCAGTGTATAGGTGATTCACTGCTATATGTTTCAATTTCTCAGACAAATTAAAAATCAGAGAATTAGGATAAGGAAGGAGTAAAATATTGAGGGAGTATACACTGAAATGCTTAGCTAGGAAAATAGGTAACCACTGCGCTTGAGAAATGTAGTTACATTTTGCTAGATATAAATAGCAGCCTATTTTTGTGGTATGATCATGAAATAAAACAAAGTCAGTTATTATGGTTTGTGCTTCCCCCCCCACCCCCGCCCACCATTTATTCACGTGGGAGCTACCATAAAACAAATGGAGAGTTGACTTAGCCAGAATTAGATGCTGACAATAAGTTAAAAAGAGAGCTGGGCAAAGGAAAGTGAGAGAAAATGCAAGAGAACGATGATTGTGATGACTGATAATAAAGTTTAAGTTGAGAATGTATGTTGATCTCCAAGACTGCCATCAGTTTCCATGATTCACTAGGAGGACTCCCAGTACCAGCATATAGTCATACTCATGGCTATGATTTATTACAGTGAAAGGATGCAAAGCAAAATCTACAGGGAGATTTGCATGGGGCAATGTCCTGGTTAAACCAGGCACCAGTTTTTAAAGGCCCTCTTCCAATAAAGTCAAACAGGACATAAATAATCCTACCAGAAAGAAGCTGTGACAACATCTATGAAGTGTTCTCTACCGGGGAAGCTCATTACAGACCCAGTGCCCAGGGTTTCTCTTGTAGATTGGACATGTGAGTACCCTCTGTTTGGTGTATAGAAAAATGACAGACTCTCAGAAGTTATGCAGGCATTCAGCACAAACTACATTGTTTCTACAAGCAATTTAGGCATAATAACCCGCTTTTATCAATTATGGTAGTAGAAACTGACTCAAAATCAGTTCCCAGATACCAGTCAGAGGCCAACCTTAAGAGCAGATGGTTTTGAGGATAAGTGGTCTCAGACTTGCTATTGTTAACACCTTTCTGCACATACGGAAAAAATAAACGACACTCTGGGGTGAAAGAAACTGAAAAGTTGTTGGAAACATTGGATTATAGAATTTTCATTCTATAATGAGATTATAGAATGGATTAGAGGTAACAGAGGTGATGAGTTGAAAAGATAAGAGGTAACCGATTTTGGTCAGATAGTGGGAAGCTTAAAAATGAAATTATGCAGCCTGGCTAACACGGTAAAACCTTGTCTCTACTAAAAATACGAAAAAATTAGCCAGGCATGGTGGCGGGCGCCTGTAGTCCCAGCTACTCGGAAGGCTGAGGCAGGAGAATGGCATGAACCCGGGAGGCGGAGCTTGCAGTGAGCCGAGATCGCGCCACTGCACTCCAGCCTGTGTCACACAGCGAGACTCCGTCTCAAAAAAAAAAAAAAAAAATTAAATTATGGAAGCATTGAAGCCACTAGAAATTACAGGGTGAATGACTATGAAATGGTGAAGGATAAGAGTAATGGAAGACAATATTTCATGAAACTCAAGAGACGAGAGTGTGGGAAGGATAGTCTACATGTATGTTAAAATCACTAAATATTAAGATAGAATAGGATTTCAGAGAATAACATTGAGTCAGGATTTTTAAAAATCATTGAGAAGTGAAGGAAAGTAACACTAGGGGTCACTGGATAGATGGCTGCACGTGTTGTATGTCCAGTGTTAATCTGATGACTTGGATTTTTACTGAAAATCAGCAGAGTACGGTGATACAAAAAAGAACCCCTCGGGCAAAAAACCAAAAATGTGATAGCAATAAAAATTTTCTGTAAAGATAGTTTGTTCTCATTTTCTAGTGATCTCATCTAAAGTTTATTGTATGACAACTCTCTTCCTAAGGCTGTGTTACATATTTTAAAGGAAGAAAAACTGATTGAAAGCAACAATGAGAATTAAGAAATACCCTACTCTATCTTTAGTCTTAAAGTTATAAAGTTTGCAAAATTTAAAAAAACAGCCATTATTTATGAGGGCTTCAGAGAAAGGAGTCTCACAATTCTGGGTATTTTGATTACATGTACCTGGGGTATTATGATATTAAAATCAATAAGGAGATTCATTTATATATCTCATCAATTGAAATTAAATTAGTTTATTCCTAGATTCATACCTATACCCAGATCTGTCTTCTTAATCTCAGACTCACACATTCACCTGCATAATTTCCTCCTATCAAGAGCTCTTCCTGTAGACTTGCCCCTTTAAGGAAATGCAATGCCAACTTTGTAGGTGCTGAGTGCAAAAGCTTTATCATCCTTGGCTCTTCTCTTGCACCCTCTGCAACCTTATCTTGGGCAAATCCCATTGACTCTACCTTCAAACTATATCCAAAAATGCTGGAGTGAGCAGCAACATGCATGCATGTGTTGGATGAATGTTCTGGCTTGTGACCAAAATCTGTACACTATGAAGAGTTGATTTTAAATTTCAATCAAGAATTATACCTTTTTATGTGTCTACGAGCTTACTGTAGATAAAGTTTCCCCAGAAAACCTGGATACAAATCCAAAAAATAAAAATCGTTTGGAGGCTTCCAAGTGCTGCTAAGGCAGCCAGAGCCTGAGGAGCCAAGATTCCAGGGAGCAGACGACTCCATCCTGGTGAGCCCAGCATTTTGTGTCATGTTTTTCTTCTCTGTGCCTTTGCCTACTTTGGCACATGGTGAATCTCAGGGGTGACTGAGAAGATAGAGGGTGGCAGAAAAGAGAGAAGTCAATAAAGCTTGCAACAATATTACAGAGATAAAAAGGTAAAAAAAAAAATTGAAGTTGCAGGTTATAAAGGCATTCAGGATTTGAGACAAGTTTCCTGAGAAACAACAGATGGAGGGAAATGAGGATGACGTTGCCTTTCTTACCTTTAAATCAGGTGGTGAATTTGTAAGCTGTGCACTACAAGGGGCAAATGAGAAAGCAGTATCCACTTCAAAACAGATTAGAGTTTAAGGTAGAATAATAGTACTTGTGACTTACACTGATAGCAAAAACATTCAGTTCCATTGAGGGAGAAGGAAAGGAAAATGTTTGAATTCTCTTTTGATGAAATTTTTAATCTTGGAAAATGATCAGAGTTCACTTCTCTAAACATTAGTCTCCATCCATAGTTACTTTAATTTTTACTCTTTTTTCATGACACTTCTATATCTATTTAATCACTTCAACTATTTATCTATATTGAATTTTTTTCTTGCTAATTTAAGATCTCCTGGAAATAAATGAAGTATCATAGTCAATGTTTTATCCACCAGGTATATGAGAAGCATTTTGTACATGGAAATTGCAAGAAGATTACCTAACAAGTGTGTTCTGAAATATTTACAAATAAAAATAGATGATAAATGTATTTTATCATTATACATCACATGAAGGATGTTATATTGGCAAGAATAAAGAAATGCAGAACTATTATTTAAAGTTAACATGGAACTACTGATAACATATTCCAAACATATACACATTTCTCTCCCTATTTTACAAAGTAGAAATCAAATGGCCTGAGTAATAATCTACTGCATTTGTTTATAGAATAACAATCTTAGTTTGCCAAGTTGTAGAATGTCGTAAGGAATAATTACTGAGTAAAACAAAAACAGAAAACTCTCATCAAAGCTCCAGAAATACTGACTCAAACTTTGTAAAACTCCTTTGTTTGTTCACATAAAATTCATTTTACTGTTATTTATCCATTTACTTGAATTTGTGAGTCTAAAATAATGTACATTATTTAGATTTTTACAACTTTATATTATTAATAACTAAAGTTGAATACAAAATTATCTTGCTACCCAGGGCCCCCTTGGGCCTCTGCCCCCTGCACTCCAGTGCAGCACCCCTCTGCCAGCTCAGCTGTGGTTCAAGAGGCCCGAGGTGCCACTCGACTTGCCTCTCCAAGAGGTACCAGCCACAAATCTTGAAGGTGTCTACATGGTGTTAATTCTGCAGCTCCCCAGCATGCCAGAGCTATGGAGGGATGGCAGCTTCTGCCTTTCAAAGGATGTATTGAACAGGCTGTGGGCCCAGGCAGACTCGTTGTAGGGGTGGAGCCACCGCAGAGAGCCCCTGCCAGGGCAATGCTGAGTGGAGCTGCAGAACCTGGACCACCACCAATAACTCAGAACTGTAGAATTACAAAGGTACAATGCTAATTTGGGAAAGCTGAGACATGAGCAAAGTTCAGGAAAACTGTGGAGGTGGGGCTGCCTCCGGCCTTCGGGACCCAAATGCTTCACCAGTGTGTGGAGGATGCTGGATATGGAATCAAGAAAGATCACCCTCCAGCTTTAAGATTTAGTGTCTGCCTTCAGGTTTTGGACTTTCTTGGGACCTTGAACCTCTTTCTTTAGGCCCATTTCTCCCTTTTTGAATGGGAATATCTACTCTATGCTTATCCTGCCACTGTGTCTTGAAACTAGATAATTTGTTTTGATATCACATATAGGACTCTGGAGTTTAGACCTTTGAGTTGATGCTGGAATGAATTAAAACTTTGAGGCTATGGGAATATAGATAAAAATAAATAAATACATTTGTATATGAGAAGGACATAAGTTTTCAAGGACCAACGGCTGAATGCTATGGTTTGAATGATTGGCCCCTCCAAAACTCCTGTTGGAACTTAATCCCCAACGTAGCAGTATTGAGAGGTGAGACCTTTAAGAGGTGATTGTGTCATGAAAGCTCTGGCCTCATGAATACATTAATCCAATCATGGATTGATGGAATAATGGGTTAATGCACTAATGGAATATCATGGCTGTTTGACTGGTGACTTTATTCAAAATGGGAAGAGCCTGCAGTGAGCTGTGATCGTCCCACTGCACTCCAAGCTGGGAGACAGAACAAGGCCCTGTCTCAAAAAAAAAAAAAAAAAAAAAAAAAAAAAAAAAAAAACTAAAAAAAAGAAAAAAATAGAAGGGGAAACCTGAGCTATCACACTCAGCCCCTTTCCATGTCCTATTCTATGCCATCTTTAGACTCTGAAGAGAGACCCCACCCGCAAGAAATCTGTCAGCAGATGTGGCCCTTCAACCTTGGACTATTCAACCTCCAGAACTGTAAAAAGTAAATTCTTTTTCTTTACAAATTATGCAATTTTAGGTATTCTGCTACAAGTAACAGAAAATGGATTAAGAAAGTTGGTAAACATTTTCCTTAGGGATATATAGTAAATATTTTAAGATTTATGGTCTGTGTTCCAACAACTTTACTTTGCCATTGAAGTGTGAAAGCAACAATAGAAAATACATATACTAATGAGTGGCCCTGTGTTCCTATAAAACTTTGAATTTGGCCCCCAACACATCACTTGACAACCTATGCTCATAGTTTAATTCAAGGGAATCTTTTTATTGTTATATTTTTTGTTTGTTTATATTTACATCTTAAGTATTACTACCTTACTTCAGATAAATTTCATGTAGCATTTATCACTTTGTTACTGTTAAGAGTGTTATTAAACAAAAGGGACTCAGTGCCCAATGCACCAAAAGCAAACACTATGCCACTAGGTTTTTTGAGAAAAGAAACACTTTATGTTGAAAGTCGATTCACAAGGAGAAGGAGTCAAACTCAAATCTGTCTCCTTGGGCTGGCTTCATGGCAGTATTTTTATTATAAAACGTTCAGCTGGTGGGTTCTGAGATGAGTGGGTGATTAGGGGAAGGAAAGGAGAGGCCTGGAAAGTCCTTGGGCATGTGCAGTTATTTCTTCATACCACCTCATGGGTTGCTTGTCCAAATTTGAGGAGAATTAATATGAAACGTGCAGTGGATATCAGGCTGTGACATCAGCAAGCTCATTCTGTGCAAACTCTTGTTGGCCATCTTTATTCCAACCAATTTTCTTTTGATCTCACAAATAGAGGAATTTTTTTTTTTTTTTTTTTTTTTTTTTGAGATGGAGTCTCGCTCTGTCGCCCAGGCTGGAGTGCAGTGGCGCGATCTCCGCTCACTGCAACCTCCGCCTCCCAGGTTCAAGCTAGTCTCCTGCCTCAGCCTCCCGAATAGCTGGGACTACAGGCACACGCCACCATGCCCAGCTAATTTTTGTATTTTTTTTAGTACAGAAGAGGTTTCATCATGTTGGCCAAGATGGTCTCGATCTCATGACCTTGTGATCCGCCCACCTTGGCCTCCCAAAGTGCTGGAATTACAGGCGTGAGCCACCGCGCTCGGCCAAGTAGAGGAAGTTTTAACATTTCTGCAAGTTGTTCATTGTCTGCTATCTTGCACACTCAAGAGTTTCTGCTAGTTACTGGTTTCTTACTCTTTGGGGCACAATTTCAGTGTCAGATTTTCAGCAAGTTGTTTCTTTCTTATCTCCTACCCTACAAACCCCAAAATTTAGTCACTGGCTTCTTTAACTCTTTGAGATATGGTTCCAAGAATATCCTAACTGATCTGCCTAATTTATAGTCTGCATTTTACTGAGACTAAGATACGTTTAAATATAAAGAGCTGATCAAGTCATCTCTCAGCATCTGCCATAATATAAACTTAAAAAAAAAATCTTACCCTAGTCATAATGTCCCCCTTTATCTGGTTTTTCTATCCCTTCCATCCCTCTCCAACCCCTATCTAGCTTTAAATTTTACCATTTCCCTTTTCCTATCATGCCCCAATCATTAAAAATTGTTCTATTTTCTCTCAACATTACCATGTTCCTCTTAGATTCTGCACATTTATAAGTGAAGTTTTCTCTGCTTAAGACACTTTTTTCCTCTCCTTTTCACTTGGTTAAGTCCTACTAAACTTTCACTTCTCAATTTAAAAGTTAGTTTCTTTTTTCTCACAAGGCCTTTCCCTCACAGCCTATGCTGGCAGTATTGGTTTGTTCTCTCTAAATCCTGTGTGTCCTTTACTGTAGAACTTACTGTATTCATGTCAATGCTTATTTGTTTTCTGCATTCTGTTTTAAGCTCTATGATGGAGGATCTGCATCACTGGTCCTCTAATACCTAAAGCATTTTTAATATAAATGATAGGAATATAATATTTTCACAATGAATATTTATTTAATAATGAATTGATTAATAAATGGATGAAAAATTTGTGTGGAATAAAGGAGCTGAGGAACACAGTAAATGATTGTATGGGATATAAAGAAAAAAAGTAAATCTAAGATGACAGGCAGAATAGTGATACCATATAAAAACAGGGATGTGAGGGAAAAAATAATTTATAGGAAATTATAGTTATTCCAGTTTAAGAATCGGACACTTAAATTGAAATTATATAGTTAAGTGTAAATACTCATCAAAACTTAGGAATGCAGAACTAGAACGTAGAGTATGGAAGCCTGGATCAATAGACAATTCTAGAAGCAAATATCATTACAAAGTTAAAGTGTAACATAGAGGATATAAAGAGAAAAAATTCTCTTTTTTGAATGATATGAGAACATTCTGACTAATAATTATGGGGTTAGAAAGTAATACTAACTCAATCATCACTGGAATAACTGTTTTTATCCTCTTTGCTTTTTAAATTAATTGTCATGTAAACAATCAAGGCAGCAGAAGAAAATAATATTAGAGACAGTTAAAAATGAAAATGACAGACATTGAGCAACAAGCAGAAGAAGAAATCAGGCTTAGAACATCTAAGTATAGTACTACAAGGCAATCAGTCAGTAGATGGGACCAGAATTCAAGCCCAGGCAGCTGTCCAACTCCAAGGCATGCACTTTTTACACAATGTTGCAAATTTATAAAAATGAAGTAATGCTGAGTACTTTTATAAGATCCAGTTGGGATAGTATAACACAAATCTATAGTGACTTATATCAGGATAACCTAGGAATTGTGTGAAATACAGAGAATTCAGTCAGGTGATTTGAGAAATATTTTGATGGAGGTTAAAGGATTTTGGAGTTCGAAGTAACAGAAAAAAATTAACATTTAAGAAAATGTAACAAAATCATTTGGTTGGGGAATGTGAGAGAATTGGAAGAAGAAAGTCAAAGAAGTTAAAGGAAGTTAAGAAACTTAAAGGTCAATCTTTTGAAGGTAAGCTTTATCTAAGATGTGTTAGAGCTGGTTGATCACGGATATGGCAGAAAATGGAACTTGAGGAAACCAGAAAAGAGTCTTAATTTCTTGCTCAAAAGGTGATCTTTACATTAATGTTGTCATGAATAAAATCACAGAAGCCAAATTGTGCTCATCATAGAATTTCTAATAGGTGATAGATGTTATCATCAATGGTTGCAAGTTAGCAGTGCACACTCAGATGAAGGAAATTCTGCAGTAACTAGAGAAATTTTATATTTGCTTGAACTGAAATCTCACTTCCAGGAATCTACCCCAAAGATACACTACCAAAAATATAAAATGAGATTGTAATTAATGGCCTAATTGCTCACATAGCAACATTGCAAATATGCAAAAGTAGAGAAGTTAATAAATACATTATGATACATTTACAAAGCAAATATTTAAGAAAAAAAGAATGAGGATAATCTTCTATTCTGTTAGGTAGGATTTTCACAACATAAGTTACCAAAAAAATAAGTTAGCAAAAAAATAATATTGCCAAGGATTTTTTATAGCATACTACATCATATGTTCTAAATAGAGGTATAATCAAACATATTTGCTTAGATATGGTCTCAAAAGGAAACCGTGGAAAGGTAAAGCAAAAATTAATTTAAAATTGTAATCTATGTATATAAAAGAGAGAATAAGGTGGAGGGAGAATTAGAGGGATTTTTATCACGTAGGCAAAGTGTTAATATATTCAATTTCTGTGAATATACTTTAACGATTTTGATTTGAGTAAAAAGCAAAAGTTATATATATAAAAAATATATATATATACACACACACACATATATATATGTGTGTGTATATATATATATATATATATATATATATATATATATATATTTTTTTTTTTTTTTGCTGGGGGAACAGAGTCTCATGTTGTTACCCATGCTGAAGTGCAGTGGTATAATCATAGCTCACTGCAGCCAGGAATTCATAAGCTGGAGTAATTCTCCCATCTCAGCCTCCTGTGTAGCTAGAACTACAGGCACATGTGAACACACCCAGCTAATTCTTTTCATTTTTTGTAGAGACAGGATCTAGCTTTTTTGCCCAGACTGGTCTTGAAGTCCAACAATCCGCAAGCAGTCCTCCCACCTTGGCCTCCCAAAATGCTGAGATTAAAGGCATGAGCCACTGAGCCTGGCCAAGAGGGTTTCTAAAATCCTAAACATTAAAGAAACACTAAGTGAAACAAATTTAATCATATAGCTACTTCACAACATAACTAGACAGGAAAATGTTTCAAATAATTTCAGATTATACTAGAGACCTTTCACTTAAACAGCAATTAAATCTTAAAAAAAAAAAAAACAGGAATTTGTATTCACGTAATGACCAGAAACCTTTTTCAACTATTGTAAAATGAAAGAATATATGTATCTAATTCTTTTCCCACCAAGAAAAACCCTGGAACATGACTAAAATACAACAGCATCTATCTATCTATCTATCTATCTATCTATCTATCTATCTATCTATCTATCATCTATCTATCATCTATCTTTACACACATATGCATACACACATATAAATGTAATTAATCAATTTTGCATATAAAATGAGATATCTCTAGCCAATAAATAAATGAGTGTTATAAACAGTTGTGGTATATGCAATTACATGTACTGTTTGTACTCAGTCTCATAATATTACATTTGTAATATAGCATGTCTATAATGGTCATCAATAAATTCATTTTTTTAAGGGCAGAAAAAATTACAACTTAAAAAAAGAAAATTTCCTGTAGTAAATATTACTCTGTTAATGAAATATACTGTTACCTCTCAAGTAAAATGTAATAATGCATAATACAATTCAGGCACTCTTATAAATTTTAGGTAGTTTGACTGTCTGCTCCTTTTTGGCTTCATTGTCATCTCACATTCTGATGAGACAAATTCAGTAGTTGTTACTTTCTTAGAGATGAGCTTTTCTGAACCTGTCTACATCTTTTTTATCAACTTCTTTAAACCTAAAACAACATTTTATCCCTGTGTTTGCCGTCTTTTTAGGGTCTTGGAAATGGAGATAGGGCACAGGAATTATTTCCTCTACAGAGCATTTATTATCTGTGGAGAAAACTTTTGCTGAGCCTTCCTAATAAACCCTAGAGATTTGTTTACAAGTCAAATATTTTCCAAAGACCTTCAGTGGCATTTTTGTTGGCACACACATAATGGAAGATAGCATCTTAGTAATAAGCAAAAATGTTCCTTACCTTTCTGGTCCATGGATTATAATACCATATTCAGAGTAAGAAAATATTTTTTAATATAACTATACTGAATGAAACTGGCCATGTGTTTAAGAGAATTGTCAACGTTGAGTAAGGCCTTTTTCTTTTATCTTTTTTGTTGTGTAACAACAAACTATGAAGGAAATAAACACTATTTTACGTAGACAAGAAAAACCTCTTTCCTCACCCAGGCATTGGAATTTAACCTCAAAATAATTGGCAATTTTTGTTTGGTCATTTCTTTGACAGCCTAGACACTTTTAATATTGCATTAGTAATTTTAACCTAATGTCTTAAAATTAACCTTGAACATTAATGTCAGCCTGTCCTTTGAGTATTTGAGACCCAGCATTTCTTCTCCTTTAATATAAATGCACCATATGGACAGTGCTGCTAAAACAATCCTATCTCATCTACATAAAGTGTGTTTATTAGTATTGTCTCATTCATCAATATGATCTTATAAATAAGACAGTTATATCCAGCTGCTTCAGTGTCAACTATGTTGCTCCCGCTGCGATTTTGATATGATGGAGCATGACAGGACTCTTGAATCTGTCAAAGCATGTAAGGCTTGCTTTCATTATCAACTTATTTGCTGACTCATGACTCTACTCCACAACCTCCATCTTCAGCTTCAAGCAAGGACATGTCCATAAACTGGATCAACATAGTGAAGAAAGGGATGTCGCCATTACAGAGATTTCATAAATCTTCCTATTGAAAAATCTTACAAGCTATTTCAACCCAAAAGAAACAAGAAAGCTGAGGGCCTTAGATATTTCTGAGTACAATTTTCCACTACAAACAATACCTGATTCTAGGTTTGGATCAGAACATTTGCAAAATGAAAGCTGAACAAGACTAATGGGATTGCATCCATGGTATCTAGGAGCCAAATTTAAGTGGCTTCTATTAGATAAAAGATAAGATATTCTGGACATTAAAAATTGTTAAGACTGTAATTGTTTAAAGTACTTTAAAATATAAAAAGATTGATCTGTCTATTATATTCAGCTACAACAACAACAAAAAACCTCATGGGTCATAATGATGATTGCTCCAACTGTTAGTTGGAACACCAATGAATAATTCTGAAAATTGTCAAATAATGGTTACAAAAGCAAATAATAAAAACTAAACACGTAACAAAGAAACAGCATTTGCTAGAATTTTTAAAAACAGAAACAAAATGATTTTTCATTAGAAGTCGGATAAGAAAATTGGAAAAAATCTTCTGTTCTTAGTTTCCCAATGCTTATATAAACATCACATGGTATGTATACCTTTTATAACTTTTAAGGGCAATATAAAGATCTTATGCTTTTCAATTTGTCTGCTACATTCACAAGTATCTCCACTGATGTGTAAGAAAATTATGCATAGATACTAAGTAACATCCTAAAGCTAACTCTAATCTGTCAAGCAGTATAACTCACCATTTTCCAAGTCACTATGAAAGTATTTTTTTGATATTTTATAGAATAGAAACAATGTTTAATAATTACATCATAGAGAAATACTTTTAATATATTTAAGGAATCCAAAAGTGAAATGCAATGGTCCTCTTCACTTCAATGACCTTTGATGTTCTAGAGCCCAAGAATCTTCATGAAATTTTAACCAGAGACAAGTTTCACTTTATATATTTGGGCTGCTTCAAAGCCTGTCTTTACCCCTGTGAAGGAAGTAGTGTTCCCTCTCTGGAAGCAACATTTGTAACCTAACTTTCATTATCATGTTTATAAATAGTCCCTCCCTCTTGTCCTCATGGAATAAATGTTTCAGATCAAACATGGAACAGTTATATTTATGCCAGAGGCCTTAAAAAGAGAGACTGAAAAAAATTAAATAAATAAAGAAGTATTGCTCCTGGATATTTGTTATTAACACAGGATATTTGTTATTAACATAGAATCTAAGAGGATGGTTGAAATCCAGGTGCCTGAATACAGCACAAGCAGAGGAATAAGATCTATAATCCACCCTGGTATTGACAAGAACAGAAGATAGACAATGTTGATTTACAAGAGCACTATTTTACGTCATGTTGACCATAGTTAATAAGAGTATACAGTTCACTTGAAAACTACTAAGAGAAGATTTTAAATATTCTCACCACAAAAAGGATACATATATGAGATAATGCATATATCAAAGGGCTTCATTTAGCCATTCCACAATGTCTACATATATTTAACCATTATGCTTTATAACATAATTACGATTTGTATTTCTTGATTAAAAATAAAACATATAATCTCAATTTAATACAATTTCATTAAAAATACTGTTTAAGTATTGTACTTAGCATTGGGGATATAATAGTTTAATATATATGGAGATATGATTCTTGCCCTCGGAAGATTAACAAATATATTGCAATGTGGGAAGTCCAAGGACATTATGGTGAAACATTGGCAGCAGGAACTAGAGCTATTATATCAACAATCTGAAATTCCTGGCGATAACTTTCCAAGAGAAAAGATTTCCATGAAAGTTGGTTAGTATAGGACAGAGAGCATTAATTAGGAAGAATAATCACCAATATGTCCTTGAGTACTATCTGTAATATTCAAACCGTGTTTCAATGGAAAAAGAGGTCTCATAATTTGGAAGCAAAAGCAGAACAAGAAAAGATACTATTGTGACTTAATGTGAACCTCTTTTATCCATCCAAATATCTTCAGGCTATCAGAGCTTGGAGACACTTGGGTTTATCTCTACTATAAGATCTTTATAAAGTTCTCTTGACACACTCAGAATTGATACATACACCTAACTCACCATATGTTTTCCATATTCATTGTGTGTTTGCAAGATACTGTGGATGTAGCCCTAACTCAGGCAACAGTTGTGAGTAAAAGGAGCTAAATACTCTGTTTAGGAGCTAAATACTCTCCTTTATATATAAAATAAATGCTGAATGTCTATTTCAGTTGGTAAGTTTGAAACTATGTGATATTAGCTGTAAGAAGGGGAAGGTGTAAATGAAGTAGAAGGTGACTCAAAATTTTATCTAAAGTTTGAAGGACTGCACATGATTTTGGCTATGATCACTTGATGTGTTTGATTCAACCCATTATGTACTTTATCTTTACAGGCAGACTGAAAATTTGTGTCTTCACTTTGAGGGCTGAATTGAGCTATTACCACATATGTCTGGCATCTAATAGAGTCCAATGAGCATAATGACTCCAGAATATTGGGTCAATGATCTGTGACCAGAAAAATTATCTAAGTATTTTGACAACATAGATCCAGTAAATAATTTCTTTTGAAATCATTTTTTCTTAAAGGATAAAGAACGGAAAAAAATGAAACATCATTTTAAAGGCTCGCTAACACTGTAATTACTGGATACGCAGTAAAACAAACAATTACTCACTGTACTGGAAGTCACTAGGTAATAATTGTTTGACGATACACAAATTAATTTCAGGTCATGTAGCACACCAAACTGTTAATTTCCTAGGCTTTAGAAAGGGATAAAAATGTAACATGCCTGCCTACAAGTACATAAAAAGGACATTATTCAAGGACTAAGAAAATAAATAGTAAATCAATTCTTCTGTTAATTATAGAGTTTTACTGGGGCATTGCCTTTTCACTAAAACAGATTATTTGAAAAAAACATTGTTTAAGGGACATCAAGAATATGCTTGACAGTTTATTCCTTATTCTCCAAAGGTCATCAGTGTTGTTGATTGGATAGAAAGACAAAAGTCAATTACCTGCTAATCAATAAAGGTCATTTCTGATCTAGATGAGGTATTTAATAAGAATATTTCTAAATGTATTTTTACCAACTCATAAATATTTTTGACATTGAATGTAATGTGATTAGGGTGTATTTAAAACCTCAAATTATATAGAACACTCTCACAGAAAAATTAAATGCTTATTACTTGAAAAAACTGGATGGTAATATAATAGGCAGAGTGTCTAAGTTAACTGATCATCCCAAAAATAATTGCTTAATTTTTCAAGGAATACACATAATTATTATTTTGAAACTAAATGTCTATGAGGCATGAGTATCTTTCAATTATCTTCATGATTATATAAGTACTTACTATATGCAAGACACTGTGCTGGGATCTTTAAATATCTCTTTTACAGGCCCAATAAATGTGTATTATTATTATTGTCATATCATCATCATCATCACTATTATTATTCCTGTCACAGGTAGGATGCCATGTGGCCAAATAATAGCAATAAGAACAACAATAATAAATGTCTCCTGTGATTTTAATTCTTCATACCATTATGAATCCTGATCTCTGCGAAGTGAATAAAAATATTTATTTATGAATATTATTTTCTTCAGTGACAGTTTATACATTTGACCAAATTCAAAAAGATATTACTGATTATCAGAACAAGATGAAATATCTGCTATCCTTACTACTATTCAACATTTTGCTAGAAAACCCAGCCAATGAAATTATAGAGAAAATAATAGAAAAAGGAGGAGATAAATCTGTGGGTGATGGCATGTGTTAAGTAGAAGTTTAGCCTCAATTACATTTGCCACTTATTAATTACCTTGTGAATAAGTTATATTACATGACATGAGGGACTTTATTGATGTAGTTAAGGTTACTTATCACCAGGTCTTATATAGGGAGTTTATAATAGATTATTTTAGTGGGCCCAATATAATCACATAAACCTTTAAAAGCAGATGAAGAGTCAGAAAGGTTAAAAAATGATCAGGGTTCAACATGCTAACACTGGCTTTAGCATGAAGGATCCCACAAGCCATGGAATGTAAGTAGCCTTTAAAAGCTAAGAACAATCCCTGGTTGAAAGCCACCATGGAAATCTCAGACCTACAACCACAGGTATGGAATTCTGTCAATACCTAAAGAAGTTGGGAGGTCAGTTCTTCCCCTGGCACTTCCAGGTCAGAGTCTGGATCACTCTCTCAACCATTATTTTGGCCTTATGAGACTATGCAGAACACACAGCTGGACCACTAGATTTATGACCTGTAGAACTGTGAGATTTTTTTAACAAAATGAGGGGTGCTGTTTTAAGTCACTAACTTTGTGGTAATTTGTTACAGCAGCAATAGAAAACAAATACATGGAACCATTATCTATAGTGAGTGTAGTGATGTTATATAACTCTTTGCTTTTGTAAAAACTCATGGTGGTACTGGATATCAAAAAGAGTGAATTATACTGTAGGTAAATTTAAACATTAATTTAAAAAATATTCTGGTTGCCATGTTCCAAGCTAAAAAGTATATATATTATTGTCACTATTCTGAAGCTGCTTCTTGATACCCAGATTTTTAGTCTGGCAACTGCTGTCATAGCAACTGACCGTAAGCACTCACAAAGGAAGTAGTTCAACACTTAATTCCTCTGCATGAAAACTCCACGTCTTTAGGAATATGCTTGCCAGAAATAAGAAACAAAATTTTGGAAAGATGGTATTTCTTTGACTTTGTCTTCCATTTATAGTTGACCAAATTTAGTTTCCTCCAAAGTCTTTATCTGTCAGAGTGCCTGGGATATGTAGTTTTAGCTTTCTAGCCTAAGTAACACACTAGAAGAATGTTAGAAGCTCTGCTGAAGGAATTCTATAGTAGCCATTACCAATAATTCATTAAAGTGATTTTCAATAGCTACAAAAATTTATTTTCAATCTCATAACAAATTTTATTTATTTATTTATTTATTTTTTATTATTATACTTTAAGTTTTAGGGTACATGGGCACAATGTGCCGGTTAGTTACATATGTATACATGTGCCATGCTGGTGTGCTGCACCCATTAACTCGTCATTTAGCATTAGGTATATCTCCTAATGCTATCCCTCCCCCCTCCCCCCCACCACACAACAGTCCAAAATTTTAAAGAGATCCTGAGAAATATTTTAATGAGTTATACAAAAACAAACAATATTAAAAATCCTATTTTAATTCTGGTTTTTGGAAGATGCCACTGTATCAGTTATAATTTCTTTTGCTAGATACTTATAATCTTCCAAGAGCAACTTTTTTCAGCCCATCTCCCCTTTCCTAGCTAGGCAGTATCAGTCTCTGACAGCCAATATGTCTATACTCAGATTAGGTGTTTAAGCCTCACTGAATCAGCCTAAACTGGCATATGGCTAAACCCTGTAGAGCATAAAAGAACTGCTCAAATCTTCACCTTGGGTTAAGACCATGATGAGAAATTTCACTTAAGTGTGAAGATATGTGGTGAGCAATGTGATTTAAGTTTCCAAAACAATAATTATTTTATTAGTATAGTTATGGCTCTGATAGGTGCAAAATACATCAATGGTGTTATTATTAAAAATAATTTATTTTTCTTATCTATTGCTAACCTTTCAGAGATAAGAAACTGCTAGTAGCAAGTTAAGAATATGTTAGTTGGTTAGCATTTAAGAATGGGGCTTTTTCCTTACTTACTCAAAGTCTTGTAATGTGCCAATTCAGCACATATTGGATAAAGTTTAAAGGAAATTAGATAAGTTGGCACTAGTTCAGTTAGTTTTTTGGGCAAATGCTTTGTAAATCCCAGGTTCCTCGATTGGCTGCAAATAGGTCATGAAAGGGAGTAGCTCAGAAAGGTAGGTAAAAGTATAATGTGTCCTTTTGCTATCTCAAACTACTTAGTAGAAATTCTAAACACCATTCTGTTATTTTTATTATTATTACATTTAGTTTCACCTACGATCATTAGAATGTATATGCCTATTTAGAAATCAGTCATTAGACTCTTTTGTCTGATAGGAGTTTCTTATACTAAGGCACTACACAAAGAGTAAAACTCTGCACCAGGGTAATCCCAGCACTCTGGGAGGCTGAGGTGGGAGGATCCCTGGAAACCAGGAGTTTGAGACCAGCCTCGGCAACATGGTAAAACCCGTCTCAAATACGAAAACTTAGTCTGGCATGGTGGCACGCGCCTGTGGTCTCAGCTACTAGAGAGGCTGAGGTGAGTGGGTTGCTTGAGCTTGAGAGGTCAAAGCTGCAGTGAGCCGTGATCGTCCCACTGCACTCCAGCTTGGGTGACAGAGTGACACTCTATCTCAAAAACAACAACAAAAACTCTGCATCACTTGACTATTAATAATCCTCTATATATGTCTTTTTTTTTGCTACTGCTGTTATTATTTTGCTCTGAGAGAAAAACTACATCAGAAACTGTAAGAGGTACTGATTGTGAGAGATAATATTTCTACTGAAGTATTATTCAAGGAATTTTGGTAAATAAAAGAAGACAATAAGTTTCAGTGGGAAAAGCAATAAGCTTTGGGACAAGGCAGACCTAACTTCAAACACTGGCTCTTCCAATTAGGGTAATGAGTTGCTTAAAAACAGGGATACATTTTGAGAAATGCATTGTCTAGTGATTTTATTATTATGTAAATATCATAGAGTACCTAGATGGCATAGCCTACTACACACCTAGCCTATATCGCATAGCCTAATGCTCCTAGGCTACAAACCTGTACAATATGTTACTGAATACCATAGGCAATTGTAACACAATGACAAGTGTGTCTAAACATATCTAAACATAAAAAAGGTACAGTAAAAATATGGTATAAAAGATGCAAACTGTATGGAACACTTAACATGAATGGAGCTTGTAGGATTGGAAGCTGCTCTGGGTGAGTCAGTAAGAGAGCGGTTAGTGAATGTGAGGGCACCAGAAATTACTGTACACCACTGTAGACTTTTATAAGCACTGTACACTTAGGCTATGCTAACTTTATGAAAATATTTTCTTTCAATGATAAGTTAATCCTGCTTATGCTAACTTTTTAAATTTAAACATATTTTATTTTTTAAACCTTTTGACTTTTTTTGTAATAACGCTTGGCTTACAACACAAACACATTGTACAGCTGCACAAAAATATTTTCTTTCTTTAAATCCTTATTCTACAAGTTTCTTCAATTTTTAAAATTTTTGAATTTTTTCTTTTTATTTTTTTTTACAAATGAAGACACAATCACTCATTAGCTTAGGCCTGCACAGAGTCAAGATTATCAACATGAGTCTTCCACCTCCATATCTTGGCCAACTGGAAGGTCTTCATGGGCAATAACACACACAGATCTGTCATCTCCTATGATAATGCCATTTTCTGGAATATCTTCTGGAAGACCTACCTAAGACTGCTTTACAGTTAACTTTTTAAAAAATAAGTAGAAAGAATACAATCTAAGATAATGATAAAAGCTATAGTAAACACATAAACCAGCAACATAGTCATTTATTATCATTATCAAGTATTATGCACTATACATGAGTGTATGTGCTATACTTTTATAAAACTAGCAATGCAGTAGGTTCGTTTACAACAGCAGTACCAAGAACCCGTGAGTCATGCATTGTCCAGCATTAGGATGGCTACAACATCACTATGCAGTAGAAAATTTTCATTACAATTTCATGATAGCACTCTCCTGCATATAGGGTCCACTGTTGACAGAAATGTAGCCATGCAGTGAATAAGTATAATAGATATGTGGCCTTGGGAAAGTCATTTAACCCCTCTGAGATACAGTATTTCTGCCCTCAGAAAAGGGAGTAAATTCACCAGATCCTAGATATGGATCTAGGAGCTCAATGGCTCCTAGAACTAATATGAAGCTAAAGTAAAATGTGTAAAATACTGGAACTAGAGGAAAGTATTAGAACCTCAGTATACCTCAATATATATAAATATTCTCTTCTTTTCCTTTCTAAGTATGTTGATGATATAATGATTATAAATTCCAACTTATTTTCTATTCTCTTCAAGAACAACAAAAAGACTGTAACATATGGTTGTTATAAAACCACATAGTCGCCGGGGGCAGTGGCTCACGCCTGTAATCCCAGCACTTTGGGAGGCCGAGGCGGGCGGATCACAAGGTCAGGAGATCCAGACGATCCTGGCTAACATGGTGAAACCCCGTCTCTACTAAAAGTACAAAAAATTAGCCGGGCGTGGTGGCGGGCGCCTGTAGTCCCAGCTACTCCGGAGGCTGAGGCAGGAGAATGGCGTGAAGCCGGGAGGCGGAGCTGGCAGTGAGCCGAGATCGAGCCACTGCACTCCAACCTGGGGGACAGAGGAAGTCTCCATCTCAAAAAAAAAAAAAAAAACAAAAAACACATAGTCAAGTTACTACATGGGTGTCATTGAATGGTTCAAAACTGTCGGCCTGACTTTTATTGTTACTGTGGTAACTAGATGATATGTGAGCATGATTGTTTTGTTCTGCTTTGTTTTGCTTCTTGTTCTACATAGATTTTAGAACCATTTTGCCCAAGAAAAGGACTCCATCCATCTCTCATATATTTGTTAAAGTATGTATATCCGTAGCGATTAGTTAATAATGTAATTACATGCGATAATAATTTGTGTGATAATTTAAATTCTAAAATTAAATTGAAATAACTGATAAGCATATATGACAAGTTATCCAAGCTGGATGTCCTTCTTCAACTCTAGCGCATCACTACACTTTTCAAAGTGTTGTAAACATTAGAAACATTAGAAAAAGCTGAGCTAAGTGTCTTGCCTTAGAAAAAATAAATGGAGATCTAATTTATTTTTTTTACCGTATGACATATGTTTAAGTAGATTTAATGCATTCAGGGAATTAAATACTAATTTATTTACAAGTTCCTGAGTTTTATTATATAACGTATATACAATTTATTACTATATAGATTTTCCAAAAAAGTAAGAATATCAATATAATTCCATTCTTTGAGGACAAAAGCTTAAAGTCTTTCAATTAACAATCTCCTAGATAATTACCATTATAGTAGAATACATGCTAATTAACATGCTAATTTTGGGCAATTAATTGATATCCAATCAACTCACTACAGTTATTTTGTTAAATACCAGTTAAATGTTCAAATTCTTTACAAGTTTAATGTATTAATTAGGGTAATAAAACACATTTGCTTTTTTCTTGTTGAGATAATTATATGGCAACTAAATTAACTCACTCTTATTCATTTAAGTTTATTACAATATCATGTATTTAGTGTACAATAAATGTGTAATCTAATTTAAATACTGAGAAAGTGCTAAGGTTTATGTAATTCTGCACTAAAGACAGTTCCATAAAACCTTTCCTGGGAAGAATGGTATAAACTGTTTTTTTTTGTGTGTGTGTGTGTGATTCTTATTTATTTATCAAGCATTTAAATTGTGGTTATGAATATGTATGTGTATCTAGATATAGATATACATATCTACTATATTAAATTTGGTAATATTTTGCATTTGAAATTATTTATAACTATTTTATTTATAAAAGTAAATATATTTATCCTTTTAATATATGTTAATAACTTTAGAAAAATCATTACCTACTAAATAAATATCTTCAAATTATTCATTATAATCTTTTATTATCAGAAATAGAAGTCAGCTTGAATAAGCAACATACCTTTCTGAGATTACTAACCATAAAAAAGTTAATGAACTTAAAAGTTTACTTAGAAATCAAATACACAGACATACTAAAAAAATACATTTTTTTCTTTTAATTTGTAAACTTTTACAACGTACCCTTAAAATAAGTAATGAGGCTTTTTGTCATTAAGTTTTTTTTTCTCAATTAGTCATGCAGACACTTGTCTCATATTCCTATTACTGATATTTAAGGAAAAATTAAGATTTATTGTACAGATTATTCATATTGACAATCTATTTTTTTTCTGAACACAGACTACACAACAATGCTCACTTTGATCATGCAAATTATTGGCTTCTCTCCAGTCCAATCTCTTATTTTCCAAACAAGCCTACGTAAAGTTCTTCTCTTCAAGTTGTGTTGGGTGAGCAGGAAACAAATCTCACGGTAGAGTGAGTGTATCTCCCTTATAAGTATTTGGCATTTTTTAATTTTTGTTTTTGGTCAGTTGTGTAAATCATATTTCACCAACACTTCATGTGTGTTTGTGTATGTGCATGTGTGTGTGTGTGTGAATTTAACTGTCTTTATTTTATAATACACAGACCTGCATTGTTTCTCTTTACTATTACAGCATATATTCTGTTGGTATTCCACTTGCAGTTTGCTTAAGTTTTGTAATAAAAATAAATGACTCAGCTCATCCCACTTTTTCTTGCAATCTGGGAGTTCTTTCTGTAAACAGAGGCCATCATTCCCATCATTATAAATGAATGCAGCCTCATGTGGAGCCTCATCTGGAGGCACTCAATTTGCTGGGCACTTCCACAGGCAGTGATCTAATCCTCCCAGAGTAAGAAACACAAGCAGCTCAGTACAACTCAATCCTCATCATCTGGTCACTTCCAGAGAATGAGTTGGTGCCCATAAGGATAAATTAGCAGTGAGTTATGGCCTGAGTGTTACAAGAAAGCATCTAAAATATAGTCAGAGGACAGCACAAGATGTCAACATTTTGGGTATTCAGACTTTGAGGCAAAGTCAAATTCAGAAATTATTTTTACCAAGTTTCATGATGAGCTCAAAAATAGTTCTGGTTTTAGCAGAAAGTCAATAGAAATCCCAATGAAAGGGAATCATATCACAGTGTAGTGACTCTGATTCTAAGAACCACAACATAGAAACTGGTTTTGTGTAAAATTCAACAAATTTTCTTTTAGAATGCTATTGAAATCATAACATAGTTTAGCACTATCTACCAAAAGATTCACTGTTAAGAATTGATTTGAAGTAAGTTATTAACAATATTTGCCGAAACTTAACTGCAAAGATGGTAGATACTTATATAGATCCAAAAAGATGGTGCTGTGACCTCCAAAATTCATGTTCAAACTTAATCCTCAATGCAACAGTGTGTGTTAAAATGTGTGGCTTTTTGGGAAGTGGTTAAGTCTACCCTCATTACTGGGCTTAGCATCCCTATAAAATAGCTCAAGATTGAAGAAAGTACTCTCTCTTGCCTTCCTTTCCACCACTTGAGGACAGAGCAATAAGGCACCATCTTGGAAGCAGAGAGCAGCCTTCACCAAGCACCAATACCAGTGCCTTAATTTTGGATTTTCTCACCTACAGAAAGGTAAGAAATAAACTTTTGTTCTTTATAAATTACCCTGTCTCAGATATTTTGTCATAGTAGCACACATGGAGTGAGACAGATTAAATTTATAGAATAAAATTATAGTAAACATAACATTATTGTATGAAAGCAGATATTTGACATTGCGAAAAGTTTACAAACTGCTACTGGGTAAAAAAAGCCAAGCTCTAAATGCTATTGCATAATCACACCTTTATACAAAGTGTATACATGTGTATTTGATGATACTATACCTAAATTTAAGTGGTAAAGAACTATAACAATTCGTAATACTAGTTGCCTATGGGTATTAGGACAATTTTTGAAAAAATTTCTCATATTCTTTTTGTAATAAATATACATTTTAGGTATAATTATGGTTAATGTTGCTGTTATGTTTTTATCTTTCACTACGCAGAAATAATAACTAAGCTGAAAGTTACATCATTATTCCTTTTACAACTGAAAGAAGAAAGATAACTCTAGGTGAAGCAAGAGTAAAGGAAATCTTGCACATAGAAGGGATCAGAATGTCATATATTATGGGTATTCAACACATGTATGTTCATCAAATTGAGCTTTTATTAGTCACTCACTAAATTTTTAGCCTCTTGTAGCTATATTTGTTTTAAAGGAAAATTATTGTGTCATAATTAACAGCACATGTAACACTTGGCAGCGCACATGACCAAAAACATTTCAATTAAAATTTCTAAGTATTGGAAGTACCACAGTACCTATTACTGAAAACAATAAATAACATATGTATATATATATTTATTTCATGAGTTGTCAATTTTATTCCTTCGTAAATTCTGTTATACATCATTCTGAGGAAGTCTATGCATTAAAGGTACACATTTTTCTTTCTCTTGCATAATCATATTTTAGAGAGAGTTTGTGTCAGGTACCACACGTTGCATGTAAGAACAATATGCTCTTGGGATATAGACATGCCTTCAGCTAGAGCCTCAAAACTATGCATGCACATTAGTGCACACACATGCACACAGCTTCTATTGTAGGCAGGTACCCTTACTCTAGTAGGATTTTGATTTCATCTCTTTTCCCATGTCTGCCTTTGAATTTTATAGTTGTTACTTGCATCTTCTTTCATTACTTTCTCATTCTGCCTTATGAGGTCTAACAAATAGGACTAGAGACTACCTGAAAAGTGACACAGTCTAGGCCAGTAGGGGCATAATAGTGTTCTATTCTGTCAAATGACAGAGGTCAGACTATAATTAAGACTTAAGATATTTTTCTTAATTTTATTGATTATCCATTCCGAACAAAGATGCATTCTTTCTGAGTAACTTTGGCCTTTCATTTTATAATTTAACCTTTACACCTTAGCAGTAGGTCTACAGAACTATGCAGTTAAGTCATTCAAATTTTAGTATAAAAGGTATACGAATAAAAATATTCCAGCTGCATTGTGGAGGCAGTTCATTGTGGATGCAACTTCAGTGAAAAAGAGGTCATTCATCATGTGCATAACGCTTGACAAAGAAGGAAATATAAAAATAGAAGTCATTAACTAAACCTGATTTTACTTGCCCAAGCCCAAATTAATTAACCTTAAATATGCATACAGGCAAGAAAATAATACAACATAATAAGTATAAACCAAATGGAATTGCTTAATATCATAATACCTGTGAAAAACTATACTGGCCATATCTAAGGCAATTTTCCCTCTAATATGTAGAGCCGTGCCATTTTGTTACTGCAAAAGATTACAAGATAGTCTAGCAAAAATTTTGTCATTTAAAAATCAATAAGAAAGGAAATAGAATTGTAAAAATTAGTTGATATAGCCTAAAATCACAAGTGTGTTGGCATTAGAATTGTGACCAAAACGAAACCTCCTGACTCAAAACCATTAAATAAATCTTTTGAGTGACACATAAATTCCACATGATAAATTTTCAGAATTAGGTGTCATCCTTAATAGAGAATTCAAGATGAAATATGTTGATACATTTAAAAACTAAATATATTATATTTTGCCAAATTTTACAGCTACTTTTGACAATGAGAGGAAATCTGGGCAGATATGAAGCTGTATCCCAGCATTACCTCTCCAATGTCACAATAAATTCTGTAATAAAGTAAATTCTGTAAAAAAAAAAGAAAAGAAAAGAAACAAACTTAAACTAATTCCACCAGTTATTAAGTGTGTTTTCTTTTTTGTTTGTTTCATATTAATTTTTTAAATAATCCTAAAAACAAATAAAACTCCAGGGATGGGAGCACAGTGAGGGGGATAAAATAACAATTATTAAAATATTATTCCAATGAATCTGTATAAACTATATAGGCAATATAATTTTAATGGATAACTTATGTGTTTACTAGACAACCTAAAAGTATAAACATAATTGTACTTTTATTCAACATTTTCTTCTCTACTTGCTATGTTGGTCTATTTAAATAATACCAAATAATAAAAAAGAAAGCAGAAAAAGAAAACAAAAAAAAAAAAAAAGAAAAAGACAGAAACTTACCTTCTAGTAAACAGGTAAAAGCAACCTTATATTCTTTCTCTCCTATTTGTAAACATGAAGTAAGGAAGTAAGACCTCAAATGTCATTACAGTCTCAAAGTTTTACCTGAAATGTGACATAAGAATAAAGCCAATATAATGCCACATTATATTTATGTTCAGTTTTGTGTTCTAAGCATTCTCCTCCCCAAATACTGTTAAATATGGGAGAAAAATTAATTATAGTAACTTTTTGTAATAGTTTCTTCTTGGAATCAATATAAGTGAATAAATATACAGAAGGCAGACAATGCATTGAATTAACACTAAAAATACTGAAAAATTTCAGGGCTTCATTGACACATTAATTTATTGATGAGGACTTTGTGTATCACAAAATGTAGTGAAAATATAATGTAAATAAAATATAGTTTCTGACTACAAGAAGATATAGACTGGAAGGGAAGTAGGCAAATGAATAACATATTACATGTTGATGGCTATAATTCTAGAGATAGATATGTATCAGCCTATGTAAGGACAGAAAAAGAACAGTTTAATTACAGAGGAGGATGAAAGTAACAGTTACACTAAATCATTTCAAGAGAGATGATTCTTGAGTTGAATTTTCAGTGATAGCAAAGGCAGATACCTCCTTCGGAAGAAGCATAATGTACACATTCTCAAAAGTATCTGGAATATTTTGTAAGTCATTTAGACAGCAATTAAAACTGAGAGTCCAAATAAAATGTATGAATAATAGAACAGATTTTTGTTGTATAGAAGTATATATTGTCTCATGGTTATGAAACTGGACTTTTATGTTTAATAGACTTTCACTGAAAGGCCTTTATCTAAACATTAGTTGCTGAGGATAGGCAAGTTGCCCTTTGTTTCAGTATTCTCAACTGCAAAACAGAAATAATAGTACATAGCTTATGTGTTGTTGAAAGTATCCATAGTAATACCATTTAAAGCCCTAAACTTTGTACCTACACAAACCTGTTGGCTGTAGCCAAGATTTCTGTATTTCCAAATGCGAAGGAAGACACCCAAAGCTACTATTCTAAATTTCTCAAAAACATCTCACATAATTGACCCACCATCATGAGGAAAGCAATTCTTCTCTTCTATCTATAACTCCACCTTCCATTCTTCATATTTCTCTAATATCTCATGCTAAATGTCTTTATCTTGATTAATAGTAATATATACTATTGGATAGTAAATAATGCTAGAAAAATATCAAGTGAGGATACTCAGTTTAGACCTTGAGCTCAAAGGAGGTGTCTGAGCTTTTGTGTATAAAGCCGTAAAGCATGTGGATCATAGTTAAAGTCATAAGAATAAAAGAGATGGGTAAGACTAAAAATGTAGAATTATAAGTGAAGAGAACACAAAGGGAAATTTTTTTTCAGAACAACAAGTTAAAAGCTAAGTCCTGTGAACAGTAAACAGTTTTTAGACTATAAAATATGAATAGTTAAAAAAGTCATTTAATGTATTCTTTCTCTGTTCAGAAGTAAAAAGTAAAAAACTACATCATCAATTTCACTGTAGTATTTCTTTGTACACAAAAACGATAGAATAGGGAATAATTTTTTCCACACATCTCTCACCTTCAACCACCGCTATGTAAAGCTGATGACAATGTCATCCTATCTGTCTAGTTTAGTTATTTGAAAAATCAATATTGCTGGGCAGTTTACTTTTCATCAGCCAGAGCTTGAGATATTTCCCCATATAATATCAAATTGTAAGTGACAGGTTGCTGTTCTTAAGACTTTTGGTCTTTGTCAGGTTTCCAAGGGTCAAAGCTTTCTGGCATCAGATCATAGAGAACTTGCATTATCAAATTAATAATAAGATCATTGTGATATTAGTTTAGTATATTTTATTTAGATTCTCTTCATAAAAACAAAGTACTTCTGTTAAATCATCTTGATATATTTTTATCAGATCAAATATAGTAATATATAATAATTAAATAAGTTTTCATGATAGAATTTTTAAAGCTTTTTTTCTCAGCAGATAAAAATAGAGAGATCTAAATTCTAAAGTGATCTGTTTCACATAGAAGAGTCTCATAGTCTTGCCTAATACATGGATTCTTGAATTAATTTTGGAATAATAAGAGGCTTAAGAGAGAGAGGGCGGAGGCTTTCTTGAACCCTGCTGAGCAAGCTCTCCCAAACAGGATATGTCCTTTCCTATGTCCATGTCTGTGTCTACTTTTACATCTGTCTATGTCTATATACACATATATCTCCTTATATCTGTCTATATCAATATATTTTCTCTTCTTTGGAGAATCTTCAAAACCAGACAAATAGAGGAACCTTGAGGAAATTGCAGCTATGAAGAAGTTTTATGTACTGTGCTGTTAGAGGGCTTCTAAGAAAAAGTGTGTGTGGGTTTTTTTGTTTGTTTTGTTTTGTTTTTAGAAATGCAGATAATGGCAACTGAAGACAATGAGCAAAGAAGGACTGTTCTCTAGTCATGAATGACAGTAAGTCCAAAAGAGGTATACAAAGTCAAGCAGAAGGGAAATAGGCAAAATCTGTGTGCATATTTTCACATATTATCATTATACTCATTGCTCTTTATTCTCTTGAGAAAATTTATAACATCATCAACAATAAAGTATTTATTTTGCTGAAATTACATTTTTTAAAAAACTAGTTTCTCTTTTATTTTATATTTCAGATTTCTTCAGTTCTTGAATATGTAAATATTGTTACTCAGAACATTTAACACAAAGAAAATTTGCTAAAATGGCATATATGAAATATAAAATTTAAAAGAATTACAGTTTAAACATTTTCAAATAAATCTGAAAATACAAAAACAGAAAGTTACAAAGACAGAAAAATTATGATTAAGCCTATTCAAACACTTTTCTCACCTTTTTTTATCATTTGTGTGTGTACATCTGTGTGTATCTCCTTACTGGGCAGTAAAACCCAATTTTGAGGCTACAAAATGTACAAAACTAAACACTACATAATCATAATTGTCAATTAATTACAATAGCACTATCACATCCCTGATGATGTTCTGGAAATGTCCTTGGTAATTATTGCATAATTAAATTCAATTGATTTTTAAGATATCTTACCGGAAACTTTTCCATCATTTTTAAGAGTTAACAGTCTTTCTTCCTTGAATTCTTTATTTTCATCTTTTTCCTCTCTAACATTCAAAGCATATGATTCTCAGATTTTGTTTTGTTTCAGACTTAAATGGTATGCTTCATATTCAATTCTGTCTTGCTTTGTTCTCAGTGACTTTTCTTCCTACTTTAAATGTTCACTCTAGGAGCTATCATTAACTGATTTTGGTCACTTGCATTTATAAGCCAATGATTTTAAAATATTTTCTGACTCAAAAAATGCTGCACTCTGCTCTCTTTGTCTCTTTATCCCTCGTTCTCTCTGTCTCTTTCTTTGTCTCTCCTGCTCTTTCATTACTAAGTTTGTCCACCTGAATGTACTGAACGCAGCTCAAAGACAACACACCAATAATTTGTTCTCCACACCTTTTGTTTGTCCTATAATCATTGTATTTACAAATTACAGCTTTACTTCCTGAGTTACCCAAACCAGAAATCTAGGAGTAACCGTTGAGTTGAGATTTTGCACTGCCATCTTCTCATCCCAATGGTGAAAAAATTCTGGGCAAATGTTCTTTGTAATATCTCATATGACCCTTTTATTTTCTCTATTTATCATATCTCTGCCTTAGTTAAACTCTAATCATTAAACATTCTATTACCATAGTTTTTAAATAGCTTCCAAAAGTCTACTATCAGCCCTACTATAATCCAGTCTTCACAGACAAATAGAATTTTAAAAGATCTATCTAGTTTCAAATTTCCCTGTTTGGTCTTTTAGTTGACTGAACCTGAGTAAATTACTTAGCCTATTTAAGATTTGGATTGCTAGTATGAGACACAGTAACAGCTACCTTAAAACCATTACTAAGACTACATGTAATTAAGGTTGAAAAACATATATTTATTTTGTATCCATCATTGCAGAATGTGGTATGAATAAAATGGTGAATAGTCTAAATATGGCTCATACTGTTATGTATAATATAGTCTGAGAGGAAATAAAAGAAGGGAAATAATAAATATTATCATGTGTGAGGGACACTTAAGAAAAATATCTAAGAAAAGAACAAAGAAAGACACCTAAGGTAAGTTTGGTGGCAGGTAAGAGAAACTTTCCGGCCGGGCGCAGTGGCTCACGCCTGTAATCTCAGCACTTTGGGAGGCCAAGGCTGGAGGATCACGAGGTCAGGAGATCGAGACCACCCTGGCTAACACAGTGAAACCCCGTCTCTACTAAAAATACAAAAAAAAAATTAGCCGGGCATGGTGGTGGGCGCCTGTAGTCCCAGCTACTCGGGAAGCTGAGGCAGGAGAATGGCGTGAACCCGGGAGGCGGAGCTTGCAGTGAGCCGAGATCGCGCCACTGCACTCCAGCCTGGGTGACAGAGCGAGACTCCATCGTCTCAAAAAAAAAAAAAAAAAGAGAAACTTTCCAACAGAACTAAAGTCTTTGGTGATGACAGAAGAGTAACTGGACACTGGGATTGAAGAGAGATGAAGAAAGTTAGTGTCAGAGGTGTGAGACTATATGTCCCTATCATAGATCTGACAGTAGTTTTGAATGCCTGCATCACAGAGTAGTATGGAGGTGGGGAAATGGCATCACAGAGTATGGAGGTGGGAAAATGGATTAAAATCCTAGCACAAAGCTGATACATATAGAAGTTCAATAAATTACAGCACTTTTTAAGTTTTCTGATATACGAATCCTTTCATTATGCTTACCAAGTTTAATTTATTTTACTGTCTTGTATTGTCAAAAGAACAATGTTTTGAGGCCTTCATCTGTCATGAAAAGTCCTCCATTTTCTCAGTCATTAATGGATTTCCAGTTTTTCTTCTCACTCCATTCCTTTCTCTCTCTGTTCTCATCAAGGGTGGCACTCCAAGTCAGCACTGTCCAATAGAAAGTTCTGAGGTGATGAAAATGTTCTATATCTGCACTTTCCACTTGTATGTCGCTATTTAACCATTAAGCACTTGAAATGTGGCTAGGGCAACTGAGAAAATTAATCCTTAATTTAATTTAATTTACATTTAAAGAGCCACATGGAGCTAGTAGCTACCCTATTAAACGGCACAGATGTAGAATTTTTATTTGGTAGAACATTGAAAATGGCACATTGACTGAAAAGTGGTGCTAAAGGATTTAGGCTTTGGCATAGTAAATACTTTTCTTTAAAATGTAGGTTTATTTGGTATGTCTCAGAAGGTAGAGGTGATTGTAGTTACAGGTGAATTAAAACCCTCCTCCATGGTGTTACTAAAGCTGCCTCAATTCATGCCCTGGATGTAAAATACCACTTGCAGTTCCCTGAACTCACTATTGCTGTTTCATACCTCAAAGACTTTGCTAGGACACATCAACTAGAATGCTACTCCACCCCTGGCCATCTGGTAAATACACAATTATTCATCAACACAGCTCAATTGTCATATCTTTTACATAGGTCTCTCAGGAACACCTTATAATTATTTAAAATTTGTGAGATTTTCTCTAGAATTCCCTACTGCCCTATGGCTGAAAGCGTTGTATCCCACTAAAACCACCTTTACTATTTCTATCCTGTAACTTCCTAATGCTCTCTCAGCCACATTTTCTGAATCACTTAGTATATATATATATATATATATATATATATATATATATATATATAGTGTGTATATAGATAGATGGATAGATAGAGAATATATATGACATTCTAGAAGTTACAAATGATGATCTCATCATAGTCATACCAAATGCATGCATTATGTACTTCAGTGAATAACACAATTGAAACTTAATATGCAACTTCCATTTCTTCTCTCCATTCAGAAGAAGTTTTATTTTAGTATTTTTATTCAATTTATTTTACTTTATCACATGACATTCTCATAATTTTAAAAACTTATTCAGAATATTTTAAATAGCTATAAAGGGTATAAAATGTGTTTTATGCCCTTTATTATAAAATAATTTTACTTTTTATTTAATCCAATAAGTTTTGTTTGTTTTATTTTATTTTGTGTAAGCATAAGTTTTTTTTTCTGTTTTGTGGAAGGTGTTACATTAAAGGAAGACAATATATTACTGAAATTTCTCTCTTCTTTTGCTGGCCAAACTTCTGCTATTTTATCTTCATCTTTTAAATCTGACAGTTTGTATTTAATTTTTATCAGTTTTGTCATTCCCATTCTTTTAGCTATATGGCAGCCTGAATATCTTTCTAGGGTGTATTGATTTTAGTCCTCATTTAAGTATTGTAAAAATTACTATCGATTGTCTCAAGAATGATTTTGATGTACTCCCCACCCCCAACAGCCTCCTTCATTACCAGTCTCTTCATGCTAATGATGTGAGGGTGACTTTGACTGGGAGAGAGCTAAATTAAACCAGGGTCATGCTTGCCACTGTGTCCTTGGAATGCTTTTCTTTTGGCAGCAGCACTTCTATTTGTTTCCTTTGCTCTTCCTGCAGTTTTGTGCAACAACTTGTTCAGATACGCAACTATAGTACTGGGTCCAGCTTTGTATCCATGGCAGCAATTTCTGCCCTAGTTTTATCTGACTTTTCATTTAATTCTTCTGAAAGGGAATTCATCCCTTTGTAGAGGAAACTAATGAGGCACTGGTACCAGAGCCCTGGTTCCTATGTGCCAAAAACAGCATCTTGCAAAGCTGCAAGACATATGACCTTGGGGAGTAAGTCTCATTGAGTAAATTTTGCATTTCAAACATCTTCAAATATCGTCCTACCATATTAAAGTTTTGCAAGAATCAAAAATAGATGAGTATGAATAGATACTCATTGAAGCATTTTTTCACTATTAGAAAAAAGCTCCTTTTTCCTTCTTTACACATATTTGTTGAGTATTATTTACTAATTTTTTTTTTGAGAAACACATCATGTGCAACTTCTATAATACTAGATGTAGTGTGCTGATGACAATTTGGTAGTTATGGTCAAGAAAACCTAGGTTTATTTTATAAATTCTAATAGAATTTCATAGTTCATTCTATGTTTAATTTTTATTAATCATAACTAAATAAAATCAATTCTAAAAATTTAATATTTGAAAAAATTTTTATAGAAAATTCATGTAGTAAAGGTGTTAAACTTTTAACAAGTGATACATAAACAAAAGCCATGAAAATGGTTGATGAGTTCATATTTTTACTATTCCATGTCCAGCACCTATGTGCTAGTCAGCTCAGCTTATGTGTTTGTGGAAAAAAAAAGAGGTAACAATAGAAGTCCGATTATACTTTTTCCTTTATATTTTTCTGTAAGTTAGTAAAATGAAGGTAAATAAAGTCCTTTTTTATCTTTGGATCAGAACTCTTAAGTACTGTATTTTAAAAGTTGTAACAACATATAAAGTAATTCAGAAATTTTCCAATCACCACATTGCCCAAGAGGAAAAATCACACATAATTTTATGCACTTCATATGAGCATAAGTTCAGTTTTTTACACATATGTACACAGACACAGAAAATGTGTGTCTAAAGCACAATTCATGTTGCCTTTTATTTTGTTCAAGATATTTTTTATTATTAGAGTTTCTTCCTATATTTTTGAAAATCCCATTGCATTTTGCATGTATAGGTCTTACCATTCTAATTTTTTTAAATGCATAATGACATAACTTTAAATACACAAAAACTATTTAGTAGTAGTTTATTATTGGCACTAACTGATATAGTTGGACTTACATCAGTTATAATTTTGAGAAATCCACTACTACTGTCATCCAACATAATTGTATAAAGTCTGAATTTTTAAAAAGTCTCCTTAAAAATTAAAGACGTATAAAATACGCGTATCTGTTTTAAAAGCAACTTTCACTTAGAATGCATAACACTGTGCTTAGTAATGCTTGTTCTTAATTTAAGTAATAAAAACAACATTAAAGCTAAGTTCTATTTTTTGAATAGCAACCAAAGGTAATATGAGATCAGAAAATGTCACTAAATTAAACTCCTAAGGGAAAAATTTAGATTTTAATGAGAATAGAAAATGTTTGTTTCATTTCAATGATATTTTAAGAATCATAATCTCATATTTCTATTAGATACCAAGGAGGAGGCTGGGCTTGCGTGCTTAATAATGAGATTTGTCGCAAATTTAATAGGTGGTAATATCTTTAGCAGAATACATTTAAAGAGTATTTTTAACCTAATTATGCATTGATGTATTAATGCTAACTAGCAACCAGAAAAGAAGGAAAAAAATAATTATAAGAAAAGACTACATTCTAACAGAAAGTTATAAAGGATTAGGCTTCAACGAAAGGGAATTGTCATTCTGAAAAGGGGAAAAAAACCTTTAGAAAACTCTAGACAAGATAGGTAAAAATTACAGCATTCATGGTAAGTAATAAAAACCGTAATTGTTACATGAGATAATTTTGTGGAGAATGGATGTGATGTGACAGAAATCATCCTGTCTTTACTGATATTCTGGATGAATACCAGTATTAATACACTGGTAAGTCCAGAGTAACTTTTTAAACATACTTCTGATGTTTTTAAACTCATTAAATTAATATTTAATTGAAATTACTTGCCTTCACTTCTCCTTTACAAATCACAGATACCTCACCAAGCATCACTGGTCTTCCTCTGAGGTTTATCAAAGCCTTTCCAAGGAAGCATCATTCCAAACCACTGAAACAGTTAAACTGGAGGCTTTAACACATTACCAACACAAAACACAACCTTCTCAGTAATTCCTGGGCCTTTCTCCATTTTTTCCCGGTTTTTAACACCATTTCATCTTTACATCTCTCATTTCCTGCCTGTCAGTGTGTCCCATTAGGGTACAAATTAGTTTCTTTAAATTTATTTAAACACTATTATTAAATGTTATGCATATTCTGGGCTAACCAGTCCCTTTAAAAATAGGTGTTACTTTAAAATCAGCAAATATTTAGTATTATATTCCCCTAAACTTTCTTTAGATAATTAATATAGAACATGGAATTTATGGTTGGAAAAGTAATGTGATTTTTTAAAATGAAACAGCACCCTACTAGGTCTACATGTACCAATTTTTTATATTGTCTAGAAATCACAATTTATATTCAATGCAGTTATATCCCTCTTCATTTTAAAATAATTGATACATCACATTAACTTCCTAATCACTCCCTAATATTCTCTATGCCTAATTAGTCCTGAATATTCTCAGTGCATGCTTATGCAATTTCTAACATCTAGCTAATTTTAAATACTTCCATTAGACATCTATTAGATATCAACATGCTTTTCTTCTGAAAGTTACATCTACATTTTCATTGTTTATAACATCTTATGTGTGAATATAATATAGGCTAGTGCTGCTATAACCTTACAATGAATTGTCCTAGTTTTTCTAGTCCTATTTTTCCTGCTCTTTTTCTCAGATCCTTTAAATAAAATCAAATGTGCAGTTATTAAAAAAAAACAAATAAAATATACTGGAGAAGATCCTTAAAAGGATATTTCAAAACTAAAGTTCCCACAATGAGTTTACTGGACAACTAAAGTATTAGTTAACAAAACACAAGCAAAATGTCTGAAAAATAATAGGAAAATATACTGTCTGAACTGCACAAAAACATGTCTTGAAACCCAGAGCAGTGAATCTCTATCATTATGAACAGCGAAGGATTTTGTTGAATTTAAAATGCCTCAACAATTCTATCTGTATTTTCTTTGTTTTAATTAAATTATTTCAGGAAATTCTGTATAATAATCAAATGATTTCTTAATAGCTACTCATTTTTTCAATTCATCATAATCTCTGTTTGCATCACTCACATTTTACTCTTTAAATTTTCCACACTGTGATTTATTTTATGACTCTTCTTCTCTCTGGGTGTTCTCTATATGTTTTCCACATTGTCAGTATGTTCTTTATAGAAAACTGGAGAACAATGCCCCTGCTCTGGTTTAATCCTGCATTATGATTTAAGTTCATGTCTCCTGTTCTATATCCAACTGTTGAATTTTTTTATCATTTTATGATAAAATTAACCTTTTGTCCATAGTTCTTCTGTGGTGGTGATTCATTCATTGTTTTGCATCTGAGAGTCTCCTTTTGGCACAACATAGGCATGGATCTTAAACAATAATGTGCATAATTGGATAATTTAATTATATACATACTGAATGCTGCTTGGCATAACCCATTGTTGCGAATCTCTCCATTGCAAAAGAGGAATCTGCTTAAAGTTCTGATTTAAAATGTTTACTTCTTTCTTTACTAATGCATGTACTAAAGCTGACTTAAGCACCCCTTTGCCCATTCTTTTAATCTCTTTAGATTTCATTGAATCTTAAATCTTCTAGCGTAGTATTTGCTCTTCCTCTCAATTTTGAATCATCTGCTCTTCAGCACTCTATCCAGATTGTTAATAAATATGTTAAATAGCTATGGGCCTGAAACTAATCCTGGAGGGCCTTACTAGATGCTATTTTTTTGAAAGCCCAATACATTCTATTAATAAAAACACCTATGCATTTTAATTTGATTCTCCTCTTGATATCCACCATACAATGCTGTACTGGAATAAATTTTAATACAATATTTTTGATAATAGACTTCACAAATCCTCTATTTTAATGTTATTATTAAGTTAAAATTGAAAGAATAAACTTTTTCATACAATACCAAATACAACATGTTTATATAATTCCATATATATATTTATTTTAAGCAAGTATAATAAATGAAAACATTACTACAATACAGAATGATTCAGGAGGAAACCTTTGGGCTATACATAAGCAATTACACAATTTTCTGAATCTTCCTAAGGGTTCCTCCGGTAAGCATAACAAGGGCTCTGAGTATTTGAATTGATTATTTTGAGATTTACTCTTTGGTAAACTCAAAGTGTTTAACTGATATCAGAAGTAATTCTTTTCTTTAAAACCTATAGGAATTAATAAAAGCAATACTATTAAGGACAATTTCAGTAAAGACAGTCTCCTTGAAACTAAACCTGCCTGTCATGGAAGATGTTGGCAACCATGGAGACCTTAATTTTCAGAAGAAATTTGGTGCATTTAAGGAACTGGGGCTCACTGGAATTCAAGTCAGCTATAGTTGAAATAAGCTGTCTAGCAAAATTTTACCTGAGCATTTACACAAATTACCTCCTTTCCTTCCTTCTTTTCTTTTCTTTCCTATTGTTTTTCTCTTTTTGAGAACGGGTCTGGCTCTTTGCCCAGGCTGAAGTGCAGTGGCACCATCTCAGCTTACTGCAACCTCTGCCTCCTTGGCTCAAGTCATCCTCCCACCTCTGCCTCCCGAGTATCTGGGACTACAGGCATAAGCCACCATGTCCGGCTAATTTTCTTTATTTTTAGTAGAGGCAGGGTTTCACCATGTTGCCCAGGCTTCTCTGGAACAACTGAGCTCAAGCTATCTGGCCCCCTTGGCCTCCCAAAGTGCTGGGATTACAGGCGTTAGCTGTAAGATAGAGAATCAGAGCTGTTGATCTGTACCTGGTACAAGAAGACACATTGCTCATTGTAGTTAGTAATAGTTGGCCCTGGGCCGGGCGCGGTGGCTCATGCCTGTAATCCCAGCACTTTGGGAGGCCGAGTCGGGCAGATCACGAGGTCAGGAGGTCGAGGCCATCCTGGCCAACCTGTTGGAACCCCGTCTCTACTAATATACAAAAAAAAATAGCCAGGCATGGTGGCGCGCGCCTGTAGTCCCAGCTATTCAGGAGGCTGAGGTAGGGGAATTACTTGAACTGGGAGGCAAAGGTTGCAATGAGCCGAGATCGCACCACTGCACTCCAGCCTTGCGACAGAGCAAGACTCTGTCTCTAAATAAATAAATAAACAAATAAATAAATAAATAAATAAAAATAATAGTTGGCCCTGTCACTGAAGAGATATTGTTTGTTATGGGAGCAGAGACTACATTATTTCGGAAAAAATACCATTTATGGACACTGACCTCCCTTTCTTTGCTCCATACTTAATACGATAAATGTGCTCTACATGGGAAATTGAATTTAGCTATTTGGCTTGAATTTATGTAGTATTTATATTTAATTTCACACACTAAAGAAGTATTTTATCTCCAAAATATTTTTATTACTATTTATATCTTACGATGTATTAACCACAAGATATTTTCAACCAAATATTGAATCTATTAGCTGTAGATATCATTCTAACAGTGATTGACTTTATAGAACTTTATTGCCTGTTCTTTTCTGACTCCAGAAGAGACTTAGATGTTGACCCCTAGTCAATGGATTTAGAGAACAGTATATTAGAAGAGAGCAATGAGCCAAGTAATAAAGAAATGAGATAAAAAGCATAATTTTCCTTTTCAAAATATTTATTTTTATTTTTACAACTTTAAGTTAGCTATATATGCTTATGGATTGTTTGTTTAATACTCTACTTTTCAATTCTGTCTGTAGCAGCTTGAGTCCTGGAAGCACAATCCCTGGTTCAAATCTCTGTTCTGTCACTTACTGGTAAGAATACCATGAACAAGTTACTTAACATTTCAAAATTTTGATTTGCTCATCATTTAATTAGGTAAAATAATCATAATACAATCCCGCCTTGGGTTGTGGCAAGGACAAAATTATATTATCCCAGTAACTTTTTTACGGTGTCTAGGAAAAAAACATAATTAACAAGCCATCAATTTATAGTCGATATGACACATACATAAATGCATTGTTGTTGTTATATTTAACTGAAAAGGTGCTTTGTAGTTGAACAATAGTATTTAATGTCAAACTTTCTTTATCACAAGTTCAAAGAGGTGCTGGCAGGGAAGTCTAGGTAGAGAGAGTAGTTACCAAGAAGAGGTGACAAATGGTTCTGCTCACCAAAGAGGGCCAATGCGTGCATGAATTTAACTGCTGAAACAGGCATTAGTAATCTGAAGCATCATTGTTAAAACGAAGTAAATTTTATCCACAGCCTCGAAAACAGTCTTCATGATTCTGGCCATTTTCATTCGAATGGTAAAGGCAACGTAGCCTGGATAGTAATGCCTGGCCACACTGAAGAATTTTGTCTAGTGAGCAAGGATTACAAGGAATTGTATGATTTACTATGAAAATAAGTAGTTTTTAAAATGCAATCAGTACTTACTCTATGATAATCTTTGTTTTATGTATCATGGAGTACACAAAAATAACACGGTTCACTTTAATTTTACAAAATTTCTTTTTATTGTGGCTTTTTGCCCTTTCCTCTAAATTCCTTCACAAACTGAAAATGTAATACACGAATAATACTAAGAAATTTCATGGACATACAATTCACATTGGACCTTGAAGGATGTTACAATTTTTACATTATCAGTATAAGAAATATTAAAAATGCCTGGTATAGGTTGAATGCAACCCAAACATGGGCAAGGTACTAATATTATCATTCACCATTATAAATGACATTCTTTCATGTTTTTATTATGGTTGGTTATGTAATTAATTAGGATCCATAATGAATGTTGGGTCTCAATTACTCAAGTTGTAATTTAATAAACTAACATGTCACCCAAGAAATATTATTGCACTTTGTTATGCTAAAGTCAATGCCTCCTTAAAAGTATTCTACTAAAAAAATCATTTCTTTTTGCTTTTGTTTTTGTTAGGGGGAGTCTTGAAATAACCTTATTTCAGTATAAAAAGAAATAAAACTATTTTAAAGACCTTCTTCCCAGGAAATCTATGTTGACTCTTTTGCTTAATAATGCATATACTTTTTATGTAGTAGCATTTTTTGTTTCCTCCTAGAATTGATTGCTGAAAGTTAAAAGCACTTATGACAAATTCATTTAATTCATTCTCTTCTTTGAAAACTTACCAAGCAGTACTGATTTTAAATGCTTCATTTACCTAGATATTTTATCCCTTCATGTTTTCAGTGTGTTTATGCTTCTTTAAAAAACAGGATAGACAGATAGATAGATAGATAGATAGATAGATAGATAGATAGATAGACAGATAGATACATAGAAAGATACATGGACAGATGACAGAAATAGCTATGTAGATAGAGACATTGTCAAAGTCCTAATTTATGCCATGTCAAAACTCATAATTTTGTTAAATAAATATATTTAACAGCCTTATTAAAATTTAGGTTTAGACATTGTCTAAAGTTATACAAAATTTTTATTATTTTTACAACTGCCCATTTAATATTGGCTTTGACTATACGCAATATAATATATATATGTTTTCAAGATAACAATTTTATAATGTTATATTTGGAAAATTTATGTATCTCTGAATACTTCTACTCTTCTCCTATCTCTCATGACTATTTAATCACCTTATTGCAGTAGTACAATTTAATTGTAAAACACATAATTAAGCAATCTAAGTTTGAATTTCTGCTCTAATATTTCAACCTGTGATTTCTGATAAGTTACTTACTTCTCTTTCTCTGTGTGTGTTTCTTATAGGTAAAATTGCATAAAAATAGCAACTACCTCCTGGGAATTTTATATGATTGAGTAAGATGCTTTATAAAATGAGCTTGACAACCGAGTACTTAATGAATGTTAGCTATTATTCTTAAACCAACTGTACTTTGAAAGTTTTTCTTACCTCCATAATTCAATTCAGAACTTCATTATTAGTTTCCCTGTTGTATTAGTCCATTTTCTGTTGCTATAACCGAATACCACAGACTGGGTAATTTATAAAGAGTAGATAATTATTTATGACTAGAGACTGCCTGCAAAGTGACACAAGCAATGCCAGATCTAGGCCAGTAGGGGCCTGTAGTGTCCTATTCTGTCATATGACAGACATCTGACTATAAAAACTTTTAAGACGTTTTTTCTAACTTTATAGGTTATCCATTCCAAAACAAAGATGAATTCCTTTTGAGTAACTTTAGCCTTCTATAATTTAACTTTTATGCTGTAGCAGTGGGTTGACAGAACTATGCATCTGTCATTCAATTCTTAATAAAAAAGATGTAAACATCTTAATATACATATATAATGTATGATGCTTTAAAATATATATAAATAAAAACTTCTCTTCCAACTAGTTCTGGAGGCTGGAAAGTCCAAGATCACAACACCAGCATCTGGTGAAGGCCTTCTTGCTATATCACAACATGGTGACATGGTGGGAGTCCCATCACATGGCCAGACAGAACAAGCCTGCTACCTCAATTGAGACAGGGTCTCACTCTGCTGCCCGGGCTGGAGTTCTTATAAAGCCACCAGTTCCAAGCTAAGGACCCCACCCTGATGACCACATCTAATCCTACTTACCTCCCAAAGGCCCCACCTTCAAATATCATCAACATATGTATTTGGGCATTACATTGCCAACACATGAAATTTGAGGGACGTATTCAAACCATAGCATCCCTATTTTTTAAGTGTGGGTTATAGCCCATGAGCTGGCTGTGAAATCAATTAGTTATGTCATGATAACCTTGTCTATTAATAAAAATAAAACAAAATAGAAAAATTCATCAGAGCTTATCAAATATAGTAAGGTTAAAAATTTTGTCATGAGATTTTTAGTTATACCTGTGTGTATGTTAATATTTTTATACTCTAAGTTACTTTAAATTTTTTATTTTTTTATTTTATTGGCTTTTGTTTGTTTGTTTTTGAGACAGGGTCTCACTCCTGCAACCAGGCTGAGTGCAGTGCGATCTCAGCTCACTGCAGCCTCAACTTCCTGGGATCAAGTGACCCTCCCACCTCAGCCTCCTGAGTAGCTGGGACCACAGGTGTGCACCACGACGCCTGGCTAATGTTTGTATTTGTTTTAGAGACAGGGTCTCACCATGTTGCCAAGGCTAGTCTTCAACTCCTGGGCTCAAGTGATCCACCCACCTCAGCCTACCCAAGTGCTAAGATTATAGGCATGAGCAACCGTGCCTGGCCTAAATTTTTTAAAAAGTATCATGTTAGTGTACTTACAGCTTTCCCTGAGTACTTATGGAGCATTTGACATTTCCCCATAACTAGGAATCCTACTTCCTCCAATTTCTATTTTTCTTAAGGCTGCCAGAAATAATGCTCTGAAAAATGAGTCTTTATATTTTTCCAGTTTGTTGAGAGTTGTTATTGTGAGGGTGGTCTACTTTATCAATAAAAACAAAATGTAAAATCCTTTTAAACCCTCAAATAAATGTGTCGTATAGGACTTCTTCATAAATTACATTGAACCTATTTCTCTTGGAAGTCTATGCTCCAGTCACACTGATTTGCACATGATTTCTTAAATGTCATGTACTCTTAGACAACTTAAAGATATTTTCCCTCCCAATTGTTTTCTTAGGTTTGTCTCTCAATATGCAGCTCAAATATCTCCTACTCAGGGGTGTCTCAACTAATTTAATGGGTAATTATTGGATTTCTCCTCATTCATCTCACAACATTTTGTTCTTGTTGTGTTGTTTGTGTTTTTGTCTATTTAAAATAAACAGTAACATTAATAATTATGAACTAATATTATTAGTGTATTTCATTCCATTAAAATATTGTGTGCCTCAAATTTGATTGTCAACAATGACTTTATTACTTTTGATCTAGAAAATGACATTATATTAATGACAGCATGTTGTATTTTTCTCTCCTAAGTCAAATAATTTTAACAAACAGATTACTTGGGGAAGTGAATCACTAAAAACCAATAGCACACATTAATCATGTGATTGATATATCAATGAAATATTATAGAAATATGGGCACTCTGACACAGCCATACCATCCAGAATTCAGTATTCTCAAAAGGCCCACTTAACTCATCTACTTTGGCAATCTTTCAATTCCCTTCCTTAAATTCAATTGAGTAATAGTTATTTGATTCCCTGTAATATTTTATTTTTTCTACATTTTGTTTTCAGAATTAACATCACTTGAAAACATACATTGCCTTGCTCTTCTTAATTTGCCCTATTTGTATATAGCAGGCATGTCTGTGCATATAGATTTTTGGTTTTTGTTTGTTTTGTTCTGCTTTTCATTTCAGAAACAGTTAAAACAAGTTTCGTGTCACTTCCATGTTTAAGAGATAAACAGGATTTTTAAAACTAAGTTACAGCAATAATGGAGTAAAGTAGATACTTTGTTCTCATCCTTCATGAATAAGAAAACCTGAATTAAAGTGCTCCTGAGCCTTTGGACAGCAGTACACTCTTATCTGAGAAGAGGTAAGATGGAAAATCAAACTCCGATAAAATACATGTCTTCTTTTGTTTGACATGAAATATTTAAATACCTATACTTTACGAGAGGAGCTGAGAAATACTTTTCTCACTGAGTTGCACATAGCATCTATATTATTCTGTTTGGAACCTTGGCGGTGCCCAGATTGTAAAAGTCATCAACTCAGAATCATAAAATTCAAAAGACATTTCTTGAACTTGTCTGAAGAATCATGATCAAAGGAAAAATGTGTTTCTTAGCTGGTATAATATGAATAATAAATAAAATTTACATTGCAACAATGAAGGGGAGGCTAAAATTAACACAAGTTTACCTACATAACAAACCTGTACATGTACCCCTGAATTTAAAATTTCAATAAAATTAAAAATAAATAAAAATAAATAAATGTAAATTTATAATAATACATTTTATTGTTTTAAACTTTAAAAAGGTATATATTATAGTATTTGTTTTACTAATAAAAATATTCATAGTCTAACATGCCATTTTTATCAGTTTATATATTTACTGGAGGTGTGTATTCACTTCCAATCTCAGTGTAGCAATCTAAATATTTTAGAAAGTTTTGAATTTCTCAATTTTATCATTTCATGGGCATTTTTAAGGAAAATAATCTTTGTACCAATTGCAGAGTATAGTGTAGAAAATGCAAAATATATAACGCGTAATAATTCTATTCATAGAACTCAAAATATGGTTGGAAATAACAGCATTTCAAAATGCAACAATTAGGTGAGGATAGAAACTAAACCAAAAATCCATAAAGTAGATTATCGTATAGAAGAGTGTAAAAATTTGAATTATTGATAGATATTTTAAGGTAATAATATTGAAAAAGCTTCCAAAAATGATTTAGATTCGAATAAGTGGACATAAATGTAAAGTGCACATGTAATGTAAATATTCAAATGACATTAAGACATTCGATAGTTTAAAATTGTAGAGTATCGATACAAAAAGCAACAGATTAACAGATGACAATTTATTAAAATGACTTAAGTTATTGTATACAATAATTTAACAATATACATACAATGTTACAGGAAAATAAGTAATTAGGACCAAATGTGTTTTTCCTAAGATTTGTTCAGTTGAGAGAGAAATCATTGTGGGTGTCACATGAAGGCTGGGGGTATCTTAATAGTATTGTAATTGAGTCAATTATGACTTAAATAGATATAGCATGATTTGAGATTATTCCATGCAAAGAAAAGAACATACTTCAAATAAATCGAATCATGGTTTACTTACAGGCAGTGACTAGCTTGGATTTATTCATGAATTACGATTATTTTTCAATAAATATTAAAAGACAAAATTGAAAATACTGAATAGAGGCAGATTGTTGACAAATGCAAATGCCTATAAGATAAAATATAGTGACTCATGTTATTCATTGCAGTTTATTATCATTAGTCCTCAAATGTACAACTTTGCAATGTCAATACATGCTCATACATATTGTGTCATTTAGTTGCCAAAATAATTCTTTGTACAAAGTAAGCCTTAAAGAAATTGCATTATTTGCAAGTCAAGTCATACAGTTAGTAAGCGGAGGACCCAAGACCCCAATGCAAGTATGTTTAGAGCCAAATCCAATGTATTAATGAAGATACTTTGAGTACAAATAACAGAAATCTGAATTTAACATGGCTTAAACAATAACAAAACCCATTAACTTTATAAGAGGAAGTTCTGAAGTGTCACAAGATACAGAGTTGATTGTTTCATTACCACACTGATTTAATCCAGGTATTTTTTTCATCTGTCTTGTTGTCTATTATTGGCCTTGAATTCAGCCTCAGAATGTTAGTATTTCTAGACATCACATGAAAACCTGATGATGTTCAGAAGAGATGATGCTCAAAACATAAGTAAATAAATGAATAAATAAACTTACAAAATGGGAATAAAAATACAAAGAAGAAAGTTTGTTAATGTAAAGACATTAAATTTATGAGAGCAGTTTTTTTGTTACATACACATACACAGGCACACATACATTTGCATGCACCTTTGTCTTGTTACTGTAGTTCAGCAATTTGTGAATTTTATTTATTGACTTTGTTTTTCCAAAGAGACTGTATTCAAGATTGAGTATAAAATTAAATTCTATAGAAGCACTGTATAACCTAAACAATGAGTAGATCTGTAGAATTACCAAATTTTGTCAGTATACTAATTACTGGATCATACAAGTGAGGGCATTGTATTGCTTTTTGTCAAAATCAGTTGAAAGACATGGTAGATACATTGGGATCTTAGCAATAAATTATAAAGATCAAAACAAAATGGAGGTTTGCCTAAACTGATTCCTGAAGTCAGGACACATGATATTTCACATTTTGCTTCATAAAAGTTCATCACTTTAATAAATCATCATATTATTTTTATTACAGTATGTAAGGTATTTTTAGCTTTTGTTTCTGATATAGCCAGTACAGAACCACCCCCCTGCCCCAAACACACACATACACTTACACACACCAACACTTTCCAAGTAGAGTTACATATCTCTATGTCAAGCAATAATTATTTTCTCATTTCTGGTATTGTTCTAGTTTAACTTACCCCCATGGAAATTCTTATGGAGTTTCTAAATTTTTGATGTTGATTAATCAGTAAAGTGAGAAGTTCTACTTAAAACCCACCATGAACCAAGTAACCCAGTCTAGGTGATATCTCAACTTCATTTGATCAGTTGACAGGTGTTTGGGTAACAGAATTCCGTAAGAGTTCTTTCTCAGAATAGAAGACTATCTTAGATAAACTATTTTAATACCTTGGGGTAGCTTTTTTTAGTTGGGTACATTTTTATTAGAGAAACTATCTTGAAAGAAAGATCTACTGATTTTCATGCAGAGGTGAAAATGTATTAATTGTGATTGAAATTCAACAGAAGTATTAGCTTTATATCTCTGGGCTTTAGTTCTCAAAGGACTTTCCTACCAATAAGTACTTTCCCATTCTCTCTGACAGGCAAAATTTCTCTTGTCCTTCAAGACTCCAATGTAATTATTATTTTAAAAAAATAAGAAATTGCTCTTTCCATGTAATAGTCTATCCAATAAATATTTTATATTCAAGTGTTTCCCTCATCTGTGAAAACTATCTCAGAACTTCATATAGAGTATTCCTCTCCCTGTGAAAAATCATAGTTGTTAGTGTTCATTTTCACAATACACCATAATGCTCTTTCAATTATTAGAGTACTTATCATAGAACAATCTTTGAAACCTAAGCAAGTAAATTGTATCTATTGCACAGAAGATGCTAAATACTGAATAAATGAAAGTAACTCTATTAATTAGAATAAAAGCAATTTCTGAGAGGTTGAGTAATAGTTAAAAATATTATAAGATTATCATTACAGGACACAAGTCTTCTGTCATTTTAATTATTGCTCCATACTCTGAAGAAGCAATTGCAAATGTGTACTAGAATATGTCTCTGTGTATGTGAACACATAACTTACATTTCATAGTATTTTTTTTGGATTGTTCTTGAAATTACCATTAACATTGATTAGCGATTATCTGCATTAAGAGGAGACATGAAGGATTCTTCTGTTTGGGTGCACCTTATGCTCAGATAGAGGACTTAAATAAAGTCAAATTTCAACCATTGTGGGTGTAACATGTTTAAAAGAATATTTTCAAAAAGCTTGTCTGAAATTTGCAAAAATAACAATTCATAGAGAGCATGATATAACCATTATGATCATTTTTTGTGTAGTTTATGCTGCCTAAGGAAATTGTGTCCAAAATTGCTCTTTCGTCAGGCATTACATTTTAGGAGAAAATAAAGTTATCTAGATTTGAGGCTGCTTAAACGTGGAATGTAAGTACACAAAATTGGAATAGAAGTGAAAATATATACAATAAAATAAATCCAGTCATTGTTTTATATTTATTAAAGCTTTGGGTAAGTTTAATAAATATTTGTCCGAGGTAAGTATCAGAACTTAAGATATTTTATTGTGGTCAGCTGTGAATACTCATTGACTTTATTACAGCCTATATTCTTTGAAGACCTATGATTATAATAGAAAGATATTTTAACATCTTCTTAGAAAATGTTATATATGCTATCTATATAGAATTTGCTTATTTCTCCAGTCATTTAAATCTAATTCATTAAAAGTTGAATTACTGTTGTATGAAAAGGTTTTAAAATGGATCGATTAAGATAGCTGCATTATAAGGATAGAATTTCAGTAAAGCCCAGTAAATTGAACTATCTTTAACTGTGATTTTTTTAAAAGTAATTCATTGAAATAATCACTTATATACACACAGAGGAAATGTTGATTGATTTATAAATTAATAGTATATCAGAAAGATTTGGGTTTTAAAAAAGCATCAATTATTTTTAATTATTTAATATTTTAAAATTTATTATATAATGCTGATAAAATTGGCACAGAGTCTCACTTGTTTCACGTAATTATTATAGTAGTGGGTAGAAAAATTGTGAGAATATACTCAAATACAAAATGCTCTGTGGGCATCTGGTTCAGAAAATAGCCATTTTATTAAAATCATAGCATTGGAAAGAAGTGGGAATGAAAAGATGTCCTTTTAATAATAATCAATTTAGTGAAAACATTGTGAAAATTTGTACACAACTAAGTCACAGTATTTTAACATTTACTAAATTTTTTTAAAATAATAAATCCCCTTCTCATAAAACTTTCTGAAACCAGTTCTTCCTTCTGACTTCCTTTTTCTATTTATTTCATCCAGTGAATAAAATGGAGTCTTGGAGTCATTTTTACCCTTTTGCTTCTATTATCCTATTTCCCTTTACTTCTTACATCTCAGGGATTTCCAAGGAGCTTTGAAAACAGCAATGTAGAACATGGTAGGTTGGATGAAAAGGCAGCCTGGAAATATGCAGGAAGTGAATATTTAACGCCTCTGTACACTGAGACTAATTAGTTACAAGAAATATAAGAAAGCCCAGCCAGTTGTACAGCATGCAGTGCTCAGACAGTGCAGTGGCAGGATGTATCTGGCAGTCCAGATGGGTTCCAGCAGGCAGTGCATTCCAGCAGGCAGCCTCAGAGCAGAGAGTACTCAAAGATCCAAACCAGGACAAGGGCTTAGAGACAATAGGCATCAAAAGAGACAGGCGGCAGGTGTCAAGCCCCGTTTCAGCAGTGAAACAAAAGCAAAAGCCCAGAACCTAATAGAACTAATGACATTAATCGCAGTACCCATGATGCTCAGATACTCAGTTCTGATGTTGTTGTTGCTCTGAGCTACTTGACTTAATGCAGAATTGCTCAGGTGTCCATTTTAGAGACCTTAGCTTTTCTCTATAGATGAGACCTGAATCATACCCCGTTTTTTTGAAAAGATATTCAGGGTCTTTTTACACTGTTCTTCCATGTCTTCTGTTGAGAACTGTCAGTTCTGCTATTGTTGAATGTGTCTTAACAAAAATAAAAATTTCCAATGTATTCTTCTCCTATATTAATAATATCTTCAGTGACTATTCTACTTGTACCCCTTTCTTCTTCAATCCAAACTAGGTAATGTTGCCTGATTAATCTGCTGGACAAAGTAAATTCAGTAAATTCAGTGGCTCAGACTTGTGTACCAAATTAGATGTGAATGTTTCTTTATAACGTTCAAAGTTCTTTAAAATAGAAACTCAATTTACTGCTCAAGCCTCATATCTTATTATTCTAGTATCATGTCTTACTCAGCTTTTACATGTAAATTTGCTTCACTTATTCTGAAGAATTAGTATTTACTGAGTTTTTAAATATAGGTTTTCTAAATTTATTTTGATTTTCTTCTTTCTGCTAAAAATACAATCATAAACTTTAAAACTGCTTTCTTCCAATAAAAGTTTAATCTCTCCATAAATGGTCACCTGCTAAGCCAAGTTCTCCGTGTGTCCTTTCATTATCTCCTGATTCCAATAGAAATTTACTTTTTGAGCAGGGTTGGTATGGGGGTGAGATTGTGAACTACTTACAGATTTTTCTCACATTTGCCTAAAAACAGTATGGGCTGCTAACATAGGCAGAGCAGTTAGGGAGTAATGAGGGTGGGGGAAGAAGAGAAAAACAGAACACATTCAATCTATACAACTTCTACTTAACAAAAATTGCTGAAATTTCATTAATAACGCAGAGATTCAGGTCAGCCAATGTGACCTGCAACAAAAATTCTTATGGACAGGTTTTGCTATGCTTGTTTGAAAACAAATGTATATTACATACATACATACATACATATATTCACATAGTCATCGGATTGGAGCTGCCTGCTTTGAATTTCTACAGCTCTGGGCTGCATTTGTTTCTATAATGACATCTGTAGTCAGATTTCTCAAGTTCAGTTCCTTGCCCAGAACTACTTGTTTATTTAATTTCAAATTTATACTCACACTGCTTTATACTTAGATTTCCATATGTTGTGCCATTCTGTCACTGAGTACAGTATGTGGAGTACAAGGTGTCATATATTTATCTCATTTCCATAATTTTTCTTATACTTTATTAGTCTGGATACCCATAGTTTGGGGTTTCATGTAATTAAAACTGCAATAATTCTGGTAAATTAGGGAACATGATTTAGAACTCTCAAAAAGTACATCCACTTCTAACTTTTACAAAAGTTATGCATTTCAAAGTAAAGATTTTTCATAAGAGTTATGATATCTCAATAGGGCAATTTTAATTAGTTAATGTTTAATTGACATTGAATTAATTAGTTAATGTTTAATTGCCACTGGAAAAAAAATGTATTCTGAAGATAACATTCTCTCCTTCTCTAGGAGGTCCAAGACATAAATTATAATGCATTAATATGTGGATTTTAGTCAGTGTCAAAGTATAGGGAAAATGGAAGCAAACATTAAAATGCACAGAATAAAAGTTAACATCACTAAGGTTAACTGTCATTAATATAACATTTTGGTTTCATGGTGTTCTTCATTACTGTAGTTGTGCCATGCTGTGTGCTTTGAGTATTTTAATTTTTAATATATGTCAACATCGCTTCTGACCTCAGGTTTAAATTTCAATTCAAAGCTCTATGATGCAAATACCTTCAAGAACTTCCCAAACATAAATTCAGAAAGAAACTCCCTTTTAGTTTGAATGTAAACAAATGTTTTCAGGGAAAAATGTTGATGCTATAAATATGATTATTCTTTTATAAAAATACACAAACTGTTTCATCACAAACAGGCAAAAGTATATTAAAATAACAAAAGCTAACTAGGGTTGATCAACAAAGAAAAAATTGTTTTTACAAGTCGAATCTACATTTCTACAAGTTAAAATCCACCAGGAGGCTTTTAATCCAAGGAATAATTTTTTTAATTTAAATCCATAGAAATGTTTGTCAAATTAGACAGTTTTAAACATTTATTTATAGTGCTTTTTAACAGTCTTTATTTCCTAATTGTGAATAATAATGTTGGTGAATTGCTACAATTCATTTGAATCTGTCTTTCTTGCATTATACAAGAAAAACTCACCAATTTTTAAATTTAAATTTAATTTTTTTCTTACCTAGCAAATTACCAGAGGAAAAAAGGTTGATTTGAGATAAGAGATTGCTTTCACAATAAAAATATAATCAGAACGCAAATCCCTGAGTCTGAAGTTGTAAAATGATGTGTGCATGATGGGCAAAAGAGACCTGGGAGAAATTGAAGGTTTCTAACAGCAATGCCTGACCTCAGTGGAGTGCTTTTTCACCTGCAAAGTGACACTCGCTTAATCCTCACTGTAGGAAAATTTCAGGGCACGTATCCTTCTCTGTTAACAATAGGGGATAATTTAGATCAAAAGCTTTCAAGTGTTCTACCTAAAGTCAGGGAGTGATTAAGGCATGGAATAAAAACAAAAACCAAGTTTCTAAAATTGCAAGACTGATACTATTTTCATTGCACAAAACATTTTCAACCCTGCATCTCTCCTTAAAAATGTGATAGAAGTAACTTCTTTCTAAATTTATTTCAGAGGTTTTAAGGGTATAAATAATTTCTGAGAATAAAAGAAATAGCTTTATAATTCAAATTTATTTTAGACATATTATTTACCCTTTAATTTACCTTTTAATTGGAGGTTTACATTATTTCTTTAGGACAAAGAAAAATCTTTATCCTTTCTTGCAAACTTTGGTTGATTTGTCTTTACTTTGATCACGGCATAATGGAAATGTATAATATTAGAATGTTTTTGTGACTGATAGACTGTGGAAATTCCTTTTTTATGCCTCAGTAGGTTTTAATTTCACTATTTCAATTTCCCAAATTGTATTTAGTTTAGAAATACACCATATTGCTTACTGTTCCAGCCCTCTATTAGTTTTTTCAGTGTTGTAACATTGATTGTTTTCTCAGATCTCATTTAGCTAGTTTCACCCTTGAAAAAGGAAATGCAGTTTCTGTCAATGCTATCTTAGGGTTATCAAAGGGCTAAAAATTTCAGATAAATATCACAGTTTTAGGCAATATTTTTAAAAATAATAAAGCAATGTGATAGTCTCATGATGGTTTTTATTATCCAAAATTATATTTTTACTTATATGTACCTTCCTATGTTCTGCTAAACATAGAGAATGCTGTTTTGTTGTGTTTAAATTGATATTTAGTGACATCTTAACCAGTCTTGGGGTGCAGGAATGGAATTGCCTTAGAAGGCTTCCAGTTATTCATGCTGAACTTCAAAAGATAAGTGGATATTAGGCAGTGGAGGGCAGTGGATATTACATGCAGAGAAGCCAGTTGAACAAAAACACACACATGGAACTTACAATGAGTCTTGGGCTTTAAAGATCTCCAAAAATATGTAAACGTTAAAGAAACACATTACATGTTTGTGCCTCAGTTTCCTCACCTATAAAAAGGTAGTAGTGACAGTACCTAAGATGATTGCCACGAAGGGTAAATAAGCTGTTACATGTAAACTGCTTAGAACAATGATGGGTACATAATAAATACTAAATAATTTTTAGCTATTATGCTGTCAGATCATCTGTATACAGTTATTGTTACATGATCATATATGCATTCCTGGAATATATTATGTGAAATCACATGCCAAAAATAATACAGCAGATAGGAAAAATGGGATTAGTGTTGAACAATTCAATACATTTAGACTTAGTAACCAAAATAATATCAATGCCAATAATAGCACAGTTAAAATCTCCACTGGTATTTGTACATAGCATTCTAATCAGTGGACTGTTGCAATCTTGAATCCCAGAGCTCTTGCTTATTTCTTTAAGCATGCATTTGTTTCTTATAAAAAACAGTTCCAATAAAATTAAAAATCTATTTTTAAACTTAACTCTAGATACATGTACAGGAAAACAAATCACTCTTAGATACAGCAGATAATTTAATATAGCAGAAACTGAAACTGATCTTGTAAGTCACCAAATTACATTTAAAAAAAACCCACAATTTTGCAGGATTTTCATCTTTTTTTAAAGGCCTGTATGTATTTGTAAGGTTTTTGTTTTAATTGTGGGAAAAAGCTACCCCTGAACACTGCAAAATACTAAAGAGCTATAAAAATTACATATGAATGAATATAAATTATAAATGAAACATCTAATATTTCATTTTGTGTCAACAGTGAGTTAACGTACATTAAAGAACCATACGTTGTAGAAGAATATACTTTATTTCCAAACCTAGACGTGTACTATCAATAGAGTTTTTTTCTTAAATATTGGAAGTATTTATATTTCTTTCTCCTACTCACTCTTCAGCCCTGTTGAGTCCAAATACAGGCTCAATCTTGCTGTAGTGACAGATGACCTCCATGGCCCTACATCCATGGGAAGGAATTCAGTCCTACTTTTAAGGTTTGTAGCAGCATTAAATACTGCTTACCTCTCCCTGCTTTTTGAAGCATGGTCTTTTCTTGACGTGTATGACACAGTATTGATTTATTTTACTTCTGCATGACTAATAGATTCTTCTTCATTTTCTGTAAAATATCATGCTACTTTATAAGTCTCTCAAATGTTGGAGTTCTTGGAGGATGTTCTCCTGCTCACACCTTAGTCTTTCCATAAGCTATTTCATACAAACTCTGATCATCAACTATACAAAGTTTTCTCAAAAATGGTATGTGTGTTTTCCAGATTTATGCCATGAAAAAATAGACAATTTAACCTCCAATTTTTCCTTAAGCCCTTTAATAATGGGTCACTATACCCCGTTCAGCTTTACAACATTCCCTCTCCCTTGTCTCATTCCACACTGGCCGCCATCATATTTTTGATGCCCATTCCCTCCAGTCAAAAGGTGTTTCTACATGCTGTTCTCCCTCCTGGGAATGTTCTTTCTTCCTCCATTCACTTAACTCTTACTCACAGTTCTGATGTTAATTCAAGTATCATTTCCTCAAGGAAATTAGTTTTACTTCAACTTTTTGAATGAGTGACCCCACAATTATAGGTTATTATAACTCCTGATCGTTGCATATGTGTAGTACCGTATTTGTTTTTGTGTTTATTTGATTCTTTGGCCTCTTTTATAAGACTCTATGTTTTGGCTGGGTGCGTTGGCTCACGCCGGTAATCCCAGCATTTTGGGAGGCCGAGGCGGGCAGATCACCTGAGGTGGGGAGTTTGAGACCAGCCAGATCAACATGGAGAAACCCTGTCTCTACTAAAAATATAAAATTAGCCGGGTGTGGTGATGCATGCCTGTAATCCCAGCTACTCGGAATGCTGAGGCAGGAGAATCACTTGAAACCGGGAGGTGGACATTGTAGTGAGCTGAGATCATGCCATTGTGCTCCAGCCTGGGCAACAAGAGCGAAACTCCATCTCGAAAGACAGAAAAGAAAAGAAAAGGAATCTATGTTTGATTCACTTAGGCGGTGTACCTGTACCTAGCATGTTCCAGATTCACTATGCTTAGCCTTATCTACTAATGAATCCTCAGTAAATATTTACAGAATTAGTCAACTAATAAATATCAGGTTAAAGAACTGTTCTGGCCTTCATGGTTCTGTAAAGTGTTTGCACAATCTCCTCTAAAATACTATTAAAGCAATGTAAGATTAGGTACATTGTCTCAGTAAAGTTTCTGACTTGGAAAGGAAATTAGAATGATTGGGCACTGGGAAGATGATTGGAGGAAGAGGATTGTCTGCATTGAGAGAATGTGGATAAGTCTTGGGGCTTTTTGTTGTTGATTTTAATTAATTTTCTGAGTCTAAGGAATATTTGAGACACATTTCCTTCTTTGGTGGACTCTCTATCTCCCATCACTCTTTCATTACGAGAAATTACTCTTCAGTGATCACCCAGACCATAGAATGTTCTATTGACAAAGGGAATCTGACCTGAACAATAATGGGGAAGCTGTAGCATTGAATTACTTCCTTTAGAATATTTATGAACCTCTATAAATCTATATACAGTGTTCCCAGTGGGCTTTTTTCATGATGGAGGTACATGATGAAGGAGGCTGGTGAGACTTTGACGACTGCTGATAAAAGAGAATTTAAAGAGGGTATAATTTTAGGATATTTCCATCTATAAACTTAGAAAATGTAAGAATGCCTTCTTTCTATGTAAGAAGAGTTGAGTTGGTATTCCTTCTCGTATATCAAAAGAAGAGCTTGCCAAGGTAACGGGATTAAGAATATAGGGTCTGGATTCAGATGTTCTGATTGAAAAACCAGTTATAGCCTTAAAAATTTTTAAACTTTTAAAGAGGTTTACAAACAATTCAAATGAGATGCCTCACATTCTATTCTATTTTATTCTACTTTCCCATCCTATTCTTTTTATTTTTTAACTTTATTTTAGGTTCAGGGGTACACATGCAGGTTGGCTATATAGGCAAATTGAGTGCTGTGGGTGTTTGATGTACAAATTATTTCACCACCCAGGTAATAAGCATGGTACCCAATAGGTAGTTTTTCGGCCCTCACCCTCCTCCCACCCTCCGCCCTCAAGTAGGCACCAGTGTCTGTTATTCACTTCTTTGTGTCCATGTGTACTCAATGTTTAGTTTCCACTTTTAAGTGAGAGCGTGTGGTATGTAGTTTTCTGTTCCTCCTTTAGTTTGCTTAGGATAATGAAAACAGCCTGAATGTCAATCAATAGTAGACTGAATAAAGAAAATGTAGTATATATACACCATGGAATACTATGCAGCCCTATACAGAATGAGATCACGTCTTTTGCAGCAACATGGATGGACCTGGTGGCCCATCCTATACTATACTAAAGATTTATCATCCCATAATCTATTTTCTTTTCTTTTGCAAAGCATTTGTTACCTCAGCTTTCTTAAAAAAATTATTTCAAAAATGTCTTGCTGACTTCAAAGCTTTAAAGAATAGATATGTGTAAGAAAGGTGCAAATTCATAAATTAATGAATAAATAATATTAAATTGGAGACAAATTTTAAAATATTAATTAAATTTTATAACACTTTCATGTTTTTATATTCTAAAATTAGCTTGATCTAATCAATGACAAGCGGACTTTAATTGGCATTTTTAGTATTACATAAACTTAGTGTATTTACAAAATTTTCTCATGATTAACAAATTTGAGATAATAAATTGCTTGTTTATCTCTTTCATACACTCATTAAAACACAAATGTTTTAGTATATAATCATTATTTTAGAATCACAATTACATATGACATCTATTCAACTAAATGTATGTAAATAAAAAATAAACAGTTGTCATTTTCAATGTATTGTAACAAACCAATGACTATATATTCAACACTTAATGACAAAATATATATTCAAATAATTTAATTATAAGGTTAAAATTTTTAAATCAAATCTTTGATTTTTAAACAAATTTGAGCTGTAAAATATTTTTAACTTTATAATTGCATTGAACTTTAATTCAGAAAACAAAATCTTAACAAAACAATTTAAATAAGTTCTTAAGGTAAAAAGTTCTCAAATAGGTTTTTAAAATTGGTTTGTTGAGATAAAATTTGCATATCATACAATTACTTGCAATTCCCATAGCATATTACTTAAACTATACAATACAATGTTTTTAAACATTACATTGATTATAAAGTCAGTGGTTTTTCATATATTCATAAAGTTGCAAAATCTTCCCCACAATAAATTTTAAAATATTTTTATTATCTGAAAAAGAAACCTTATACCCATTAGCTGTCACTTCCCATCCTAACCCCTCTTTTTCAAATCTTGACAACCACTAATGTACCTACTGTTTCTGTAGATTTCTAGACATTTCATATAAATGAAATCATTCAATACTTGCTCTTTTGTTACTGATTGCTTTCCCTCTTTGAGGTGTTTTCAAGGTTCTTACACTTTGTAGCATGTATCAATACCTAATTTATTTTTACTGGTGAATAATATTTCATTATATAGAAATACAACATTTTGTTTATTCATTCATTAGTTTATATACTTTTGAGTTGTTTTCACTTTTTGGCCATTGTGAATAATACTGCTATGAATTTCATGTATAAATTTATACAAATATATATATTACAAAGTTTCCAGTTGCATTCTGATATGGACAAAAACAGGGAAATACTGGATGGAAGAGGGCAGTTACCTGGAAAAGGCCCCATCACCAAGCCTGGAAACCTGCGGCCCTAAATGAAAATAGGCATTCCTATTTTTGCCCCCAGATGTAGCCTTTTGCGCCCCCCACCCTCCATCCTATACACATATAAACCCCAAACCCCAGGCGCCATGAGCAGAGACGAGTTGAGGAGCAGACTAACAGAAGGGCAGAGGAGCAGAAGGGTGGTGTAGCAGAGAAGGTGAGAAGAAAAGGAACCTCTGAATATTGAGAGGAGTTCGGCTAGGGAGGGTCAGAGAGGAGATCAGCCATGGGACAACTGAACTCCAGGTGAAGATCATCTTCCCGCTGCATCCTCTTTCCATTTCCCCATCCATCCCATTGAGAGCCACTTCCATCACCCAATAAAATCCCACATTCACCATCCTTCAAGTCCGTATGTGACCTGATTCTTCCTGGACACCAGACAAGAACCCGGGTACCAAGAGGGCACTGAGCTGGTTAACACTTAAGCTGCTTGTGGATGGCAGAGCTAAAAGAGCACTGTAGCAAGCCTGCTGGGGCTTGAAGAGTCACAGGCACACACCCCTAGACGTCAACGTGGGGCCAGAGCCCAGAACTACTCGTCCCCACTCCCGCCCCTGTCCATCTGTCTGCTCCCCTTCCTGTGAGGAGTTTGAGCAGTGGCGGAGGCTGAGCAGATGAGCTCCACCCCTGTCACATATCCTGCAAGGGAGGTCAGGGAACTCTCCTTTCAATTCTTTTACATGTAGATGTCCCATTTTCCCGGTATCAATTGTTGTAAAGGTGATTATTCTATTGAATGGTCTTGGCACTCTCATCAAACTCAATTGACCATAAATGAGAAGGATGATTACTGGATTCCCACTTCTATTCCATTTATGTACATGTTCATCCTTATCATAGTCTGTATTTCTATAGATTTGTAGTTGGTTTTGATATCAGGAACTGTGACCTTTCCAACTTTGTCCTTCCTTTTTAGGATTGATTTGATAATTTTTTTTTTTTTTTTTTTTTTTGTGAGACAGAGTCTTGCTCTGTCGCTCAGGCTGGAGTGCAGTGGCACGATATCGGCTCACTGCAAGCTCCGCCTCCCGGGTTCACGCCATTCTCCTGCCTCAGCTTCCCGAGTGGCTGGGACTACAGGCACCTCCCACCACCACGCCTGGCTAATTTTTTGTATTTTAGTAGAGACGGGGTTTCACCATGTTAGCCAGGATGGTCTCGATCTCCTGACCTCGTGATCCACCAGCCTCGACCTCCCAAAGTGCTGGGATTACAGGCGTGAGCCACAGCGCCAGGCCTGATTTGATAATCTTAAGCCCTTTGCATTTCCATATAAATTTTGGGATCAGCTTTTCATTTTCTGAGAAAATTCTAGCTGGGATTTTTACAGATATTTTATTGAATCTTTATATCAATGTGGGAAGTATTGATTTCTTAACAATCTTCTGATCTAGGAATATGAAGTGTCTTTCAATTTATTTAGGTCTTTAAATTGTTTTCAGTTATGTTTTGTATTTTTCAGTGTATAATTATTGTGCTCATTTTGTTAAATTTATGTATGTTTTATTATTTTTCACGTTATTGTAAATAAAAATACTTTCTTAAATACATTTATGCATTATTCATTGTTAGTGTATAGACATATAACTTTTTCCTACTGGCTATACCAAGCCTTTTTATACTTATGAAAAATAAGTGTAATAATTAAATGGGCTTTATATATACAACCCACTGGAAGCCAAATCCTGTTTGAAGAGATGCAGAATAAAAAAGCAAATTTTTGGTTTATCCAAGATCCCAGTATCCAAGCTCTTCACAGTTTCTATTATATTTTTAATAATTCCTTTTAAACCCTATAAAATACACACTCATATGCACACATTGTTAGTGAAATAACCATTCTAAATTATTCTAAAATATTCTAAATTGTTCTAAATAAATTCTTGGTTAATTACACTTTTGAAAAATTAGCTCCTATTGGTATGATTTGATGTATTATATTGCCCCACGTCTTTTATTTTTTAAAATGTCTGTTGAGCACTAAATGCAGCTATCATAAGAAAATTGTCTACAATCATTTGTTTTCTTTAATATATGTTTAATTTCCTAGGCCTTGTGAAAAATATTAGATATTGTTCTCTTATCTGTTTTTAATTAATCCCAAAGACCAGCCATGCTGATCTTGATTTATAAGGAAACATAGAGTTGTGATTGTGTGTGTATATAATTTCTTCGTCACACATACATATGTATGTATGTACACATATACACCCTCATGTAAATATTTCCTTCATCTAATCTTTTGAAAGGGACACAGAATCTCTGTCAACATTTGGCAGCTGGTTTGTTTCTGGGGGTTTTGACTTTAAATCTATGTATGATTTTTAATTATAATTTTACCACTCAATGAACCTCACAATGGCAACATTTTAGCATCTATCTACAATGACAGATGGCAAACTAATGAAGCCTGTTCTACTTGCATACTGATATCATTCCTACATAGCACTTCTCTGATCCTTAGAGAGGTCAAAGAGCAAGTTTTATTTATCTTCTTTGTTACATTTGGTTCTAAAAAATCATGAGGCTGATTATTAGAGAATATACATTTTACACCTCATAATTACACTCAATAATGTATGTTTCATACGTTTGACTGATACAATTGAAAAAATTTGGGGTGTCTGAAACGTGTTTTAACAATTAGAAATTTTAAATGCTGTGTTGGGTTAACCTCAATTCTTTTTCAGAATATTAAGTATGTCTTCTTCCTAAAACAAAAAATATACTTTTGCCATTTTTAAAAATATAAACACATACACACATATGTACATATCTACATATAATATACATACATTTAAAATTCATACATACATTTTTTTGATAATTGTTTATTAAAAATGTATTCTATTAATAACTTGTAAGTGCCTAAGATCTTTTCTGAGGCCTATGCAAGCTTTTACATTTTAAAGACCAATCCATTTAGCACTCATTTTAATCTTGAGATGGCCTAAAATTTATCTCCATATCAGTGAACATTCTCAGAAGCAAATCATCATTAAATGAAATGAGTTTCATGTGAGGAGGGGCCTTATCTAGCTTGTCCATCACTATTCTTTACAATGGTTGGCATAGTGTAGCTTGTTCATTACATAATGAAATAATCTCCTTAATATTCACTTTATCTTGATACATTTTTATCCTTTTTAAATGCTGGTCAAAGGAATAATTTTGTACAATGTAAAGGTCATGAGAAGAGTGCAAAACTAACTTGAAGTTTTTCAGTTATTGAATCAAGATAGCTTAAGTCAGAATGACAGATTGTAGATATTTCTAATATATAATTAAAATAATGTTTATCAAATTACATTTTAAACTTATAGCAGAATAAAATATGCTAATTCATTTGTTGCTATTTTATTTCAATATTATGCTTTTGTCCTGGTGATCATATATAATGTCAGACATAGAAAATTATTTATTTCTTTTTTTCACTTAACAAAGACATTTTCTTTGTCATCTTTTTTATTTAGCATTTTTTGATGTTCATGTATGTTATTGCTTTTTCTTCCCTCTTTACAGACTAGCTTTGTGAAATAATTATTTCCAATTTCTCACATTCCTTTTTTCTGCATGTCTAAAAACATACTATTTTACAGAAATTGTGCTCCCTGAAGTCACCATGGGCCTTATCAATTACCATTAAGCAACAGATTACACCAAATCTACCTACCTGTCCTCTGTGATAGATATTATGACTGTCTTTCTGACATTGCTTCCAATACTCCAAGTCTGTTTGAAATATGTTCCCATTCTCAGCTGCTGAAAGGAGCCATGGTTATCTGAACCCAATAAAGTTAATTTCACTCACTCTGCACACAGGTCTGGCAGATTGTTGCGTGGCATAGTGCTTGCAAAACAGATTGGCTCATAAAAATGATCCAAATCTTAAAAATCAGAAGTGAGGAGAACTTTGATGGATATTTTTGGAGAAGAAGTCATCTCACTCTTCAAAGAGAGTCAGAGAACACTTTTCTTTTGGATGTGGTCATGTGCAGATAAAAATCCTGGAATTGCTACAGCCATGAAGACAAACATTATTGGGAAACTGTACCAAAAAAAAGGTAAATGTAGGAGTGAATATACCAAAAGCAAGCCATAAGGAGAGGAAAAAAAAATCAGTATTTGGATAGAATATTAAGAGAAGACATATGGACATATTTTGGTTGAAGAGTTTTTAAAACAGAAAAAAAATTATATCTCAGCTTGATCCACTTTCAATTCTCTATTATTAATTTTGACCCTAACTTCAGAGTAACTGATGCTTTACTCCTCTGAGACAACACTGTATTACTTTTATAAGCCTGTGTAATGCACTTGCCATTGAGCTATTCATTACCTCATTCTTTCTCCTATTAGAATATGAGCCTCTTTAGGGTAGTGACCATGGCTTATTCCTCAGTATGCATGCACATTGTAGAACATAACTGACATTCAATCACTATATCCAGGGGAACCTGTTGGATAAAAAAAGAATAAATAAAAACTTGATATATTCACTCACCAAAATAAGATATCTTGAAAATATAGTTTGTTTTGGATTATTTATATACTGATTCACTGATGTATTTTCTAACATTTGAAAAAAAAGTAATATGGCTTCAGTCTGTAAATACTGTGGATGGCTGATATGATACTTTCTGCCATTCTTTGAATAAACTATCATACAAAATCATTTTTTACAGAGTATTTTGCTGTTTTTTGGTAACTATTAGTTAAATAATAATATCAATATTATCAAACATAAAAATATCTCCTCTATCTTAAGGCAAACAGAAGCAAAGAATAATGCTGAAAAGTGGAGAAAAAATGCACATCATAAATTTAACACACTGTTTTCCCAGATTCCAAAATCCCTGTCCTCATGAAAACCAGGAAGGTAGCTACTTTTAGTGTTTCAAAAACCAAGTGGTACTTTTATTAAGCTATAATGAATCTGTATATACTTTATTTTCTTGTTTTTGTTGTAATTATATCAGCTATTTTGATACCAGTTAGATAATGGATGGAGGGAGGAAGAGAGGTGATAAATAAATGGTAGATAAATACACAGATAAACAAATTAGTGATAAATATTATGATTATGAAATATAGCAAAATAAATCCAATTTGACAGTGGATGAAAAAAACTAATAAAATGATGCCTGTTGAGAATGTTTAAATCTATCTATCTACATATTTTGATTTCCAATAATGAGATTTCTAATACTTAAAAATAAAAGGAATTCCTTTTTGCTGATTCACTTATTTCAATGTGAATCAAAGTCACTGTAAAAAGAAATTAAAAGTAATATGTAATCTGGCAACAGAAATAAAGCAAAGGTAGAAACCAAGTACTACAAGGGAAAAATTCTGATGTTGTCAGATGTCTTTTGGAATTGAGTATTTATCGTGTTTACTTCTGATTGTGAAGCAGGTTTTACTGGACATTATCTGTGTCAACAGAAAGTAAACTGGCATAAGAATCTATTTCTTATTTCTCTCTGACTAGGTATCTGTAAAAGGAGACTCAGGTGGCCTAATGTAGTTCAAAGAAAGCTTACATTTGAAATGAAGAGGAACTTCACAGAGAATCCTGGCTGATCTCCCAGAATACTGTTACCTTGTTCAATTCAACACAGTCTAAAACTAGCCCTTAGTTTAAAGGCTAAGAAATCTGCTTTGCCAGCAATTGGCCCTGGAGTGTGAATCTGTCTGTGAGAGATGCATTCAGGTTAGGTAAGCACACAGAAAGTGGAAATATTTCCTTTAGTGTGAGAAATATGGCTGACATCAGGACAAGAGGGATTTTCTATGACTAAGCTCATCTTTCCCCACAGAAATTCTACAGGCAAGTCAAATTACACCTACTATGTACATACATTTACATGTAAAGTATTGTTTTAAGTGCTTCACCTGGCATTATCTAATTTAACTCTCCCAGTAATCTCATGAGGAAGATATTCTTGGTAACCTCATTTCACAGATGAGGAAACTAAAAGTCAGAGAGGTTAATTTCCAGTAAAATAGCTAGATAATTGGAGGAGCCAGAATTTGAATTCCAGTAATCTGGTTTGGGAATCGCTACTAATATGCAACATGTTACATTGCCTTTCTTAAAAGGAAGTATGATTTGACAATTTTATTTTCAGCTGCCTAAGATATCTTGATATTAATTTCTCCATAGTAGAGATACATTTGGAACCAGAAGAGTCTAACCTTTGGATCAGAACCCATTTTTTCTTAGACAATTTTTCAGTAGGTAATATAAGAATTTGTGATTATTCTCTATTTTATACATTTCCAACATAGTATTCTTTTTAGATATTTAAATATCAACATCAAGTTATGATCCAGTTCTAATTTTAAAGGCTTAAGAGGCAATTTTTGGTGGCCTTAATATCTTTTCTTTGATTCATTTCACACTGGTTTTATAATTTAACTCTCAGAGTGTTCTATTAATCGCAAATTATTAAGAGAGAAAAGTTTGTAAAACTATTCTGGTAACTGCTAAGTTAAGATGTCTTTAACTGCTTCTATTTTGCAAGGGCAAATGGGTAAATTGTCTTTTTCTCCTTATTCACATTAGGGAGATAGAAAGAGTAGAGGAGAATCTTTCTTTCTTGTCAGTTTTCCTCTTTTCCATATTCTATAATGAGAGTTAAACCAAAATGATAAACAACTAGAGCTTTAACCTTATTCATTATTGCAACCTCTAAGGGAAATTCTGCTTGACGTCTTTTAATTTTGCAATTAACAAAGAAAAATTTGACCTTGTCTGAAACTGTGTTTAATTGCCCAAAGTTCTCATTTAAAACAGTCTCTAAAGATTTGCACACCAGACCTCCCCACCACCCCCCACCCAGACGATCTTTTACTGCTATTGCAGCCTCAGTTCTATTGTACTCTGAGAGTGATTCAAGGTGAAATCCTGGATCTACATTGACTGTCTCTCTCACACAGAGTACGTCATTTTTCTTTGTCTTTTCTATAAACAGAATGTGCTATTCTTAAATTAGTTGCTGAAAAACTAAAGTATACAGAAGTGGAATGACTTAAGTAATAAATATACAGTTTTAGGTCTCAAAAATATTAGGTATCTTTTAATCCAGTATTTAATTTGAGTCTCTAATTTAACATGAGATTTAAGTAGGTCAGATATTGTATTAAATGTATAAGTGTAGAATCTGAGGTTCAGATATATTAAGCAACTGACTCAAAAACATAAATTCCCCAAATGAGGAATCAGGCATTTAAATCAGTATCTTTCCGATTCTCCCCTTCCTCTACCTCAAGATCACACGTCTGTTCAATCATTTAGACAGCAACAGACTTGTCAGAAAACAAAGCTAACATTTTCAATTCTGATATCTAGATTCTTTATTCCGTTTTCTCATGTGTCATTTATTTTGTGATTGTAATAAACCTTCGTAAACTAATTTTATATATGATGCTATAAAATACAAATCTTTAAAGATAAAAATATCCAAATGTAAAAATGAAATTATATAGAATTTGCATTTGCTTTTGGGTAGAGAAGGGGCACACTCTACTATTCATGTGATCCATATGTTTGGAAAAGCATCTGCACACCAGGAAGGTAAAATCTACTGCTGGAAACTGAAGACCCTCAGGCAGTGGTTATCTGAATACTAAGTATTTAGTGATTATGATGGGAAGGCAGAACAGGAACTTGTCTAAAATTCTGGGCTACCTTGAAAAGTCTTAAAGTGATAGCACACTTACTTCCAGTGCATTTCTATCTGAGGAGAAACGTCAAGAATGTACTCAGACTTAAAAAGGCATAGATTTTGGTCTATTTACATTAAATGTTTAAGTTAAAAAAGCACATGATGGAGTTGAAGAAAACTTGGTGGGGTATTAAATAAGAGAGATGCATCTTCCCCCCTGGCACTTACTGAGATTTAGAAAAGTCGTGCCTCCACTCTGGATCTCAGATTTCTGATCAACAACAAGAATAGGTAATGTGGGATGATCTCAACAGTCTCTTCCTTCTTTGAATTGCTTTTTCCCTCCTTTTAATCAACTACCATGCAATCAAAGTATGTTTACCAATCCAAGTTCTGGTTTACAGCACTCAGATAATTAAGAGACCCCTGCTCTGCTTATTTTCCCACATCATTGATTAAATTAATATCAATCTATTTCCACCATGTGTTTATCAAATAGTTTACATTTACTTCTCTTATAACTGTTAAAAATTGGATTACTATCCCCACGTTATAAATGAGTATATAATGCTTTAGAAAGCTTTAGCTACTTCTGTAAATTTTTCTTGCCAATGGCAAGAGTATCCTGGGCTTAGATCTCTGGTAATCTGACTTCCAATTTGTATGATGAATTTCTTAGCATCAGTTTATTTTACACATTCAACAGGACTCTGACCTTGTTCCAGGACCTTGCAGAACTGAAAAATGGAAAGATAACTTATTTTGAAGCCAGATACACCTGGGATGCATGTCTGTTATCATATAATTTAAATGATTTACTTCCCATATTTATTAATTGTAAATTTATTTTTTACTTTGTAAATTTTTGGATAAACCGAAAGGGGAATTGATGATACATAAAATTTTATGTACAACTGAGACAAAATAGACACCCTATAAACTGGTGGCAAAAGGGACTCAGTTTAGACTGTCATTTATGTTCCCAACAAGTACTACCAATATCTTGGCAATTTCTGGGAACAAAACTGATTTTCCAGGAAACAAGGGAATTGAAATGTCAAAATTAGAGAGGTATTATTTTGATTGGACCAACATAATCTATTTCAATATAGATATTATTTTAAAATAATAGTATTCCTTTTTCATTTAGCTTTTTAATTGAGAAAATAAGCCCAATCTCTTTGCTATCAAGTAAATTAATAGAACAATAGATATATTATTGATTCATTGTGAATCAAGATGTTTATATAATAGGGAAATTCAACTAAACTCCTTATGTATTTGCAAATCTTTTATTATATTCTGCAAACTAAAAAAATAAGTACTGCTTATATTCATAAAACTAGAGTATACTTCCATATAGTCAGCAAAATATATATATTTATGTTTATATATATGATAATAAATAAATTAATTTGAGCTTAAGGAAAGAGATGCTTCATGTCAATTTACATTGCTCTGTATTTTTATGTTTATATGTGTGGCATTTAGGAGATTTCTTAAAATATATCTACTCAACATAAGAGGTTTATATGAATATGATTAAATACACAGTAATCTATTCATTATCTTAATTATTTGCATGGAATGCAAATTATAGTTTGAAGCTATTCAATGTATTTTTGGAAAAGTCATGCAGAGCATCAACATTAAACAAGTATTTGCTTTCAATTAGGAATGTGTGACTTTCTTAGAACCAATCATTTGAAAATATAATTTGCACGCTAATTGTAAATTGCAAAGTCATCTTCTGGTTACACTGCTTCTAGGTCTTCTTTTTTTATGTTAATTTTAACTTTTCATCTCTAGATGGTGCTCTAAGTACCTGCATTGCAGCTAGACATGTTAACAACACTGGGATAAAAGGCAAAAGAAACAAAAGCTTAAAAATAAAAAGTGTACTAGAACCAAATAAATTAACTTAGAAAAATTCTTGGAACTTTCGCTTTAGGCCAGAAAAGCATATGTTGTCAGGTGATTAAGCCCATAACAGAGATGTTTGAATGCTGTCCTTATTAGAGTTAGGAAAACAACTACTGCAGAAAAATATTTAAATAGAGTTAGCAAATTCAGAATTGATATTTTTCAAACTAACTTATATGCCCTTTTTTACATCTATGTGTTGTATGCTAAATACTTGGTAAAAGAAGAAACAAATATACCTAAATACATTATATAACTATGAAGCAATTTTATTCAAGTTCTTTAAGATATCTTGGGACTAAAAACCATATCTAAAAAATGGATAACAAATAGCTAATCAGTTTTTGGTTTTTTAGAACTGTCTATTACTGACTGGCTAACTATGATCTGCAAGCCACACCCAGTCCATTTTATTATTTTGTCACATTCTAAACTAAGAACGCTTTGTATATGTTTAATTTTGTTTTTAAATCAAAAAATATAATGTTTGGAAACATAAAAATTATAGAAAACTGAAATTTCAGTCTCTATAAATAAAGTTTTATTGGAGCACTGCCAAGCTCATTTGTTTAAGTGTTGTCTATGGTTTCTTTCCCACTATGACAACAGAATCTAGTACTGTGACAGGGACCCTATGTCCTGCAAAGCCTAAAATATTTATGTGTCCTTTACAGAAACATTTTGCAGACTTCTGGGTTGAATGAAAGTTGTTGACTGTTGAATGATCTTGTTCGCTGGTAACATTGTTATTGGGAAGAAAGCCAAAACAAGCTGAGCTCTAAACTAGTACCCTAAGTTAATATAATACTGTCATGTCAATAGGAAATTTTTAGTACATTTTAAATTTAGTACTTTAAAGAATGTCTTTAATAAAGCATCTTCTGAAGTTTATATCTACCCAGGAACAAAATAATATATTCAAAGATTTAAAATTCAGCCAAAGTCATCATTTGGCATCATGTAGCCAAGACAACAACAATGCAAACTCAATAGAATTTTAATGAATTTAAATGTGTTTTGTGAATCTGCTACTCTGGACTGTGTTTTATCCTATAATTCTCCCCAATGTGATACTAGCATATTAATGAGAATTTGGTTCTCCTAAGTATGTTAGTTTTTATCAATTGTTCCAACAAAGTATTTCTTTTGAAGAAAATTACAAGAATGTTATTTCTGCTGCTACACTTCAGAGCCTTATCACTCCCCTCTTTTATAATCCCTCTGACCTTTATTCTTATAATTATGTTATCTGTACTCCGAGTTGCAAATGAGAGAAACACAAATTCAAACCTACTTAAGAGGGAAAAAAAAGGATTTGTTGGAAGGACACTCAGGCATTTCATGTAATAAAAATGGAAATAAGAGTGGAATTATAAACATTATTCCCCCAATGTCATTTTGTATACTTAGCATCTTCGTGCTCTCTTTTTATGGTCATGAACAAATTTAAGAGTGATTAAAACATAAGAAACACTAAGAATAAAATAAAAGTAATTTTGAAAGAAAAGATACTCCACCATCAAACTGTCTCTCATAAAATGAGGTCCCTAGCACAGGAAATGGTGATGAAATTACACAAAAAACTGAGACCTTATATTTGCTGTTGTCTCAATTCTCTGCTCCATTTTATTGAGACAAATTATGCTGGGGTTGGAATTACCTAAATTATAGAAGCACTGTTCATTGTAAGAATTGTGATGAAACAAAAAGTAACTGCATCAACACAAACTAGAAACCATCACATTGCACATTAAACTATTGAGGCTCCATTGATTTGTGTGTTTTTTCAACATACAGCCTTATCTTTGAGACAGATTTTAGAATCTACATCTAGTGCTATTTGATTTGTACTGGAATTCTACTAGGAGTAGAAATAATACTGGTATTATTGGGAATTTTATATTCAAGTAGTATATAGAAATGTGTTGTAATATACAGAAATTATTGACACAACCCATTTCTAAATAATATAAATAACTAGAACACAAAGTATCCATCAAGATATTTCCTTTTGCTAAATGTTCATTTCAGGTTGCTACATCATCAATATGATTGACTGGGTAGTAATTAATTGGCAATTAATGTATAACCTAACACAAATAACAAGGAACAAATCTGATGACTAAGTATAGAAGTGACCATCTGAACAACACACTATCAAGTAGAAATGTATGATTATCCTTTTGTAAACATTCTAATAATCTATACTCATAAAAATGTATCCTGTAATGCATCAATTCACAGTTTTTAATGCACTTTTTACTAATTTCTTCTGATTCAGCCTCTAAAAGAGGAAGTCTTATTATTTTTCCTTATAATAGCATTTCAAGTAGTTGTGTCTCACCACATTTTCCTGATTTTTCTCTTCCCCAGAGTAAAAAGAAGTCAATTTCTAGAGCATTTTCTATTATGATATGATTTTTTTTCTTATTCTCATTGTCTACTGACCAGATTTTAATTTGTCTACATCTCTTTTAACATATAGTGCCTGAAAATTAAAGTACAAATTAGCTATCAATATCCCACTCTAAATACTATAATTCTATTAATACTATACTTCTGGCAGCTGTGTTACACTTTCTCTACAACTAAGGTACTGCCAAACAGTGTTCAAACTTTGTTTCACACTTGCTTCAGTTACATTTTGAATTCCCCATTCTCATTTCTACATAGTTTTTCATTATAAAAGCAGCTATATTAAGAAAAGAATGACCTCTCATAGAGTATGGTACACACATTTTAAGTTCTCTTTGAATATGGTTCTATACATTTTGTTTGGGCAATGCACTGGGAGAAAGCCCTCATAAAAATAATGTGTACTTTACTTAAATATAATGACTTCAAACCATGTTGCAACTACTGTGTTCACTTACTATGCAAAACATTGTTAGAGATTTACATGCAAGAGAATGAAATTGGGCACTGATCTTACACCATACCCCAAAACTCAAAATGAATTGCAGTCTTAAACATACGACCTGAAGCCCTAAAACTCCTAGAGGGAAACAAAAGAGGAAAGCTTCTTGGCCTTAGTTTTGGCAATGTTTTCCTGGATGTGTGTTATGGAAAGTCAGGGACCCTGAATGGAGGGACTGGCTGGAGCCATGGCAGAGGAACATAAATTGTGATTTCATCTTAATATGGACATTTATCAGTTCTCAAATAATATTTTTATAATTTCTTATGCCTGTCTTTACTTTAATCTCTTTTTTTGTTGTTGTTGTTGAGACGGAGAGTCTAGCTCTTTCACCCAGGCCAGACTGCAGTGGCGCTATCTCGGCTCACTGCAAGCTCCGCCTCCCAGGTTCACGTCATTCTCCTGCCTCAGCCTCCTGAGTAGCTGGGACTACAGGCGCCTGCCACCCCACCTGGCTAATTTTTTGTATTTTTGGTAGAGACAGGGTTTCACCATGTTAGCCAGGATGGTCTTGATCTCCTGACCTCATGATCTGCCTGCCTCAGCCTCTCAAAGTGTTGTGATTACAGGTGTGAGCCACCCCACCTGGCCTTTACTGTAATCTCTTAGTCCTTTTATCTTCATAAGCTGAGGATGTACGTCACCTCAGGACCACTGTGATAATTGTGTTAACTGTACAAATTGATTATAAAACATGTGTGTCTGAACAATATGAAATCAGTGCACCTTGAAAAAGAACAGAATAACAGCGATTTTTATGGGGCAACGGAAGACAACCATAAGGTCTGACTGCCTGTGGGGTCAGGCAAAAAGAGCCATATTTTTCTTCTTGCAAAAAACCTATAAATGGACATGCAAGTAGGAAAACTATCACTAAATTATTTTCCTAGCAAGGAATATTAATATTAATACCCTGGGAAAAGAATGCATTCCTAGGGAGAGTTCTATAAACAGCCACTCTGGGAATGCCTGTCTTGTGCAGTTGAGATAATGACTGAGATAAGCCCTGGCCTCCTGCAGAACCCTCAGGCTTACTAGGGTTGGGAAAACTCAACCCTGGTAAATTTGTGGTCAGACAGGTTCTCTGCTCTGGAACCCTGTTTTCTGTTGTTTAAGACGTTTATCGAGACAATATGTGCACTGCTGAACATAGACCCTTATCTGTGGTTCTGCTTTTGCACTTTGCCCTGTGATCTTTGTTGGACCCTTATCAGTGGTTCTGCTTTTGCCCTTTGCCCTGTTCCTTCAGAAGCATGTGATCTTTGTTAGAGCCTTATCAGTGGTTCTGCTTTTTGCTCTTTGAAGCATGTGATCTTTGTTCCTACTCTCTGTTCTTACACACCCTCCCCTTTTGAAACCCTTAATAAAAACTTGCTGGTCTGAGACTCAGGTGGGCATCACAATCCTACCAATATGTAATATCACCCCTGGCGGCCCAGCTGTAAAATTCCTCTCTTTATACTATCTCTAGTTCTCAGCCAGCCAACACTTATGGAAAATAGAAAGAACCTATGTTGAAATATTGGGGGCGAGCTCCCCCAATAGATATGGTATCCAAAACATGGGTAACAAAAGCAAAATACACAAGTGGTTCTACATCAAACTACATAGCTTCTGCAAAACAAAGGAAACAATCAATGGAGTAAAAAACAGCCTATGGAATGGTAAAAATATTTGCTAACTGTATATCTGATAAATGTTTAATATCCTAAACTTATTAAGAACTTCCACAACTCAATTGCAATTAAAAAACAATTTAACAATGGGCAAATGACTTCAATGGACATTTCTCCATGGTAGACACACAAATGGCCACCATGTATATGAAAAGATACTAAACATCATTAAATCATTGGGTAAACGCAAATCAAAACCACAATATCAGCTCATGCTCATACCTGTTAGGATGACCATTATCAAGAAGGCAGAGAAAAAATACTGGCTAGGATGTGCAGAAATTAGAAACCTTGTGCCCTGTTGGTGACAGTGTAAAATGGCACAGCTAGCTGCTATGGAAAACAGTATTTGCTTTCTCAAAAATTAAAAATAGAAGTATTGTATAATCTAGCAATCCTGCTTCTAGATTTTTAACCAAAAGAATTGAAAAAATTATCTCACAGGAATATTTGCACTCCCATATTCATTGCACAACTAGTCACAATAGCCACAAAGCAGAAAAAAATGTAAATGTCCATATATGGATAAATGGATGTAGAAAATGTGGTATATACATACAATGGAATATTATTGAGCTTTAAAAGAGAAGGAAATTCTAACATATATCATGACATGGGTGAATCTTGAGGATACTATGCCAAGTAAAATAAGACAGTAATAGAAGGACAAGTATTGCATGATTCCATTTACATGAGTTATCTAAAATAGTCAAATTCATAGGAGCAGAAAGTAGAATTTTGGTTGTCAGGAGTTAGAGGAAGGGGGAAATAGTTGCTGTTCAATGAGTATAGAGTTTTGGTTATATAAGATAAAAAGTTTCTAGAAATCTGCTACACAACAACACACATACAGTTAGCCAAACAAAAAACAGATCTGATGTTTTTTTAGCCACAATAAAAAATAAACAAAGAACAGCAACACAATCTTTGTTATAGAGACGAAAGAAGATATTTTACTTTGAACATTTTTAAAAATAATTCTAATTAAATAGGCAATGAAACCATGCCTAAGACATTTTCCTAAAAGTGTACACAAATGATTGATGCAATTTTTCAATAGAGCATCTTGGAGTACAAAATAGCTCAAACGGTATAGACAAGATATTAGGAAAACGGGTTTCAGTCTTATCTGATATACTATATGGGAAACACTGGACCAGTTATTTAATTTCTAGCTTTCTCATGTCCAATAAGTAAAGAATACTGCTTTACTTGTCATTTCCCAGTTAATCTTACAATTCCATGCTTCCCCCAAATTTCTCGCAGTGCTTTTTGCTTGAAAGACTCTTATTTCCAATGCTGTTTTAAAAGTTTAATCTTTTCCTTCCAGTTTCCCCATATTTTTTTTTCATGTGTCCTCTGTGATATTCACAGGTGTAATGATTTTATCATGCCATTTTCAAAGACAGTGAATTCTGAGCAGGGAAGGAAGAAGTAATGATACGTGGGCCAGTCAACAGATGTGTTGGTGTAGTGGTCTTGTGTTTCTCATAGAGGAGCCTGTTTTAGTCTTAGATTGTAGTTCAGATGGGCAACAGGAAGCATTTCCAGAAAAGCTCCTCTGGCGATTATTCACTTGTATGAAAAATAAGTCACTATGACTGTTGTCAATAATACCATTTCAATATCAGGTTGGTGCAAATGTAATTGCAGTTTTGCCACTAAAAGTAATAGCAAAAACCACATAATTACCACTCCTGATAGAGAAATTACCTGAAAACGTGCTGTTTCCAAGAGATTTCTCAGGAAATCTCTTCTGTTATAAATTTCTTCTGTTTCAGAGATATTAACTCTAGCTGCAGTCTTCATCCTTTAGCTCTCTTAGGTAAACTTTCATAAAATATTGCATTACTGTCCACCCACAAAATTCCTATTTATTAGGATGTACATAAAATGTGTTTGTCTTGCTATGTGTCTTAATATACTTAATCTCTACTTAACAAGATGCTAGATGTAGAATTATAAGGTAGATATAGGGTAGATATAAAATTCAGTCCTGCTTGGCTTTTAAATGTCACTGTAAGCCTTTATTTTAGTGGTCATATTACACAACCAGAGTAGAAACATACATATGACTTGTGAAGCTATTAATTTAGGTTGATTAAATACATGATCATCTTATTTTGTTTTGATTTGATTTTTACCTTCAAAATATGTTACAACCTTGTGTGTGTGAGCTGTGAAGTATTGGCTGAAAAAAAAACACTCAATCAATAGGCTGGGCTCTGGACCTAGGTCAACTCATTAGCTAAAAAACAATTTTTTAAAAATTTCCTCTAATGGTTTTACTCTGAAGGACTCCATGTACTTCCTTGATAATTCTACATCTTAGTTTCCCTACCTGAAAAATGAGTTAGATGAATTAGACCATTCTCAAAGTATAATATGACTTTACATTAAAGTGATTATATACTTTAGCATTTCTCAAATGACATTTTTGATTTGATCACATAAGATTAAACATCAAAATTTAAACAGAATAAGTACAAGCATTAAAACTATTCAACTATTATAACAAAAGTTGAAGGTTAAAAGCCGAAACCTCTTCTGTAGTAGAAAGGAAAAGTTGTTTATATTTTTATTTAATAATGTTAATGGAATAATTTTAAATCCTACCCCTGTAAACTGAAAATTAATTCTGCATCTCTAGTGAGTTCAATAAGTTACTTAATGCAAAAGTTTTGATTGAATTAAGGTTCCTTAATTTGTGTAGTGCCTAACACAAATTAAAATGTGTATAAAACGCTCTTGTGTGTATATAATTCCACTAGATTGTCACCATTACACTGAGGTGTGTGCAGGGAAGCAGAAGGGAGCAAAGAGCGAGTTGTCTGGGAACTACATGCGGGCAATGCTGGGCATTTTAGTAATAGGTGTGGTATTAGCTCTCTTCTATCCAGGAGAAAACTACAGTAGTGAGAATGAAAAGACTGGTCCACGGGCACAAATCAAATAATTGAAAGGGTTTAATTCCACTAAAGTTACGCATTCAAACCCCATATTCTTTGTTTCTTCCTTTGAAAGATATTGGATTTCCGAGACACATAATTCTAATTCCATTTCTGCAGCTCAAATAATTGAAAATTGTTTTTGAAAGAAAATGGAAAAACATATTCTTTATTAATGACTAATATACTAAGATCTTATTTAAAACAATTTATAATATAGAAAAAACAATTTATAATATAGAAAAAACAGCAAAAAAATGGTAACCATTTAAAATGTTACAAAGCTGTTTTAAATATGGTGATAGGGCTGTATCACACATAATACATTACTTAATGTAGTTCTTAAAGTGTAAATTCTAACATATTTCAGAACAAAGCCTGAATTCATTTGCTAAAAACACTGGTTTTACAAATTGTTATTCTGACTAAGGAGAAATAAAAATGTATCACTGAGGAACATGACCAAAAATTTGAAATACTGTCAAGGACCATCATTTTCACCCCAAACAGGAGCAGTTTCTCCAGTGATTTTGATTGGCATTTTGAAATGTGCCTATGAATAAAACAAAGAAAATGGCATACCTCACATTCAAATGCCTACACAGAGATAATAATGGAAGCAATGTTTTATGGGTCATTGGGGAAGGCAATCCCATCTGAATGTTTGTTCCTGAGGATGATAAGAGCAGAGTGAATATTCTTCTGCATCATATAACTCAGACTAGAGGAAAGACTGATGGATGATGATTGTTTTAATACAAAAAGCCTGAGCAACAGAGGGTGGTTGAAACAGAGACATATGCACAAACACACACACATGCGATAACTGAACAGGAGTTATTCTAGATACTTTGAAGTTGTGAATAAATTCAAAGTGCCAGAGCCCTGAACCCAGCCCTGAGGGTGGGTCTATAACTTTGTTCTCTCCTGTGCTGTTAGGTGTAAAAAGGTAATGGAATTATAGACCAAAGGCAGACAAAAATTTTTTAAAGGCAAGTTTTATTTTCTTTTGTTTTTCATAACTGGAGTAAGTGCTTCCTGCTAAACTTTCTAAAACAGATGGTTGTCTGTTCTAGGATGAAAGATTAATAGTGAAAGAAATTCCTCAGCCTTGCTCAGGAGCACACAGCCTTTGCTGGCAGGCAGTAATCAGAAACAAAATGTGCCTTTTGAGGCAACGTTTTTGAGAAAGTTTGAATTTGAGAGGCAGTATAGCAGATAGGATTATTCTTTTTTGGACTGTTCTTTTCTCTGTCTCTCTCTGAGCACTCCCTCCCAGTCTCCTCCCTTATCCCTAGTAAACTGTATTTACATCTAAATCCTTCTACTTCTCGGAGACCAACTGTAAAAATATTTTTTCAATTATTTTGTAGCTAATATAAAAATGATAACCTAGTATATGTTGATAATGATTGTAGGTAAACGTCATCTGATCCTTACTATTTTTTTTTTTACTAAGAAGTAGACAAGGAATTACGTGTAATCTAGTGGAGTGAGGTTAGTAAATATTGTATACACATCACCAGCCGAGTCATATGCATTTTGCACAATAATTACGTATCTCATGGGAAGAAAATTACTAGATGCTCCTTTCTTCATCAATACACACACATATGCATGCACACAGTTTAATGTGATCTTAAGGGATAAAAAAGTTTGATGAGATTTTAAAATGCGGTAGTGTATTCATCTAGTTTAAGAGTTAGGCTCTTAAATTGACTTTGTTACATTCCTTATTGAACCTTCAGATTGGTGGCTTTCATATGAACAATTAATGTTTTAATTATCAGTCACTTTTAACTATACATTTAATGCAGATGATAAGCAAGCCTACAATTCAATTTTTATGTCTTTAAGCATACTTCTGGAATCAGTGAAGGTGCCAAAATAAAATAATAGTGTAACTTATACTAGAGTATAGATGGGGAATTCTGCTAGACTTCATGGTGTAAAGAAAGATGGCTCAAGATATGAGTGCCTGGGCAAACAGGAATGCAAAGTGATTTATTGTGCCAAGATGTATTAATGTTATATCCTTATGTTCTGTGTTTAATAAGGATGTTGTATCAGCACGATAAGTTGAGTTTGGCTTGGAATCATTATGTATGGAAACTTAGAATGGGATAATTGGAAGCAAGAGAAGCAGGCTTTTTGAATGAACAACATAAGTGCCTGATTGTCTTTTTCTCTTGATTAAATAAGATGTGGTTCTCAGTGTCACAGTGGGGTGTGTCTGAATACCAGTTTTTGACAATTTTGTGTCATCAGTGCTATTTTGTTTAATTTTATCTGTCTCGTTTTGATGTATTCAGAAAATTAGACTGATCAATCACACTAAGAGAATCAGCAATATGACAGGAATATCAGTGTGACCTGCCTAAAGATTTCATTGTGGTTTTAGAATGTCATATTTTACTTTCTTTCCCCAACGTAATATTAACATATATTCAGTCATTCAGATATTCAATCTGAATATATATTCATATATTCAGAGAACTGATTGATAAACATTTTTAAAATGCTGAGTGATAGTTTATTGATTCTCACTCTGGTCTTCTCTACTTTAGTTTAAATAATTAGAAGCTATGTGATTTGCTAAACAGTTCCTGGTTTACAATTTATTTTCAGTACTCACGCAACTTCCTTGCAACCTCTTTGAAGAAGTAAAAGATTGTATCTTTCAAATATATTGTAGATGATTCTAAATTCTGTGCTCTACTGATACGTCACACAATTGAGAATAGTTTAACAAGACTGGGGATTTGTCGGCATTTATTTAGAATGACTGCTTGGTTAAATATTTTTTGTTCATAGATAAAATATTTCCTCCTTTTGTCATTTTTTGAGTTATTTAGTCAAAGATAAATATCACTCTTTGATGATATCTAGTCATGCCATATCCTTTAGCATAGCTATAAAATGAAAGAAAAGAATTATCTTGGATTATGGTTTTCAAAAAGTCATGACTAAATTGAGAAAGACAAGACAAAATCAAAAGCAAAATTCCAGAGATTGAAGTTAGAACTCACGAAGAGCAATTAAATTAAGGTAGTATGCAGAACATAAAAGAGTGGCAAACGTCCTTCTTTTTTTTTAAACTCCAATTCTGGAAAACTTGCTGGCTAAGCTATTATCTACAGTTACTTCAACTATTCCTTTGTAGTAGTCAGATAATATAAAAGATGTAAACTCATGACAGCTCTATCTTGTACCTGCTCAAATGGAAATTACTGACCAAATGAAATTCCCTATATTGCATGCTTAAGTGGCTTTGTGAAAGATATTGAAAAAAATGCTAACAGTCTTTCTTAACAAGAAAAATGTTGTATGTTTCACTTATGTAATAGTTGACCAAATACAATGAATACAAATGTAGAATTCTTATATTTTAAAGTTTGACAGCCCAGGGAGGAATATAGGTACAATAATAATAACAAGAACAACAACACTAAGAATGATACTAATAATATTAGAGTGCAATACTCTAATAAAGATGAAAGAGCTACCGAGACATTACTTTGACATAGAGTCTAGAGGAAGACCAAAGATCTTACTGACTTTTCCCTGAATTTATCTATCTCTAAGGTCAGGTTCACCCTTTCACAAAGAATGCCAACCTGCTGAACACACGGTGAGACACTTTATAGAATGTGCCTAGAAGAATAACAAAGAAAAAAACTTTGGGGAAAAAAAAACTTATGGCATGATTTAGAGTGCAGTCATTATTAACAATAAGGGGAATAGTTTATAATAAATAGGCAGAAGTGTATAATTGACTCAGGGTTTTCTGCTTGTTTTGTTTTTAATTATCACTGGTTCTGTGCAGCAGAGAGTTAAATATTTCTAGACTCCTGCTTCTCATCGATATCTTTGAAGATCAATATTTCACTTCCTTCTTCATCATACCTATTTCAAAACTGTGTAAAACAAGTCTTTCATTCCACCTTCTCCTTTTAAAATTGGCCTTGACATTGGTCCCATTGTGCATGTGTGTTTGTGTAATGGGAGAGGGATTTTTGCTCCCTCCTCTTGAATCTGGACGCATCTGTGATTCATTGGCATCTAACTGAATGTAGCAGAAGTGATGCTGCATGACTTGTGAGGTGAGGCCATTAAAGTGATGCACTTTCTCAGTGGTTACTACAGCACTGCTCTTGGAGCACTGAGCAAAGTTGCCAACTCTTCTGAAGCCTGCATTCTGTGAAGAAGTTTACACTGGCCCATGCAGACACAACACGTGGAGAGCTACTGAGACTACTGAAAGAGAAAGAGATGCCTACTCACCCAAGCTGCTCCAGACCCCTATTATTCCAACACTACCCACGGTCTAACTGCAATACTGAGATACTTGGAAGCAATACTGGAGTTAAATCTTTCCTAATTTCTGACTCGCATATTGTTGCTGTATATAAGTACCTATATTTCAGAATGATTTGTAACACAGAAAATACGCCAATAACCAATAATAAATAGGCAGACATGTATAACTGACTCAGGGTTTTTTGCTTGTTGTTTTGTTTTTAATTATTGCTGGTTCTGAGAATCAGAGAGTTACATATTTCTAAACTTCTGCTTCTCATCGATATTTAATCTTTATATTTGTGGGACTTTAAAAGAATAGGGAGGTCTTATTCCTGGGTACAATTAAATGAGGTTTGCATATATATACCATGGAATACTATGCAGCCATAAAAAAGAATGAGTTCACGTCCTTTGCAGGGACATGGATGAAGCTGGAAGCCATCATTCTCAGCAAACTAACACAGGAACAGAAAGCCAAACACTGCATGTTCTCACTCATAAGTGGGAGTTGACCAGTGAGAACACATGGACACAGGGAGGGGAACATCACACACCAGGGCCTGTTGGAGGGTGGGAGGCAAGGGGACAGAGTGCATTAGGACAAATACTTAATGCATGAAGGGTTGATAGGTGCAGCAAACCACCATGGCACATATATACCCATGTAACAAACCTGCACGTTCTGCACATGTATCCCAGAACTTAAAATAAAATAAATAAAAAATAATAATAAAACGGGGTTTGCATTTTAACTTCTCATCATTTTAACTTTTTTTGCTACTTTTAATATTTTAATATGCTTGTTTACTTTCTTTGCCAATAGCTTTAATTGTTTCTCTGATGAAATTTAAATGATTCAACAATCAGATTTAACATGATTTTAAAGAATTACTTTAAAATATGTTATGCATTGACCATACAGTTGTCTTTTTTTAATGTATTATTACAATGACAGAACTGAGTGTGCATTATGTGAGGTATAATACTCAAAATGTAGTGCCTAATATACTAACATATTATATTAGTTTATAAAAAGGAAAATAAACCTATTTGCTGACAATCATAATGTCAATTCTATACTAAGGTGTGAGACCATATTAGTGATATGGTCCTTCATGGTCTTCATGATCAGTTCATTTCAAAGTGGGATATATATACATATATGCACACACACACACACATACAGATATATATATGTAAAATACATATATGTATATATGTAAGCATAATTTATATTATATAATATATAGCATATATACATAAAATACATACATATATACACTTATACCTATATATACTTATACATATAAATAAATAAAAATATCACTTAAGCTTTAACATAGAAAAAAGGTGTAGAAGATTCCCAGTGCACAGGGTATTTGTGGAGAAGGTTGTCAATGTAAGAGATCATGTAGGGCCACAGGAAGGGAAAGCATGACTATTTTATAAATGAGATCCAGGCTAAAATAAGAGTAAATAATTTAGAAAGAGTTAACAGGACTTTGAGGACAAATTTCATCAACTTTAGAAATTATACTAGATCTCGTTCCTCACTTCCTGATGGTCTCGATTTTAACTGCTATTGAAGTTAATACTAACTTACAGTGTCTGCTTTACATGAATTTGCATTAATGTATTTGCTTTCACTTTTACCATTTTAAACTAAGAACATTTAGCTTGACATTTCATGTTCAGTCAAGCCCAAGCAAGCTTCCAAATAAATGTAAAACTGGTGAGCTTCAGCCAACTCTATTGGGTTCACAAGGTTTTGACAAGTATTGTCATATTTTACAAAGAAACATGGAGATAAACTCAAATAGAATCACAAAGCCCCATGAATTATCAAGAATTTCTTATAAAAACTGGGCAGCTCAACTAAATTGAAACAGCGAACCTAGGTCTCTGCTAATCCAGAAACAATGAAACAGTTCATTTAGAAACCTGACCAGGGTCTAGACAAACTTGACTTTTTCTAAAATTGAAGTCCTAAATAGCTGAGTTTGCATGCTATTGGATTTGAAATAAAATTTTGCTTCAACTTTTGCTGAGACAAAAAAAGGATGGATTTTTAAAAGTCATACAAAGAGAAAAAGAGGTATTTCTTAATAGTCTGATTATACATTAAAGGGAACATGAGGAACATTTGTCCAGGGTCTTAAAATTTAGTTCACTTTCATGGTAAAAATGGATACATATTCTTTGATACTTGTCCAGTCAAAAGCTGAGTTCTATTACTCTTCACATTAAAAATGGGCTAACTAGTTTCCTGCCAGTCCAGAGCCTGTTTGGCGATAATGGTATACCAGTTCTCTAGCTCTATAATTTTCAAAATTGGTTGGTCTTGTGTCCTATATTTTGGAACATTTGTCTGTGGGGTCCTGAGTCATCATGCAAGTAAGATACTTACTAGATAAACCATGAGGAAAATTCAAAAAGAAGATTCTACCTGAGCTAGCTATTAAGATATTCCTGCTGAGGCCTTGGCATGTGAGTTAAGATGTTCTCATATCTCCAGATCAGCCCAGGAAGCAACTGAGTAGCTTTAGTGACCATGGGCACCACCACATGGATAATATTGCCTACTCAAGTCCTGCCTCAATTCCTGACCAGAGTTTATTGGTTTAAGCCACAAAAATTTCAGGTGTTTTTTAATGCAGATAGATAAAATGGATTACATTGTTAAATTAACCTTATTTATTCTCTATAAGGTCACTGAAATATATTGAGTTCTAGTAAAGTGTGTTTTTAGCAACATATCCCAGAAGTAATTTGATCAGCTTTATAAAGTTTACACTGAAAATGTCAGTTTATTTTAAGGAAGCAATGATACTGCTAACCACTCAATTATTTTTCAAACTGAATAACACCTCAAGGGTAGCTCTGCCACACAGCACCCAAAATACAAGCCCAAACTTTAAAATAAACTTACATCAAAAACAAAATAAATACATACAATATAATAAATACAAAGAAGGTATGAAATATGTAAATCAGTTTAGAATTTCTTTCGGGGTTATACAAGCAAGTCACTTTAATATGTGTTCTCTCACAATACCAGCAGTCATAGAGCCAGCTGGTTTTCAATTGATTCTGATGTTTGCAATATAAATGACCAATTTCTGCAACACTCATTCAACAAGTCATGCAGTCAATAACACAACAGAAAACACCATGAAGAACAGACTATTTTTTAATGTTTTATTGCAAAATCTTGGCAATAGTTTAATAACACAAACTATATTAATGTTTATTCTTTCATAAAAGAATCATCTAAGTCTTTGACAATAATGCCCTAAGAGCAACTATAATATCTCATGGAAAATTAAATTTAAAATATTTGTACTTACTTATAAAGCAAAATTACGTGATAAATTATAAAAATGTAAGTACAAAGCAATATATTAAAATGAGTCCAGAGAACACATTAACAAATAAGGAATAAACTTGGCACTACATAAATTGTTTTACAAGGTTAAAAAATGACAGCAAAATGTCTAAATCATTTTGTTTAATATTCCATTTTGGTTTTTCTCAATAAATAATAATCATAAATTATTCGGTATTCTTTACAAGTTCAAATCACACACAAAAAAGACATAATCTCTTTTTTCTGGTCCCTAGGTCTAAAAATATTAGTTTTATGGATTCCATCCCTTCAACATTTAAAAATTAGTTTTCACACTAGTTGCAGGTATTCAGTTTGAATGTCTCCGTGTCTTCCATGTTAACCTCTCTCTACATATACCTAGGTTTGGAATTTATTGGTATTGAGGTAACACCATGTTTAATATTTTGAGGAACTGGCGGACTATTTCAAGTAAGAGAAAATATCAGAAGTTCTGTTTTTACCAAGCATACATTTAGTGTGTATGTGTCTCTATGGGTTGAGGGTGGAGATGTTGCAGAGACAATACAGTAAACAAATGAATAAACTGTGTACTATAGAAAATTAAAAAGTGCTACAGAAAAAAAAAAATAGAGAAAGACAAGGGGGCCTAGAAAAGTGCGGAGGTGGTAAATGTGAATGCTAGTGTGGAGCAGGTTCTCCTAGAAGGCCTGCACTCTCTTAATGAGGTATTTAGGCACTGACCTCAAGAGGATGATAATTAACCATATAGAGATTGGGATGTAATATTTCAAACAAGGAAACAAGGGTCAAGGTTATGAAAAGGAAGCAAATTTAACATGTTGGAAAGATGGTAGGGTGTCCAGTAAGTATAACATGAGATTTTAAGTAAGTATAATATGAGATTTTATTTTACAGTTTTTAATACTCTTTTCTCATATTTCTCAATTTTTCCTTCCCTGCAAATATTATACAATATATTTTATATTCTCCTCAGAATTGAATCATTTGTAAATTTTGTGTTCTCTCTGATTTGATTCATATTAGTAAATTATTCAATAGAACAAAGATCAGGTCAGACTCCTGAAATGCATTATTAGAAAATTCCTTGCTGCTTCATAAGTGTCATGATCATCACATTTTTGTCATTAAAAAATTTGTTTTTTCAATCAATTTATTTTTCTAAATTAAAGCCATTTTAAAATTTTATTTTATATACAAACATATCTCTCTATAAAAACTGAATATTTCAAGAGAATTAGTACAATCTTTGTATCAAATTATATATAATATGTATTATGTATATAATTTTCCAAATATATAATATATATTTTTTCAAGGCAGGGTGCAATCTCTACTACTTCTGGTAGTTAAATAGAAACTTTATGGAGTGATGGGTTACAGACTAAGACTCAAATAGGGAGAGCATAACCATGATTCAAAATAGAGGGAAGAGAAGGATCAAAAACCCAGAGATGGGGGAAATATGCATTTGGTGTTGGAAAGCAGTGTGGTTTCAAGCTGAAGTGTTATGTCTAAGCTAGAAGGTATTTTAAGGTCACATTGTGAAAACATTTTAAAAGAACTCTAAGACATTACAGTCTGAAAAAGTAATTAGAAGGTTTTGAGTTAGCTTTTTATACCATGAATTAATATTTCTAGGACTAAGATATGTAGAGTTTGGAAGTTGTAAGTACCAAGATTAGTAAGAAGGGAAATGTCTACTACCACCTCAATCAGAGGAGGAGACAAATGTCACAAATTTGGGAGGGTGAGAAAATTGTAATACCAAAAGACCAATGTCTACAACTGTCTTAGTAGATTTCTATGAAAAATATTGAATTAAAAAAATCTGAATTAGTTTATTAGTCTTGGTTAAACTGAAAATTAAAAGATGAAATATAAGGATAAAATTCAATTTTTATGTAACACAAAAACAAATAAAACCATACAAGTATATAACCAGAAAATCAATCAGATTTTAAAATTAGAAATACAGAGGAATCTTTATTTTCTGTATGTTCTGTTTCAGCCAAGTCTGTGACATGGCAGTCTGAATGGCTAATGCTATTTTAAACTTCATTATTATAAATATAACACACAGATCAAAAAGGTTACAGTCTTTCTGGGTACTGGTCAGAAAGTATCTGGTATACTAGGCATAGTGTTTCCTCCTAAAAGCCACTTTCCTATCTTGCAGGATAAAATTTAAAGGCATGTTTAAGGCTTATCCAATTAAATTCCAACATGTGTTTGGGGCCTCCTCCCAGCTACGACCTCCTCTCACTTGTTTACCTGCAAACAACTTCAAAGCTTTCGTACTCAAGTCTTACAAGGGCCCAGAATTTATAGATAATGCTATATTGTTTACTTGAAATTTGATAAAAGAGCAGATTTTAGGTGCCTTCACCCACCAAACACACACAAATGGTAATTCTGGGTGGTGATGCTAATTAATATGACTGCAGTAATTATATGTTAACATGACTGTGGTAATCACTAGACAATGTATACATATATAAAATCATCATGTTGTACACATTGAATATATGTAATTTTTATTTGTGGATTAATTTTTTAAAAAGAGGCTAGGGTAAAAGAGGAGAGGATTTTGATAAACAGAAAAGTGAGGGCCCTATCTATAGGTAGCCACTTTCATTGGGAAAGGCAGAGGCCACCTGCTGAATATAATATGCACCTGTGGCTATTATTTTGCAGCGGACCTACTTGGCAGTATTCACTATTCCACAAATTCTCTTGTTTTCTCTCATCCTCTGATTTAGTTTTCAGTTTTCTTTTGCATGAATTTTAATGATTTTCTTTTATTCAATATTCAAGTTCCAATAAAAATTGTGGCTATCCTGTGAAGACTTTCCCAAGTGTTCCAATCAGAAAAGAACCTCCTTCTACCATGTTACCACAGCAGCTCCTAGAGATGTTTGCTTGAAGAATCATAATATCATTTTCTTTAGTTTTATTTAACCTGTTAATATTTTTTTCAGTTGCATATAAACACATACATGACAAATCAAGACATAGATTTCACTTTAAAATGTTAAAATAAAAACAGTCAATTGTGAAGAACCATTACAGATATTTGTATTCTTCACAGTTTCTTGGTTAGAAGCAAAAGAAAAACTAAACATCTTACTTTAATTTTGGAAATACATTTGACCTTTCTTAATAATAATAATAATCTAACATATCCCGGGGTTTTAGGAATATTGTAACTTTGGGACCTAAACTTTTATTGGAGCCTTTCCAAAAAGTCCAGGTGAACACATTTAGGATTGGGTTCAGGGTGATGAGAATAGAGCTTTTTTTTTTTTTTTTTTTTTTGAGACGGAGTCTTGCTCTGTCACCCAGGCTGGAGTGCAGTGGTGTGATCTCGGCTCACTGCAAGCTCCACCTCCCGGCTTCACGCCATTCTCCTGCATCAGCCTCCCGAGTAGCTGGGACTACAGGTGCCCACAACCAAGCCTGGCTAATTTTTTGTATTTTTAGTACAGACGAGGTTTCACCGTGTTAGCCAGGATGGTCTCAATCTCTTGACCTCGTGATCCGCTGCCTCGACCTCCCAAAGGAGAACACAGCTTTTGAAAGGACCTGTCACAGGGTCCCTGCTGAATAATAATAATTATTATTATATGGAGCTTATAAACTCAATAAGTAGAAAGATAAAATAACAGTGTCAAACAGATGTAGTGGAAATGAGGTGAAGTCATCTAGGAAAATAGAAGTCTATGATTAGAAAAAGGAATGTTAGAGGTACATTTAAGTTTTATTTAAAACAGAGCAGTTGCAAATAGTGACAATATCCAAGATGACGTCTTGGCTATAGAAAGAAGCACAGAGAAAGACATAGGGAGTTGGAGAAAATTTAAAATTCTGAGGTTCTGGTGTAGCATTGGTCATTCACATAAACACTAACATCAACAAAAAGAATAGGCTGGGTGCCAAGGACTTCAATGAGTTCTGGGGAGTGTTGTTGAAAGGTTAGTAGACTGGAGCAATTACAAGAGGCCGGAATTATTCTATACAGGTGTGGAGGATCAAGAATTTAAACATTTAAGAGGGGAACCAGGTGAATGTCAAACCACCTACATGTAGAACAAGGAAGAAGGAGTAAACATTTCTGATAGAATTTGAGTGGAAGAGATATCCAGTGTATTAGGCCATTCTTGCATTACTATAAAGAAATACCTGAAACTGGGTCACTTATAAGAAAACAGCCTTAGTTGCCTCACAGTTCTGAAGGCTGTACAGCAAACATAGCACCGGCATCTGCTTCTCCAGAGGCCTGATGAAATTTTTACTCATGGCAGAAGGTGAAGCAGGAGCAGTCACATTTCATGGCCAGAGCCGGCGCAAGAGAGAGAAATGGAGGAGGTGCCACACACTTTTAAGTGACCAGATCCCTCAAACCTCACTCACTGTCAAGAGGACAGCACCAAGTCATGAGGGATACACCCCCATTATCCAATCACTCCTACCAGGCCCTACGTCTAGTACTGAGTATTACAATTCAACATGAGATTTACGTGGGGAAATTATACAAACTGTAACACCTAGGAACTGAAGATTTCTTTCAGTGGAGGCAAGGATCAGATATTAAAATATCCTGTCAAGATATTACAAAGCTTTAAGTAGTAAGCAGAATTGTTTAATACATCATGGGTTCTCTAGAATATGCTGTGTTACCATTTGGTGTAGAAGGAAACACTGCAATTACAATGTTAATAACAAAATCCACAGAACAATTTGGGGATAAAGGAAATAAAAAGGAGACGGGAGGGACAATGGCCTTCCCTTGATAGTAATGTGATAATAATAGTGTTTATGGAATGAATACAAAAATATGTTGGTATTAAGTGGGCCTCAAATTCCAAAAGGAGGATGATCAAAATATAATGCAATCTAGAACAGGTTTTCTTATATATAGTTAGAATGTGGTGATTTTTTAAAACTCTCAGTAGAAGTATTTTATTGTTCTAAATGTTCTCCGCATCAGTTGAGCCAGTTTTAGTAACTGATTTCACATTTGAAATACTTTCACACTTTTTCTTATGAATGAATATAGCAAGATATCTTAAAATATCAATCTTCTCCAAAAGCCCTTATATAAGAGAATTTCCCCACTTATTCAGAGGTATATGTATGGCTCTAAGATAAAATAGGTTTCTTATGAAAGGAATGCAAAGAATAAGAAACCATGTCCAGTTTTGCATCTCCAAATTAGGCCCTTGAAGCTTACATAAAATTTAATAGCTTTGAAACATCACAGATTGTGATTTGCATAAACTGGTATTGTTAAGTAAAGTCACGAGAAAGTTTTCTTTTCCTCAAAGGTGGGTAGTAATGGATACCATCACTTTTTTACATTAGAAGGATTAAATTAGAAATCATATTTATAAGTTTATTTATACTTTATATATTATAGCTTTTTATGAGTGCTAAATCTTGTCTCAACAATTACATTACCAATATATTCATCACTATGGCCCCAGACAAGCAACCTCTTCGTCACTTGGGGAGTCATTAGAAATTTAAACACAATAACCCCAATACAAACTGGTGCAAGAGAAATTTGAGAAACACTGTTCTACATCAGTAAATTGAATTAACTGGTAACCACTGAAGAAAAGGAACCTGTTTAGAGAAGAAACATACATGTGGTTCTATGATAAAGACTCTTACAAACGTTGTGACAAAATATCTAAAATATTTTATTTTTGTACAGCTACTGTGTTTACATGGATGTTTTGACAAGGAGAGATTTTTCAGTATGATGGAAAATGATCACGTGGATTATAGAGGAGTTGCAAGATGAACTAGATTGAAATATCATTCCAGCAGTGTTGATAGCCAGATATAAATGAGCCTCTGCATTAGCTATTAATCTTGGCTAACTTAATGGGGTTATGTATTGTTAGTTTCTTCTTATTAACATGTATAAATTTGTTCTTGGTTTATATATGTATCCATCTATCTGTGTATATTTCTGCTTGGTGCCTGCTGTCTTCTTAAATGTTAAATGTTGTGCATTTTAATTGTTTAAGCGTTTATGTAGTTTAACATTCACTATTGTCGTAAAAGTTTAGTTATGCCAACAACAAACCAATTTTAAACAATATAAATTGATATCATCTTTTCCCTTTCCACCTTATTACTGTGATACAGTGACCTTTCAATTGCAGCTTTGGAGTTATAATGATATAGGTGTTAGTGTCAGTGATATAATTCTCAAAATGTTTAATGTCAGTGCTACCCCTCAAGGAGTAAACTCTATATTGGAAGCTGAATATAAGGTTAGAAGTAGAGGTCAAAGCATAAGTGTGCTGGCTCAGTCATACTAATAAACTCATATACTCAGTAAGCTAATAGAAAATGAGCAGAAATAGGTGAAACCAGGGAAATGTAGATCTTCAGTTATTGGGCTGAATTACTCCCAAGATCCTGAGTCTGACTGTTTCTTGAAAACCTGCATTTGTCTGACTAAACATCAACAAATATATTTTACTTATTCTTCTACAAGCCAGATCAGAAATATTCTAATATTTGTTAAGTTTGAAGCATAGATCCAACCATTTCAAAGATTATATGGTCTTAGAAGCACATAAAGAGTTTGTTTTATCAGCAAATAGAAAAATACTAGGTGTAAGAATGCAATAGAAAAAATGGACGATACAAAAAAAAACTTCATATATTCACATGGTGCTGTATCCTTACCTGCTGTATACTACAGCAGACATCATATAAATAAAATATAATACATCATTAGATGCCTGCAATTCCCATTTATCTATACAATTTTAGTTGATGCTAGAAATGAAAAGTAGAAAGAGGATAATGGTGGAGGCTTGTGTGCACTTGAATAAATAACCAGGGTAGCAAAAGGGATAAGTAATAGAAGTGCAGAGAGAAGGAATGCAACAGACACAGAGAGAATTTACTTTTCTAAAAAATTACAGATTATCTTGCAATTTATAAACTGTCTGTAACTTCGAAGCACTTATACCGAAGCAAAGCTGACTGAAAAAAGAGAAGCTTATAGATGTTTCAATAAATTAAACAATAAATTAAAGTGAAGCAAAGGGGTAGAAAGTATTAAGTTAAAATTACCAACCAGAACTAATACTAACAACTGCTGCATTTCATCTTGAGAGTTCATGACTCGGAGTTTTGAGCACAAAATTAATGACACGACTCTTTTGGAAAAATAGAAGTAGAATCTGAAAAAACTTTCTAAAAGATATTTTCAGCTGTTGGGGGGGTGGGGGGAAGAAAACAGGTCACTGATCGGGAAGCAGAAGCTTTTTATACAAATTGAAATTGTAGTATGAGAACAGATGCATTGGTCAAATTCAAGTTTAAATAATTCTCCCAAAAAGATTGAATTTATCAATATCATTTAGTGTTTTTCAGATGGATAGACTCCCTTAGGATCCTAGGTAGAAGTGCAGTCATGCACCGCATAATGATGCTTCTGTCGGCTATGAACTAAACATATGATGGTCGTCCAATAAGATTATAATGAAGCTGAAAAATTCCTATTGCTGAATTATACTGTAGCCATCATAAAACCATACAGCAATGCATTACTCGAGTTTGTAGTAATGCTGGTGTAAACAAACCTATGTGACTATACAGCCAGTCACATGAAAGTATAGCACATACAATTATATATACTACATAATATTTGATCATGAAGATAAACAACTGCTACTAGTTTGTATTTATTATCCGTTACTTTTTTATCATTATTGTGTGTACTCCCTATTAAAAATAGAGAAGTCTACCTATTAAAAGAAAAGTTAACTGTAGAACAGCCTCAGACAAGACATCCAGGAGGTATTCTGAGGAAAGCATTGTTATCACAGGAGATGCCAGCTCTGTATATTTTAATGCCCCTGAAGACCTTCCAGTGGAATAAGATAAAGATGTAAGACAGTAATATTGATGATCCTGACCTTGTGTAGGCCTAGGCTAATGTTTGTGTTTGTGTCTTAGTGTTTAACAAAAGGTAAAAAGTGAAAAAATAATAATAATTTCAAAAATATAACTGCTTATGGAATAAGAATATAAAGAAAAATATTTTTGTACAGCTACACTGCATGTGTGTTTTAAGATGTTATTACAAGAATCACATTTTTTAATTACAAATTTTATAAAGTTACCATAAACTGTTTTATTTATTATTGAAGAAAGAAATTTTTTAAAAAATAAATTTACTGTAGTAGGTGTACAGTGTTTATAAAGCATGGTGTAGTGTACAGTAATGTCCTAGGTCTTCACATTTGAAACCACCCAACTCTCCCATAGAACTGATGTTTATGGTTTCTTTTGAAAAAACATAGAAATTAACCCCCTCAGTCTAAAACTTGAAAAAAGCTATATTTGTCTTATCTGAGTTCCTTTCTTAGGAAACCAACAATAAGTCTTCCCAGATAGTATCAAGGAACTGAAACTTACCAAATCACTGCATCTGCACAATGAGACCCCTCACCCATCATGATTGCCTAACTGACCACCTAGTTCATTTTGACCAACTCCTCTTCGGTAACCCTCTCTAACTCCTATTTTCCTACACATGGTTACATTTCTTCCATGTAATATAAACTCATAATTTTAGTCAATTGAGGAGATGAATTTGAGAGTGCTCTCCCATCTCATTGGATGCAGCACCCAAATTAAGCCTTATTCCCTGGCAACACCCATTGTTTTAGTGATTGATTTTCTGTGCAGCAAGCAGCAGGGCCTAGATGGAACCCCTGGCATTTTGGTAACATGTTCACTCACTGCTCACTGACTCACACAGAGCAACTTCCAGCCCTGCAAGTTCCATTCATGGTAATTGCCCTACAAGCACCAAACAGTATCTATGATACCTTATGCTGTACCATTTTTATCTTTTATATCATATTTTCAACTATCCCTTTTCTAAGTTTACATATGTTTAGACAGACAAATACCACTGTGGTAAAATTGTCTACAGTCAATATAGTAACATTGTATATAGGGTTATAGCTTAGGAGCAATAAGCTATACTATACAATCTAGGTGTTTAGGCTATGTCATCTAAGTTGTGTAAGTATACTCTACAATGTTCGTACAACAATGAAATCACCTAAGGATGCATTTCTCAGGATGTATTCCCCTCATTAAGGGATGTGTGATTGTAACTGACATACCATGTTCTATTGACTAGAAAACTATAACAGTGGAAACTTGTTATGAAATTTTAAAAATATGCTAATAGTCTTAATCAACTTCTTGCATCAAAAGTAACGTAAGTCAGACGAGGTTTTTATACTTAAATAGTATTCCACCCCTCAAATAAGAAGTGATTTATACAAATAATGTTGTCTGAGTGTTTGAATCTTGAAAACATAGAGTGTCAATAAAATTTACTGCCTAAATTTTCATTAGTCTTTGACTGTGAAACTGAAATTAATTTGTTCCAAGAGTGTAAGATGTCATCTTTACATTGTACTTCATATAATTTTGTCTTAATATTAAATTAATCTTTTCAAATACATAGTAGTAAGATTTTAAAAATTTCTTGTTGACTCTTTTTAGCAGTAAAATTCAAAGAAACTTGAACTTGATGTGTGATTGAATCTATGTTTAATAGACTAAGCATAAATGGTAATAGAAGTCAAAAAACACAGTTTATAAAAATACACAAAGAAAACAAAGTAAAAAGATATCAGTGTCTTTGGTTCTTCTGTTCTTTTCATTATATTTTGGTTGTATAAGGATATAATCTTCTCTTGAGATTAAACTTTGCATATTGCAAAATAAAAGTAAAAGAAACAGAAAACAATAAAACACAGTAATATTTACAAATAATTTAAAATCTTAAAATTCAGATATTAAAAGGGAGAACATTTGTTTGATATTTGAATACATAGCCACTACACATATTCCTGTGATATTCCGTCTAATGGAAATCAGCAAATATTGTGGATTAAAAGACTGGACGCATCTTTCAGTAAGAAACATACTGTGTGATAAAGGAATTTTCATCAGTTTGGGCTAGGAAAAAATTTGCTGCCAAATACAATGATTCTAGTTCCAGCTTTTCCATATTAGCTGCTATAGTCACAAAGGATTCCCTTACTCCATTATGGTCATCGACTAAGTACTCAAATATTTTACATAAAAAAAAAAAACAACACTTTCTGTAGGATGCATATTCTTTTTACACTTTTTTGGCATTTCTATTAAAGTTAGATTTTTTAAAGTAAGTTTTACTAGCTAATATTTTTTATCATGGTGGACTTTCTGTCACATCAATTAACAATAGTTCTCTCAAGACATTTAAAACCATTTTATTTGTCTCAAACTTTTTGCATACAAAAGTCTGTTAATAGGAATCTGTTTTAGGAAAAAATCTGTTGGTTGCAATGAGACATTGAAAATTTCCTTAACAACAGTCTGAGTCAGCTCCTGCATTAGATACTAGGTTAAATTTTACTACATATATTAGTAGTCAAAAGTAAATGTTTTCATTCACTGATATTTCATATATTAAGATATTGCTAATATTTTTCTTTAGTTTGGGTAGTGTTAGCCCAATCTAGCACCTAACAGTCATGCTATAAAGCAGAAGGACAGAAGCTAATCTGGACTGAGGACCATCAATACAGTGGTCATCTCCAGTGACACTGACTTAGCTACCTAGTATTATCTCTGCCGCTTTCAAAACTATATAGTATGTCAGAAGCTGCTGATATTCCCTGTACCTAGAGTTTCAGTCATTTCAACTCTCCATCAAGAGCCAGAGATTCACCAAAAAGCCATTCACTCTTAATGTCTCTGCTGTCCTAAGATAATACGACAATGAACTATTATACACAGGGTATTGTGAAAAACTCAAGAAAGACCTCTGAGAAAATATACCTTTTGAGACTTAATGAAGAGCAGGTGTTAGTCATATATAGTTGTGAGATGTTGGATAGGGAACCATCTTAAAGACACATAGATTAAAATAAATAGGATAGGGAGTGTCTTGGGAGTTGATTAGGCTTCAGGATCATGAATGTTGAGATAAGAATGACAACGTGAGCAGGTGTCAGAATGCAAAACTTGAAGAAACATTTCTGTCAGTTTAAGGAACTGAGAATTTACACTAGCTAAGATAAAGAATAATTGCAGAATTTTATCTGGGATATGCCAGAATCCAATTTGTTTTTAAGGTGGTTAACTCTAGCTGTGAAGAAAACCTATGTGATGAAAATAATACTGCAGACGAAATTAAGACATTTTCGTAGTCATATAGTTAAGGAAAGCAAATGTCTTGGCCTAGGACAGAGACAAAGGTATAAAGGTTTTATGAATGTGGGAGGTTTTTCAGATTATTGAATGCCATGTATATAGTAATAGGAGGAGTCTAAGATGAGTGTCAGTTTTTTCTCTTGGATAACTAAATTGATAGAGATGTCTATAATCAAAATGCAGAGCAAGAACTTTAAAAGGCAAGATAAAAATTCACTGTTTTAATGTTGATAGTATGGTGCCCATGGAAAATCCAGGTAGAGATATTCAGAAACTAATAAAACAATGTGTTTCTTGGTCAGAAAACAGTTATAAGCTGGAACACTGAATTGTATTGTGAAGGCTAAAAATCATGCCTATTCTTTATAATTCTTAGTTGGGACCTTTGGTTAAATCTAAGAATCAAATGGACAGAAGTCAGATTAACAGGAGGAAAACATACAAGTTTTATTAGTTTTTACATGTACACAGTGATCTTCACAAGAGAGTAAAGACTTGAATAAATAGCCAAAGCACAAAGCTTTTGTACCTTTAAGCAAGGAAATGATACATTTGCAAAGAAAGGGTAAGACAAAGGGGTTTGGGGCTAGGGGCAGTAAATTGTAAGGAAGTCACTGGAAGATATGGGGGGGATGTAAAGCTAGTGAAAGATAATAATTTGTTTAGTACATTTATTTGTAGAGATTCTTTGTGGCATCATTTCCCAGCCTTTGGTGATAAGTGTTATTTTCTCATCCTGGTACAGAAAGAGTATCTTTCTCAAATAAATTTTTGGAGGGGGTACTTATTTTTATTTTTGAGACAGGGTCTCACTGTATTGCCCAGGCTGGTTCTGAACTCCTGACCTCAAGTGATTCTCCCGCCTCACTGGGATTATAGTCGTGAGCCACCACACTCCGCCAATCAAAGAAATTGTTGTGGCTTACTATGAGTAGAAGAGGACAAGATAGATAGTCCTATCTGCATCTGGTGTTTCTCAGATGAATATAATGAGTAGGCATATTTTGAGATGTCATGACCTTAACTCCTTTAATTGAGGCATCAGTAGAGTATAGCTGGTGATTGTCTGGGGGAAACATATAAGAAGAAGAATGGGCTAAGAATAAAACTCTGAGCAAAATTATTATTTAGTGGATAGGAGAAAAAAAATCCCCTGAAGATTAAATGGTACATTAATCAAAGCAGTCTAAGGAAAGGGAGGATAGCATAGTATCACATTAGATATGGGAGCAGAGATTAAACGAGGTGAACATCCACCAGTGCAACAGAAGACACAAGGAAAAAAAAACTAACAACCAGCATATTATTTATACCTTAATGATGTTATTGGCAAACATATTAATGAAAACCAACTTTAGTTGTCCTGTAAGTTACTGGGAAGTAAGGGAGAGAGAGAGCATGTGTGTATTTCCTTTCAAGAAATTTGGATTAAAAAAGACAAGAGTTAGACTGGACCTACCACTCCATACAATGTCAAGGCTGAAAACGAACCAATAATGGAACGAACAAATATGAGTAGCCTAGAGAGAAAAAGGAAAACGGACATATAAGAAAGATTCAAGAACCACAGGGAGGTGTGAACATAGAATCAGTTAATGGGATTTCTGAAAGTAAGCTCGAAGACATGCTCTATTTAGATATATTAAAATTTTTGTTTTGTTTATTTGTTTAGGATACCGCATATCTACATAGTACTTCCTAGAGGCAAACTCATCTATTGAGTATTCATTCTGGGTTATAATTTTGGTATCGATAAATCTAATCTTTGTCAGAAATATAAATAAATAGAAGAGTCATATTTAGTTTTTATTGATTTCTAAGCATTTCCTTAAAATGTGGGAAGAAAATAGAAGAGCCATAGAAATATGCTGGAGGAAAATTGAACATATTCTTTTGGAGGAATTCAAAAGCTAGTGAGATATTTTGCTCGAAAAAATAGCAAAATATTACATGAGTCCACATGAATATTTAACAGACTGATATATTCTATTGAAGTTTAACAAGCAGCTTCACATCCCTTCAGTCTTTCCACTCCTGACTGCACTAACACCTGTTTTACTCAATTCTGAAATAAAACGTACATCAGATTTTCTTACTGGATTGTAAACATGTTCAAAGGCAGTCCAGGGTGAGGATGTGTTCCTGGTGCAAATTGCTTTTTAATATTTCTAGACATATGAACCTCCCCTCAGCCATCCTCCTCACAACTTCATATTAACCTAAGGATCTGACTACAACAAATAGTCTAACTGCATTTTGCTGCTGAACTGCTTTACAGTTAAGCTGTTGCTTCATGCTTGCCCCTTTTTGTTCAGCCAAATAATTTGGTGTTCATCTCCGTGGCATAATAAAAAGTGATACACAGGGATTTGAAAAGGATGTAATCATGTACACAGCAATACAAATATCATTAATTTATTTCCAACATATTCTACAGTGTGTATTTTGTATTTAGTGGTAGAATTACAGCTTTATTGAGAAAACACCATATAGGGAGATTTATTTTATTGTTACTTACCATTCAAAAATAATATTTGTTAGTATATCATGATAATTTACAATAATAAATATTGCATAGTGTTTCCCTTTTCAGAAAATGTTTTATATCTCTTAATTCCACTGTTAGATGAACATCTTATAATCATACAATAATAATATGTGTCTTCTACGTGCCTCAGGTTTAATGTTTAACTTTGATTTAAGTGGCATTTGATTACAAAAGGAATATACTGTTCGTTTTCTGAGAAGGAGCCCTGTAAGCCATCAGCACAATGCTACAGTTGCCCAGTGAAACCCAGGTAATGACAATTGACTGATTATTGTTAGCAAACACTGTTTTATAAGTTTCTTATTCCTAAGATCACTATAGTCATTTAATTATTCTATATTTTATTATGTTAACTTCATTTAGCTTTTAACTACTCAGGATTTTTACACTGAGTTATGTTTAAATACTTACCTTTATAATTCTCATAACCCAGATTTGGATGCAGTATAGTTTGCAATTTACTAAAGCTTTTTAAAGTACATTTAAAAAAATTTTCATTACATTTATGAAAAAATTAAAACGGATGCTTGTAACTCATTGATTTGGGTAATTTCTGAAAAGGCTTTTACCTGGAAATGAGTAGCAGTTTTAGGGGGTGGGGGGGGCTTATATTATTTAATCTTTAGGTCAATGACATTTATTAATTTGAGTTAATTTGTTCTAGGTATGGTTTTAGAACATATTCACTCTTCTCGAGGAGCTAATTATTTCTAAATATATTCACCCAGAGCTGAAACTCCTTGGAATACAATTATTTTCAGAATAGATGCTCCCTATCCTTAAATTCATATTATGTTATGAGTAAAATACATAAATATATTTAATGAACAATATGAGAGATAATCTTCATAAAAATAAAAGTTTAGGCAAGACTAATGTCCTCATGTTCAATTCAGTCAATTTATGAGTGGTCTGTTCTTTCTCCTAGAGGCTGACATTTTTTCATTGTCTTCAAACAGAAGGACTTTCTAAGAGATCTTGGATGTGACCAGACGATATTGCAATTAGTTTTCCCCTTCATTGGTAGGGTTTTTTTCTGACTGGCAAGTTCATGATTAATTTGCAAATCAAAACATTTCAGAACATTTCTTTCTTTCTTTCTACTTCATCCTCTGCAACATTGACATTGCTGACCAACCTTCCCTCGTCACACTCTCTTTGCTTCACGTCTGTAACCCTGCACTTGCCTTTATTTGATTTTTTTCTTTTTGATTGTTCCTGTTCTTTCCTTCAGTCAGTATGTCAGGCAGTCAATAAAAAGAAATAATCAGAAATGAACTTTGACCACAAGGAATTCAAACAAACATAATACAATTTTTAAAACCCTTATTTTTCTATTTATTTATTGGAGACTCTCATCAATTTTTCACAGCTTCAAATTCTTAGAAGACTCTCAGACACTTCTTTTTAATTTCAACCTCTACCAAAGTTCCCATGTATCCAGATCTTGACTTTTAACAAAAATACTCAGAGCTTAAGATATGAGTGATGTGACAGGTACTTGTTGAGACTTTAGTCAAATCCCTTAACATTTTAGCATTTCTTTTTTTTTATTTTATTTATTTTTTTATTATTATACTTTAAGTTTTAGAGTACATGTGCACAATGTGCAGGTTAGTTACATATGTATACATGTGCCATGCTGGTGTGCTGCACCCATTAACTGGTCATTTAGCATTAGGTATATCTCCTAATGCTATCCCTCCCCGCTCCCCCCACCCCACAACAGTCCCCAGAGTGTGATGTTCCCCTTCCTGTGTCCATGTGCTCTCATTGTTCAATTTCCATCTATGAATGAGAACATGCGGTGTTTGGTTTTGTGTCCTTGAGATAGTTTGCTGAGAATGATGGTTTCCAGCTTCATCCATGACCCTACAAAGGACATGAACTCATCATTTTTTATGGCTGCATAGTATTCCATGGTCTATATGTGTCACATTTTCTTAATCCAGTCTATCATTGTTGGACATTTGGGTTGGTTCCAAGTCTTTGCTATTGTGAATAGTGCCACAATAAACATATGTGTTCATGTGGCTTTATAGCAGCATGATTTATAGTCCTTTGGGTATATACCCAGTAATGGGATGGGTGGGTCAAATGGTATTTCTAGTTCTAGATCCCTGAGGAATCACCACACTGACTTGCACAATGGTTGAACTAGTTTACAGTCCCACCAACAGTGTAAAAGTGTTCCTATTTCTCCACATCCTCTCCAGCACCTGTTGTTTCCTGACTTTTTAATGATTGCCATTCTAACTGGTGTGAGATGGTATCTCATTGTGGTTTTGATTTGCATTTCTCTGATGGCCAGTGATGATGAGTATTTTTTCATGTGTCTTTTGGCTGCATAAATGTCTTCTTTTGAGAAGTGTCTGTTTATATCCTTTGCCCACTTTTTGATGGGGTTGTTTTTTTCTTGTAAATTTGAGTTCATTGTAGATTCTGGATATTAGCCCTTTTACAAAAATTAATTCAAGATGGATTAAAGACTTAAACGTTAGACCTAAAACCATAAAAATCCTAGAAGAAAACCTAGGCATTACCATTCAGGACATAGGGATGGGCAAGGACTTCATGTCTAAAACACCAAAAGCAATGGCAACAAAAGCCAAAATTGACAAATGGGATCTAACTAAACTAAAGAGCTTCTGTACAGCAAAAGAAACTACCATTGGAGTGAACAGGCAACCTAAAAAATGGGAGAAAATTTTCGTAACCTACTCATCTAACATTTTAGCATTTCTTTTCCAGTCTTCTAAAAATGAAATTGGGCTAATTATTGAGATGCTTTAGAATTCTAACATTCTAGAATACTCTGGATCAGTTCTACCAGGAGATCCCAAAAGCATCATCTCCTTTTCACTCCAAATCAGTTTCCCCTCAGCAATTTGTCAGCTAAGTTTACAATGATTATCAACACGTAGATAGATAGATAAATAGATAGATAGATAGATAATCTCTTTCTTGTCCTTCTTTCCTAATATAATTAGTTGCCTGATGGCAAAAATAAGAAACCCTATCACCCTTATAATTTTTTATGTAATTCAAGAGGTCATTCAGGTTATAAAACAAAAAGTATATTTATTAAGTTATACACACACACACACACACACACACACATATATATATGAGAACTCCCAGGTGAAAGTTGTAAAAAGAACTGAAATTATAAAATTAGCATATTGGATTCAGTTATCGCAGATTTTGTGGTTACATTTTCTAGATATTTTTCCACATATGATTCTATAGTTCGGTGTGTATAAAATAAGCCAAAGTCTGAGAACAAGGAAGTGATAAGAAAGGCAGCTAGAGAAAAATGCAAAAGCAAGACATTGAAAGGCCCTGTATATCATGTTAAGGAGTTTGAATTTTACCTTAAAGGCAAAAGACCAAACCAAATTACATATACTTATGGCATAATCATTTTCATTTAAAAAAATCAACTTTTGCATTAGTGAAAAGATACACTGAGGCAAAACTGGAGACAGCAAGATCATTGAATAGGCTTTGCTTGTACCCAGATTTGAGATGATGAAGCCCTACTCAGAGCCATGTCACAAGAGGTAAATAACATGACTGTATTGGAAAAACTGTAAGAATCTATAATTGATGGGGCATTTCTATAACAAATTTTCTATAGAACATAAGGTGGGCAAAAGTCACAAATGACAACCAATATTACGATTTAAGCGATATTGTGGTGGATCGCCATGCTACTCACAGAACCAAGGTGTAGATAAACAGAAGACATCCTTGGGGATGTAAGTCACTTGTAGAATGTGAGATGCCTGTGGAACATGTAAGTAGAGTAGAATAAATAGGTAGCTGTATGGATATTCTATATGACTACTCAAGCCTTACACAGGAGGAATGAAGTAGCCAATTGGTCCAGGTTGAGGGTCCTACCTCCACTTCAATAGGAGCACCTCTATTTTTATATGTTAAATTTCCATGAAGTTTTTTATATGTACAGATATTGCTAGCGCTTTAAGAAAGTTTGGATAAGGTAACATGATAAGTTGTTAATCTCCTGTGTATGCGTATTTTCTTAATAGAAGAAAGAATATGAGAAAAGTACATTCTTCTGATTTCTGGCCCAATCATCTCAAACTCGCCCACACATATGTATATGATTCAGAGAACTATACCTAACTGATATGACGGGACATTCAGAAATACTATTTCACTAGCAGAAAAGATTCTATTTTAGGGATTGAGAATTTTTTTATATAAAGGGCCAGATGGTAAGTTTTTCAGGCCAGATGTTTTTTGTCGTAACTATTCAAATCTGCTGCTTGTAGAGCTAAAGCAGCCATAGACAATATGTAAGCAAATGGGTGTGACTGTGTTTCAAAAAAAAAAACAAAAAAAAAAGTCATTGATAAGAACAGTCACCAACGAGGTTTGGCCCACAGGCTGTAGTTGGTTAATCTCTGTACTATGTGATTCATTAGCCATGAAATCATAGAGACTGTATGACTCAGTTGAGAGTATTTGAGCATCTTAAGGAGTATGTGTATAGCATGTGTGATCAGAGAACAAAGTGGGTAATATTTTATTTGCCACTAAAAACATGTAGCCACTAGCTGGGCAAGGTAGCTCACACCTGTAATCTCAGCACTTTGGGAGGCCAAGGTGGGTAGATTTCTTGAGCTCAGGAGTTTCAGGCCAGCCTGGGCCACATGATGAAACCCTTTCTCCACACACACACACAGACACACAAAACAAAAATTAGCTGGGTGTGGTAGCATGCTCCTATAGTCCCAGCTACTTGGGAGGCTGAGGTGGGAGGATTGCCTGAGCCCAGGAGGTTGAGGCTGCACACAACCATGATCATGCTATTGCACTCCAGTCTGGGTGACAGAGCGACCCTGTCTCAAAAACGAAAACGAAACAAAATAATGTGGCTATTATACTTCCCAGTCCTAGAAAATATGCTATCAGATCCTATGAGAGGTATTAAACCTTGGTTCACAGTTCTTTGGAAAAATAAAGAGAGTTATTGTCTATAAGCTACTAGCTTAGGATGAAGAAAATAATGTGTTCTTAATAGATTATTCTGAATCTTATTTGATTCTTACATATGAGTGGGATTAGGGAAATCATCTGTGATTATACTTTCAGAAGAAATCTGTCTTAAATTCATGAAAATTAAAGTTGCTTTCTGACACTACAGTGAGAACATTTGGCATGCTTTACCCTTGTGCAGAGAGATTTAAGTATGTTTGACCACACGGTTCTTATTAAAATTCAGCACTAGGTTGTTAGCATTCTGTTCTTTTACAACAGAGCTAGTATATAATGAAAAGAAATATGAGGAAGCTGAGGTATCTCTTCTACACACTTTTTCATGTTTTTATTCTTTTTTTTTTCATTCTTTCTTTTCTTTTTCCCCCAAGAGAAGTGATTTCTTGGCCCCTCTATTTGGGTTGCCAGTTCTTTTCTGATTCCTTTTCAGAAAAATGAATACTGTGTCAGTGTGAGGTGCATATGAATTGAACCCTAAAACGAAGAGTTATTATTAACATTCAATTGTTAAAATTTTGCATTATATTTAATTGGGAGGTAAAGGGGATATTTAGACTTTGGCTCATATCCATGGTTGATTTTTAAAAAACTTAATGCTCTAACATTCTATACATTTCTTCAGGAATAAAAATGTGCATGTTTTGAAAAACAAGAAAAGAGCAACCTTCTAGATTTTCCCATTGAAAATAATCATCATGAGTTGCCTTGAATATGTAACACTAAATTAAAGTGAAAATCACATAAATGTAATCACATAGTGTTTTAATTTAAGAAAAGATATATATCTATGAAAGGATGGTAAAATTTTCTGTTTTCACTAATAATGCTGTTTTGAACGTTAAAAAGTAGGAACTTACTTAGCAAAGAAGACAAAAATCACAGAAGAAGGAAAATGCTGAAATGTCCTCATTTATCACCTGTGAGGGTAAGGTGTATCCTACTGTTATTAAATGTTTAATGTAGCTGTTGGCAGGTGTGTATAATGAGCTGTTTAAAGTCTGGGAGACTGCTCGCATATCTATTTCTCATTTGCCTATTGCAAAATGTTGAAATCATCCCTACTCTCTTGAAAATTCATTATAGTATTATTTTATTTTAGTTAAGATTGTTCATGGCATACAGTGGTTTTAAGATTTGTTCAATTTTATTTGCTTTGCATAAAGTGGACATTTTCCTTTGTAAGGGAAAGTAGAACTCAGCCTCTGGGAGATTTTACTGGATATAAGAAGAGTTTGATTATTAAAGGTCAAGTGCATTGGAGAGTACTGCTTATTTGATAAAACTTTGTAGAGCTTATTTAAGTCTAAGAATTCCCTTTAATGAAGTTATCTGCTGTGTGGTATTTCATTAAATTAATTCATTTTATTTTTGGCCATCTTTAGACAAACACTTTGATTTAATTTCTTCAAATGAGTGCTGTTCTAACAATTTGACTGGTACTCAAATAAAATTAATTAAATAAATGGGAATTTAAAATGTGGAAAAATTTTAATATGTAAACATTGAAAGCAGTAAAATATCTTGTAGACATATGTTGTAGATTACAGATTCTTAAACTCTAGCATGTATAAGTATAAACATTGTAGATTGTTTTAAAAAATGTCAAGACATCACTCCAGAAGGTTTTTATTCATGAGAGTCAATAAAACATGCCTTCCTATAAAGCACTCCATGTGATTCTGATGCAAATGGTAAACCAACTGAACAGGGAAGTACACCTGGATAAATAGTCATAAGGAACTCATACAGAATATTAAGTACATATCTAAAACACCTCTGCAGAAAAACAGGGAGCAAAGTATTTGCATAAACTTGTACTGAGTACTAGGGTAGTTTTGAGGAAGACACATATCTCCTTTCTCAGAAATACTTATTTATTTGACAGTGTTATAACACTGATGTTACTTTCCCAAATACTTATTACTAGAAGAGGAAAAAAATTAAACATATTGCTTGTCCTTTAAAGTTAATATAAGAACAGAATACATTGGTATTAAAGCATAGATACTAAATTAAGTATTGATTAATATTATTTCTACTGACATATTCTATATTGAAGATGCATAATAATCTCCGGCAGCAATTGTTAGACATGTATAGTCTCGGGTCCCACATTTAAAACTTGTAATCTAGTAACTCGGATCAGACAAGGGAATTTCATTTTGTAATACCATCCTATAATATGGTTTTGATCCAGTTGATTTTTGCACCACATTCTGAGAACACTGTTCAGAGTAATAAGATTGCAAATGAGAAAATTATTCAGAATATACAATTAGATGAAATTTCACCAGAATAACATTGGGACTATGTCCAAATAAAGTAGTAAGTCATTTGTTTTTCTCATTAAGACACTCAAAATTACTTTGCTTGTTCTATTAGAAAAAAAAATATGTTTACTTCTCAGATATCTTCAAAAGAGTATTCAATAATTATCATACAAAATTTTCAAATCAAAATATTAGACTAAAATTTCTTTATTTTACTTTAAGTTCTGGGATACACGTACTGAATGTGCAGGTTTGTTACATAGGTATACATGTGTCATGATGGTTTGCTGCACCTATCCACCCGTCATCTAAGTTGTAAGTCCCACATGCATTAGGTATTTGTCCTAATGCTCGCCCTCCTTTTTCCCCCCACACCCCGACAGGCCCGAGTATGTGATGTTCCCCTCCCTGTGTCCATGTGTTCTCACTGTTCAGCTGCGTGTGAGTGAGAACATGTGGCGTTTGGCTTTCTGAGTTTGCTGAGAATGATGGTTTCCAGCTTCATCTATGTCCCTGCAAAGGATATGAATGCATTCTTTTTTACGGCTGCATAGTATTCCATTGTGTATATGTGCCACATTTTCTTTATCCAGTCTATCATTGATGGGCATTTGGGTTGGTTCCAAGTCTTTGCTATTGTAAATAGTGCTGCAATAAGCATACGTGTGCATTTATCTTTATGGTAGAATGATTTATAATCCTTTGAGAATATACTCAGTAATGGGCCTTCTGGGTCAAATGATATTTCTGGTTCTATATCCTTGAGGAATTGCCACACGGTTGTCCCCAAAGGTCGAACTAATTTACAATCCCACCAGTAGTGTAAAAGCCTTCCCATTTCTCCACATCCTCACCAGCGTCTGTTGTTTCCACACATTTTAATAATCACCATTCTAACTTGCGTGAGATGGTATCTCATTGTGGTTTTGTGCATTTCTCTAATGTCTAGTGATGATGAGCTTTTTTTCATATGTTTGTTGTCCACATAAATGTCTTCTTTTGGAAGTGTCTGTTCTTATACTTTGCCCACTTTTTATGGGAAGATTAAAATTTACATTGCTTTTAGTAAGGCTTCAGGAAAAATGTGAATGAAATACGAAAGAAAGAGAGTTGAGCCCAGTTAGAAATAACATACCATATATAGTCTGTTAATTTTGTTTGTTTATTTCAAGTAATACAAACTCAATTGATATATTTGAACAAAGAGGAAGTTTACCATAACTCAACAAGATATCTGACACAACGCAAGCGATAAGAGAAAACAGGCCCCACTAGGGTATCAGCTTTTATGCTACAAATTTCTCACTTTATCTTTGGAACCACAGAATCTCACATCCTATCAGTTTCCATATTCACTTCTTTGCTTTTCTCTTCTTCAAAATAAGCTTTTCCTGCCTCTTCACTTGAATGAAGTCAAAAGTATCCATTTGCAGTTCCTGTATTGTTAGTTATTTTCTTCCTTCAATTTTTATGCTCTAAAGAATGAGTTTTATAGAAAACATATTTTAAAATATATATTTTAGCTTATATTTTGACACTATTTAAGGCAAATATTTCCACAATCCTCCATGTAGGATTTTCAACATTTATTTATTCAAGGAACATTTACTTAGAATCAGCAATGTGCTTGATAGATATCATAAATTTTGACCAAAAAATGACATGACAACTAGCAGTCAAAAAGATAGAATCAAGTAGGAAGAGAGGAAAGCAACTAAATTACATATGGTAAGTTACATAATATGAGAACATGCATCTTAACTTTCTTATGCAATGAAATAAGAAATCACAAAGAAGGCCATGTTGGAAAAGTTGGAAGGATCAGTATGTCCTTTTCAGATGGACAAAGGAAAAGGATATCTGATGTAGAGGGGAGAGAAGATACAAAGGCAAGTGCATTTGAAGCAGCATTACTGGTGAGGGGAAAGAGAAGTTATTCATTAAGGAAAACGCATGAGGTGCAAGTTAAAAAACTGAAAAGAAATTGCTTAGATAAAAAGTCAAAAGATAGGTCATAAATCCATTAGATAAGTTAGTAGATAATGAAAATCATACATGCTAGTCAACATCTTTTGTTTTCACATCTAGCATCCAATTATTTTTTACTAATGTACCACAGTTTTCCTCAAGATAATTCATTCTCACATTCTTAAAGATTGGGTGAATATTCTTTGTATCCAGGCTCAAGTGCGTGACTCAATTTTGGCCAATCAGAGCAAAATATTTGATGATCACAGTGACTTTTTCAGAGGTTGGAGCATGAAGTACTACAGACAAATTATATTTAGAGTTTTCCTTTGTTTGCTTTTTCCTGTCACTGTTGGGAGTGAGATTGGTCATTCCATTACCAATATTCTGTCACATTTAGAAAATGCCAAATTTCCTAGGAAATGATGATAATTTTAGTAAAAACTAAGCAATATGTGCCAAAAGTAGTGATAATTCCTCTCTGGAGAACAATAACGTGACCATAGTCCAAAAAAAGATTCCCACAAAAAATTATATAAATAAAATGCCTGTGACACAGTCAAAAATAACCGCTTATATGGTAAGCCAACAAAGTCTGTTTGAAAAATAGCAAGGCATAAAAATAGAAGGCTAGTAAAAGAGACTCATGAAGAATCAAGATGTTAAACTATCACAAATTTTAAATTAATTATGCTGTCAATAATCAAAGGGGTTTAAAAAATTGAGAATTTTGGCAGAGAACAGTACATCACAAGGTGAAAAAACCATAAAAATTCTAGAATTCAAAAATAAAACAACCAGGAAACTTCAGTCTTGTCAGTTGCTTTTTTTGTGTTAATTTAAATGATCACGTTGATTTTACTTTTTTAGTTTACAAATATAATAAGGAGAATTGATTGATTTTCAAATTCATCTTTGAATACCAACCCCGTATCCCTGGGATAAATCCCAGTTGGTTGTGATATATTATTCTTGTTTATTATTGAATTCAATTTTCTAATATTGTGTTTAAAAATTATGTATCCATGTTTATAAAGGATATTATAATGTCTTTGTACATATTTGGTACAAATATATACCATCATATGAATAAAACTTACAAATACTAGGCCAAGAAAACCAACATATTAGGAATATAAAATGTACAATTCCATTTACATAAGGTTAAAATTAACAATAAAAGAAAATTATATTATGGAAAATCAAAGTTAAAAAAAGCAGCAGAGTGATAAGCATAAATGTCAAGATAGTTGCTACTTAAAAGGAAAAAAGGTTGTAAGGAGGAATAGTGATTAGGATAGTGATTAGGGGCTAAAGAGGACGATGGGAGCTGGAAGGGTTTCATTCTATTTTTTATTTATCTTTTATTTTAAGTTCTGGGATAGGTGTGCAGATTTGTGGCACAGGTAAACTTGTGTTATGGGGGTTCATTGTACAGGTTATTTCATCACCCAGTTGTTAAACTTGGTATCCATTAGTTATTTTTCTTGATCCTCTTACTTCTCCCACCCTCCACCATCTGATAGGCCCCAGTGTCTGTTGTTCCTCTCTATGTGTCCATGTGTTTTCATCATTTAGTGCCCATGTGTAAATGAGAATATATAGGATTTGGTTTTCTATTTCTGTTTTAATTTGCTAAGGATAGCTCCCATGTGTAAATGAAAATATACAGGATTTGGTTTTCTATTTCTGCTTTAATTTCCTAAGGATAATGACCTAGAGTTCCATCTACGTTCCTGCAAAGGACAATATCTTGTTCTTTTTTATGGCTGCATGGTATTCCATGGTAATGAATATGTACCACATTTTCTTTATCCAATCTGATATTGATGGGCATTTAGATTGGTTCCATGTGTTTGCTATAAGAACAGTGTTGCAATGAACATAGGCATGTACGTGTCTTTATGATAGAATGACTTATATTCCTTTGGGTGTATACCCAGTAATGAGATTATTGGGTTGAAGGATAGTTCTGTCTTTAGGTCTTTGAGAATTGCCCACTGTTTCCCACAATGGTTGAGCTAATTTACACTCCAATGGGAGAAATATAAAATAGTGTATAAGCATTCCTGTTTCTCCACAACTTCACCAGCACCTGTTTATTGACTTTTTAATAATAGCCATTCTGATCAATGTGAAATGGTATCTCATTGTGATTTTTATTTGCATTTCTCTAATGATCAGTGATATTGGACCTTTTTCACATGATTGTTGGCCACATGTATGTCTTCTTTTGAAAAGTGTCTGTTCATGTATTTTGCCTATTTTTTAATAGGGCTGTTTGGTTTTTTTTCTTGGAAATTTGTTTAAGTTCCTTTTAGATGCTAATATTAGACCTTTGTTAGATGCATAGTTTGCAAAGATTTTCTCCCATTCTGTAGATTGATAGTTTCTTTTGTTGTGTAAAAGCCCTTTAGTTTAAATTAAATCCCATTTTTCAATGGGTGTTTTTGTTGTGATTGCTGTTAGCATCTTTCTTATGAAGTCTTTGTCAGTTCCTACATCCTAAATGGTATTGCCTAAGTTGTCTTTTGGAGTTTTTAAATTTTGGGGTTTTACAATTAAGTCTGTAATCTACCTTGAGTTGATTTTGTAATATAGCATATGGTAGAGGTCTAGTTTCAGGCTTCTGCATATGACAAGCTAGTTATCCCAGCACCATTTGTTGAATAGGGTGTCATTTTCCCATTGCTTGTTTTTGTCAGCTTTGTCAAAGATCAGATGGCTGTAGGTATGTGGCCTTATTCCTAGGCTCTCTATTCTGTTCCATCGGCCTTTGTGTCTGTTTCCGTGCCATTATCATGCTGTTTGGGTTATTGCAGTTCTGTAGTATAGTTTGAAGTCAGGTAGCATGATGCCTCCAGCTTTGTTCTTTTTGCTTAGCATTGCCTTGACTATTCAGGCTCTTTTTTTGTTCCATGTGAATTTTAAAATAGTTTTTTTCTAGTTCTGGGTATTACACCATTGGTAGTTTCATAGGAATGGCATTTAATCTATAAATTGCTTTGGGGAGTATGGTCATTTTTACAATATTTATTCTTCCTATCCATGAGCATGGAATGTTTTTTATTTCTTTGTGACATCTACAATTTCTTTGAGCAGTGTTTTGTAGTTCTCCTTGTAGAAATCTTTCACCTCACTAGTTAGCTTTATTCCTAGGTATTTCATTCTTTTTGTGGCAATTGTGAGTGGGAGTTCTTTCCTTATTTGGCTCCCAGCTTGACTGTTGTTGGTGTATAGGCATGTTAGTGATTTTTGGATGTTGATTTTGTATCTTGAGACTTTGCTGAAGTTGTTTATCAGCTGAAAGAGCTTTTGGGCTGAGACTATGGGGTTTTCTAGATATATGATGATGTCATCTGCAAACAGGGATAGTTAGACTTCCTCTTTTCCTGTTTGGATGCCCTTTATTTTTTTTTCTCTTGCCTGATTGCTCTGGCTAGGACTTCAATTACTATGTTGAATAGAAGTGGTAAAAGAGGGCATCCTTGTCTTGTGCCAATTTTCAAAAAGAATCTTACTGGCTTTTGCCCATTCAAGAGCCATCTATGACATTCTATTTCTTAAATGGTGTGTTGATACAGATGTGTTCATTTTGTGAGAAACTGCTGAGCAGGGCTTTGGTTTTCTGGGGATGAGGAGGTACATTTTGGTATGTGCATTATTTCTTATTTTAACAATAAATGATTTAATAATCTTAAATTACCTTTGTAAATTAAAAAAAAGCATTGCCAAGCTATACAATTCTATTTTTCAAATTAGAGTGTACTCAATCTTGGTCTTGAAGTTCAAAGTTCAGATTTAAACCCTAAAGTTGTGATCCACAGTCATTTTTACAAGTTACTTTCATCTCTCAGAGTATTGTTTTTATCTTTAAGATAAAAAGAAAAGTTTTGTTTTGTTTTGTTTTGTTTTGTTTTTGTTTGTTTGTTTTTTTTTTTTTTTGAAACAGAATCTCCCTCTGTTTCCCGGGCTGGAGGGCAATGTGGTCATCATGGCTCACTGCAGCCTCCCAGGATCAAGCACTCCTCCTGCCTCAGCCTTCCAAGTAGCTGAAACTACAGGCATGTGCCCCCACATCTGGCTAATTTTTGTATTTTTATGGAAACTGGGTGCCCCTATGTTGCCCAGGCTGGTCTCAGACTCCTGGACTCATGCAATCCTCCTGCCTCAGCCTCCAAAACTTCTGGGATTACAGGTGTGAGCCACTGCACCCGGCCTAATGAAAACTTTTTAACAAGAAAAAAAAAACACATATCTCAGAAGTTGTTATGAAGATTACATGAAGTAATGTTGATTTCAGCTCAGAAATACACATGCCCAGGCCAGTCTCTTCTGCCCTGTTTCATTGCTAAAGCCTGTGGTCAAGGCACCATCACTTTATAAAATAATGAGTCCAACATCTGGATTCCTATGCTTAAATTTTATTCTCAAATTTAGTTTTCTTTCTATAAAATAAATTAATAATACCATAACCCTCATTTAGCATTTTGTTTGGCACCCCTTCACTATAGGATAAAGTTCATTTTTCTTTTCATGGCAAAGAAGGCTAGTTTCTAATTCTAGACTTCGCTCTCTCCAGTCTCAGTTTCCACAAATCTGCATCATGAAATCTATTTTTCTATCACAGAAACTTAGAATTCCTCATGTTGCTTTTTATTCCCTACCTTTGAACAACACAATCTCTGTGGCTGAAATGCTCCCTCCCATCTTTACTGTCTGACAAATGCCTATTCATCCTTCTAGATGCAGCTAAAATCCTCCTCTTCTATGAAATCTTATGGGTTTCCCCTGACATAGTCAATATGTCTAAGTTCTGGGCTCCTCTTAGTACTTCATCTTCATAATGCATTAGTCTGGACCTATATTGTTTGCTAGCCAAGCTTTACAACTTTGCTGGCATTTCCATAGAAGTTATTACTTTTTTGTCTCTGATAAGTTCAAGAAAAAAATAAAGAAGGAGAGATAAGGACCAGCAGGTAATGGGAATGGAAAAAAGGATATATCAAATCTGTTGGGATAAGGCTGAGTGGCTTTTCCTCCCTATTTCTTTAGTTATACTCTCAAGATTTTGTGCTGTGTTGAGGTGTTCTCAAGAGAAGCAAGTGCAAAAGAGGGACAGCTGTGGTTCTGCTAAACTTGGAGTTTAAGCAACACAACTCATAAAAGTTAGAAATAACAGTAGAGTCAATGCAAGTTAGAGAATTTCTCCATTGTGGGTCCCAGCCACTCACATGTTATACCCTCACATATAAAGGGGAGTCAATTCCAATATCTCTTACCCATATCTAATCTTGTTTTATCCACATTGTATTCTATTATTGCTTAACTGAATTTTAATAAAGCATTATTTTCTTCTAGAATACTAGACATATCCACTCATTTTAGAATGTGGCATATTGATCACTGTTCAGGAGAATTGGAAAGCATTCTCCCACAAAGAAATCTTGTTCCTACTCAAATAGGCTACTCAGAGATTTGCCCTTGTAAAACATGTTCCATCACCAACTGATAATTTGGAGTGTGAAATTTGGAGCCATTATAAATAAATGTAGGATTTATTTGAAGCCAATATATTTCACGCATTCAGCATTTCTCACACAATTATCATTTATGTGGACCTTTTATTGAAGCTCAGTTTCAGCCAATTTAAAACATAATTGCTTATCTTACCTAAATGCACACCTGAGACATGCAAAGTAAATTTTGGATTGCCAATGTCATCCCAAATGCTGAGACACAATTCTTGATAGCTTGCTCACATTTTTGCACATCTTGCAAGAGAGTTACTAACACCCTTTTACCTGGAGTTTGTTTTTAAGGACATTTGTACTGTCTTTATTGTAGGATTTTTTTTTTTTAATTAATAGGCTTCATTTCTTAGAGCAGTTTTAGGTTTACGGAAAATTGAAGAGACAGTACAGATCTCCCATATACCTCCACTTCCTTCCAATCAGTTTCCTATTAAAACATTTTGCATTAGGTGTGGCATTTTGTTAGAATAGATTGGGCAATATTGGTACATTACTATTAACTAAAGTTCATAGTTTACACTAGAGTTCAGGCTTTGTGTCATACAATTTTATGGATTTTGACAAATGTGTAATGTCATATATCCAATATTAAGGTATCAAACAGTATAATTTTAGTGCCTTAGAAATCTCTGTGCACCATTTATTCATCTCTCTCTCCCTCTAACCCTTGGCAACCACTAATTTTTTTCCATTTCTACAGGTTTGCCTTTTCCTTACATGTCATATAGTTGGAATCATATAGTAATATTTTTTCAGACTGACTTGTTTTCCCATAAGCAATATGCATTTAAGGTTTTTCTAAGTCTTTTCATAGCTTGGTAACTATTTCTTTTTATTACTGAGTAATATTTCATTGCCCAGAAACATTTGTTTATTTACTCACCTTTTGAAACAATATTTTGTCTCTTTCAGTTTTGGGTAATTATGAATAAAACTTCTATGAACATTTGTATGCAGTGTTTGTGTGAACAAATATTTCCGCTTCACTTAGATAAATCAAATGTGAAAAAACACTATGTTTAGCTATGAGAAACATTGCTTTAATATGTTTGTCTATATGAGAAGCTTCTGGAATGTCTAAAGTGACAGTACCACTTCACATTTTTACCAGTAAGGAATGAATGAGCCTACTGCTCTGAATTCTTTACAGCATTAGTTGTTTTCAGTTTGGAAGGTGTTGTGTGGTAGAGGTAATAGTTGTGTGGTGGTATCTCATTGTCATTTTAATTTAAAATTCCCTAATGACACATGATACTGTGAATCATTATATGCTTATTTGCCATATATATCCACATATATATCATATGAGTATATGATATATATATCATATGAGTATATGATATATATATCATATGAGTATATGATATATATATCATATGAGTATATGATATATATATCATATGAGTATATGATATATATATCATATGAGTATATGATATATATATCATATGAGTATATGATATATATATCATATGAGTATATGATATATATATCATATGAGTATATGATATATATATCATATGAGTATATGATATATATCATATGAGTATATGATATATATCATATGAGTATATGATATATATCATATGAGTATATGATATATATCATATGAGTATATGATATATATCATATGAGTATATGATGTATATCATATGAGTATATGATGTATATCATATATATGATGTATATCATACATATGGTATATCATATGTATGGTATATCATATGTATGATATATATGTATGATATATATCATGTATCTCCTTTGATAGAGTGTCTATCCAAATCCTTTGTCTATTTTTGATTAAACTGTACACTTATTGTTGAATATTAAAAGTTATTTGACATATTTTGAGGTAAGTCCTTTATCAGGTAAGTGTTTTGTAAATATTACTTCCCAGTCTGTAGCTTGTCTCTTAACAGTGTCACTTGTATAGCAGAAATATTTAATTTTAACAAAGTCCAACATCAATTTTTTCTTCGACGCATTGTTCTTTTAGTGTTGTTTCTAAAAATGTATTGCCAAATGAAAGGTCACATAGATTTTGTCCTATAATATCTTCTAGAAAGTATAGAGTTTTGTGTTTTATATTTAGGTGTCTAATCCATTCCCAGTTAAATTTTGTGAAAAGAAGTATATGGTGTGAGTTGGATTCGTTTTTGGTTTTGTGCATATACATGTACAAATATTCTAGCACCATTTATTGAAAAGCCTCTCTCCACTGCATTACCATTTCTTTTTTGTCAAAGATAAGTAGACTACATTAGTGTGGATCTATTTCTGGGTTATCTATTCTGTTCCACTGATCTATTTACTTATTCTTTCATCAATATCATACTGTCTTAATTACTGGAAGCTACATAATAAGTTCTGAAGTTGGATAATGTCGGTCCTTCAACTTGTTCTTCACTATTATATTGGTTGTGTTTTTAGTTCTTTCTTTCAAGATTTTAAATGCTTACTCCACTCTTGTACAGTTTCTGATGAAAAGTTGGATATAATTTATACCCTAGTGTCTATATATGTTAGGCATTCCTATCCCCATCCCCTGGTTTCTATCTAGATGTTATGTTTGTCTTTGGTTTTCTGAAGTTTGAATATGTTATACCTAGGTGTGAGGTTTTTGGTATTTATTCCTCTTGGTGTTATCTGAGCTTTTTGGCTATGTGGCTTGAATTTTATCATTAGTTTTGGGAAATATGAAGTCATTATTACTTCAAATAGTTCTTCTACACCTTACACATTTTTTTCTGCTATCATCATTATGCACATGTTATACCTATTTACATTTTTACACAATTTTTGGATATCCTGTTCTATTTTTCCATTTTTTAAAAATTCCTTTTCTGTATTTTTTTTTTTTTGCATTTCAGATTCGTAGGTAATTATTGTCATATCTTCAGGGTCATTGGATACTTTACTTGAATGGGTTCAATCTATTTGTGAAGGCAACAAAAGAATTCTTCATACATTTTTTAATTTATAGCATTGCCTTTTGATTCTTTATTAAAATTTCAGTCTCTCATTTCATATTACCCATGTGCTATGGTTTGAATGCCTTTCCTTTCTGAAACTCTTTTCAAACTTAATTTCCAATGCAACAGTATTGAATTGAGACCTTTAAGAAGTAACTGGGTCACAAGAAATTAATTGATGAATGGATTAATAGATTAATCAATTATCATGGGAGTAAGTTATCACAAGAGTGGATTTGTTATAGAAGCAAGTCGGGCTTTCCAGTGCCTTCTCTCACCCTGTGATGCCTTCCACCTTGTTGAGACACAACACTAGAAGCCAACCAGATGCAGCTGCCCAATATTGGACTTCCTGGCCATGATATGAAATACAGGTCCTTTATTTATAAATTACAAGACTTAGGTATTCAGCTATAGCAACAGAAAACCAAATAAAGCAACATTTATTCTTTTATATTCACTTTTTTCCATGAATGATCTTAGCAAATTGCTTATAATTATTTTTAATTGCTAGTCTGATAAATTCAGAATTTGTCATCTGAGTCTGAATCTGTTTCTTATGTTTCCTCTGCTGATTTTTAAAATATATTTCTTTGCCTTCTAGCATATTTTGTAGTTTTTCTTGTTGGTGTTGAGAGCCAGACATAACACATGAGGTAACAGAACCTGAGATGAATTGACCTTTATTGTGAGAGATTATGTTTACTTGGGTAGGGCTTATATCAAAAAGATACTTTCACTTGTATGTATATAAAGTAGTATTCACAAGAGCAAAGACATGGAATTAACCTAAATGTCCATCAATGGATGCTTAGATTTTTAAAAAAGATATCAATATCATATATCTCTATCTACATATAGATATCATATATCTATATGTAGAAATCATATATCTATCTATATATAGATATCATATATCTATCTATATATAGATATCATATATCTATATGTAGAAATCATATATCTATCTATATATAGATATTTATATATCTATCTGTATGCAGCTCCCATATATCGGTATATAGATCTCATATATCTATATCTATCTATTTATTTATCTATCTACACACACACACACACAATGGAATACTCCTTAGCCATAAAAAAGAATGGAATTGTTTATTTTATAGCAACATGGATGGAACAGGAGACCACAATCATATGTGAACTAACTCAGAAACAGACAGTAAAATACTGTATGTTCTCAAAAGTGGGAGTTAAATAATGTGTACACAAGGACATAGAGAGTGAAATAATAGACAACAGAGACTTCAGAAAGGTGTGAGGGTGGTAAGGGGGTGAGGGAAAAGGAATTACCTAATGGATACAATGTACACTATTCAGGTGATGGTTACATTAATAACCTAGACTTCACCACTATGTAATACATTCATGGACCAAACCTGCACTTATACTCCTTAAATCTATTTTTAAAAGCCCACAAATAAATAAAATATCTTTTTTATTAAAAAAATTCAGAATATCTTCCAAAGTATTGCATTTAAACATCAGGAGATATACTATGTGGCAGAAAAAAGCAACAGCAGAAAGCTAACATTGAGAAATACAGTGACTTAAGGATTTGCCAAGAAGCCTAAACCTTAAGGTTATTCTTGTCCCCAAACCACAATTTTTCAATAATTTAAATTGACATACAATAGTTGTACATATTTGGGGGGTACATGTGATATTTTGTTGTCTGTAAACAATGTGTAATGATCAAATCAAGGTAATTGGAATATCCATCACCTCAAAATTTACCTTTTTCTTTCTGTTGGGGATATTTTAATTCTAAATATTTTGAAATATACAATAAATTATTGTTAACTATAGTCTCTCTACTATATTACTGAAATATTAGAGCTTATTCCTTCTATCTAACTGTACTTTTGCATTTTTTAACCAACTTCTCTTTACCACCACACTCCACATTCTTCCCAACCTCTGATAACCACCATTCTACTCTCTACCTCCGCAGTCCATTTTTTTTCATGATCTACATAGGAGTGAGAATATGCACTATTTCTCTTTCTGTGCTTGGCTTATAATAAATGGATAAAGAAAGCATGACTCTCTCTCTCTCTCTCTATGTATATATATACACACACACACACACACACACACAAAATGGAATATATTATTGTGTGTGTATACATATATGTACTATATATATATGTATATTATTGGAATATATTATTCAGCCATTAACAAGAAATATTACTTTCAGCTACATGAATGGAACTGACAGTCATTATTTTAGTATTTTAGGTTTCCAATTATTGTCACTTAGAGACTGGTTCTTTTAAATATGATTTTGTGCATGCTATCTCAACACCTTGCAGAAAACTGTTAACCATTATTTGTTTTAATAATCATTTATTCATGTATTCAGCAAATACATAATGAGGCTGGGCATAGTGGCCCATGCCTGTAATACCAGCACTTTGGAAGGCCAAGGCAGGAAAATTGCCTGAGCCCAGGACTTGAAGACCAGCTGGGCAACATAGTGAGACACTGTCTCTACCAAAAATAAAGAAAATTATCTGGGCATCATGGCAAATGCATGTAGTCCCTGCTACTCGTGAAACTGAGGCAGGAAGATCACTTCAGCTTAGGAGTTTGAGGCTTCAGTGAGCCGTGATCTTACCACTGCACTCCAGTGTGGGTGACACAGCAAGACTTTGTTTTAAAAAACAATACCAAACAAAATAAAATGCTAAATATGTAATGAACATGTAACAAGAAATTTTTCATGTTATTTTTTTCCCCTCCTTTCTATAACTCTTACATTAATTTCTATTGCTTGTTGGTGAAATAAGCCAAATAAAACAATATTGTGCCAAACATTTTAAAGGGTTATATGCTGTAGATTATATTAATTCCACTATCACATTACATGACAATTTGACTGCATAAATATTTTACCTTTAAATTGCTTTAGCTTCAGCACTTCCAAAATATTACTTCATTGTGTTTTTGCAAATCATGTTGTTGTTGCAAAGTTTGCTATCAGTCAGATTCTCAGATTCTTTTTTCTTTACAGGGAGTCTTCGCTGAATTCAACGTATTTAAGGTATTTAAAATTCACTCTAATGTGACTAGATAGTCATTTTCCTTGTCAATTCTATTTGGTACTCTGTGAGCCCCAGTTGTCAGTAGTTTTATTTTTCCTTAGTTCTAGGAAATTTGTTATTATTATAGAATTGATTATCTTTTCCCCTTTTCAATGTGTTTTCTGCTTCTTTTGTATTTTTAACATCTAGATCTTAGTAATTCTATTTTTTCTTTTTTTTTAAGGTATCATACTTTTTCTTATATGTTATCTCTCTAATATTTCTTGCTGCCTTTCTGGAAAACTTTTTATTGTGCTTTTTAGTTGAAATGATGTAGGATTTTTCTCATTCACTTTGTAGCCTGGGGACCCCTGGCTGGTGATGCTCCCACTAGGGCCTTACTCAGCCATACTACCTGCCAGAGGAGGTGGCCTGCCCACTCAGCCTGCTGGGACCACACCTGGCTTGTATACCAGCTCGGCCCCAGCCCACCTGTGTTATAGCTCATACCTGTGTTCAGTGGTTCCCAAGTTCTTGTCCCACATCCAAGAAGAATGAGAATACGCTGACAATTGAAGGATGAGGATGACGGAGAATAATTTTATTGAGTGATGAAACAGCTCTCAGAAGAAAGGGGACATGAGGGTGGTCAACCACCTATTGGGTGGTTTCTCTCTCAGTGTGGCTGGGTCTGTGGCTTTTACAGGCACAGAATGGGGAAAAGTGGGCTATAGGTAGCATTGGAAAAGGTAACATTTGATTGGTTAAAAAGCATTATTCAGAAAGAACCAATCAGGAAAGAGTGGGCAAACAGGAATAGAAATTCTCACTCTGGATTGCAGGTTTCAGGCTGTTTTGGGCTTAGAGGTGGGGTTTAACTGGGACCTGCCCTTGTCTGCCTAGGATTTGTCTGCCTACTGCTGCTCTCACAAGTATGCATTTCTTACCTGTTGGCCTTTTTGATTATTTTGGATCCTTTAGTTAAATATAATATTTCTCATATGCAATTAACTGTCTTACTATAAAAAAATCTTTCTAGTTCATGTAACAAGATCTTCTCTTACTTCCTTGGGAATATTTATTATGCTCACTATTCTAGTAATTATCTTCATACATTCTGTGTTGCACACTTTGTTGGCTTTTACAGTGTTTGACTTATTGTCTGTCTATTTATCTATATCTATCTATTGAAGGGTTAGAAAAGATGTGATACCTTTCCTCACCCATAACAGTCATAGATGACATTCCTGTAACAACGACAGGTTAACAAGAGAAAAGCATAACAAATTTATTTATTCAAAGTTTTACCTGACATGGACGAATTCAAAAATAAAGACCCAAAGACCCAGGGAAAATCATCCATTTTATGCTTGGCTTAGATGAAGAATGAACAGATGTGTAGAAATGGGACTGGTCTAAGTGTTAATAGACTTAGAGGGGAAGGTCAGCAAGACCTGTCTGTTTAGATTATTCTTGGCCTCTCTATGCAGCATTTCTTCTTCCTAGGTATAAGGCAAGGACCCTCTGGAATGAGAGTCTTATGACCAACCATCCGACAAGGTGGGTCAGAGAATTTCCTTATGGCCAGCTCCTACACAGAAGGGTGAAGAAATACTGGAGTAATTTTTCTTTTTATATGACCTGCCTTTGTGAAGATGAACTCTACTTTCTATGGATTGCCTTGGGGGAGAAAGAGGAGCAAGAGACATCAGGGCAGGAAGTCAGAGAGAGACTTTGCTTCTAAAGCTGCTCCTAGGACTTTGCAATCTCCTTCAGTTGAAAGTAGTCAGCATGCCAAAGATCAATACTTTAGGCTATTGTTTTCTGAGCTCTAATATCATCCATCCAATTATCTGCCTGTTTATTCATATCCATCACTGTCATCATTAGGTTATTGTTTTTATGGATAAATTGAATTGGGGAAGAGGTAGGCTTGGACCCTTTTTTGTGTCCCTTCAGCTAGTTTAACATAATACTAATTTTAAAAACAGAAATATTTCTATGAAATTATATCCTAAAGCCAGATGGAGAAAGGAATATATATAAACATATCATGATGAATGGCTTTCTGGTTAACATTTCTCTGTTAGAGTGACCCTTGTTTTATAAAACCTAACTTCATAGATAGAACTGAAAAATACTTTTTAAATTTTAGTCAGGCTTCTCTGAGCCCTTTGTTTGACTTGGCTCAACTTTGGCCTTCTGTCTCTGTGTTCATAAAGTACAGTTTTAGCAAGTAAAGTACGGTTTTAGCAAGAATCTTGCTAAGTCAATTTAGCCAGAAGATCCCACCCTTGATATCTAATTACTTTTAATAGTTTAATAAATTACTCATTTTCTACCATCCCCCAGGTAATATTTGATCACTCTGATTTGCCTTCAGCAAGAATTTTGTCACTTTGGTTGATCCAGTATCTCCCTTACTTAAGAGGAAACTTAAGTTTCCTCTTAGTAGTTTTTTATCCACTGACCCCAACCCTGCTCCTTGGATATATATTTCCACTTTTCTTTGTTGTATTCATAGATGAGCACAATCTCTCTCCCTTACTGAGAAATCTCATTAAGATAGTCCCTATACCTATCGTGATGGCCCTGAATAAAAGTCTTCCTTGCTGTTTTAAACAAGTATAATAAATATTTTTTCCTTAACAGTATATATTCTCTAATGTAATGTTTTAAAGCCAATTCTTATATGCAATTATATTTATACATAATATAGCATTTTTTAAAAGTTAAAAAAGTTACTTTTCTAACATGATTTGGAAACTGCTAGAATAATTGAGCCTTAAGTGTCAAAGGCATGAAATTTGCATATAATCTTACATACAAAGCAATTAATTGTTACCTATCAAATTTGTAGACAATCAGAAATTATTCTGAAGCATGTACATCCTAACGTAACAACATCTTACTTATATGGGTGCTTTATTTTGATTTAATTACATTATGGGAGTTTGTAGTTAAGATATATGGCATTTTATTTATTTTTTCTCATTGGTTGATGCTAGTTAGAAAAGTTTTTTATCCTAAATATCTATTTTTTCTCTCTGTTTGGATCTTTCAAATTTGCCACTTATTATTTGGATTGTACCAGAGTTTCTAAATACGTACAGTATTTTAAACTGAAGATTTTCATCAAATAATTATGTGAGTTTTGCTCACAAATAAAGAAAATATTGCTTGTTTCCCATTTAAGGTAATTTCAATCAATATTTTATTTGATATTCAATGATTAATTGATACTGACCAAGACAGCTTTCTTTGTTCCCTTCAACTTGACTAAAGCTTAGGCATGTTTCTTTCTTACTGTAGGCCACCTGGATCTCGCTTTTCTTAGAAAACTTGCTATTGCAGACTCTTTCTCTGCCCCTTTTGAGAGACAGGACTAGCTCGATTTCCCAGGTCGACTAAGAATCCCTAAGCCTAGCTGGAAAGGTGACCGCTTCCACCTTTAAAGATGGGCTTGCAACTTAGCTCACACCTGACTAATCAGATAGTAAGGAGAGCTCACTAAAATGCTAATTAGGCAACAACAGGAGGTAAAGAAATAGCCAATCATCTGTTTCCTGAGAGCACAGCGGGAGGGACAAGGATCTGGATATAAACCCAGGCATTTGAGCTGGCAACGGCGACCCCCTTTGCATCCCCTCCTTGTATGTGAGCTCTGTTTTTACTCTATTTTACTCTATTAAATCTTGCAACTGCACTCTTCTGGTCCATGTTTGTTATGGCTCAAGCTGAGTTTTTGCTCGCGTCCACCACTGCTGTTTTGCCGCCGTCGCTGACCTGCCGCTGACTTCCATCCCTCCAGATCCAGTAGGGTGCCGGCTGTGCTCCTAACCCAGGGAGGCGCCCATTGCCGCTCCCAATGGGGTTAAAGGCTTGCCATTGTTCCTGCAGGGCTAAGTGCCTGGGTTCGTCCTAATCGAGCTGAACACTAGTCACTGGGTTCCAGGGTTCTCTTCCGTGACCCACGACTTCTAATAGACCTATAACACTCACCACATGGCCCAAGATTCCATTCCTTGGAATCCGTGAGGCCAAGAAACCCAGGTCAGAGAACAGGAGGCTTGCCACCATCTTGGAAGTGGCCCACCACCATCTTGGGAGCTCTGGGAGCAAGGACCCCTGGTAACACTTTCAGATGTAAGTCTTCCTCAACTCAGAAATGTTTTCTTAAGAATATGGGAGCCATCTCTGAAAGGTAATCATCAAGAAAGATAGTCCCCAATCTCCTAGTCTCTGGAAGAGTTAGAAACTAACTTCAATAAGCACCACGTAGCAAATACTGATGGCCTCATCATATTCATCAACTTTCTCCACAACTTTTTCAACTTACTCATTATTTTTTCACTAGCTCACACAGGTGCTAAAACCTCTTCCATCTTTTATTTCAAAGAAGTAGATTACAAGTTGTCTCCCACATGGCAATAGTCTTGACCATTATTATAGAAAGTTCCTCGTTGTTTTTAACAAGTGTTCAGTGCAAATTTTTCTTTGTCAATGCATCGTTAGTCCATTTACACATCCTTTAAAGAATGTATACTATGAAAATTAGTTTTAAGAACAATGGTATATTTAACAGAAACCAACACTGAAAAAAGATTTCCTCCCCTTGTGTTTAAGCCCCAGAGATACATATTTTGCTTTGTATTAAGATAGTTTTTGCTCCTTCTCTTACTACTCTATTACATTTTTGGCTATATGTAGATCTTGTCAATAACAGCTATTAATTAGTTGTCGTGACTTGCAAAATCTCTGATTTGGATGAAATACAAGACATGAAGTTTTGAAAAAGAAGCTCAAGAATCATCCAGTAAGTGTCAAATAAGCTGAATATTTCTGGCAAAATACAAAAATATGCATATTACAGTATTAATAAAAATATTTTGATTCCTCTCTCTGTAGGCCCAATAATATAATTTCCTGATTAATTGTGACAGACCCAGAAATATGGAGAATTTTCCACCATGGTTCTAAGATGTTCCTCTTTATCCATCTTGGTAAAATCCAAATTGCCCAAATAATGGTTGGCAATCAGCAAATCAGAAAGAAGAAGGTCTTCCTCTCTGTGAAACTTGTGTGACACCCTCCAATCTGCCTTAGTAAAGCCCCCAAAACCATTCCTTCCTCCTTTTCTAAGTTAGAATGCTCTTTAAAAGCCTTGTCATATGGGATGTTTTTGAATAAAAGTTAATTCTAGTAGTCCTCTATTTGATTTTCTTCCATAAGAGGTATTTCTGTGTATTAAATCATTCTTGTGAACTTTGTGTGTGTGTGTCTGTGTGTGTATGTGTGTGTATATATATATACATATATATAGTTTTACATATATATAGTTTTACATATATATAGTTTTACATATATAATATTTGATGGTATTTTGTTATGGGGTAAAAAAATATATTGCATTGAAGTATAAATGAATTTACCTTTCCACACATAAGATAAAGAATGTTGAAAAAGAAATTACTCTTGCCTACTAGTTCCTAAGTGTTTTTCAGTACAATAATCGCAAGGGAGATTTTGATCAGATAAGTTTGAGAAATGTTGCAGACTGAACACCAGGAATGCTAATGCTGCCATGTTATAGCACATGCAGAGTATGGTGCTATTTGTTTGCCACAGCAGTTTTAGCTGAAGCAAATATGAAGTTCAAGGCCACAGCAGCTAGGTAGAACCAGTCCAGACTTGTAAAGGCCCCAGAGCTCAAGCCACCTCATCATGTCCGAGGCCCAAGTTGTGCAAAACTCTGATCCAGGCTCCTCAGAGAGATTCACAAATTATATTACTCTACTAAAAGTTTGGGTAAATTCTACTCTTAGGGAAACTGGTTAATCCTTTTGGTTGTTATTTGTTTTGCTGTTTTTCTTTTTAATGTCAGCATATGTTGAAAAAGTGTTTTGTTTTAATAAAACCTGTTCTGGGAAAATATTTTAGAAATATTATTCTAAGGCAAATTACCTTTATCTACAAGCTATCATCTTTATTCCTAGCAAATAGTAAGGAAAGAAAATATAAATCAGAAATTATAGAAATATCTTCAAATATAGGAAACTATTTCTCAATCATAAATGATGAAAATTTTTCGAATCTACAAAGGACATTGAGGCAACTATAGCAAATTTAACCATGTCAAAGATATAGAAGCATGGTTTTAAAATAGTTTTTTTATAAGTCCTTTTTCTTTGAAACTTTCTATCTTTTCTTCTCTTTCAGAATACTGTGTTTTATCTCTAATGGATCCTTATTATATCCCTTACAATTCCCTCTGCATTCCAGATATTACGCAGTGGATAAAAGTGCATATTGGTGTGTTGAATATTTTTCACCTTCTAGAGGACAATATTTAATGTTAATTTACAGTATTTTGTTATAAAAAATTTATTTTTTAAAATGAATATATGATCACTATGGAGAATTATTTGATCCATATTTATATCTGTAAAATTTTATAATCAATGTTTTTAGTGCAATTATATTTAACTCACCATTTGTGCTCGTAAAAATAATATGCAAAAATTTACAAATGTTATTTGCTTTACATGAGTTCCTACCATTTAGCTAAATAAAACCTTTCAATTGAGCTTAAATGGAGACATTTTTCAGTGACATAAATAATACTTTAAACGTTCACAGTTCTGCTAAGATTACCATAGAAATAATACATAAAAAAGAGTGACTTGCTTTAACAGAACACTTGCAAGTGAAATAAGATTTTAGAGCAGAGTATTGCTAGAGTAGTTATTAAAAGACATCGAAGCAAAACCAAATAGGAAGAATTTATGCTCTTGAGTGCTTTGCTGAAATCCTTTCAGTCACGTTGAAGCAAGACTGAGTCTGTGCTTTTTCAGTTTTGTGTGTCAGGTAAAACATAGCAGGGGGTGAAATGAATTCATCTTTCTGTCTTCAAGTAAACTAAAAGCAATTTTTGTCTTCCCATGTGGTCACTTGAGGTGCTTGTCATGTTCAAGCTAATGATATCAGGCATCCTCAGGTTGTTTAAGTATTCATGAAGTAATTAAATTCTCATTAACATATAAATAAAAGAAAACTGAAAACAAGTTTAGCAGGCACCTAACATCTGTTCTAATGCTTTTAAGTATTAAAATGTGCCACACACAGAAGGAAAAGTGCATTCTTTTCAGGGAAGTATTTTGCATAGATTATTTATAGAAACTGTAATTAAACTGATTTGGCATATTAAAGAAAGTTAACAGGAGCACATTATTTAGATAGTTTGTTGGAGTCTGTCACTTAAATAAGGCATTAAAAATAGAAATGGGAAAAGTAAAATTAAGTTTTGTTTTACATTTCAGAAATATTGTAAGAGTAATTGAAATTTATTTTCATTCAAAAATGAGATGAGATGGTTAAATTTTAGTCTATGCAGGTATATATCCAACCTTGCAGCTGCACCCAAAAGTTTGTTTCATTGCAAATTTTATAAAATGGTTTTGGTACTTGTCCAAACATTTCACTTAAACCCCTAAATTTACCTTAATCACATGTACAGATGATTTTCTCTTAAGTGCTTTTTAGATATGGTTTTGTCAAATGGTAAAATAGAATGTATTAAAGAGAATCTGGATTTCATTATTAGCCTTCTCGTTTCATGCTATTTTCCACTTACGTTAGATCCTTTCATGCTATGTATTGATTGTTATAATGACAAATTTCTCAAATATTTTGCTGTTTTCCAATCATCTCAATAAAATTTGCTATTCAATAAAATAAATTCACTTATTTTACAAAGAGTTGCATAGGGGTAAGAAAATTAATTTTTCCTTCAACTCTCATAGGTTCTTAGAAAGCACCCCTGTAATAAAAGACAGACTTAATGAGAGAAAGAAAACAAAACATGACCCATTTTGTTGCGTCTCAGAAAATAATACCCACAAAGTTTGTTGCTTTGGTATGCTGAACACCTAAAACTTCTATAGGGAGGCTTTGGAATTGGCCTGGAACTCGAAAACTTTCTGACCTTTCCTGTTTTCCTCCCACCCCCCAGCAGGGGGAGTTTTTCTCTGAAATTTCCTTACTACTTTAAAACCATACCTACCACCAAAAACACAATTGCCTTTTGCCCCCTCCCTGAAATGTCACTATTTCAGGTAGAAGAATGAGAAATGTAATCACACCTGGACAGTTTGTCACAAGATATTGCCTGTATCTCAGACTCATTTAAATTCCAGAGAATCATTTAAAACATAATGTCTGCTTCCTGGGTCCATTTATTTTCCCTAAAAGTTTCTTTCCCCTCTAAAATTGCTTACAGTTCCCCACTTGCCTCTCCCCTGTGACAAGAGTGAAACTGCCTTTGCAAAATTATAGCTAAGGAAATTATGACAGTGAAAGATATCAGACTTAACCAATTCCATCTTGCTTGTAACTTCTAAACTGTCCTTATCCATTCTTGGGTGTAGGTCAAACTAGGCTTGGGAAGGAATTTAGTTCATACTTTAAATAATAGTCCTTCCCAAAAGCTAAACCGTTCTTGTAAAATGAACGAAAGGCCACCAGCTGCAAAGTAAGGATGAGAGGGACTGCAATTCTAACTATTACTAACCATTATTCCAGAGGTCATAATATGTGCAACTTCTCCAATTACTGTTGAGAATAACATCACTACTATGAACTTAAGATTGGCCTGTCAAGATGTCTTTGCCAGTTTTTGCATTTCTGACAACCAGATGGCCCCACCTGGACCTGCCAACCAGTTCTGTGGCCCCCACCCAGGAACTGATTCAACATAAGAGGATAGCTTTGATTCCCTATGACTTCATACCCGAGCCAACCAATGAGCTCTCCTGACTCACTGGTGCCCTACCCACTTGATCTCTGAGTTTTCAGGGAGACTGATTTGAGGAATAATAAAATTCTGGTCTCTCACACAGCCAGCTCTGCATAAATTGCTTTTTCTCTATTGCAGTTCCCTTGTCCTGATAAATTGGCTCTGTCTAGGCAGGGAGCAAGGTGAACCCACTGGGCAGCTATAAGAGTGGTTAAGCTTCAATTAACTGGCCCTATTTCCACTCTCATATTTTGTGTGGCTCCTGTGCTTAAGTATGTTAATACATTTTTACACCTTTTCACCTGTTGATCTGCCTATTGTCAGTTTATTTCAGCAAACTCAATCACTCATAGGGAGAGGAAAAATTCTCTTCACCTGTATAATATGTACATTTCATATATACAGAGGAGACACCCAGGGAATGAGGAGTTACCAAAGAGGTAGTTTTGAATTCCAATTTATACAGCATTGTCAACCTTTGTTCTTTAACAGTAAATTTTTACAGAAGTGACAAGACAAAAAGAGAGGACTTGTAACTTTTGAGAAGGCCAACAAATGGCAGGTAAAGGCTAGTTACTAAAGCCTAGTAATGTAGATTTTGCTAGTCTCTTTTTCTTGTCTCTTTTTCAGATGATAAGCATCTAAAGCTGTTTTCAGTAGTTAAGATTTGTTCTCCCTTCTAGGGAGAACTTTAAATTATTTGAGCCTCGAGAGGAACGTGACGCTGTGGCTTGAGTCACGTGACATGTTGTTGCAAATTCTCCTTTAACTTCCTTTCTTATTCTTGTATTGTAGATGATTAAGAAAGACTTAAAAGCACCATGGAAAAGAGCCCCCATGGGTCTAATACCCCTTTTTAAGTAATGTTAAAGCAATCTTACTTGTGATGTAGCAAACTGTAATCAATTAAATCACTATGATGTATGTATTGGCCTTGTGTGGAAAATGCCGCAACTCTGTTAAATTTATCTATCTCTGCCTATGTAAGTGAAACTATAACTTTCCCACTTTGGAGCACTGACCCCCATTCTTTTAGAGTCTTTGTTACCCAAGCGGAGATCCTCAAGTTTTGAACTTGAATAAACTCTCTACTTAATCATATTTTCTAAATCTCATTGTTGAAAGTTGACATCCTTCATTTAGGCAAATAGGAGGGTAGAGACCTTTCCTGCATCTGCTTATTCTTAATTGTCTTCGACTCAACAATACTTCATATTTGGGGGTGGCATACTCTGGTCTTCAACAGTTGTTAAAATCTGTGTTTACCAAAAGTAAGAGTCAAAGAAAAAAAATCATAATACTGTAAACAAAGTTTAAGTGAAAATACTTACAATTTCTATGATTCTAAATGGAACACGAAACTTGAAATCCATTCTAATATTAACTGTCATGTCCTATTTCTGCATTTAAATTTTGCATTTTTATTGTAAACATCTACAATTTTGTTTATGGTTGGAGTAATATAAACCAGATATTTTGCAAAATAAAATAAGATTATGTTCCAGAGAAAAAAATAAAAATAAAATAAACAAAATGAAACAAAAAACTAGATCACATTTTAGTGGGCTATAGTCACCATACTATTTTTTTTTCTTTTTTAGTACAGGAAAATAAGACAAGCTAAATGTGACTAAGTAATTTTTTTTTTTGGTAGAGAAGATATTAATGCTGCTATTTTAGCCTATTCATATGCAGAAAATCATTATAGCTAGTTATAGCTAGATAATTTCTATTATCCTTAAAATACCACAATATTGTGTAAAATGTACTGTTGTAAACATCAATGGCATTTTAAATGAAGTATTATATTTCTCTTGAAATTTTAATTTTTTTCTTCAAGTGGCGAAGATTTTTTGCTCAACCCAATGTTAGTCAGCCTCGTGAATTTTCTCCTAAGCTCATCCATGTGTGTACCTCCTAGTAAAATTATCTTGTATCAAGAACTCCGCTAAATCGGTTTAATAACAACCCCCCCACATCCTTCATATCTGATCACCCTCATCCTCTATTATCTTCCAGATGAGTCCACATTCAAGCTTGTGGACTCAAGATCACAATTGGCAGTAGCTCACCAGTTTTGGGATAGCAAACCATTTCTCTTTTTCTTTCCCAGCCATCACTGTTTTACTGTCCTGATTTTCAGTGAATTTGTAACCAACTCCCTGTTTTAAGTGTTTCCAGATGAGATCTCTAACATAGCTTCTGTTTTCCTGACAAGACCTAAATATTAAAATTGCCAGTTGGTTTTTATCTTCATAACTTGCTTAGATTTTCCTTTCTCTAGAATATTATTTTCTCTCTGATTTTAAATTTCAGAGTAGCTTCGAGGCCTCTGACACTATTTGTGTGTGTGTGTGTGTGTGTGTGTTTCTTCATCACTCCTTATAGATCACATGAACATTTGTTCCTCCAATTAACAGTTATTTACTATAAGACTTCACAAATTAAAACACATCGTACACAGATAAACAAATAAAATATGTCTTTTTGATTCCTAAAATTGTTTGGATGGATTCTCTGTATAGCAGTGGAGAAGAACAAAATGCTGCCCAGATCCTGGAAGCTTAATGTGGTACAATTATTCAAACAGTTCTTTAGGTAAAATTCTCAGATTTTCCTCTCTGAACCCTCTCTCATCACTCTTTACCCAAAATGTTGTTTGGGAATTGGTGTAGTAAGTCCTCAAAAATCATATGTGGATTGAGGAGACACAGATATTGAAATCCACACAGTATTCTCAGTAACAACACTCCACGCCCCACCCTGGGTCTCTGTTCTAATGTGATTTTAACCTGCCCCTGGGATGGGGGCCTGAGGTAAGGCAGATTCCATCCTTGAGAATTTTGCTGCCTACTGTTGCTAAAATCTTAGGATGGTTTACTTTAAGTCCTGTCTCCCTTACGATAGGAATGTCTTAGCTTCTTTTCTGGAAAACATAGCCCTTTCTTGATTCTCACTAGACACCCATCTGCTTCTTTCCTTGTCCTCCATTTGGCATAAGAACTGAAACCAACATAATTTGACTGTCCCGATTTTACACAATAGTGAGAATAAGCAAAAGAAACTTAGTTACTGTCTCCAGGAAATAATTGCTTCTGAATAATAACACTGCGAACCACCTCAAATAGTTTATTACGAACAGTTCGTCAGGATTTGCTTCAAGATTCTTACGTCAGGGTGTTCACTTTATTCACCAATTCAAAACTATTATATCATAATATGTCTCCTCCTAAGTCCAAATAAAATATTTTCCCATGAATTTTTTCCTTTTGAGATAGTAATAAGACTCTGTCAAATTGATATTTTCTCTTACCACATTAAATCTAAGAACTTAGCTATGGGTGATCAAGTTTTATTTGTTTGCATTTGTTTTTGTTTTTGTTTTCCTAGTGGTTTTTCAAGGACTCAACAGTTGACTGGCAGTTGGTTCAGGCTACCCCTTCTTACCTTGACAGATTCCTTGATATGCCCACTGAGTCCCTACCTTCGTGCTCTCTACATACCCTCTGCAGGGAATTCAGCTTCCCATAAACTACAAGCAAGAAACGAAAGAGACTTTAGAAAGCTAAACTCTGGCCTTCCTCCTGTCTACCCACTTTCCACCAACAAGCTTAGTTTAAAACAGCCACACTTTAATTGTCAGGGACAGCTTGTAAGTCCATTGTTATTCAAAGTCCCAAACATTTAGATGGGAAAAGCCCATTCTCCTTAGAAAATCTCCCAAACCACCTCACAAGTCTCCTTACTTTGGTCCAAAACTCAGAGAGTGGTCACATTAGGAATCATATTGCAATTTCTTAATTATCTTTTTTTTTTCCTAATAGTCTCAATGATTAGAGATAAAGATAATTTTCTATTTCTTCTTTCTTTGTGATTTTCTTTAGAGAAAACTGCCTAATTGACCTGTTCAATCATTTGATAAGTTCAAGGGAAAGTTTTTGCAGTAAAAAGCTCAACTTTGAGAGTGAGGATTGATCAATGGCGTCTTTTCCTAGACCAGTGGCTCTCAACCAGAGACAATATTGATGCCTGCAGATCTTTGGCTTGCGGAGACATTTCAATTGCCATGATCTGGAAGACATTATGGACATCTCCTGCTAAATGTCCTTCAATGCACAGCATGGTCACCAAAAACAAAGAATTATTCAGCACATGTTAATAGTGCTAAGGTTAATAGTTCTGTTCTAGACAATATTACCACCCTTTTTTTTCTACAATAAATCATAAATAAATAAATGCATTTATATATAGTAATAACTTTTTTTACTTTACAGACAATGAGTGTTTCTTTGTTTATTCATTATTCAAGTATGTATGCACACATTCCTATTTAGTGCTGTTGAAACATCTAGGTATCAAGATGATTACAATGCATTACTCTTTGCAGAAGTAATTCCAAAGAATCAGACTCTTAATTTGCAATGCAATTTAATAAATATTTATTGTACATCTATTATGTTTAAGCATTCCTGGAGGATACAAATACGTCTAAATGAGAGTTTCTTTTAATCCAGGGGCTTAACAAATAAGACCTACTCCACTCAGAACTATAATTAGGGTTAAAAAAAGAACCTTGAAAGGAGAGGGAAGTAACAGATTAATTCCTGTTAAGGAGTTGTAGGAAGGCCTTATTTAATCAGGAGAATATAAGCATATTGGGAAATAATAAGCAAGTATTCAAGAAAAAAAAAACTTGTTAAAAAATGCAGCAATTTAAATTCCATGGTAAAGTTGAGTTAATTCTAATAATTTAAAGTTATTTAATACAGTTTATAGGAGCAGTGAGGATTAAAAAGATATTTAAAGAAATTTTTCTTAAAAGGTAAATTATCATGTGGGTATTAGAGGTTCTTTTCAAGCATATGGCTTCACAGAATAATATTCGTGAGAAATTGATGCAAATTTGCACATGCTCAAAAATAAAATATTTGAATTTCAGATTGATTGTTTTACATACTGTACACTAATAAGTATTCATTTTGCATGTTCTTTGGAAGAGAACATTGGAAGCATTTGCCTAATCAATGATATATGTACATCTTCAAACTTGTATCTTCCTGCAGATCAAAATTTGATTTAATTACAGGTTAATGAGATGTATTTGGTTCTATCTGTATTTGATTATGATTTTATAGGGCTTTACTGTTATAACTTAAGATCTTCTTCTTACCTAATATAGTAAGATAATAAAAATACAGCTAAGTCAATTAATTTTATGCAAATTTTTTCATGTTGGAAATAAAAAATAAGCAGGGTAAAAGGAGAGTGTTCTCTTTTAGTGCCAATAAAGACCAGTAGAATCCCATCAGCAGCTTCCTCAAAGGTCAACAGTTTGTGTCTATAAAAGCAAATTTCAATTACCTTGAATACACTCAGCAAGTACCACGTTACTTCATTTATTATGCTTGGCTGTTTAAACTAAAACAAAGGTGCATTTGTGAGATTCATTAGACTGTTCCTAGATAAAAGAATCTATAAGCTAATTTTAGCATTGAGAAAAATTTTAAGACATATTTATTTTGTATCACATAGCTTAAAACAAAGAAGTGCTTATCACCTTCAATTTGCAACCTAAATATTTAAACATCATTATTAATACTATTGCATTGGTTGTTTTAATAGCAGCTTTTGAATACTGAGATTTGTGATTTCTAAAAGTGACACTAAATAAAATTTAATCACATTTATATGAAAGTTATTGTTGCCAATACTACATGAATTAGAACTTGCATTTTTTAAAACAGCAGTACTGAATAAAGCACATTTATTTTTAATAACAACTACTAGTTTATGTTTACCTAACATGAATTTCATAGTGATTTAAATTATTTTAACACAAAATATTAGGCAATATTTGGACAGTCATTCCTGAATTTTTATATAACTCTTCTAGGCCCCATAAAAAGATTTTTATCATAATGAAATGTCAGTTTCTTGAATAATCAGAATGATGTTTTCTTGAATATGTGTGATTTGTGACATCCATGGCATTTCTATATATGGCTGGTAGAGTGGGCTCATTCCTAGTCAATTCATTCATTCTCTACATTCAGTGATAAACACAAGCATTCTAACAGAATTTCCCAAATATAAATGTTACCTGTTCATGAGACAAATAAACAAATGTGACCATAACATGGACATTTATTCTACACATATGATGTGACTATTGCAGTAAAATTAAAGACTAAGTGGCTTTTCAAGTAACCAGGTAAACATTTTATACTGATAGTAATACAATACAGAGTCTTGTTTCTGAAAAGATAAACTATATGACAAAATCAATCAACATCTTTGGAAACAGACAAAGCCTTTTATGATAGCAGAATATTTTTAGGCAAATGTGCAAATGCAAAGATGAGGTAGCAAATAGTGAAATAAATAAACCTCAGTGGTTTAAAATAATTAACTTAGTACCAGATGGTAACCTGAACCCTGTGTGTACCAGCCCCAAATGAGTGGCTCAATTGCAATTATGCACCATTTTCACACTAGAGTTAAGAAAGGCAGTTTAAATGAAATGGATCATAATCACAAAATAGGTAAATAGAAAAAAGAATTTGATCTTTTAATCTTAGTGACTCTCCATTAATAATAAAGGCTTTCTTATTCAGTGCTAATAGAGGGTCAGCTATCCTTTTGCTTTTCTGTGTTATTATCAAGTCTTGTTATTGAAATAATGGTTTCTATGAGAACTCTGCAGGCTCTCCATTATCAAACCTGTTTATGAGATACAAGAAGCATAAGATATCTTGAGTTTTTAGCATTACAGCTCATAAGGTCAGCCCATTGGTGAAGGTGAGGGATTTCATTTCGGACTAGAACTTCTTAGCTGACAAAATAACTAAGGACTTAGAGACTGCATAGCAGCTTGAAATGGTTAATGACTATATATATATATTCATTATATATAGAATTCATTATATATATATATATACATTTTGCATATTATCCTCTAAAATGTGAAATGTTTATGCACAGGCAAGCACATACACACATCAACATCTATAACACACACACATATAAATGCACACATATATATACACATACGTGGAAAATCCTAGAGATAATATTAATATTAGATATGTATTTCTGTTTTGTTCTATTTTGAATTATTTTATTTGAATCCAAATAAAATGAATTCATGTTATGATTGTATGTATGTTAAATAAAATTTATATGAGGTCATAGGTTTGGAGTAAGCTCCTGCTCTAGGCCCATCAGAACATGCCAAAAGGGAGTTATGCATGCTGAAATTCCAGGCCACCAAGCTGAAATTAAGATCCTCATCTGAACTCCTGAGAAACAGCCAGCCTGATAAGGAAGTCTCTGCCTTAACCTTTACATGAGAAATAACCTTTAAACTACCAATCCTGTTTCTGCTTTCTTCAGTCCTCTTCTGCCCATAAAACCAACCTCCTCTGCTTGGCTCATCAGAAGACTCATTCTAGTTTATAGAAATAGTCATTGCCTGATTCCAGAATTAAAAATAGGCTGGGTGCAGTGACACCCACCTTTAATATCAGCATTTTGAGAGGCTGAGGTGGCAGGATCACTTGAGCCCAGGAGTTTACAATAAGCCTGGACAATAAGTAAGACCCCATCTCTATAATTTTTGTTTTAATTTAACCAGGCGTGGAGGTACATAACTGTAGTCCCACTGACTCAGAAGGCTGAGGAGGGAGAATCACTTGAGCCCAGGAGGTCAAAGCTGCAATGAACTGTGATTGTGCCACTGCACTCTAGCTAGGTGACAGAGCAGTGTGAAAAACAGAAATGAGAGTAAAGGTGTAAGAGAAGGCTGTTCTTGAAGCATCAACACAAGTACTACCTACTGGTGTCCAGTTAGCAATCAACCCTCACGCTCCTTTGACCTCTGAGAGACAAAAGAAGAGTATCTAAGAACAAGAATTTATCATTGCCACAAATAATCACAAAAATAAATACAGGAGGACTGAAATAGTGTTATACATTTTTTATTTTTTATTTTTTTTTTTGCCAATGGGAGTGACTAGCAAGTGATTTTACAGCAGGATGGCAAGGCAAGTGAGTCACAGTTCAGAGTTGCCAGAGTTTGATGTTCTGGTGGAAAAGTTGAGTGGAAGTTTACTATATGTGATTTAATGATCCCTTTGATGGGAAGTAGGTTCAAGGAGGACTTTGACTTCAAGAAGGTAAAATCTACATGTAAAAATTTAATGTATTAATAAAAAAGAGCATTTCATAGCTTTGAAGGATGCGATCTAGAAAAAAATTATGTAACATTTTAGAAAAGTTTTACCCATGACTTCAGCCCTATGCCAATGCAAGGACTGGATAATACAGTCTTGTAATGAAATATTGAAACTATGGAAATTGAATAAAAAGGTAGAAAGGTTTTTCTGAACATGTCCTCAGGTTAGAAACATTTTTATTATTATTTTTATTTGACATAATAACTATACATAGTTGTGGTGTATACTGTGATATTTTGATACATGTTTAGTAATGATCGACTTAGAGTAATTAGCATATCTGTAGAAACATTTCATGAAATGAGTGCTAAACTCAACTACTGTGCTAGACACTTGTTTGCTTTTTCCACAGATATTTCTTCCAGCACTTCAGAATCTCATTATTACAGTTTCCTCTGAATCTTAGTCTTGGTGACCAGGAATTGAGAAACATCTGTTGCTGAGCTTCTGGAAGTTTTTAATAATTTTTTAAAAGATTCATAGCATTGAAATACTACTCTAATTAATGAAATTTTGGGACATCCGTACTGCGAGCACTTGACATTTTTTGTGTTTACAGAAGTGTACTATACAGAGATGGGACAATCTTGTCAGAACGCTGCTGCCACCACTAACCTCACTTGCTTTGCTAGAAACAATCACTACTATCTGCCTTTACTGCTGCTACAATGGCTAACACTGTTGCTGGAGAGCAGGTTATAAAATATTTGAAATATGTCTTTTTTTTAACTTTTAAGTTTGGAATACATGTGCAGGTTTGTTACACAGGTAAGCTTGTGTCATGGGGGTTTGTTGTAGAGATTATTTCATCACCCAGGTGTTAAGCCTAGTACCCATTAGTTATTTTTTCTGATTTAGTTATTTTTCCTGATCTTCTCCCTCCTCCCACCCTCCACTCTTCAAAAGGCCCCAGTGTGTGTTGTTCCCCTCTCTGTGTGCATGTGTTCTCATCATTTAGCTCCCACTTATAAGTGAGAATATGGAGTATTTGGTTTTCTGTTCCATTGTTTTTTAAATCATATGCTGACAAGTAGAAAATCCATGTCCATTATTAAAGCCAAGAATTTTACATAAATGGGATCACACAGTATATTTTGTTTGATTTTGTTTGTACAATTTTGGTATTTAGATTCTAGCACTTAACACATTTAAGATTCAATCATGTTGTTTCAAATTTCTAGAGATCCTCAGTTTTTAGTACACTCATATTTCTAGTATATGCCTCAATACTGCTGAGTATTACTAATTGTATTCCTAGACAACAATTTATCCAGTTATTATTGATTTATATCTGGGTCATCACTATCTTTTTGGCTATTATCAATAATCTTATAATATTGACACATTTTAAGTGTGTTTGGATAAACATCTAGACTTGGAATATCCTGATTATAGGGTACATAAATGTTTAACTTTTAAGGAAATCGTAAACAGTTTTCCAAAGCAGTTGTACTATTTTACACTTCTACCAGCAGTGTATGTGGGTCGCAGTCTAATATAATACAGTATTTGAAGATGTTCATCTTTTTTTGTTTAAGCCAATCAATTAAGTGGGTAGGTTTTGCTGTGTCATTGTGATTTTAAAATTCTCATTTCTCTGATGACTAATGATGTTGAACACTTTTTCATACTCTTCCTTATTATTTTTTCCTGTGAAATGCTTTTCAGTCATTTGCCCATTTTTATTGGGTTGTTTTTCTTTTTGTAATTGATTTGCAGTAGTTCATAATGTATTTTGTTTTCAAGTACTTTTTAGTCTTTAGCATATCTATTCATTTCATTTGTAGTTTTTTTTTCATGAGAAGTTTGTAATTTTAATGAATTGTCTTTTTTCTTTTATGATTCTTTCTCTGGTTTAAGAAATATTTGCTAAACAATAGGTCCTAAAGATACCATTTTTATTTATCTTCTAAAACATTATGCTAGATATTTTCTACATTTAGGACTCTGATACAGCTAAAATTGATTCTTGTGCATTGTGTGAAATAGAGGCTGGCTTCCTTTCTCCTCCCATGTTGATATTCACTTGTTCCAGCACCATTTGGTGAACAGATTTTCTGTTCCCCATTGAATTGTTTTGGCATCCTTAAAAATCATTTGACCGTCTATAAGTGGGTCTATTTCTGTATTCTCCATTCTGCTCTATTGACCTATTTGTCTAACCTTTTGGCAAGACTACACTATCCGGATTAATGTAGCATTATAATAAATTTTGAAGTACTTCAACTTTTTTGTTCATTTCTTTAAGTTGCTTTGGCTACTCTTGATCTTTTGTCTTTCCAAATAATTTTAAAATCACCTCATCAATTTCTAGAAAATAATCCATTTTGAATTGTAACAGATTATTTTGGTGCTATAATTTAATCTTGGAAGAATTGCTATCTTTACAATATTGAGTTTTCAAATGTATATTATAGGACATATTATTTCAACCTTCCTGAAGAATTATTTGTTAGTATTAACAGCCTGAAATATTATTACTAGACATTTATTCTAAGCAGAATAAATGTGTTAATTCTAAACAAATAATCAATTGCATAAAGTTATGTATATATAAAAACTTCATGAAACATTATTCCTAATATTTATAACCTGGAACCAACTGATGTCAATAGTAGATTGTGTAACTTTATTTCAAATATTGATATTATGGAACAGAGTGACATCCTTAAACTGTGCATTTAGAATTAATTTTAATTTTTTTAAATTGTCAAATATAATTATATGCATTTATTATATAAAGCATGATGTTTTGAAGTATATACACATGATGGAATGATTAAACCTATTAATTAACATATGCATTAGTTTACATAGTTATGAAGAAATACAGTTATGATAAATTCATACAGAAAAAAATAAGTTAAAAAAAGTCCAATATGTTCTACTTTTTGTAATCACACATGAAACTATTAGATTACCTACCAAAATATGACTCCATTTGATAATTTTATCTTCCTGCTTTTTTATTACTGTATGCTTTTTTGTATTTTAGAAATATTTACAAATTAAAAGCATTTTTTACTTTGTGAGAAGAAGCTATTTTAATACATATATAATCTTTTTTATTCCTTTGTTCACAAACTTTTTTTCTCTTTGCTTATTGTTTCTAATAAGCTAAAATGGAAAATGCACAAGGATGGTAAACAAATCTCCCATACATAGTCCAGTTTCATCTGTTAAATGAATCTCATATATTTTAGGTACAATAGATAGCATACAGTTTTCTGAAAATTATATATATATATAATATATACACACCCATACACACACACACACATATACACACATAATATATAACATATATGTATATGCATAATTATTTTTCTTTTTATTGTTACATTTTTATCTTCAAAAATGTTATGATCGTGTGTGTGTGTGTGTGTGCGTATGCAGATAAACGTGCTTCCTTTGGAACACTGAGGAATATCAGAAAAATTTTATCATCAAGCAGAATTAATTGCTCCTATTGTCTTTCTTGCTATGGAAAAGCCACATGGTGTAGAATATGCATAAGAATTACAGACAGTTTTTTAGGCCCAATTGTGGTTTGTGGTTATAATTTAGCGACAGCATAGCCAACACACTATGTACTTTCCTTGGTAAACTATTAAGTAACCTGGCTATAGAAGGGAAGAGAAAGCAGACAGTTTTATTGATCTTTGTTGTTTTTTTTAAGCATATATCAAACAGGAATAAAGGAAAAATAATGATACTATCAACAAGAGAGAAGTTTTAGTATTGGCCCATAGGTATGAGTAGGAGAGAAAGTAGAAATCTGGTAAATCTTCAGTTTAAATGTTTAGAAATGAAGTCTATGGATGGTGCTGACAATTGGCTTGCTTATATGGGGCTAGATGGTTGAAGTACAATGAGCATGAACATCTGGATGTAATGAGAATCTAATAATTTGCATAGTTGTCATATATGTGAATATTGCAGTCATTTGTATCATTTTAGTATTGGAGGCCAAGCAGAAGGAATCAGAAGAAAACAGAAACCAGAATAGATTTGAGAATAGTCAAACTGCATGATGTTAAAGGAGAGAAGACATTTGTTTATATAGTTAGACATGTCATTGTGCAGAAGGAGCAGTGAGGCAAGAGGAGGGAGTTTCATCTCAGATTCTCTCAAATTCTGTCATATGAGGGAGGAGGGAAAATAACATAGTCTCTTAAGAAAGCTGCAGGAAAGACGATATGTGCAGTTTTGATCTGGGTTTAGGTAAGACAACAAAAAGGGATTATACTATAATTATATAATGTAGATTATTTTACAATTTTCTTAGAGAAAATTTTCATGGTGTATGAGAGTTTTCTTTGGTTGTTTTTACCTATGGAATAAGATTTTTTTAAAAACGTAGTGAGTTTGGAAGGGTTGAGAATTGCCTGCAGCTACATGAAGTAGTTAACAGATAAAATTGGCTTAAAGAAAGAGAAAATTAATTTTTTAATTTAAAAAGGTCAGAGTTAGGAAATCCTGGGATAGTTCATTAGTGTCTTGAGATCATCATTTTACAGACTTCTTCTGTCTCTCTGCTCTACCATCCATAATGAATGCTGTAAAACTCATGGTCACCTGTCTCATGGTGACTTTCTGCCTTATAGCACTGGTTACAAACATTAGATGAACAGGCAAACAACAAGGAGAAAAGAGGGATGCCTATATCAGAAAACAAAATATGCCCAAATATTTCCATAGACTCTCACTGATACCTGAGACGAAACTGCAGCTTCATGGGAGTCTGGACAATGTTTTGTTTTGTTTTATTTTATTTTATTTTATATTTTTTCTAGCAAGGCCCATTGCTACCATGATGAAATCAGGGATGATAATACCTAACTCATTTTTTTTACCCAGATGTCTGAATTATCATTTTAGGACTTTCTTCACCAAATATGAATATTTCTTTACTGAGACTGGTAATTCTCTGCTCCCCACTATCACCCTCAAAAGCACAAGGAAAGAGCAGGATAAAAGTAAAGAGGGGACAGAAGGGAAAGCTGATGATAGGATCATTCATTTCAGCCACTGCTTTGGTATGTGACAAATAAAGAATCTGATGGTAATAATCACCAATGTTTTCTTAAAAATAGCCATAGTGATCCTAGTTTGAATTGATTATATTTCTGAGAGATTCAAAGAGTAAGATTTCTGATGGATGCTGTTGAGAATTTTAGAAAAAAACTATTTGCCCAAAGGAATATTTAATGGAATGGAATATTTAAACTGAGTGAGAAAACCCCTAAAATGATGATGTAGATATGTACATAAAATGGAGTTAGCTATCAGCTTCTTATCACCCCATTCCTCCACCCCCATACTATTATATCTTACCTATTCAAATCCATGGCTTAATCATATGAAACTAGCAATGCATTTCACAATGATTAATTAAGAACATTTAATAATATGGCAAAAAACTTATATTATTAAATGGTAAAAGTCTATTATGAAATTACATACATTATGACTAATCTTTACCACTCCACACCCCATAATTAAAAGAATATTTACCCAACTGTTGAAAATGTTTATACTTGGGTGGAGTAAGTATTATTTTCTCTGCACCTTTCTGTTCTTATCATATCACACGAGTCACTATTGTAATGAGAAAAAACTCAGGGTATATGCTTTTAATAAAAGTAATTGTTTTGCTAAGTGACACTTTCTGAAAAGTATTTTCCCCTTTAATGGCCTATGTCATACATATCCTTTCCTACATTTCCTGGAATGAACCAGGTTATTGCTCTATGTTTGCACATCTTCCAATCATGATCTAAGGAAGCTCATTCTCTGTGGTTAGAGATTGGGATACATTGGTAAGCCTCAGAATTTCTCAGGAAAATTGGTAAATATAGCTACTTAATATTAGGAAATTGAGACAGCTCCATTCTCTCTCATTAAGAACCTGAAGTGATTAGTTGCATTCTAAATAAACCAAATGTCTTTTAGTATTTTATAAATAAGACAAGCCACATAATATTCTATTTTGAATTTTCCAGTATTGTTGATAATGCATAATGTGATGCAGACTGACATTACAGAGATCGGCTGCTTTTTCTGTTTGATGATGTTTTTAAAATGTTTTACAGCAAATAATTATGCAACACATACATTTATCTTCATATTACAGTGACAATATATTTGTAAGTCAGTGAAGTACTGCATTATATTTGCATTTATTTCCTTTGGTAAAACAACAGTTATATTTTTATTCTTACAATTTATACAACTTTATTCATGCACACACTAACAACAACAGCAACAAAAATACTAGACTTTTTTTTATAATCACACACCTATAAACTTACTCAGAACAGGATGTGATGATGAAATACTATTGGGTATATTAATACAATAAAAATGCTACTGAGAGAAACTCAATTGTTGAGTCTAAGATTTCCATTAAATTTTAAGCTTTAGGGAGGTGGCAGCCAGGGGGAAGAAATACTTATTTAATCACTGTGAAGTTCATTCAATAAATAGCTGAGTGCCTACTATGTGCCAAGTCCAGCAATAAGCTCTGGGAGCATAACATTAAAGGGTAAAAGACTGTCCTTGTGAAGATTTCATTTTAATAAAATAAGGCAAGTCATAAAATGGGAGCCAAAGAAATATATACTGTGCCAGCTGGTGAGTGGCACACTATACACAAATCAAGGTAAGGAAAATAGGTATTTCTATGGTTAGGGACAAATTGCTATGCTGTATTGGGTAGTCAAGGAAAGCTGACATTTGATCAGAAGCAGAAAACTTTGTGGCTATCTGGGGAAAAGAGCAAATACAAAGACCCTTCAGTAGTGTAGAATGATGTTGGGGATCCTGGGCAGCAGCAAGGATGGTTGTTGTGGTTAGGCAGAGTGAAAAAGAGAGAAGTAGTAAAGTCACAGGTAAAGTGTGGTGAAGTTCTTCTAGGCCAGTGTAAGGTTATTTGTTTTAGTCTGTGTGTGATACAGAACTAATAGACAGTTTTGTGTTGAGCAAGGGGGTGACTTTGACAAATTTAAAGGATGATTTTAGCTGCTCTACTGATCATAGACTGTAAACACACAAATTTGAAAACAGGAAAGAGACTAAGGAATAATCCAGTACCTCATGCCTCTCTGGGTCCTTATGAGGGTGGTAGTGTTTAGGGAGAGATTTTGAGTGTCAGAATCTGTACGTATTTTGAAGGTAGAGTCCTCAGTATTTACTTATGTTTTGGATTTGTAAATTAGAGAAATAGAGGTATCAATCGTAACACTAAGTTTTTGACTTAGATAAAAATGAAACAACCATTTACTGTGATTATGAAATGAAGAATTGTTTGAATTGGACAAAATATGAACTATTTTGTCCAACTTAATTTGAAGATTAATATTATTAAACTTCAGAAAATGAGCCAATCACACATTATTCATGTGGTGTTTGCTAATATAAATTAGTAATCCAACTGAATCAAAAGTGAACACTCAGGAGAGAGTCATCGCCACTGGCTAAAGGAAGATATAAAAAATTTCAACACAGTTTTGCCATGGAATTTCTTATTTCTATGTGTGTTCTCAAGGAGAAAAAAAGGCACAACAGTTACCACAAAATTTTAGGCAGCCAATAGAAAGAATTAAAAAATACTAAAAATGGCTTTAACCAGAAAGGAAACATATGAAGATGTCCTATTACACAAAAAATGTAAAAATTAGAGGTTCAATTGGCCAACAAACTTCTACTAAAATCAGACACATGTTTGAAGGATTTTCTTTGGGAAGAGTTATACTTGGAAGAGGCAGAAAATCATACGACTAATAAATGTTTGTTTCTTAAAATTGTTCTTTGCTCTGAAATCAGGAACATATGTTAATTGTGATTTAATAAAATTGATAGAAGACTGGGATAGGAATCTTTATTTTGAGAACAAGCCAGTCATTAATCCATAGCATTTTACACATTGAAATACATATTTGTAAGGTGTTTAGTATTGTTTATGCATAAGCAACTATAATTCAATGTATTAGATAATAATTGTGTATGTTGTTCTCATACAGGTCCCAACTTAGAGACTCTGTGATTGTTTGTATTTTCAAAAAATATTCACTCTGAATTCTTACACACATAATTGCATTTATGTAGCACTTGTATTTATTTATCTTATTCTCTTTGCTCTGGCATATTGTTTTTGTTTTTGTTTTTTTTTTTTTTTTTGGTCTGTTTTACTTTGGTTAAAAGAAAGCTAAATAAGAAGCCATTCTTTTTTCTCTGGTCACATAGACATTCTGTCTGCCCTTTTAAAAATTAAATATAATTAAAATATAATGAAGGTTAAAAAATTAAAATGTAAATAATACATTAAGAACATATTTTTAAAACAGAAAAGTATATGTGACATTTTTTATAATTGATAAAGAAAAAATATTTCCTTTCTTATTACCTAAATAACAAATAGGCAAATGAGAATATTTCCTCATACATTTTATGTGACTTATTCTATTAATTAAATTATTATTTAAAAGATTTTTATGAATCATTTTACAGATTACTTTCTACACATTCATATGCTAGTGAATTGATAAACAATAACTGCATACAATATCAGTTATCAAGTTTTCTCTTTATATATAAGTATTTATGAAGGCTTATAATCTAGAAATATTAGCTGAAATTTTTCTTTTAGGTATAAAATTTGGGTCATGAAATAACAGATTAAAAATAAAATATAATCATTACTCAACTTTTACTTACATTTTAGTGATTAAGTACTTACTTTTATTTATACTAATGTTTTGCCATGGTTAATAACATTGCTGCTATGTATGTGATTTGGTAGACTGCAGAGGGAGCTAGCTGAGATGCGTTTCTCCAGCTATGCCTTAAACCTTTTTCACAAGTTCTGTAAACCTCACTTGACTAATCCTTGGAATAGCACTGTATCTCTAACCGTCTTTCATCCCTTCCTATGATATCCAGCTCTATTAATAAAGAAATGCTAGGCAGCAAAAAACACAGGAAAATATGTCTATTTACAGTTACTTTTACAAAAATAAACCCAGAAATTCATAGTATTTCATAACAGACATTCCTATGACAGGAAAAGTACCTACAGGTTTATTTGATTCAACATTTAAATTTACATCCTTAAATGTTCCCAACTTGTTCCCCCTTTATACTCTAGCAATGTTGTCCTTGGCCATCTCTCTTTACAATCACAAAATGACTATTACAGTTTTTCCTAGTACATAAAAACACAAGAACATCCACCATATATATGTGTGTATTCATTCTCACTGTGTGCGTGTGTGTGTGTGTGTGTGTGTGTGTGTGGTGTGGGGAGTTGTATCTTATTATGTGTTTCTTTTCAACCCTTTTTCATTCCCTAAAAGTTGCTCAGCAAACTCCCCCTCCTCCCCCTCACACCTTATTAACTACAGCTCTAACAACTCCCTATTTCCTGGTAAGGGGAATTGAGCAGGGCTGATATTTATCTGACTTGTACCAACATGTGGCCTTTCCACTTGTTAAATATTGAAATACCTATGGATTCCTTCTTGTGGGGCTCAGAACACAATGACTTAAAACATGGCAGCTTGGCATAGTGAATATTTTAAGCTGAAGGAAATTGAGAAAACTGAAAATGCAAGATCTGACCTTCTCCTTCCCTTCTCCTCTGAGAGCCTCTTATGTGACAGGTGTCCTGTCCTATACCCTGAGGAAAGGAATAAAGACATACAAATGCAAAGAAGAATCTGAGCAAACAGGCATTGGCAAGTTTACCTCAGTTGTTACCATTATATCATATTCTCTCTTGTGCAGTCATACTTCTACATGACTTTCCAATCATCAAACTTAAGCACAAAAATACAGTTTTCCCTGTTTCTTTGGGTATCATTCCTGAAATCTCTTATGTCATACAAAATTTTTACTAAATAAATTTGTTAGGCTTTTTTCTTGTTTATCTGTGTTTCTTATAATGGTGTTACATGGTTTGGCTCTGTGTCCCCACCCAAATCTTATGTTGAATTGTGATCCCAAGTGTTGGAGGTGGGGACTGGTAAGAGGTGATTGTATCATGGGGGTGGTTTCTAATGGCTTAGCACCATACTCCTAGTGCTGTCTTGTGATAGAGTTCTTACAAGACCTGGTTGTGTGCAGCACCTATCCCTCGCTCTCTCTCCTGCTCCACCATTTAAGAAGTGCCTGCTTCCCCTTTGCCTTCCGCCATGATTGTAAGTTTCCTGAGACCTCCCCAGCCATGCTTCCTGTATAGCCTACCAAACTGTAAGTTGATTAAACCACTTTTCTCCATAAATTACTCAGTCTCAGGTAGTTCCTCATAGTAATGCAAGAACGAACTAATACAGTTGTCAGCCACGAACTTTTCAACAGGTGAGAAAAAAGTTGTGTTTCTTCTTTCCTACACTTGTCAAACAACTGATGCAAATCCACCTAATGTTGCTAGGATCCTTACCTCAGTAGCGCTTGAAAGGCAGTGCCTGCAGCTGCAGGAAGATGTATGGGAACAGACACAAAAACTCTCCCTCCCAGATAAGCAAGACAGAGACACAGAAACATTCCAAGCCTGTGATAAGCTCTCTTGCCCTAAACTCTTAAATATTCTTAGTCTGTAAAACAGTGCTCCTGACCTCACTCGGCCAGAAGCCCCTCTCAGGTTTATTCTCCACAATAACCCGGCCTTTGACTGTTGAGCTGCTTTTTGTGTTTCTTTCTTCCTTCTTCACCTCTTACAGGCAGCCCTCTCATATTCAGTATCTCATAGCAAGAAGCCTCCATACTTCCACTCCAGTGGTAAAACAGTCCTCCATTCCAATTGGTGGATGCCTTTGAAGTATCAACTGTTGAATATTTTGCAGTAGGTAAGGGAGGGTACTAGGGAGAATTAGGATTACTGTGCTTAGTATTACACAGCTCATGGATACATGTAAGTTACTGGGTTCCTTACTAAAATCAGTTTTTTGTTGTAAAAGAAGAAAGAGGAAATGAATGGTGACTAGAGTATCTACTACAACAAGCAATATAAAAGCCCTCATTATATGTGTAACAATAAGAACTGTCTTTTATGGGTGAGGCTTCCCAAGGAATTCCTGCATGCTCTATTAATAACTTAAAGGACTAGCTACCTAGCCACAGAAGAAAGCTGCCCTATTCCTTGCAAGTTACCACTTATCATATTATTCAATAATTGTTCTTCTGGTTATTGTTGTTGTCAAAATATAGATACATTCCTTATGAATACACACCTAACCCTAAACCCTGAAATATGTAAGACTAGTCTTAAAATCCAGCAAGACTTCACTGAGAACTTGAGAAGCACAAACAGGAAGCAATGTAGGGAATTTTCAAGAACAACAAAAACATGAAACAAAATGTGTATCCTAGACTCTATCCAAGACACAATTGTCATTGACTTATTGTTCCTTAGACTCCTGGCTATTGTTCAGTTATAGGAGTCAGTTTCCTTTTAACTGGGTGAAATTCCTTAATCATCTCCCCTTGGAACTAGAGCCTAGTTTCTCAACTGCCCTTTCACTCTAAGTGAGGAAAAAAATAAACAAACTCTTTAATCTCTTGCATAATTCTATAAAATAGACTTCAATATTATCATAATAATAATCTTGCTGCAAGGAGGCAATTTTGCCCAGAGGGAAACAATTTTCGACATTAATATGCAGAACAATTTGGTATTGTTTTAAAACCTTATTTCAATTAAAAAATGTTTCTTTCTCACTTCTATCACCAAAGGCCCATTTAAGTGATTCCCATATTCCCACTTTCTCCAAAAGTTAAACTTCACCCCAACAAACGTTGTCTCTAACTAGAAAAACTTTGGAATTACATTTCTTCGAGTTATCAATTATTTGATATTGGAGCCCAGTCTCAGAAGACTGTTTGTAACAGTGCCTTATAAAATATCTCTAAAATTAGTCTTTTCAGCAGAATATAGCATATAATTCAACTGAAACATAGTCAAACTGAAGGAGCCTTAAGGTGATATTCAACATGGTTGAAAATATAAACAGTTTTGTTTACCCTCAGCACCAGAAAATGATCTTCAATAGATCTATTTTCAGTATCCTGCGAAATATACCAGAAATGCCTCCCTCACCCAACCCACATGCTTAGGACTAAATGAAGACAACAAACAAATTTGTTGAGAATGAATCTGTGTGCCAAATTCATAAGTTTGAAATATTAATAAAATAAATTTTCCTATTTTGTGATCCTGCTTGCTCCCTTGCTCATTTTAACAGAACATCATGAAGTGTTCCATGCTCATTGCTCCAGGGAAAGATAAGTGAGTCTAAAGAAGTCTAATTTTTGAATTTCACATAATTCGTCTTTGAGGAAAGTGGACATAATTCAGGGCATAAACAATAGGCTTTTGGAGACAGACATGAAAGAACAGGTGATTGCAATGCCTCTTCAGACTGGGAAAGGAATGCCTAAGTTGAAGGTAAGAGATGAGCATGGATGCATAGTGGGTAGATCAAAACATATTTCTGCAAAAGAAGTTATCATTTTCCTGTTCCACAATCCAGGTCGAAGAGGGATGAAAACACCCCTGAAAGTGTACAATTTAAAAGAGTCAAGGCAATATAGATTTTGCTTTTCATGTAGAACTAGAGAGTGGGAGGCAAGAGCTAGAAATCTCAAGAAAAAAATAAATGGCTATATGAATAACCTAAGTAGATGATCTTAAACAGTCTCATATGGTTTCTAGGCAGAAGTGTGAGAATGATTTCTTTCAATGGGACTTTGAGGATTAAAATGAAGGATGATTCAATGGCATCCCATATGCACTGATGACTAAGGACATGACAGGATGATGAATGTTTTAGTAAATACCATCATGGACAGATGATGATGAGAACCAGATGGCACAGTTTCAACAACAAGTAACAAACAATCCAGCTGTCAATGACTTAAGCAATAAGGGCATTCTTTACCTCACGTAACAAGGATTCAAGGGGCCTGATTACTTTAGAAGCACAATGATGTCATTAGGATCCTGGAGGGTTTTTGTTCATATTCCTCCCAGTTAACTTTAGGTGTTCAGCTTTAGTTCTGTCTTTCCCTCAAGCATCATTAGATACCTACCATTGATTCTTGGCAACATATTCACTACACTGCCTCCAAAAAAAGGAGGATACATTCTCCTTGAAAAATATTTTTGTATAAGGGAGAGAAAAAAAAAACACTTGCCTGGACACCTAATGTCGTCTTCCTATTTGTATTTTAGAGACCATGACTAAAGCTAGGTGAAATGCCTAAAGCTAGTCAACTGTCCTTGACTTTCTGTCATTTTCTGGCCTCTATAAAAGAAAGTATTTGTATTTTTTAATGTGATGATTAGTCAGGCATGATCACAAGAGGAGACACAGGAAAGGCTTAAGTAAACAACATTTATGATACTCACCTAGAGACAGGTGGCATGAAATGTGGTGACGGGCAGGTAGGAAAGACACCAAGGTGCTCAGGAGGCAGAAGAGACGAAAGAGTGGGGAAGTGCTTAGGCCATGGACTTATCAGGAGTTTACTAGAGAAAGTCAGGGCAGGGCAGGGAAAACAGCTTAGGATTGGTTAGCTTGAATAATTTTAGCAGGATTTAAGCTATAGGGGTAGTCTCTAGTTGCCTGGCACCTGGTCCTGTGATAATTAAGGAATATTGCCTCTTGGGGTGAGCAGGTCAGATAGTAGAGACATTATTGGTTTGGTTAGGGTGCACATCAAAGTCATGCTTCTGGCTGGGCCTTTTGCAATTTTTAAGAATTGACTAGCTTATGGAGAGGTGGTCTCTTCCCAGCTACAAGGTTTTTTAAAGATTTCAAAACAGGGCCTGGTGTAGTGGTGGCTCATGCCTGTAATACCAGCACACTGGGAGACTGAAGCAGGATAATTCGTTTGAGCCCAGGAGTTCAAGAACACCCTGGGCAACATAGTGAATCCCCATCTCTATAAAAACAAACTCAAAACATAATAATATACAGAATATTAATATCATGAATAATTATTATGCATAATATAAAAAATATATATATAAGCACACAAATAGGCAGTGAACTCTTTCAGCAGGAAGAAAAGATGAAAGAGTTTCGGGAAAGGGGAAGAATGTGTGTTTGGCACACGAAATAGGAAAAACAGAAAAACAAACACCTATCAGGTTGCAATGAGAACATAGCATTATTTTTGTGATATTCTTATCAAAAATGCATAAAATGAATCTAAAATGTAATCATGAGGAAATATCCGATAAGTCAAAGTTAATAAACGTTGGATGAAATAACTGCCCTACAATCTTCAAAATCTGAGAACTGTCCTAGACTGAATAACACTGAAGAAGTACCATAATTAAAACTATATATGATCTTGAATGAGCTTATTCCATTATTGGAACATTTGATAAAACTGGTATGGGATTTGAGAGTTAAATGGCGTACTATCATAGCACAAATTTCCTAATCTTGATGCCATAGGCTTTGTCAATACCACATAGAAAGGTCTTTTCTTGCAGCATAACGGAGAATCCAGGCATGAAGATGACTAATTTCCTTTAGCCACTGTTTGAGGAACTGCTCAGAAATGTAATCACTATGATGAAGAAAGACCTAGAAATTACTAAAGTTTATTGATCATTCATTTTAAAAAATAGCATTTACATAGTTTATCATGCATAGACATTCTTTGTAAGGCAATTACTTCTGGGGAGGGGAATTGGCTGACAAGAAACAGGGGAATAGAGAGATTTTTATGCTGTACCCTTGACTTGTATACTATGTGCAGGCATTGTCTATTCACAAGAATAAATAATAATTTATTGGTTTATTAATAAATCAATAAATTTATTAATTATTAATCATGATTTATTTATTCCTGTGAATAACAAAATGAATGAATGAATGAAAATATTTCATTATGTTTTAATGTACCTATGATGCAATAGGGGACCACTGTCTCCCAACTTTCTGGTTGGTAGAGAAAATGGATTTCTAAGCAGGGGACTGAATGATCAGAAAGGCAAAAAATGTTCATATTTCTCCTCTCAAGTTCAGTTTATTGAGTTCACAGATATTAAACTGTCGGTAAGTTGTCTTCAACCCATTTTCACAAGCCTTAGGATTAGGATATATTCTGTCCAAATTCTAATACTCTGCTGTCTGTTAGTTTTAGCATTGTATGTTGTTAAATATTTTCTATTTTAGGGAGTCACTATGGGTATTTTAGAGAAATGCTGGGTAACTATGCATCAGAAGCTTTTATACATCACCAGATGCTATTATACATCAAAAGCCGCAGATGCACACATATTTGAATTGCAAACTGAAAGCAGCTAACCCTAAGTTTTAAGGTTTGCAATAACAAAAATCTTAAGTGATTTTATAAAGAACAACTCTAAAATGTAGAATATAATCATCAAATGTTAATGAACATAAATAAAGTGAACAGTATATATAAAACAATGTACAATAAAATAGCTATATAGCTTTTTTAAATTTTTTTGAGACAGAGTCTCCCTCTGCTGCCCAGGCTGGAGTATAATGGTGCAATCTTGGCTCACTGCAACCTCCACCTCCCAGGGTCAAGCAATTCTCCTGCCTCAGCCTCCCAAGTAGCTGGGATTTCAGGGGCATGCCACCACACCCGGCTAATTTTTTTGTATTTTTAGTAGAGACAGGGTTTCATCATGTGGCCAGGCTGGTCTAGAACTCCTGGCTTCAAGAGATTCACCCACCTTGGCCTCCCAAAGTGCTGAGATTACAGGCGTGAGCCACTGCACCCGGCCCTATATACCTTTTAAATGACGTTCCAAATGCTTTATAACATCCTAGCTTCAAATAACAAAAGACTACGAGTAGTGAATATTCTATATATTGATTCAGATATACAAACACTGATTTAAGTACACACAGATTCTCTTCAAATATGAGTAATATAGCAATATGCTTCCTGCTATTCTAAAAAATCAAGATTCATAGGATCTACCACTGTCACTTAATATCTGTATCAGTAAGAGGATATTAATGACAGGGCAGCCTAACTTATGAGATGTAATGAGCGTAAAAATAAATTTAACATATAATTTTGCAACTGTCTTTTTAAATTATTCTGTGAATACATATGATGATATAAGAAATAGAAAATACTGTGAAAAATTTTGTGGAAATTACAAAATAAAAAATATTATCAGATAAATCTATTTTCAGTTTTTTGTAAAAATATTTTCTCATAGTTATTAAAATGTGTACCTCTACAACTCAAGAATACCTCACTTATATTCTTGTTTTTCTTTCAATGACATATTCAAAGAATTTAACAGGTATGACCAATTTTTCATCATAAAAATTGTTGACCAATCTATAACAAGTTATTTTTCCTTTTTTATTGTGATAAAAATAAACACTATAAAATTTACCATCATAGCCACTTTTACGTGTACAGTTCAGTAGTGTAAATTATATTCACATGGTTGTGAAACAGATTCAAACTTTTTCATCCCACAAAACTGAAACTCTATACCTTTTAAACCACAATTCCCCTTTTTTTCCACCCATTTCCTAGTAACCTTCATTCTACTTTCTGTTCTGTTAATTTGACTACTTTAGATAGTTTATATAAGTGGAGTCAAGCAGTATCTGTCTTTCGGAGGCAGGTTTATTTCACTTAACATATTTTCCTCAAAGTTTATCCATGTTGTAGCATGTGAGAGAATTTCCTTCCATTTTGTGGCTGAATAATACTGTATTGTATGTATACATCACATTTTGTTTGTTCATTCCTCTGTCAATGAACATTTGGGTTGCTTCTGCGGAGTTCTGTGAGATTCCATAAACATTTTAGGATTTTGTTTTCTATTTCTTAGAAAATGCCCTTGGGAGTTTTATAGGGATTTGGTTGAATCTCCAGATCACTTTGGGCAGTATTAACATCTCAACAATATTAAATCTTCTCAGCCATGAACATTTGATCTTTCCATGGATTTTTGCTTTCCTTTCATTTCTTTCAGCAACATTTTGTAGTTTTGAGCATCCAAGTCTTTCACTTCCTTGGCTAGGTTTATTCCTAAGTATTTCATACTTTTTGATGCTATTTTAAATTAATTTTTAAAAGTTTTTTTATTATTTATTTATAGTGGATAGAAATAAAACTGATTTTTGAGTGTTCATTTTTTAACATGCAGCTTAGCAAAGATTTTATTACTTCTAACAGTTTTTTGTGGAATCTTTATGGTTTTCTATATGTGAGATCATGTAGTCTGTGAACAGAGCTAACTATTTCTTCCTTTCCAATTTGGATGCGTTTTTAAAAATTGCCTAATTACTCTGGCTAGGACTTCCAATAGAGGCTGAATAGCAGTGGTAAGAATGGGCATCCTGATCTTAGAGAAAAATCTTTTTAGTCTTTCCTTATTGAGTATATTGTTCCCTATGGGCTTTTTATACATGGCTTTTACTATGTTGAGGTAATTTCCTTCTATTCCTAGTTGAGTGATTTTATCATGGAAGAATGTTGAATTTTGTCAGATGCTTTTTATGCATGAAATTAGATAAAGATGTGGTTTTCATCCTTCATTCTACTAATGTGGGGTACTACACTGATTTATATTTGTATGTTGAAACATACTGCATTCCATATATAAATTCCATTTGGATGTGATGTATAATTCTTTTTAATGTGTTGTGGAGTTTGATTTGCTAATATTTTTGCTTAGGATTTTTGCACCTATAATCATCAATTATATCGGTCTGTAGTTTTGTTTTGTTTTTTCTTGTAGCGTCTTTCTCTAGCTTTGGTATCAGGATAATGCTGGCCTCTCAGAATGAGCTTTTGGAAGTAATCTCTGCTCTTCAAGTTTTTGGAAGAGTTTGAAGATAAACGATGTTAACTCACCTTTAAATATTTGATGGAATTATCCAGTGAAGACATCTGATCCTAAACTTTTAAAAATTTTCTATTATTCATGATTTAGTCCTTGTACATTGTATGTTTCATTTACTACAGGTTAACCAATTTGATGGCTTACGGTTGTTTATGGTTGTCTCATAATTCCTTTTAATGACTCCTCTCTCATTTCTGGTTTTAATTATTTGGGTCTTCTCTCTTTGTTGATTACTTAATATAGGGCTTGCCAATTTTGTTGATCTTTCTAAAAAAATCCTTAGTTTTGTTTTTCTATCACTTCTCCATTTCATTTATTTCTATTCTAATATTTATTATTTTATTTCTTATAATAGCTTTGTGTTTTTTATTTTTTTTCCTTTTTCGAATTCCTTGCAATGTAAGTTTTGTTGCTGACTTGAAATCTTTCTTGTTTTTAAAATATACTTGTTATACTTGGTACTGCTGGGCTGCATCACTTAAGTTTTAGTAGGTTGTGGTTTGGGTTTCATTTATCTCAAGGTATTTTCGAATTTTTCTTGGCTGCTTCTTTAACCCATTGGCTGTTTAAAAGTATGTTCTTGGATGGATGTGGTGGCTCACGCCTGTAATCCCAGCACTTTGCGGGGGCTGAGGCAGGCAGACCATGAAGTCAGGAGTTCAAGACCAGCCTGGCCAACATGGTGAAACCCCGTCTCTACTAAAATACAAAAATTAGCCAGATATGGTGGTAAGCACCTGTAGTCCCAGCTACTCAGGAGGTTGCAGTGAGCCAAGATCGAGCCACTGCACTCCAGACTGGGTGACAGAGTGAGACTCCATCTCAAAAAAAAAAAAAAAAGTATGTTCTTTAATTTTAATTTTATATATTTGTGAATTTCTCTGCTTTCCTTGCTTTCCTTGTGCTATTCATATCTAGTTTCCTTGTGCTATTGATGCCTAGTTTCATTTACCTTGTACTATTGATGTCTGGAAAAGATACTTAGTACTATTTCAGTCTTTTAAAATCTATTAAAACATTGTGGTCTAAATTGTGGTCTGTTGTAAAAAATGCCCATGTGTTCTTGAAAAGAATGTATGTTGTGCTTTTTGGTGGTGGTGGAGAGGGGGTAATTAGTGTTCTGCATATGTCTCTTATATCTAATTGGTCTGTATTGTTGTTAACGTTCTCTGTTATATTATTTATCTTCGGTCTGCTTGTTTTATCCATTACTGAAAGTAGGGAGGGCCGGGCACGGTGGCTCACGCCTGTAATCCCAGCACTTCGGGAGGCCGAGGCTGGTGGATCACGAGGTCAGGAGTTCAAGACCAGCCTGCCCAACATGGTGAAACCCTGTCTCTACTAAAAATATAAAAAATTACTTGGGCATGGTGGCACATGCCCACCCAGCTACTCCAGAGGCTGAGGCAGGAGAATTGCTTCAACCCAGGAGGCGGAGGTTGCAGTGAGCAGAGATCGCACCACTGCACTCTAGCCTGGGTGACAGAGTGAGGCTCCATCTCAAAAAAAAACAAACAAAAAAAGAAAGTAGGGTATTGAAGTCTACTACTATTATGGGCTGCTTTCTATTTCTCCTTCAATTTTGTCAAAATTTGCTTTATATTTTGGAGGCTTTGACATTTGTTGCATAAATATTTATAATTGTTATATATTCTTGATGAATTGACACTTTTATCATTATATAAGTTCTTCTTTGTCTCTTCAAACAGATTTTGACTTGAAGTTTATTTTTCTGATATTGTTATATCCACCTCTGTTCTTTTGTTATCTACCATTTGATAGGGATATCTTATCTATGTTCATCTTTTTGCTTTCAGCTTCTGTGGGTCCTCAGATCTAACGTATGTCTTATAGATAGCATAGAGTTGAATCTTCTTTTTAAATCCATTCAGCCAACCTTTCTTTTGATTGAGTAGCTAATCTATTTACATATAATATAATTATTAATAGAGAAAGACTTTTGTCATTTTGTTAATTGTTTTTTCTGTTTGTTTTACAACTTCTTTGTTCCTTCTCTCCTCTTGTACTGCCTTTCTTGTGTTTCATTGATATTTATTGTGACATGCTTTAATTTCCTTCTCATTTCATTTTGTGTATATTTGGCTAATACATTTTTTGTGGTTACCATTGCAATTACAAAACCATTTTAAAGTTATAACATTCTATTTTAAGCTAATAATAACTTTATGTTAAGCTAATAATTTTAATTACCTAGAAAAACTGTACTCCTTTACAACTTCATCCCATACTGTATATTATCAATGAAACAAATTATAACTTTACATGTTATATAACCATTAGCACAGATTTATAGTTTTTCACAATGATTTTGTCCTAATTTTATTTAAGAATTAAAAATGACCAAAGTTGCAATAATATAAGGTTACTATTTTTGTCCATGTTTTTATATTTTTTTCAACAACTTCGTAGAACAGGTCTAATTGTAGTGAACTTTCTCAGATTTTATTTATCTGGAGTAGTTTTAATTTTTCTTCAGTTTGTAAGACATAGCATTCTTGTTTGTAGATTTTATTAATTTATTTATTTTTCTTTTCTTTTAGTCCTTTGAATATATCATCTTCTCAGGAGAAATCTTGAAAGCCAGAGAGGAGAGGGTTAATATATTTAATCTTTTGGAAGCTTCCTTATAATGAAATACTTTTATCTTGCTTTCACAAGTCTCTTTGTCTTTGACAATTGGATTATAATATGTCTTTATGTGGGGATCATCAGTTTTATTCTAATTAAATTACATTGAGCTTCTTAAATTTTTATTACGATTTCTTTACTCAAAATTGGGACTTCTTTGGCCTTCGTATCTTCCAGTGAACTTTCTTATTATTTCTCTATTTTTTCTCCATCTGGGACTTATATAATGACTATATTTGTTGGCTTGATAGTTTCCCATAATTCCCTTACACTCTATTTTTCTTTGTTTTTTTGCTTTTTGCTTCTCTTATTTAGTAATTTCAAATGGCCTGTTTTTAGGTTTGCTGATTCTTTCCTCTGATCAAGTCTAGTGTTGAATCTCTGTAGTGAATTTTTTTAGTTCAGTTTGAGAATTATAAAACTCTTGGAACATGATAACTCTATCCAAACCTCTGTGTTAAGAGACTTGAACAAGCTCTAGCATAGTTTCTAGCAACATAAGATCTTGTTCCTAAAATGACTCCAGCTCCCTACACCATTAAAATCTCTGCCTGCTGCTGCTGTCAGAAATTTCTGAATAAAATCTGTTTTTACCACTTTAACCACTTTAGCTGTGCTTAAATAAGTTATAGTATTTAAAAAAATAGATTATTTTGTACAAATAATTTTTTACTAGTTACCGAATTTTTCAAGACTATATTTCATTTGGTTCTTTTTAAATAGTTTTTCTTTGCTGATATTCTTACTTTATACATGTACCATTTTTCTTATTTTAATTAGATATACAATGCTGCAGCTCTAATGTGCTCTAATTGCAGCTCTAATGTGCTACGTTGCCCATTTTCAGCAGCTTCCAAACTGTTGTGGACTAAGTCATGTGAGACAGAAACCTGTCCTTCATGCAGCTCCCAGTAAAGTCAGAATGTTAGGAGCTCAATGAACTCTACTCTTTTTCTATCCTAAGGGCGGACTCCTGGCATGGGAAGTTTCCTCCCAGTTGCACCTCACTGCGACACATCAAATGAGGGGCATGGACAGGCATGCAAATATCACAAATAATCTCACCCCGTTTTCTGGGAAGCTTTCTTGATTTTATGTTGACCTGGGTACTATAGCTTTCCAACTAGTCCAACTAGTTCTCACAAAGGTACTCTAATTTGTTTAATTTTTTTTTAATCTCAATTTATCTACTGGGGGATATAAGCCTACAGCTTCCTAGTTTTTCGTCTTATCAATGTCTTCCCTTTTACTCCTTTTTGTTTAAGTGACTTTTGATTTTTTTAATTATAAATTCATATGAGTATCAAGTTGAAACGTTAAAACATTTCAAATGAAAAGCGAACATAGTTAAATTTTTTAAATGTATGACGGTGAAAAGAATTAAAATTATGATTTTTTTTCTCAATGGCAATAGATAATTTTTATCTATTATAAAATGATGAGTATGGTCTTTACATAATATAAACTAAAGAAATATGTTGAAAAATATAAAAGTCACTCAAGCACAGCACTGTAAGATGTTCTGTTCATTATGTAGGGATTTTGCTCTCTATATTTTTTAACAATATACAGTTTTTTTGCAATGTATCCTAATTAATACTTTCCTCTTTGTCTTTTGGACTAATTTTACCAGTCATCTTTATCTCGAAGAACAATATATTGAAGGCATTGTTTCCATGTCAATATATGCAGATGTTCATCTTTATTAATAATGACTAAACAGTACTCATTGTGTGGATATATAATTATATGATCCACCTATTAATAGATTTTTTCCTTTCCCTCTGAATTTTACTAAAATAAACAAAACTAATAAGAGATAACATTATATATATCTTTATACAATTGCTCAAATGTTTTCTTAAGAAAATTACCGGAGGAGGACTTTTAAAGTTAAAAGGAATATATACTAAATATATTCAAAAAATTACAGTCCTAAAATGTCTCATCAGTTTACTTTCCTATTTGAAAGTTGGAGTATTATTTGTTCTTTCATACCTATCCCAATAATGTTACATATCAATTATTTTGGTGCTTGAAAAATAATTACTTTCAATTGACATTTACTTTATTGTCCTTGATTTAAGACATATTTGCATAAGTTTTAGTGAATGTTCTTGTCTAGCTTATATTTACTGTTCTGTTCCTTTGAGTACATTTATTCTAGTGAAGTCATTTCTTATATTAACATACTCATATGACACGTTAATTATTTAGGACTGTTTTATTTATGTTTGTAATTTTTATATTTTACGTTTTTAATGTTTAAGATGTGTTTTTAATAAATTTTATTTTTTAGGTATACAGCCAAACTGAGTGGAAGGTGCGGAAATTTCCCATATACTACCTGCCCCACACATACATAGTCTCCCTCATCAACATTCCCACCATAGGGGTACATTTGTTACAATCAGTAAACATACGTTGATACATCATTATCACTCAAAGTCCATAGTTTACATTAGGGTTCACTCTTGGTGTTGTACATTCTGTGTGTTTTGATAAATATATAACGGAGTATGTCTGTCATTATAGTATCATATATTTTTCACTGTGCTAAAAATACTCTGTGCTTTGCCTATTTATACCTTCCTCCCCCATCCTCTAGCAACCACCAATCTTTTTACTGTCTCCACAGTTTTGCCTTTTCCACGGTGCCATGCAGTTGAAATCATATAGTACATAGCCTTTTCAGATTGACTACTTTCACTTAGTAATATGAATTTAAGTTTCCTCATTGTCTTTTTATGGCTTGGCAACTCATTTAGTTTCAGTGTGCATTCAAATTCCATTATCTAAATTTACCAAAATTTATGTGTGCATTAACCTACTGAAGGACATCTTGGTCACTTCTAAATATTTGCAATTATGAATAAAACTCCTATAAACATCCATATGTACTTTTTTTGTGGACATAGTTTTTAACTTCTTTGGTTACCCATAGGAACATGATTACTGAATCATGTGGTAAGAGTTATGTTTAATTTTGTAGGAAACTGCTTTCCAAAGTGTCTTTACTATTTTCTATTTCCATCGACAAGGAATGTTGGTCTATATTCTTGTCAGCATTTGGTGTTGTCATGTTCTAAATTTTGGCCATTCTAATAGGTATGTGCTGATATCTCACTGATGTTTTCATTTGCATTTCCCTTATGCTGTATTATGTGGACTACCTTGCCATGTGCTTATCTACCATCTACACATCTTATTTGGGGAGATGTCTGTTAAGGTCTTTGGTCATGTTTTACTGAATATTTTATTTTCTTATTATTGTTATAAATAGTTCTTTGTATATTTTGGATAAGAGTCCTTAATCAGATATGTATTTTACAAACATTTTATCTCAGTAAATCACTTGTATTTTCATGTTCTTGACATTGTCTTCCACAGAACAGATATTTAATTTCAGTGAAGTACAGCTTATCAATTATTTCATGAACAGCCACTTTGGTATTGTATCCAAAAAGTCACCACAAAACCCAAGGGCATCTAGATTTTCTCCTACTTTATATTATAAAAATTTTATTTTTTGTTTACATTTAGGTCTGTGATCTACTTGGTGTTAATTATTGTGAAAAACTGTAAGCTCTGTGCCTAGGTTCATTTATATTCATGTGTTTGTTCAGTTGTTTTAGCACCATGTATGTAAAGACTATCTTTGCTCCATTGTGTTGCCTTTGGTCTTTTGTCAATGATCAGTTGATCAAATTGATGTGGGTCTGATTCTGGACTCTCTATTCTGGTCCATTTATATAATTGTTTATTCTTTTGGAAACGTCATCTTTTCTTGATTACTGTAGCTTTATAGTAAGTCTTAAATTTGGGTAGTATCAATCTTCCAACTTCATTCATCTCCTTCAATAATTGCTCTGGCTATTCTGGTTTTTTTTTCCTCTCTTTCTCTCTTTCTATAAACTTTAGAATCAGTTACTGATATCCTCAAAATAACTCACTGGGATTTTGATTGGAACTATGTTGAATCAATAAATCAAGTTGGAAAACACTCACAGCTTCACAATATTGAGTATTTCTATCTCAACGGAGAATACATCTACGTTTACTTAGTTCTTGTTCAATTTCTTTCATTAGAATTTTGTAATTTTCCTCATATAGATCTTGTGCCTATTTTGTTAGATTTAAAACTAAGTATTTCATATTTTGTAGTGCTAGTGTAGATGGTATTAATTTTAAGTTCCACTTGTTCATTGCAGTATATAAAAGGTGATTGACTTTCGTATACTAACCTTGTGTACTGCATTTTGAACACTGGGACTAGTTCCAGGAGTTTTTGTTGATCTTTCTGGATTTTTCTACATAGACAATCATGTCATCTGTAAACAAAGAATATTTTATTCCTTGCTTCCCAATCAGTATACCTCTTTATTAACATTTGTTGCCTTCTGTTACTAACTAGGACTTCCAATACGATGTTGAAAAAAATTAGTGAAGAGACATCTTTGCCTTTTATCTTGCTAGAAAAATACTAGTTCCTCAACATTAAGTAAGATGTTGGCTGTAGGTTTTTTGTGCTTTCCTTTCCTCTAATGTCTCAGTCTCGTTTTGGTATTTGGATGATGCTGGCCATAGAATAAGTTAGGAAGTATTCTCTCTGCTTCTATCTTCTAAAAGAGTTTGTAGAGACATCATAAAATATCTTAAAATTGTTGAAGATTTCACTCAGGAATCCATCTGGGCCTGGCTATTTTTGTTTGGGAAGGTTATTAATTATTGATTAATTATAAAAATAGATACAGGCCTATTCAGATTGTGTATTTCTTCTTGTGTAAGTATTCACAGATTTTATCTTTTAACGAATTAGTCCATTTAACCTAGTTTATAAAATCAGTGAGCAGAGTTATTCATAGTATTCCTTTATTATCTTTTAATGTCAATAAAAGATGTCATGATTTCTGCTCTTTCAGTTTTTATTTTTTAATGTTTTATTAGTTTTTAATTGTATTATTTCAATAGTTTTGGGGGAACAGGTGGTTTTTGCTTACGTAAATAAGTTCTTTAGTGGTAATTTCTGAGATTTTGGTGCACCCATCATCCAAGAAGTGTACACTGTATCCAGCGTGTAGTCTTTTGTCCCTTACACCCATCACCCCTTCTTCTGAGTCCCCAAAGGGCATTACATTATTCTTATGCCTTTGCATTCTCATAGCTTAGCTTTCACTTATAAGTGAGAACATATAATATTTGGTTTTCCATTCTTGAGTTACTTCATATAGAATAACGTTCTCCAACTCTGTTCAGGTTGCTGTGAAAGCCATTATTCCATTCCTTTTTATGACTCAGTAGTATTCCATGGTATGTATGTACCACATTTTGTTTATCCACTCATTGGCTGATGGGCATTTAGGCTGGTTCAGGATTCTTGCAGTTGCAAGTTGTGCTGCTATAAACATGCATGTGCAAGTGTCTTATTCATATAATGACTTATTTTCCTCTGGGTAGATGCCCAGTAGTGGGGTTGTTGGATCAAATGGTAGATCCACTTTTACTTCTTTGAGGTATCTCCATACTGTTTTCCATAGTGGTTGTACTAGCTTACATTCCCACCAGCAGTGTAAAAGTGTTTCCTTTTCATCACATCCATGTCACCATTTATTATTTTTTGATTATGCCCTCTCTTGCAGGAGTAAGGTGGTATCATATTGTGGTTTTGATTTGCATTTCCCTGATAATGATATTGAGCATTTTTCATATGTTGGTTGGCCATTTCTATATCTTCTTTTTAGAATTGTCTATTCATGTACTTTGCCCACTTTTTGGTGGGATTATTTGGTTATTTCTTGCTGATTTGTTTGAGTTCCTTGTAGATTCTGGATATTAGTCCTTTGTTAGATGCATAGTTTGTCAGTCTGTTTACTCTTCTGCTTATTTCTTTTGCTGTGTAGAAGATTTTAAGTTTAATTAGGTCCCATCTATTTATCTTTGTTTCTGTTGCATTTTTTTTCCAGGGGGGAGGTGTTCTTGGTCATAAGCTTTTTGCCTAAGCTGATGTCCAGAATAGTTTTTTCCATTGTTATCTTCCAGAATTCTCATGATTTCAGGCCTTAGATTTAAGTCTTTCATCTATCTTGAGTTAATTTTTGTATAAGGTGAGAGATGAGGATCCAGTCTCATTCTTCTACTATGGCTTGCTAGTTATCCCAGTACCATTTGTTGAATAGGGTGTCCTTTTCCCACTTTATGTTTTTGTTTGGTTTGTCAAAGATCAGTTGGCTGTAAGTATTTGGGTTTATTTCTCGGTTCTCTATTCCATTGGTCTGTGTGCCTATTTTTATAACACTACCATGCTATTTTGGTAACTATAGCCTTGTAGTATAGTTTGAAGTCAAGTAATGTGATGCCTCCTGATTTGTTATTTTTGCTTAGTGTTGCTTTGGCTGTGCAAGGTCTTCTCTGATTCCATAAGAATTTCAGAATTATTTTTTCTAGTTCTGTGAAGAATGATGATGGTACTTTAATGGGAATTGCATTGAATCTGTAGAATGCTTTTGGCAGTATGATCATTTTCATAATATTGATTCTACCCATTCATGATCATGGAAGGTGTTTCCATTTGTTTGTGTCATGGATGATTTTTTTCAGCAGTATTTTTGTGTTTTTTTTCTGTATAGATCTTTCACTTCCGTGGTTAGGTATATTCCTAAGTATTTTATTATTACTATTATTTTGCAGCTGTTGTAAAAGGGATTGAGTTCTTGATTTGTTTCTCAACTTGGTTGTTGTTGTTGTACAGCAGTGCTACTGATTTGTGTACATTGATTTTGTATCCTGAAACTTTACTGAATTGATTTATCAGACCTAGGAGCTTTTTGGATGAATGTGTAGGATTTTCTAGGTTTACAATTATATCTTTGGCAAACAGCAACCATTTGAGTTCCTCTTTATCTATTTGGATGCCTTTAATTTCTTTCTGTTGTCTTATTGCTCTGGCTAGGACTTCCAGTACTTTGCTGAATAGAAGTGGTGAAAGTGGAGGCATCTTTGTGTTTTTCCAGTCCTCAGGAGAAATCCTTTCAATGTTTCCCTGTTCCGTATTAAGTTGGTTGTGGGTTTGTCACAGATTACTTTTATTACCTTGAGCATGTCCCTTCTATGCTGATTTGGCTGAGGGTTTTAATCATAAAAAGATGCTGGATTTTGTCAAATGCTTTTTCCATATCTATCGAGATGATCATATAGTTTTTGTATTTAATTGTTTATGTGATGTATCACATTTGACTTGCATATGTTAAACCATCCCTGCATCCCTGGTATGAAGCCCACTTGATCATGGTGTATTATTTTTTTGATATGCTGTGGAATCCATTTAGCTAGTATTTTCTTGAGGATTTTTCATCTATGTTTATCAAAGAAATTGATCTGTAGTTTTCTTTTTACTTTATGTCCTTTCCTGGTTTTGGAGTTAGGGTGAAGCTGGGATCATAGAATGATTTAGAAAGGATTCCCTCTTTCTCTATCTTTTGGGATAGTTTCAGTAAGATTGGTACCAATTCTTCCTTAATGTCTGATAGAATTCTGCTGTAAATCCATCTGGTCCTAGAGGGTTTTTTTGTTAACATTTTTTTTTATTATTAGTACTGTTTTAAGCTTGGTACTTGTTATTAGTCTGTTCTGAGTTTCTATTTCTTCCTGATTTAATCTGGGAGGGTTGTATATTTCTAGGAATTTATCTATCTCCTCTAGATATTCTAGTTTGTGTATGTAAAGGTGTTCATAGTAGCCTTGAATGATTTTTTATATTTCTGGTATCGATTGTAATATATTCTGTTTCATTTTTATTTGAGCTTATCTGAATTTTCTCTTCTTGGTTAATCTCACCAATGGTCTATTGATTTTGCTTATCTTTTCAAAGAACCGGCTCTTTATTTAATTTATCTTTTGTGTTTTTGTTTGTTCCAGTTTCATTTACTTCTGCTTTGTTATTTCTTTTCTTCTGCTGAGTTTGGGTTTGGTTTGTTCCTGTTTCTTTAGTTCCGTAAGGTGTGACCTTAGGTAGTTTATTTGTGCTCTCTTATACTTTTTGATGTAAGCATTTAATACTATGAACTTTCCTCTTAGCACTGCTTTTGCTGCATCCCAGGGGTTTTGATAAGCTGTGTCACTATTATTTTTCAGCTCAAAGACTTTTCAAATTTTTATCTTGATTTTATTGTTGACTCAAAGATCATTCAAGAGCAGATTATTTAATTTCTATGTATTTGTATAGTTTTGAGGGTTCCTTTTGGAGTTAATTTCCAGTTTTATTTCACTGAGTTCTGAGAGAATACTTGATATAATTTCCATTTTCTTAAACGTATAGAGACTTGTTTTGTGACCTATTATATGCTCTATCTTGGTGAATGTTCCATGTGCTGAAGAAAAGAATGTATAGTCTTCAGTTGTTGGGTGGGATGTTCTATAAATATCTATGAAGTCCATTTGTTCTAAGGTATAATTTAAGTTCATTGTTTTTTGTTGACTTTTTGTCTTGATGACCTGTCTATTGCTGTCAGTGGAGTATTGAAGTCCCCACTATTATTGTGTTGCTGACTTTCTCATTTCTTAGGTCTGGTAGTAATCATTTTACAAATTCTGGGGCTCCAGTATTAGATGCATATATATTTAGGATTGTGATATATTTCTGTTGGACCAATTCTTTTCTCATTATATAATGTCCCTCTTTGTCTTTTTTTTTCACTGTTGTTGCTTTAAAGTCTGTTTTGTCTGATATAAGAATAGCTACTCCTGCTTGCTTCTGCTGTTCATTTATGTGGAATATCTTTTTTCCACCTCTTTACATTAAGTTTATGTGAGTCCATGTGTTAGGTGAGTCTCTTGAAGACATGAGCCATCCACCAAGACACCACTTGTTTGGTGGATTTGTATCCATTCTGCCATTTTGTATTTTTTAAGTGGAGATTTTAGGCCATTTACATTCACGTTAGAATTGAGATGTGAGGTACTGTGCTATTCCTCATGTTAATTGTTGCCTTAACACCTTTGTTTTTTTCTGTTGTGTTAATGCTTTCTAAGCCCTATGAGATTTACACTTTAAAGGGGTTTTATTTTGGTGTATTTCCATGTTTTGTTTCAAGATTTAGAATTCCTTTTAGCAGTTCTTGTACAGCTGAGTTTGTAGAGGCAAATTCTCTCAACATTTGTTTGTCTGAAAGAGACTTTATCTTTTCCTCACTTATGAAACTTAATTTTGCTGGATACAAAATCCCTGGCTAACAATTATTTTGTTTCAGGAGGCTAAAGATGGGACCCCATTCCCTTCTGGCTTGCAAGGTTTCTGCTGAGAAGTCTGCTGTTAATCTGATAGTTTTCCTTTATAGGTCATCTGATGATTTTTTCTCACAGCTGTTAAGATTTTTTCCTTTTTTTTGAATTTTGATAACCTGATGACTCTGTGCCTAGGTGATAATCTTTTTGGAATGAATTTCCCAGGTGTTCTTTGAGATTCTTGTATTTGGATGTCTAGATCTGTAGTGAGGCAGGAAAGTTTTCTTCAATTATTCCCTCAAATATGTTTTCCAAACATTTAGATTTACCTTTTTCCTCAGGAACACGAATTGTTCTTAAGTTTAGCTGTTTAACATAATCACAAACGTCTTAGAGGCTTTGTTCATTTTTTCAATTATTTTTTCTTCATATGTATGATTAGGTTAAACTGAGAGCCTTATCTTCAGGCTGTAAAATTCTTTATTCTGCTTGTTCTACTCTATTATTGAAATTTTCCACTGCATTTTTCTATTTCTCCAAGTGTGTCTTTCACTTCCAGCAGTTGTGATTGCTTTTTCTGTATGATATCTATTACTCTGAATAATTTTTCATCCAGATCCTGTACTTTTTAAAAATTTCTTTAAGTTGGTTTTCACCTTTCTCTAGTGCCTCCCTGAGTAGCTTAAAAATCAATTTTTGGAACTCTTTATCTGGCATGCAGAGATTTCTTCTTGGTTTGGATCCATTGCTGGGGAGTTGGTATGATCTTTTGGGCATGTTATAGAACTCTGTTTTTTCATATTACTAGAATTACTAGTTCCTTCTCATTTGGGTACAGTATTTCAGTGGAGATGTCTGAAACTCAGGGCTGCTGTTTCAGCTGCTGCTTGTCATGCTGACAAGATTCTCTTGTCCCATGGGGGTGATTCCTTGATGTCATGCTCTCAACCTTACCCTTGGATTGGGGCCTCCTGATTGCTGAACTGCAATGATTCTTATTGCTCTTCTTGGTCTAGCTACTTATTGGGCTCCCAAGCTCTGGGCTGGTGCTCGGGGATGTCTGCAATGAGTCTTGTGATGTGATCCATTTTCAGGTCTCTCACCCATGGATACCAACACCTACTCTGGTAGAGGTGGCAGGGAAGTGAAGTAGACTGTGAAAGTCCTTGGATATGTCTAGTGTGCTGGCTTTCATCAATTCTGGTTGTGCTAGCAATGAAGTTGTCATATGGACACACTCAGGTTCTCTGGTTAGCCACAATGCTGCAGGCAGTAGAATTAGGTGTTGACATCTCCTTCCTGGAATCAGGTTTATTCTGTCATGAGTTGCTGTAATGGCCTAAGTTGATTTGTCTCAAGTCAGGAGGTGGCATTTTCAAAAGAGCACCAGTTACAGTAGTAGTAGGGGGATCTAAGCTTGCTCTTGCCCTAAGATGGCCAGTGTAAGTATTTTGGTTTCTCAAACAATGGGCAGGGCTGTATAGCTCTCGAGAGTTTCTATGTTTTGTGTTCAGCTACCAGGACAGATAGGAAAATACCATAAGCTTGGGGCAGTGTTCGGTGGGTCTGGGCTCTGATTCTCCTTTGGGCAGGGCCTGCTGCCACCTCTGTAGCAGATGGGGGGATGGCTTCCAGGTCAATGGGGTTATGTTCCAGAGAGGATCTTGGCTGCCTCTGCTGTGTCATATAGTTCAGGAAAGTGGGGGATAGTCAGTAGCAAGAGACCTCATATAGCTCCCACACAGTTGGTGAGGCCAGTCTCACCCCTGCACTCCATACTTTGGGAACTCAGTACCCCACTCAGACCTTGCCCCAGGCCATGAGCTAACCCTCTGAGGATACAAGCACTGCTATTGGACCATGTCCCTCCCTGTCTGCCCACTCTATCGGTGGCTCCTGCATGCCTGCACTCTTATCTGTAACAGCTCTCATTTGTCTCCTGACTCTGCTCAAGAAAATTTGTGCCCAGTCTGAACCACTACCAATTTCAGTTGGAAGCTTCCTTATCCTCACAACCCCTCCTCAATTCCATTAGCTGACTTCCCCAAGAGCCCCTGTGATACATAGTGAGGGATAGCTTCTCTGGGCTCAAGCTGGATTCCCCACTGCTACTTTTACTATTCAATTTTATGTGACTCCCTAAATTCATTTCATCTCTAGATAAGGTTAAATCCTTCTCCTGTGATCTGGATTTTCAGATTCTCAGTAGGGATGTGTGTTCAGAGGCAGGTATTTTCCCTCTCATACTTTGGGAACTCAGTTTTTTTGCCTGTTTTGTGGAATCTGCAGCCGTGTGCTGCTTTTTTCAAAGGATCTGCAAATTCTTTTGGTGTTTCTGGTATGTTCCTGCAGTGGTTCTTGGAGCAAAAGATCATGGTGTGAGTCTCCACTTGCTGTTTCATCCGTCCATGTGGGAGCTGCCTGTTAGCCCTGTCTCCTATCCTCTATCATCTCTGCTCTAATTTATGATACTAGCAATTTGTGTCCTCTCTTTTTCTTAATTAGCCTAGAGGCTTATCAGGTTTTTTGGTCTTTCCAAATAAACTGCTTTTCATTGATTTCTAAGCTCTTTTTTTATTATTATTATTTTTTTCTGCTTACTTTGGATTTAATTGCACTTCTTTCCAGGTTTTTTTTTTTTTTTTTTTTTTTTTTTTTGTTGTTGTTGTTGTTGTTGTTGTTGTTGAGACGGAGTCTCGCCTGTGGCCCAGGCTGAAGTGCAGTGGCACGATCTCGGCTCACGGCAAGCTCCGCCTCCCCGGGTTCACGCCATTCTCCCGCCTCAGACTCCCAAGTAGCTGGGACTACAGGCGCCCGCCACCACACCTGGTTAATTTTTTTGTATTTTTAATAGAGGCAGGGTTTCACCGTGTTAACCAGGATGGTCTCGATCTCCTGACCTCATGATCCACCTGCCTCGGCCTCCCAAAGTGCTGGGATCACAGGCATGAGCCACCGCGCCTGGCCCCTAGTTTTTTTTTTAAGGTGGAAAATTAGATGATTGATTTTAAGTTGTTCTTTTTTTTCTATTATATATTCTCAATGCCAGAATTTTCCTGTAAGCACTGCTTTCACTGCATCCTGCAAATTTTGATAAGTAGTGTTTTCATTTCCATTTAGTTCAAAATATTTTTACTTCTTTTGAGATTTCTTCTTTGAAGTATATGGTTAATTTCTATATATTTTGGGATTTTCCATTTGTCTTTCTGTTGTTGCTTTCTAGTTTAATTCTATTGTGTTATGTGAGCAGACATTGTATAATTTTAATTTTTTTGTTTAGGTATATGTTAGGGCCCATAATGTGGCCTATATGGTAAATTTTCTATATGAGCTTGAAAAGAATACATAATTTGCTGTGGTTTGATAAAATAGTCTGTAGATGTCAATTATATCCAACTGATTGATGATGTCTTGAGTTGGACCACGTTCTTAGTAATTTTCTGCCTACTGGATCCATCCATTTTTGAGAGAGGTGTTGAAGTCTCCATGTATACTACTGGGTTAATCTATATCTCCCTGCAACTCTGTCAGTTTTTGCTTTACATATTATGATTCTCTGTAGTTGGGTGTGGCTTTGTCCTCTTTGATAATTGACTTATCATTATTTGGTGACTTTATCTCTCATAACTTTTCTTATTCTGATGTCTTCTTGTCTGAAATTAATATAATTATGTTCACTTTCTTTTGATTAGTGTTATCATGGTATATTTTTCCCTATACCCTTATTTTTTATTTATATGTCTTTAAGTGGGTTTTCTGTTGACAAAATACAGTTTTCTTATAATTATAGATTCTGGTAATCACTGTTTTTAATTGGTGTATTTTGGCCATGACATTTGAGGTGATTGTTGTTTAATATCCAATATATTTGTAAATTATTTTCTATTTGTTGCACTTATTTCTTGTTTCATTTTTTCTCCACAATTTTTCTTTTTTTTATTTCAATTGAGCATTTTAAATGACAAAATTTTCTCTTTTCTTAGTCTATCAATTATATACCTAGAAAAATAGAATTTGTCTTAGAGTTTGCAATGTACATTTACAACGAATCCTAGCCCACTTTCCAAAAAAAAAAAAAAAAAAAAATACGAGTTTACAGGTACTGTGAGCACTTTATAATAAGAAAATAATCCTAATTTTTTCACCCCAACCCTGTATCATTGCTGTCATTCACTTCTCATATATGCACATATACATGCACACACACATACACACACATCTGTGATTGAATACATTTTTGCTTTTATTATTTTGAACAAACTGTTATCCATTAGGTAAATCAGGATAAAAATAATGATAATTATTAACCCTAATAGTCAATTAACAATAAGAAAAATAATCTTTCTTTATATAGATCAAAATTTCTGACTCTATATCATTTTTCTTTTCTCTAAGAAACTTCTAACATTTATTTCAAGATGGGCGACTGGAAAAAAAATTCCTCAATTTTTATTTGTATAAGAAAGACATCATTTCTATTTCATTTTTGAAAAACAATTTCTCAGAGTAACACATTATATGTCGGTGGATTTTTCTCTCAAATTTTGAACATATCACTTCACTCTCTTCTTGCTCACGTGGTTTCTGAGGAGAAATCAAATATAAGAACTCCTATCTTTGCTCTCCTATAGATAAGGGGTTTGTTTTTGTTTATGTCCTCTAGTATATTTCAGGGTTTTTTCTTTATCTTTGATTTTAAGGAGTTTGATATGCCTAGGTATTTTTTTGTTGTTGTTGTTGTTAGTTTGGCATTTATCCTGCTTGGTAGTCTCTGAGCTTCATAGACCTGTAGTTTGACATCTGTCATTAATTCAGGGGACTTCTTGATTATTATTTATTCAAATATTTCTTCTGTTTATTTTCTCGTTTCTTCTCTTTTCGGTATTTCCATTTTGCATATGTACACCTTTTGTTGTTGTCCCACAGTTCTTAATTTTTCTTTTATAATTTTTTTCAGCCTTTGTTCCTTTTGCTTTCAGTTTTGGAGTCTTTTCTTTAATTAAGATATCCTCAAGTTCAGAGATTCTTTCTTCAGCCATGTGTAGTCTACTAATAAACTCATCAAAGGTATTCTTTATTTCTATTACAGTATTTTCAATCTCTGACATTTTTTAAAATTTTGTCTTAACATTTCCATCTGTCTACTTATACTGCCTATGTGTTTTTTTCATGTTCTCTACTTTATCCAGTAGAGCCCTCAGGATATTAATCATAATTGTTTTAATTTCTAGTCTGATATGTCCAACATCTCTGCATATCTGAGTTGGGACCTGATGCTTAGTTTTCCTCTTCAAACTGTATATTTTGTCTTTTAGTATGCCTCATAATTGTTTCTTGATACTAGGAAATGATAGTAAGTACAAAGAATTAGAATAAATAGGCTTTTAGTAATGTGGTGTTAAAGCGTGGGATGTGAGGACGTGTTCTTTAGCACAATGATTAGGTCTTCATCTGTTAGTAAACCTGTCCCTTTGGTCAGTGAACTTCATAAGCACTTCTCAGCTCCACTCTGCCCTTGGTTGGGACAGGATTTCTAGATTGGGTTGGAGTTGGGTATTCCTCTATTCCCAGTATTGTTAGGCTCTGAAAATTTTCTTATGGTTTAGGTTCTGGTAAAGTAGTTTTTCTTCAGGGTAGACTTTGTTAAGAAGAGCAGAATGCTGTGTCTTATTTCAAAATAGTTACTTTCCCCCTGCCTCTGTCACAAGCTTCAGGCTATTTTTCTCTGATATTCACTGTTGAGAATGCAGTCAAGCTTCTAGAGGTAAAACTCACAAAAGCATGAGGACATCCCTATGACTAGGTTTCCCTGGAGTTTAACTCTCAGACTTGTTTACACTGAGTTTCTAGCAATGTATGGATTCAAGTTAGGTCTTCCTACCCTGGCACTGGTTCCCATGAAGGTATTTGTAAGTGGGTTTCTGCTGTGATAAATTGTGATTTGTGTATTTGCTCTTCTGTGTCTCCAAATTACGGGGGCAGTAGTTTGCTCTGTGGCCTCACTTCTCTGACAGATATAAGAAGGGGTAGTAGATTTTTTAGTTTCTTCATATTTTCACTAGTTAAGATAGAGTGGAGAATTCTAGTCTCCTTTCATGCTATACCAGAAACGAGAAATCATTAGGACTTTATCTTTGCTTGAAAATCTTTGTCTTTAATTTTTATTTTATTGTACATAATTTTTAAAATTTTTCTTTCAAATTCTATCAGTTTTTTAATTCAATATTTATTTTCATGCTTAGAAATATATTTGGAGCCCAAGTTATAAAATAATTAGCTGAAATTTCTTCTACTTGTATTCGATTTAGTATCTTATGTCTATATTTTCTGTCTAAAATTTATTTTGGTTAAAAGTGATTAACCACTTCTCCGAACACCAATCATTGTCAATTCTGTCTCTTCTCCCCATTTCAAGATGCTGTCTTTCCTTTAATATAAAATCATAATGTATAATTGTGTCTAGAATTTGTATTAAGATTGGGTGATATTTATATCTCTCAATCTTATACTCAAAAGTATGATAATTTCTATAGATTTATAATATATTTTAACACCTTTTATGAAATTCCTAGCTTCATTACTCTATATTGGCTAATGTGTTTTTTTCACCGAATTTGTGTTTTTATTTTCTGAGAACTCTCTCTTTGACAAAATTTATTGTAGAATGCCACCAAAGTTTTTTTTTAAATATTTTACTAAACATCACTATTTTCAGTAAACTTTTATGATTTTATCCCTATATGGCTTGTGCTCTTAATTTTTATTCCACATCTATTTTTGTGTTCTGGTGTAAGTGTTAAAGGGATTATACTGCTGTTTTTTTTTTTTACATTTTCTAATTTCTTATTATTGCAATGTAAGAAAGCTTTTGCATGTTTGCCAATTTTTATTATATTTTGAGTTTTTTATCTGAAATCAGTTCACTTGAAATAATTCAACTATTTTATAATATTTATGCATAACTGGAAACATTGCTTTTGAAAACTGGCACAAGGCAAGGATGCCGTCTATCACCACTCCTATTCAACATAGTATTGGGAGTTCTGGCCAGGGCAATTAGGCAAGAGAAAGAAATAAAAGGTGTTAGCCAGGTGCTGTGGCTCATGCCTATAATCCCAACACTATGGGAGGCAGAGGTGGGTGGATCACCTGAGGTCAGGAGTTGGCCAGCCTGGCCAACATGGTGAAACCCCATCTCTACCAAAAAGACAAAAATTAGCAGGGAATGGTGGTGGGTGCCTGTACTTGGAAGGCTGAGGCAGGAGAATCACTTGAACCCGGGAGGCGGAAGATGAAGTGAGCTGAGATCGTGCCACTGTACTCCAGCCTGGGCAACAGAGCAAGATTCAGTATCAAAAAAGAAAAAAAAAAAAGAAAAGAAAGAAAGAAAAAAGGTGTTTAGGAAGAGATGAAGTAAAATTGCCTCTGTTTGCAGATAACATAATTTTATCTTTAGAAAACCCGATCATCTCAGCCCAAAAACTCCTTAAGCTGATAAGCAACTTCAGCAAATTCTCTGGATACAAAATCAATGTGCAAAAATCACAAGTATTCCTTTACGCGAACAATAGACAAGCAGAGAGCCAAATCATGAATGAACTCCCATTTATAATCTCTACAAAAAGAATAAAATACTTACGAATACAGCTAACAAAGGATGTGAAGGACCTCTTCAAGGAGAACTACAAACCATTGCTCAAGGAAATAAGAGAGGACACAAACAAATGGAAAAACATTCCATTCTCATGGATAGGAAGAATCAATATCGTGAAAATGGCCGTACTGCTCAAAGTAATTTATAGATTCAGTGCTATTCCCATCAAACTGCAGTTCACATTGTTCACAGAATTAGAAAAAAAACTACTTTAAATTTCATATGGAATCAAAGAAGACCCCATATAGTCAAGACAAGCCTAAGAAAAAAGAACAAAGCTGGAGACATCAAACTACCTGATTTCAAACTATTAGAAGGCTACATTAACTAAAATAGCATGGTACTCATACCAAAACAGACATATAGACCAATGGAACAGAAGAGACCTCAGAAATAACACCACACATCTACAACTGTCTGATCTTCGACAAACCTGACAAAATCAAACAATGGGGAAAGGATCTCCAATTAACCAAATGGTGCTGGGAAAATTGGCTAGCCATATGCAGAAAACTGACTGGACCCCTTCCTTGCACCTTATACAAAAATACTCAAAATGGATTAAATACTTAAATGTAAAAGCCAAAACCATAAAAACCTTAGAAGGAAACTTAGGCAATACCATTCAGGACATAGGCATGGGCAAAGACTTGATGACTAAAACACCAAAAGCAATGGCAACAGAAGCCAAAATTGACAAATGGGATCTAATTAAACTAAAGAGCTTCTGCACAACAAAAGAAACTATATCAGACTGAACAGGCAGCCTACAGAATGGGAGAAAATTTTTGCAATCTGCCCATCTAACAAAGGTCTAATATCCAGAATTTACAAGGATCTTAAACAAATTTACAAGAAAAATACCCATCAAAAAGTGGGCAAAAGATATGAACAGATACTTCTCAAAACAAGACATTTATGCAGCCAACAAATGTGAAAAAAAGCTTAACATCACTGATCATCAGAGAAATGCCAATCAGAATCACAATGTGAGACCGTAGCTTGCCAGTCAGAATGGCGACTATTAAAAAGTCAGGAAACAATAGATGCTGGTGTAGCTGTGGAGAAATAGGAAGGCTTTTACACTGTTGGTGGGACTGTAAATTAGTTCAACCATTGTGGAAAAGAGTATGGCAATTCCTCAAGGATCTACAACCACAAATACCATTTGACCCAGCAATCCCATTACTGGTTATATACCCAAAGGAATATAAATCAGTCCACTATAAAGACACATGCACATGAATGTTTATTGCAGCGTTATTTACAATAGCAAAAACATGTAACCAACTCAAATGTCCATTAATGATAGACTGGATAAAGAAAATCTGGGACATATATACTATGGAATATTCTGCAGCTATAAGAAAATAATGAGATCAAGTCCTTTGCAGGGACATGGATGAAGCAGGAAGCCATCATCCTCAGCAAACTAATACAGGAACAGTCAACCAAACACCACATGTTTTCACTCTTAAGTGGGAGCTGAACAATGAGAACACGTGGATCCAGAAAGGGGAACAACACACACCAGGGCCTCAGGGGTTGTGGGGCAAGGGGAGGGAACTTAGAGGATGTATCAGTAGGTACAGCAAACCACCATGGCACACGTATACCTGTGTAACAAACCTGCACGTTCTGCACATGTATCCTTTTTTTTTTAGAAGAAGAAATAAAAATAAAAAATAAATGAAGAGAAATTTATTTTTGTTTTTTACGCTTTCAAGTGAGATTTTGCCTAATATTACTTAAACAGAGTTATTGATTTTTGGTGAGACACTTGAAAGCATTATTTAACATGATCTTTTGATTAAATCTTTTCCAACAATTATAAAATTTATATTTATGTAGAATTCATCATATTACCATGCCAAAGAGAAATTACAGTTTTCCAATATTGAGCTATCTTATATTCCTGGAATTTTGAACCATGACTGAAAATTCAGTGATTCTCTCAGTGTATTTATTTCTCTTTAAATGTTTATAGACATAATGAATTTTGACTTCCAGTGATTATTTGCCAAAATCTTTGTCAGGCTTTGTATTAGGTTATTCTGTATATTAGTAGAATTTCCAAAGGCAAATCAAAGGAAGAAAAAAAAAACCCTCACTTTTTCTAGTTTGAACATAAAATGATTTATTAAATCATATTAGGTAGCAAACATCAAAAGGAACAGTGAAGTGGCTTGGAGGTAGTTGTAACACCAGATAATTCAGTAAGATTTATGTTTGTCATAAAACATGAGAACAAGCACAAAAATCTATTGTATTGGTCCATTTTCATACTGCTATAAAGAACTGCCTGAGAATGGATAATTTATAAAGGAAAGATCATTGAGTCACAGTGCAGCATGGCTGGGTAGTCCTCAGGAAACTTACAATCATGGCGGAAGGCAAAGGGTAAGCAAGGCACCTTCTTCACAAGGTAGCAGGAAAGAGAATTGCTGATCAAAGGGGAAAGACCCCCTTATTAAACCGTCATATGTCTTGAGAACTCGTTCACTATCATGAAAACAGTGTGGGGGAAATTGCCCCCATGATTCAATTACCTTCACCTGATCTCTCCCTTGACACTCGGGGATTATGGGGATTACAATTCAAGATGAGATTTGGGTTGGCGCAGAAAGCCTAACCATATCATCCATGGTGAGTGGTGCCAACTCAGTGGTGTTTCTAGAGATCCTATAGCCTGGAGCATGTATAAGGTAAGAAGTCAAGGGCAGGAGTGATAGAGATTAAACACCTTGGTTCCTTGAGGAATCTGAAGTAAACTTTCCATAGGCTGTCTCATTTCTAAATTTTATGACAACAAAGGGAAAAAAATTCATTATGTCTAAATATTTTTAAGTTTAAAAAAATTATCATTGCTTTAATATGCAGCTGAAATCAACTGTATTTTTTTCAGGCTTCATACTAGTATTCTTTGTTCTTCAGCTCTTCTTGTTTGCAGAATTTAAATCAATACATTTATAAGCTGGCATAATAGCCACATTAGCAGGAAAGGCCAAGTGGAAACAATTAGAATGCTTCCTACTTACTAAAATAGCAGTCCAAATGGAATAATCCATCCCTGTGGGAATCACGAGATTAATGTCATGGACAAAATTTTGAATGATGCAGCTTTGAAGATGTTTACCCATTAATTTCCCTGGTTTGAACTACAACAGTCTGGCACGTATTGAAAAATGACAATAGATAATAAGGAAATTAATTGCGTAGTGACTCCAATTATAGCTGCTATTCCAGATGTGGTCTCTTTTCTTGGACAATGTAACAACCCCCTGGCATTGGGAACTAGTTATGTGTCTGCAAACTTATTGGAGGGCAATGAAACTCGTTGATTCAGTCCAAAACGTTTGGCATCCTGTGACACAAAATAGGGTGATGTGTGAGTGGAGAGCAGATTAAGAGAAAGAAACATAAAATATCCAAAAATTAAGAGTCAAATATAACTGGTAAATCTCTTTGAGTTTTTGAGGCAAGTGTATGGCATTCCACTGTCTTGTTCTTGTTCATTTACTTATACCTAAAATACTACCAGCTATGCCTGGTGATGAGGACTAGAATTATTCGCTAGCTGACCCTGCATATGTGGTAAACTTCTCCACCATTTGATGCTTTTGGCTGATAAGATTTAATGGACTTGGGGTATGCTTCATAGATTGTGATGCTTTATGAAGTCTGAAAATTTCCCTAAAAGGAATCCCATCAGAAGCATGAAGTTTCATGAATAAGCCCATGTCAATTTCAGCAAGTAAATGTACTTCTTTAAAAATTATTCTTTCTTGGCCGGGTGCGGTGGCTTACGCCTGTAATCCCAGCACTTTGGGAGGCCAAGGCAGGTGGATCACGAGATCAGGAGTTCAAGGCCAGCCTGGCCAAGATGGTGAAACCCTGTCTCTACTACAAATACAAAAATTAGCTGGACGTGGTGGAGGGTGCTTGTTATCCCAGCTACTCGGGAGGCTGTGGCAGATAATTGCTTGAAACCATGAGGTGGAGGTTTCAGTGAGTCGAGATCTCCCCACTGCACTCCAGCCTGAATGACAGAGCGAGACTCTGTCTCAAAAAAAATAAATAAATAAAATTATTCTTTCCTTGCAACTAGAGAGCTTTGCTATGTAGTAAATGATTACCAATGGGAAACTTGGGAACCACGCAACTTTAGCAGACATTGTGACTTAGTACTGTCTGGCCAATCTAGCTATTAATTGAGATTATTCAGTGATTTCTCATCATGAAGTGCAAGTAGCATATGCAGTAACAGGTTCAAGATAAAAACCAGACTATTTTAAAACAGACAGTCTCAACCCTCTTATCTATGCTATTATGCTCTCTGCCAACTGCTATGATCATCCTCAAGGGTGCCCTTATCATTATATAAATGATACTCATAGTTTTTAACATCTAAGCTTGTTTGAAAACAAGTAACTATGAGATTAATAATATTAATAATATTGTCTGCCAAAATAGTATAAATTGAACCAGTGAAAAATACATGGTGCTGCTTCTCCAATTGCATATGTGTGTGTGTGTGTGTGTGTGTGTGTGTGTTTGCTTGTGTATGTATGTATTTAAAGTTAACAAAGAGTAGAAGTACAGGTGATGTATTGAAATAACGGCTTGAATGACTCACTTTAAAAAAATTTGTCCATAATCTTCATGTTCAGAGTTCCGTTTGTTCGGAGGTGTTCATAATCAAATGAGAAAAATTTAGATCATAGAATATAATTAGGAGCCCAATAAGATGGCTGAGATTGATACTTGGCCATTTTGAAAAATTTCTGCCAAGAGGATAGTGATAAAAAGAGGATAGAGAGGTAGGTTAGACTGACTGTCATGCTTTGCTAAAGAGAGTTAGTGTCATTGCTAAACAGTAGTGACTGGAAAGAGAGTAGTTTGAACCTGGAGGATTCTGTAGTATACTAACATACCTATTAATAGTTTATAAAAGACTAAAAGAGCAATAATTCCAAAAACTCGGATATGAGTATTTGGAATGTACTCCTGGATAAAGGGCTTTAGCTAAAATGTAAAGGTAATAGAAAGTCATAATGATTGGCCCTAACATTTTAAATAACTGGAGAATTTAGAATTTCAACATTTACCTTTATTTTTGGCTTCATGTGAACCATAGAATTTTCTTTCTTTAAAAAAAGTTTATCTTAAAATAACACAATGTTTGTAGAAATTCCAAAATATAGGAAAATAAACCACTGTAAATAAGTCATCCAAAATCTTATATATTAATTAACCCCTATTAAATAAAATGTGAATTAATTCGTATTGATTTTTAACTTGCTTGCACATACACACTACATCTAAATACATAAGCATATAACATATGTTGATATGCATATTACCCATGAAACTTAATCTAATATTAGTTTTACAGGCACAAAAGGAATACCTGATGGTGTATTTCCAAACTTTCTTATGTTAACTGGTCAAGCATATAGACAACCCCCATCAGTGTTTAGTGTGAGTAGTATATTACTATTCATCTGGAACTCAAAGTTACTTGGAAAATTAAGACTGGCTTTTCTTAACAGTTTATTCTGCCAGCTCATCTAGTGGATGCAATGTTTGTAATTGGCCATTTTTAGGGATCCTTCATCCAATTCCCATCCCTACCTTTGACCTTACCCACTGTGGTCTGCCTAGAACATCTTTCACTTTTGGCTTTCTCTTTCCTTGGCGTTTTTAATCTCTTTGCTATGCTTCCTCCATCCAAGTTACTAGTCTTTAACTTTACTGTTGTTCCATAGCTTGGTTTACTAAAGGCTGTGAGATTTCAGGAAGAAGGACAAGAAGAGAAAGAAACTGGTGTTCTGGTGTAGCATGAAAGTGGATTGTTTGAAAATCAGATTTTCACATTTCATAGGAAAAAAATTGTCCAATTCTACCCTATCTCCTATATGCTACCATAGTCTAACATTAGTTGTATTATAAATGGTCCCAGCTTATAAATGGTGCTAGACACATTAAGTAAAGAATAAAGGCAAAAACTCTAAAATAAGATAAAACAAAACAAGCTCTATTCATTCTAATGAACATGCATGTGGTGATACTTCTATATAAAAGTGCTTTAAACACAATTTTACAAATATGCAAATTGGTATATATACTACGAAATGTGAAAATTAGTATATATAAAAATTGGCCTACTATACATTATATTCTTTTGTGTCACCTTTACTACTGTGGAATTTCTACTTCAAAAGTGAAGAATTTTGGCTATTTAATTTTGAGCTGAGTTAAACGAATATGCAGGTAATGACTATTAGACTATGAAAGTATATGTGAATACAGTTTGAATAGTTTATTTACCTATGTGGATATCAATATTTTTTGTATCAGGCTAAAAGAAAAAAATAAAGTTCAAGCCTGAATATTATGCATATATTGTTTCTGTTGTAGTAATGCATAAATTCCACTCAAATTAGACCTTACAGTCATATAGAAAATATCCTAACAAGTTGTTGATTTAAATATTTAAAATGCAAAAAGCAGTTCTTTATATGTATCAATAAGCATTCCATGTTTTAAGTTGTAAGATTTGGATGTCAATTAAAATCAATTGGTCCAAAAAGTATGTTTCCTCTATTTTTAAAGCGTGACTAAAATGTAAAATTGTTTCTTTCATGAATTTTTATAAAATACATAATCTTTTGTAAAATATATTTAAAATAATATATAAAATACGTATATGTAGAATACATTAAAAAACTGAAGAGTTTGGATTTTGCATGGAGGATTTAATTATATTTTATTTCAACTTTAAAATAAAATGAGGAGGAAGAGAAAAAACTTTAGGAACTTTGCTGGATTTCTTCGTTGACATTTTTCCTCATGATTGAGTTTTTATACTGATAATCAAACTATGTAATTAATTTATACAGACTATGTCTGAAAGTTTAAGAACTAATTATGTAAATAAAATATTTTTTATTTATTCAAAATATGCCTCATTGTTTCTAGGGAATTTCAGAAATTCAATTATATTAATTGAGACTTTGTGGGAAGAAAATTTGTTGCTGAGTTTCACTAAAGGTTATCTAAGCCTACATATTTACTTTGAAAATCATAAAGCAGCAAGACTATTTAGTCAGCCAGAAAACATCATTCAGCTTAGTACTGAGCTTTAAGAATAATAAAGATCTCAACATCCCAGATTTATTCACATACATATAGTATCTTATGAGTGATTACGTTTACCTTCAAAATTACATTCCAAGAATATATGTATTATACTTCTGTAAGAGGTGTAATGCTTTTTCCAGATGATCAGTGCACAGTATAGTGTCCCAAATAGTCATATTTCTCTAAAATATGTGCTTTTTCATATGTAAATTTAAAAAATATATTTATAAGATCATAACCAGATCTTAACTAGAGTTCTTTAATTTCAGAATGAAGCACTATGTTGAATTGGGAGGGTATTTGAATAATCTAAACCACTCCATAAACTTCCTAATAGATTTTTTGTTCTTGTTTTAATTCTAATTTTGAGGCATTTCTTGGGTTTTAAAATTCCCCAGCTCTCTTTGAAATTGAGCCTATCTAATACAAATTGAGACATTTTATTGAGAAATAACAGGTATGACATTTTCATGCAAGCACATTAGTTTCCATTAAAACATATATCAAATATTATTTATGCTATGTCTTTTAACAGAATGTGTTGTAAATTGCTTTTGAAGTTACTTTGCATGACTTAGATATTGTATTACTAACAAAAATATACTGCTGGACTTCATAATAGATAACCATGGACTACAAGTGTAAGAACCTTTTTTTAAAAAATAAACAATTTTCCAAACTTACAAATGTTACTTTGGTTTTAGGTTTCTTTTTTCCTTGAATTCAGCAAGAGAAATATTTTTTAACAAGAAAATTCTACTCTGTTTTGTGGCTAACTCTTTAAGGCTGGCTAAGAACAGATTCAGTAGAGTGAGAAATCACCTCATGACTCTTGAACTTTCATAAGCTAAATAAAATTGTTTGTGGTGATCCCTTGAAAACTTTATCTGACACTCAATACTAGTTGAAGTAGAAAAATCATGGCTCAAAATTCTATAATGCTGTAAAGAAGAAATTGGGTCATAGTGGCCAGGGTTAGTGAGGGCATGATTGAAAAGCTGAACAGGAACGTGGTTTGACTCCAAGGAGATCTTGCTAAGCTGTTAGGTCAAAGTTGTGCTGACACAGAGCTATACTGAGAACCAGACAGGACTTAGGAATTGTTCTATGGATTTGGCCAAATAATTTTCCTTAGACTAATCAGAAAGATTACATCTAGGTGCATGTAAATAGTACATAGACCTGTGCTATTTGTTAGTAATATGAGTAGATTTGGCAAATTGTATGCCTTTCTAAATTCCTTATTCACTTGGGGAAGTTTCTGAGACACTGTGGAAAGAAACTATGCACACACAGATCCAGATGTATGAAATGTTATAGATCTTTAAATATGTAGTTTATAATATGGTAAAACTATGTGGAAGATGCTGGGCCTTACTTTTTACAAGAAAGTCTAAATTATATAATCAGGATGCTGATGTGTAAGACCTTACATTTTACTGCAGAAAGGGCATAACAAGACCATTTTTTATTGTATTTTTTTCTGTGTATCTTTTTCCACCAGATAGGGTAGGTATCAGGTGAAAAATCTTCAATTAAATACTTTTTTTTTTCTTTTTAGATAGACTTTATGGATTATACACACACACACGCACACACACAATTGTGTTTAGGTTTGTAAGTCATGACAATTTTCTACCTTAAGGAAATCAACAATCAACATATTCAACATTTTAATATATTCAACACTTCCATCCCCTCAAATGGGTTCCTGTGACTTTTGCCAATTTATTGCTCTTCCTTTAGTTCCAGCCAAGAACCAATCTGATTCTGTTATTTTTAGCTTTACAGTTATATTCTTGATCTATTAATATTCCAAGTTACTTTTTGCATATTGTGTACAAAGCATTGAGGATTGTTTTTAAATTTTATCCAGAATAATTTTTTGAAAGACTATGCTTTCTCTACTAACTTACCTTGCTGTCTTTGTCAGAAATTAAATATGATGTATATGTACCTATATCTGTATTCTATTTAGTTTCATTGACCCATATGACTATCTTCAGGCTAATTCCTTACTATTTGCTTTACTATGGCTTTCCAGTTGAACTTGAAGTCCTGTAGTTCTAGTATTATAGCCTTACTCTACATTTTCCAAAGGCAAATAAGTTTTCAAAAGTGGACTATACAAAATTATACTAATTTGTTAATGGAGGACGTCATAGAACTTTGAATATGGTAATGTAATTTTTAAATCTCCAAGAGGAAATATTCAATAGATAAAAACTCATATAACCCAACCCCCTCTGAATGTATGGCAAGCGCATTTCTACAAGTACACTTAATAAGGTGTATTTTGATGGGTAGGTGCATACATAAAAACACAGGACAAACAATGCATTTGAAGCTAGCAATTGGTGTAACTTCCCTAGAAGATCAAGAACACATTAGCTCAAAGGAAATGGAACGTAATAGAAATTGGGGGAGTAACATCAATTCTATATGTATTATATGCAAATTCAATTACTACTGTTTGGCAAAGGGACAGAGAAAATAATGTTTGAAGGAATAAAATAAAAATGTAAATATAGCAGTAGATTCCCTCATTTAGTAAGTCTCCCAAGTAAATATGAGCTGAGGCACATCTGTTCCTTCATGAAGAATTAATCTGACTGTGTTGAACTTGCAGTTCAACACAATATAATAGTGAAATTTATGGATGACTAAAGGGATTATTTATAGATAATTTTAAGTGTATGTGAATGTGCTTCCATATATTGACTTTCACATTTACAGTCATGTAAAATGCAACTCTTCTATAATACTTGGCTAATCTCCTTATTAAGTGGGGGCCTTGTGCTCTGAAAGATTTAGTGACAAAGACAAGGTGGACAGAGGGCAAAAACTGTCTCCTTGTAAAAGAAAAGAAGCAAAGTGCCACTAAAAGCTGTCTTGGTTTAAAATATTTTCAGTAATTTAGAGAAAGCTAACACAAACTCGCTGACATAATTAATTTATGTTTTCTTCAAGAAGTATTAAAGTTGTAGGTTTTACATTTAGATCTATTATAAATTCTAAGTTAATTTTGTATATGCTGTGTGGTATGTTGAAGTTTATGTCTTTCAAGATGCATGCCCAGTAGTTGAAATGAGTATCCTTTCTCCATTGAATTACATTTGCACTTTCCTCCAAAATCAATTTACCATGCACATGTAGGCCAGCGTTTAAGTTCTCCATTTTGTTTCCTTGAACTATGTGACTATTTTTTCACCATTACCATACTACCTTGATTATTACCATTTTAAAAAAATCTTGAAATCATGTAGAGACTTCTAACTTTGTTTTCCTTTTTCAGAATTGTCTTAGCTATTCTAAGTCTTTTATATTTCCTTTTACATTTTAAAATCAGTTTGTAAATTTTTACAAACATTTCCTCTGATAGTTCAGTTTAGATTACTTTGAGGAGAATTGAAATCTGCCCAATAATGAGTTTTCAAACCCATGAACACATGATACCTATCACATTATTAGGTTTTGTTTAACAAGGCACATCAATGTTTTGCAGTTTTCAGTATTCAGAACGTGCACATACTTTCCTAGAATTGTGTATAAGTATTCATGTTTTTGGTACTCTGTAAAAAATTTCAATTTTCAATTTCTAGTGGTAATCTATGGAAGTACTATGGATGTGTAATATGTACCTTATATCCTGAAATTTTGCTAAACTAACTTAGAAATACATTTTATAGGTTATTTGTAATATTTCTATATAGACAATTATAGATTTTTCTGCACAAAAAGACAGTTGTATTTCTTTCTTGGTAATCTACAAACTTTGTATTTCTATTTCTTATATTATTGCACTGGCTAAAACATCTACTATTAGGCCGAATGGAAATGATGAGTATGGATATCACTGTGTTATTTCCGATTTTGGGAGGGGATATTGTGTCTTTCACCATAAACTGTGTTACTGTGTCAGCTGTGTTTTTTTTTTTTTTTTTGAGACAGAGTCTCATGCTGTCCCATAGGCCAGAGTGCAGTGGTGTGATCTCAGCTCACTGCAACCTCTGCCTCCCAAGTTCGAGCGATTCTCCTGCCTCAGCCTCCTGAGTAACTAGAATTACAGGTGTGCGTCACCACACCTGGCTAACTTTTTGGATTTTTAGTAGAGACAGGGTTTCACTGTGTTGGCCAGGCTGGTCTCAGACTTCTGACCTCAAGTGATCCACCTGCCTTGGCCTCCCAAATGGTGAAATTATAGGCAACAGCCACCACGCTCAGCCAGCTGTGCATTTTTATTTTTATGTTTTTTCAGTTTGAGAATAAGCTTTTAGATTGGCTACAGAAAAACATAATCCATAAAACAAATTGATAAATTGGACATCACCAAAATGTAAAACTTCTGCTTTGAGAGAGAAAAATGAAACTATCACAGACTAGGCAAAAAATGCAAAAATATATATATATACATATATATAATTTATATATATGTATTATTTACTTATATTATTATCTAATATATATTATGTATATGCTATATATATATCCTTTAGCATATATATGTATGTTAAAGGATTGCTATCCAAAATATATAAAAAACTCTCTTAGTAACAAGTAAACAAAAATCTAGCAAAATTTAGACAAAATCTAAATAGATGAAGATAAATATAAACAGATGGAGGACAAACAAAAACATAACATGCTAAATAACTGGTCAACTGAGAAATGCAGATAAGACCACATTAATATTTCACTAAATACCCACTAGAATGAAATGATTAGCATTAAAAATAATAGTACCAAATAGAAAATGAAGCTGTAGAGTAACTACAAATCTTAGGTAGTACTAATAGGAGTTTATAATAGTACAACACTTTAAAAAACTGTTTGCAGTTTCTAATATAGTTATGCATATATTTATATAATATATGACACAGCCACTCATATGCATTATCCAAGAGAAACAAAAGTATATGATGATACAGATCTTATGTGTGAATGCAGATAGCAGTTTTATTCATAATCACCAAAAGAGGGAAAAATATGAAATGTCTATCAGCAAGTTAGTGGATTAGCTAATTGTGTCTTATACATGCAATGGCATATTATTTGCCATTTAAAAATTCAATGACATGGAATAATCTCAAGAGCATTGTGCTGAGCAATTCCATTTATAGGTTATTCTTTTTCAATAACAAAATTATAGGGACAGAAAAAAATCAATGTTTGCTTAGAGCTAAGAATGAGGGAGAGAGATTCACTAAAAAGTAACAAGAAAGAACTGTTCTATATCTTTATTGTGGCGTTGGCTGCACAATTGTATGTGTTTCTCAAAATTCATATATCTGGCCAAAAGGTGTATTTTATGATATGCACATTTTACCTCAATAAACTAAAAAAGAAAAGAAAAGAAAGCTAAATAAACTCAAAAACTCAAAAAAAACTAAAGTAAACTAAAAAAAGAAGAAAAGAAAAGAAGTGGTTCAAATTGCAAAGTCCAGTAGGCAAGGTCATTCTTTTGTTTAACACTGTTTTTGGGGGCGTACCACATAGTATGCTTTGTGATAAATTCTGGGACAACAGTAGTGAATCAATTAGATAAAAATGCTTGTTACTATGGAACTTGCATTCTAATTAGGAATAAACTAGTGATAAACACATAAATCAAATATATTGCTTCTTCCATGATAATAAATGCTACACAAGTAAAAAAAAAGTGGATAAAGAAGATGTCAGTTAAGCAGATAAGAGTGAGAGAATCATGTGGTCATCTGGAATAAAAAAGGTACAGGTAGCGGAAATAGCGTATGCAAAGACCTTGAGTCCTGGCAGTTTCCAGTAGTAGCATAGAGGCGATTGAGATTGGAATAGAGTGAGGTAATTTTTAATGTGTTTATACATGTTCCCATACTTTGCCTAAAAATGTTATTGTGAATATGACATATATGTTATATGGTTAGTTAGGTGGTGATGACTGATAGATGAGATACATAGATAGATGATAGGTGATAGATAGATAGATAGATAGATACATAGATAGATAGATAAAACATGCATCTTCTCAAGACTCTCCAGTTCTCAAATCTTAGATCCCACTAACATATCCTTAAACCCATGGAAAAAAAAAACAATATAGAATTTTAGTTTTCTTTTCCTATGCTACAAATTCCGGGTTTGTTGTTATTGTTGCTGTTGCTGTTGCTGTTGTTGCTTTTACTAAGTGCTTTCAAAAAATAGAATCATAGAGTATACTCTTTTCTCCTTGTTCCATTTTTCATTGAATAAATACTACTTTCTGATATAACTTTTATAAATCTAATATGAATTATCATATGAACTAATGTATATCAATAAATTTTTTAAAAGGCTGGATAATATTTCATAGCACAAAAGAATCACCATTAACTCCATACCTTCTCTGTAGATGGGTATTCAATCCAGCATGTGCAAATTTATATGTGTGTTTGAGTGTGTTTGCTTCTGCTAAGAATGCTGCAAGAATACTTTTTTCCATTATTCTTTATTTACTGAAATTATATTTCTATGGGTAGATTTCAGGAATGACCATGTAGCAATGCATATGTGTTCTACATTTCAATACAGGTCCCCACTTTGTAATTCATATCTCCATTACCATCATGTAATAATAGCTTTCATATCACATCAGTGTGGTATGAAAGCTCATGCCACATTTTAACAATCGTCAGTCTAACGTGTATACAGCAAAACCTCATTACTTTACTTGGATTTCCTTGACTATTAATATTTTTGGAAACATTTGCAATTATTTGGACATTGTCTTTTCGAAATTATATCTGTTGCCATTTTTTTTATCTTAGGATATTTCTACCTTCCTGTTAATTCTTGAGAGCTCCTTAGATATTTTAAATGCCTGCATTGGAAGCCCCATCCCCCACAACTATACGGTTTGCTTCTTGATTTTGTTTATATTTTTTCAAATAAATATATACATGCTTATACAATGTATAAACTTTTGATTTATAACTTATGTAATTTATAATTTAATTTATATACTTTAATATAGATGTAAAATTTATGCAGTTGAATGCACCTACTTTTTCATGGACACCGTTTCTAATTTCAGAAGATCCTCTAGCTCCTAAACATTTTCTAGCATAATTTGCTTTACTGTTTTATTTTTTCATATTTAAGTACTTTTACTCATCTCTAATTAATGAATTCACATTCTTTGAGGTAAGGTTCCAGTATTTTACTAGTATAACTTAATTATATGTTTCAAATGTACAATTATATTTAATATTACTAACATATACTTTTATTTAATGGACAATTATTCATTCTATTTCATTTTGCCATAAATTTATATCTCTGTTTTCTTTGAAGATTTGGCCTTTCTTAATTTAAGCCTTTATGCTCTTTGAAAAACAAATCCAGGAAAAGGAATTTCATACAAGTAAGATTATTTAAGAAGGAATCCAGGAAGTCAAGAGACAAAATGGGAACAGTGACACAAGGGAAGGATAAAAACCCCCAAAAAAGCTGTATTAATGAATCACTTACATCTATGGACATCTAGGGCTAGATCCTCCTAGCGTGGATTGAATTATGTTTATTTTATTTTAGATTTATGTCCACTGAAAGTGGAGAGGCCACAGTATTTTCCCAAAAAAAGCCAAACTGCCAAGGAAGCCTTTCAGGTTGAGAAGATGAGAGAGAGATGCTTAAGGTGGAAAACTGTGCATGTGACTGCAGGTGAACTCAGATGACTGCAGGAGAAGTCAGAAAAAAAAATACAAATGGTGTCTGCAGAACTTTCTATGCTACCCTTTACAGTATGTAATTGGATTGTTCTTGGAATATTTTCTGAATATTCTTGCCCCTAACTAGTTGAGTTTGAAGTATTTTCCACCACCTTTCAGTAAACACAGTATTTTAAAATAAAGAAAGAAAAGATGCCTAGTGAGCCCATAAAAAGCCCATAAAAAATGCCCAGTGAGCTAAATAGTATGAACTCTAATTGCTTAGAGACTATTAGGACAAATGTTATTCCTGGCAGGTTAACTTGGTTACTACAAGGAATTTTAGAAAAGCAAGAATGATGCCTGTCATTACCTGCAAGTATATTCTCATACTATTCAGTATCTCTTGTGCTCAGACTCTATATGCCTGTTTTCCCATTCTTTCAAACTGTTAAACTGTGCTGTCTTGAAATTAGAGAATATCTACAATTTCCTAATATCCTCAGTCTTTTCTCTGAAGGACTGCTTCCTCCTTTTTTTTTTTTTTTTTTTGGCTGCAAACTGAACATTCAGTATGGAAACTGTTTATTTTCAACTCTTCAAAGTAGAAGTTATCTGTTTTTCTTCATTCCCTGCCATATATTTTATATATTTCATATCCTTTTATGCTATTATTTATAATATCTCCTCTTTTAAATTATTTTCCTTTCCAAAATGTTTCCTTCCAACTTGCCTTAAGGTGTAGATAATCTTGGATTTGGGATAGATGCCAGATGCCTTACATGACCTTCTTAACTTCTTTTACCCTATGCAGAACTTTTGGGTTAGATGTTCAACATGTTCAGTGAACAGTCTTAGAAACAAAGTGGCTTGTTCTCACTGACTCACACTGTGGTTGGGCTTCCCTGATACACTAATCTGTTACATCATCCCACAAATAACTGCTAAAAAGTTGTTTAGTTACAGTTGGTTTCTCCTTAGTCCCATCCATGTCAGATATTTCATTTTTCCATTATTCTACCAGAGAAAGGAGTAGCTGTGGGTCTCTTCAATTCTATGAAGGCCACATCTTACTTATTTTTTTACTTTTGTTTTAGGTTCAGAGGTACATGTGCAGGTGTGTTATATAGGTGAATTGCATGTCACAGGGGTTTGGTGTACAGATTAATTTGTCACTCTGGTAATAAGCATAGTACTTGCTAGGTGGTTTTTCAATTGTCTGCATTCTCCCACCCTCCACTCTTAAGTAGACCCCAGTGTGTGGTGCTTCTTTCTTTGTGTCCATGTGTACTCAACGTTTAGCTCCCACTTATTAAGTGAGAACAAGCAGTATTTGGTTTTCTGTTCCTGCCTTAGTTTGCTTAGGATTATGGTCTCCAGCTCCATCCATGTTGCTACAAATGACACAATCTCATTCTTTTTTATGGTGACATAGTATTTTATGATATATATGTATTACATTTTATTTATCCAGTCTACCACTGATGGACATTTAGGTCGATTGCATGATTTTGCTATTGTGAATAGTGCTGTGATGAATATATGCGTGCATGTGTCTTTATGGTAGAATGATTTATATTCCTTTGGGTATATATCCCAAAATGGGATTGCTGGGTTGAATGGTACTTCTCTTTTTAGTTCTTTGAGAAATCACTAAACTGCTTTCCACAATGGCTGAGCTAATTTATATTCTCATCAACAGTGTATAAGCATTCACTATTCTCTGCAACCTCACCAGCATCTGTTATTTATTGACTTTTTAATAATAGCCATTCTGACTGGGGTGAGATGGTATCCCACTGCGAATGAGATTGCATTTCTCCAATATTTAGTGATGTTGAGCAATTTTTCATAAAATTGTTGGACATGTGTATGTCTTCTTTTGAAATGTGTCTGTTTATGCCCTTTGCCCACTTTTTAATGAGGTTGTTTGTTTTGTGCTTGTAAATTTGTTAAAATTCCTTATAGATGCTTGATATTAGACCTTTGTCAGATGCATAGCTTGCAAATATTTTCTCCCTTTCTGTAGGTTGTCTATTTACTCTGCTGATAACTTTTTATGCAGAAGCTCTTTAGTTGAATTAGATCTCATTTGTTAATTTGTGTTTTTGTTGTAATTGCTTTTGGCATCTTTGTCATGAAATCTTCACGAGGATGTATGTCCAGAATGATATTTACTAGTTTATCTTCCAAGGTTTATAGTTTTAAGTTTTACATTTAAGTTTTTAATCCATCTTGAGTTAATTTTTGCATATTGTGTAAGGAATGGGTCTAGTTTTAATCTTCTGCAAATGGCTAGCCAGTTCTCCCGGTACCATTTACTGAATAGGGAATCCTTTCCCTGTTGCTTGTTTTTGTCAGGTTTGTTGAAGATCAGATAGTTGTCGGTGTGTGGTCTTACTTCTGGGTTCGCTATTCAGTTCCATTGGTCTATGTGTCTGTTTTTATAAGAGTACCATGCTGTTTTGGTTACTCTAGCCCCAGAGTATAGTTTGAAGCTGGGTAGCCTGTTGCCTCTAACTTTGTTCTTTTTGATTAGCATTGTCTTGGCTATTCAGGCTCTTTTTTGGTTACATATAAATTTTAAAATAGTTTTGTCTAATTCTGTGAAGAATCTCAGTGGTAGCTTAATAAGAATAGCACTGAATCTATAAATTGCTTTGGGCAGTATGGCCATTTTAATGATATTGATTTTTCCTATCCATGAGCATGGAATATTTTTCTATTTGTGTAATCTCTGAATCCTTTGAGCATTGTTCTGTAATTCTCATTGTAGAGGTCATGCACCTGCCTGGTTATCTGTAGTCCTAGGTGTTTTATTCTTTTTGTGGTTATTGTGGATGTCATTATATTATTGATTTGTCTTTCAGCTTGGATGCTTTTGGTGTTTAGGAATGCTGCTGATTGTTGTACGTTGATTTTGTATCATGAAACTTCACTAAAGTTGTTTATCAGATCACAGAGCTTTCGATCAGAGACTATGGGGTTTTTCAGGTATAAAATCATATTGTCTGCAAACAGAGACAGTTTGACTTCCTCTTCCTATTTGAATGGATTTCATTTTTCTTCTCTTCCCTGATTGCTCTGGCTAAGACTTCCAGTACTGTGTTAAATATAAGTGATGAGAGAGGGCATCCCTGTCTTGTTCTGGTTCTCAAAGGGAACACTTCCAGCTCTTGCCCATTCAGTATGATGTTGGCTATAGATTTATTGTAGATGGCTCTTACTATTCTGAGGTATGTTCCTTCAAAGTCTAGTTTGTTGAGGGTTTTTAACATAAAGGGATGTGTATTTATACCAAAAGCCTTTTCTGCATCTGTTGGATAATCATTTGGTTTTTGTTTTTAGTTCAGTTTATGTGCTGAATGACATTTATTGATTTGCATATGTTGAACCATCTTTGCATCCAAGGGATAAATCCTACTTGATCAGGGTGGATTAGCTTTTTGATGTGCTGCTGGATTTGGTTTGCTGATGTTTTCTTGACGATTTTTGCATCTATGTTCATCAAGGATATTGGGCTGAAGTTTTATTTCTTGTGTGTGTCTCTGGTATCAGGATGATCCTGGCCTCATAAAATAAGTTAGAGAGGAATCCCTTCTTCTTAATTTTTTGGAGTAGTTTCAGTAGGAATGATACAAACTCTTCTTTATACATCTGGTCAAAATCAGCTGTGAATCCATCTGGTCCTGGGCATTTTCTGGTCGATAGGCTTTTTATTACTGATTCCATTTCAGAACACATTATTGGTCTGTTCAGGGATTCAGTTTCCTCTGGGTTCATTCTTGGGAGAATGTGTGTGTCCAGGAATGTATCCATTTCTCCCAGATTTTCAAGTTTTTCTGAGGAGATGTGTTTGCAATAGCCTTTGAGAATTTTTTGTACTTTTGTGAGGTCAATCGTAACATCCCCTTTGTCATTTCTGATTGTGTTTATTTAGATCTTTTCTCTTTTTTTCTTTATTAGTCTAGTTAGTGATCTATCAATCTTATTTATTCTTTTGAAAAACCAACTCCTGGATTTGTTGTTCTTTTGTATTTTTTTTGCATCTAAATTTTCTACATTTCAGCTCTGATTGAGGTTCTTTCTTATATTCTGCTTGCTTTGGGGTTGGTTTGCTCTTCTTTCTTTAGTTCCTCTATGATTAATGTTAGGTTGTTAATTTGAGATATTTCTAGCTTGTTCATGTGGGCATTTATTTTAGTGCTACAGACTCACCTCTTAACATTGATTTAGTTGTTTCCCAGAGATTCTTGTAGGTTGTATCTTTGTTCTCATTAGTTTAAAGAATTTTTTGATTTCTGTCTTAACTTCATTGTTCACTCAAAAGTCATTCAGGAGCAGATTGTTTAGTTTCCATGTAACTGTATGGTTTTCAGCTGTTTTCTTAGTATTGATTTCTGTAAATCAACCACACAATCAAGTCTGCATAATAACCAGCTGACAGCATGATAACATGATCAGACCTACACAAATCAATATTAACCTTGAATGTAAACAGATTAAAGGCCCCAATTAAAAGGCACAGAGTGTCAAGCTGGATACAGAAGCAAAACTCAACTCAAGCAAGACTCAACTCTATACTGTCTATAAGAGATCCATCTCACATGCAATGATGCCCATATGTCAAAAGTAAAGGGACTGAGAAAAATCTACCAAGCAAATGGAAATCAGAAAAAAGCAGGAATTCCAATTTCAGATAAAACAGACTTTAAGGCCAACAACACTCAAAAAAGACAACTAATGGCATTACATAATAGTAAAGGGCTCAATTCAAATAGAAGTCCTAACTATCCTGAATATATATGCACCCAATACAGGAGCAACCAGATTTATAAAGCAAGTTCTTAGAGACCTATGAAGATACTTAGATAATCACACAATAACAGTGGAAGTCTTCAATAACCCAATGACAGTATTAGATAGAACATCAAGGCAGGAAACTAATAAAGATATTCAGGACCTCAACTTGACGTTTGACCAAATGGGCCTCACAAAAATCTGCAGAACCATCCACCCAACAGTGACAGAATATACATTCTTCTCATCTGCACATGGCACACAGTCTAAAATTGCCCACACAACTGGCCATAAAGCAACACTTAGCAAATTAAAAAAAAAAAACTGTAATCATACTGAAGGCACTGTTGGACCACAGTGCACACCCTGTTTTAAAATTTTGTTCATTTAGTTTTATTTTCATTCTCTGCTCTTTATTTTTATTTTTTTGTAAGTCTAGGATCCTGTAGCTTATCCATCTTGATTTAATTCTTGAGAGTGAAAGTTTCTTTAACTATCTACGTTCCAACCAGGAGTCATAGTTTTGTTCTTTCTTATCTCCATTTCTCTTAATCATGTCCTATCTCTTATCATCTTTGATAGCTGCAACTCTTGCAAAATCTTCATTTCAATCATACAGTTCCCTAACCAACATCCCCCTCCTTACAACTTAGCTGCTCTTGCAATCCCACACCTGTAATTATTTTAATTCATTAGCAACTTCAGTTCCTTTCCTCTATCAATTTTTAAAAATCCAGGATCTCTTTCACGTTTCCACTTCTATATTTACCCTGATTGAGTTTTGTGATCTGCCATTTTATGCATTTTGCTGCCATCTTCGTCAACTCAAATTGCTTCTCTACTTTTAATGACATTCATAGTGACAATCAAGTAGCTTGAATTGTTGTAGAAAAATAGCATAACCAAGATTAACCATAGATCTCAATTGTGAATTTAACTTTACATTGAATTATTCCATTTCTAACACTCCTCTAGCTAATGATTTGTATATTACTAATTTTAGTTCTAATTTATCTCTTCACTTTTCTGTAGTCTTGTCAGGCCACTTCTCAGGTCTTAAACATTTTATTTCTTTTTATTCTGTGATTCTTTTGATTTTTGGCTATTTCTTTATGGTCTTCTCATTTATTTTTTCTTCTCAGTTCCCTTTATTGGCTCTAACTCCATTTAGCCTCCAAATAACACCTGTTTATTGGATGACTCCTGGTTCCTCTTCTCTTCTGAAGCTTTAGATTATCTCTGTATTTTTCTCTTTCAGTAACATGGATATATATGCCATTTATACCAATGATTTCTAAATATAATTTTTTTTCTGATCTCTCAACTAAGGTATAGAGTCATCCATCCAATAATCTCATTGGAAACTTGATTTGGATACCTTATAGCTTTCCAAATTTAAAATGTCTAAATAAAGACCCTTCATATCTAGCCTTCAAACAGATTCCTCCTTCACTTTCCTTTCCTCCGTCTGTGGAAATGATTAATGCCATGCTCTCGTATTCAGAGCAAAATTTTAGGAGTCAGTCTTGAGGTCTGTTTTTCTATCAACTCACCTTATTTAATCAATTTAAAAAATTTATGAGGCTCTAACTTTAAAGTATATCTTGAATCCTTTTAGTTTCTCAATATCTTCTTTGTTAATGCCCTAAATCAAGCCAACATGATCTTACACCTAGACTATTGCAATAATTTTCTAAATGATCTCACTATTTCCATGCTGCCCCTTCGTATCTACTTTCCACATAACAGCAAGACTTTTGAAGTATGAAATACAACAAATCCTCTATCTGCTTATAGGATTCCTGGTAAAAATTAATCAAAATACAGAATACTTACTTTGACCTACTGGGCCCCACAATTGTCTGTTTAGCACTTCCTGTTATTCACTTTGTTTATAATGCTTTGTTCTCTTTAAAGTTCCTCAAAAATGCAAACATATTTCTGCTTCTGTTTGCCTCTTACTCTAACACCCGCAAAAGCCAGATCCTGCTTATAGTTTAGATGTTACCTACTTATAGAGCCCTTGCCTAATGACTCAATCTAAAATAGAATCCATTTTGTTTTTGTGCTTTTCTTCAATAGAATTTTTCAAATGATCTTTTACTACAGTGTTTTTTGATAGTCTGTAACTAATTCATGTAACAATAACATATAAGAAAAAAATTTCTGCTGGGCACGGTGGCTCACGCCTGTAATCCAGCAATTTGTGAGGCCGAGGTGGGCAGATCACGAGGTAGAGAGATTGAGACCATCCTGGCCAACATGGTGAAACCTCGTCTCTACTAAAAATACAAAAATTAGATGGGTGTGGTGGCGGGCGCCTATAGTCCCAACTACTCAGAAGGCTGAGTCAGGAGAATCGGTTGAACCCGGGAGATGGAGGTTGCAGTGAGCCGAGATCACACCCACACCACACTCCAGCTTGGCGACAGAGCAAGATTCTGTCTCAAAAAAAAAAAAAAAAAAAAAAAAAAAAAAAAAAAAAATCATTCTACAATGAGAATCATCTTGTGCAAAATAATTATTTTCAATACAGAATTCTGAAGTTTCCATCTCTAATTTTTTTGTCTTTATACTAAAAAGCTAATCTTGGAGGATTTGTTTATGTTAAACTATGTGCTTGAGTTAAATTGATTAGTACGTTAGCAGCTGTCCAGTATAACAGAAAGGATTTGTGTATTGAAGAATGGTTCATATTTTTCTTTTCTTTTTTTTTTTTTTTTTGAGACAGCGTCTCGCTTTGTCGCCCAGGCTGGAGCGCAGTGGCGCGATCTCTGCTCACTGCAAGCTCCGCCTCCCGGGTTCACGCCATTCTCCTGCCTCAGCCTCCCAGGTAGCTGGGACTACAGGCACCCACCACCACGCCTGGCTAATTTTTTTGTATTTTTAGTAGAGACGGGGTTTTCACTGTGTTAGCCAGGATGGTTTCGATCTCCTGACCTCATGATCCGCCTGTCTTGGCCTCCCAAAGTGCTGGGATTACAGGCGTGAGCCACCACGCCCGGCCAAGAATGGTTCATATTTTTTAAGTATGCTTGATTGACCAGCTGTTTATTAAAATATTTAGGATTATATTTCCACACCAAGGCAGAAAGTACATCTAGCATTCGTAAAAGAAGATCAAAATCTAGAACTAGAAATAAGACCCAAGGCAGTTAATTTCTTAGGACCTCTTCAGGGTGGCGTGCTCTTGTCTCTTTTCTCTGCTTTTCACCATAAACCTGTGTGTCACTTATATCTTGTTCTCTTTCATTCTTTTTTTTGGTTTTGTTTTGTTTTGTTTGAGACGGAGTCTCACTCTGTCGCCCAGGCTAGAGTGCAGTGGCACGATCCTCTTTCATTCTTTATTCTTTATGTACACATGACTTAATATGCTTACTCCACACCATACTGATCTTCAGTTCTAGTCATTAACGCAGACCAATTTCAAATTTCTGGAAGACATTATCCATTGTTTCAGTCTTGGCCAAGTTTTTAAACCTTGGTCTGTTTGCATTGTCCCAAGAGCTGCATTAAGTAGAGCATACATGGCTCTGAAGTCTCAGTCGTTTGAAAGAGTGGTTCTCAAAGAATAGTTAGTATGGACATGAACACAGTAGTAAGAGGTTCTTAATATATTTGGTAGTAGAAATATTGGCTAGTTTTAATTTTATTTTTATTATGAATTTAAACATATCAAATGTGTGTTACATAAAATAAGTAGTTGAAATAATTTTACTTTCAAATCTACATCAACACTTCCTGCATTTTAATCTGAATGTCTAAACCCAGTTAATTTTATAAAATTGTCATTCATAAATAATAAACAAGGTTTATGAATAAATATGCAATAAACCTTTATTGTTACCATTTATATGATAAATTTTTGTTTTCAAATGCTTTTTAAATTTGGACTAAGGCTTTTAACTCTATTTAAATGTTATTCATTCTCTAAAAGTAAAAGTTAGGCTTTAGGTTATGTTACTATAACACAGAGATTCAAACATACAGTGATTCAAAAAATATAGAAGTTTAATGTCTCTTACATTATAATCTATGCATAAGTAAGTGACCCACAGTGGGATTGCAGCTCCTCTCCATGAAATTATGGGCCTTGGGTTCTTTTTATATAATTTTCTTTGATTTCCGTTGACATTGGCATATTTGATATTTGGTCGCCAGCCCCAGTCACATCCAGCCCTCAGGAAAGGAGAAGAGGAGTACAGAAGGCAAACTAATTATTTGGAGAATATAATATCAACATTTTAAACCTAATTTATTCTCACACTCCATTGTGCAGAAATTCACATAGCTTCACCAAATTAAATTTATTGAAAGAAAGACTAGAAAATATGGCTTCTTTCTGAGCTGGCATGTGCCTACTTATGTGTGTGTATGTGTGTTTCTTAACTAATGTAAAATAAGGGGACTGAATATTAGGGAATGTTTAGTTTTTTTCTGTCATTCTAATTATTTCATACAATAATTCTTTTTTCTTCCACTCTTAATTTTGATTCATCTTTTGGCTAATTGTACTTTATTTTCAAGTAGTATTTTCTAGTAGTATCTGTGAAATATCTGTTACCTTCTCAAATTTAGGTCAAATTAACTTGCTACAAGAATTTATAGAAATCACAACTTTTCCTTTAGAGGCGGTCTTGAGAAATTAAAGATGAGATTTATTCCTGTCACTTAAAATACTAATTTTATTTTTCTGTCTGGATGTTATATGTTATTTTTTCTTTAGAAATGCAATGTACGTGACGTTTGCAGCAACATGGATGGGGCTGAAGTGAATTCAAACAGGAACAGATAACCAAATACTTCATGTTCTCACTAACAAGTGGCAGCTAATCATTGAGTCCACATGGACACAAAGAAGGGAACAATGAGCACTAGAGCCTATTTGAGGGTGTAGGGCTGGAGGAGAGTGAGGATCAAAAAACTGCCTGTTGGGGCCCCGGCTCAGTGGTTCACACCTGTAATCCCAGCACTCTGGGAGGCCGAGGCGTGTGGATCACCTGAGGTCAGGAGTTGGTGACCAGCCTGGCCAACATGGTGAAACCCTGTCTCTACTAAAAAATACAAAAAAATAACCAGGTGTGGTGGTGGGTACCTGTAACCCCAGCTACTCAGGCGGCTGAGTCAGGAGAATCGCTTGAACCCACTAGGCAGAGGTCGCAGTGAGCTGAGATTGCGTCACTGTACTCCAGCCTAGGCGACAGAGCAAGACTCCATCTCAAGAAAAACAAACAAACAAACAAAAAAAACAAAAAAAAACCTACCTGTTGGGTACTATACTTATTACCTGGGTGACAAAATAATCTGTACATAAAATCCCTGCAGCATGCAATTTACTCATGTAACCAACCTGTACACGTAACCCCAAATCTAAGATAAAAGTTGGAAAGAAAATAAATAAATAAATAAATAATAAATAAATAAAAGCTTTTTTCCCAAAGGAAAAAAAGAGAAATGTATAAATAACATTACAGGTATATATCTAGCTATAAATCTCATTTCAATATGTTTCTTTTCTGGAAGAAAAGAAGTAAAAAATCAGTACAATGAGACTGATAGGCTGAATTAGATCTTAGAGAGTTTATGCTGCTGTGATATTCAATGTCACTTGAAAACCTGATATAGTATTTCATATAACAAGGACTCACAGTTCACATGTAATAAGAATGAGTGCAAGGAGAGAGGTGTGACTCGTAGAGCCACATGTCCGTGTCATCTGTAATAAACAGGTGGGGGCTGAAATATGCGAATGGGATAGAAGAGAATGATACTATTGGAGGTAGTTATTAGACACAATTGTTTCAATTTTCTCAATAATAAGTGAGTTTGTGAAGAGTGAAGAGTATGAAGCTTTTTGGTCAACTTTATGTTAGTAGAAAGATGACTTATTTTTTCTGTTTTTTTTTTAATTAAAGAGATCTCAATATATTTTATAAGAAAGGAAGGTTCATGAATTATACCACTAAAAGTGACTTTAAGCATTCCTTGAAACCATAACCTGCTAGAGAGCAGGGACCGTGTCTGTCATCATTATTTTTCCTTAGTGTGAAGAACAGATCTAGACACGAGGCAGATGTATAATAAATATATTTTGAACAAATGAGTAGATGGATGAAATGAGTCAAGGCAAATTATTTAATTTTCTTGAATAATCAGTCTGTGCTAAGCACTGGGCTGAACAATTTATCAAAGGTTATCTCATTTTATTTAATATTTGCAAGAGTTTTTTTTATTGTTTCCACATGAAATATACAAGAGAAAAGATATGTGATTTTCCCAAGTTCACATAGTAAACTTAAAATCATCTTATAGCAACCACACAATGACTCTAAGTGTTATAAAGATGGTGCCACCTTTTTAAAAAGCTTGTATTTGCTAGGACATCTGTTCTGAAAAGGGAATACATTATAGTGGAACAAAATCCATTTTATGTTTTTTCTTTTCAGTTTAGGATAACTCTAATGTCTCTTCTATATTGCAGTCTTCTAAAAGTGTGAAGAAAATTATTAATTATGTCTTAAATTATATCCTCCCCAAGCTAAATATTTACTTATGTGATCACTATTCTAGATTAAAAAGAGAAACCTAGGGGAACTGAAAAGAAAAACACTCAGCCAGTCCATTCCTTTCAATTAACTTAATACCCGTATTTCTTCTAATCCCACAAAGATAATTCATTCTTAAAAATTGTATTCACATAAAAGATTTGTTTATTTAACTTGAAGATGTTCATTCCCCCCGTGTACTACTCTGTCACTCTTTCTCATCTTCAAAGTTGTGTTGTCACTATTTCAATGTGACATTTTCATTTATCTGTTTAACTGTTTCTTTTTATCTATCCTCCACTAAAATTCTGAAGTTTCATCAAACAGGCTATTCTGAATTCTCTATATGTTTCTAGACATGTTTCTAGAATTGTCTTTGGCACATATTTCTTCTTGCAGTTGAATCTGTGTGACTCTGATTTAAATTGCTTTAATAACAAATATTTTCTTCAGCTTCCATTCTTGCATATTTCCGTGTTTCTCTTAAAATAGAGTTCCCATAAAATAATTAAATTATCCAGCTAAAGGAGAATACAGTTGTCATATCTCTTTCCCTAAATATTATGCAACTGTAATTGTATCTGAAGTTCACATTAATGTTTTTATTGGCATGACATATACACAAGAGATGAATAGGGAGAAACTGAATATTCAAGACAGAATCAAGAAAATTAATGGAACATGATCCAAGAAAAGGTAGGAGCCAAGACTTGGAAACACAGATATTAGAATTTGCCTAAGAAAGACATAGGACACCTCTTTCTCTAAGACAGTTGTAAGAGTAGAGAATAGGTAAAGTTAAGGCAGGGATGTAACGAAGAAGCAAGTAAAGAAAATTGCATTTTAACATTTTATTTTATTGCTATTAAACTCTTAACGAATATATCTTTTACATTTCTATGTTGGCAATAAGTTTAAGCGATAACAACAGCAAAACTGCAATAGAAACTTGAATAATATAAACAAGAATAATATTGATAATTGCTAATATGTATTGAGTATATGTGTGAGACAGTCTTCTATGGACTTGAATTGAGTTAGATTATTATATTCTCATAATGACAATATAACCTATTATATTTCTTTTATATCTATGCTCTTAACTGTAGAACAGAGTTTTCAACCTTTGTTTAAAATAGTTCATTTACATTTAAATGAATGATAATTGGTGGTGATAGTCACTTTATAATGATGTGAATTTGGAATTACTATTTTTCTGCACTATTTAATTAATGCAATGATTCTTCTTTTGCTTGCTTTCCATGACAAACTGACCCATTTTTACTATACCTTTAGGTAAATAATTTAATAAAAATGAGAAAGTGGTTTTTCTGGTTCCTATTTCTCTGTTATGAGCATACAAATATTACGTTTTCTACCATAATTATTGTCATTTTATTTTCAGGCTTCTCTACATAATTAGATGTTATTAGAATACTTATAGATTAGAATTACACAATAGAACTTTCTGTAACTGTTGCTAATAACTCACAACCTTGGGTAATTTTTCCCTCCCACTATTGACACTTTCAGTTGTTTCTGATCTGGTATGAGTTTGGAAAAATGCTAGGGAAAAGGGGAATGTTCTATTTTCTATTTTCTATTCAGTATACAGCCTGTAGATCCCTTTGAAAAAAAATCAATAAAATTTCTATAAAGATTCAAAGATAATTTACAGAAAATATAATGCTACCTTTTATGATAAAAAAATACTTTTAAGAGCCATTACTCCTGCTAAATATGCTGAAGTGCTAGTTTCTGAAGAGGCAGCAGTAATGTTATTCACTGGGTATAGTTCTTCGTTTTAATCATCATTCCTAAACTTTCATCGTATTCAAGCTGTCACCTCCAGTTCTAATGTCTCATTGATTTTGGAAGTCATAGTCGTTTCTTCTTTTACATTTCTGTCAAGACAGTTGTGTAGGATAATAAAAATTCGAGTGCCTTAAAAGGAGTGTCTTACTTTGTGTCTATAACTTAGTTTCGTAGAAGACTTTGAGTCTGATATTGAACCATCGGTAGTAAAACTAGGAATGTGAATCCATGTGAACTTGTATTATTGAGCCATATTTTAAGACACTTAATTTTTTAAATTAATTTTTCTGAATTGCAAATGCATTCAATCATATTAAATGTTTTTATTTAAGATACCTCTTGTTTTACTAGATTGTTACTTGTTTACAGATTGTTACCCTCTTTATATTATACAATACTTAACTTTTCATTCACACTGTAGATTTAGCACTGGAATATATATAATTTCATATTCATTATTTATAAATTTTATTTATTTGTTACCTTAACTTCAAATCATAGAATTTAAGATTTAGAAATATGCATGCCAAAATTTCCTCAGAGATAAATGTCACTTTTAATGCTTCCACAATGAGAAATCATTAGAAATGACTAGAGCATGGTGGTAACACAACAGAGAAATAATACGTACTCACCTACGTCACCTAGAATTACCACTGATAATCTTTTATAATCTTTTGCCATGTTATGAAATATTTGTTTTTATACAGATGTCTACTCTCAAAATAATGAAATTGGATCACAAGCAGAAAATGTTTCAGTCCACAGTTCTCCCATATCCTACATTAAAGCGACTCAAAGTAGATTAGCAATACCTAGCCATGTATTTGCATAATAGCTTTTCCTTTTCCTTTTTGTTACCCCAACTGATTACATGAGAGCACCACTTCTATTCTATTATTCCCTTGAGAAAAACCAGCTGCCCATTATGTAAAATTCATGTAATTTGCTGGTTTAAAGAACATTGTCTAAACTATTGGCTTTGGTCTTCATCTTAAAATATCAAAGGAGACAAGGCCCCTGATGAGATTCTACTGGGGATTTCTTCCATTTCTTTAAAATTAGTATTTAAAGGAGGAAATTTAGATGATAGGTAAAATCTTTATAAATCTTTGTCACATGTAAATTCTGATAACTTATCTCTATAAATAATTGCATGAGTCTCCTGGTATTAAGGGGAACGCATGTTCATGAAATCTCCTAAAATTCCACGGGTCAAAATTTTTATTTTCTTTACATTATTCCAGGGCACTCCTGTGGCCATTTCTCAGTATAGTTTAGTAGAAAAAAAAAAAAGGGATGATGTATAACACTCCTGAGATGCAAGTAATGCACATCGACATTTTCTAATACTGTAATCAGGCATTATAGGTATCACACCATTAACAGAATATATATTTGTTGAGTGTCTATTTTATATAGGAGACTATTTTTCTCTCTATGGGAGATGATAAAAGGGTAAGTGCTCGTAATTTATTGAAAGAACTTAATAAAAAAGTGAGAAAATTATGACATAGAGATAAATATTTATACTCACAGCCTGATGGTGTTTTGGTAAAAGAGAGAAAGATATGGCTAGGGAGGTATAGGCAAATGTGTGAAGATGTCATGAAAGTGATATCTACATTATGTATCAGAATCCCTAAAATATTGAGGATATAGCACAATAAGCAGAAAGAATGCATTAAAATTCAATAATGGAAAGGTTAGAGGTATATTTTAAAATCCATTGTTATCTAAATTGAAATACAGAGAATATTAGAAGGAAAAGGTGAGGCTAGAGCCAAGAGGGCCTAGAGTGACCCTAGAGGGTCAAGTGCTTGTCATGGGCAAGTGGTAGTTATTGGAGAGTATTGAAAAAAGTAATGGCATAATTACATCTATGATTAGATTATATCGATAATACAATAAAATATTCAGAGCAGGGTAAGGATATGTAATATTAAGCAAGATTAGAACTAGACAGTGGAGAGCTGGGCAGGGTGGCTCACCCCTGTAATCCTAGCAGTTTGGGAGGAAGAGGAGGGTGGATCATTTGAGGTCAGGAGTTCAAGACCAGCCTGGCCAACATGCTGAAATCCCATCTCTACTAAAAACACAAAAATTAGCCGGGCATGGTAGCAGGCACCTGTAATCCCAGCTACTTGGGAGGCTGAGGGAGGAGAATTGCTTGAACCTGGGAGGTGGAGTTTGCAGTGACAGTGAGCTGAGTTCGCGCCACTGCACTCCAGCCTGGGCGACAGAGTGAGACTCCGTCTCAAGAAAAAAAAAAAAAAAGAACCAGAGAGTGGAAGGAAATGTTGTAAGTTAACAAAAGAACAAGAGGTAGACAAAAATCTGGTGGTAAGTTTAGATATAATTTAAAAATAAGGTAATTATTTAAATGTTACATGATATCATAACCAATTATAAAAAATAAAAAGATGTAAAAGTATCAGTTATGTATTATTTTACTAATTTGTAGGGTACCTATGATTACATATTAATATAAGAATTTCTATATATTCTTACATTGTTTACATGAAGGCAACAGAACAGAAGTGATTATGGATATAATGATGTTGGTCATGGCTCATATTTGTCTCAGAACAAAAGGCCAAACACTCTACTACTCCTTCTGTGAGCTTTGTTGCTGTGTACTTGTCATTAATGTAACACAATCAAAGCAACACCTTTGTTCAGAGATATCTTTTCTCCTAATGCCTCATATGTCCACACACTGCCTGCTGTCATTTTCAAGTCACCAGAGCTCATTGTATTTGGTTTCCAATTGTGGCGCAATATCTTCATTAATGTGTGCAGTTATCTTTTTTTCAAATTAATTGTTATTTGTCATATATATATATGCATATGTTTGTGTTTACCCTACCTTGTTCCAGAAAGAATTTAAAGTAACTTATAGTGTGTTATATAACATATTGAAAAAATAAGAGTAAGAAAACCAAGGCTACAAACAAACAAACAAAAATACTAAAAGTAAGTGTGACTGCAGCACCAAAAAATATGCATTTCATAAAAATGTATATACTTACTTGGTGTAGCCAAAAATTTGCTCATATACTTTTCCGTTAACCAAGATAAAGAGAAAACCTGATCAGTTATAAGATTCACAGAAATTAACTAAACAATACCATAGAAACAAAACAATTCCTGATCTTAAGTACAGAGAGAGAATCTCCTAAGAGACATAATAAAGAAGACTCTGGCTTTCTTGTATCACTTTCATATTTTGTTGACAATACATTCATTGAATTTTGTTGTAATGACATGTATCTTCAAAGATAAGAAAATATTGACCAGGCGCGGTGTCTCATGCCTGTAATCCCAGCACTTTGGGAGGCCAAGGTGGGCAGATCACGAGGTCAAGAGATCGAGACCAACCTGGCCAACATGGTGAAACCTCGTCTCTACTAAAAATACAAAAATTAGCTAAGCATGGTGATGCTCACCTGTAGTCCCAGTTACTCGGGAGGCTGAGGCAGGAGACTCGCTTAAACCCGGGAGGCGGAGGTTGCAGTGAGCCGAGATCTTGCCACTGCACTCCAGCCTGGGTTACAGAACAAGACTTCACCTCAAAAAAACAAAAGTAAATAAATAAATAAATAATAAGAAAATATTGTTGAATTATAATCAATGAAAAGTGCTAACTACTGAATGAGGAGGAAAAGAGAATTTGGGAGTGTTGTGTTTTTTTGCATTTTCCATTTATCAAGTCTCACATTATTCCTAAAGTTAATATTTTGTGTACTTCACCCCAGTGCCTACGTAATTAATTTTTTCAAAAAATTTATTAAATTCACAAAATGTTATTTCCTTTGGACATAATTGCATATTCAGAAAAACTGTATTATTCTTGGTTTCTCTTTAAGCATACCCAAATATTAATTAAATGCCAATTTGTACCTGGTATTGTGCTTAGTTCTGGTAGTACAATGATGAGCAAAAATAGATGAGTCTAGGTCTTCAATGAGATTGTAATGTAGAACAAAAATCTTTAAAAAAATTTTAATAAACTGCAAACAAGTTACATGCTTTGAAAAAAACAAATGTATTATGTGTCTATAAACACGATCAACCAAAGAGCATGACTTAGGCTTCAAATTTGCAAGAGAATTCCCTAGGAAGAGCTACTTGTGAAGCTGTCTGAAAGATTAAGAAATGGTAATTTATATTAAGAAAAACTTTTTCAAAGGAAACAGCTTGTGTAATGTTCTTCAAGTACAAATAAGCACATGCTTTTGTCCAGGCATGGTAGTGCACACCTGAAATCCCAGCACTTTGGGAGGCCAAGGTGGGCAGATAACCTGAGATCAGGAGTTCAAGACCAGCCTGGCCAATATGGTGAAACCCTGTCTACTAAAAATACAAAAATTAGCCGGGTGTGGTTGTGGGCACCTATAAGCCTAGCTACTCCAGAAGCTGAGGCAGGAGAATTGCTTGAACCCAGGAGGCAAATGTTGCAGTGAGCTTAGATCACGCCACTGCACTCTAGCCTAGGAAAGAGAGAGAGACTCCATCTCAAAAAATAAATAAATAAGCACGTGCATTTGAAGAACAGTAAAATGGTAAGTGTGACTGCAGCACCAAGAACAAAAAGAAACACGACATGAGATAAAGTTGGAGAAGGAGAGAGGGGCCAGTGCATTCAAGACCCTGCCAAGATTTTGGCATACATTCCATGACCATTGACGAGTCTTTAAAAGTTCTTAATGAGCCCAGTGAAAAGTCAGTTTTATATTTTAAAGAAAAAAAGATTGGTTTCATAACAGAAAATGTATTGAGAGAAATCCAGAAACTTGCTCTTGGATTTGTTGGGTTTGATGTTTCTTAGAGCTATGTGAAATCTATCAAGGGACAGTTGGATTGACAAGGGTGAAATACATTTTGGCAACTCAACTGATAATATTACCTTGGGGGCATTTAAATATAAAGTGTATTAAAGCCATGTCTGGAGATGAGGTCTTCACATATTACTTCTAACTTTTTTTTTATATATGACATGTCCACATTCTTCTCATCCTAAGCCCATTATTTCTTCAAAGAAATCTTAATAACAGTTTTAAACTTTTAATTGTGTCTTAAAAGAAAAATAGGAATTGATAGAGGAGAGTCGATGAAAAAACTAAGCAAACTGTGCCACGGCACAGAGGTGTGAATGAGCTCTCAGGGAAGAGTGAATGGCTCAAAATGTTTGATGGTCATGATTCACGTAGAGAAACCCTCAAAAGTGAGTTTGGAATAACAGGGTGGAGACAGATCATGAAAGACACTGCCGATTCTGTTAAAGAACTGGACATTTCCATACAAGTGAATGAGAAACTAAAAAGCCATTGGAGGTATTTAGTAAGGTAAATATGTGTTAAATTATTGGATATAGAAGTTTATTTTGTTCTTGGCACAAGATGCTTAAATTCTTGTCAAAAATTATATCTTTCCAGGTCTGTATTACTTCTTTAGCTACATATTCAGAATTTACCTCATACTTAATGTAAAGCCATAACTTGTGTTCTACTTTACTACATTTCATCCCAACTTGTACTCATTCTGGCAGCACTGCTATTCTGTTCCATTTCCAATACAATAAATTTAATTTGAATTTACTGAGTTTCTATATTTTAAATATAGTACATTATTTTCATATCTAACATGTATGTAACGCCAACATTATCCCAAATAGTATAGTAAATGCTGCAAGTGTCTGAGAAAAACTAGGTGTCAGTGTTATTACTTTTCTTGAAAAATTATTATTATTATTATTTGAGACAGAGTCTCACTCTCTCACCAGACTCGAGTGCAGTAGCACAATCTCAGCTCACTGCAACCTCTGCCTCTTGAGTTCAAGTGATTTTTGTACCTCAGCCTCATGAGTAGCTGAAATTACAGGCATGTATCACCACTTCCATCTTATTTTGTAATTTTAGTGAAGACAGGGTTTCACTATGTTGGCCAGGCTGGTCTCGAACTTCTGACCTCAAGTGATCTGCCCTCTTTGGCCTCTCAAAGTGCTGGGATTACAAGTGTGAGTCACTATGCCTGGATGAGAAGTTAATTCTTTCTTTTCACTTTGAAATTAATTTTTATATTTGTTCATTTATTTGTTTAACACATAATAATATTTAGTAATTATGAGAGCTAAGGCAACAACATGATGCTGGTGTTATTTTAAGATTTTTGTAGATTTAACAACTTTTATCTGCAGAAATACTTTAAAAATGTTTAAATCACTTTTGAAGAAGTAAGAAAAAGTTATGTTATTATACTCAACTTTCATAAAGTGAAGCAGAAGAAACATTGATGTATTTGTCCAGGGTCATAAAGCTTAAAAGTGAAATAGCTTAAGTTAAACCTAGGCAGTATGAATGTGAGCCTACAACCTTGGTAGTCACTACACTATTCTGTCTCACACTATAGTAAAGAGTAAATAATATATATGTGTGTGTATATGTGTGTATATATATATATACACACACAAATATGTATATATAAACATGTATTGTCTATATATTACATATATACTATATGTATTATGAATAAAAAATGGTATTTATAATTTGCCATCTATTTAACTGGTATTATACAACATACTTGAGAGAGAGTGCTTTTTTTTTTTTTTTTTTTTTTTTTTTTAAGATGGAGTCTCCCTCTGTTGCCCAGGATGGAGCACGGCGGCATGACCTCAGCTCACTGCAATCTCTGCCTCCTGGGTTCAAACGATTCTCCTGCCTCAGCCTCCTGAGTAGTTGGGATTACAGGCACCCACCACCACACCTGGCTAATTTTTGTATTATTAGTAGAGACGGAGTTTCACAGTGTTGCCAGGCTGGTCTCAAACTCCTGACCTCAGGTGATCCACCTGCCTCGGCCTCCCAAAGTGCTGGGTTTACAGGCGTGAGCCACCACACCTGGCCAAGAGTGCTTTAAAATATAGACAGATTTTGTCTTCATTTCAGTTTATACTTGCATGAAGAAAATCAGATTAAAAATAATTTTAAAATGAGATTGAAATTTTGTGATATTGTGAGTGCACATAACAGAAGCACATGATCTCATAGATGAAAGGTTGTAAGAATTAGATGAAACTTACCATAAAATGTGGTATTTCTTTGGCTATTCTTTGGAAAAATCTAAAGATAAGAGTTGTTATGCTAGAAGGGGACTCGGATAAGGTGGTCACTTCTCTCTGCATAATTCTGTGATTTTTATATTCCTCTCTATTCAGTAATATAAATGCAAATATAGAGAAAGCCACTCTGCTGAGTTTTAAATTTCCATGTCCACACTCAATGTTAGTATAATAGCATAATACAGGAAAAAGAAAATGGATAACAGAAATTTCTAGGTGATGCAACAGACCCTTGACTTAAAATTGGAGATGGAAACATGAGCAACAGAAAAGGTTGATAGATAAATAAACAGATCACTAAGGAAATATCTATATAAAGTCAACAGATCCAGCCTGATAGATCCATTTGAGAATAAAAAGTTTATGGTAATTGTCGAAATAGAAGCTACGGTTTGTATTTGAGAGTTTATTAATCAATTAAATCATAACATATTTCCAGTAGAAAAGAACATGCATTGTGTACTGATGAAAATAGAAGAAAGGTGATAAAAAAAAAAGAATGTAATTAGAAATGCGAAGATCAAGGAAATGAGAGGGCAGTGTTGAAATGAATTACCCATTTAAATTTTAGAATCATGCAGTGTACAAGGACCTCAAGTGTGTATGTGTATGCATGTGTGCATGGGTGTGAGTGTGTTTTTTCATTTTCCCTAGTTTGTATCAATAAGGACTGTTTTTGCTATAAATACAGTATTAGAAATGAAATATTAGAATGAGATAAATAGAACATTAAAAATTTAGAAAGAAAAAATGTGAACTTGAAGACAAGACAATTGAAACTATCTAAACTGTAGCTCAGAGAAATAAAAATAATTGAACAGAGCTTCAGTGACTTGTGTGACATCAGGAAGCCTAAAATATGTTTAATTGGAGTTCTAGAGGAAAGAGGAAGTAATATTTGAAAAATTATACATATAATATTTACCAATTTGAAAAAGTCTAGTTATAGGACTGCTTTAGGTTTTATTAAATAAGTAGCTCACAAATCATGGAGAAATGAGAATCTTTGATCATTTTCTTTTCTCCCCTCGCTCCCCCCGCCACCCGCCAGCCGCCAGCCATCCCCCGCCACCCTCCCCGTAGAGTTTCGCTCTTGTTGCCCAGGCTGGAGTGCAATGGAGCGATCTCGGCTCATGCAACTTCCGCCTCCTGGGTTCAAGCAATTCTCCTGCTTCAGCCTGAGAAGTAGCTGGGATTACAGGCACCCACCACCAAGCCCAGCTAATTTTTTTTATTTTTAGTAGAGATGGGGGTTTCATCATGATGGCCTGGCTGGTCTCGAGCTCCTGACCTCAGGTGATCCACCCGCCTTAGCCTCCCAAAGTGCTGGGATAAGAGGCATGAGCCACCGCATCCAGCCTCTTTGATCATTTTCCTGTGTTGTCCTTAGTATGTTAAACTCAGACTAGCTGCCTTCTAGCCAGAAAATGAATGACATATCTCAAATAATCAAATGTGCAGCAGAAAATGTACAACAGAAATAAAGAACATTTGAAATTCTTTTTATGAACATAAATAAAAACATTGCCAAAGCAGATTGGAAAATGTCTCTTGTGACTCTGGCCAGAGTCAAATTATGTGTCCTCTTCTAACTAACTCCATCTGTTAATGAGAATGGGACTACCACTGAAGTCTTGCCACCATAAAAAGAGAAGAAAATGGCCCTTGAGCAGACAAATTATAGTATCTGCCACATTCTGTTTCCTGTCCCTGTAGGTCATTCATCAGTTTATACACAGTGTAACTCAGATAAGCACCTACAGGCTTGTTTTACTCTTTGATCTCCTTCCATTTCTATATTTTTCATTGACCTCTCTATTTCTACCTATTCACATCACTTACTCTTAGTCTTTTCTTGCCTAAAGATACCACATACACGAAGTATGTGTGTCACTGGAAGTTATTTTCATCATTAATATTCTTAGATTACAATAAAACAAAAACATACAATCTTCCACTTGCTAACATTGATCACCTCTTCATAGTATAGCTTCATTCATCGTAAATCATAAATGTATGTATCCCCCATATGGAATTCTACCATAGCACTCTTATTTTAAATGTACATATTAAATTAATTTTTCAAGCCTACCAAGGATTAGAACACTGCTATGTGCCAAATCAAATTAGAGTTTGCATTTTCTAATGTGTACCACAGTACAAAGTGGAAATTGGTCAGAAAGGGGGGTAAAAAATAGTGAGAGACTCAGACTGAGAAAGAAAACAAAAAGTAAATGTGGGAATTGATGCTTGCACTTTGAATGGCAGGCAGAGGTAACAGATTTGGGATATTCAAACAAATAATTATATTGCAATGTGTTAAGAGTTATAAGAATAATGTGATTTAAAAGAATAGGGTAGGGTTTTAAAGATTAATTTCTGGAAGAGAGAGTATATTAAAGGGGATAACTTTCAGCTTGTTTTTAAAAATAAAAATTCTCAGGGAGAGAGGGAGATGTAAGTCCATTCTGCAGTAAAGGAAAAGTTGTTGTAGATGCAAATACGTATGAAAGATAGACACTAACATTGAAATGATAGCATTATAATTAAGATGTAATATTCTTAAAGAAGTAGTAGATGATTAAACCAGGTAAGTAGACTAAACATAATTATGAGCTATTGTTTCTAACAATTCTTATGATATTTATATTTCTATAAGAAATGTGGGACTGTATTTCATATTATTATTTATTAGTAATTTTATCTGTTCTTGCAGGTAAATGTCTTGGTGGTTAGTACAAGGTGCTTCCAGAACCCTCCATGATTGTGGGAAAAAACTTAAAAAAATAAAAGACCGTATATCTCTTAGGTTTGACTGAGTTATCATTAGTAATATTCAGCAGTGTAAATAAATTGCATGTAATATTTTGCCTCTGTTGGAAAAGGGATAGTTTACTTGTAAAGGTCATCTTGGCTGGATGGCAATGGCTCTTTGGACATTAAGCTAATGTATTCAGGAGTGAGTCTGATGCCATTTTGTATGCATTACATGCTGTCGAGAGAAACTGCACTTTGGTAAAAATGATGGGAGAAGGCCTTTGGAAAATGTGAACGCTAATTTGATTTGGCACATAGCAGTGTTCTAATCTTTGGTGGGGTTGCAAAAATTAATTTAATATGTACATTTAAAATCAGAATGCTTGTGGATGGAATCCCAGATGTGGGATACATACACCCACTCATGTGCTCACACACATACAAATGCACACACACTCAGAGATGTAATGTTGAGTTTAGGCATTTAAAATTCAAACATTCCGTTCAGACCAACTTTTACTTATATTGCACAGTATCACTTTGAAGATTGTCAGTTCCACCTAGCTTAGGTCCTTATCTTGTTGGGAATATAATAGTCTCTGGGTGATTTTCTTCTTTTCCTTAGTAAAGCTTAAAGATGTTCTTTAGTTTAACCAGAACAAAAAAGTGGAAAAGAAAGCCTGAGTACTTGTGATATACATTAAATGGCTCACTAAATAAGAGATATAGAAAAAATTGTAAATTTCCGACCAATAAAGCTATTAAAACCTGTTTATATTGGGACTCCTTTCTCAATGCTGTTTATTGTATTTTTATTAAATAAACTAATGTAACTCTAAGTATATTTTAAATTTGTGTATTATATTCAGTAAACACATAATCAGCTTTAAAATGTTTAATTGAAACAGACCTACAAAGTTTTAACATAGTTTGAATTGAGAAGGCAATCCACCTAATTAATGACACACATGTATTGCCCATGTGGATTTAAACACATTATCTATACATGTCATCCAAACCAAACTATGATATATGTATTGTGTTAATAATCTATTTTGGATTAATTCTTGCTGAGACAAAAGGTATATTCTTTGTTTTAATTTAAGGTGCACTTAATGGTTATCAAACTGAGCTTATCTTTAAAGATTATATTCATCTAATTGATGGGAGTGCTGCTCCTCATAGTCATCACAGTATGATTCAATTTACTAGTGAAGGCAGGATGCCTTTATGAATAATTTCACAGTGGGATTGAAAACTTATTCCCAAACAGTTAGTGACTATTTTTGTACCTGAGTGGGAGAGTGAAAAAACATTCCATACTTATAAAAAACAAAAAGTTAGAAAATGAAGTGGAAAATTATAAGATTACATGTATTGTTTATGTTTTGTTTGAATGGATTGACTTTTGAAAAATAACTAAGAATTTATGTTCATTTCTGCTTTGAATTAAAATGTTTGATTCAACTATCTGCATAATTGATTACAATAGAGTACAAAATAGAAATGAATAAATATGATGACTATATTTTTAAAAATTAGAAAAAAGACATCATTACTGGTGCTTAAAATTTCTTTGTCCTATAAAATCAACTTGAGATAGCCATTGCTAATGTAGAAAAATGCCATCTAGTATTCAATTTAGATTTCTTTGAAAGAAGATTATTTTTAAAATATACCTTACAGGGAGTGGTGGCTTATACTTGTAATCCCAGCATTTGGGGAGGCCAAGGCAGAGGATCACTTGAGCCCATGAGTTTGAGACTAGCCTGAGTAAATAGCAAACCCCATCTCTACAAAATAAAAAAGTAAAAATAGCCTGATGTGATGGTGTGCACCTGTGGTCCTATCTACAAGGGATCCGGAGATGGGAGAATCTCTTGAGCCTGGGAAGTTGAAACTGCAGTGAGCTATGATCAAGCCACTGTACCCCACTCTGGGCAACAGAGTGAGGCCCTGTCTCTCTCTCTCTCTCTCTCTCTCTCTCTCTCTCTCTATATATATATATATATAGATATAGATATATAAAATATATATATAATATATATAAATAAAATATATAAAATATATATAAAATATATATTATATATAATATATATTATATATATTATATATTATATATAATATATATTATATATAATATATATTATATATAATATATATTTTATATATTATATGAAATTATATAATTTTATATATTATATATAATATATATTTATATATATTATATATAAAAATATATATTATATATATAAAATATATATATTTAAATGTACCCCATATAAATAAAAAAAACAGAAAACAAGTGTGATTACTAGATCTAACCATAAGTCAGTATAAGATTGGTATACCATGTTTACACTTCAGTGCAAGGGCTGTGCAAACAGAGTACAGGGTAATAGGAAAATACAGGAAGAGACATATGCACAACCATAAGCAAGAATAGAATATTTCAATTTTCACATAAAATTTGCAATTTAATGTAATGAGAAGGGAGATTATTTTATAATCCAAGTTTGCCATTTAATCTAGGACAATCTGACTCTTGGTTGACTGAACTAGCTTAAAATAAAATCTGAATATTAACTTTTCTCTGAAAAGAAACATATTGAATAAATGAGATTAAAACAGTTTGATTTTAAGTAAATTTAATAATTATTTTAATTGTCTTCATTATTTCAGAGGAGTATGTGAGCATTTATTAAGAATGAATACTACACAAAGCATTATTAAGAATGACTTCAGAATTTGTTATTTCATTTTCTGGGTCCTAACTTAGATCATTCAAGTAAGACAGCAGTGTAGACAATTTACTGCAAAAACAAAATACAGTTTAATTTTGGAACTAACCATTGTAGATATTTATTTGGCTGTGATTAACATTTAATATGCATGACTCTACTATGGAGAACAGATTTGAAACTTGTCTTTAATAAGACTTTGATTTGAAAAGCAATATGCCGGAGAAGATTTAATAGAGTAAGATTCAACAAGCAAATGCATGTTGAAATAATTCCATACTTTCTTTTATGTCTGTAACAGATGTATCCAAGTGATAGGAGTGAAAGGCTCTGAACACTGTTTTGACATTAAAGAGCAACAGATTCAGCTACAATGCGAATTTGTTTCCACGTTTGCTTCTTTGTTGTTTGTCTGAGCGTAAAAAGATTGAATGATCTTAAACTTGTGAAATTACTGAATATGCTTTCTCTTGTAGTTATAAAGAAAGAGTCTTTTTCAGCATGAATGCATATTATTACTGACTGATATTGTGGCCACTTTTAATTTTGTACAGTGTAGCCATTACATAAACAATTAGGTTTCAATTAAAACTGTCGTGTCAGTGTCTTTAAATGCTTCCATATTAAAGAAATGTACAGCATAATAGGCTACCAAATGTTTCACCAACATTAAACTGTATAAAGGCAGTTGCTTTATTACCAATTAACAGTTCAAGCACATGCAAAAATCCTCTTTAACTACAATATGTACATAGTAAGTTACTATCTTTTAGAACTTTCATGATTGACTAGGGAAATGGGATTGTATGTTAATCACATCAGGAAGAAAATTTTAACTTTGTATTTAAGTATTACTAGAGATTGAGAAAAGCATTCATCCCTTACTGGGGAAGGAGCAAAATCCGTTGCTGTCCTGTGGCTCTGAGAAATAGGCCACACTAATAATCAATAACCATATGTTTGGCTTTGTTCATGTGTATGTGTGAACTTCAGTTTTCCAGAAATAATGGGCTAAGTTATCAGGGAAAACTCTCGCTGAAAATAACTAGGGAAATTGGATAAATATATATTTTAAAATCTTTTTAAAAGCATCTAATAGCTAACAAGATAGTAATAAATTATTATGATGAATTGTAAGAAACATTAGTGTCCAAAGAGCAAAACAACCCATAGGCACTTTTGGTCTGGAGTATATATTTTTACTTATCTTCTCATGTAGAAATAGGGCAAAAAAAATTTTAAGAGACCAAAATAAAAGCCACAGAGAGTGGTACTCTCACAGAAGACCCACTACACAAAAGAAGGATTCATCTAAGTTAAGGAAACAATGCAAGTGGTCAAGTCTTAGTGCAAAAATAAAAAAAATAGGCTTTAAAAGCCTTGCTAATCAATGGATAATCAGGTATTCATTTGACTTGAGGTGATTCCAGACTAGTTATATCTCCAGCTGATTAGTCAAAGCAAATTTAAAATCTCTCAGGAAAGAGTAACCCCATCCAAGGTTGCATATTGCTCCACAATGAAACATATATATATATATATATTTAAAAATATATATAATATAAATATAAATATAACTATTGTGAATGAGAAGCATAGTAATATTTATGGTGAGGGAGAAATATATTATTGATAGTTGGTACAAACCAGACCCTATGAGGGAGAAGCATATGTAAAAAAGACAACTTGTGAAAGACATAGTCAAATGTTAAGTCCATGTTAACCCTCTGGATCCCTGTAAAGATACTATCAATAAATTAAACACCTAAATCATCTTATTTAAACAATAGAGAAGAAGTGACAGTTATCAAATCTTAGAAAAATCTGGGGTGAGAGAGGATAAAATTACTTTCAAAGGAGCAACAGTTGTGTGTAACCTGACATCCTATGAGCAACAATAGAAACCATGAGATTATGAAATAACATCATTTGTGTGCTAAAAGAAATAAATGCCACCCTAGAATTTTTACTCCAGCGAAAATACCTCTCAGGTATTAAAGTGGTTGTATTAGTTCGTTCTCACACTGCTATTAAGAACTCCCTGAGACTGGGTAACTATGAAAAAAAAGAGGTTTAATTGACCCTCAGTTCCACAGGCTGTACAGGAAGCATGGTTGGGGGAGGACTCAGGAAACTTACAATCATGGCGGAAGGCAAAGGGGAAGTAAGCATATCTTCACATGGCAGTAGGAGAGAGAGAGAGAGAGTGAAGGGGAAAGTGCTACACCTTTCAAACAACCAGATCTCATGGAATCTCAGTCATTATCACCAGAACAGCAAGGGGGATGTCTGCCCCAATGATCCAATCACCTCCCACCAGGTCCTTTCTCTAACATATTGGGATTACAATTAGACATGAGATTTGGGTGGGGACACAGAGCCAAATCATATCAGTGGTAAAAGTCATTTCAGATCCCAACTTAAAAAAAAAAAAAGTAGATCTTAAATTTTAAAAAACTACAATTACATTTCAGATAGGTAAATAATATAATTAAATGCGATTATACTCAATGTTCTAGTTAAAAGAAAAAAATAGAAACATATGGGAAAATAGAGATATACTATAAATGTTGAGTAAAGATATGACTTATACAGAAATGAATGAAAGGAAAAGCACTGTAGCTCTATATGGAGAACACAGAGATTCTTAACCCATAGCTCTCTTCAAGGAATTACTTGTTGCCCTGGTTGCTGAGAATGCTGTCAGGCTACAGTTTTCAGTTCTCAGTGGACTCAGGAATGGCTTCAGTGGCACACAGCCACCTCCCCAACGATAATGCCTTTCTGGAGCAGCCACATCACATGACTATATGAGGCAGAGTTAGTAAGTCTCAGATGATTTGGCATGAATTGAGCCATTTCAGCTCCAGGGCTACCTGAGGGGTTGCCTGAGAATGACAGGCTTATATCAGAGCTGGAATTCTTCTGCTCGTCACTCTGGTCCACCTATTCCCTTCCACAAGGAATTTTTTCTAGAAATTATAAAAGTGTTAAAATTCTAAGTAGCAAAAAACATGCCAACTGATTTGCATGAAGGATAGCTAACAGATCAAAGAAACCAAATAACTTTAAAAAATAAAAGCAGGAAATTCTTCAAAGTGGAACATTTCAACTAACTTCTTTCAGTAATTTATAGTAAATGCACATAATAAATCTATATAGACATTGAAGTTAGGAATAATACAGTTAAGGAAATTGACAAAATGGACATGTATAGAACTGCACACAAGAGCAGAACAATTATTTTGTAAATACATTTAATATATATCATAAACTGGTCATGTACTGTGTCATAAATTGAATCTAACCAAAAACTTAAAAAATTAAAAGCAAATATTTCGAGTTTTCTGATTACAACATAATCAAGTTATAAATTAGTATGAGAAAGATAAAATAGCAATATACTTGGGAAAATAAGAAATATAGTTATAAGTCACTCATCAATCAAAGAAGAAATATAAATAAAATTTTAAAAATATTTTTAACTATTAATGGCAACACCACACATCAAAACACAGAGGAGGCACGTAAATGTGTACTTTTACTAAAAATACTGATTTTTTCTACAGTTTTAGAAAGATTTCAAAGATCATCAAAGAGTAAGATAAAATTAAGCATTTATGTTTAAAAGTAAAGTAAATCTAGTTAACAATATAAAAATAACAAATATCTTCAACTTGGTCTTCATTAAGAGGATTTTTAAAAATAAAAATCAAAGAAAACAAAGAATAAATAGAAAAGAAAAAATAGTGAAAAAAATGAATAATAGAGATAGTCAATAAGAAAAAAAAGTAGAGTTTTTTCTTTATTTTTTTAATGCCTAATGAAAATGACAAGCATTCGGGAAGAAGAATAAGAAAAACAAGGAGACTTAGCAAAAGAGAGATTTTAGGGAGCCACTGCTCAGTTCGGAACCTCTGCATTGCAGACTCTAACTCTGGGAGACTGCTTTTCACCCCAACATTATTATCTGGCTCTTTGACATTTGGAGAGAAGATACAAACATAAACATCAGAATTTAATGAAAGATAATACTCAAGTAAATGACAAGTGTTACAAAAGTTAATTAAAAATTATGGAAAACTTTATATTTTCAATATTTGTATAAATGCATGAACTTCTAGAAATATATAACATTATATTGATTCAAGTGAAAATTTAAACTGAATAATTCTATATAACAAATATGAATAATCAAAAACTTTGTCTATCAAAAATAAGACACAAGTAGATTCATTGACAAGTTGATGTAAATATTAAGTCATACACAAAATCTTTCAGGATGGAAAAATAAGGAACACTACTTGAATGCTTTTTTATTCAGGTTCAAACATAATTAATCTACAAACAAATAAGGGACAAAAAAATTCACTAGTCTATAGATTATGCAGTACACTACTAAATAACCCATGCACCAAAAAAGAAATCACACAAAAAAAATTAAGAAAAGATGAACATAAAAATCAAGAAAACATTAACTCAATGAGGTCATGGTACCCCTGTACCTGATGATGAGGAAGTACACTCGAACCTTATGAATTACTGCCAAAACTGCTTTTTGACAGAGCTGACAATTATATTCATGTTAATTCAATAGTTCCAGGGATGTATTTTTGGTTTATTATTATTATTAAGTTTAATGCTGCAGTCTACTGTCAGCAATAATGCACATATTTTATTTAACTATATACTTACAGTACTTTTGAAATAAGTCAGTGGTAGATTTACCCAAAGAAACACCTGAAGGTAATACAGTGACGTGGTTCAATGCCAGGAATCTTAAGTTATACTACTTAATTTCACATCCTACATAACCTTGTGGAAATTAGTTAACCTCTCTGACTCCTAGTTTACTCATCCGTTTGTTTAAATACACCTATTATATTACTTAAATATATACAAGATACATGTATCAGTGTAAAGTCTCATTGATGCTTTTATTCTCCATATTAGCCGTAGCTGTCTTCTAGTGACTTCTAGTGATATTTAAATGTCCTAAGATAAGACATTCTTTCCATTTCATCCCCTTACTGTGAACTTTATTCTTATTATTGTTTTCTAAGTTATCTTCTCTATGCTTTCTCACTTTTCACTCATTATTATTCCAAGCAGAAAAAAAGTACTAGGATTTCAAGGATTTGTAATTAAAATATCAAAAAATATTAAATTGTAGAAAAATAACTCAGGGGCCTGGGGTGGTGGCTCCTGTCTGTAATCCCAGCACTTTGGGAGGCCGAGGTGGGTAGATCACTTGACTTCAGGAGTTAGAGACCAGCCTGACCAACATGGTGAAATCCCGTCTCTACTAAAAATACAAAAATTAGCTGGTGGCAGGCGCCTATAGTCCCAATTACTCTGGAGGCTGAGGCAGGAGAATTGCTTGAATCTCAGAGGCGGAGGTTGCAGTGAGCCGAGATCATGCCATTGCATTCCAGCCTAGGTGACAGAGTGAAACTCTGTCTCAAAAAACAAAAAGAAAGAAAGAAAAATAACTCGGATTACCCAGATATAAATTGATAAATCAAAGTATTCGAAATTGAGAAAGAACTGGAAAGGTGACTAAATTGTCCAATTTTCACCTGGATGTTTGACACAGGAAGCTATCATATTATGAGCAGAAGTGACACATGAACTATTCTAAGGAGGCTCATCTCAACCTACCCTTGTTTCCTGGAATTTCCAAAAGTTCAGCTAATTAGTGAGTTCCCAGAAGTGCTGTCAACATACAAGCACATTACATGCCCTCTTGACACAAAGTGATATATCTGGGAACACAAACGGTACCAAAAACTTGTTGTTATTTGTCATTTAGGTCTAACTTACTGGTCAGTGACATTTTACTTTATTCTACTTAAGTAAAATTTCCTAAACCTTTTAAATTCTACTTATTGGAAATGCTTTAAAAGCTATGTAATTATTTTACTTAATCAGTAAATTCATAAAGAGGGCAAAGGTATCATACCACCTTAAAAAGGGCTTTCTGAGATTGCTGTTTGGTATAAATATGAGATTATTTTAAGAAAGAACAAAACACCAATAAAATGGTTTTAAAAGAGAAATTTGTTTTCTTTTAATTAAAAACATGTTTTAGGCTCCATTTCTTTAAAATGTTTAGGCTGATTCTTTTGTTGTCATCGGTCTATCATTTTCACTGATAACACTGATTTAAGTGTTAACACTGGGCAAGTATTAAATGACAAAATCAGCTTTAAAGTAACTAGCAATATCTTGAAAATTACAGATTTCTATATTTTCTCTTATATTTTCTGATGTTACCATTTTTGAGGGGAGAGTTTATTGTTGTTGAGATAGTGATGCATATGTGAATTTTAATAAGATTGTCAGGATATATAAACTCTGGAGATTGCTGCTTGTATTTCACTGATGAAAAGTTGTTGGAAAAAACAGAGCAAACAGTTTAAATTGAGAAAGTAAAGCGCTATTGTTTGCCCTGTGAGTGGATTTAGCAGTAAGTGAAACCTTCAGACAACTCCAGAAAGAGCTAATGTATCTAGTCACTGGTTTGTCTGTAGGAGAGTATAGGCTATCCTGATAGCCTTGTGTTAGAGGAATTATAAACAAAAAGGCTGGAGGAAACCAATATTTTTTAGGGATTTTGACAGGCATCCCATGGAGGAGCACATGTACAATACTTTATACCTGTCAGATGCCAGCCAGTTTAGTTGCTTTATCAGGAAAAAAAAAAGCAAGCTGATAACTGAGAATTGTTTTCTGAAACATGATAAACACTATTTTTGTGAATGTATTCTCAGTAGTAGACATAGTGCTGCAACTTCTTTACTTGGAGGATAACAACAGATTATCATGAAGGTTTCAATTAAAGAAAAGCCTGGGTATCTCTGGACTATAACTGAATTGTTTCCATTTTTCTGTTGTATGGGAGCAATCTAGGAGATGCAAAGTGATAAAATAACTATAACGGTGGTTCACTTAGACGTAATAATGGCTTTAAGAGGAGATTGGTAAGTGGTACATCCTTTCTAGATAGTCTCCATGGAACAAACCATATATTCAATCCCAAGAAAGAAATCTAGACATGTGAAAAGTGTTTTTTAATTTTAGTACTTTTAAGAAAAAGTCACGTGTTATTTTCTAGGATTCCTTTGCATACCACAGCAAGGACTAACTTTTTCACTGTAAAATAAAATGAAAAGTTGATAAAGATGTAAGAAAACTTTGCCTGCCCAAGTGAATTATAGTCAGTTCCTCTGTGAGGCTAAAATGTTGATCATGTAAATTTTACCTAGGGCTCCACAGATGTGAAATAATTGAGCAAGAGGGATGACTGAATAAATTATCTTTAAGTTGCTACCAAATGGTACCCTGGGTGCACTATAGTGATAGAGGTCAGCTAGACACTGATGAATGAGATTTTGGAATTATGCTTGACCTTGGTGGGTTTTTAAAGAACCTCATTTTATCATTTTCAGGAAATGGGAGGTGGAAACTCATTCAACACATTGCAATTTTCATCTTCACAGGAGAGCTGTTCGATTCCAAGTATGCAATTGAAAAACAAAAAGATCTTGCACTTTTCTGTAGGCTGGTTTGTAGGCAAAAGACCAGAAGCTAACTTTCATAATTACAATTAAATTTATCTAAAGTTTGACCAGTGACAAAGCAAACCCACTGATATTTCTTGCGTTAAGAATACAGTTTGTAAGGTACAGCAGCAAGTACACATCACAAAATGGGATAGTATATATACACACCTATATTCAACCAAATAGTTGTAACCTGCATCACTCCATTTCATAATTCAATGTATTTTGAATATTATCTCTGATAATTTTGGACTAAGAAATGTGTCCATGGACATTGATGTTTTTGACTATACAGCCTAGAGGTGATTTGCCTTATTTTCAGGGCTTCAAACATGTTCAGCCAAGACTTGTATTGTGATGCAGAAAAATATAGCAACTGAACCTAAGTCTATTTCTGCACTACTTACTCATCATTCAAAAAGCATTTATTTGAAGTCTGGTATACCATAGATTAAGACAGACACTCACACATTGATGAAACTACTGGTACACTATGTTCTCACTACCAGTGTAATCTTTGGATAGATTTGAGGGTAGAAGATACTGTGTACTTTCCCGTGTGTGGAACTGGGTAGAACTCCTTTATGCATGAACAGAGCAAGTAAATACTATTCTTTACTTTTTATCATTTAGATAAAAATTGATAGATCATCTTGTACTCAAAATATCCCTTGAAAATAGGTGAGTGCTAAATGAAAAATCATTACTAAAAATTCAGTTCTGATAAAATAAAAATAAAAAACTTTTCTGATAAGTAGCTGGTAGAAAAGTCTTCTAAAAGGGAACTAGTCTTTCTGTTCTGCTTTGTATTTGGCTGGTTACAAGATTCTGAGAGAGAAGAGAATAAACAGAAGATGTGGATTTTTGTGGAAAAGATGGTAAAGATGTAAATTTTAAGAAAAGTTGATATTTATATGCTCACTGCAACGTGAAATTGGCCTGAGGACAACCAGATAATTGTTAGTAGGCAGCCAAAACTAAATTTTGAGAATGAAATAAATGCTTTTAAAAGACCCTGTCTCATTCTGCAATTTTATGGCATTAGAAAAATTGCAAGCCAGTAGCTGATAGTTGATAATTGAAATATGTAAGTTCCATAAATGTATACAATTTTTTTTTAAATTCAAAATTTATCAAAGAAATGCAAATGAAGTCTATGGTACGATTTTTTTACCCTTGAAATTGACAATTATTATAAAGTATATTAACTTTCCTGAAGATGCCTGGAAAAATTGGTCACTAGGACTTTCCTAACAGGGAAGTAATTCAGTACATATTCTAATATGAAACTGAGGCAGGATAGTCAACCATGTCCTCAGGACATGGCAATCATGGAGACCACACCATCAATGCAAAAAGCCCCAGCATTTGCATCGCAGTCAACCTCATTCAAGCAAAGTTATCTCCAGTAAGGAATTTCCCCTGTAGAAAGCATGCACATTTTGATTTTACCTGTCCTGAGACTGAATCTTTGCTTATTATAATAGCAAAAAACACATCCCTGGGTGGAGATTTGAGATGCTAATACGACATGCAATGTATGAACAAACATGTACAGCTATTGTGCATGTGCCCCCAGAGGACCACTCAAAACATGCTTACTAGTAACACCCTCTTTTCACCCTCTTATGTATAATCGTGTAAGACTCATATAAAGGGAGTTTCCCCAGAAACAGTTAACGCTGTCTTATCCTTAGGAACAGTGCGCTCTGAATCATCTCTCTCAGAGTGTACTGTCTATTTTGCACCTAACTTTCAGAGTATTCTTTTTCCTTTGCAATAAATATCTCTATGCTGCATCTCCTTGCTGTATGTCTCTAAAATTCTTTTAAATTGAGAAGACAAGAACTGAGGTTTCACAACCGTCATCAACACAACCTGGCAATATGTATGCAATCAACAAAGTCATTGAATGCCCTAGAAATAGGTGGGATTTGGTGCAAAAAATGTCCAACACTGTTGCATACTTGCCCCAGGATCAATAATTTGATCCTGAGCAAATTATTGACCCTCTCATTTGCCTCAGTTTCCACATCTGAGGAGTTGAAATGGTAGTCATACTATGCACCTCATGGGGACATTGTCATGCTAAACATTTTAATTTCCATTAAGTGCTTAGATTGAAGCCTGGCCTATCAGATATACTCAGTAAGTGTCATATAATATTCACAAGCTCTAAAATGTTAGTTACTATCTAGTCATTCCACTCTCTGGGCATGGTTTCCTGAGAAAATTATCAAAGATACACGCAGAAATATATAAATAATGCAGTTGTCAATAATATTTATATAATCCAAATTCTAGAAACAGCAAAAACATCCAGCAGTGGGCAACTGGCTAAACACATGTGTCTATGGAGCCACTAAAGTATCTTTATGAAACAGTTTTTTAAGTGCCACAGTACTGCATTTTTAAAAGGTCATAAAGAGCACATACAGAAAAAAAATGTAGTTTTGGTTAATAAAACACTTACAGCACAACTCAAAATAGAAAGAAATAACTCATATGTCGACAATAATTATTTTTTGATTGATAGATTGTGGGTGAGTTTTTACCATATGCATGCAAATATTTGGTAGTCTCTTCCATGTTTCTATGCATTATGGGTTAAATTGTGTCCCCTGATATAGTTTGGACATGTCTTCCCATCCAAATCTCATGAAGAATTGTAATCCCTAGTGTTGGAAGTGGGGCCTGGTGGGAGGCTATTGGATTATGGGGGTGGATTTCTAATTAACGGTTTAGCACTATCCACTGGTGCTGTTCTCCTGATAGAGAGTTCTTGCAAGATCTGATTGTTTAAAGTATAGTACCTCCCCCCACCCCTTGCTCCTTCTCTGACTCTGTGACTTGCCTGTTCCCCTTCGCCTTCTGCCATGATTAAAAATTTCCTGAGGCCTCCCCAGAAGCCAAGCAGATGCCAGCACCAAACTTCCCACACAGTCTGCAGAACTGTGAACCAATTAAACCTCTTTTCTTCATAAATTACCCAGTCACAGGTATTTCTTTATAGCAATGCAAGAAGGAAATAATACATCCCCCTAAAATTGATATATGTTGAACTTTTAACTCCCAGTACTTCATTCAGAATCTGACCTCATTTAGAAATAGCATCATTGCAGAACTAATTAGTTATGATGAAGTCATACTAGAATAGTTGAGCCCTCAATCCAATATGACTTGTGTCTTTATTTTAAAAGGGACATTTAGTGACAAGTACACACAGGGAGAGCACCACGTGCAGATGAAGACAGAGATCAGAATGATGCAGCAGAAACATGTAACACCAAAGGTTGCCTGCAAAGCAGCAGAAGCTAGGAAAGGGGATTGGAAAAGATTTTTCTTCACAAACCTCAAAAGGAGCAAAACCTACCAACACATTAATCTTGAACTTCTAGTCTCCAGAACTGTGAGACAATAAATTTCTGTTTTTTAAGCTGCCTGGTATGTGGCAATTTATTTTTTACAGCAGTCCTAGGAAACGAATACACTATGCTTTGAAGTTTTATGCACTAATTATGCTTCTTTGTAACAGGAAATAAAATACTTTGCTATATTTATGAATATCAGTGTTCATTACACAGAAGATTCCACTCTCCAAAAAAGTCTCTTTATTTTGGTTGTATTGACCCTGAAGAGGTCTATATCATTCTGTATGAGAAATAAGAAAATGTCATGTTTTAATCATGGCTAGATGCACTGAGCTTTATCTTGGTTTCAAAGACAGTTATTTCTTGGGGCAGTATAGAAGGAATTAAATTCATGTTTTGTCATTTTTTTTTCTAAGTAAATTCGAATTCCATTTATGTATCAGTAAAAGGATTTTTTAAAAGAAAAATCATGACTCATAAAAATATACAATTTTACTTCAAAAACACTATTTATTTCATTAATTAATGATGGCACCAGTAAGATATCACAGGTGGCTCAAAGGATAATCCAAAGAGCCACATATATTTTAACAAAAACATCGACTGACATAAATTTAGAAATAGATGCAAAACTATAAAATTGCTTTCCACAGGAAAGTTCATTTGCATTTGCATTGTTTGTGTGTTAAAGAATTTACAGAGTTGTAAATTAGCTCATACAATGAAAGGCGGAGATAACCTGAGAGGATGCCCTAGACAATGCCTACATGTCTAACTAGTTACCAGTAATTTTCTTTGGTCCATTTCAAAGGCTTTTACAGTTTTTCCTTATAGTACTCTACTATGTTGGCTAATATTGTTGCAGCTAGCCACATGTAGGTATTGAGCACTTGATATGTGCTTATTACTATTGAGAAACCAAAATTCTTAACAGAAACCTCACTAAACTAGTTGCTGTCAGAAAAATTGAATCAGATGAAATGATTTTTGCCTGCACAATGATGTAACATTTTAACAAACTAATTTGAAATTTTCTGTAGGCGGTGTGAATTACAGTGATACCTATACAAATCAAAGTTTTAAATTAAAATACCCTTTACTGGTTGGGTGCGGTGGCTCACGCATGTAATCCCAGCACTTTGGGAGGCCGAGGCAGGCAGATCATGAGGTCAGGAGTTCGAGACCAGCCTGGCCAATATGGTGAAACCCCGCCTCTACTAAAAATACAAAAATTAGCTGGGCGTGGTGGTATGTGCCTGTAGTCCCAGCTGCTTGGGAGGCTGAGGCAGGAGAATTTCTTGAACCCGGGAGGCGGAGGTTGCAGTGAGCCGAGATCAAGCCACTGCACTCCAGCCTGGGTGACAGAGTGAGACAACATCTCAAAATAAATAAATAAATAAAATACCCCTTACTTTAATTATACTCTATATTAGTTTTATATTGCTGTGGCAACAAACTGCAACAAACTTCATGGCTGAAAATAACATAAACTTATTATCTTACATTTTTAAGGCCAGAAGTCCAAAATGGGTCTCATTGGGCTGTGGTGAAGGTGTCGGTGATGCTAAGCTCCTTGTGGAGTCTCTAGGGCACAATCCGTTTCTTTGCCTATTTCAGTTTGTAGAGGACATCCACATTCCTTGGCTCACGACTCTATTCTACCATATTCCAGGGCAGCAGCATTAGGATCAGGTTTTCTTATACTACTGATTCTCTGGTTCTCTTCTGCCTCCCTTTTCCACTGAAGAACAATAGTGATTATTTTGGGCCTACCCAGATAATAGAGAATAATCCCTATATCTCAACCTTGATTTCATCTGCTACCGTAATTCCCTATTATCATACATGCAAGAAAAGATGAACTCAGCCTGGGTTGCACACATCCCTGCACATTATCAAGAAAGACTTGTTTCAAGAATTGGTCCCTGACTGGCTCCTGGGAACAGCTCTTGAATTCTATGGACTGTTCTACCTGATATGAATGTTTTTGTATGATTGTGACCTTGGCTCACACTATACTAATTTGATCACATGTCTTATACTAAAAATATGAATTTATGGTGAACAGTTATTTTTTCTCTGGGGGTCAGGAATCTGAGTAGATGAGGTCAGCCATGCAGGCACTGTATGCCAATATGAGTGACCTCTCCGCAAAAAATCCTGGACTCAAGATTCAGGTGAGCTTCCCTTGTGGGCAACATTTAAAATGTGTAGCTACACATCATTGTGGGGTGAATTAAGTGTGTCCTGTGAGACTCTTCTGTGAAGAGACACCTGGAACCCAGGGCTTGGTTTCTTCTGAACTATACCTTTTGCACCTTTTCGCTTTGCTGATTTTAATCCGTGTTCTTTCTCTGTTATCAACTGTAAGCAGGAGCATAACAGTTTATGAGTCCCATGAGTCTTACTCTCAATGATCACTGAAAGTGAGGATAGTCTTGGGAAGCTCAAGTATACCATATAACTTTACATCATTATAGGTTCTGGAGATTAGGACACGGCCATATTGGGGGATTGCTAGTCTACCTACAACATAATATAGTTTAATTCATTTTTTTTAGCTTACAAATTAACTATGAACATTTTTAAAAATTAAAATAAATGCATACTTCTGAGCAGAATCAAGTGAAGATGCAGAAACTATTACCAGGACTGTCACAGTAAAAAGAGAAGAAGAAGAGGAAGGGAAAGAATAGAAGAAGAGAACAAGAAGAACAGGAGGAAGAGAAGGAGGAAAGAGAAAGAGGAATGACATTGTAATTCGCTGCTACATGAGAGAATGTAAAGGTTCTTCTTTGCATGATAACTTTAAAGGTAATAAAGTGGACACTCTTAAAAGATACTACTTGCAGAGGCATAATGAATTTTATAAGAAGAGTCAAAAATAATCCGTAAAACTTATCACCTAAAATCTGAATTAAAGTAGAATAGAAGTTTCTTAATTTTAAACAAAATCTGAGCTTGTAAATTTGGAGAGGTGCAAAATACAAATAAGAAAACACTTTTTAGCTGAGGTATTCACTCAATATTTAAGTTATATACATCTTAGAAATGTCGGAGAAAAGACAAATTTTTTTTTGTAAAAGTGAGAGACATTTATTAAACATTCAAACAATTAATTGCCTATAGAATACAAAACCTAGTTAATAATATGATAGATCAAAGGATTCAAAATTTGAAAAATTATATGTAGCTTTCTTTAGATTGAGTTCATGATATGAGACATTGACAAATTAATGTTGGGCATATGTTTTGTTTCAAATGACTTGTAGATTTAAGAAGAAATGTAATCAATTTGTGTCATATGAAATCAAACCATGGCACAGATGTTTTACAATCATTTTGTCTCAGTATATTAAAAATAGGTTTTATTATCTTTGACCATGCTTTAGCTATATAGCTAAAATTTTGGCCTGGGATTTTAATACAAGAGACAGATAATTCTCTTATTGAATATGTTTGCCTCCATGGTACATATTAAACTTTTGTGCTCAGTTCTCTGAAATGGACACTCTATCCTGAGTGCAGTTGTAAAGAGTGTATTATGTATACATCCAGATGGTATGAATAATTGCTAGGTTATGAAAATGTTAAAAAAAAAAAGACTATACTTTTTAAATCTTGTGTTTACTTGTCAATGCTTATTTGGGTGAGTTGTGGAAAAGTTTACAAAAATTTACAGTTAATTCCTCTTTAAGATTTTCTTGGAACAATAAGAATATTTGCCAAATAATTATCAAAGACAAAAAACACAGCGGTTTGATATATGTTTACTTAATAATATCACCCTGCATATAGTAATCTATAAGAATTTATGTCTACATAAAAACTTTCTTAATAAAATATATCGTCATCATCTTATACACTTTTCCAATGTCCATCAACATGCAGATGATTTTAATTGTGATGGACAGGGACAGTGTTATGGCAGCAACAACTACAAGGAAAATTTAAGAATGTTTCTTTGGTATTAATACCCCCAAAATTTCTTTTCAATTTTTCTTTTCAATTTATGCAATATCCTTTTGAATTCGATGTTAATTACAACAAATTGACTTTAGTATGAGTAAATTTCCTTAACTTGTGTAGAGTTTTTAAAGTAATATACTATTACTTTGAAACCAGATTCATTATTCTAAAAAAATGAAAAAGTGCCATTAATGTATATGTGAATATCAATAGAATAAAAAGTTTGGTATTTGATCTAGTTATCATAATACTTTTAAGTATATTAACTATATTTGAGTATGTAAGTTTACTGCTTTAATTGTATATTTTATGCCACCTAAATATAGGTCAACTATTCCTGATAAAATTTTAGCTCTGAATTGAGATATTTTATAAATGTGAAATAAAAGATGGAAACTGAGTTCGAAAAAAAGAATCTCATCTATTTCATTTATCATTTATATGAATTTTATGTAGAATAATAATACTTAGAATATAATATTTTCAAATTATATTATACTTAGATTAACTCACCTATTTCTTTTTTTAATGTGACAATAAACATTTTCAAACTACACATGGGAATCAATTTCTTTTCCTATCATACAGTGTTGCTGTACTATAATGAATTTAAGGTATAATTGTAGGTATGTCATAGTACCTTCAGGCTAATTACTTCATTAAAATGAACACAATTTTTTAAAGAACATTCTTTCTAGAGACCACAACATGGTCTCTAGTATTTTTGAATTAATAATCAATGTAAAAATGTCTAAAGCAAATAGTTGTTTTTTTCTTAAGAGGTCTAAAGACTGGTCAAAGTGATTTTCCACAGAATTTCAATAACTATTGCATTGAAAAAAATAGTCACAAAGAAAAGTTACCTCCAAAGGACTTTATCTTATTATTTAACTTCAAATTTCCATTTATTTATTACTCCTTTATATGCTAAGCAATTTTCTAAACAGAAAATGTCTACATTCATCACATTTTATATGCAGTTCGATTATCATATATTAAAACTGTTCATGTTGGCAATAATAGATACTTGACAAGCTGCAGAGACCATGAGAATCAAAGGGGTTACTGATCAGCCGCTTCCTCACAGAATTAGATGTGTGCATGCACTTGCGTGCTTTTTAGTACTCATTTTAAACTTTTTTTCCATATATAAAACCACGTTCTAAGACAGTTGACTAGTGGAAATTACTGACATTGCATGTGAGCCTTGGAATAAAACTGCTAGGTCAAAAAATATAAAACCTTTATTGCGGCACTATTCACAATAGCAGAGACTTGGAACCAACCCAAATGTCCCACAATGATAGACTGGATTAAGAAAATGTGGCACATATACACCATGGAATACTATGCAGCCATAAAAAATGATGAGTTCATGTCCTTCATAGGGACATGGATGAAATTGGAAATCATCATTCTCAGTAAACTGTCGCAAGAACAAAAAACCAAACACCGCATATTCTCACTCGTAGGTGGGAATTGAACAATGAGAACACATGGACACAGGAAGGGGAACATCACACTCTGGGGACTGTTGTGGGGTGGGGGGAGGGGGGAGGGATAGCACTGGGAGATATACCTACTGCTAGATGACGAGTTAGTGGGTGCAGCGCACCAGCATGTCACATGTATACATATGTAACTAACCTGCACATTGTGCACATGTACCCTAAAACTTAAAGTATAATAATTAAAATATATATATATATATATATATATATATATATAACCTATATTTTCATTGATGGCTTTAGTTAACTATGATAAAATTGATTGTAAGAAAAACATGTATATCAGATTTAAATCAAAATGTATTTGAGGGAACGAATTGAGAAAGAATATGTTTGTGGGAGTTTGTAACAATGTTTCTAAGAAAACTCAACTTTTGGGAAATATTTGGAATCATCTGAAAGTCTAGATACATTTAATACATTTGTATTAACTGCTTTATCAGGATTTAATTGACAAACTGTACATGTAAAATGTGAAATTGTATAAGTTTTGACATTTGTATGTACAAGTTGATCATAGGCATTGGATCATTCTTGTGATACTTAACTAAAACAGAGTTGAAATGCCAGAAGATAGAGGCACTCAGGACTTAGAACATTGCCCCAAAAATGTAATTATCTGCAAGCCTGGCTGCTGACACTGCCTTTTGTAATCTGAAACCGGTTTCACCTAATAGCTACTGAAATGACTAACCACAACTCTAAGACTAATTTATCTACCTCCATCACTCACCAATCTAAACTTGCTAGCTCCCTAGACCCTTACTAGTGCCAATAAACTTCCTCAAAGGGAAATATATAACATTTCTCCTTTTTGTAAAAATTCCAAACACCTCTTTGTTTTTGGAATATGCCCAAAGGCACTAGTCTGCATGTGTGTTCTTAATTGCGATTCTTTATTCCCAAATAAAATATTAATTTTAGAGATTTATCTCTACATTTTTACTTTTACTTCAACTTGTCTATGTCAAGAAACTGAAGGATCTGAGGTTTTTTTACTGATAAGCTAACAGGTTCACATAATTACTTTGTGATTATCTCTATTCTTGCTTTCATCAATAGCTCATTTTTCGTTATTAGTGATAATATTCCATTGTATGACTATACCAAAATTTATTTTGCCATTTACCTTTGCATTGTTTTTCAGTTTTAGCCACTACAAATAAAGTGCTATACACAATTGTGTCCAAGTTTTTTTTTTTTTTTTTTTTTTTGAGACCGTCTTGTTCTGTCACCTAGGCTGGAGTGCAGTGGTGCAATCTCGGCTCACTGCAACCTCTGCCTCCCGGGTTCAAGCAATTTTCCTGCCTCAGCCTCCCGAGTAGCTGGGATTAGCGGCATGCGCACCCACGCCCAGCTAATTTTTGTATTTTTAGTAGAGACGAGTTTTCACCATTTTCATCATGTTGGCCAGGCTGGTCTCGAACTCCTGACCTGGTGATCTGCCCACCTTGGCCTCCCAAAGTGCTGGGATTACAGGCGTGAGCCACCGCGCTCAGCCTCAAGTTTTTATATGAGTATTTTTTTTCTCTTAAACAAACATCTAAGACTACAATGGCAGTACAACATGGTAAATTGATGTTAATATTTTGTGAAACTCCCAAAGTATTACCCAAGGTGGTTATATTATTTATAACTTTTACCAATAGTGCAGGAGGTTTCCAGTTTTATCATATAAAGTGTCAACACTTGATATTGCCAGTCTTTTAATTGAAGACATTCTAATTGTTGCTAATCGTTTCATACTGTGGGCTTACTTTGCATTTCCTCAACTACTAATGATGGTAAGCATCTTTTCACTTGCATATGTATTATATAAATATGTGTGTGTGTGAGTTTGCACATAACCAACTTCCATCAAAAACTACAAAATACATGTTTTCCACCTTTCCATATTACAACTGCATTCTCGTTGTATTCATAACTGAGCTAGATAATTTGACTTGTACTTTAAGTTCTTCTAAAATCTCCATTTTCTGAGCTCTACTGCTTATTTCCTATTCCACGTTCTTTATCTGATATTAATTCTACTTTTATAATTCAAAGCCCTCATAAATGTGCCAATGACACCATCATAACACACTGAATGTCACGAGAAAACAGACTTCTGCTTTGTTGAAGATGGAGACTTGAGGATAAGTTAAGATGCTTAAGACCTCAAGCAATAACATCAAAAGAGTTGGTTACCTCACATAACAAGATGCTGGTAAATAGAGTAGTCCCGGGTTAACTCAGTAACTTGTATTGTTGCTAGGAGCCTTGTGCGTCCAAGTTTACATGTTGCCATTCTAAGCATTTTAGTTTCATCCTAAGATTTATCTTCTTATGGGCTTAAAATGCTACAACAACTCCAGATATTATATTCAACTGCACATGGTAGTAGGAAAATATAAAGATTCATGACTTCTCACTCTTTTTAAAATTGAGAAACTTTTCCAGAAATATCCCTAACAGACACTTCTCCCCTACGTCACTTGCCTGAACTAGCAGCATTTCTATTGCCAAATAATAACTGGTAAAGAAATGTGAGCATATTTTCCCCAGATGAAGATGGTCATTCAAAAAAGAAGAGTAAACAGAGTTATTTTCAGAAGGAATGAGCTGAGGAATAATTCCAGGGTAGGATAGGAACATCACAATAATTCCACGTCGTTCACATTTGTTCACATGAACAAATACATGTTCATCATTGGTATAAAAATTATTTAAAGTGTGAAGTATATTGAATATACATTTAAAAAATGGAAAATACGTCTTCTAACAAAGACATATATGCTTAATTTTATGCTTGATTTCTTAAATAGCAGAATTATATGAAAGGAAAGTTCTATTTGCAGTAGATACAAAATCAAAGGTATTTGTCTGCATTTAATTGTTACTTTAGTATTCTTTAGTAGTAGTTGATTGGAGATTATTGTCCCACCTCAAAACAAAGTACCTTCACTTACTTAACACAAATACTTTAATCACTCTTCCAGATACTGAGACTGTAGTAGTTTATGCTAGATGAGTTCTTCAGTCATAGTCAGCTAGCTTTTGTTGTCTCAGTAAAGTTTGAAAATGCCCACATTATCAGTGGTGGTCTAGTGACCAACCTCATCTAAGGCCCCTCTGGTTCTAGAACCTAAGAAATTATTCCTCTCACTATGCAGATGAAGTAGACATAAAGATATGAATTACCTTAAATGGCAGTTAGAAAATATGGCCCATGGGGAAAACTAGTCCACTGCATGCTTTTGCAAGTAAGGTTTTCTTGGAACATAATCATACGGAGTCATTTGTGTATAATCACTACGTTCACTCTACCATGGCAGAACTGAAAAGTTGTGACAGAGATTGTAATGCCACCAAAGCCTGCATTATTGTCACCTAACGCTTTAAAGAAAAATAATTGCTGACCTCTGCCTTAAATCAAGAAGAAATGAAGATACGAGACACTTGAAAATATACTAAGTAAGGTAAACTGGGTAAGTTCTGTGATTCAACTGAAAAGAAATGTAATTCTGTCATCTCTGCGTTCTTTCCTGCACATATTTTTTACTCTCTTTTATTTCCTGTATGTTATTTAGACTAAAACAAAAAGAGAATAGATTTTTGAAAAACATCCAACGGGCTTTTTTAAAGAAGTTTTCATATAGTGCACATACAAATACACATTCTAGAATATATAATTTAAAACAAGCTGGAGAACAGGATGGTGGAATATCAGTTATCTTATATGTTCTATATTCTTAACAAAACATTGACTCTTCTTTCTATCCTTTCCATATGTAGGAGGAATATAGATCAGAAGACACCTCAGGACACTAAAAGGTGCCAGTGTAGTTACATATGCTGGCCATTTCTTGATACCAATGAGAATGCAGGTAAGGCCATTCTGAACAGTACCAGGCAATATGAATAGTATTTAATAAATACTATTTGACAATATGAATATCATTTAATAAATATGAATAGTATTAGATCAATACTATTCATATTGAGATAAGATAAAGTAAGTTTCTTAATTTCTCCCAGGTTGAAATGATTAACTAATAAAGAGTATATGGGGTGGGGAAAATAAGTAGATGCATCCTGTAATATCTAGCATGTAGTCATTTGAAGAACATTTAACATGCAATTTTTATTTTTTAAAAGCTGCATTTGTTGTGTGTTTGTGTATGTAAGTGCGTGTGTGTGTTTGTGTCAAATGAAAAAATAAAAGTAGATCAGCAAACTCTCATGATTTCAAAATTTCCCAAAGCAAATTTATCTTATAGAAATAAAATATCGCTAATATCTCTATTGGCGTTAACAATATTCTAAAACTTTGCATATATTTGATTGAGTCAATATTTTGTAAATGCTTTCTAGAAATCATTGATAATGAAGTTTAAAAAATAAATAAATAAATAAATGACAAATGAGAAATCTAGAAAGCCAATATGTTTTACTTTTACTGTTTCTTATTATATGCTTGAAACAACTTCAAAAAATATTCATAGACCTAGAATTATAATGATCAATGTCTGATATTTACTAAGATGACTTTTCCTAATTATTATTAAATCTCAATTCTTTTCTTTTATGACATTTAGAGATATATAATAAAATCATTTATTAAAAAACAGAAAATTGTAAATATTTACCATAAACACAAAATTTTTATTATTATTATTATTGTAGAACAACATATGATTGAAAGACAAGGACTCACAGAAGCAAACAATAGCTTTCATGACCCTTTAAAATCTATTACAGACTGTAAGACCAGAAATATTGATCATCTGAAATTTGTTCTAAGCATTCTGATACCAACTATGGGAAATAGGGAATTTAGGATGAATGTCAAGCAATTAGAATAGATCTTGTTCTAAAACTTTTTTTACATAACATTTAAAAAATCATCTCAGAAACTATAGTGCTCTAATCATCTAATAAGAATTCCAGTGCAGTTTACTTCCTCCTTCTTGTTTAAGGGGGTAACCATGCTGTACATTTTACATTTCTTAAGGCAAATTTTCAGAAAGAAATATAGAAATAAGACATTCCCGTAGTCTATAAAAAATAACTTGACTCTATACTTAAAAAGCTATATTTTTTCTATTAAGAAATTATGTTTAGAGTAAATAATCATTACTCTATTAGTTAATAAGGAGAACTGCTTACAATTTGTTTCTAGCCAAAGAAAATTCTAAGCTAGAGATAGGATTAAGAAGTAACATCTTTGAGCACAAATCACATTAATGCGTACTGTTAAGGTCCTGCAGAGGATCTCCTGAATAATGCTTATTATCTGCTTTCCTTTCCATTCTCTTGTCACTACCTTATTTCAGTTTCTCCCTAATTTACGATTTCCTAGTTGTTTTTAGGATTTAAATTTGCGAATTTTTCTTTTTTTTTTTTTGATGGAGTTTCACCTTTTCACCCAGGCTTAAGTACAATGGCACAATCTCCGCTCACTGCAACCTCAGCCTCCCAGGTTCAAGCGATTCTCCTGCCTCAGCCTCCCAAGTATCTGGGATTCCAGGTGCCTGCCACCACGCCAGGCTATTTTTTTGTATTTTTAGTAGAGACAGGGTTTCGCCATGCTGGACAGGTTGCTCTCGAACTCCTGAAAATTTGCCAATTTTTAAGTCTATTCTATCACCCTTGTCTTCTTCCACACAAATTGGATCATGACCTTTCTGCATATAAACCTTTAAGGACTTCCTTCAACTTTAACAGCGTAGTACACATATAGTACATGATTGCTATGTTTTGAAGGTTTGTCCCCTCCAAAACTCATGTTGGAAGTTAATTGCTGTTGTAACAATATTACGATGAGGGAACTTTCAGAGGTAATAGGGCCATGAAAGCACTGCCATTATGAGTGGGATTAATGCTATTGCGAAAGAGCAATCTCAGATCCGTTTTGCTGCTTGGTTCTTCTGTCTTCTGCCATGTGAGCATCCAACCTTCCTCCAGAAACCAAACTTGCTGACACCTTGACCTTTGATTTCTCACCCTCAGAACTGTGAACCAATACATTTCTGTTTGTTATAAATTACTCAAGTCTCAGATATTCTGTGACCACATCACTAAGACAATGATGATGTGATTTAGACTCCAGTCATCATTTTCATTTTAGTGTCTTTACACATTTTATTTCCTCCTGGATGACTCTTCCCCCCTTCTTCATCCAGCCACTTCTATTTTCCAATTCATTTAAAAAACTCAACTTAAATATCATATCCATCAGTATGCTTTTTTCTGAATCATATTACTTTTGTTCTCCTAGTGTTTTAACATCTTCCAATTATCTTGGAGTTCTTCATATTTATTAAATATTTATTTGCCTATCTTTTCCTCTACAAAATGTCTTTGAGGGCATGTGTTATGTTTTATTGGAATTTTTGTTCCTAGAGCCCATCTTAGTGCCTGGCAAATATTAGCTCTTTAAAAAGTATTTCATAAACTTTAACGAAGGCTGGTGAAATGTTAGAATAGAAATATTCGAGTTGAATGGACTAGACACATTTAAATTATACTCCTAACATTGTTTCTTCTTTTGTGTATCTCTGGCACTATGTTCATACCTCAGTTTCTGTAACACCGTTTATCAGTTACATAGAAAATCAATTTTAATTAATGTCAACAACGTTTATGGCTTTTAAAGTAGCTATCATTTCAAAGAGGAAGTGTTTGTTTTCAGACAGAATAACCCAGCACAATGACTCACTCTCTGTATAGAGTAACTGAGTCAACATAAAGTTTTATTTACATTTTATATGTGTGTTGGGGACAGGGGAGACAGATCTCAAATCTGGTGGAGATTACAGGGAGGACTACAGCTGAGGACATAGACCTCTGCAAGATCTGTGCTTCTGTTCCATGTGGGAGTGAACATAAAACAGATTAACTTTTATCCTTTATTTCTCCATATCATAATGTATTTTTTAACACTGTTTCCTTCATGAATTTTCATCATATACATATTAACTTGTCTTATTACCTAAGAATGCTCTAATTTCAGAAGATGTATTCAGAAATGCATACCCCTCGAGAACTTCATCTGGTTTCCAACAATCCTTTTGGGGATGATGTTACTTAGTAGATTCAGTGTCTTTGAGGGTCTAGTGTTCCACTCAGCAGCATTTAGCAGGCAGGTTAGCATTTGCTTGAGAGTAACAGATGGAAAGTCAGGCTAGAGAAACATGACAAAATCTCAGATGGACTGAAGGTATATTATGCATGAGGCAAAGTGTACAAGAATAAGGCTGGAGGGTAAAGAGTGGCGAAACAACAAGCGATATAAGCTTTGCTAAAAAATTGGTTCATATCCAAATATCATTGAAAAAAATAGTGCATTTTGTAAACAGAGTTTTGACATGGCCCATCCCTTTTATTTTATTAAACAAGGGACCAGATGAGGAAGATTTTAATTGTTTATTTAATGAAATTAACACATTTTTATTAAATGTCTACTATAGTTTTTGCAGACATTATGCTACACAAAGTTATCCAACAAGAAATTATAAGAGAATAGTTTAAGACAGTGGTCATGAAGGTGGAAAGACAAGGATAAGCAAAGGAGAGTTACAAATAACAGAAATTGTAAAGAAGATAAAGAAGTTAAAGGCAATAATCAGGTTCCCCCCATGGGTAGATGAATATACAACAATCTTCAAAATATAAAATTCAGAGTTTTGCTCAAAATTATAGTAAAGAAAATCAACTGAGTTTTGGTCATTTTGAGGTTGAAGTGTCTTTTAATATTCCAGAGGACATGTTGGCATTCAACCACATATAGCTCCCTGGTGCCATAAAGTGAGGACTGTCTGGGAGAAAAATGTAGATTTAACAAGTAGTAAAAAAAAAAATTGTGAAAAAATGGACCCACATAGGTAACTCTTATAAATCCAGAAGTTCCATTAATAGGACATAGATTATTGTGCGAATAAAATATATCTCACATAAAAAAATGAAAAAATTATTTATTTCTCATAAAAATGAGATAAAAACAGTGAAATGAACATTCTCATATATAAAATTGGGTAAGGTAAAAAATATTTTGGCAATAATTTTTGATTATTTTTGTGCCTTCATTGTAAGCATGAATTGGTGCAAGTATTTGTAAGGATAGTTGTTGATTATGTATCAAAATATTAAATATGTTTATATTATTTGTTAAAACATTTTCATCTGTTGAAATCTATTTTGGTTAAATATGTAGAGATTTATCTTCAAATATAATTATTTAACACTTTTGTAATGTGGAGAAAGTTGAGTCTATTTCTACAATGGAATTTTTAAACATATTAGGTTGAATCTTTCTGGTGAGATAATACCTTTCAGTTTAAAAATTGTGGTTCTAAATAATTTTTTATGATATGTTGAAATGGCATATTGAATGCATTTCATAAACGTTTGATGACAAAATTAAGTAACATGGTATGCAAAACTATATCACTCTGATCCAAATCACGCCTTGTATAAAACATTGCATAATTACATATGCATAGACACACGCACATAACAAAGAGATGGAATTTATATCTGAATGATTTTAGCTCCATTACGGTTTTCTGCATTTTGTCATTTTCCTATCACAAACATGTTAATTTATAAATGTAAAGCATCACATTTCTCTGATATAACATTAATGGTCTCTGCAGATAGTCTAAAGACAGTCTGTTTTGGCATAGTAAGATACCAAAATACTGTAAATTGTAAATGGCTTTATGTGGCTTTGTAACCACCCAGCGGGTTCACCTTGCTGCTGCCTAGTCAGAGCTGACTTATCAAGACAGAGGAATTGCAGTGAAGAAAGACTAATTCACTCAGAGCCGGCTGTATAGGAGTTTCATTAGTACTCAAATCAATTTCCCTGAGTATTCGAGGATCAGAATTTTTAAGGATAATTGACTGGGGAGGGGCTTGGTAAGTGGCGAGTGCTGATTGGCTGGGTCGGAGATGAAATCACAGGGGGTCTAAGCGAGCATTTCTTGCTCTCTTCTGTTCCTTTGGTGGGATTACAGAACAGGTTTGTACATATTACTGGTCTGGGTGGTGTCAGCTGGTACATTGGAACTCAGGGTCTGCAAAATATCTCAGGCACTGATCCCAGGTTTTACAAAAGCAACGTTATTCCCAGTAGCAATGTGGGGAAGTTCAGAAACTTGCAGCTGGAACCTTCGTGGCCCCTAAACTGTAATTTCTAATCTCTAGCTAATCTGTTAGTCCTACAAAGGCAGACTGGTCCCCAGGAAAGAAGGGGTTTTTCAGGAAAGGGCTATTATCATCTTTTTTCAGAGCTAAACTATAAACTAAGCTCCTCTCAAAGTTAATTCAGCCTACGCCCGGGAATGAACAAGGGCAGCTTGGAGGTTAGAAGCAAGATGGCGTTGATTAGGTCACACCTCTTTTACTGTTTCAATTATAATTTTGCAATGGTGGTTTCAGCTTTGAAATCTCATTTTTCTTAATGAATTTGCTGATTCCATTTGACCTTTAGAGGAAAGAGAGATCAAAATACTTACTTCTTTTCAAATAAATGGAGTTATACAAAATCTTTAATAAGTAAACGTATCTGTGTTTATGTGATGAATGACAGAAACATATATGTTTGGCATTGTGAAAGAAAAATAAATCTCAGGATCTCAATGTCAGTAAGCCAAGGGAAAAGTCGAGCTGGGAGCCAGGTCAGGCAAAACCTGCCTCCCATTTTATTCCTAAATAAGATAGCTACAAAGAGAAAAGAGCTACATACCACCCTCACAATTTGCCCACAGGGAAATTCCTTGTAGGCCTCTAGATCTTTATCCTAAAACAATTCTGTTGAATTTCACCCTGGCAATGCAAACTGATAGCTTATCTTCACAGGTGCTGCAGACAGAAAATCATCCCTAGGCTCACCTGAGACAAACGCATGTCTGATTTCTTCCTCCATCCTATTGTGTATGCCAAAATGCAGATTCACTGAGCCACACTAAATTGTGTATTGATCAAATACTCAAAATAATGCAAACTTTATCTTTTATCTACCTATGACCTAGAATTCCCCCTGCCCCCTTCCCTCTTCCAGATTTCCCACCTTACCAGACTGAACTAATGTATATCTTACAAGTATTGACTGATATCTCATGTCTCCCTAAAATGTATGAAAGCAAGCTGTACCCTGACAAAGCGAGCATATGTCCTCAGGACCTCTTGGGGCTGTGTCATGGGTGCATCCTTCGCGTTGGCAAAACAAACTTTCTAAATTGATTGAGACCTGTCTCAGGTATTTTGGGCTCACAGCATAAATACTATTCCACTTCTTTTGAGAGAAGCTTAAATGCATCTGGAGATGGGCCGTCAGTGTTAAGAATCTAATTGAAGCAACTAGTCATGAAGAAAAGAGTTAAGCATTTAATCACTTACTGTCATGCTTTAACAAGAGGCTAAAACCATAAAAAGGGCCAACCCCCTCCAATCCATTTCCTTTCAAAGAATGGCATTGCAGTGCAGGGTCAGGTGGATCAGCACAGATGTGTGGGTCATTGCCCGGTAGAGAGAGCCTCCAAAAAAGCTCCAACAGTTTTAAGGACTTTGGGGGTCAGGGGACAAAGTTGAAGGAGAGAACTAGGTATGAAAAATTACTGAGAATTGAATCACAGCAGACAAAAGTTTCAGTTTCCTCTTTTCCCCTGATAAGGAGACCTCATTAGAAATGCCGGAAGAGGGTGTCAGATGAAGGCAAAGAGACCTAGGAATAAAGGTGACTGTGCTAGGAAGAACTGGAAAGAAACATGTAAGAATCAGAGATATTTATGGAAAATGATGATACTTTCTTTACTTCCAGGTATTAGAGGAATATGATTCGAAAGAGGTAATGGCCTAAGATTTTAATATCTATGTTTACTAGTATTATTCTAAAAGTAGACAAAATATTTCTTACTACAGGACTAACTAAGTCATTTCCATTTGCCCTAGGGTAATCTAATGAGAGCCAGATGTCTTGCTATACCTACTTATGACTGTACTGTGAGAGCCCCAAAATAGGGTCTAGGTGTTTATTCAGGAGAGGAACCCTTGTACCCTCACTCCTCCTAAGAAAGAAAGATGAACACACCACAGTATAAACAAATTCTCCTCTTGAAAACATGGGAAAGATTCTTGGTTCCTATGATTTAGAAATGTTACTAAGTGTCTCTAGGGGAAGATATGATAGGGGTTTTCAAATTTAAAACATGAGATTAATCCCTTTTGGAATATAATTACATAGGAAGATAACTCATTAAATTGCTCTGGAAGTTTCTTGGCTATTCAGTTACCTTTTCCATCAATTCAGGACCCTTCTCCTTGAAATTACGTGGTCAAAAGAGATAAGAAAAAGATGTATATCTTTTGAGTGAAAGCAAATAGTTTTAAGATTAAGGAAGCCAATGGCTGCAAGCCTAACACCTATAGCATGTGAGGAACAAATACTTCTGGGAGATACAAAAGCAAACATACTCTATTTCATAACATATAAATGTCCATAACTCTGGAGACCAGGACTTTGAAGGAAGATTGAAAATTGTGGGAAAGACTTGTCTTCCCTCAGTGACGTAACTGAATCCTATAGAAAGTTTTTAGAGTGGTAGAAACAATAAGCTAGATAATTTCAAGGCAGATGTCCTTGAGAAAAGTGTCTTGTACCTCTCAATTATAATCAGAGACAGCTATCCAGTTTGCCTAATTGCCTAGTTGTTGGGTCAATTATGACAGTAGAAAATAAGGAAAATTTGCATTTTTAAAGAAACCTAAAAGGTGGCTATTTTTCTATGAAAAAAATATGAATTACAAAGTATTAGAAAAAATACTAACTTTTTTTATGTCTTTTCTCTCACAAAGTATTAGAAAACATACTAACTTTTTTTTTTTTTTGAGACGGAGTTTTGCTCTTGTTGCCCAGGCTGGAGTGCAACGGAGCAATCTCAGCTCACCGCAACCTCCGCCTCCCAGGTTCAAGTGATTCTCCTTCCTCAGACTCCCAAATAGCTGGGATTACAGGCATGCACCACCATGCCCGGCTAATTTTGTATTTTTAGTAGAGATGGGGTTTCTCCACGTTGGTCAGGCTAGTCTTGAACTCCCAACCTCAGGTGATCCACCTGGGGTTACAGGGTGCTGGGATTACAGGCGTGAGCCATCACACTCTGCCAATATTATCATTTTTGATGTCTTTTCTCTCACAAAGTATTAGAAAAAATATTAACATTTTTGATATCTTTTCCCTCATAGTGTAACTGTGATAACTTAAAGATATTAGTACTTTAAGAATAATGTTAAGTGTCATTAAACATGTAAAAAAGAATGCATGATACAAAAGTTTATTAAAAAACTCAAGTGTGCTTCTCTAGTCTATAAACAATAATGCTGCTTGACTCTGCACAAATTGGCAGTCATAAAAATTCTGTAAAAAGGCATTTTAAAGATATAATACTGAATTTCATGATCAGAAGGGCATGTATTGTTATTTGAGCCTGTCAGATGATTAATGAGGATGAAGCTTCCAAAAATTAATTAGCTGAAAAGAACATCTACCGATTTCAGTAACTTTCCATGGAAAGCATACAATTTTATGACAAACATCTTCTCCTTTTGTAGCTATTACCTAGTAATTTTGTAGATCCCTAAATCTGAATGCAAATGAGCTAAGTGTTAACCCATCTAAAAAACGCAATTATTGTTTGAGTAAAATTATCATTATAAGAACATTAGTTTAAGGCTATAAAATTGATTATTTTTGCCAAGTATCTTCCATTTGAAGGTTAATGTGTACTTAAAACACTTTAAAAAATTTCTTCTGTCTTCCTAAATGTCAGTAATAGTCAGTACTTAGTGTTTGTTAAAAAAAAAAAAAATGTATAAGATGTGTTTAATCCAAATCTCACCATGGCTTTCTATTGATCTGTCATAATTTATCATCTATTTATCTAAGTTTTAAACTGCTTCTACATATATTTTAATTATTTTGAATTTATGGACAATAAGCTACATCTATGTTATTTAATAAAGCATCCACTAAAAAATTGAGCTTACTCAAAAGTGAATACAATAACAACAAAATACCAGATTTGATTTTTCTGGTATTTGATTATGTCACACAAACTTTATCTCTTTTGTTACTTTATTAATCATTCTTTGACCAAAGATTTATTAAGGCCCTGCTATGTGCCAGAGAGTATGCTAGATATTATGCTTTGCAAAGATTACTGAGCTTTGAATCAAATATATTGCATGATAATTAATATCTTTGTCTTTGAAACCAGGAAGACTTGAGTACAAGTCCAATTCTATCACTTAGGGTTTGCGAATGACACTTCAGCTGATAATTGTATACATTTTCTTATTGCTATCTTAACTATACCTAAAATACCAATAATATAAATAACAAAATTATGATTTCAAATGAATATAGACACAGAAATTATACCTTCACAAAAATTTATTGAAATGGGTCAAAGATATAAACATAAAATATAAAAACATAAAACTCCTAGAAAACAACATAGGAGAAAATTTAGATACCTTGGTTTGGCAATCACTTTTCACACATAAAAACAAAAGCATAACCCATGAAAAAATCTGAAAATGTGAACTTCATTAAAATTAAAACTTGTCATATGCAAATAATACTTGTCAAAGAATGGAAAGAGAGATCTCAGTGTCAGAGAAAATTTTTGCAAAATAGATGTGATAAAGGACTGGTATCTAAAATATATAAAGAACTCATGGAACTCAATAAAAAATAGCTAAAAATTTGCAATAAATCTCACTGATACTTCATCAAAGAAGATATACAGATGGAAAATGAGCATATAAGATCATCAACATCATATGTCAGGTCATTAGAGATTTGCAAATTAAAGCAACAGTAAGATATCGCTACATATCTGTTAGAATGGCCAAAATTTTCAATAATGACAATGCTAAATGCTGACTGGGATGGGGAGTAACAGGAACTGTCTTTCGTCGCTGGTGGGAGTGTAAAATGGTACAGCCACTGTGGAAGATGATTTCTTAGTTATTTACAAAAGTAAACATACTCTTGCCATACAATCCAGCAATTGCATTCCTTGATATTTATCCAAATGAGTTGACAACTTATATATGCACAAAAATATTTATACTAGCTCTATTTATAATTGCCAAAACATGGAAATGACCAAGATATAGTGCAAGAGATGAATGAATAAACAAACACATACTGTATGATTCCAACTATATGACACTTTGAAAAAGGTAAAACCATAGAGACAGAGAAAAGATCAGTGGTTGGTGAGGGTATGGGGGTTTGAGTAGAGACAAAAAAGAAGGAGTACAGGAGATGTGTAGGGCAGTAAATGTTTTTGTATGACACCGTGATAATTGAGAAGTCATTACATATTTGTCAAAACCCGTAGAATGTATAACACAAACAATGAACCCTAAATGATGAACTTTATTAACTTTAGTTAATAATAATATATCAATATTGGTTCATCAATTATATCAAGTATACCACACTAACAGAAGATGCAAATAATAGATCAACCTGTATGTGGAGAGACAGGGCATACGTGGGAACTCTATACTTTCTGTTTATTTTTATGTAAGGATAAAACTATCCTAAAAATAACGTTCATTTCATAAAAAAGATGAAGGGAAGATTCAGAGAAGACTGCAAAAAAATAGAGCTTTATGTGTTTTCATCTTGCTCTTGGCTCAGTGCATGATGAATAGATATAAGAACTATAAGGCAGTAGTGTTGCTGATGAATATGGTAAGGAAGATAATAAGAGAAAAAAGAGAAAATCTTAGATTGATGTGATAAGTATCACTTTACCAAAAAAGAGCTTACCAAACTTAGAAGAATAAATGAGTACCTCCATTAGGGTTGGGAGACTGAGAACAACTATGTAGAAAGTTTTTATAGAAAAATGCCATTTAAGCTGAGATTTTTAAGGATAAGTAAATTTGATTAGACAGAGCAGGAAGTAAAGAAGCTTCCCAGAGTAGAAATGGCATTTGCAAAGCAAAAGTATCATGAAAACTGGCAAATTTAGGAAAATGACTAGTAAATATGTCAGAAGTACTAAATGCATGACAAGATACAGAGATGAATTTGTAAGCCAGGAGTCCTTTAAAGATATACTACAGATTACTTGGTTTATGTTCTAAAAGTTTAAACAATGAGTATTGGAGTTATAATAATTAGCAATTTGCTTTCAATATTCAGATTAAAAAGTTATTGAATAGGATTTTCAGACTGCTTATCCAGCAATCTAGTATTCAGTATTTTTGAGGTTCATGAAAATGCATAATTTTAGGTGGGATTTTAGATTTGGGGTTAAACCTAAGATTAATTGCCAGTAGAGATAAACTAAAGAACCTACAGATATTTAGGTATTGAAGTACTTCAGAAAATTTTTATTGATTACTTCAACATGAAAGACAATGGTAAAATATGCATTTCTCATTTTCTCCTTCAAAAAATTTTACTGAGTGAGAATGAATGGGTGAAATTTTATTACTGCTGCTTTGCTATGATTGAAATGTCCCCTTCAAAACTCAGTTGAAATGTAATTGTCATTGTGATAGTATTAAAGGTGGACTAATTAAGAGGTGATTAGGCCATGAAGGTACTCTCTTCATGAGTGGATTAAATGTTGTCATCATGGAAGTGTGTTTTTATCACAAGAATGAGTTGCTGTAAAAAGCAAGTTTAGTTCTCTCTTGTTGCTTTCTTAGGCTTTCTTGGCCTTCTGCCTTCCACCATTAGATGATGCAGCAAGAAGACCATCACCAGGTACTGACACACCTTAATTTTGGACTTTCCAGCCTCCAGAAGCATGAGAAATAAATTTATTTTCTTTATAAATTACCCAGTCTGTGTATTCTATTATTGCAACACAAAGTGGACTAAGACAGAAAATTGGGACCAAGAAATGGGACTGTTGCTATAAGAGATACTTGAAAATGTGAAAGTGGCTTTGGAACTGGCTAATGAATAGAGGATGGAAGAATTTGGCAGAGTAGGCTAGAAAAACCCTAACACTCTGAACACTGAGTAATAAGGGCAATTTTGGTGAGGGCTTAGAAGAGCCTAGCTGTAGGGAAAGTCTGGAAATTCTTATAGATTATTTAAATGTTGTGACCAAAATGTTGGCAGAAATATGGACAATAAAGGTCATTTTGGTGAGGTCTCAGAGTAAAAAAGAAATATCTTATTGGAAACTGAGGTAAAGATCATCCTTGTTATGTAGTGGCAAAGAATGTGGTTAAATTGTGTGCATGCTCTAGGGCTTTATGGATGGTGGAATTTTAAAGTGATGAATGAGGATAGCTGGTGGTAAAAATTTCCAAGCAAAATATCAAAGCAGCTGTGGAGCTACTTTTAACTACATATAGTAAAATGCAGGACGTAAGAAATGACTTAAAGATGCAATTTCTAATTACAAAACAAAGATTTCGAAAATTTTTAGCATGGCCATATAAAGAATAAAAAAGCATTTTCAGGTAAACAAACCAAGTATATGACCAAAGGACAATTAGCTAAAGAGATTAGTATGTACAGAAGAGATAACCAACACAACGGGAGAATGACAGAAATAAAAAAAGGCATTTCCGATATCTTCAAGGATCCCTTCTTTTCCCCATCACAGGCCCAGAGATCTAGAAAAGCCAAATGGTTTTGAGGGATGGGCTCAGGGCACTCTCCATGGGCTCACTGCTTAGGGCCACCCTGGGTATTTGCTTCCCACACTGGCACAATACGTCTTGGCAGCTCCAACCATAGCTCAAGTGGGTCCAGTTGTAACTTAGTTTCACATGCCATTCCACAAGATGCAAGCCATAAACCTTCACAGACTCCACATGGTGCCAATTCTTCAGGCAAACAGGATGCAAGAGCTCTGGGACATGGCTTCCTTTACCTACATTTCAAAGGAAGTTGTGGATAGCTTGGGAGCTCAGGCAGAGACTTAAAGACAGAGCCACTGAAAAGAACTCCAGATAGGGCAATGCCTAGTGGAGCTGTGGGAGTAAGAACACTCTCAGAATGATACCCAAGAACTGTTAAGCTACCATCGTGCAACACCAGCCTGGGAAATCTGCAGACCCGACTCCAACTTGAGAGAGCTGAAGAGTATATTGAGTCCACTAAAGCCATGAAGGTGGAACTGCCTGAGGCCTTGGGGGCCAAACTCTCACCCTAGTGTGCCCAGGATGAAGTAAAAGGATATTATTTTGGAGCTTTAAGACTTGCAGTTGTTTTACCTGTTGAGTTTTAGACTTACTTGGAACCAATTACCCCTTTCTTTTTGCTATCTCTTCCTTTTGGAATGATAATGTCTATTCTATGCTGTCCCACCATTGTATATTGGAAGCACACAACTTGATAATTTCACACACTTGCACCTGGAGAGCAGTTTGCCTCAAATAAATTATTCCTTCAGTCTCATCCATACCTGATTTAAATGAGACTCTGGATTTTAGACTTTTGAGTTGGTGCTAGAATGATTTAATACATTCAAGGCTATTGACATGGATTGAATGATTTTAGTATATGGAAATTACATGAGTTTTAAAGGGCCAAGAGTAAAATGCTATGGTTTGAATGTCCCCTTCAAAACTCATGCTGACATTGAATTGCCATTGAGATGGTATTGAGAGGTGGGACTGTTAAGGGGTGACTAGGCCATGAGAGCTCCACCCCCATGAATAAATTAATGTCATTATCATGGGAGTAGGTTTGTAATCCCAAGAGTGAGTTATTTTAAAAGTGATTTTGGTCTTCTTGTTGCTCTCTTATGCTCCCATGCTTTCTATCTTGGAATGATGCCACAAGAAGTCCCTCACCATATGCTGGCCCTTGATATTAGACTTCCCAGGCCCCAGAAGTATAAGAAATAAATTTATTTTATTTATAAGTTACCCAGTCTATAGTATTTTGTTAAAGCAACACAAAATGGATGAAGATTTGCTATTATCTTAACTTTTAAATAGAATCACTGAGGAGGCAATAATGGACAATTTGTAGGCGATTAAATATAAAATATATGACCAGAGAAATAATTTCCAAGGTTTATATGCTATAAGCACTCAACATAATTATGTATATTCTGAAACACTGAATACATTTTTTCTAAATTATTTTATATCCTAGATCAATAAATGATGTAACATTTTCTTATACTTCTGTAAAGACTCTGCTACATGCAATTTATTGATTACTAACAATTAGTCACTATGAGAAACCTGTTCATACATCTGAAATCTTTTATAAATCTACTATGCCATTTAAAGTGTATTTGCTATGACTATACTTTCTTCTTAAAATGCATTATTTATTTATTTATTTTGAGTGATGGTTTCTTTAGTGCACTTTCTCTCTCTAACAGTAATGCTATCACCTTTTAATTTTTTTTCTTTTTTAACTAAACGCTAGCAGGACCCTAATAACAGTGATATATGACTCAGAAATCACAAGGTGATTGATGGCTGCCCATAGGTCTGATAATGACATAGTCTGAAATGAAAATACCATTTACTGATGTGAAAAATAGAGTTGTCCCTAAAGCCTCTAAAGCATCATTGTGTAAGTTCATAGAAAGTATCAGTAGTGATTATGGTCCAAGTATACCACAGTTAAATTTAGTCTTTGAGGCACCATTTATTACTGTCCCAAGTACTTTTTTATAGTATCTATAAGCAGAATTCATGGTCATCCAAAAGAGATCAAACTTATAAGTTACTATATCAACTTCTAAAAGTTAACGAGTAGCCTGGGGATTTAAGATTTACTGTCAGTCCACCAAGAAATGTCAGTGCCCTAGAATATGAGAAGGCAAGTGTCATCTAACTGGATTTGTGAACTTTTCACTTTGCCATTCAGTAGACAGCAAACAGAAAATTAGTCTATAAATAATTGAACTTGATTTTTTTTTGAAAATCTATCACAGCATGTTAAAAGCAATTTTGTTCTTGAATTAGCTCTCCACAAGTAGTAAATATGTCAAACAGTCTTTAAATAATGCAACATATAAAGCAACAGATAAGAAGGTTTAATAAAGGAAAGGAAGACATTAGAAAATATACAAGATGCATGATTTTGTTGCTTGTATTTTCCTTCTCAGAAAATTGGAATATAAATTCTGTTTCAAAAATGCCAATTAAATGTAGACAATTTGCATAATGATGTTTTAATATTCTCAGAAAGTGATTCAAACTTGTAAATAAACATTTCTAATATGACTTTATTCTATACACAAAAGAACATATGTTTTAACCTTATTAAGAAAGAAGATAGAGTTACAAGTTACTCAAATGGCTCATAAAGATATAGAAAAGGTATGAAGAAAATATTATTTCAATAAAATACCTGCTAATCAGACATACAAATAAGAAGACAAAAAAATTTTAGGTGGTTTTAAAGAACTGTATGCATAACACTAACAGGTTGGTTTTTTTGTTTGTTTATATTTTGGTATACATAATCAGGTAAAGAATGTATAATTTAACCCTGATATAAATAAAATACTAGAGTTGATTTGAATATTTGGTATAAAATCTAAATTTATTGTCACTAGTGAGTATAAATACTTATGAAACTGAAATTACTATGAAATAAAGGGTTGCATGCCAATAAATATCTATCAAAGGAATCATTAGTTTACTTAATTAGATTTATTGTTAAATATTTTTTAAGCTTAAATAATCTAAAACTTACAGAAAGTTGCAAAAATATCACAAATAACATTCTTATTCATGAGGTAATTGAGTGTAAGTTGCTGACATGATGCTTCATTGTCTAGAAATACTTGGGTGTGCATTTATTGTAAATAAAAACATTATCCTACAAAACCTGATACAATCATCGTCATCAGGCAAATAACACTGGGGAGGTAGTTTAAGACTATGGAATTATCTCATTCTTCATCAAACTTTTAATATTTACTTATTTCTTTCTATCAGTCTCTTTTCATACCTGCCTATCTTATTTATTGGCAAAAATCCCTTATTATCATTATTTATTTTGATACTGAATTTTTCCCAGATTTGTAGAGAGAAAGTCTCTTCCAGGTAGCTTGTGTGTGACTTTGACACGTTTGCATTACATGTGAGCACATTCTTACTTCCTGTCATGTGTGTGGAACCTGTAATGCAAACGTGTCAAAGTCACACGCAAACTACCTTGAAGGGACTTTCACAGTCTTACTTCCTGTCTTGTGTGTGGAACACAGACACACACACACACACACACACACAGACACCATGTTCCAGGTCATTTTCTAGTTTTCTACTCAGCCTTGCAAACAGTCCTTTCTCGAAGGAAACTTGGTTCCTTTTAAGGGAGAATGGTATTATAAAGTGCTATTTATAAACTGTTATTGATAAATGGTATTAATAAACTGGTATGTATGCAACACACACGTGCATGTGTTTTATACATACATATGTACACATATGTATATGAATAATATATATACACATATGTATAAATATATATGTGCTGTATATATTTTACATATATACACACCTCCATGCATGTATGTATATCTACATATATATATGCATATACATGGAGGTATGTATACAGATATATATATATAACATGCAGCTATAAGTTCACATCTCAAATTTCTATCCAAAACTACAATGTTTATTTTAGTTTTCTCTCTTAACATATTTGTGCCTTTCTGCTTTCTCAGTGAAAAAGCTGTATATAATCACCTTAAATCAATTTACTTGTTTGACAAATCTGATTGTATATACTCAACTCATTACTGCTACTGTTCATGGTTCTTGCAGAAATACCTGCCTCAACCTACTAGGTTTCAATCTCCTCCATTTTCATGATAATTTGAAGATACCTGACACATAATAAGTGTGGAGGTAGTTGAGAAAACAAACGGGGGTAGAAAATATGGCTTGTTAGCCACCATCCATTTCAATATTCTAAAATGTCTTCTTCCTTAGCAAAATTCAAAATCTAAAAACTGTATTTCCCAGAATCCTTTACATTGTTGTTCTTGGTTTGATTTAACTGACACCAGATAGATGTACTCCTGCAATTTTGACAAATGGAAGGGAAGAATATTTTGTAGGCCACTCTTGCTATTTCTTCAGGTACCTATCATCATGGAGGTTTTCAGTGTTTTTCTCTCAGCTTCCTGGTACTGATAGTTTCTGATCATGGTGGCTTCTAATCATAATTGCCTTACTTAAATTGTGTTTGTCTAATCATAGTTCTGTAGTCAGTAATAGTTATGGCAGCTTTCTAAATAGGGTGCCAGAGCTGCCTTAGCTACCTGGTTCTTTAGAATAATCCCAATGTCATTTCTAAAATCCAAGCTAAAGTTTATTTCTTTAGGCTTCCCAAAGGTATTGTAATGCATTTCATAGAGAACAATATTTTCTTTCGGACAGAAAGTATATTCCATAAATATAGGAATATGGTCTATTTTATTCACTGATACATGCAAACACAAATACCTAAAACAATACTTGGTCCCAAGACTGCGCTTAACATAGCAATAAAACCCTGAAAATAATCACTTGATAACATTTTATTTTTCTATAGACTCCATGCAATTAGAAATTCAGTCCATCTCACTCACTCTACGTTTCTCTTTTCACCATAAAGTCTCTCAGCTTTTGGTCTATTCAAGACACGTATTTCAAGAAACCAGATGTCAATCATGCACTACCAATACATGACCTTCTTATGCTAATGGAAACCTCTTTTGCAAGAAAGTGATGTTATTCTTTTGAAAATTTAGGGGTCTGGCTTATTCTAAAACATTTCTGGAGATACATTAATTTGAATTTGTTGGGCTACTGTATCCAAGTAAAGACAAAGACAAGTTGCTTTTTAGAGTACTTGCTATATTCCATTGTTCTGTGTGCTGGGATATAAACATTGCAGGAAAACAGACAGAAATGCCTGTCTTTATGAAGGCATGAAGTTTGGAAGAGAGGTAGTGTACATGATTGGTATGAAATAATATAACCTATTAGATGATAATTATTGCAAAGAAGAAATATAAATGCAAATGCTGGTCCTTTTCCATTTGGGCCTTTTAACTTGGATTTTATAACACACTAGATCCAAAGATGTTTGAAATGCTTTTGGCAGATGAGTGATAAGTATAATAGGAAAATAAATAGAAAAGATCTAGATTTATTTCTTCTTTGGAAAATACGTATTTTCTTTATGAAAAACTCCTGGACTTGTTAGGTCTTGAACAATCCTGAATTTCTAACAGTAAGTTACCATGTAAGCATGCAACATGAGCTAGCCATATTGAGTAGGGTGTGATACAGAAACCCAAAAATACAGGTGGATGTAGTAGCAAGATTCTACTGTTACTTGGAAGTTGCCTTTGCAAGGAAAGATTCAAGCAAATTTTGACTTTATTAATAAATTGGATGAACATGTGGCTTGTACTTTCAATGCACCTACTTCTGATTCAGTGACACTTCTTCCTCAATACACACCTAGGACTCCCAGAGAAATTTGTTATGATCTTTTGCCTGAAGAAGAAACAATTGGCTTTGATTTATGCATTTTGCATAATATGCTAGTACCAGCTGGGATTAGACTATTAGAGCATGGAAGCTCCACTTGAGGGTGTTCTGGAAATATGAAAAAAAAATAGAATCTCTTCTAATGGGCTAAACTTCAAGCTGTACAAACTTCAAGCTGGTACAGTGCTGTCCACTGTAGAAGGGGAATTGTTTAGAAGCACCAGTCTATGATTCATAGACAGTTGCTAATTGCTTTGTAAATATATCAGGTATTTGCCATTATTGAGAATATGAATTGGTTACAAGGAAATTTGGGTTATGCAGCTGGAACACTTAAAATGGCTTAATATAATAGAAATATTTCCTTCCATTCTGAATGTTGACTAATTGTTGTAATAAACAGATGGTCAAAGAAGACCTATTCTATGGATGGTTTCTGTAGTTTTATTGAGTGATTGTTATAGCACAAGCATTTTCTGTGGGATTGCAAACATTACATAAAATAAACAAAAATACCTATTTTCACATAAACTTTCTAAAGTTGTGGAGAGAGAAAAGGGACACCATCAATATAAAAATATATAATGCATTGGATAATTCCTATGGTTTGAAATGCCCCTCCAAAATTCAAGTTGAAACTTAGTACCCAATGAAGTATTATTAAGAGGTAGGCCCTTTAGGGGGTGATTAGGTCATGAGGGCTCTGCCCTTTCGAATGGGATTCATGCCTTTATAAAAGGACTTGAGGGAATTTGTTAGTCTCTTTTTGTGCTTTTGTCCTTCTATCATTTGAGGAAACAGGGAGAAACCACCATAAATGAGATCAGCAAACTCTAAATCGTCTGTGACCTTGATCTTGGACATCCCAGTTTCCACGACTGTAAGAAATAAATTTTGATTGTTTATAATTTGTTCTTAGTAAAGTCTAAGGTACTTTGCTATAGCAGCAGGAACTAAGACAGAAATTGGTACCAAGAAGTGGGGTGTGGAAGCAGCTTTAGAACTGGATAATGGGTATAGGTTGGAAGAATTTGGAAGTGCAGTCCAGAAAAGGTCTATATTACTGTAAATGAAGCATTAGGGAAATTTTGGTAAGGGCTCAGAAAAGGAGAACTGTAGAGAGAAACTATATCTTCTTAGAGATTATCTATGTGGTCATAAATGGAAAGTTCATAGAAATATAAACAGGAAAGGCAATTTTTTTTTTTTTTGAGACGGAGTTTCACTTTTGTTGCCCAGGCTGGAGTGCAGTGGTGCGATCTTGGCTCACTGCATCCTCCGCCTCCTGGGTTCAAGCGATTCTCCTGCCTCAGCCTCCCAAGTAGCTGGGATTACAGGCATGCGCCACCACGCTCACCTAATTTTGTATTTTTAGTAGAGACGGGGTTTCTCCATGTTGGTCAGGCTTGTCTGGAACTCCTGACTTCAGGTGATTCCCCCTTCTCAGCCTCCCAAAGTGATGGGATTACAGGCATGAGCTACCGCTCAGGAAAGGCAATTCTTATGAGATCTCACGTGGAAACGAAGAACATGATATTGGAAACTAGAGGAGAGGCCATCCTTGTTATAAAGTGGCAAATATCTTGGCTGACTTATCCCTGTCTTAGTACTCTATAGAAAGCAGAACTTAAGAGAGATGAACTAGGATATTTGGTGGAAACAATTTACTAAGTAAAGTGTTAAAGGTGTGGCATGGCTTCTTTTGACTCCTTATAATAAAATGCAAGACAGAAAAAAAAAACCAGAATTTTTAATTAAAAGGGAAGTAGAACTTAATGAATTGGAAAATTTTCAGCCAGGCCTAGTTGTAAAAAAGGAGAAAGTGTGTTTAGGACAGAATACCAAGGGTGTAACCAAAGGAACACCTGAAGAGAAGATGAGTTTGAATAGAAAGATGCCAGATACTATTCATTGAGTCAATAGAATAATAACCTCAAAGGTAGTTCAGAGAGTGTCAGGGCCTGAATGTAGAACAATTTCAAGGGAGGGGCCCAGAGCACCTGTGTGACCTCAGGATTCATGGCCCAGGGCCTCTTCGATTTTCTGCCCCATGCATTCTGGTGCAGTACTCCTCAGCCAACCCAGATGTGGTTCAAGCATGCCCATATCCAGCTTAGATTGTCCCTCCAGGAGGCACAGGCAATAAATCTTGATAGCATCCCTGTGGTGCTAACTCTGCCCAGGCAGACAACTGCTATAGAAATGGGGCCACTGTAGAGGGCTTCTACCAGTGCAATGCCTAGTGGAACCATGGCGTTGGAGCCATCACAGAGAGTCTCAATTAAAGCATTGCCTAGTGGAGCTGTAGGGTCAGGACCACTGTAGAGAGCATCCACTAGGGCAATGTCTAGTGCAGCCGTGGACATGGGGCCACTTCTGGGACCCCAGCACTGAAGAGCAACCAGTATGCAACTCTAGCCTGGGAGAGACACAAGGCGTAAGACTCCAACCTGTGAGAACTGCAATGTCTACTGTGTCGAACAATGCTGTGGTAGTAAGGTTTCCCAGAACATTCGGTTTCCAACTCTGGGTGCCCCAGTGTATCTGGAAGGCAGAACATGGAGTCAAGGAATATTATTCTCCACCCTTAACATTTAAGGTTGTATTCCCTTTTAGATTTTGTACTTCCTTGGGACCTATTACCCTTTCCTCTTTTGTAATGGGAATGAACATTTAAAAAATTTACCAACTACCTTTCCATCTGCCATTTATTTGCCTTTCCTCAAGGGACTCAAACTCTTTTCCTGTCTTGTCACTTCTCTAAAAATGTTCTGCACTTTATTGAAGATGCAATGTATGCTGCAATTCAAAGTTATCTCTTTGAGAACTATTCATTCTCTGGTGTCTCCTGTGTATATATAAAATGTTCATGTTGATAAACTTTTGTCTTTCTCTTATTAGTCTGTCTTTTAAAACAGGAGTCTGTTCCAACTAAGAAATTATGGAGGTTAGGTTTCCCCTGCACAAGGTTGACATCTTTCTTTCCATAGGTAACCATTTTTTTTGTCTACTTACTAAATCTGAGAATTGTTAATATAACACAATTTAACACAAATTTCAAAAATATGAAAAAGTATTTCATGACAGTTATATAGACAAAAATAAGAAGAAATGAATTAAAACTGATAATATGGGAAATCACAAAACATAACCAATGTAAAACATATTCTTTGTTTCAATATATTTTTGTAAATATTTAAAATAGTTTGGTCCAAGGAAAATGTTGTGACCACACTTTGAAAAGAGAAAATATATAACTATTGAAATTACTGATCCTTTAAGTCTTATACTAAAAAAAATAAATAAATATGAAATGTGTGATAAAATCAGTTTCTCAGTACCTGGATGAGAAAAGGTTACTCTGAAGGGCAAGACTACAATTGAGAGTGATTGTTCATTTGCTTAGTGACCTGAAGAATAAGTGGCACTTTTTGGAATTTTCTTGGTTGGAGGAAGTAATACTTGCCTGCTTTTGCCAGCAAGTTTGCCTCCTGGCCAGTCAACAGGGGAATTAGTCTGGTCTATTTTAAAGAGGTAATTTATCCCTGGAATTAGTTAATACTAGCAATGGCTTTGTAAAGTACAAGTCCTATCAAACTAATCTAAACTTGATCAATCAAGGGCAAGCAATAGATGCAATCTTTCTTGACATGACCAATGATTTTGGTGCTAACTCACATGAAATATTTCTCAGAAAACTGGGAAAATGTGTTCTTGTTAGAGCCTGATTTTTAGTTCACTGTACAACTGTTTGGTCCTGCAAACAAATATTCACTGCCTTTTTGGCAATCAAAGAATAATAACAGCAAGAACAATAACAAACATAAAAAGCATATAAGAGGAAAGAACAAATATCCTTTATATGTGAACTAAATTTAATTTTACTTACTAACAATGATAATGTCTATTATATTTAGAGTAATGTTGGGCACTTTACATCCAAGTATGTGCTGGTTGACAGTGGAGCAACCATGTGTTAGGTATTATTATAAGGATGCTAAATTTATTTCTGCTTAAGAGCCAAAATTTGTAAACCATGGCTATAGCTCCTAAACTGATGATTACTACATTCTATTCTATCATCTCCCAATGCATCATTTTTAATCTGAATTTTTTGTTTCCCTCCCCTTGAAACAAAATAATGTTGCACTTTCTCAATGTATTTTTTGGAAGGGGTAGATAATCCCTATTCCAGGCCACTCTTATTCACCTGTTAGATAACTGAAATGTATACACAAATACAGATAGCTTTAATTGGCCTGAAAAGTATGTATTTCCTACATAAGCTTGCACTTCTTTGACCCCTTTTTCTAAGTGTTTGGCTTCTATTTTTTAAGTAAACCAGAAATACTTCTTCACTAGAAATGTTTCCAAATCCATAATTCTGATATCAAAGAATGATTTTACTGCATTTCAGAGTTGGAAGGGATATTTAAGTTTATTTAATTTAGTTACTCTTTCTGGGCTTGAATTCCTTTAAAAGCATCAAATTAAACTTTTCAGTTAAATTCAATTAGAACTGCATTTATTAAGTACTTCCCCTTTAGCTAACACTATGCTAGGCTCTAAATGTACAAAGATAAGTATAAAGTTCCAGCCTTAGATACTCATTATTTAATGAAGAGGTAGGGACAAGCATAAAAACAGATATAAATCGATAAAATTAATTTATTAGGCAGGGCATGGTGGCCCATGCCTGTAATCCTACCACTTTGGGAGGCCAAAGAGAGAGGATCACTTGAGGCCAAGAGTTCAAGATCATCCTGGACAATATAGTGAGACCCTGTCTCTATATTATTTTTTTTTAAGTAGCCAGGTGTAATGGTGCATGCGTGTAGTCCCAGCTACTCAGGAGGATGAGGTGGGCATGAGCCCAGGAGTTTAAGGCTGCAGTGAGTTGACTGTGCCACTGCACTCCAGCCTGGGTGATGGAGCCAGATCCTGTCACTGAAAAACAATAAAAGTAAAAAATTAATTTATTAAAGTTTTCATGGTATATAATAATAGTACAGGGTATAGATACCCTAACATTGTCTGAGGAAGCCAGAGATTTTCAAATAGAAGATTAAATTGAGGACAGGACATAGTGGAGTAGGAGGAGCCACAGGAGGAGTCTAGAAAATAGGCAGTCTGATAGAGCGTCTTATTCACATATGCATAATGAGGAGCAACTCAATACAGTTGAGACATAGCACTTGTCATATCACATCAAATTTTGTTTTTTGCCCAATTGTCTCTGAATAGATTGAAAGGATTTGCAAAAAAAAAAAAAAAAAAAAGTACTTTATTTTCCTATTCCTAGTTCCCAGCAAAATATCTACCAAATTGGTAATTTTTTTTAAGAAAAATTCACCAGACTTTATAAAATCGTGACTCATAATCATTAATGGTGTAGCTGGAACCATAGGTTTAGATGAGATCACTCATAATGTCTATATAGAGTTAGATGAAATGTCTGAAGATTTAACTTACTATATATATCAATATTGAAAGGTGAGAATGAGTAAAAAAAAAACTACACAAATAACTAAAAAGAGTAGTTAAACATGTTAGGAGATAGATATATTAATGCAAAGGCAACTAAGATAGACACATATTTCAAGAATATGTGTGTAGGCAGAATGGTAGCAAAATGTTAAGCAAAGGAAATGTATTCATTAATTATAACTGGTAGAGGGTATCTGAAGACCTTTGGGGAATTGTTTCATAAAGGGGTTTGGATTTAACTCATTATACTGAGCTGAGGAGTAAACTAGCGGTAAGAAATTACATCAAGTAATTCTTAGAGTAGTCCTATAAGGCAGGTTCCGCACACATCCCATATTACAGGTAAGAGCACTGTGATTCTAGAGCTTAGAGAATTAAATAAATAATCATGGGTATTTCAGCTAATTATCTGCATAGCTGAGATATGAATCCAGGTAACTGACTCATGGTGGTGTGTTAGACCTGGCTCAAATTCTCAACAGCCATTTATTAAATGTCTAGAAAATGTGAAAGACAATGGTCAAACCATTGGTAGTTGGAAATATGACGTGAGGTCGTGTTGAGAATATTTACACCACAAAAATTGAGAAGCAGTATGTCAAAACCTTTTTTTAGTTTGTATTTTTTAGTAAGATAGCCAGTTTACTGCCAAATCACTGCAGGGTCCACATTATTAACTACTCCTGTACTACGTATTTAGGTCTAAGAGTAGTTTATAATGAAAGAAACTTATGTAGACTCAAACTTAAGGTGTTGTACGCAAACATATGTTGTTGTTATTATTATTATTATTATTATTATTTTGGAGACGGAGTCTCACTCTGTCATCCAGGCTGGAATGCAATGGTGTAATCTCGGCTCACTGCAACCTCCACCTCCTGGATTCAAGTGATTCTCCTGCCTCAACCTCCCAAGTAGCTGGGACATAGCACATGTCATATCACCCACCACCACACCTGGCTAATTTTTGTATTTTTAGTAGAGATGGGGTTTTGCCATGTTGGTCAGGCTGGTCTTGAACTCATGACCTCAGGTAGTCCACCTGCCTCAGCCTCCCAAAGTTCTGGGATTACAGGCATGAGCCACCGTGCCCAGCCATATTCTTATTTTTGATGGCAGCAACGGCCCATCTAGAACAGCTGCTGCAAGGACGCCAGCTGCAGCAGGGGAGGTGGGGCCAGGGCTGCATGCTCTGCAAAGCCAGTGGGAGCTTGAAATAGGCAAGATCCCCATCCCCTACCAAGTTAGCAAGGCAGGAGTTCAGATTTTTGGGTGCCACCACAGCTGCCCAGTTGTGGCTCCATATCCCAGCACCCCTGCACTTTTGGAGGCCCAGGAGGACCCCTGCCCCTGCAGGCTTGAAAGTGCCTGTTCCCACTCCCTGTCCTTTCTGGGATCCTGATGCCTGCTCCAGGGCCAAGCAAATTTGTGGGCAATTCTGGGTGGTGTTACAACCTGGCTGGGTGGGCATACACTCAGGGTGGTGCTAACATACCAGTCCCTGCTACCTTGGCCCTCTCTGGACTTTGGGCACCAATGAGAGCAGGAAGGGAGCCAGAGGCACTGAGGGTTGCTCGGCATGGGCCTCCAGGAACGTCTTGGCACAGATAGCCTGGGCTCCGTGGGTGGCATGTTAAAGGCAGACAGGTTCTTAGGTGGGAAGGTGTGGGTCCCTAGTGAAACCCCACCTTCAGGCCAGGGACATCTGAAGCCTGGGTTCTGCACTGCCAGTTCTGAGCAAAGTCTGCTCCCAGAATGAGAACTTCATTGATGACCTTCAGCCAATCAGATGGTGCTTTTTCCAGGCCTGCTGGTGGCTGCCCATGGACTTCCTCCATTCTGAGCATGCACTTCCTCCATTCTGAGCACATAAAAACCCCAGACTCAGCCAGACTCACTCATTCATTGGGATAACCTGCCTGCAGAAAGGAGCTACCCTCTACAGGTCTCCTCTCTGCTGAGAGCTGGACATTGGTCGGGATGTCTTGCTTGAGGAAAGGAGCTACGCACTTCGGGTCTCCTGAGAGCTGTTTTGTTGCTGAGTTAAGCTCCTCTCTGACTTGCTACCCTCCGGTTGTCCACATATCTCATTTTTCCTGGATGTGGGACAAGAACTTGGGACCTGTCAAATGACTGAAAGAGCTGTAACACAAACAGGGCTGAAATACACCCCCCTCCCCCACCTCCACCACATTGTGGGTGACAAGGAGAGAAGAGCTGTTGCCCTTCAGGGAGTGCAGACCTAGGGGCTCCCCAAGCCAGAGCTGTGACACCCTCTTTGGGGCTCTGTGGTTCCTGGTGTCTCCAAATTTCTGGGTGCCACCATGTTTCCCTGGTCCAAATGTGGGTACCTGCAGCAGAACCCACTTGTGGTACATCTGATCCTTGCACAGAGTTAGTGCCCATGCTGGCACCTCGAGCTGCCCACCCCACCACAGCAACCAGCATGGCTGGCTGTGTGTAGTGAGTGTCCAGACACCACGTTCACTCACTCACACACCACTTGCCTCTCTACACCTGACTTGCCCTTGGCAGGTGTGGGATCCAGTCTGGTAGTGTGAGCCAAGCAGGCCAGAAGAGCCCAGTGGGCCTGAGCAAAAGTCAAGCAAAGGCCCCACTGGTCACAGAGGTTTCCTGCTGGAAAAGTTTCACCCTAAGGATCCTGTGACATTTGGCTTCTATGTTTTAGGATGCTAGATATGTTCCAGATCTATAAACTTCTGAAGTACCATTTAAAATGTATAGAAGTTATCTTACAAACAAATGCTGAGGCAGGGAATTTTCGTATAATGAAAATGCTAGTTTTCATTAGCATTGTTTGATATTGAAAAACTGGATACAAACTAAAAACTTTCATACATTGAATACTATGAAGGTTTTAAAAAGAATAAAGCAGTTTTACATATTTGCATAGGGAATAGTCTCTAGGATATATTATTAAATGAATACAACCAAGTGCACAGAATTGCATTTAATATGTTATTTGTGGCCAATATTTAAGTACAGGTATATATGCATAGAGTATGTATGAAATGTTTCATAAGAAACTGGTAGAAGTAGCTTCATTTGGGAAGGAGCATTGGGAAGCCTAAAGAAAAAATTTGGAGTAAGACTTCTCATGTATTGCTTTGTGCTTGGATTACCTATTAAAATAATTCAGTAAAAATGTTAAGAAGATGTATACTTAATGAAGGACTGTTAACAGATATGAAGACTTTCCAATTTTAGATATTTTAATGTTTACATAGATTTTAAAAATTATAGATATCTTCAGAACCAGCTTTCTTACTGTACTCCCCCATCCCCTCCCCCAAATATGCCCCTAAGGAACTCCTGGAAATCCCTTTAACTGATTAAACTGTAAATTTTTGACCCTTGATGGCTTATTGCTAGATTAACCTAAGCACTTATATTTTTAGTAGAAATCAGTGGTACCTTTGATCTCTCTGATAATACCCCAAATTTGCTACACACCAAATATTATTTAGTCTTCTCACAAGGAAAAGTGTTTCCACTTTTTCTTTAAAACTCTTATTGCTGCTATATTATGTAATGTTTTTAGCAGTAAGACTATTACTATTTCCTAACATTGTACCATCCCACTCTATTTTTAATGTATTGCTGTATTTATTTTTCTAAATCACTAATTTGTGTTACCCAATTAATTAAAATGTTCAATCAATGGCTTCTACTCTGTACAAAATAAAGGGCAAATACTTTAATCTCCTAGTCAAATCTCTTTACATTATAGTTTGGAATTAATATAATGTGATCAATGATTTAAATTAGGACCAGGTACACGAAGAGGACTCACTCAAGATATGGAAGAAGTTATTGAGCATTAATGTGAGGATGCAGTACACACAAAGTAATATAAAAGAACAAAAGTGGCTGGGCGGAGTGGCTCACGCCTGTAATCCCAGCACTTTGGTAGGCTGAGGCAGGCAGATCAGGAGATCAGGAAATCAATACCATCCTGGCTAACACAGTGAAACCCCGTCTCTATTGAAAATACAAAAAATTAGCTGGGCATGGTGGCGAGCGCCTGTAGTCCCAGCTACTCGGGAGGCTGAGGCAGAAGAATGATGTGAACCCGAGAGGCGGAGCTTGCAGTGAGCCGAGATCGCGCCACTGCACTCCAGCCTGGGCGACGGAGCAAGACACCGTCTCAAGAAAAAAAAAGAAAAAAGAACAAAAGTTATGATAAAATGATCTAAAATCATTACAAAATATAAACTTCAGTAGATCAGAGAGATCTTACTAGTTGGTCAAATGGCACCCCTTTTTAACAGTAGAAACAGCATCTTTCTATCTATAAGGCTATGGAACAAAAAGACACCACCAAAAGGCTGATAAAGTGAATACAGATATTGATTCACGGAATGTTTCTCTCACAGACTAAGTTAAATGTTCCATCTCTCAGGTCATCATATCTGTGAAATTGTATGCATGACTAAACAAGCAGTTTTGAAATTGACATTGCTGAGTACTATCTGCCACAAATACAAAGGTCTATATAGATATAAATTAAAATCTGTATCACAAGCAAATTCCAAATCTAATTGTCTCTATTTATTTGCAGGTCATTAGTGGCCAGGTCCTTGAGAAATCAGGTTTCATATTCACTTACTTATGTCTGCTGTAATCTCTTTATCTCACATTTATCATATTATTTGTTATTTCTGATAGTCTACATTCTTACATTGTAGATTTATTTATTTATTATTATTTTGCTATACAATCTTTAATATCTCTAGAATTTACTTTTATATATGTTAATATATGGATATCTATTTGTCAATCTATCTTATCTATCTATCCTATCTATCATCATCATCTACTAATGTTTTCAATTCTATTTGCTCGAAAAAAATTGCAGATTTTTTTTCTTCATGAACTAAGGTAGATCCTATATCACATTTTAAAATCACTATTTAGGTACAATATACATAAAAAGGGTACAAATCACATAGTTCACAACTGGATAAGTTTTCACAAATTGAACATGCCTATGTATCCAGCACCCAACCCAAGAAATAGAACATTAACACATCACCTTTCAGGCCCCTGCTGCCATTCTTTCTTGTCCTTTACCCCAAGTGTAACAGCACAGAAAAATTCATCTGTTTCTGTGGTTTATACAAATATAATTACACATCATAATTTTTGGTTGCTTTTAGCTTTCTTTGATGAAGAGTATATTTGAAGGATTCTTGTATTGTTCCATGTCCTGAGAGACCATTCATTCTCATTGCAGTAGAAGTTGGTATGTTAGCATGTCACAATTTATTTATCCATCCAACTGCTGGTGGACATTTGAGTGATTTTCAGGTTGTGACTATTAGAAATAATGTTAATATGAACAGACAGCACATATCTTCCTAGGTATGCATTTCTGATGGATATATGCCCAGGAGTAGAATTACTGGATCATAGGAAATGCGTATGTTCAACTTTAGTAGGTGCTTCCGAGCACTTTTCCAAAGTGTCTGTAACAATTTACAGTCACACCATTACTTGTGTATGAAAGTTCTAGTTGCTCTAAATTCTTGCTATCAATTACTTAGAATTTTTTATTTCTAGTCATTTTAGTGGGTGAGAGTAAACACTTTTGCAGGTATATCTTAATGCAGTATTTATGATAAATTACTTCCTATTGATCTGTGGATCATCATGTACTGACTGATATTCCAACTAGAGTATATTTGTATGACTCCTCACTGCATTTATCTCCCAAATTATTACTTTTCTCATGGGTTTGTGCAAATGTACTTTAGAATAATATTCCTAGAAATTTTGTTGAGATTGCATTAATTATATAAATTAATCCAAGGAAACATAAAATCTTTACCATAGTCAGTATTGTTTTCCAGGATCACCCTATTGCATGTGTATACATTGTGTGTCAAGGAGTTAGGCAATGAGGTGGCCCTGTTCACATACATGGATATATGATTTTTCATTTATTCCTGAATTCTTAAGACTTTCAGCAAATTTTACCATTTTTGTCAAGATCTCTGAAAGATCTGAGTTTCTTTTTCTACTTAAGAGCTATATTAATTTTCTATTGATTCTGTAGCACACATTTAGCAGATAAAACAGCATCTATTTATTATCTCAGATCTCTGTAGGTTAAGTCTAACACCAGGCTTACTGGGCTAAAGTCAAGATATCAGCATTGCTGTATTCCTTACTGAAGGCCCTGGAGGAGTATCTGGTTTCCAGGATCTTCAGGTTATTAGCCAAATTCAGTTCCATATGATTGTAGGACTGAAATATCCATTTCTTTTCTGGTTATCTACTGGAAATTTTTCTTAGCTACTACAGGCCATGGGCTTGACTTAAATCACACTGCCCATTGTCTTCTCCAAAGCTGGCAATGGTGCACTGAATCCTTCTTACTTTTGAATCTCTCTGACCTCCCTTTAGGCTTCATCTGTCGTGCTTTACTCTTCTGCCATATTTCTCTGACTCCAGCTGGCAAAATGTCTCTGCTGTTAAGGGACTTGATTGGGCCCACAAGAATTATTCAGATAATGTTTCCATTTGAGTTCTGTAATATTCATTACATTTGCAAAATGTGTTCATATCAATACCTGCATTAGTGTTTGAATAACCAAAAAATGAGAATCGTGGGAGTTATTTCACTACTACACAAACTAATGGGTTAACCTGTTACCCCTTCATGGATGCTGGCACCCATTTGGGACTCTAATGAGACAAATAATTTTATTACTCATGGCATAGCAAGCAATACCTGTATTAACATATTTGCTCAGGTTTACATTTCCCCTAAGTCCCTCAGGTGCCATGCAGAAAGCCAGATGATACTTGTACATGCAGTAGGTTGGATTAGAGAGGAACCCAAGCACTTTTCAAGCAAGCCATAAATATTATAGTTAGCAGCAAATAAGCCACTTCTCCTCCCATCAGGGAGAGTGCAGTTTCAAAGTTTTCGCACTGGTTTTTTTCGATCTATTTAGTTGCCTATGTGACTAGCCATAGAGACTATTATCAAAAGATGGATAAGCCTGGCATTCTGGCAAACTCAGCAAGAGTGTGCAGGGATGCTCAGGGCTTGTGGCAAACTGCCTCTTCTCAACACATTTCTTCACATAAGTATTTCATCTGTGGCTGCTCACTCAGTTCCTCTTTTATATTATTTCTCACTTATTTTTCTCTTGCTCATTCCATGCCAACTGAATAATGTTTCTTCAAATGGCGCTTCCATTCATTTTTTACATTGTGTATGTATATGTACATGTGCATATATGTTATCTTTGTATATGCTTCTAACATAAGGTCCACATAAATCCAGTGCTGCCTGAAGAATTTTCTGCAAGGATGGAAATTGTATGCCATTTGCACTATTCATATGTGGATACTAAGCACTGATATCCAACCACATAATTAAATGTTTACGTTTAATTCGATTGAATTGATTTTAATTTATATAGCCACTTGTGGCTAGTGGACTATGCAGCACTAGATGTTCCAGCTACTTGCAGTAATCATCTCTGAATACTTGCATGCCTAACTCTACTTCTATCTTCTCAAGCCTTTGTCCAATTGATGTCTTTTGTGTGAGACTTTTTCTGCCTTCTCTATATAATGTTGCAATTACTTCCCACCTCCCTTACAACCTCCATCCCTACAACCTCCATCCCCTATCTGCTCTACAGTTTTACTCTATAGCATTTATTGCTTTGCTACATAAAATGTGGTTATACATTTTTAATGTTTATATTTATTTAAGATTTTTGGTGGTATTTGACTGATATAATTTATCTTTTCCCAATTGTAATTTTTTGTCCTTTGTTTTCTGAAATCGGATGTATTACTTTTTATTTTTCAGTAACTTTCATTCTAAGATTCTCAGGCTTTTAACTTATCATTACACCTAATAGTCTTTATTAAAAATAAGCAATTTATCTCTTCTGTAGGCTATGGGGTATTGTATGACTGACTATCACTTGTTAATACCTTTAAAGAGTGAAACTTACTGTACACATATTAAGAAGAAATAATAAACAGATTTCAAAGGTCTCCACATGGAATGCTAAATGTGACAAATGAATCCAACTTTATGACATAATTAAATTGAGGATAATGGAGGGATAAGTAACCTCGAAAAATTATTTGAATGGATAACTGTGAGACTAAGAAAACAAAACAGCCATAAATAGGACACTTTTCTTGGGAAATTTGTTTCTCACAGGAATGCAGGAGTCTAGTTTACAAATTTTGAAATTACTTTCTATGTATATTAAGTTTGTACAAATATGTCAATAAATTATAGATAATGGGAGCCAGGTTTCTCACTGACAGAATAGGAAGTTAATAAAGCAAGAGAGAGAGGTTATAATAAACTCTCTGGTGCTAGATTAGAGTCAAAGATATTATTATGAGCTCATGTTTATTTTAATATATACATGTGTGTATGGGTATATATGTATATTTAAAAACTTGCAAGAAGCTTTGAATATTTACATGGTTCACTCAGACATCTATCAGTAGATAGCTGGCTTTCATCAAGTTGATGGATACAGAAGGAATTATAGATATGTATGTATATGTGAGTTAGTGTAATTATATAATTACTAGCTCTATCATCTGAAAGGTCCTAGAATCAGTGACAACACTGCAATAATACAGTTTTAGTTGTTTTTCTTAATTTACATAACATATAATTACACCTAAATGAAGATTTTTTTTTAACGAACCATGCTTAATTTTTATTACTAAGTGTGATTTTGGACATTATCAATTACTCTACTTTTGATTCTCTAAACAACTTAAGTATATTTCAGTTACTCTGATAAATAACGTAGGCTTAAATTGATTAATTTTGTCTCTTTAGTGTAAACTATATTTATAGTTTAGATGAACTTCAGCAGAGAGCTGGGCATATAGACCTAATTCTGGACCGTCAGGTAAACATTGTGGAGAGATTTTCCTTAGTATATTCATATATTTTTACTTAAATTAGATCTTATCTAAGATTCTCATTATTTCAATTGTAGTGAATGGAAATCATCCCTAAATTGATAAGAATTTGTCATCTACAATTAAATTAGTAGTTAGTCCTAAACAAGATGCTATCTTTTTTTTTTTTTTTTTTTTTTTTTTTTTTGAGATGGAGTCTTGTGCTGTCGCGCAGGCTGGAGTGCAGTGGCGTGATCTTGGCTCACTGCAAGCTCCACCTCCCAGGTTCATGCCATTCTCCTGCCTCAGCCTCCCGAGTAGCTGGGACTACAGGTGCCTGCCACCACGCCTGGCTAATTTTTTGTATTTTTAGTAGAGACAGTGTTTCACCGTGTTAACCAGGATGGTCTCGATCTCCTGACCTTTTGATCTGCCCGCCTTGGCCTCCCAAAGTGCTGGGATTACAGGCGTAAGCCACCGCGCCCGGCCACAAGATGCTATCTTAATCTGTTTATATACATGCATAAGTTAAATATAGTAACTAAAAATGCAAGTACTATGTATTAATAGAACCATCACTATTGTAGAAGATTGATTGGTGGTCCTCCAAAAAATATGTCTATCCTGAAACTGTGAGTGTGACCTATTTTAGAAAAAGGATCATTACAGATAAAATTTAGTTAAAAATCTTGAGATGAGATCATACTGGATTAAAGTGGACCCCGAATCCAGTGACAAATGTTCTTATTAGATAAGAGAAGAAGAAAAACACAGAGGAGAAAGTGATGAGATGATAGAGGTCTATTACAGTTATACTGTCACAGGACAAGGAATACCTGGAGCCACCAGAAGCCAAAAAAGGCAAAAAAGGATTCTCCTCCAAAGCCTTCGTGGGGAACATTGATGGAAGTAAGTGAATAAGTTGATTTGAGACTGCTGGCTTGCAGAACTGTGAGAGAATACATTTGTTTTTTCTTAAATTTGTTTAATTGCAATTTAATAATTGCACATATTTATAGGATACAAGGTGATTTTTTTTTTTTTTTTGAGACAGAGTCTTGCTCTGTCGCCCAGGCTAGAGTGCAGTGGCGCGATCTCAGCTCACTGCAACCTCCAACTCCTGGGTTCAAGCGATTCTCCTGCCTCAGCCTCCCGAGTAGTTGGGACTACAGGCGCCCGCTACCATGCCAGGCTAATTTTTTGTATTTTTAATAGAGATGAGCTTTCCCTGTGTTAGCCAGGATGGTCTTGATTTCCTGACCTCGTGATCCGCCCACCTCAGCCTCCCAAAGTGCTAGGATTACAGGCATGAGCCACTGCGCCTGGCCACAAGGTGATGTTTTTATATATGTTTTGTATAGTGATCAGTTCAGTGTAATTCTGTATCTATCATCTCAAACATTATTTGTTTCTTTCCATTGGGGACCTTCAATATGCTCCTACTATCTCTTTGATACTATATATTATTGTTAACCATTGTCATCCTGCAGTGGTATAGAATACTAGAATTGATTCCTCCTATCTAGCTGTAATTTTGTATTCTGTTAAACCACCAATTTTGTGATGATTTATATGGCAGCCTAGGAAAGTAATATACCTTTATTCACCTTCAATTGTCCTTCAGTGGAAATTTGCTGAAAATCTTTAGTGGCATAGATCACTTCTTTCACCATCCCTTTATCTTCCCTATCTATTGATCTGGTTTTGTGGCCTATACCTGTTAGTTCTAGAATAGCCATTGACCTGCATCAGAGGCATTAGTATAAACTAAACCAAACCAAAACAAAGCAAAGTAAAAAATCCTCACTTTGTCTAACATGAAGTACAAGTTTCACACTTTATTAATTAAATGGGCAGATAATTTACTTTCTCCCATAAAGTCAGAAAATATGTACTTCTGGTTCCTTTTTACACCAGCTATAGTTTTTCTTTCTGTAAAATATTAGGAATCTGTCTTCTTATGTAATGTCAGATTTCTCAATATTGTTTTTCACACTAAAGACATAGAAGCTCAATTTTCTATGTGTTCACCCCACCTCAAAAAAATCCTTTCAAAATCTAGTTTACTATAAAAATAAAATATTGATTGTTGTAATAAATTTTGACTTTAAGATATTTCTAACTAATTTCATAAATTATTGTTAACTCACAGAATTTTTATTACCATATGACTTTGTCTATACCATTATTACAAAATAATGAATAAATTAAACTTTTGCTTGTGAAGATACAATAATTATTGAACATTCAATACAATTGAATAAAATGTATCAAAGAGGAAGAAGTCAACATTGGAAAATAAAAATGAAGATTTGGTCAGAGAAATTATCACTCCCTTGACCATTATGATGAATATCACGAACATAATGAACACATATAAGTTGAAAAAAAGGTGAAAGCTGATCAGCTAAGAACAAGAACAGAGAATAAATTTTTGAGTGTTTGAGGAGAAAGGTGAGTTTTAAAATAGTCACATGGGAAGAGGGAGAGATGACTCAACCAGTGATGATTGCCTAGCAAGATGAAACATGCATTTTAGGTTCACTGTCATGAAACTGAATTTTTAAAGTATTTGTCTTTAGTCAAATTCTACTGTGCCGAATATAAGGAGAATAGTATTTCTGTAAGGTAATGGCTTTGTCAAGCAAGACAAATGGAGGCAGTCAGCTGAGAGTTTGTTAGGGAAGTAGGAGGAAACAAGGAGAAGGTATGGAGCTGTGAGGCAAAGTAGATAGTGTAAAGTAGATGGTAAAGTAGATAGGAAACAGACAATCAATATCTGTAGATAAAAGTTAAATCCATTATCCTTTAAAAATCCTTTCTTAGTATGTAGGTGTTTCTAGGGTATTATTTTGCTTTTTTTTTTTTTTTTTTTTTTGAGACGGAGTTTTGCTCTTGTTGCCCAGGCTGGAGTACAATGGCACGATCTTGGCTCACTGCAACCTCTACCTCCCCGATTAAAACAACTCTCCTGCCTCAGCCTCCCGAGTAGCTGGTATTACAGGCATGCGCCACCACACCAGGCTAATTTTGTATTTTTAGTAGAGATGGGGTTTCGCCATGTTGGTCAGGCTGGTCTTGAACTCACGAACTCAGGTGATCTGCCCGACTCGGCCTCCCAAAGTGCTGGGATTACAGGCTATTATTTTGCTTTTAATATTATTTTGTTATTATTTTTAGATAATTTCTCTCTCTTGTTTTTCCTCACCTAATATATTTTGTAAACTCTTCATGAGAAGAGAATTTATCTTGTAGTTTATACATACTCTAAAGACTCCTAAACTTTTATACTCATGCAATCGTCATTCAATAGATACGTGAAATGAATATCTCTTGACGTTTTTACCAATCTTCATTTTCCAATTTTTAGCTCATATACATAATGCATAAATATACAGTCTACATTTTGGCTCAATTTTAAGTAGGCTATTTTAGGATATGAGGTTTTATAGATGTAGATGATCCTTCTTAGCTTCAATAATATAGTGGCATTGATTCATCTAAATGGAACTTTTAATGTCACTGTACATTTCCTGCTAAATGGCATGCACACATTTCTGCATATATTAACTTTTTGGCATAAATTTAACATTTCTTTTTTACTTATTCTATATATATATGTATGAATGTATACTTTTTCCTTGTTTGATTTTTCATATTTTCATGCAAATGGATAAATATGTTAAAAAAATCATAATGGATGTTAACTGAATAAAAAATCCAAATAAATTTGGAAAGAAGGACTTTCTTTCTCATAAAAGGTTGCAGTCTGCAGTGTGGCCATGCTGACAGGTTGGGAACCATAGCTCTGGGTCAGAAGCTGAAAACAGACATTTCAAGGGAGTGGCAAAGGAACAGGAATTAATGCTGAGCAGGATGGCCAGATACACATATTTAATAAACTATAGGAGGAGTCATGAATATTTATGAAAGGAGAAACATGCACATACACAGTTGAGCTTCATGCCTGTCTGTGGGTCCCATGTCCAAAAAATTAACATGATCCAACGGTGGAGTTTCTGGCTCTCTGAAGTCAAAAGGTGAAGCAGAGGACATGAAAAGTCCTCACTGTACATTATTCGTAGATTGGCCAGAACCACTTCCTGGTTGGTTGTCTCTTATCAGGAAGGAATACTGTAAGTTGTTTCATTGAAGCTGCTAAAAGGGAGGAGCAGCATTATTAGGTGGTTGTTTAAAATCGGCTCTGCAGAGCCTTTTGAAAGGGCTGGTTTCTGTTTGGTCCTTAGGAAAGAAAGCCTAATGACGATTAGTGAGGGGTCAGGTGTAAAAAGGTGTGTCCAACCTCCCGTTCTGTCATGGCTGGGAACTCAGAGTTCACGATTTCTCCTAGGTTCCCTTGGCCAAGAGGGTGTCCATTCAGTCATGTGAGGGGCTTGGGATTTCGTTCTTTTCTCACAAAGGAATTCATAGGAAGTCAAGTACCTGTGCATTAAGGCCACATGCTTAGTCATTCACTTTTACTAACACAACCTCACATTTAAGCTCAATTTTCTTCAGGTTCCTCATCTTAAAACAGTTGAATTTACACGAGTAATTTGTAAATTTGTGTTGCTTATGATCTAAGGTTGAGTATTTTTTAGGTAATGTTGCTGAAAAAAAGTGTAAGAAAAATAAAACATTATAAGAATAGATTAAATGACAAAAAGCTATTCCCATAAAAGGGTTTTGTATTAAAAAATGAATATTTTCCTAATTGTGCTCATAATGTGGAAATTTTATAAAATTATGCAAATATTTTTGAAGTTCCCTTATAGTTTATAAGGATAATGGTATATTATTAATAAGAAAGGGTGTATATTTCATTTTTTTTAAATCCTATTTTTCAGAAATATTATTTGAGTTTGCAGAGATATGAGTTAAATAACTAAACACAAATTGCCAGCGTGGATTGTTGAGAGACTGTTTTCCATGGTTGTCTTGCATTTCTGAACATCTTGAGATGAGGCAATTCTGCCTGTTGGTCTGAGCTGTCTTTCTAAAGATGCCTGTATGCTAAATGGGTTTGTAATACATGGATAAATATCTATTGCCTTGAGGCAAAGGGCAGATTTGCTTATAGGATTGGAATGTGGAGATAGTGTTTCCCTCTGTAGCAGACAGTGAATGTGTTTACTCTCCAGTTCAATAAATGCAGTGCCTGAATTCAAAGCACAGAACGAGAATGCTAAGTCATGATTGTTTTCTAAGCTGAGGGTCCCTATCCTTTAATGCAAACCACTTCATATATAGGCATCCACTGGGCCTACATAGCCTTGAATCTATGAGATTTGGCTAGAAATCATGTGTTGATATTCACGTTGATTGCTGTGCTGTGAGTAACGGGGTCCTTTCTCTCTGACTCATGAGTGTTGTGTCTTCTGCCAGTAACTATGAAATTGTGGCAGGCTAACTTGTTGACTGGCTGGTAAGGTAAAATTTCAGACCCTTGTTATTTCTTGACGTTTTCGTGTGAAAAAGTGAATGCTCATAGTGAGATGGCTTTTTTTGAAGATTTGGTAGACAATTTATAGGACTTAAGGGAGTCCATAGAAATTAGTAGCAAACATGTACATCAATTTTAAGGAAAACTGGCGATATGCTCCAGGATTTTGTTGACTTTTAGAAAAGAGGAATTGAGACGTGAGTGTTGGAAAATCGTTCAAAAATCAGTCTTCTGAGTGTTGTTGTCTTGGTTGGTGGTAACTCTTCTCCCAGAAGAGGAACTTTCTTGCTGTCTGGTATTCAGATAAGTTTGCTCCACTGCAATCATTAGTACTATGATTTATCCTGGGTGAGCAGAAGGTTCTGACTTTTCTCTCACTCCGTCACCTGACAATAGATATAGAAATATGTAAACTCTGCTGCACAAAAAAAGAAGAAAATTCATGAATGCTCTCAGCCAAAAATCAGAGTATTTTTAAAACTTTGGGTCATTGGGAGAGAAAGAGGTGCTTGTTAGGAAAGCATGGCAAGAGGTGGGTCATTGTACAGTTCAGAGTCCTCTATCGTGACAGCATTGTATTAATTAAGAAATAAATACATAAATAATCTTTATTGAGTTATTGACAGTGAGTATAGGGTACTATAAGGGATTTGGCAGTCTTGGGAAAATTTCTGTGAGACAGACAACTCTCATGTGAAAACACAGATAAAGCGTTGAACACTTATTGTAGATTTTATTGCTCCAAATCAAGTTTAAAATACCAGTGAAGTAACTGCAAGAGAATAAGTGAGAGATCCAAATACATCTATATAAATTCTTGCAATCATCCTTTCTAACATGAAAAACACCCCTCTCTCCTGAGTTAAAACCAGCCCGAAATATGAGAGATAGTATCAGGACGACTGTACAGAAAATCACCCAGATAAAAATAAACTTTCAAAAAGGGACTATTTAAGCTTCTTATAGATTCTGGATATTAGACCTTTGTGGGATGCATAGATTGCAAATGTTTTCTCTAGTTCTGTAGGTTTTCTTTTTACCCTGTTGATAGTTTCTTTTGCTGTGCAGAAGTTCTTTAGTTTGATTAGGTCTCACTTGTTAATTTTTGTTTTAATTTTTGTTTTTTGTTGCAATTGCTTTTGAGGTCTTCGTTGCACAATTCACAATAGCAAAATATGGAATCAACGTAGATGCCCATTTATAGTAGAGTGGATAAAGAAAATGTGGGCCATGTACACCATGGAATACTATGCAACCATATAAAAGAATGAAATTATGTCCTTTGCAGCAACATGGGTGCAGCTGGAGGCCAATATTCTAAGCAAATTAATGCAGGAACAAAAAAATCTAAATACCGCATGTTCTCACTTATAAGTGGGAGCTAAACAGTGAGTATACTTGTACTCAAAGAAGGAAACAATAGACACTGGAGCCTACATGAGGGTGGAGGGTGGGAGTAGAGTTAAAATCAAAAAATTATCTATTGGATGCTATGCTCACTACCCTGGGCAACAAAATAGTTTGTACACCAAACGTCTGTGACACACAATTTACCCACATAACAAAACTCCACGTGTACCTCCTGAACCTAAGATAAAAGCTGGAAGGAGAAAACAAGCCTTGGTCAGCCAGAGCGGTAAATTGTATGGTTCCAGAGGAAAAGCAAAGTGATGTGGCTGTGATTGATGAGTCAAGGGATCCTCAAAGCTGAAGTTGTTGGTGCTGGTAATTACTTTACAGCCAATGTGGGGTACAAAACATTAGAACAAAACGTTGTAAATTTGGTTGAGCATCAAACAACCATAATGCTGCATGAAACTAAAAGTAAATATCCCTCAATCACAGGTTTGGAGACACTCTTGTCCTCTATTGATTCTCATCTGTCTTCAGCTGCTTTAATGTGAAAGATGATTTTCTTCTCACTTCAGCTGCTTTAACGTGAAAGATGGTTAGGGGTGGAGATGAATTCCAAGAGTGACTGATGGCTATACATTCTCAAAGAAATTTGAGGAGGGAAGAGAACCAAACTTTTATGTCTCTTAAATATAGATGTGGAAGTTTCTGGAGTTTGGATAAGTTTTTCAGTGGAGAAAGCACACTAACATGAACTTGTGTGTGGCATCCTTTAGGACCGTGTAATGTATGTTGTTGTTTCTATCTCTATATGTATAGTAAGAATTGATGTATTATGAACTGCTTCTTATATTCTATGCTCCCTCTTCCCCATCCCATAAGTCCCAGAATGGATTCTCTGATTGAGGGGAATTGGATGTGCAGAACTGCTTGTACTTTTAAGATTCCAATATACTAAAAAAAACCTATGAGTTAAAACCTTTGCTATGGATATTTTGATAATTAGAACCTCTGGTAAATTGAGGCAACCTCCACTGAGAAGCACTCTTTGGAATTTTGAATGTGTTACCTATCCCTAATAGGTTCAGTTGTGGACAGCTATCAGATACACTGTTTTTAAAAAGTACCTCTTGTCTTGCTACTGGAATTTTGTTGAAACTACATACCTGACCCAAGGAGGCCATTTGACTCTCTGATTTGAAATTCTCAGTTTGCTGTGGATCATATCTTGGATCTCATGACTAACATGGTGGTAGTATACAACGAATCTCACCAGTCAAATGGAAATGATATAGAATGCAGCCGAACAGCCCCTGTAGCAACTTGATTATACATAAAATAGTAGCAGCTATCTCTTTGATGAAACCTTTATCTCTCATTTCACCATATGAAGAAAAAGCACTAGCATGATAGGGCCCTCCACTTGCAGACTTTCACCTAAGTGCCTGGTCTATATTATACACACACACACACACACACACACACACACACACAATCCATTTATTAAAACATACCAAGAAGCTGATACATAAGTTTGAAAATTGTAGTTAAATTTACTAATATCAAAATTTCTTCTTCCCTGGGACCATGGACCCCTAGTTTGAGGTTAAGAATAAATAACATGCTATTATTTTTATTTTAGGGGTATGTTCTTTTATATAAAAGCTTTATTTTGATATAATTCTCACATATATTTCACCAATGTAATGTATAAGATTCAATGGTGTTATTATATTCAAAGAGTTGTGTAACTATCAACAGAAACAATGTTAAAAGATTTTCATCATCATAAAAAGAAACTCTGTGGGCTGGGTGCAGTGGCTTATGCCTGTAATCCCAGAACTTTGGGAGGCTGAGGCGGGTGGATCACCTGAGGTCAGGAGTTCAAAACCAGTCTGACCAACATGGTGAAACCGCATCTCTACTAAAAATACAAAAATTAGCTGGGTGCGATGGTGGGCTCCTGTAATCCTAGCTACTCAGGAGGCTGAGGCAGGAGAATCACTTGAATCAAGAGGCAAAGGTAGCACAGAGCCAAGATCACACCATTGCACCCCAGCCTGGGTGACAGAGCAAGACTCCATCTCAATAAAAGAAAAAAGAAACCCTGTCCAATTAGTAGTCTTTCCTCATTTCCTCCCATACCTTACTCTGGGCAAACGCCAATCTACTTTCTGTCACCATAGATTTGACTATTCTGGACATTTCATGTAAGTGGAATTATAAAATATATGATTTTTTTTACTAGTTTTTTCACTTAGCATAATACATTCATTGATATTGTAGCATTGAACATGCTATGTCATGTTGAATGTTTAAATGTTCAACATGTTTGATTCACATTGTAGCATGTATCAGTTATCATTCTTTTTTGTTGATGAATAATATTCTATTATGCAGATATACATTATCCACTCATCAGTTCATGAACATTTGTTTAGTTTCTGATATTTGGTTACTATGAATAATACTCTTATAAACATCCACATGTGAGTGTTTGTGTGAACATATGTTTTCATTTCTCTTGAGTACATACCTAGGAGTAGAATTTCTGGGTTATGTGGAAACTCTACATTTAAATGTTTTGAGAAATAGCCAATCTGTTTCCAAAAGGAGGTGCCCTATTTTACACTCCTGCAAGTAGTGTATGTGGGTTTTATTTTTTCCTCTTTCTCTCTAACACTGATTATATTTTTATTTTGAAAAAGTGAATTTAAAAAATAGCCTTCCTAGTGTAGGAAGAGGTTTTCATTATGGTTTTGACTTGCATTTTCCTAGACTAACAATGTTCAGCATTGTGTGTGTGTGTGTGTGTGTATGTGTGTGTGTGAGAGAGAGAGAGAGAAAGAGAGTGAGATAGGGTGTCAGCCTGTGCAATGGCATCATCTTAGCTCACTGCAACCTCTACTTCCCAGGCTCAGATTATCCTCCCACCTCAGTCTGCTGAGAAGCTGGGGACTATAAGTGCACGCTACCATGCCCAGCTAATTTTTGTAGAGATGGGTTCAACCATGTTGCCCAGGCTGGTCTTGAACTCCTGAGCTCAAGCGATCCACCCTCCTTAGCCTTCCAAAGTGCTGGGATTACAGGCATGAGCCACTGTGCCTGGCCAACATCTTTTCATGGGATTATGGGCCATTTGTATATGCTGTTTAAAGAAATGTCTATTATTAGTCATTGTCTATTTTAGTTTTTATTATTGAAATGAAGGGGTTATATTTTATAGATTAAAGTCTATTATCAGATGTATATTTTGCAAATATTCTTGATTATCTGAGTTGTCTTTTCAGTCTTGATGGTATATTTTGAAGCACAAAAGTTTTTAATTTTGATGAAGATGAACTTATTCTATTTTTGTGTTGCTTGTGATTGTTTTATGTATGTTATAGCTATAAAGGCTCTATCAAAACCAAATTTGTAAAGACTTACTCCTATGTTTCCTTCTAATAATTTGATAGTTTTACTTCTAACAGTTACGTATTTCATCATTTTGGCTTAAATTATTTATGTAGTTTGCAGAAGGGCAACAGTTTCATTCTTTTCCATGTGGATATACAATTATCCCATTTATTTGCCCCATCAAATGGTCTTGGTATACATGTCAAAATTCATTTGCTCATAAACACAAGGGTTTATTTCTGATCTCTCCATTCTATTTTATTGAGCTGTGTCTATCATTACGGAAGTGTCACAATGTCTTACAGCTTTTTGGTAGTTTTGAATGCAGAAAAGATGAGTCATCTAATTTTTTTCTTTTATAAATTGGTTTCACCATTTGTGACTCATATGTATTAATTTTAAAATCAACCTGTCAATTTCTTCAGGAAATGCCAGCTAGGATGTTGATAGGGATTGTGTGAATTAATTTGGTAACAGCATTTTAGCAATATTAAATCTATGAAAATGAGTTTTTTCCATTTACTTAATTTTCCATTTATTCATTTCTTTAAATAATGTTTTATAGTCTTTAGTGAACATATCATGTCCTTTTTGGTTAAATCTTAACTAAGTATTTTGTTCTTTTTGATGGTATTTGAATAATTTTTTTCCTTATTTGATTTTCATTTTGTTCATTGTCATGTACACAAATATAATTGATTCTTGTATATTGATTGTGCATCCTATAACCTTGCTGAATTCACATATTAGATTTAATATATTTAGTAAATTCCTTAGGCTTTTCTATATATGAGATTATGCCATGAGCAAATAGAGATTGTTGTTACTTTTTTATTTCCACTGTGTACGATATTTACTTTTGTTGCATGATATACCTGGTGAGAACTTCCAATACAATGTTGAATAATAGTGGTGAAAGAAAACATCTTTTTCTTCTCCTGAAGTTAGAAGGAAACCATTTAGTCCTTGACTATAAAGTATGAGGTTAGCTGGGGTTTTTGCATAGTTGCTATGATAAATATCAGGGTGAAGAAACTTTCTTTTATTCCTAGTTTGTTGTGTGTTTTTATCATAAAAGGTGTTGGACTTTATCATAAAGGTATTAAATTTCTGTCTATGTCAGAAGTTTTTTTTTTGAGTTTGTGGAGATAATAATGTAGTTTTCGTCTTTTGTTCTATTTATACAATATATTGTATTAATTTATTTTGGGATGTTGAGCCAACCTTGCATTCTGAGAATATTTTCCATTTGGTTATGGTGTGTAATCTTTTTCAGTTAATGCTGAATGTACTCTAGTTGTATTTTTTTCTGTATTGTTTTTTATTCTCCATGTTATTAGTTTTCGCTCTAATTTTTATTATTTTATTTCTTCTCTTTATATTAGATTTAGTATGTCCTTATTTTTAATGTTTTGTTTCTTTGATTGTAGGCATTTATAGGCATACATTTCTATCTAAGCACTGATTAAGCTGTATTCCATGCATGTGGGTATGTTTTGTCTTCATTTTCATCAATATCAAAGGGCTTTCTAATTTCTCTTGTGATTTCTTCTTTGATTTATTGATTGGTTATTTAGGTGCATGTCGTTTAGTTTAATAGTATTTGTGCATTTCCAAGAATTTTTTCTGTTATGGATTCTAACATTATTATATTTCAGTTCCAAAACATATGTTGTGTGCTTTCAATTCTTTGAAATATATTGAGGCTTATTTTATTACCTATAATTTTTTTTAAGAATATTCTGGGTGCACTTGAGAAGTAAATTCAGCTTTGATTGAATGGAGTGTTTCATAGATGACTGTTAGGTATAACTGACTTGTAAAGTTTAAATCTTCTATTTCCTTTTTATTTTCTTACTAATTGTTCTATTTATTATTGAAAGTGGGATATTAAAGTTTCTATCTATTGCTATTTAATGGACTATTTCTCTTCAATTCTGTAAGTTTTTGTTTCAGCAAACTTGGCACTCTATTTCTGGTTGCATATTGGTTTATATTGTTATATATTTCTGATGGATTGATTCTTTGTTACTATTAAAATAATTATCTTTTTCTTCTGTACATCTGAAAACATTTGTCTGTTAATAAACTCTCTCCATTTTTTTCTCCTAGTATACTTACTCTAGCTTTCTTAAGTTCACTGTTTGCATAAAGCACAGTTTCTGCCCTTTACTTCAGAATCTATTTGTGTCTTTGGATCTAAAGTATTTCTCCTATAGACTGCATAGACTTGAGTATTGTTTTTTTGTTTGTTTGTTGATTGGTTGGTTGACTTTTTTCTAGTCTCACATTCTCTGATTTTGATCAGTTTGTCTAATCCATATATATATGTAATGTAATTATTATAATTTCATTGTTAAGTGTAATATATTTATATCTGGTATACACCCAATGATGCAATGGTATAACTATTGTTTTATAGAGTTACTAATTAAGTTGGCTAAGTGTATAAGAAGAAGAAATATGCATTTTTACTATCATTCATACTTACATAATTATTTTTACCTGTGCTCTGTTTTTTTCATGTGGATTCTAATTACATTATGGGGTCACTTGCTTTCACCATAAAGAACTTCCATTATTATTTCTTGTCAAACAGTTTTGCTTGCAAATAACTTCTATGGTTTATTTGGGCATTTCTTTATTTCACCTTTATATTTGAAAACATGTGCTCTCAGTATAAGATTCTTGGTTGATATTTTTTTCTCTCAGTGCTTTGAGTATGTCTTCTCACTTCCTCTCCTCAATTGTTACTGGTCAGAAATTAGCTGTTTCTCATACTGGGGCTTTTTTGAATGTGATGAAATGTTTTTTCTTGCTGCTTTAAAGATTTGTTCTCTGTCATTGTCTTGAAGTATTTTTACTATGATGTATGTGGGTATGAATCTCTCTGCACTTATTCTACTTAGAGTTCATTGAGCTTATTGGTTTAAGGATTAATGTCTTTTATAAAATTGTTAAGTAATTACTTGAAATATTTATCTGCTACTTTATTTCTCTCGTGTTCTCTTTCTTTTGGTATTCCCTTTGCATGTATATTGTTGTGCTTAATAGTGTCCCACATATTTCTGAGGTTCTATTTATGTGTTTATTTATTTTTTCTGTTTATAGAGCACATAATTTCTACAGATTTGTCTCCAAGCTTGCTGATATTTTCCTCTGCCAATTCATATCCACTTGTGAGCCCCTTTGGTAAATTTTGTATTTCAAATATTGTAATTTTCAATTCCAGAATTTTAATTTGACTCTTTATATTTTCTATTTCTCTAGTGATATTCTATATTTGATGAGACAATGATATTTTATCCTTTTTTTTTTAACATCTTTAAGCATGGTTTTCCTTGGGCTTTCAAATGTAATTATAATAGTTACTTTGAATATTTTGTCTACTAAGGCTGACATTTGAGCCATCTCACATCCAGTTTTTTAACACTGCTGCTCTCCAATCTCCCATTTCTGGGGCCACAGTTTTCTGTGTGGGTACCTCACAATTTTTTGCTTACAGTTGGACATTTTGGATAATTTATTGTATCAAGTCTAGATATTGATTTCCCTTTTCTTTTTCTTCAGGGATTGCATTTGTTTTTATCTCATTGTGTGTTTATTTGTTTAGTAACTTGGGCAAGACTATTTTAGTAAAGTGTATTTTCTTTTCTTTTTTTTTTTTTTTGAAATTTAGTCTCCCCCTGTTGTCCAGGCTGGAGTGCAGTGTCGCAATCTCAGCTCACTGCAACCTCCAGTAAAGTGTATTTTCTATACAGTGTAAAGCCTCTGCTGTCACTCCTCTAAGGTATAAGGAGATTATCTTTGTGTATGAAGACAATCATCCTGGTATAATAGTGATTCTACAGGGCTTTCGTAGATAGTCTTTCCTTTATATTTCTCTTAACCTGTCTACCTCCGTTGGCATCTCCCCTATCTGGTAGACATCATGAATTGCCCGCTGATTGCCCTATTGAGTTCAACAATTCCCTGTAGCATAAATTACTTCACAGTCTCTTTGAAACAGTAGTTTTCTGAGGCTAGTTTTTGAGGTTTGTTTTTACGAGATGAATGGTCTTTTTACCTTTCTTTTCTGGGTGTGTGTGTGTGTGTGTGTGTGTGTGCACGTGCCTTGTAACCTGGTAGCCTCTAGTTTGTCCTATTGTGTTGTGAGATATCTAAACTCCCCTCCATTGCTTATCACCAAAATCTGTTTTGCAAATGCCTTCAAGTTCCCTACATTGTGGTCTAAATGAAGTCAATTCTCCTGGTGAACGCTTTGAACTACTCTGTATTACCACTTGTTTCACCCCCTGGGAAAAATCTCTGCATGAGTTCTCTATTGCTTGGAGTAGAGAGAGTGGCCCAATTCCTTTAGAGTGACACACTAGCTTCATGAACAGAGCACTTTTTTGCAGTCCCAACGTCTTCTTTTCTCAGCTTGACTCTTAGTACGGAACCCGTCTGCCTTTTGAGCAAGTTGGTTGAGGGGCTTTATTATCCTCAGCTTTCCATGCCTGGTTTGAGATCCCACCCTCTAAATGGGGTGGAGAATGCCCTTTACCTCTAATATATCCGCATTTGAAATACAGACCCTGCCACATGCTGCTGGGCAGAATGAGAAATAACAATGGCATGATTCTCCTGAAGTAATACTGTTGCCCTTGGCTGCAAGCTGGGAAAGAATAATCTCTATCTTTTTGGCTCACCCCTTCAGAGTGGAGCTTTCATCATGCTGAACTGAGCGGGGAAAAGATTGTTCATGGTTCAAGTCCACACATTCTTGTTTTTCTTATAAAGATTTAGTACATTTTCTTGAACAAGTGTTTATTATCTTTTGTATGCACTTAGAACAATTTCTGGAAACTGTATTTTTATTTTTTAAAATTTGTTATGGTTATTTACTGGGGACAGAGCTTTTCATCCACCATTCTGGAACTATTTTTCCTCCCTTGCTATACTTTACAAATTACTAGACTACTCTTAATGACAGCTATTTAGTTTGCAATTTGGAAAATAGCACACTAGCAGATTGAAGATAACCCTTTTAATGTCTGTGGACGGTAGAAATGAATTTCTGCTGTTGGTCAAAGTATCTAGGTCAGTTATGAAGAGCTTCAGAGTCAGGGACTGCTGATACCAAGTGTAATCAAATTGCTGATTGAGCTCAGATAACCATCACTGGTGTCCAGATCAACCATCCTATAACATTCATTCATTGTAACACATCCACTCTCATAGGCTAACTACCAATAATAAGACTACATGTTTGTAATACAAAGGCTACTGCTGCATGTCCGACTTTAATCAAATGCCATTTTTTCTTCACATAAAGAGAAAAGCACATTGTGCAGGTCTTTGCCTCTACGTGCTCTTGGTAAATTGACTTTCAATTGACATCCTCATGGGGCTATCAGTGTTACTTCAAAACTGTTGACAAATTTTTAGGTTAGAATTGTACTTCTCTAGTCTTATCAGTTAACTCCAACCACATAATTGTCTTCTTTGAAACTAATATGTCATATTTTCAAAGTTCCAGAAAGTTTATAGTCTTTTATATCTATTTATATAATCTGTTTTTTATATATATGTTTGTAGTCTGATATATATAATCTGTTTTATATATGTTATTTTTATAGTCTGATATATACATGTTATGTTATGTCTGATATACATAGATATGTCTGATATATATAGGTTATATACATGAGACATATATAACATACATATATATAACATAATGTAACCTGCATATCAGACATATATATGTATATATAACATATATATGCTATAAGGACACATTTCTATATATATGTCACTCAAAAATGGGCTTGTAGTCGAGGTATGTTGATAGGCATCCACAATGCCTACTGTAAAAAGTGAAGTAGAGGTTCCTCTTCAAAGAGACTTTCCTCCCCACCTAATTAAGAACAAATAGTAACTTCTCTTAAAAGCAAAATGTATTGAAAGACCTGTGCTAACACTCTTAAATATCTGCTAGCCGTAATAAAGACATCAATATACTTTGTGTTCTTAGCTCCCACAATTTAGCCTAAATATTTGCCCTGGCATGCTTATACTGGTTCAAGCAAGCATTAGGTCATAGCCTCTTCCTCTTCCTTATTGGGAGGTGTTTTTACCTTTCTCAGCATTCCAGAAGTTACTTCCTCCTTCCTTTGTTCTCCTCGGTCTTTGTCTCTTTTGAAAAGTTCTAAGTTGCTAGCCAATCAGGACAAATACAGAATGTGAGGTCCCGTTTCAGCCAATGGAAACTGGACACAGCAGTGGGGTGGACACGTCAGGTTATGAACAACCCTGTCTCCTTTGTTCAGTGTACTCTCATGGCAAAACTGCTGGCAAGTGTACCCTTTCTGCAGAAAGTAAAAATGGTCTTGATGAGAAAATTAAATTTATGTTCAGGTGCTATTTCTTTGTGGCACCGGGGAACAAGCATTTGTAACACTACCATCATTCTATTTTTTTGGACCTACACAAATGTCAATTAAAAAAAAATTTCTAACCCTGTCTCTCTTACTTCCTCCAGGGCCAAACATCTTAATAAGCCAATTTGCTGTATGTATATAGTTGACACAAGCAAAAAATCTTCTTCTCTTAACCACTTCCTGAAAAACAATTTTTTTAAACTATGGAGTTTTCTTAAAATATTTTTGAATGTTCAGGATTTAATCTTTATCGTTCCTAGACATACTATTTTTTCTCACATAGCACCACACCCAGAGCATCAGGTTGGTGCAGCTTGAAAGTGACAGCCCAGTGAAAATGGGATCTAAGATGTTTAATTTAATTTTGTTTAAAGCATCTGCATTCACTAGTTTGACTGACATGATTTCAGTTATGAAAAATAATGATTGAGTACTTGGTTGTATACTGTGTTTACTAAGTCGACCAAATCTGGCTCAAGAGGAAAATGGTTGTGGAAATAATGGATTTCTGTAAGTTTTATTATACAACTGTGCTTGTACTTCTTGCACCCAATCCCTCTAAATGACAAGTCCAGGTGTGATTATGTGATATTTAGTGAAAAAATTAAGTTATAGTTACTTGAATAGAACACATCATTTCTGTCATAGTGGAAAAACAGCAACAACCTTAGGCACTTGTGAAGGAAACTCTTCAGACCTTGAGAAACACAGGAGAAAGAGGGACATTAATGATCTTGTCTTCCAGACCTGCCCCTTAATCTTTTCTCTCAAAGAGAATGAATCCGATGTGCTCCTTTAAATATTATAAACACCTTAATTTGGCTGGGCGCAGTGGCTCAGGCCTGTAATCCCAGCACTTTGGGAGGCTGAGGCGTGTGGATCACGAGGTCAGGAGTTCAAGACCAACCTGGCCAATATAGTGAAACCCCATCTCTACTAAAAATACAAAAATTAGCCAGGTGTGGTGGCACACACCTCTAGTCCCAGCTACTCAGGAGGCTGAGGCAGGAGAATCACTTGGACCTGGGAGACGGAGGTTGCAGTGAGCTGAGACCATGCCATTGCACTCCAGCCTGGGCAACAGAGCAAGACTCCATCTCAAAAAAAAAAAATTAGAAAACAAACCTTAATTTAACCTGACTTTTAGGTCTGCATCACCCTGCCAAATGATTCTGATCATAATTTGATCAACATATCCATCAATATTACCAAGAAGTCTTCTGGAAACATCAGGAGGAGGACCCTGATACTGTCCCTCCCAGACAAACACATAGCAGCAATTATGGATGACTTTTGCACATGCAATTCCATAGCCATTTCTCAATTGTTCTGTGTAGCAGATGAATGCAACCTGGGTGATGGAGTAGACAGAAAGGACAGTCTTGGATACGTGTCTTCTAATTGAACTATGTTGATATTCAATACTTTAAACTGAACTAGGAATTTAAAGACCAGCTAGCTATCTGGAAAATCACATTGGAATCATTGACTGATATAGGTCTCATCTGGGAAGACTCAATTGTTATGCTCAACGTAATGTTTCCAAGGTCACCATATGTGACCTAGGACTGAACATCTTATGTAAAAATAAAGCAATTTGCTTGCCTCTTTCCTGGAAACATAACCTTAAACCAAAGAGGTTGCTATAGGAGTTTAAAGAAGCACAAGCAGTAGATCATGTAGCCCTCAGATGACTACATATTCCTCCCCCAAATGAGGCTTCTAATGGTCTTTGTGGGAGGTTTCTTGTAGGATAAGTGACTGATTACTTATGCTTACCATTTGGGAAATTATCTCTACAATGGGAGTCATCAAATTAGAAAAGACAGTAGAAAGATTCTTTCTGACGTTAGCTGAAGTGATCAGTAACACCTCTTCAGTCCCCAAAGTGATTTAGATCAGTCTCAACTCTCTGGCCAGGGTTGTTATGAATTATGTAATTTCTCTACTTTTTGTTCTCACAAACCAAGTTGAAGTCTGTGAAATAGTTTATGGGAATTTTTTTTTTCTTGGATCCGGCTAGATGTGGAACTCAGTGGGTGAGGCATTGCTGAGGTCAGTATTGTAGGTTGGTTTCATCTTCCTGTATGGAAACCTATTGAAAGCAGTGTTAGTTGAATGCTGTATGGCACAAATTAAATAGATATGGTCCCAGCCTTTCTAAGTTAGATTAATTAGAGTAGATGGTAGAGTGGTATACTCATGTAAAAGATGCATAAGCCAAAAAGTTATTAAATCAAGGTAGGAATCTCTTTGGATTTCTTGTGTTTGTATAGCTTTCAAGCAAGTAACTTGATATCCTTAGCAGTGGACAATCTTTTTATGAATGTTTTTACAGCATACATTCTTACAAGATTAGTGTCTCTCTCTAGAACCAAGTCCAGTCATGCTGACTATATAGTATTGTAAAGATAATATATTCTTCCTGAAAAGAGGGGCAGTCATGCTCATTGCCCAGTACAGGACATTCGGAGTTCCTTTCTTTTAAGCTAACTTACTGCAAGTGCAGTACATGTGGGCCCATATTGTGTTGTTTCCTCGGGACTTGGGATCTAGGGAAGGCAACACAGATGCTAATGCTCATGAAGCTGACTGATCTGTGACTTATAACATTTTTAATCCTTGATTCATAAGTCTCGTGTCTTACAAACATCATGCAAAAGATTGTGGTAGGCAAAGTTTTAGGATGCAAGTGGCATAAAATGGTGGACCATAAATATTTTTTGGCATAGATGTAACACCTTTTAATCATATCTTTTGGATTATGTTAAGTGAAGAGTAGGTATAGACACAATTCTAAAAGGAAACATTTTAATGAAAATAATAATATAGCTAAGTTTATATTTTTTCTCATTTTAAGACAATTTTAATTTTATTAAAAACAGAAGACCATGAATTTTCTTTGTTTAAAGAAACTCCTTTGAATTATTTACAGAATAAAAAAACTTTGCTTTGAGACTTTAATATCATATATAAGGCATTATACATTCTGTAAATAGCATGAGTAAGAAATACAGACCTTAGAATGGTTAGACTGTCCATTCTTGAGTGCTTTAATCGGAATATATGTAAATATTTATTTGAACTATATTATATGAAATATAATATTTCCCCATAGTTTTTGTCACATATTTTGTAATAATATTTTATTTAATATGGTTTAGCATAATACAATGTCCACACTTGAATATGAAATTAATACAAATCAAAGTTGCAAATGTGGTGACATTCAACGTTTCTTCATTTTAGGAAATAAATGCTAAAATCTCTTAGTTGCAAGATAAGCATGTTTCCCCCCTATTTTGTGTTCTTACAGGTCATTTGACTGAAGGCCACCAAAACAGTTGTCTCAAGTGTGAAAAGAGGTATTTACAAAGACTTGAAACATTCTTTCATATTCCCCAATGATAATATTTCAGGCAAGTAGTCACTAATGCTATAGTATTATAAAGCTAAGAGAAATACATCTTAAAATAAATGATTAAGTTTATACAGTTCCAGAGCTGAGCAAACAATTTTTCTTTGTTTTCCAAATATTTGAGTATTGTGGTAAAATAGCTATTATGCCCTCTCCTATAGCTAGTCTTTTATCTTTAGACAAAATTTATTTTTAATATTGAATAAGCAACACTTAATTGGAGTTTGCATCTGATTGTTGCCTAATAAAACATAACAAATCATATAATAATTCCAGTTTGAGCATTTTATTTATCAGCACTTGCTAGACAGATTAACTGTAACTTAGCAGGTGTGAACCTGAAAAAGCAGCCCTGTTTTGGAAGATTCAAAGAAATATATATGATTATGCACAAAGTTCTTACAATATAGGCATGTCAATAAAACTATTATTTTCATATCAAATGAGTGCTGGAAAATTTTAGTTAAATTTTTGTTAGAGATCCTTGAATAAACAAGTGGCTTATTTTAGAGATAATTAGATTTGTTCTTAATATTTTAAAAATACTGTTTGAGATTAATTCTTCTTTTTTCATTATTTCATTTTAGATCACTATATTTTGTACAAATGAAGAAACTGAGTTAAAGAAAGATTAAATGTCCTGAACGATACCAATAACTAATGACTGATGGGGTGGTAAGCCTAGAATTGTATCTTAATTGGTGACACTCAAGACCCTCATGGTAAAACACTTTTTATATGCCTCTCATGGACTCAAATATAAAGGAAGAAGTCACCATACCAAAAATCCATAAACCCAATCACCACTCTCCCAGTAGAAATCTCTATTTAGTAGTAATATATTTTTTCTTTTGACATTGAAAAAGTATCACTTGAAGTGCTTTTAAAAGATATTTCTTTTTCAAGTTAAAATAAAAAGTTATAGAGCACTAAGAAAGAAGTCACATATTTGCAGTTGATATAATTTAGGAAATATTTCACCAAATTTCTAATGAATTTTACCTTGTTTACTTACAGAAATTCAAATTCCACATACCAAAATATTTAAATAGAAATCAATAATTTTAAATATAAAGGAAATATAGACATGACTAGCCTACATATAAGCTCATAATACTGTCATGTGCCAGGCTACATGAACAGTGTACACATAGTACTGTTACACATAAGCACATAATACATAAACACATGATACTGCTAAAAGAGGGACAGTCACTTTGATCATTTTAAGTGAAAATTTAAAATAATTTATATTGAATTATAATTGTCAATTGTCATCTAGAGTAACTATATTTAAAAATATAGTTTAAGTTATTACCCTAAATAAAACTCTAGGTTATTGAAGATGGTCTTAAAATAAATTTAGTATAGTACTATCATTTTTATGAACATGATTTTGGTAGATTTTCTGCATAATTCTGTAATATTTCTTTATTAATTAAAGGTGTAATATGGGCATAAATTATGCTATGTAATTACTGCTTGACTCTCTAGGGCAATTCAATAGATTTCACAAGAAAGATTTGTACTATTCAAAGGGAATAGACTGATTTTTTTTGAAGAGTTTCAATACCAAAGAATACGCCACATGTCTTTAAAAGTCACACAAGTGTGTATACCTAAGGATGTAAGGGGAGATAGTGTTTTCCATTCTATTTAATTTTTCAAGCAAAAATGGTACTAACAATAGTCTATATGTTAATTTAATCTTTTAAAAATTGGCTTTGAAAAGACTAAAAAATAAACTAGACATACCCTATACTTTGTAAAACATATACAAATTTTGAGGCATATCATAAAATTCATTAATGTCATGTGTACAATTCAATACTTATCATAAAAGTCTTTTAAAACATTTTGTAACCTCAATAATCTTGTCCATTAACTGTTAATTCTCATTCTCTCACCTCTTCCCTATTTCTTGCACCAGGCAACCAGTATCTGCACTTCCTTGTCTAACTTGTTACTTTGAGATTTTAGACTTACAGAAAAATTATCAAAATTCAGAGATTAACATTGGTATGGTGTATTAGTCTGTTCTCATGCTGCTATAAGGACATACCTGGGTAATTTATAAAGGAAAGAGGTTTAATTGCCTCACAGTTTGGCATGGCTAGGTATGCCTCAGAAAACTTACAAGCATGGTGGAAGGGGAAGCAAACACATCCTTCTTCACAAGGCAGCAGGAAGGAGAAGATTGTGGGCAAAAGAGTTAGCGGTGGGGGGAAAACCCCTTATAAAACCATCAAATCTCAGGAGAACTCATTCACTATCATGAAAATAGTATGAGGGTAACCACCCCCATGATTCAATTACCTCCTACTGGGACCCTCCCACAACACCTGGGGATTATGGGAACTACAATTCAAGCTGAGATTTGGGAGGAGACACAGCCAAACCTTATCATATGGTATGATGAACTGAACAGCAGAATTTATTTGGATTTCACCATTAATATTCATTTTCTGATTTGGAATCTAATCTAGGATTGTTTTATTTCTCATCTTCCTGTGATAAGTAGAATTAAGCTCGTCCTCTCTTCTTCCCCAAGATGTTGTTCTTTAATCCCCAATACCTGTGAATATTTTACTTGACATGGTAATAGACTTTGCAGATGTGATTAAAGGTATAGGTGCTGAGTTAGGCAAATTATTCTTTATTTTCCAGGTGGGTTCTTTCTTATTGCATGAATCCTTAAAAACAGAAAATTGTTCCTGGGCGTAGTCACAGATCGATGTGAAGATAGAAGACAGGTGAGAGAGTTGTGAAGTTGTTTGCATGAAAGATAAGGAAAATGGGTCAAACCAAAAAAGGTTAGTCATCCACTGGAAGCTAGAACAGCCAAGGAACTATATTTTATCCCAGAACCTATATAAAGAAACACAGCCCCGCTAACACCTTCTTTTAGCCCATGAGAACCATGTCAAACTTCTGACGTACAGAAGAGTAAGACATTAAACTTGCGTTAAGCTACTAAATTTGTGGTTTTTTTTTTTTTTTTTTTTTTTTTACAGCAGCTTAGGGAATCTAATAGTTTTCTCCAATCTGTGACAAAATTCAGTGTTCCATTACATTTTATGATCTTGATATTTTTTAGCAGTCAGGTCATTTATGTATAGAATGTTTCTTAAGTTTTGTTTCTCTGACTTTTTAATGATCAGATTGGAAAGGACACCACAAAACTGGTTTGCCCTTCTCCGTGCATAAATCAGGGAGTTACATGGTGTTAACCCAGGCATTGTTTATGGTATTGACCTTGAGCAATTAGTTAAAACAGTATCTGCTAAAATTATACACTGTACATTTACTAGTTTTCTTTTATAATATAGTTTATAATTCTCATTTTGGAATTCCATTGGTGATTTTCTATCCCTCATACTTTCTACAATTTTAATTGGGTCTCTTCTCTAAAGAGTTGTGTCTTTCTTTCTTCCACTCTTTCTTTCATCAGCAGGGAATCATGAGTGCTTATTTTATTCTTTAGGTTATAATTCAATGTTATCATTATTGATTTTGTTTGTCAAGGTATTGTAAGTTTGCTGTGGGGAAAATTTTCAGGTTAGTTCCCTATGCACTTTTGACATTCCCCTGTTTTCTTTTCTTTCTCCAGCACCAGAATCAATGAACTCTGCAAAGATCCTGGACTCCTTCTCCTGCTGCATAATAAAGGTCTGGGCACTGGGTCTGCTTCTTGCTCCTGGGGTATTACTGATGGATTTTGAACTATAGAAGGGAAAAATGTTCTTCAGTGATTTTTAATATTAATGCTCAGAGTGACTATTGGGTTAGAGAAGCAATTTACACAGGAGTTTAGTTTAGAGAAGCAATTTACACATTAATTTCTGTTGTCTTGAGTCATTTATTTTTTATTTCTATTACTCTGAAATTTTAATCAGAAACCACAGTTTTTATTGTGCTTATTATCATTGTGTAAAATGAGCACAATGCTATAGTAGGGATATTCAAGAAAACAATCATTGTTGCAGAGCATTATTGATGATTATGTTTTGGAGCAAGATAAAATTAAGCATGAAAAATATTATTGTAAAAGAAAAATATAATTAAATATCAAAGATTATCTCAAATAACTATGATAATAATGTTGTTCTTAAAGAACTTAAATCCTGGGCAAACTACTTCCACTGTCAGTCCTCAGAGCTGTCATAAATAGCCTTGTATGTGCTTTTAGTATTGATTTGTACTAGGGTCTTTGGAAATTTTACTTCTTTAGTCAAAACTATTGATAGTAGAAGCTTAGAACTTCATATCCTAAAATAGGTCTTGACTTCAGGAAAGTGGCTTGACACCCAAGTAAAAACTTTTACAGTATTACTTAACTTTATTAAACTTTAGGAATTTTATTTAAAATTAAGAATAGCCGGGCGCGGTGGCTCACGCCTGTAATCCCAGCACTTTGGGAGGCCAAGGCGGGCGGATCACGACGAGGTCAGGAGATCGAGACCATCCTGGCTAACACGGTGAAACCCCGTCTCTACTAAAAATACAAAAAATTAGCTGGGAGTGGTGGCGGGCGCCTGTAGTCCCAGCTACTCCGGAGGCTGAGGCAGGAGAATGGCGTGAACCTGGGAGGCGGAGCTTGCAGTGAGCCGAGATCGCACCACGCAGTCCAGCCTGGGCAAGAGCCAGACTCCGTCTCCAAAAAAAAAAAAAAAAAAAAAAAAAAAAAAAATTTATATATATATATATATATATATATATATATATATAAAAGTTGATTTTGTAAGGGTTGGTTTAAATGCTATAGTTCATTCATATATATAATTTTGGAACATTCTTTAAATCGGTATCTTGTACCTCCATATATTCTTAACGATACTGCAGTTAAATTGGTTTTGTTTTAAATGAATTGCTCAAATCTGCTGTGGAATCAGAATAAACTAGATAGACAAACTTTTTGGCATTATTTTCCTGGGAAGGTCAGAAATATCTGAATGAGAGTCTAAGGAGCTCTTCTATGAGTAAAATGCATAGACTTTGGTGCTTAATCCTTATATTATCTAATTTGGCAGCTCTGAGAAATTATTTGTTCTGTGCTTCTTATTTGCCCCAAATTGAACTCTTTCATGCTTCAATGGGTGCTTCTAATTTTAATGTATTTTTGGTTGGATGACTATGCCTTGCTAATCCTATCCACATCCCCCATTAGTTTATTAAAGACTCAGCAGTCATAATTTCAAAAGGCTTAGTTTTATTAGACAAACAATTTTAATACTTTTAGCCTCTCCTCAAAAAGCAGTTACAGTGTCTTTCTGCTCCTCTATACCCAAGGTGGAAATATTGCTTATCATTTACACTTGGAGAATATTGAACGTGAAAGGGGGTACTAGTGGGCTACAGGACAAGTGAAATATGCATTGGAGTACATAAAGTCTATTGATTATGCTACATATACAACTTTTATAATTTTAAATAACTAAGTTTTTTAAAATCAGATTAGTATTCCAATAAGGATGCGCTATAGTTTATAAAAGGGATCAAATTATTTGCATTTAATATCAGGATTTTACTTTTGTCAAGGTTTTTTTTGATAAGAGGAAGCTTTACCAGAGTTTCTCTTTCTGTCTTATTCTGTTTTCTATCAATTACCAGGAACCATGAGTTGCTCAAGCTACTTAGATTTTTTCATGTAATTGTCCAACATATGCATGATATTTATATGATTACATGTTTTCATTTGAGAAATCCAAAGCTAGGAGAATTTAAGTGTAATTTCTAAAACTTCTGATAGAACAGAGGTTCAGATTTGCAATCAAGTGCCATATCATTTCAAATCCTCCTTCACAAATCTCATGGAAAAATAGTATTATTACATTTATATTTTAGGTTTCCTCAACTTTAAGTTTCACAATTTATTAAATATTAATTGTTCAAAGACAAAAAGTGTGGAGCATATGAGACTATACCCTAAAGCTATATTCCTCAGATGAAATCACAGCTCTGCTACCTACAAGCTATGTGATCTTGGAAAAGTCACAAGTTTTCTGCCCTGAGTTCCCTTATTCTATGAACCCTCCCAGAGGAACCCATAGTTGTTTTGAAGAATAAATCAGTTTATGTAATTAAAGTATTTATCTATTTTATAATAAGTTTGTTACCATATGTGAAGTGTTTATATTTATTTCATTCTAATTTTGAACTGTAATTAGATTTAATATATCTAATAAATATGTTTAGTTATAGCTAATTAAAATATAAAAATTTATATAAGGAAATATAAATATATTCATACATATTTTATCAGCATTATATATATGCATGTTTTTAAGTAATATATCCTTAGAAGTATATCTGCTTATATATTTTACAAATGTGCATATGTAACTATAAGAGGTATATATTTGTAAATAAATAAATATAAATATAATATATAAGGTAAGTGAAAAATACTTTACAACAATTTGGATAATATATGTAAAGTGCTAATATTTATTACATCTTAGTTATTTTGATACTTCATTACTAGGAAGAAGTCTATGTTATCTACAAACTTAGAAGTTTTCACTTTAATATAATTTCTACTCTGCTGAGAAAAATATTCATAAGAAACTGGTCACAGAATGGGACAAAGGGGAAATGTTGCCATTTATTTAGATGCTACAATAAGAATATACCTATAATCTTTGTTCCCATCTTCATATCCTAAATCAATTCCTCATTCATCTACGTATACTTCATTAATCTCATTAACCCTATTTTAAATATGGTGTACTTTAGAACACTGCTGTTATTGAAAATTTGAATAAATAAAACATATCCTTTGGTTATACTTTTTCTCCATGCTTCTTATCCCTTCAAAACAAAAATTTAGAAAATTGTCATTAAAGCTACTTTTCTTTTGAGATGCTGTCATACACTCCTCAGAAAAATGGTGCAAAGTTGGTATAAAGTTCAGGCAAAATAACAGCAAGAACAACATAGTTGAAATGTGGTGTCAGGGCACTCGCCCAAGCCTGGAGAATTGCCAGTGATATAGCTGTGGTATAAACCCATATATGCTTGGCTCCAAAGCTACTGTCTTTTCACTGTGTTGATTTTTCTCAGGAAGTGAAATTCTGCTTCATCGATGAATAACAGGATTTTATATAAAACTTTGAATGACATAGGAGGGACAATTTGCATAGAACAACAAGTCCTCAAACTGGCCACAAGGTATTTATAATGTATAAGCTAGGTTGTAAATTTTGTTATATTTTTCATGAAAAATACAATTTATGCAAATTTATTTTTCTTACTAAAACCATGGATCAAATAAGATGTGTGTGTGTGTGTGTGTGTGTTTAAAGAAGTTTAAAATTGTTAGATGAAAAAAATCATTAAGAATATACTAAAATATGTCAAAATCATGTACATTTTGATTTGCAAACTGAATCTTGGTACAATTTAGGTCAAACTGTTTATATTCCCTATGGATTAAGTAAAAGCATAATATGTACTAAATAAATTGTTCAAGGTCTCATGGTAAATTTTATGAAATCCTGAATGAGAACATACTTCCCCTGACATTAAAGAGTTGTTCTTTATTTATTCCTAATGCATTGCCTATACATTTTTATAATTTAGAGAAGTATGTTACATAAATATTAGTATATGCAAAAACCAAATAACTATAAAATACACATGACAACTCTGCTGTCAGTTTGACCTATATAAATTAATGTGCCACCTCTAATAAGTAAAAAATAATTACTATGTAATAACTTTTCTCAGAAATAAATACTTTCATTAATGTGGTCATAGATGTTTTGTATGTCACATGTGTATTTCATAAGTGCAAGTTATTTAACAAATAAAAGTTCGTAAGAGTTTAAGAAGATTCTTAGCTGCAAGGTGAAATCCCTGTAATAATTGCATAGTTAATAATCACTATTAATTATAATTTGACCTTATTCATGAGGATTGAATAAGCTATAATGTCTGGAATTTTATTAAATGCAGAGGCTCTGAATTAAGAAATATTTTTTACAATTTGCTAGCTATGTTATCTTAGAAAATTTATTGTTCTTTCTGTGCCTCTCATTTTTCTATAACATGAGAATTATAATACGGGAGAAGCTGATTATGAGGAATAAAAAGTTCATCTGCAGCATTTCCAAAACACTGCTTTGTTTTTGGCCTTATTTCTTTTCTTTTAAGTTTTATGTAGCATATACCTTTGTAAATTTTTTATAAGACTTCATTAAATACATTTTTAATGAGGCTAGACTGTACCAAAAAACTGTTGGCATTTTGAGTTTTGCTTTATATTTACCTTTCTTGCTGAAACACTGCCATTTTCTAGAATTGTGACTGTCTTAACAATGAGAAAAAATAGTGTGTTCTCCATAGTATTATGACACTCATGCAATCAGTTTTTGGAGGAAGTGGTCTACTTGACACGGTGAGGTGCTTAAGTCAGCTCTGCCTCTAGCAATATCTACCAAACAATATTTCTTCTGCTGATGTATGTTTCTCTAGTGGAAAGCAGTTTTATGATATCGGATAGCAATGATAACTCTTGGTAATGTTAACTTTCCTGTGTACCCTAGGAAGATAAGTTTTTATAAGCAATTAACACTGATTTCTTAATATAGTAGAAAAAGCTATAACATTTATATGTGTTTCACAGTTACCATTTCTCTACTTTTCCTTCTTGTCAAGTGTGAGTTTAGTTTAGTGACCAACTTGGATCTTATAGCTCATCTAGAAAGTAGTAAGTAGAAAGTATCTCTGAAGTTACTTTAAACTGTTATCTCCTAAAGTTACTACTATTTCTCTTTAAATGACTACTCCATGATAGTTATGCATATTTTTAAGGCCTTACCCTACCTAGCTTAGATTTGGTCTAAGTCACCAAATTTCTCCGTTAGCAACTGATTTCAACTCAGTATTTATAAAGGATATTCATTGCCATATGAGATAACCTCAATGACCTGGAAGAATTTATGCAATATATAAATGAAGATTATATATTTCTTCTGTGTAAGAAAGTTAGAATATAGAAAAAAGTTTTTGCAAGCAGTAGAACAAAATATTTGTTAAAATAAAACATGAAACATTATTAAAACAAAAGGCTATATTAAGTGCAAAAGAGGGTAAATACACATTTTTAAAAGAATAGCAGACAAGTTTAAAGAGATATAACTTGAAGTAGTGTGGACATAAGCATATATCAAGATGCATTCAAATCTGTATCAATATAACTTTGCTTTTATTATATTTAATGTTATAATTTCAATGTATCTTCATATCAGGGAAGTGTTAATCCTATTCTAATTTTTCAGAAAAATAATTTCTTCTTGACTGAGGGCTGATGATGCTTTTTATTTTAAATATAATAGTTAATAATAAACAGAAAATCAGAAAACCAAAATGAATGTTCTTCAGGAGAATTAATGATAAATTACACTCAATAGATTTAAACACTACTCACTTTATAAATTTTATTTTTTAAAATTATACTTCAATTCTGAGGTCTCTTAAGGAACATTGTGCTTTAACTGAATGTATGTATCCTACAACGGTTGTTTTACCAAACAAGAACATCTTGAATGTGTTTATGTTGTAGACACATTAATGGATTTTTCATATTAAAAATACCAAGACATTTCCAGATTAGAACGTTGTCTAATTCAAGGCAACCTAACATCAATATTGAATTATTACTAAAATTTGTGTGTTCCATAAGTATTGTTTAATCAATGAATTTTTTTATTGTTAAGAACAATATTAGATTGAGATATATTTAAGATAGAGGATAATTTCTCTTAAATCTTCTCAGTTAAGAGCACCAGGAAAATTAATAGACATATTATATTTACAAGCAAACTTTTCAAACTTTCTTCTACCCTTTCTTTGCTATTATCCTTGCCTCTGAGTGTTAATTCATCATTCTTTTTTTGTCAGCTGTCTGCACTGTTATTTGAGGATTTCCAAAATGCCAGAAGGTGCACTAACAGCTGTAGATACTTGAGTCAACAAGGTAACATCAGTTGATTTTGTTCTAGACAATACACAGATACATAATTGCACAGAGTACATGTTGTGGAGGCACTTGGCACATTTCAAAATATAACTTTTTGTTATTGCACTAAGTGCCTGAAGCGGCACAGAATTTTCACAATAATATTTCTGCCCCCAATTATTTTTTAAATTCTGAAAGTTTGGGGATCAGGTATTCTTCAAGAGTCACAATAAAAAATGTAATTCTCATAATACTTGGATAAGTTACTAAGCAATCTAACCTCTGCATTGCTCTACTTCTTAAATGCACTTCAGTGAATGAAACTGAATGTCCCTATTCAGGAAACATGCTCATGGCATCGGTGGCGTTATACCACATATATGCATGTTGTTAATTTAAAGTTTAGATAAAAAAGCAATCTCTAATTTATTTATGGTATAAAAAGAAGAGAGATAGAACTAGTCACAGATATTGTACCTAAAGAACTTCAATGTCTAAAGGGAAATTTAACTCTGATCCTTTAAGAGTAATCCTGTAAGTTATTAAATTAAACTATATCTATATAGTGTTAGTTATAAATTTAGAAACCTAAGTTTCCCAACTCATATTATTTGAGGGTATAGTCACTCCAGTCTCTCAGAGAATATGCAGAACATACATCTCTGGTAGATCCATCATCACCTGAACTGATTGGATTAGAGTGTACTGAAAGTTTAAGAGGCTACCTTTAAAGTACTAGCAAATGGAGTGATCAGTTAGTGAGTTCAATTTTCCAGATTCCAGGTAGGATGCAAAAACACCTTGGTCTGTGGCAGGCTGTGCCCCTAGTGAATACAATAGGAAAGCAAACTGAAAGCATCCTGAAGAATACAGAAAGCTAGAACCAGGTCAGAAAATCAAAAGTAAGAACACGGAACAGTCGTTCCAGTGACTACATAGAAATCAGTCAGGAGAAATAACTAAAGAGTCAGGATTCAGGCTTACATTTCATGTGATGCTGGAGATGAAAAAAAAAAAAAAAAGACAGCACTTAAATTTCTTCCACTTTAAAAATTATGTTTGTTTGGTATTTCCTCCTTTACCAATTCTGGCTTACATTTTTATTTTTAGAGGTTAGTTCACCTTACCCTTTAAGAAGTTATGATCTATAATATCACAGTCAAGAACACTTTCTGTAAACTCCAACAAAAATGGATTACTAGAGGAGTCTAACTTGTTTTAAAATCATGTCATAATGTATTATCAACCTTGTAAAGTCTTGCACATATGTATACATATTTGAGAGGAACCTGCATTTGTATAATTTCATAGATGTATAGCATCACAAACGTATTAAAAATATTATATATATGCCAATATAATTGTATAAACATGTATTTTTATTTGATGGCAAAAGTTGGTTCATAAGCTGGGAGAAATAATTTTCTCCATGATGTTCATTAGTTTATATGTTCATGGGATAATATTCTAATTCATTTTCTAAGTGTATTGTATTTAAGCTTATGTCTAAGAATTTTTTTGAATCTAATTTAAGAAGTTTTCATAATTCACTATTTGAAAACATATCACTCATTTTTTTCTTCCTTGCAGAAACTTCTGTACTTTTTCTCTCAAGGTCATACAGCCCTGAATCTGATAGCAACAGAGCTTCAGCAATAACAGCAGATGCCATCTTAGATTAATGTGAGTGAATGCTTTTTCACAATTTTTATAGTTTCTCTTCTTTGCACCCATTTCGTCAGGGAACAATGTTGGGTTCAATGCTGGGTGCCCTAGAGGTGCCCTAGAGTTATTTTAACGAATTCAATTTGCTTTGCTTTTCATGTAAGCACGGTTTTTCTTCTTAGATATTTTTTGGAGGTAATACGAGAAACTATTTCTTACATAAAATATTTTTAAAAGTTTACTCTTTATATAAGCCTTCATTATAGAATCATAGAATTAAAAGACCAGAGACTATAGAGATCATCTATTTTACTTTTTCTCAAGGATAATAGACAGAGGTTTTTGCCTTACCACCACTCATTTCTATTTTTTCTTTTCTTGAATGCAGTGATTCTCACCTGCTTTGCCCACTTTTCCTATTTCTTCTTTAAGTCAGTAGTGGAGAATTTAACTAGTTTACTTTTTTGTAGTATATTTTGAATTATGAAACACTAAAGTGGTTTTAAGTCCTCATTTCACATAAAGAAACTACATTGCAGAGCAGCTTAGCTATTTAACGAAAGAGCACACAAACACCTAGTAGCAGAAGAAGGTCCTGAATGGCTCAGAAATGCAGGGCTATTTCCCCCTGTGAATTCTAACCTAGGAAGTCTACACATGAAGCCGGAGCTTTGACTCCTTTCCTACTGCACATAACTGTTTGGAGACGGAGTCTTAGCCTGTCGCCCAGGCTGGAGTGCAGTGGTGTGATCTCAGCTCACTGCAACCTCTGCCACCTGGGTTCAAGTGATTCCCCTGCCTCAGCCTCTGCCTCCTGAGTAGCTGGGATTACAGGTGCCTGCCACCACGCTTGGCTAATTTTTTTGTATTTTTAGTAGATATGGGATTTCACCATCTTAGCCAGGTTGGTCTTGAACTCCTCACCTTGTGATCCACCCATTTCGGCCTCCCAAAGTTCTGGGGTTACAGGCGTGAGCCACCGTGCCCGGCCAGAGCATTTTTCATATGCTTATTGGCCATGTGTATGTCTTATTGTGAAAAAATGTTTATGTCCTTTGTCCACTTTTTAAATAGGGATACTTTTTGTTCCTGTTGTTTGTAGATTCTGGATATTAGTTCTTTGTAAGATGCATTGTGTGCAGATACTTTCTCCCATTCTCTAGGTTTTCTGTTCACTGTGTTGATTATTTCTTCTGCTGTGCAGAAGCTTTTAAGTTTGATAAAGTCCTATTGGTCTATTTTTGTTATTGTCGCATTTGCTTTTGAGGTCTGTCTTAGTCTTGAATTTTTGCCTAGACCAATATCTAGAAGAACTTTTTCTAGGTTTTCTTCTAGTATTTTTATAGTTTTAGGTCTCACATTTACGTCTTTAATCCATCTTCAGATTTTTGTATATGGTGAGAGATAGGAATCTAGTTTCAGCTGCCTATTTAAAGAACTATGATGTAGCTGAGATTTTTCAGTGTACTTGAAAGCTAGCAAGTTAGCCTGACACCATTACATGGATGTTGATAGAAGAGCCAAGACTCTTGGGTCAGATACAAAGGTCCTTATTCAGAAATTACAATAGCCTCAGCCACAGTCATACAGAGTAATGTCAAGAGGGCCAGGTGAGACATGCACATGTAATGTGATGCATTATAGGAGAGGGACCTGAAACTTAGAGAAACCCACTTTTACAATAGGCAGTAAATATGCCTTCTTTGTTCTGGAGGAAGTCACTAATACTACATGTCAAGCTCAGAAAAGTTTGCTCTTTGCTATGGAGAGAAATACTGTATCTTTCAAGGCAGTTAAACGTTCTTGAAAACATATTTAATAAGGATTTTTTTAAAAATGGCAATGAGCAATCAGTGTCACAGCTCTCAAAATGTACAGAAACATAAGAGACCCAGGGATCATTGTCTCCCACCCACCCCTTTCTACACAATGACAATGTCTTAATTGTAAGAGCAAAAAAAATAGCATGACAGTTTAAATTGGAACATGCCATTTTTATTTTGTCAGTATAAACTGTCTATTGTTACAGGATCAACCAGTATGTATTATTGTTTTAAGGAATATATTCATGGATGCACTTAGAACATTTTTTTCTGCCACTTTTGTTTGTTCATTTGTTTTCATCTTGTGTTCTATTGCTCCAGTTTAAGTCAAACTTGTAATATAAGGTTTCTTAACTTCCTCATAGACTGAGAAAGAGATTCTGAGTTTTACTAAGAATTACCTTGACTCACAGCTTAGCTATTACAGAGTAGATAGGAACATGTGGCAATTTGTTGGGGTGATCAGACCCAACACCAGGTTGTGGGGTTGACAAAGTTCGGTGCAGTCAAAGGATTGAGAAAAAGACAGTTTGAGAGAGAAATGTGGAACACCAGAGGGCCATCACTATCGTGGAGGCTGCGAAGGCCCCGAGTTCTGGGAGCCCACGGTATTTATTGGTAATCCAACAAAGAAACGGTGAGAATGTGGAGGTCAAAAGGGCACATTGCATTAAGCACATGATTTACAGCTGTGATTGTTTAGCATTTATACTGAACATGTTCTGCTACTTGAGATAATGGGAATAGGAGCCTAGGAGCAAGGAGCCAGCAAGTCTAGACACATTCCAGAGGACATTATGCAATCCCTGCCTCAGTTTCCCTCCCAACACTCAGCTTTTTCCCAACATGCCCCCCCTTCTCTTTTTTGTAAAAGAAGGTATCATTATTACTAGCTATCATTATTACTAGCATAAAAGGTAGCCTTTTAATTGAGCAAGGCGATTGCAGGCTGTGCAGCCCTTAATTGCAGGCTGGTGATCCAGCTTCATTTTTCTTAGCCCTTATTCAAACTGGAGTCACTCTGGTTTGAATGCTTCCCACATATCTCCCCTTTCCCTTTTACAAGAGGACCCTTAATCCTAGGGGTTTGCAGAAGGATGAAGGTCCGTCTTCTGTAACTCCTTCCTGCTGAATAGGGGCGATGATATTCCTGCCTATTAGGGTCTCTTGTATTCAGGGTAGAGAGGTGCTGAGTCAGAAAGCATTGGTCCATTAAGCATTGTGACTCCAGTTGGTCCTTGTTCCATCTTCGTATTCACATTCAACTGGCTCATGGCTCCTACTGGGGGAACCCAGTCCATGGTTGTGATCCATGGGTCCCTCCAGTTTCCTGTTACATGGTTGTACACATCTTGAGGACATCCGCACGGTTCATTCATCTCATGTAAAAAACACAAGCATACTCTCACCCCCATGTTAGTAAATCTACTGAAACAGAAGCAAAAACTTCTGTGGCTGTAGCTGGGAGGCATGCCATTGCTGAAGCATTTGTTAACTCCATTTCTGCCTCTTTCGTTAATTACCATGAGGTAAAACTTTCCAATGATAATGAGAAACAGGCCTTTTTTGATTAACAGAAGGCATAGAGAAAGCAAATTGAGGCTTTTCAAACCTGCAATTCTCACTGTACATGTGGGTCCACTAGATGCTGTGGCTTATGATAGATCTTCAGATGTTTGGTGGGCACCCACATAGGCATCTGATTGTCACCTGGACAGACACAAGCAAATCCTCTTCCCCATAAAATTATCTTTAGGTGGGGATCAGAGGAAGTAGACTCAGAGGTAAGGAGAATTTTGGGGACTAATGGTTTCCTGATGTTTCATAGGTGTTCCCTTGGAAGTTAGGAATTCCCTTTCTCTCCATATTGCTGCGTGGGCATGGAGGACTAGGTAAGCATACTTAGAGTCTGTATATATATTTACCCCTTTTCCTTCTCTTAATTCTGGTGTATAAGACCCCTGCTTTTCCTAGGATGTCTCTCGCTACCAAAGGAGTGGGGCTTTCAGGAATAATTAGAAAGGCATGTGAAAAGAGTAAAGTTCCCCAGTCACAGCTTAGTGGCTGGGAGAAGTATCTAGTGACTGCCTGTCCTAGGACCCCCTCTAATAGTGACAGATCTGGAGGACAGTTGTCCGGGACTGGAGAGTAAGACCGAGAAGGCAGTGCCAGTGTCCAGGAGACAGAACCTCCTGGCTCTCAGTGGTCAAGCATACCTGGGGAGGCTGATGGCATGGGCTGGCACTTGGCCCAGGCACCCTCAGTCCTGCTGCTGGATCATTTGGTTAGTGGCTTCTGACTCAGAGGACCTTCGTCCCCTGGGGCAATGGGCCTTCCAGTGATTCCCTTGACATAAAGGGCATGGACGAGGGGGCAGCTTATTTCTATTCAGAATCTTTTTTAAAGTGTCCTTGTAGACTGCACTGGAAGCAAGCCCTACTAGGCATTCGATTTTCCTAGCCTTTCCCTTTTCCAGAGCCTCAAAGTCTGCTTGTCTGAGGGTCATGACTAAAGAGGTGGCTTTTTTTTTTTAAATCCCATTTGTCCTGTTCTGCCTGCTCCTTATCTCTATTATATATTAAAAAAAAAAAAAAAAGTTTGCCAAGTTCAATAGGGTCTCTAAGTTTTGCTCCGGGCCTAACGCAGACTTTTGAAGTTTTTTCTAATGTCTGCAGCTGACTGAGTGATAAATTTATCATTTAAGATTAGTTGGCCTTCGTTAGAGTTAGGTGACAGAGGTATGCTTCCTCAACTCCTCCCTTTGTCTCTCCAGAAAGGCGGTAGGATTTTCTTCCTTTCCCTGTGTTATAGTGGTTTCTTCCTAGTTTTCCTTAGTCCTTCTAACACTCAAGTTAGCAAACGTCTGCGGCACCAATCTCCATATTCTGATTCTGCGTCCCACTACACTGGGAACTGCCTGCTGGCCTGTGGGGAGTTGTTCTCTTTCCTCTGTTGTCATCTTATCATTGACCTGACTGAGATACCAGAGATTGCCAAAATCTCAGGCTGCAGTTATGGCGGCACTTGAGGTTAACTCTCTCATTTGAGGTTAGTGTCTGATGTAGCAGTAACATTATATCTATGTCAAATCAAAGGATTGTCCTAACCCTTGTAAAACATCAACTAGAGCCATCAGGGTTATCTGAGAATTTACCTAGGTCTATTTTGTTTCAGGTCTGAGAGGGAGAAAGGTTCATACACTCTGACTGGGCCGAATTCTCCAGAATACATATTAGGGGAGTTTTTGCCTTGGGGGGAACGTTTCCCATCTGAAAAAAAGAACACAGGGATGCCAGCACCCCTAGTCATTTTCCGAAGCCGATGAGCATTAGTCCTAGAGCGTCCTCTATGATCCTAATGCTTATTCTCTTCCAGGGTGCGTAACCACCCATAGACCTCTGCTTATCGGATTAGTTATGCTCACCGATGTAGCAGTCCTGCATCTGTTTTCCTGCCTTTCTTGACCGCAAAGAAAGGGGCCTGGGCTGCTGGATTCTAGTGGTCCTTTACCAGCATGCCCACCATTGCCTTTGTGCTCAGAGGTGAGTTCTAGAGCTGGGCTGGGTTCCTGAATATTTCATAACAACCCAGCTGCCCCATCAAGATGTATTCCCATAAACAACAGTTCTTATGCAAGTTCATTTTAGAGAGGGTGTAGGTAACCTTTTGAGTCAGGATTGAGAGAGTTTGATTCTGTGAGTATTTTAAGGCTTGGCTGAGTGCAAACAGCTCGAACGTTTAAGCAGATTATTAGGCAATTTTCCTAACTCTGCTTCTACAAGACTTTCCCTATCAATTACTGAACACCCATTGTTTGTTTCTCTTTTCTCAATCACCCGGGAGGAACCGTCTATCATCCTGTCCTGAAGGGAGTTCCTCCTAGGTCTGGTCGGACTTTTGTGTGGTAATTAAGGTTTAAATCCCGTTAGGAAACCTGCTAGGTTAAGGGAATTTTCAGTGGTTAATGTTAAATCACCTTTTTCTAACAGAATAGCCCCATACTTTAAGATTGGGTTAGTAAGCTACCTTTTTGTTTTTTTTGTTTTGTTTTGTTTTGTTTTTTAACTTAGGATAGCTCTGAACTGGTGAGGTGTGCTCAGAATGAGGTTTCCTCTAAAGTTTATTTTTTCTACTTTCTTCTGCTGGCAAAGCAGTTGCTGCTACAGATTGAATGCATTTGGGCTATCCATGGGTTACCAGGTTAAGGATTTTTGATAGGAAGGCTACTGGTTGTCAGTGGTCTCAGTGCTTTCAGGCTACTCCCTTGTTTACGCTGACAACAAGGTAGTATTGAAGTATTGTAGGGTCATGGAGAAGACCTTCAATTATCAATTATAGGTTTTAAATTTACCCTGGCTTTTAAAGGAATAGGGTACACTTTTTTCTTTACTTGTGTATCTCTTTCTCCTTTTGTAGATGGATTTTGGAAACACAGTGGAATGACGTTTGCTGTCTTCCCTGCTGGATTATAGTTACGGGAAATTGCCATGCTTCAAGGTATCCCTTGGCTCTAGCCTTTTGAATAGAATTTTTTATAACACCACCAATTGCTCCAGGTTTTAACGTTGCAACTACAGTAGAAGTTTTGTAGCTAATTCATCTTCTTGCCCATTAAGGGGAGAGAGGAGGTAGCCTTTTTCGGCAGTTGGAGCTGACGGGCTAGTAAAACACGCTTTTTTCAGTTTTCCTTTTCTTTAATTTCCTGTTCCTCACATTCAGAATCTGAGGTTAGTTTTTTATACTCGTCCTCCTCTTCCTCATCTGAATCTGCCTCATCATCTGTTTGAAAAGGCTCAAGAGCTGCTTTTATTAGCACCTGCATTGACCAAACAGACTGGAATTTTTGCTCCATGTTTATGAGCTTTTTTTTTTTAATTTCTGCCAATTCTCTCCCATTCATCTAACTCCATAGTTCCTTGTTCCAGGAACCATGGACAAAACTGCTTTACTGCACCGAAGAGTGATAAATTCTGAGTACTAAATTTCACTCCCTCTCTTCATGATAAATGCCTTAAGAACTTTAAATAAGCAGAATGTCTGCTTTCACTTTGTCCTATTTTCACCCTGGTTCTCCTGAGCACTCAGGTTTCCCACCAAGCTTCTTATAGACATCTTCCGTGTTCACGTGCTCTGGCGTTCCTTCATTGGGGTCTTTGTTGCCCCACGTTGGATGCCAGGAATATTGGCGTGATCAGACCCAACACTAGGTCATAGGGGTGACAAAGTCCGGCGGAGTCAAAGGATTGAGAAAAAGACAGTTTGAGAGAGAAATGTGGGACAGCAGAGGGCCATCGCTTTTGTGGAGACTGCGAAGGCCCTGGGCTCTGGGAGCCCACAGTATTTATTGGTAATCCAATAAAGAAACAGATGGTGAGAATGTGGAGGTCAAAAGGGCACGTTGCGTTAAGCACATGATTTACAGCTGTGATGGCTTAGTATTTATATGGAACATGTTCTGCTACTTGAGATAATGGGAATAGAAGTCTAGGAGCCTAGAAGCAAGGAGCCAGCAAGCCTAGACACATTCCAGAGGACATTATGCAAGCTCTGCCTCAGTTTCCCTCCCAACACTCAGCTTTTTCCCAACAGCAATTGCACTAAGAGTTAGCACTAGAATGAGACAAATATAGGAAGAAGGAAATGTGCAAGCAAACCAGGAAAAAAAACAGTGTAAGTGAAATATCACAAATTGTATACTTCCTATCAGTTTTTACTATAATAACTTAAAGACTGTCGTCGTATTTTTATCTGTGTAGTTTTGTAAACATACCTATTCTATAATATTAGATACAGAATAATCAGGTACAATCTATCTTGCCTATTTTGTTTTATATATTAACTTGTTCATTTTTAATTTTTATATCTTCTTTATAGATATAAGTATTAAGAGAGAAGGGAATACATTATTTTGTCTAATTACTGTAGAAGTGTGCCTGGTAGAAGAAGAAATTGTGAATGTTAGTCGAATATGCAAATAAATAAGGAAAATATTATGACTTTTGTGCTTCAGAGATTATGGTATTGTGTCAAGGTATAACGTTTCCAAGAACCTATATTTAAACAGCAAACAATAAACATAGTAACAATATAAACATATAAACAATATAAACATAGTATATTTTACTATATTTAAAATATAGTAAACTATATTTAAATAGCATCCTTTAAATGTTTTTCTAACATAATAAACATAAAAAAAAAGTTTCAAGATTACACAAGGTAGACATATAAATGAAATTCAAATATAACAATCCTTAATAAAATGGCAAAAAATTATGCTATTATTATGACACTTGTATACTTTCAGACATAAGAAAACATACTTGACTTAATTTTCTTTTAAGTGCATACTTATGAAATAAAGCTAAATATGTTAAGCTAGAAATATCATTAAAGTAAATCATTATAATACATTTTATTAGCCTCTTTTAAAGACACTGTATGTTTCAAAGGACTTAGTGATATTTGGTGTTGCTTAGCAACATGAGCTTTGGAGCAATACAGACCTGGGTTCAGATTCAAGTCCTGCAATATTTATGTAACTTTGGACAAAATATTAAACCTTAAATAGCTTCGATACAATGTTCTATAAAATAAAGATAATGTATAACTTTTTGAATAATATATGAGATTGTACACAAAAAATGTTTAGCATTTTGCTTATTTCATCACTATTGTTATTATTACTATTATTAATAGCAAAAGCTTTGATATGAGTTTGTTAACATCTTATTTTATATGAAGAGTTCAAAAAGTTTTCCTGTGTTATCTGCCCTATCTGGAAAATGATACTTGGAATCTGGGGCTATGCACTGTGTAAAAATTGACCTTATGAAGAGTGTGCATCACGTTTCTCCAAGTATTTGTTTATTCATTATTTTAACAAATAGCTTGAGCAATATCTGTATGTGAAAAGCTTGAAGTTATGAAAAATGCAATGAATTGGGGAAACAATAAAGAGTAGTAGCCTTAGCAAAGAAAGGTAAGTTAATGAGTCTTGTAGTGTCTAAGATTCAGGAGCTTGCCATGTATTGAAAATCTTGAATGTCAATAAGGATAAAATACAGAGGTGCAGTAATGAGAACATTATGAGTGAGATCATATTAATCATGTATAACAAAATCATATTAGTAGAGTGAATATGTGAGAAAAGTAGAGATGTGATATCAAAGCAGAGATACCAAGTTAAGGAAATCATCTCCTGTACTTTTTATTTATTAGATTATAAGATTTCTTCCTTTTTTATTACTTTGGATTTATTTTTTCCCTATTTAAAATTGATACATAATAGCTGTACTCATTTATGTGGTACTTGTGATAATTTGATACAAGCATACAATGTGTAATGATCAAGTCAGGGTAGTTGGCATATCCATAACCTCAGATATTTATCCCTTGTTTGTGTTGGAAACATTCTAAATGTTCTATTTTACCTATTTAAAAATATACAATACATTGTTGTTCACTATGGTCACCCTACTATGCTATCAAACATTAGAACTTATTCCTTCTCTCTAACTGTATGTTTTTACCCATTAACCAACCTCTTTTCACCCCCCCTCACCCTTCCCAGCCTTTGGTAATTATCATTCTACTTTGTCCTTCATGGGATCAACTTTTTAGCTCCCATATATTAGTGTGAGCACATGTGATATTTGTTTTTCTGTGCCTGGCTTATTTCACTAAACATAATGCTCTCCAGTTCCATCCCTGTTGCTGCAAATGCCAGTATTTCATTATTTTCTTATGGTGGAACAGTATTTCACTGTGTATATATACCAGTATTTCACTGTGTATATATACCATTTTCTTTATTCATTCATCCATTGATGAACACTTAGATTACTTCCAAAGCTTAGCTATTGTAAACAGTGCTGCAACAAATATGAGAGTGCAGATATCTCTTTGATATACTAATTTCCTTTCTTTGGGGTATATTTCCAGCAGTGCAATTGCTGGGTCATGTGGTATTTCTAATTCTGAACCTCCATACTGTTTTCCATAGAGGTTGTACTAATTTACATTCCTACCAACAATATGCAAGCATTCTCCTTTCTCTGCATCCTCATTAGCATCTGTTATTTTTTGTCTTTTTGATAATAACCATTTTAACTGGGATGAAATTTTATATATATGTGTGTGTGTGTATATATACACACACACACACACACACACACACACACACATATATTTTTTTTTTGAGATGGAGTCTCACTTTGCCACCCAGGCTGGAGTGCAATGGCGCTATCTCAGCTCACTTCAACCTCTGCCTCCCAGGTTCAAGCGATTCTTCTGCCTCAGCCTCCAGCATTGCTGGGATTACAGGTACCCGCCATCTTGGCCGGCTAATTTTTATATTTTTAGTAGAGACGGGGTTTCACCACGTTACCCAGACTGGTCTTGAACTCCTGACCTCAGGTGATCCACGTGACTTAGCCTCCCAAAATGCTGGGATTACAGGTGTGAGCCACCATGCCCAGCCTGAAATGATATTTCATTTTGGTTTTGATTTGCATTTCCCTGATGATTAGTAATGTTGAGCATTTTTTCATATACCTGTTGGCCATTTGTATGTTTTCTTTAGGGAAATGTCAGATCTTTTGCCCATTTTTTAATAATTAGATTATTTGTGTTTATTGCTATTCTTTGAGTTATTTATTCTGGTTATTAATCCATTACCACTTTTATTCAAGATAGTACTGGAGATACTTAGCCAGAGCAATTAGACAAGAAAAAAAAATAAAGTACATGCAAGTTGGAAAGAAAGAAATCAAATTGTCCTTGTTTGCAGACAACCTGATCTTATATTTAGAAAAAACTAAAAACCCTTTCCAAAAAAATTCCTTTTAGAACAGATAAATGAATTCAGTAAAATTGCAGGATAAAAATTAACATACAAAAATCAGTAGCATTTTTATATGCCAACAGTGAACAACCTGAAAAAAAAATCCGGAAGGCAGTTTCCTTTACAATAGCTAAAAATTAAATCCCTAGGAAAAACAATAACCAAAGAAATGAAAGATAGAATTAAATTATAAAACATTGGTGAAAGAAACTGAAGAGGATAATGAAAAATAGAAAAAATATCTAATATTCATGGATTAGGGGAAGATTAATGCTGTTAAAATGTTCATAGTATCTAAAGTGATCTAGATTCAATGCAATCTCTATCAAATCACATTCTTCACAGAAATAGCAAAATTAATCCTAAATTTCCTATACAACCACAAGAAAACCCCAAATAGCAATCCTGAGCAAAAAGAATAAAGCTGGAGGTATCACATTACCTGACTTCAAAACATACTACTAACCTATAGTAATCAAACCAGCATGATACTGGTATGAAAAGAGACACATAGACCAATCGAACAAAATAGAGAACCTGGAAATAAATTTATGCTTTAAAGCCAACTCATTTTCAAGAAAGGCACCAGGAACTTACACTGGGCAAAGGAATATCTCTTCAATTAAAAAGCTAGTAAAACTGGATATCCACGTGCAAAAAAAGAAATGAAACTAAACCTCTGTCTCTCACAATAAACAAAATTAAATTGAAATGGATTAAAGCCTTAAATGTAAGACCCTGAAACTATAAAAGTGTTATAAGAAAACACTGGGGAAATGCTTCACAGCATTGATATGGACAAAGATTTCTTGAGAAGGACCTCAAAAGCACAGGCAACCAAAGCAAAAATTGATGATTGGGATTACGTCAAACTAAAAAGCTTCTGAACAGCAAAGGAAACAATTAACAAAGTGATACAGCTAACACAGTGGAAACACATTTGCAAGCCATCTTCTATACTTATGTAAATCCCCAGTTGTATCATATCCATCTTTCTGAGAATAGAAAATACTTACTTAGAGTTTTTAAAGATCTGGATCTAGTGAAAAGTAAATTATCACTCTAAACAGTCATATATTTGTATATCTCAGGAAAACTTTTTTGAAAGAAAATTGGTACACGCTCACAATTTATATTATTATTATTATTATTTTTTTTTTTTTTGAGGTGGAGTCTCACTCTGTCACCCAGGCTGGAGTGGAGTGGTATGATCTTGGCTCACTTCAACCTCTGCCTCCCGGGCTCAAGTGATTCTCCTGCCTCAGCCTCCTCAGTAGCTGGGACTACGGGGATGCACTACTACATCCTGCTAATTTTTGTATTTTTAGCAGAGACAGAGTTTCACCATGTTGACCAGGCTGGTCTCGAGCTCCTGACCTCAGGTGATCCATCTGCCTCAGCTTCCCAATGTGCTGGAATTAGAGGTGTGATCCACCACGCCCCATCTGAAATGTTAAAATGTAACTTCATTAGCTCTGTATTTGAGGGTTAGACAATTGCTAATACTTATTGTGCATAGTAGTTTTCTTTTTCCTTTTTTTTTTTTTTCTTTTGAGATGGAGTCTTGCTCTGTCACCCAAGCTGGAGTTCAATGGAGCAATCTTGGCTCACTGCAACCTCCGCCTCCCGGGTTCAAGCGATTGCCCTGCCTCAGCCTCCCAAGTAGCTGGGATTACAGGCACCTGCCACCACGCCCGGCTAATTTTTTGTATTTTTAGTAGAGATGGGGTTTCACCCTATTAGACAGGATGGTCTCAATCTCCTAACCTTGTGATCCACCTGCCTCGGCCTCCCAAGGTGCTGGGATTACAGGCATGAGCCACTTCACGGGGCATTTTTTTTTTTTTGAGACAAAGTCTTCCTCTTTTGTCCATGCTGAACTGCAGTGGCTAGATCATAGCTCATTACAGCCTTGAACTCCTGGACTCAAGTGATCCGCCTGAGTCCTCCAAGCAGCTGAGACTACAGGCATGCACCACTACACCCAGCAAATTGTTTTTTGTTTTTTGTAGAGATGGGATCTCACTATGTTGCCCAAGCTAGTCTCAAACTCTGGGCTCAAGCAATCCTGCTGCCTTGGCCTCCCGCAGTGCTGAGATTACAGTCATGAGCCATTGTTCCTGGCTCCTATTTTTCAAAATGGAAAAACCAAAAAGACCATTAGAAATTTCCTTTCAGAACATGTGAAAATACTCTTGACTCTTACAAATGGTAACCAGAATAAGTTATCCATAAAAGGAAGTTACTATGGTGAGCAAATTCCCCTCTTTGCCAGAGTTCTAAAGGAGTCTTGGGGAACTTCATGAGAAGATACTTGAAGAGTCTTTGTGTCTAGATTCAAGTAGTTTAAAGTAGATTATTTAAAGCTGAAGATTGATTGGAATCAGACAAAATTTAAAAGATATTAGTTTAGGAATTGTGGACATAAGGTTAATGTCTTAAAGTGAGTCTTTATTGGTAAACTGTGGTTTGACTAGCAAGCTACTTGCTCCTGTGAACAAATGGTTTGATCTGTATTAATAGTTTGGAAGTTTCTACCCTTTTCCAAAAAAAAAAAAAAACAGTGAAATTATTATTTTATACATTATCTTCCTGGTCAATGATTTCTTAGAATAATGATATATTCCTGTTGACCTATGTGGTCTTTTTTCTCAGTCTTGTTAATTAAAATATGTACATGAAGGTGGTCTTTGTTCTTTGAGTCCACTCTTTTCATACTCAAGTCTGTTCCCAGTCTTTTGTAATTTAAGGGCTCTAATAGAAAAAAGAACTTTAAATAATTTGAATGTGAAGCAATAAGAAGAGTAAGCCTATAGTTAGTATGAAGTAAGAAGACCATTAATTTATAATGAATGCTTGGATACATTCAGCAGTTTTATTAATAGCAGACTAATAAAAAATATTTTTACACACACAATGTAGTAGCACTTGTGAAAGTTCTCTGTCACTACAGCTGTTAATTATATTCTGCAACAAGACATAGTATTTCTTTTAGATAAAATGATAAAATGATTTGATTATAACCAACAATTATTTGGTAATAATCTTATCTTGTTAAAATACAAACTACTTGCAATTTGGAAACAAATCCAGGAATTTAATTAGAAGTTGGAAGCCTTTGAGGGATATAAAAGGTTTACTGTTGCTAGAATATTGAACGAAAATGCAGGAATGTTTGAGATTTTATAATTTCAGGAGCAGGTTGGTGATAGAAATAGTTTCACTTAAAGCTGATTTTGTTTTTCAACTTGTTTCCTCTTCCTGTATTGCTACTATCTGTACACATGCAAATCACCCTATAATCAAAAAGAATTCCCTTCCATGTACTTCTTGTTGTAGATCACAGAGAAATGACACACAGCCCTTGCCTATCATTCACATACTTCAAGGTCCAAAGCTATTTCTGCATTTCTTCTATTATAAGTGATGCAGTTGGACCCTGTAGTCCACAAAATTTGCTGGGAAATTACATGATGAAAGTACCACATTGCTGTCATAATGCAAAGTTTATTATCTTAATGCATTCTGCTTACTCAATCTTATTAAACAACAAGAATTGGCTGTACTCAAAAAAGCTTTCTAATAGTCTAATGACAAACGTTTACCTCTTCTCTTCATATCTCAAACTTATAACACCTCCCCCTAGTTCCACACATGAAACTATTTCCACATCTAGAAACAGTTTATGTGTCCACGAAGTTGTGTATGTGTGGTCTGATATGTTAAAATTTGCTTCTTCACTCTTACCACACTTTCTTTTTTTAATATTTTTTCTTGCTTCCACTAGTGTAACACAGCCCTCCCTGTTCTTTGAAAGGAAGTTAAATTCTTCAAAATATGATACTACCTTTTAGAATATAATTTGCAAACTATATACTTACATACAGATACTCACGGTGAAATAAATTACAGATTGTGGTTTTAAACATCTCAGACTAGGCAGCAAGTGCATCAGATTTTCACTCTGGTTCTGTTATTTAGACAGAGACAATAGCAGAGTTCTCACCAGGAGGATAAGAGCAGCTTCTACAGACACATGAATGCTAAGGAGGCAGCAACATTCTTTTGAGTTTAAATGTATTTTTCATCTCTGATATACAGCAGTCTGGAAATCCCGTGACGCTTTAATTATAATAATTATTATTATATGAAAATAGGGTTAGAGAAGAATTGTGTGTTTGGCTAAGATGCTGCAATACAGGAGTGGACCTTTTGATTTTTAAAAAAATACCCTTTGGCTGCTTGTTCTAGATAATTTGTATTTACATTTTGGTAGTTCTTTTCATTCCTGTTGAATGTGGCTAAAAGTATATGAGTCTTTAAAAACGAGAGTAGATCACCTAGTTTCCCAAAAGGCTAAAAACAAATTGGGGAAAGAGCGCTTGCTGAGAGGGTGTAAAGGCTAATCCAGTTCTTCTTTCTGTTCCTCTTGAACTTTGAGCAAAACTAGAGGACCAAGATTAGCTTTTTCTCTACCTGAGTGAGGTTAACAATGCAAAGACAAATTTGAATTACTCCTTGTAATCAACTCATATGATTACTGTGAACAGGAGAAATAATAAATACCAGGCAAGACAAGATCATTGTAACTGGAGGGCTTTTCACCTCCCCTACTTTTTAAGATCTTTGAGTCAAGCGTGACTCTTGAGAGACTGAAATGAAAAATGAAAGAGAGGGTGAAAGAGAAGGAGAAGGTCACTGGCCTCAATTTCTTTAATTAATTTGCTTACCATGAAAACAAATTAAGTGGAAATGACTGACAAATCTTATTTGTGAATGCTTTCGATCTTGTTCATATATTTTTGTTTTGTTCTAGTTTCTTTGCCCCTTAATGTCATGATTTCATGTGATTACTAATTGAATATCTGCACACTAAAACCTTACATCATAGAATCTTAAGATTACCAGGTTGCTACTGTTGCTTGCTACTGTATATTTGGTGAGGATGATTTTCAAAAAAATAAAATAAACACATTGGTCTATTAACACCTACTAATAGTTAGACTAAATATACATATTTGGGTTTATTAAAGGCATTTTAAATTTCTTCCTCTTTGAAAATACCCAGATTTATGGGAAGCATTCATTTGGGACATGGATTGCATAAAAATATTTAACCAACTGAGTATCTTGATAGAAATGACTTCATAGTGCTTAAATTTATTTGGTAAGTCTAGCTACCTTAAAATATATGAAGTATCTGTAAGTAAAGTAACGCATCTAAATATTTACAAAAAAATTATTAGCCAACACCTTAGTAGCAGTTATTTAGCACTACTAAAATATTAAGTCTTGGTAAAAACTCTAAATAACCTGAATGATCTGTTGAATTATGTAAAAATACAAAATGATAAGAAACATAGATATAATTAATTTTTAATGTCACTTATTTAAATGTCTACATTTTGTTTTCTAATGTTTTATCCAAGCATCTCTCATTATCTGAGAAAAAGAATATTGTGCCTCTATCATGTTAATTTATTGCTATCAGTCATCCATTTGAAATTGTGAAAGAAGTCAGCATAAAGGAAGGCAAATTCTGGCTTCTTTTCTTTCATGCTTCATGGACCCTGAAACTGTCCCGTCGTTGGTCATTCATTTCCCATGCCTCAGATCCTGCTTTTTAAGAGATGAATGAACTCATACTGACATAATTTATTCTCTCTGAGTCTCTATGTAAAACCATGTACTCTCAAGTCAAAAAAAGTACAGAACAACATTTTGCACTAATAATCACAACAGTAATATTATTTTTATTTTTAAGGAATTTATTAGAGGAAAAATGCCTGCACTAAAATATATATCCTTAGAAATTCTAGAATATCCTGATCTTTAAATTAACTCTGAAACACACATTCCAACACAACTTTTTTACAAAGGTGGCAAATTTAAACTCAAAAAGTGTATTGTTATAAATAAAACCTACAATTTTATGTTGAAGGCTCAGGGTTCAATATGCAAATGCACAACTTTAGGTCCCCAAAGATTATGCAACTTCTGCTAATCTGACACCAAGGTAGCCTAGACTTAAATTTGAGGTTGCTAATAAGTAGGAGGTGACAAGGGATAAGATTTATTAAATCCTTCAGTTTCAGTTCCCCCATTATAAGATTCTTTGATATGGTGATTTTTAAGCATTGTACAATGTACATTTAGGAGATAAATTTTATTCCTTCACATATCCATCATTAGACAAATGCCAAGGTTGATAGAAGGCCAGTATTTAAAACAGAGCAAAATAAAACAACACCAAGTTTTTGTTAGGTCATCAATGGATTAGGCAAAGAGAACACAAATTAAAATTGTCAATCTTATAAGCATTTCTTTATAAGTCACCTTCATTCATTTGAATTTCTAGGTAAATCAAATTTTATCTCTTAGCTTTATTCTTTTTACAAACATATGTGTATGTAGTAGGGCAAGTTCTTTTTTCCAAAAAATAGTTTGAAAATATATTGTCTTCCCAATTGAATGTATTTTTTTTTGCTAGTTGTACTTTGCAAAATAATTTGTCTATGACCTTTTCCTTCCATGATGTGCATTTTTTATTTTCTGACAGTACTTTAACAAAATCTTCAATATCTTCCACAAATGGATTAACATGGACAGTAGGATAAGATAAAATAACATATCATAAAATGTTTATATCAGGTACTCCCTAAAGCACACATACACACATATAAACATGTACATACACAAATACATACAGATTCAAATGAGAATATACAACTTGCCACATTGGCTATGAATTTTTTCCAGTAATACCTCCAAAACCCAAAGATATCTGGACCATGATGTCATAATCTGTAAATAAATTTGCCAAAATTGACAAATGGGACCTAAGTAAACTAAAGATGTTAAAGTTCCTCATAGATTCTGGATATTAGATCTTTGTCAGATGGACAGATTGCAAAAATTTTCTCCCATTCTGTAGGTTGCTTGTTGACTCTGATAATAGTTTCTTTTGCCGTGCAGAAGCTCTTTAGTTTGATTAGATCCCATTTGTCAATTTTGGCTTTTGTTGCCATTGCTTTTGGTGTTTTGGTCATGAAGTCTTTGCCCATGCCTATGTCCTGAATGGTATTGCCTAGGTTTTCTTCCAGGGATTTTGTGGTTTTAGGTTTTATGTTTAAGGCTTTAATTCATCTTGAGTTAATTTTTGTATAAGATGTAAGGAAGGGGTCCAGCTTCAGTTTTCTGGATATGGCTAGCCAGTTTTCTCAGCACCATTTATTAAATATGGACTCTTTTCCCCATTGCTTGTTTTTGTCAAGTTTGTTAAAAATGAGCTGGTTGTAGATGTGTCATGTGATTTCTGAGGCCTCTGTTTTGTTCCATTGGTCTATATATCTGTTTTGTTACCAGTACCATGCTGTTTTGGTTACTGTAGCCCTGTAGTATAATTTGAAGTAAGGTAGCATAATGCCTTCAGCTTTGTTTTTTTTTTTTTGCTTAGGATTGTCTTGGCTATACGGGCTCTTTTTCAGTTCCATATGAAATGTGAAGTTGTTTTTTTCTAGTACTGTGAAGAAAATCAATGGTAGCTTAATGGGAATAGCATTGAATCTCTAAATTACTTTGGACAGTATGGCTATTTTCACAATATTGATTCTTATGATCCATGAGCATGGAATGTTTTTCCATTTGTTTGTGTCCTCTCTTATTTCCTTGAGTAGTGGTTTGTTCTTGGAGACCCACAAACAGACTTAGACTCCCACACAATAATATTGGGAGACTTTCACACCCTACTGTGAATATTAGATCAATGAGATGGAAAATTAACAAGGATATCCAGGACTTGAACTCAGCTCTGAACCAAGCAGACCTAATAGACATCCACAGAGTTCTCTACCCCACCCCATGGAATATACATTCTTCTCTCCACCACATAGCACTTATTCTAACATCGACCACATAATTGGAAGTACTCCTCATCAAATACAAAAGAATGGAAATCATAGCAGCCTCTCAGATCACAGTGCAAACAAATTAGAACTCAGGATTTAGAAACTAACTCAAAACCACACAACTACATGGAAACTGAACAACCTGCTCCTGAATGACTACTGGGTAAATAACAAATTAAGGCAGAAATAAATAAGTTATTTGAAACCAATGAAAACAAAAACACAATGTACCAGAATCTCTGGGAAACAGCTAAAGGCATGTTAAGGGGGAAATTTATAGCACTAAATGCCCACATCAGAAAGCAGGAAAGATCTAAAATTAACACCCTAACATCACAATTAAAAGAACTAGAGAAGCAAGAGCAAATAAATTCATAAGCTAGCAGAAGACAAGAAATAACTAAGATCAGAGCAGAACTGAAAGAGAGGGAGTCACGAAAAACCCTTCAAAAATCAATGAATATAGGAGCTGGTTTTTTGAAAAGATTAACAAAATAGATAGACTGCTAGCCAGACTAAACAAGAAGAAAAGAGAGAAGAATCAAATAGACACAATAAAAATGATAAAGAGGATAACACCACTAACCCTACAGAAATGCAAACTACTATCAGAGAATACTATAAACACTTCTATGCAAATAAACCAGAAAATCTAGGAGAAATAGATAAGTTCCTGGTCACATACACCCTCCCAAGACTAAAACAGTGAGAAGTTGAATCCCTGAATAGACCAAAAACAAGTTCTAAAATTGAGGCAGTAATTAATAGCCTACCATTAAAAAAAGCCCAGGACCAGGCAGATTCACAGCCAATTTCTATCAGAGGTACAAAGAGAAGCTGGTACCATTACTTCTGAAACTATTCCAAACAATAGAAAAAGAGGAACTCCTCCCTAACTCATTTTATGAGGCCAGCATCATCCTGATACCAAAACCTGGCAGAGACACAACAACACACAAAAGAAAATTTCAGGCCAGTATCCCTAATGAACATTGATGCGAAAATCCTCAATAAAATATTGGCAAACGGAATCCAGCAGCACATCAAAAAGCTTATCCACCACGATGAAGTCAGCTTCATCCCTGGGATGCAAGGCTGGTTCAACATATGCAAATCAATAAATATAATCCATCGCATAAACAGAACCAATGACAAAAACCACATGATTATCTCAATAGATGCAGAAAAGGCCTTCAATAAAATTCAACACCCTTCATGCTAAAAATACTGAAAAAATTAGGTATTGATGGAACATATCTCAAAATACTGAGAGCTATTTATGACAAACCCATAGCCAATATAATACTGAATGGACAGAAGCTGGAAGCATTCCCTTTGAAAAGTGGCACAAGACAAGGATCCCCTCTCTCAGCACTCCTATTCAACATAGTGTTGTATTGGAAGTTATGGCCAGGGCAATCAGGCAAGAGAAGGAAATAAAGCGTATTCAAATAGGAAGAAAGGAAGTCAAGTTGTCTCTGTTTGCAGATGACATGATTGTATATTTAGAAAACCCCATTGTCTCAGCCCAAAATCTCCTTAAGCTTATAAACATCCTCAACAAAGTCTCTGGATACAAAATCAATGTGCAAAAATCACAATTCCTATACAACAATAATAGACAAAGAGAGGGCCAAATCATGAGTGAATTCCCATTCACAGTTGCTACAAAGAGAATAAAATACCTAGGAATACAACTTACAAGGGATGTGAAGGACCTCTTCAAGAAGATCCAGTCAGCTTCTAATGTTTAAATTATTTAATCTTTTTACCTTTTGTTTTTCTGTATTTAACATTAAATTTATATTTATAATTTTAATATTTAATCAATTGACTTTCATCTATTCTTATTTTATGTATGTCTTGTAAAATTATACCTCATAACTCAGAATTACAGAATTTATCTTATTTCCATATATTTCAGTGAAGAAAATTAATATTTTGTAAATGTACTTTTGTTGTTGAAAAAAATAATATTTGTAAGTTGCCAAGAGTTGAAAGAATCATCTATGTTTTTTCTCATGTACACCATAAGTTCATGGCCCTTTAAAAAAAAAACAAACTGTATTTTGCTTTGTTTCCTTGTGATAGTTTAAAAGAATTTGTAAAGAACCCTTTGGCGCTTACACAGTTTGATCATATTATTATCTGCTGCATTAATGCTTCTTTACAGCACTGCATAGCTACATCACATTATGTTCATTTATATAAAGTATAGATTCTTTTCTCAAATTTTGACTAAAGCTTTTCTCTATGGTTAACTTGAATAGTCAAGTCAACACTTTTGGAGTGTCTGTTGTGCTCAGAGCACTGTGATACCTGCTGCAAATACTAAGCCTAACTTGATTAATATAATATTGTTGAAGAGATAAAACATTTATACGTGCATTTGTTTGGTTGTTTTATAGCTCAAGAGAGTTCATTTTCAGAAGTGCATAGTAAAATAGAATTATTTTCACAGAAATGGGTAAATCTCTCTTACCTGCATGGATTATGGGATATGCATAATTCTAAAAAATCATTTTAAACCATTTACATTTCAGTTTGGAATATTTAGTACTATTTGAAGCTGTAGAATAAATAATCATCTGATATATATTTTGCTTGAATTAAAGCTAGAATTGTCTGCCTTGTCTGGGAAAACTTGTATTACAGACAAAGGCAAGGATGTTCTTTGTGTACTGAAGGAAGTCAACCTAGAGAATTAAAAATTCAGCATGAAAATAAGTAGGTATGTCCCCTCATTTATGGTTTAATTGAAGAAAAGGCAAATTATTAACACAGCTGGCTTGGATGCACTGATAATAATCAATGTTGCAATTATACCGGCTAGATGACAATTTATAGATTGCATTTCCTGATTTGCCATTTGCCATTATGTTTGTGCTATTTATCAAAAATCTTATTTTTACAAAGCTCTTGTATATATAAAAAACTATAGCCTGCCCTGTTTCTAAATCTAATCCTACAAAGTAATATACTTTCCAAAAACTTAACTGTTTTACATATTTATGAATTTCTCACAGGCCCCCTAAGGGATTCATTTCTCAATTGTGTCATAAGACACCACAGTATAATGCTTGGCTTATTTTCCCATTCCCATCAAGTATTGTTCTACAGTTACACGGTGTTTTCTATTTGTTGTTGTCTAGAGCAGACTGAGGATGTAGCACTGACCCAGCCTGCTCAATGTGCAGGACTCATGCCTGCAAGCACTGGGACTCATAAGACTTATCACTGTGCATTTCTGTGTCATATCAGCAAGCTCATCTGCAGAAATACATTCTGACTGAGTAACCCTGAGGTAGACAATGCTTAATTCTCCATTTCAAAACATTCCAGGAATGGAAAAATGATTCAGCTGGAAGGCATTCGCCCTGTCAGCACCCTATTATCCTAACACAGTGTTTACTCTGTTACTGGTTTCAGTTATCCCTACACAGTTTGATAATCATTTTTGAAGCCAGCCTGGTGTATAACTTAGCACTGGTTCATAGCATGTTTATGATTGGTTTTAACATGATACCTATGGATTCACATCTATCTTTTTGCCTACTTTGTCTATTCTCTAATTTTGAGAAAATATACTTCAAAGAATGTAATTGAAGAAAAATATTGAAAATTAAAAGTATATGTTAAAATATTCTAAAGCTTATTTTAGTAATTACCAATTAGCAATTTATTGAAATTAACATATATGCACACATACAGACACACAAAGAGAGAGGGAGAGGTGCCATCAACAGTGTGTGTTTGAAAATATGTAGAAGTGTCTGTAAGATATGATGTAATTATATTAAGAAAGCATATTAAGAAATTCAATCTTTCTTGAAAGTGAAATAATCAAATTTACCATATAGTGTTCTACACTTCCATATATATTTATAAGATATTCTATGAAAACAAAATGTATACATATTTAATATAAAATAAAATCTTTATTGAAAAAATGTTTTTTTCATATTAGCTTAAAATGACAGCTATTTGGAAAAAAAAAAAGCCTAAAATTTCAGTAGGCTTAATATTAACGTGGCTTTAAAATTATATTTTCTACATAAATCTAGGGAATATATTTTATATACTATAATATTACAAAAATATCAACATTAATATTATATTTTCTTCTTGGTCTTCATGATAACCATTAATAACTTTAATACAAATATATTGGTTTGAATTATTTTTAATTTCATAATTTAATCAATGAATACATATTTCTTGTTTGTACTGTATGTCAGATACTTTCTTTAACATAATGTGCTTTGTAATTTTAGAAAAATAGTATCAAAGTCATAAATACATTAGTGTTAATACTAATATATTTGCTCTTTTATTCTTTTCTAGTTGGATCTCTTTTTAGTAACTTTCAGGGATGAAACTGCTGGAAATCTGTTGTACACCATGCCAAAATGCTTTCAGGGTTCATATGTAATAATGGGCTTTAAAAATTGTCTTTGTGAAAGTTTATTTTTGGTCTTGATTGTATATAGTTTTTTTCTATTTCATATATTTAGAACATTTTAGTGTAAACATATTTAGAAAAAGATCTTTTCAGTTGATTTTATGTTTGATTTGAGAATTATGCCATGATGTGTGCATTTGAAGGCTATTTGATTCGATAATATACATATGTTTCTATTTACGGATAAATTTTCCTTCTGGCATGATTTGCATTTAAATGAATTAAATTTTTATAATCATATATGCATATGTATATGCACCTATATATATCCATACATGCATAATTATTTATATTGTTTATAATCATAATCATGTCTATGTCTATACATGCATATGTACATGTATGTATGCATGCACATATGTTTGTGTGTGTTAGGACTGCCATAAACAAATTACTACATACTTGGTAGTGGTAAAAATCAAGTTTAGCCTAAAGCTGCCTCCTTACGTATTTTAAGTTTGGCCTAAAGGTTTCTCTGTACATTGTGAACTATAACAAGTGAAGATGTAAACAGACCGTAGCCTATACTTGTGCCAATCAGTGAGTTTTGACCAATCAAATGTAGCCAACTATTCAAACAGTGTTCAAATAAGCCATACAGCGAGCTGTAACCAATCTGGCTGTTTCTGTATCTCACTTCCGTTTTCTGTACTTCACTTTCCTTTTTTTGTTCATAAATCCTCTTCCACCATGTGGCTGTGCTGGAGTCTCTGAACATACTCTGGCTTGAGAGGCTGCCCCATTCGCGAATGGTTCATTGCTCAACTAAATGCTTTTAAATTTAATTCGGCTGAAGTTTTTCTTTTATCATACTTAGAAGGACAGTTCTGAAAGCTAGATGTCGGAAATCAAGGAGTCACTAAGGTTGGTTTCTTCTTAAGTTTCTGAGGAAGAATCTATCCCATGCCACTCTCTCAGCTTCTGGTGGCTGCTGACAATCTTTGGTGTTCCTTGTCTTATCAACACACTTTTCAATCTCTGCCTCTGTCTTCACATAGCATTCTCCCCTGTGTTTCTGTGTCTCTCCTTAAGAGGAGAGATGATATGATACAAGATCATGATATGATTAAGTAATATCCAGTAAACAGCCCACACTGATCTAATATGAGATCCCCATCTTAAATGAACTCGTTACTACAAAGTCCCTGTTTCCAAATAACATCACATTCACAATTACTGTGGACAGGATTTCAACAAATCTTTCCAGGAGACTTAGTTCAACCCACACTGTGTGTGTATACATATGCCTATACACATGTATATGTACAACAATTCACTTTAATAATAAATAACAAGTTTTCATTTGTCTGTTGCAAAAGTATGTGTCATTACAAACTGTGTTATTTACACTGCTTTAACTATTAAGTAAATACTAAATCAGTACTAAATTGGTTATGTCAGTGTTTCAGAGCATTAGATCTTAAATAAATTTTGAATACAATCAATTAAAAATAATACACAATATTTTAACATAAAATTGATGAAGTAGAGAATTCTGCAATATTTGAAATTTTAGAGAATGCCAATTAATTGCAAACATTAGTTTTAAGACTAGGTGGATACCTAGCATTCATGTAATGTTAATCTCTGACTTTAGAAAATGTCAAATTATAATAAAAACTTATATTTTATTTTAAACATAAAAATAACATCATTCATGAATACAGTAGACTAATAGGACTAAACAGAATGGCCTGAAAAAGCTCAGAAGTATCATCACCCAATTCAAAAGTAAAATAACTTACTTATAGGAGGCCAGGCATGGTGGCTCATGACTGTAATCCCAGCACTTTGGGAGGTTGAGTCTGGAGGATTGCTTGAGAGTCCAGCAGTTCAAGACTAGCTGGGCAACATAGTGAATCCCCATCTCTACAATACAATACAAAAATTAGACAGGTATGGTGGCATGCACCTGTAGTCCCAGCTACTTGGGAGGCTGAGGAAAGCGGATTGCTTGAGCCCAGGGAAATTGAGGCTGCAGTGAGCTCTGGTTGCACCACTGCACTTCAACCTGGCTGACAGAGTGAGACCCTGTTTCAAAAAAAAAAAAAAAAAAAGAAAAAGAAAACATAAATAAATAATATAACTACATTTATAAAGTTAGGTTATAAAATAATAAAACATGCTTTATCTTTCTCCAAATCTCCACAAACAATATTTTTGTTTATATTCCAATATTAGTAAAAAGGGTGAAGAGTAACACTGAGAAGACCTACTCTTAAACTCTTGTTAATGTCTTTCTAGATATGATTTTTATTATGAAAAATTTTACACATACAACAATGTTGAAATAATTTTACAGTGAACACTAATACATCCATTATCTAGATTCTATGAATAATATTTGCTACATTTGTTTAATCACATGTATATCAATTTGTCTTCTATCCATCTATCAACTTTGTTAATTTTTGATGCATTTCGAAATGAATTGTGGATCTTTGTGTATTTCCTCCAGTACATCTTTATGATAACTTTAGTCAAAGGTCAGTATTTATTACTGTTTTCTGTAATTTGATATAAAGTTTTCATAAAATGTCATGCACAAATAGTAAATATATATTTAAGTTTTGAATACATTTACTCTTATAACCATATCTCTACAGGTGTATAACACTATCATCACCCTAGAAAAGTTTTTTCTATAAATAATATATAATTTATATAATATATAAAAAGTTCTTTATATATGATGGATACATTTCCTTATTAAACACATAATTTGCAAATATTTTCTCCCATTCTGCCTGTTGTCTTTTTTACTTTTTTGATCCTGTCTTCATAATACAAACATTTTAAATTTGGATATAATTCATCTTTTTTTCTTGTGTCACTTGTGCTTTTGGTGTCATATCTAAGAAACCATTGGCTAAACCAAGTCAATAAGATTCTTATAGTTTTGGCTCTTACATTTATAACTGTCAACAATTTTGGTAATTTTTTGTGGCTGATGTAAGTTTGGAATCCAAGCGATGCTTTTGCATACAGTTATCTAGGTGTCCCAGCACTAGTTATTGAAAATACTCAATAAATTACTTTGGCTTCTTTGTTAAAAAGTCAAATGACCATAAATGTATGAATTAATTTCTGGAAATCTTGACCTATCTGTGTGTCTTTTCTTATAGCATACCACATTGTCATTATTAGTCTAGTTGTATAGTAAGTTTTGAAATAGGGAATTGGTGTCTTCCAAATTATTTATTGTTTTTCAAAATTATTTTGTGTATGTATTTGCATTTACATAGGAATTTTAGAATGATTTATGATTATGGAATATCTTGATTTCTTTAGATATTTTATTTTTTTCAACAATATTTTGTGGGGTTTTTTTTTTTTTTTTTTTGACCGAGTTTCGCTCTTGTTGCCCAGGCTGGAGTGCAGTGGCGCAATCTCGGCTCACAGCAACCTCTGCTTCCCGGGTTCAAGAGATTCTAATGCCTCAGCCTCCCGAGTAGCTGGGATTACAGGCATGCGACAACACGCCCAGCTAATTTTGTATTTTTAGTAGAGATGGGGTTTCTCCATGTTGGTCAGAGTGGTCTCGAATTCCGAACCTCAGGTGATCCACCCACCTCGACCTCCCAAAGTGCTGGGATTAGAGGCGTGAGCCACCATGCTCGGCCCCTATTTTGTGGGTTTTAACACCTGGATTTAATTTTCTGGATTTGGCAACGCTACTGGGAGAGAATATGATAAAAGTGTGACGAGTTATTTAAAAAGTATAAATAGGCCTGGCGCGGTGGCGCACGCCTGGTGGATCACGAGGTCAAGAGATCGAGACCATCCTGGCCAACACGGTGAAACCCCGTCTCTACTAAAAATACAAAAATTAGCTGAGCGTGGTGGCAGGTGCCTGTAGTCCCAGCTACTTGGGAGGCTGAGGCAGGAGAATGGCGTGAACCCGGGAGGCGGAGCTTGCAGTGAGCCAAAATAATGCCACTGCACTCCAGCCTGGACGACAGAGCGAGACTCTGTCTCAAAAAGAAAAAAAAAAGTATAAATACTGATAATTTGTACCTAGATTCTAAACTCACTTTTGCAACTTACCCTGCGAGTCTTTTAGCTTCACTTTGCTCCCTTTACATCACCGGCAAATGAGGAAGATAATGCCTGACCTCACTTTCTTTACAGGAATGTTGTTAGAATAAATGAGGCAATGCACACATAAACACAGAGCATACTGGAAGACAAATAATCTATAAAACTGTAGAATCATCATTATTATTATTATAGACAGAATTTCTGAAAAGTCAGCAGGGTGAATATAGTAATTTCCTACAAAGAAGAAAATAAAAATATCATTACAATATGGATTTAATAGCTTTGTCTTTTATTTTATTCAGCACAGCATAAGAATATAGATGTACCTCCTTTGGTTTATTATAAAGGTGCATTGTTTTCCATTTCATGGTACCTTTATGCCTTTAATCAGAATCTAACAATATGTATGTTATTGTACATACATTTCTTACATTTCTAAAAATCACTAAAGACTGATTAGTCATAGGTGTCAGATTTTTTTAATTATACATTTTCACTATATACATGTATGTATACACATGTATACAGTGTGCATCTTTGTGCATCAGTTTTTCAGTGTACACTTTAACCCTAGGAATAATATATCATTGTTCATATGCTTAATATAAATATCAGTGTCTTAGTTTTTTACAACTTAAGTTCCAATGACTTCTTTGTATAATGAAGAGATTAGATACAATTTAGTGTTTTCATTTTAAACAATACATTTTGGAATAAACAATGGATAACTATGAACAAGTCGGTCACTTTCTGTAGGATTCTTTATTTGATATATTATGGAGTTAGGCACAATTATGATTAAGCTCTGTCCACATTCCAATATCTTTGAAATATGCAGAGTATTTAAGGTACAGAGGAGAATGAAGAAAAAGACAATTCTAGGATCAATTTATAGAATATAACTGATAAATATATGTTTCAAAGAAAATCTTGCAAGTAGAGCAATTTTCAAACTTTAGTTTTCTAAAGTATTTAAATTATGTAATACCACTACTTAAATATCTGTTTTTGGTTCCCTTTAATTTTTTAAATAATTTCTACAAAATATTAAGTTTAGCATGCAGCTCATGAAATAAAACATATATTTTATAATAAGGCCAGAAACAGGTAATATTCTTTAAAACAAATTAACTATGAGTGAGTAGTTTTATCTCAGCATAAATTTAATTAAAAATACTCTAATGAATTTTCGTTATGGTTGAAATTATTCTTTTAATTATTGTTATCTAATTTAATTTTAGTCTATTTTTTAAAAAATAGAACTCAAATACAGCTGACTCTTGAATGACATACGTTGGAACGTGTAAGTTCTGACTTAATTTGCAGGTTTTTTTCCTTAAAAGTTATACCAAGTGTTCCTGCCTCTCCTAACTCCCCTTTCAACTCCTCCACCTCTTCTGCATCTGCCACCCCTGAGACAGCAAGACCAACCCCCACTATTTCTCCTACTCCAGCACCTACTCTAAAATTAAGACTTTTATGATAATCCACTTCCACTTAATAAATGATAAATGTGTTTTATCTTATGACTATCTTAATAACATTTTATTTTCTCTAGCTTATTTAATTGTAAGAATACAGTATACTAAACTGATAAGAACAGATACTACACTTGATCTTAGCCAAAAGATGAAGGATATGAACAGACACTTCTCAAAAGAATACATTTATGTGGACAACAAACATATGAAAAAAAGATCATCAATGGTCATTAGAGAAATGCAAATCAAAACCACAATGAGATACCATCTCACGCCAGTTAGAATGGTGATTATTAAAAAGTCAGGAAATAACAGTTGCTGGTGAGGCTGTGGAAAAACAGGAACACTATTACACTGTTGGTGGGAGTGTAAATTAGTTCAACCATTGTGGAAGACAGTGCCATGATTCCTTAGAGATCTAGAACTAGAAACACCATTTGACCCAGCAATCCCATTACTGGGTATATAGCCAAAGGATTATAAATCATTCTGTTATAAAAACACGTGCACACATATGTTTATTGCAGCACTATTTACAATAGCAAAGACTTGGAACCAACCCAAATGCCCATCAGTGATAGACTGGATTTAAAAAAAAGTAATACGTATACACCATGGAATACTATGCAGTCATAAAAAAAGAATGAGTTCATGTTCTTTGCAGGGACATGGATGAAGCTGCAAACTAACACAAGAACAGAAAACCAAACATCGCATGTTCTCACTTATAAGTGGGAGTTGAGCAGTGAGAACACATGGACACAGGGAGGGGAACATCACACACTGGGGCCTGTCACTGGGTCAGGGGGCAAGGGGAAGGAGCGCACTAGGACAAATATCGCATGCATTCAGGGCTTAATACCTAGATGATGGATTGATAGGTGCAGCAAACCACCATGCCACGTGCATACCTATGTAACAAAACTGCACGTTCTGCACATGTATCCTAGAACTTAAAAAAAAGAATACAGTATATATTTCCTATAATATACAAAATATGTGCTAATTGTTGGTTTTTTGTAAGACTTCCAGGCAAAAGTAGTTATTAGTAGTTAAGTTTTCTGGGAGTCAAAAGTTAAATGTTGCACAGTGTTTTGGTGCCACTAAGTTCACATTGTTCAAGGGTTAACTGTGTATTATAATGACAGTCTCATATACTTAGAGAAATTGCAATCTGTTTGCTTATAAGTATTATAATTGCTTGATAAACCAAATGGAGCTTTGGCTTTGTTATAGTTTATAAATTTATTTTCCCCAAGCCTTTAAAACCAACTGTATAATTTTGTTTTCATGTACAAAGGCATTTAGTAGTTTGAAGCTAATGTGTCATATTTGGCTGCCCTTGTCATAGTCCATCCATCATATTCCTTTCAGTAAGACATAATCTGATTTTTGTTGATGAACATGATTTGAGATACAAGAGCCCCATCTTATGTAAAAGGTCAAAGATAACCAAAGTACAGTGAAGATTTTGAGACTAACGACAAACAAAAATCCTTTGTCATGGAGTAATTAGAATATGCAATAGAAAAAAACTTTATTTTCCTCATACTGTTTGTTCTCAGTTTTATTTATAAATAAGTGTATACATTAAAAAAGAAAAATTTGCAATAAAGCCATTGAATGTTATATGCAATAATGGCTGCGGCTATATCCACAAAATTCTTTGACAGGTACAAAAACATTTTTTAAGGCAAGGCATTTTGCTTAATAGTGAATAAATTTGTATTTACATGTAAACAATGTTTGTCCTGCTGGTAAGTGCTTCAATAACCTATAAACTTCATTTTGTATCCTCTTTATTTTATGGCAATTTCCAAAGGCTCTCCAACCATAGGGTTTCAGAAAAATTTATTAAAAACCTTTTGTCTCTACCTTCAAACACTACCATTTTTGCCATCGTTACTACTTCTTATTCACTTTCTCTCTTCTTGAGGCATAAATTTCACTGTTACTTATTAAAATAGTCCTGTAACCAACACTAAACCAATTTTAGTACTTCTTAATCATTTATTAAGGGAATTGATATTACTGAATTCAGAATAAGGGGAGAAACCAAAAATAGAAAAAATAAAATATCGTGGACTTGAATTATTCTATCAATATCTTATTTTTTCTTTTAGTTAACATGTGGAAGATAAAAGATCACTGCCTCCATGGAACATACTGTTCATTAATTTTTATTTCTGTCTCATTCATTAAGCATGCTAGAGCAAAGTACCATCGACTGGGGATCTTATAAACAACAAAAATTTATTTTTTCACATTTATGGCATCTGAGAAGTTTAAGGCACTGGCAGATTCAGCGCCTGGTGAAGGTCTGTCTTCTGGTTTGTACATGGCCCCTTCTAGTTTTGTCCTCACATGGTAGAAGGGAAGAACTCTGATCTTTTTTCCATTTACAAGGGCTCCACTCTCACAACTAGGTCATGAGAGAGGAACCCTCGTGAATGGGACCTCCAAAGTCCTCACCTCCTAATATCATCTCTTTCAGGGGTTAGGCTTTATCATATGAGTTTTTAGGGGACACAAGCATTCACTCTATTAAAAATACCTTTATTTTCTTAATTAAGATTTGGAGTAAAGTTATAGATAACTGTATTCCTTTCCTCACTGTGCCCAATAAAGTTATTTTAACAAAATGGTAGGCAAATTTAAAAAATGAATAAAAATCATAATAAATAATTCATTGTCTTGGTGGCAATAATATGCTATAAATAATAACCACTGAGATTAAAATTACAAGGTACTGCAACAATTTAGTGTTTAATACATGTAGTCATGACAAACATAATAGAAGTCTGTATTTTCCTTATGATTATTTTTCTTTCTTTATATTGCAACTATAGACATAAGCACATGGAAGCAATTTTAAAAAATAATAGACTTTATTTCTTAGAAAAATTTTAGATATAATAAAATATTTATCAGACAGTGAGGAGAATTTCCCTTACACTCCTTCTCTACCCAATGCTTCCCATATCATTTACATCTTGTTCTGATGTGGTACATTTGTCACAATTGATAAGCCAATATTAACACATATTGATAACTAATTCTGTGGCTTACATTAGGGCTTACTGTTTTTGTTTTGTTTTGTTTTTTGAGACAGACTCTTCCTCTGTGACCCAGGCTGGAGTGCAGTGGTGCGATCTCAGCTCACTGCAATCTCTGCCTCCCGGGTTCAAGAGATTCTCCTGCCTCAGCCTCCTGAGTAGCTGGGACTACAGGCGCCCGCCATCACACCGGCCTAATTTTTTGTATTTTTAGTAGAGATGGGGTTTCACCGTGTTAGCCAGGATGATCTCGATCTCCTGACCTCGTCATCTGCCTGCCTCAGCCTCTCAAAGTTCTGGGATTGTAGGCGTGAGCCACCACGCCGGGTCGGGTTTACTTTTTATGTTGTAGAGTGATCTGAGTTTTTTCAAATGCATAATGCTATATCTACACCATGAATATATCATTCAGAATAGTTTCACTGTCTTGTAAAATTCCATGCACCTCTACTCATTGCTTCTACTTTGTCAATGAATCGAGAACAACCGGTGAACTTTTTACAGTTAGTATAGCTGTGCCTTTCCCAGAATGCATATATTGGGAATCCTACAGTAAATAGCCTTTCCAGACTGGCTTCTTTCACTTATCAATATTTATTTAAGTGGCTTAGTAGTTTATTTCTTGTTATTAAATAATGTTTTATTATTTGAATGTATCACAGTTTAATCACATGTTGATGGACATCTTGGTCACTGATAATTGGCAATTATATATAAATAAATTGCTGCAAGTATTTGTGTGCAAGTTTTTCTATGAATATATGTTTTCAACTCACTTGGGCATAGATTCTAGATCATACGGTAAAATTACGTTTATTTTTTAAAGAAATTGCCACAAGTCTTCCGAAGTGGCTGTAGCATTTTACATTCCCACTGGCAATGAATAAGTGCTCCTGAAGCTCCACATCTTCACCAGCTTTTTGTTCTGTCAGTGTTTTGGATTTTAGCTATTCTAATATGTATGTAAAGGTAAACTTTTGTTGTTTTTAATTTGTAATCCTCATATCATAAGATGGTGAGAATTTTATTTAATCCTTATTTGCCATCTATATATCTTCTCTGTTGAGGTGTCTCTTCAGATCTTTTACCTACTTTTTTGTTTTTATTTTTAATTTATGTGGAGTTTTTACTTTAGATTCAGGGGCTACATGTGCAGGTTTGTTAAAAGGATATTTTTTGTGATGCTGAGATTTGCGCTTCTATTGATCCTGCCACCCAGATGGTGTACAGAAGCACCCAACAGAAGTTTTCCAGTCCTTCCCTCTCTTCCTGTTCTTGGAGTCCCTAGAATCTATTGTTCCTGTCTTTGTGTCTGTGTGTACCCGAGGTTTATCTCCCACTTATAAGTGAGAATATTTTATATTTGGTTTTCTGTTTTTGTGTTAATTTGTTTGAAATAATGCCCTCCAGCTGTATCCATGTTGCTGCAAAAGATGTGATTTTGTTATTTTTTTATAGTTGTGTAGTAATCCATGGTGTATATGTACCACATTTTCTTTCTCCAACCCATCTTTGATGGGCACCTAGATTGATTCCTTGTCTTTGCTATTGTGAATAGTGCTGCAATAAACATATAAATACAGGTATCTTTTTGGTAGAATGGCTTGTTTTCCTGTGGATATGTACCAAGTAATGGGATTGCTGTGTTGAATGGTAGTTCTATGTTAAAGTTCATATTAAAGCTCATATATAAAGTTCATATTAAAATTAAATGTGTTTCTATTTCTCTGTAGCCTTGCCAACATCTGCTCTTGTTTTAATACTAGCCATTCTGACTTATGTTAGATAATATCTAATCATAGTTTTGATTTGCATTCCTGTGATGATTAGTGATGTTGAGCATGTTTTTATATGTTTATTGGTTGCTTGTATGTCTTCTTTTAAGAAGTGTTTGTTCGTGTCCTTTGCTCACTTTTGTGTTGTTGTTGCTGCTGTTGATTTGCTTAAGTTCCTTATAGACTTTGGATAATAGACCTTTGTTGAAAGTATAGTTTGCAAATATTTTCTTCCATTCTGTAGGTTGTCTGTTTATGCTGTTGTTAGTTTCTTTTGCTTTGCAGAAACTCCTTAATTTAATGAGGCCCCACTTGTCAATTTTTGTTTTTGTTGAGCTTTCTTTTGTGGACTAAGTCATACATTCTTTGTCCAAAAGGGTATTTCCTAGGTTTTCTTTTAGGATTTTTACAGTTTGAGGTCTTAAATTTATGGCTTTGATCCATCTTGAGTTAATTTTTTCATATAGTGATAGGTAGTGGTGCAGTTTCATTCTTCTGCATATGGTTAACCAACTTTCCCAGCACCATTTATTGAACAGGAAGTCCTTTCTCCATTGCTAATTTTTGTCAACTTTGTGGAAGATAAGTTGGTTGAAGGTGTGTGGCTTTATTTCTTGGTTCTCTATTCCATTCCACTGATCTACATTGTCTATTTTTGTACCAATACCATGCTGTTTTGGTAACTGCCATTTTGTAATATAATTTGAAGTCAGGTAGTATAATGCCTGTGGCTTTGTTCTTTTTGCTTAGAATTGTTTTGGCTATTTGGGCTCTTTTTTGGTTCCATATAAATTTCAGAATAGTTTTTTTTCTAATTATGTAAAAATGTTGTTGGTAGTTTGATAGGAATAACATTGAATCTATAGATTGCTTTGGATAGTATGAACATTCTAACTACATTTATTCTTCTAATCCATGAGCTTGAATTTTTTTTTTCATTTGTGACATCTATCCTTTCTTTCATCACTGTTTTGTAGTTCTCCTGATAGCAATATTTCACCTCTTTTGTCAGATGTGTTCCTAGGTATTTTATCATTTTGTATTTTTTGTCCACTTTTTAATTAGGTTGTTGTATATTTTAGATACGACTACTTTATCAGACATGTGTTTTGCAAATATTTTATCTCAGTTGTGACTTATATTTTCATTCCCTTAACACTATCTTTCACAGAGCAGAAGTGTTTACAATTTTAATGAAGTCCAGCTTGTCTGTTTTTTTATGGATCTTGCTTTTGTGTTATATCTAAACACTCATTATGAAACCTAAGGTTACATAGATTTTCTCACATTCTATCTTTAAGAAAGTTGAGAGATTTGCATTTACATTTAGGTTTATAATCTATTTTGAGTTAGTTTTTACAAAAGATGTAAGATCTGTGTTCTTTTTTTTTTTTTTTTTTTTTTTTTTGCATGTGAACATTTAATTTTTTCAGCACCAATTGTCAGATTTCCATTTCTCCTCTGGCAAAGACAAGTTGACTGTTCTAGTGTGGGTGTCATTTTGGGCTCATTTTTCTATTCCATTAGTCTTTTTGTGTATACTTTTGTTAAGACAACTCTGTGTTTATTACTATAGCTGAATAGTAAGTCTTGAAGTCTTACTGGTCAGTCATGTAGTATCACTTCTCTGACTTTGTTATTTTTCTCCAAAATTATGTTGGTAATTTAGAGTCCTTTGTTTCTTTGTATAAACTTTAAAATAGTTTGTTGATATACACAAAGTAAATTGCTGATATTTTTGTTGAGATTGAATTGCATGTATAGATGCAATTGGGGAGAAGGACATCCTAATATTTAGTCTTTAAATTCATGAGCATGATATATCTCCATTTATTTAGAGCTTTGATTTATTGTATTACAGTTGTGTAGATTTCCCCATATACATCCTGTAAATATTTTGTTAAATTTCTTCCTCCTCTTCTTCCATCTCCTTCCCTTTCACCTTCTTGTTCTCTTTCTTCTTTTTAGAGATAACAAAAACTGTGCTGTATCTTTTATTTCAGTTTCCAACTCCTCAAAAGCAATTGGCATTGTATATTACACATGTATCCTATGCCTTTATTATAATTACTTATTATGTCTAAAAATATTTTTTTCTGATTTCTTTGTAATTTTTAAACATATGTTAAAGTGAACTAATATTACCTGAGAAGGAATCTGTACTTCTATACTTCAGTCCTTGTGGACAAACCATAACCTAGCTTAATAGGTAGACAAGATTGAAAACCTAACTTAGGAGTATGTGCCCGTAACAATAACTGAGACTTGGTCAGTCCCAGCAGCCATACTTCAACCAGTCATATACTGCTGAATGTTCAAATTGTGTCCAGATAAGGTAAACTCTGAGCTGTAATCAATTCAGCTGTTTCTGGACCTCACTTTTTATTTTTGTATATCACTTCTTTTTTTGTCTATAAACTTGTGACCATAAGGCATCCCTTGAGTCTCCCTCTGGATCTTTTATGATTTTGGGGTCTACTCAATTCATTTATTGTTCATTGCTCAATTAAACTCCTTTAAATTTAATTCTGATGAAATTTTTCCTTCATTAGATGATGTCAGAAGTGGGATCCAAAGTAGAGGTTCTAACGACCCCCAAGAACACTGAGTGACCAAACAAGGTACCTGCTGGACTCACTTGTGTCTGCTGATCTTTCAGGGCAGCTGGGGATTGTGGTAAGTTTTCTCTAGGAGTCTGAAACTCCATGGATTTGTGCTTTGAGCTCTCTGAGTTTCTTTGAGCAAATTTCTTTTGGAAATTTGGGTTTGGAAGTTGTGACAGAAACTGGACTGGGTCCAGAATTGGATTAGATCTGGTAATTAACTGGGTTGGATCCAGTTAGAGGTCTCTTACATCTGACTGGGTCAGACAGAAATTGGCAGTAAATGGTAATATTGCAAGAATTGTAAAATTTGGCTTTTGGAAATTCTCAGGGATTTTTGTTTTCTACCCCTTTGTTTCATTTTTCTTGTATGCTTAGGTAAGAAAAAAAATCATTGGCAAGGGAAAGGAAACCCAAGAGCAAAGACACTACCTTAGATAAAAATGGGATCTTTAATTTCTGAAGAACTGAGTTCTTTCTGGCTTATACGTGCATAAATGTTAGGCCCCAGAAGCAGCAAAGTCTTACAGAAATGGCAAAATCTTACTAAAGATAACTTGCTGTGGAACATTCTGAATGAACAACAACACACTGATGTACATTTAAAAATGAGGGCTCCTAAATTAGTCTCATCTAGGGATGCCTATTAATGTGCAGAAGTTTCTAAAAAAATTTCAGTGGTTTTATTTAAGACTTTACAAAAGGCAAATAAAAAGCTTAAGGGACTAATTGATTAAAAAAAATCTGTCTCGTACTTTTTGCTGATGGGAATGGGTGATGGGATTAGGCATGCACAGGATCATGGGATACAGGAAACATTTTTCTTCTTGAAGGAGGAGCTGGAGAGCTGATGGGACTGCTTGAAAGTCCCTTCGTGACTGAAAAGTGGTCACCTGAATTTTTGATTCAATATCTCTGCAATGGATGAATCATTCTCTGGCCTCCCTGAGCTTCTTGCCTTCCCCACCCTACCTCAGGCAATACTACTCTCTCTCTCTCTGTGCAAACTGGTTGTGGGAATGATAAAAATCACTATCTCTTGCAAAGGTTTAATTAATGAGAAAAGGATTCATGAGGCTAGTCTTAAGCTGTACTGAATCTAGTGTATTTTGTGCTATGAATTTGTCTTTCTGTGTCATTCTGTCACAAAGAGGGGTACCTTAGGATAGAACATGGGCTTAGGACCCCATAAGCTTGCTGTTCAAGACAGCCCAGCAAGCTGGTCAGTTACAAACTTTGCTGCAGGTCCCCAACACAAACAAAAAACTGGATGAGGTCTCTATCTTGATTTTTGTCCTTGGGAGCTTGAACTTGTAACCATGTGGTGGTACTTTCTTTTGGTCTCCACCATCTTGGGAACAGGAGTTTTGGGGTTCATGTTATAGTTAGCTCTAAAAATTATCTTGAGTAGATAAAAGCCATTGCAAGTTCAAAATTGACTACTCTAGACTCGACTCCTTCTGGGAAAAGCAATGGAACCTGCCCAAATGCTGTAGCTCACCAGCTAAGGTTTTGTCATTTTATCATTTTAGATGCCATTTTATCATTATAAAGCCTGGTTCAATCTTATATTGAGTACTTCCTGGTTAATATCTTTGTGACTTTTTCCATTTGTTTCTTCTCTTCCCCTCCATGAACAACTTCTTGTTTCCTTTCTTAAATTTTCCCTACCTTGAGCTACCTTGAAAGACTCTAGATTTTGTAAAATCTGCTTACCACCTCTTTGAAAATACCTCATACACTCATAGTTAATTCATAACCTTAGTTGAGGCTTGTTGATTTCGCTTATTAGGTTACCTTTGGTGAAGTTTAAAAGCCCAAAATATTGGCTGTTTGGCCTCGCAAAAGTATCATAATAAAAAATTTAAAAGGACATTTTTTTTTTAGAGAGCATTATGGTTAAAAGTCAGCTTAATTAAAAGTGGATATCCAAGCTATAGGTATATTTAAAAGGCCTTCACGTTTTTTTCTCTTTTTGGACCTTGTTTTTCTGGGAAAAAGGTTTCTATTTCTTCTTGTTGACTGAATTATTTTTCTCCATTTTGTCTTGCCACTCTTAATGCACACATGAGTGGCCCTAAGATAACTTTTAATAGCCTGGAAGTCTTTGGGAAAAACAGAGAAGGCATCACAGACCAAGATTTGAGAAAAAATCTCTGTTTTGCTCATGAAACTCCAGGAATTGAAAGTTAATAAGTTCCTCTCAAAACCTAAGTCTCTGTTCTGTTTTGTATTGTGTTATCTGATGGTTTTTAGTTTGGGGGTGTCAGAAATTACTTCACACCATGAGAGAGCTTTGGTGTGTAATAACTAGGTAGGCAATAGACTGTTAGGGCTGGCTAATGGCAGTTATAAGGGAATACTTAGCTCTTTGCACCTTTGGATCAGGGAAGCATGCTCTTGGCCACCTAGAAAGCATGGAAATGTCCTCATGTCCCACTGAAGGATAAAAATTCCGTGAGGGATGGGCTAATTGCAAAATGGGCTAATTGGTTTAGGGTTGCCATGCAATAAAGTGCACGGTAAAGGTATTGCACTATCTTTTCCTGTAGCATTTTTCTCTTTTGGGGGTTCCAGGATGTGATATAAAAATAAGATCCTAAATTTTGGAGATCTGTTTTTGTCTTCCAGCTGTGCCTGCTTATTAGGCCCTAGAAACTGCATGTTTTCCTGGCCCTGTTACTTGAAGAACTCCACCCTAAAGCCAGTAATCCAATTAAGCAACTTTAAAACTGGCAAATGAAAGATCTTATAAATTCTGGTTATTCTTCTATCTGTCTGTGTAGTTATATGTATTGTGTGTGTGATGTTTATGTAAAAGAGCTCTAATTAATTGACTTTAAGAAAAATAAGTGCTTAAATCAAATATTTTAAAAGAAAAATGAAAACTAATGCCTTTTAGATAATGTGACTTTACAAATCTTTGGGAAGTAAAGACAGCTTTAAAGATTATTAATAAAATGAAGACATTTGGTCTAAATTAGGCAGGTCAGGTATTAGGTTTGCTCAATGCTTTAAGGTCATAAACTGCTTATTTGCTTTTGAAAATTGTTCCACTTGTCTGCTTTACAGCTAGGTAAGGCCTGGGGGCATGTGGAGTTAGCCACACCCCTACCTATGCTGGAAAGAGTCAAACCTTATCTGCACTTCTGTCTGGTGTCCTAAGCTCCACTCCTACTACATAATTAAAATAACTTACCAGGTTTTTCACCAAAATTAAAAATTTCTAAGAGTTGCCATTAAAACATGTAATTGAGACTACTATATGAGTGATTGAAGTATGGCTGCTGGGAATTGCCAAAACTCAGGTATTGTTACAGGTACATGCTCCTAAGTTAGGTTTTCAATCTTGTCTGCCTATTAAGTTAGGTTATAGTTCATCCACAAGGACTCAAATATAGAAGTACAGAGTCCTTCTCAGGCCATATTTAGTTTACTTTAAAAATTCCCTTCTTTTTGGCAGCCTCTCAGTTTAGACAGATTGACCAAAACTTTAGGCATTGATGCCACTCTCTGTCACCATCATAAAGACTTATTTGGTCTCAGGGTAGAATTTACAAGTCTCCTTTAGTTTCAGTATGGAGCTTCACAAGTCTTCTTTGGTGTCAACGTGGAATTCACAAGTCACAGCTCTATACCAGCTGAATGATTCTTTATGTTCTTGCTGACCCATTTCTTGATGATTTGTTATGTTCTTGAGGTCATTCCACTCTCAATGGATGACTGCATCTGAAACATTTAAGACTTGAGAGAATATACCACATGAGGGGGACTGTTGTTATGATTATCAATAAGATCACATCAAAATGCCATTGCATACTCCTTAATAAGAGTTCCTATGAAACAAACCAAACCAAATTAAATGAATTAAGGTTAAGACAATATAGGCAGTCTAACAGTATTAGGGTCTAAATGGACATAGTCCTCATTTGGAGTGTGATAACAATCAAGGACCATAGTGCACTGTAAAGTAGCCTGATTTTAAGAAGTACTCATTTTTATTGTTACCCTGGTAACACAAGTCATAATATCTTAGAAACCTTCTAGAATTAATATAAAGATTAGAAACCCTTGGAAAACCCAAGCTTGCCATTCACCATTTAGGATGCCTGCAAACCAACTGTTGGTTGCTCCTGTAAACACATCATGGGTTCCTTTCTCTAGGGAGATTTATTTAATGTATTTGGTGGCAGTGTCTAAGGAAACATCAATATCAGCCACCTTTTTTTTTTTTTGAGACAGAGTTTTGCTCTTGTCACCCAGGCTAGAGTGCAATGGTGCGATCTTGGCTCACTGCAACCTCTGCCTCCTGGGTTCTAGCGATTCTCTTGCCTCAGCCTCTCGAGTAATTGGGGTTACAGGTGCCTGCCACCTATCAAAATTCTAGCTGTCTTTTCCTGAAGAAATTGACAAGTCGATTTTAAAATTAATACGCATGAGTCCCAAAATAGCCAAACCAATTTATAAAAGAAAGAAAAAAGACAACTTATCTTTTCTGAATTCAAAACTACTAAAAAGCTACAAGACATTGTGACACTTCCATAATGATAGACACAGCTCAATAAAATAGAATGGAGAGATCATAAATAAACCCTGTGTTTATAAGCAAATGAATTTTCACATAGATACCAAGACCATTTGATGGGGAAAATAAATGGGATAATTGTATTTCCACATGGAAAAGAATGAAACTGTTGCCCTTCTTCAAACCACATAAATAATTTAAGCCAAAATGATGAAATATGTAACTGTTAGAAGTAAAATTATAAAATTATTAGAAGGAAATATAAGAGTAAATCTTTATAAATTGGATTTTTATAGAGACTTTATAGCTATAACATACACAAAACAATCACAAGCAACACAAAAATAGAATAAATTGAACTTCATCAAAATTAAACTTTCGTGCTTCAAAATATACCATCAAGATTGAAAAGACAACTCAGATAATCAAAGAATGTTTGCAAAATATACATCTGGTAATAGGCTTTAATCTATAAAATATAACCCTTTCATTCCTATAATAATAAGAAAAACTAATTAAAAATAGTCAGTGAATAATAATTTACATTTCTTTAAACAATGTATACAAATGGCCCATAAGCCCATGAAAGGATGTATTTGTCCCCCAGTTGCTGGAAATTTTATTTCATCTTTTAAATTGTTTTCTCTCTCCCTGTTTCCATTTTGGAAGTTTCTATTGACACATATTCTACCTCACTGTTTTTGTTTTGTTTTGTTTTGTTTTTCCTCTGCTGTGTCCATTCTACTGATAGAGCCATCAAAACCATTCTTCATTTCTGTTAAAATGTTTTGATTTTTAGCACTTCATTTTTACTTTTTGTTAGAGTTTCACACTGTTTACATTACTCGTCTGTTCTTGCATGCTGTTCACTTTTTCCAGAACATTTAGCATATTATATATATTTAAATTTCTTGTATGGTAATTCTAAAATCTTTATATTTGAGCCTGAATTTGGTACTTGCTTTGTCTCTTTAGACTGTAATTTTTTCTTTTAGCATACCTTCCAATTTTTTGTTCAAAGCGGGATATGATTTATCAAGTAAATAGAACTGAGGTAGACAGTCCTTTAGTGTGATATTTTATACTTATCTGGTGAGTAGTTAGGCTGTTTGCAGTAGCTGTGGTATTTTAGGCTAACATTTTCTCTAGTGTCTTTGTATTTGTCTTTGAGTTTTCCTGGAGATTCTTTAAGTAGGACCTGAGGTTTGCAGTTATTTTTAGCTGTTATACCCTTTTATTATAAAGGGGCAATATTGATGTGACGGTAAGATGTGTGTGTGTGGCAGAGGAGGGTTTTGTGTAGTTCTATAATTAGTCTTAATCTTTTAATGAGCTTGAGTTGACTGTTTACCTTTTTTCACCTCAAAGCCTGGAGAGCCCTGGCATTTGGGTATTTTCCTTTCCCCAGGTGTTAGGCTTGGGTAAAACTCCAGTGGGTTAGGCCTTGGTAGTTTTCCTTGAGGGTAGGCTTTGTTAAGGAAAAAAGAGAACTCTGGGCCTGAGTAACTCTAAGAATAGTTACTCTGCCCCTTCTCCCTGGTAGAAGCGCCAGGGAATTCCCTCTGTCCCCCATCTTCACAATAAGAGTCAGCTAGAGCTTATGCAGATAAAACCCAAATGTACAGGGGCTCACCTAAGACTGGGCTCCATCAGAATTGCTAACTCTCAAGCTAGTCTATACTGAGCATCCAGAAATTTGTCGATTACTATTAAAGATGTTCTTACCAGCATTGGCTGCAGCTTCAGGCTTTTGCTTCTGGGCTTTTAACTTCTGGGCTTCAGCTCCAAGTAAACCATGATTTTCTGTATCTATCTGCCTATACATCTTACCAGTTATTCTGGCAGGAGTTTGCCCTGTGATCTAAATTCTCTGATGCATTTAGGAAGAGTTGGTAATTTTTATTTTTTAAATATTTTTTCCTGTTGTGAGGAAGACAGGAGTGATGACTTCCAAGGTCTTTACATAACGGACTGGATGAAGCAAATTATATTTCAAAAATTGGCAATTGCTATGAATAAGAATGAATAGATTTTCAAAACTAATATTCTTGCTAAATTCGGCTTATAGATCTATAGGTTTTCTCTTTTAAAGCAATTAATTAGAATTATGTCATTATTTTATCAACAATCCCGCTTTGACGTTAATTTATTTTCACTAAACTTTTTAAATAAAATGATCTCCTCACCCCCACCTCAAAAAAAGCACAGAAGGAGATTTGGTATTTGAGACCTAAGAGTAACAAACCTAATTCCTTGCCACATATTCTTGCAAAAGTTATTGGGTTCAGGTTGCTCATTTTTTAAGAGAAATAAATCATTATTTGGGGTTTTATGAGGCTGGCAAGATTTCACTATAGTAGAAAAGGTATCCATTTTTTCCCTAATTAAATCTTTCTCCTAGAACTCTATTATAACATTTAAATTTAAAGGGTTGGCAAATATTTAGCAGAATTTGACATGTATGATGAAGACCATAAAAATTGGTTCCCAGGAATGAAATGGGAACATGGAAACGGTGTGGGGGCTTCCTGAGGAAGCAGGATAAAGACTGTTTTCACTTCACTGTGTATGCACAAAAAACTTAGAGGAAGAATGGCTAAACTGATTATCTTTTGGGGGTACTGACATCTGAGTACATTGATCATAATGCTTGTCAGAGGTTGACTCTAGAGATGGCAGTTCAAGTGTTTCAGAAAAAGAAATTATTCATACAGAGTATATAAAAATATTATCATGTGAGGTTTAGACTTTGGTAAAAGATGTTGATTAAATGAATAATATATTAATACATATGTGTATATATACATGCATGCATTGATAAATATATGTATTTTTAAAATAATTTTCTATTTCAACTAATTTGTATTCATTTTTGTCACACAAATTTCAAAATTAAAATAGAGAAATGGTAAAATACAAGGTAAAAATGAACTTCAGTCATCAAGGCCGTATTAGTAGGTCTCTGAAAGTATTTTAGTGATACAGTTCTTAACAGATTCTGCTGTTAGAGTGAAGAGTGACTGTTCTGCCTATGATTGTTCAGCTTGAGTCTAATTTTGCTTTGTTTCAGAGCCCTTTTTACATCTCAGCCTGACAGAAAATTTCTAATTTTTCCGCATATAAATATTTTGGAAAATATGTTACTTTCCTCACTCTTCATGTGTCAGTCACCTTACAATATTCAATAGAATACTTTATAAACCCACATTAAAATACTTGTATCTGAAGTATGTTACCACTATTTGAAGCTGCATGAAGGAACTGGGTAGTTTTTTGACCTAGAGGACTAACAAGATGTTCAAGAAACCTCTTGAAGTCAAATCTTACCAATTAGTAGAGACAAAGCAAACTGAGCATCCAAACTCAGAAATGGAGAAATACATTAAATGACAACAACTGGATGTGATTATTTTAGTTTTTTATTTTACAGCTATGGAAGTTAAATTGAATTATCAATATCTGGAAATCTTAGATAAATAAAACTGTAATATTCATTACAAAATTGTGGCAGAATTCTCACATTGGTTCAGAACCCCAGATTCATGAGAGGGGAGGTTACCATCTGTGGGTCATGCAGCTTCCAACGCAGTTTGTTTTTGGTGAAACCTAACAACATGCTACCAATTCAGCAAATTCGGCAAAGGATCCTAGATTATTACTTCAAAGCTCCATTCTACTTAGCATAATCCCTCAAAAAGAAGAAAATTAAGTTTATTTTCTCACATCAATTTTAAATATACAACAGAGAAATGATAGGATTCAAGTTTAATACTGATGGGGGTTTGGCTCTGTTTTTAAAAAAATGGGAACATTCTAACTGCATCAGAGACATAGGATGGCTACATTACTCTCCCTTATTTTCACAATGATTTATCCATTTAGCAAGTATATACTGAGTATTCTGTGCCAAGCACTCTTTAGGCAAAGCTATCTGAAATATACATAATATATATTATAACATATAAAATATATATTATTCATAGTCTAATGTTTGGGGCAGAAATAAATAGCTAAACAAATAAATGCATATATAATATCAGGTAGCTCTAAGTAACAAGAAGACAAATACATTTGTGTATTGGATGAAAAAGGAATAAAAGTTACTATATTAGTTTTAGTGGTCATGATATGTTTCTTTGAACAGTTCATATCGTACAGAAATCTGAATAAAGTTATAGAGAGTCTCATACAAAATATCTTCTTGAAGAAGGTTCCAGTTAGAATAAACAGGCACTGTGAATGTGTTCAAATTCTTGCTTGGCATTTTGGAGAAATATAAAGAAGGTCCATGTAGTTGGACACAGTTCTGAATATTTTACTTAAAAGTTGCCAGGTGCTTTGAAACAAGTTATGATATGGCTTTCACTGGTGGTTCCCAAACTTGAATGCAAATTGTATTCACCTGGAGATCTTTAGAACACTATTGTCTGGATTCTACCCCTGAACATTGTCATTTAATTAGTAGAGTGTGCTACCTCGGCACCTGCTTCCCAAGTGATTCTAATGAGCAGCAAAGTCTGGGAATTTAACTGTGCTCTAAATTACATTTGAATCCCTGGGCAGCATAAATATCAAATTATTTAACAAAACAGAACATCGTCTTCACAATCTTGTCTGTTTCTATCCAATCTTATTTTCCACTAGATCTTTTGCTGTATTTTTCAGCAGGTTTCCCAAGTCCTTTTTTTTTTTTCTTTTAATTCAGTGCTTCTGCTCATGCTGGGCCATATGCCTTGAATTTCTTTTCTGTTTATGTATTCTCTCTATCTTTGAATAGCTCCCAATTTAAGGCTAAATTACAATTTTTTTTGAGAAGTCTTCTACCTCTACTAAGCTAACATGCCCATTATCCAAGTTTTGAATATACGATTCCTGTTTATTCTTGTTGCTGCAGCATAATTATTAATAATGACTCTCATTTTACCCATAAAAGAGTCCTAGTTTACACCAAAATTTATATGATGACCCTCTAGTCTGTACTCCCACAGTTCACATGATGTTTTTCATTTGTTGTAATATATCATAATTTTTAAGTAAGTTGGGTACATTGTTGTGAACTCTGTAAGAGGCAGACCACACAACATTCTCTTTTGTAACCCCCACAACAAGCACATTGCCCATAACACGGTAAATATTCACATAGAAGGTTGAACGGCTTTAATGGAAGTACAGAAGTTAATGCATGTGACAAATGATGCAATATTTGCATGAAATAGCACAAGTGTTGGTATTTTTAATTTTAAAATTATTTTAATTCTTCCTCTTAAGGCCAGTTTTTCATCAGCTGTATAGAATATTATGAATTACATTTACACAAATTCAGTCAAGGTCACTTCTGTTACACAGCGACAATGATTTTACCAATATAGTCTGAAACAAATAGAGGTCAGTGTACATTTTCTCATAGCCTTGCTCTCAGCTTTCTTCCATGAACTGCAGAAGGTTTCAATTTACTGAAGCACCGAGGTAGGTAAGATCCAATCAAAAGCAAAATCAATAAATGCTAACCTCGAAGGGCTAAATAGTAGTGACATCAGTCACAAAGAAAAGTTGTTTGCAGGCTTGAAATACTATTGTTCTGTAAAGGTAAGAGAATAAAACTGCAATTATGGACACTTGTAAGTTTTGTTTATCCTAAAATATTTAACCTGCAGACAAAGAGATAACAATGTCATGTATTGTATAGGTAGAATAGTGCTAAACAATGAGAGATAATTTGATCTTCTCATCATAACTGAAAATATTTTCTCATCGCAACATATTTCTATAATATATTCAAAAAGAATCACAAAAATGTTTTTAAATGTTTGTGATAACATTTATATAAATGATTATTTCTCATAATATTAATGCTTTTAAGGCCTATGTGTGAAGATTTTATGAATTTTACATTTTGAACAAAATGTAAAAAACATAAAGAGTGAAACTATGGCTCAAAAATTTATAAAAAGGTCATTAAAAGCATATGTCCCAATTCTGCCCCTTAATGCTGCATGAACTTGATCAAGTGATCTTCACTAACTCTATTCTCATATTTGTAACACAGTACCACTTGTCTAGAGCATAGTAGGTGTTCATTAAGTAAATATTTAATAAATTATGGTGTGCAATAGTAAATAAGGAATTGAAGCTATATAGTTATGATTGCTTGTTTGGAGAGGAATCCTTGATTTTCCATCAATGATTTTGTAGTAATAAAGAAGTCAAATTTTTTGACTGCCAGTTATAACTTGTGACACAGTTTATTTTAAAATTTTAACTGAATTTTAATATTGTCATTCATTGTCCCTTCAATGATTCATGAATCATTTGATTGAACATTAGGCAATCGCTTAATTTGACCATTTTAGACCCACAAAACTATTAGTTTCATATTTGACCTAACAGTTGCAATCCTCACACACTTCAAATTTTTACAAAGATTATCATTTTGTATTTTTTCAATCTCTGTAAAGAAAATCAAGGTAAGAATTGCACATGAACCCTTTGGTCAATATGATTACATGGAAAGCTAGAATCCTGGACTCATGAAAATGTCTTTAAATGTTCTTCGTACTGTTTCTACCACACGGTTTGTTGTTCTATATTCAGTACAGGAATCATTATTCTCTCATTTACATTTAGTTTATTTTTTCAGTACTTCTACCTTGTCATTCAGTTACCCAGTCTTTAAAATAATTCCATAGTACAGCATAGATGTAACACTAGGAGGAAGGTTGAGTTCAGCAAATTACGGTCAAGCATACTGATATTGGGCAGTCTGTGTCTTTTCCAGAAAAGATTATGATTCACCCAGGAAAGAGATGGATGTTAAGACAAGGAACTGAAATGAGGAAGATAAGTATCACATACCTCTGTGTAGGGGTAGACAGGTATAAGGACATCCTAGATAACAAAAGACTCTGCCACACTGAGCAGGTTAGGGCCCATGTGGATGTTGTACTCTCTCACGTTTACACTCTTGTTATCACCTCAGGCCTAATAAAATTCTGATTTAACGTCTTGCCTGAGCTCATCTCTTCTAGGTGGAACGGATAATGGGGTCAAGCAGTTAAGTGTATTAAAGGGAAAGCAGGGCTCCTTGAAAACTATGTATTACCATAATAACTGATTGGAAATCCCCAGGGTAAGATAAACAGACAGGAAACCAGAATGTGACCTAATGAGGTTTAGCGGCACTTTTTCAACAGAATATTGTCCCTTCTGTAACAATTAAAGTTATTTAACATTGATTTTATGAAAGTTTTTGTAAAAAGTGAGCTTTCTTTTCAAATTCTGAAGAAATAATTTGTGGGAAAAACAAATTTACTTTTTCTATCACAGAAGAGGCAAAACAATTATTTTTATTATTGCCTCTACAATGATATTCCATTAAATTAATCAGGTTTTTAAATCTGTAAAATAATACAGTTGTATAGCCAATACATTTGGGCTTTTGCAATTGATTTATAGGTAAGATGAATACAAATCTTACTGCAAGGCACATAGTGAAAACCCGATAATTGATGCCAGAAAGTGCCCCTGTTTTGGGGAGGGTGACACGTGGTAGATCTCTGTAGCTGCAGCTAGCACTATAGGGATGATATTTTGTTGTTTGTTTGTCTGTTTGCTTTTGGGTTGGTTTGTTGGTTGGTTTTGCTTATCTGAAACCAAGAATTTGTTAAAACTAGAAGGGCAAACTGATCCAGGAATAGAGGAATACATCAAAGCCCAATATATCAGTTTGGAAGTTCAGGGTTTTTTTAAATGATAAAGTTAGAAGCAAATATAAACACAAAACTATGCAGTGGCAATCCAAGGAAGAAACAAGAGCAGAAGAAAGCCACAGGGCAGGAACTTCATCTGTCTTAAATTGGCTCTAGTTCCTCCTGGCGGACCCCTGTACTTTTTTGAAATGAAAGAAAAAAAAATATAAATTACTTTTCTTTAAAAAAGGTAACTGACTGAATTAAACAATAAACAAATACGTTAAAAGTAAATGAGAATGATTTCTGCAGCTCATTTTAGGCTGTAAATTATTTAGCATATGATTCTTTATTTTCAATTGCATAATTAGCCTTGAAATTTTTGAGTATGTTTATATTTTCTTTTTAAAACTAGTGCCCAGGATAACAACCATATCCTTTGCTTGACATCACATTTTTGTTAATTAACCCTACTCACGCTCATACTGTTTTTCTTCTGGAAATCTATGCTTACAAGACAGGTGTATTAGTCAGGGTTTTCTGGAGGGAAAGAACTAAAAGGAGATATATATACATATAAAAAATATATAATATATAATATATTATATATAATATATTATATATGTATATTCCCCTAAATATATATAGAGAGAGGAGTTTATTACATATATATATATATATATATATATATATATATATATATATATATATATATGAGTTTATTAAGTATTAACTCACAGGATCACAAGGTCCCACAATAGGCTGTCTGCAAGCTGAGGAGGAAGGAGAGCCAGTCCGAGTCCTAAAATTGAAGAACTTGGAGTCTGATGTTCGAGGGCAGGAAGCATCCAGCACAGGAGAAAGAGGTAGGCTGGGAGGCTTTGTCAGTCTTTTCTCTTCACGGTTTTCTGCCTGCTTTATATTCTCTGGCAGCTGATTAGATGGTGCCCACCAGATTAAGGGTGGGTCTGCCTTCCCCAGCCCACTGACTCAAATGTTAATCTCTTTTGGCAATACCCTCACAGACACAGCACCCAGAATCAATACTTTGTATCCTTCAATCCAATCAAGTTGACACTCAGTATTAACCATCACATCAGGTGAGGTTTTACAGAAGCTTTTCTTAATGGAACGCTAAACTGGCACAAAGCAGGCTGCTTTGCTTTTATATAATTTAAAATTTACTACTCACTGTAGCCTTTAGGACTCCTTTGTGGTAGTGATCTCTGTGGAAATCACACCTCATTGTGCAAATCCACAAGGTCATAGGAGAAAATAATTCTCAAGCTCTTTTCGAATGCAATTAACTTCTTTTCTGGTTCAAACTCCTTGAGTTATAGCAATACATCTACCCATGAAAGCCAAAAATGTATTCCCATTTGTTTGAGTGACCCAAGTACATAACAGCTGTATAGATCACTGGTTATTATGGGTTGTGTGTCATGTAAAGAAGACCTTCAGCTTTACTGTAATAAGTCTTGGTTCACTTGGTTTTCAAGTGTCCTGTCAATTTTGGTTAAATATTGATAACTTTGCACAGCAGAATGCAGAATGTTCATTTTGTGGGTAGATAGCAGACAACTAACAGGTAGAGTGAAGCTTTTTATATTCTGTGAAAGTGCAGAAGTCATATATCATATTGACATAACAAAATCCCATTATACAGAACCTCGTACAAAGAGTACAAATAATGACAGTATCCTACATGTAAAGTCATAAGGTTAAATAAGACATTTTGACCTTTAATAAAAACATGAAGAAAATTGTCCTAAAATAAATTTATTAACATACCTCTAACAGCTGAAAGATATTCAGCATACTTCAGGAAACATGATTTACTTTTCTCAGGGAAATTCTTGAAAATCAGAAAGACTACATGCATTATTAACTATTACTACCTAATAGAACCCTCAGATAGAGTTTTTAAAATTTTTCAATTAAAAAATATCAGTGATACAAATGTATATTCATAAGGTATTTGTATATCTTCAAGCTGCAACTATTTTATACTTTAGTAAATTATTGTGTACCTTAACTCTATAAAAATATACATTATTTTCTTTAAGATTTAACATCTTAGATCTTTAAGTAGACAGTTGATTAGCATGATTAAAAGTTAAATCAGGCAATTTTTGAAATAAAAATACATTTTCTATAACAAAAATATTGCTTGAAACATAGTGAAGATGTTTAATGTAAAAGTAATTTTGTTGTCTCTCATTTCATTTTTGTTTCAAAAATATGGAGCAAAAGTATTTTTATAACATATCCTGTGCTAAGTACACAACTACTAGCTCACAATAGCAGTGAACAGGTCAGACCTTAGCTTCATACAAATATTTCAAGTTACAGGACAACACATAAAACACATAATTATTGGCTGGGCACGGTGGCTCATGCCTGTAATCCCAGCACTGTTGGAGTCCAACGAGGGCAGAACACAAGGTCAGGAGTTCGAGACCAGCCTGGCCAACATGGTGAAACCCCATTTCTACTAAAAATACAAAAAAAAAAAAAAATTAGCCGGGCGTGGTGCTGGATGCCTATAATCCCAGCTACTCAGGAGGCTAAAGCAGGAGAATCGTTTGAACCAGGGAGGCGGAGGTTGCAGTGGGCCGAGATCATGCCATTGCCATTGCACTCCAGCCTGGGTGACAGGACGAGACTCCGTCTCAAAACAAACAAACAAAAAACCCTTAATTAGGTAATGGAGATTTTAATAAGCAGTGCATCGGTTCTCTTTTACATACAACGTTATATCCTCTAGGCCCTGTCCCATTGCAGCCACTGAGTAGTATCTAGTCCCTCACAAGCTCTGAACAGCAGCTGTGTCTTCACAACCTGATTATCTTGCCGGCACAACTTTCTTGTCTTCTTGTCAGTTCAGCTATGCAAACATGCTTGTCCCTCATATATACAGAGCTAAGAAGTGAAGGGGATTTAAGGCACAGTGAGCAACAGTGGGTGACTCTTGCCCGATGGGAAACAGAAGCTGATGTATAAATATTTTTATTTTCTCCATTCCCCAGCCTGCTCCATGCCAGTTCTCTGGGATAACATTTGCAAATAGACTATTCATACATAAATTTTTATCATAGCCACTGTTCAGGAGAAAAACCCAGGCTAAGATAATGAGTACCATAAATACATTTAAATAGTAAACACTTGGGATGGGACTATGGAGCTGTATTATTCAACAGTCAAAAAGCAATAATAATCCTTTGCAGAAGCAATAACTCTGGCATGCAGCAATATGGCATAATTATGCACACTGTCACTTGTGCCTCATTGGGAAGGGTGCAGGTGAAAGCTGAAGTGTTGGCTTTTGCAAAGGTTGTGGTACTTCATCAATATGAGGGAAAGACTAATTATAAATATGGGGAAAAGTGGTATGGCTTTTTAAAACTAATTTGAAAGCCTTTACAAAATAACCATGTGGTGCCCTGATATTATGAAATGCATCATCATTCAGAAACAGTCAGCCTGATGTAATAGTGAAATTACTTGTTGAAGACTCAGCTAAAAGCCAGATGTAGAACAATTCTTTGGAGAGCTGTTTTTCAGGATGGAAAATATTTATTGAATCAATAGCCAGTGTTTGAAAGTATGACTGCAGCATGGTGCTGAAGAAGCAAAAACATGAGAGGAGGGTATGAGTTAGTCAGGAGAGAGATGATTCAGGGTCCTATGATAAGGGAGATATACACATATATAAAATGTATACACGGATAAAAATAGACAAAGATATATAAATATACATGTCTATATATTTATCTGTATATAATTTAGAAAAAATTAATGCTTATGCTTCAGAGATATATGCTCAGAGATTGGAGGAAATTAGATTAAAAAAAAAACTTGGAGAGTAAGGAAGTTATAAAACCAGTGATCCAGACTATTTCTAAAATTGATTTTCTAAGAGAAGGAATAAATTGACTTTATGAAAGTTAATTGATGGTCTCAATGAGAGTAGTTTTGATGCTATGGAAAGAAGCCTGAACAAATAGAATAATATAAACATTTTTTCATTCAATAAATATTTATTGACCAACTGCCATGTGCCAGGCACTGTTCTAAGTACCTGGGAAACATCAGTGAAGAAAACTAATGAAGAGCCTTTATCACCTCATGAAAACAAATGAGAAAAAAAAATAACATATTAAATTAGTCACTGAGTATATTAGAAGGTGACAAAAACAAAAGAAAAAGTAAAATTAAAAGTGGAGCTGGGAAAGTAGGACCAGGAGTGTAAGGGGAAGAGTTGGCAGACTGCTATTTTAAAGAGGTTAGTTAGTAAGACAGGAATCATTAAGGAGGCATTTGAGGAGAAAATCAAAGAAGGAGGCTCATTGATGGAGGACAGAAAGTCAGTCACATGTGTGTAATTGGAGAAAAAAAGTTCCAGCCAGAGAAAAGAGCCAGTGCAAAAGATTCACAGTGAAAGACCGTGTGGCTGATTGAAACCTATAACAGAAGACTAGAAATAGATAAAGACAATCAATAAATAGGAATGCCGAATCATTTAGAACCTTGCAGGCCATTGTCAGCAATTTGGCTTTTACCTTGAGAAAGATGGATTTAGTGGAATAGCATCATTTGATTTGTGTTTTAAAAATGATTGCTCTAGCTGTTCTGTAGTGAAATGATGCTGGAGGTATAAGGGTAGAAGCTAGAAAACTAGTATACGTTTCACAGTCTAGCCCACTGCCTATTTTTGTAAGGCATTCAATGAAAACATTTTTTTTCAGGTAAAATTGACAATCAGCTTGATGATAAGAAATACAGGAATAGATTCCAGTTCTGTCGTTATTAGGCATATGTTATTTAAAGAATTGTGTTCAATTAGTATTATTACATTTGAATTTTGTCAATAAAAATGTTTTCTCTCTTGTTCTATACGTACCTACATCATATCCTGGTTTTTGCCTCTTGTCCCTCAATGTGAAAAATTTTTACTAACTATACTAATACAATGTTAGAAAATGTATTATTAAATATATTAGTAAATTAGTAAATGTATTAGTAAAATATTTAATAAAAATGTGTAAAATATCTGACCCTTTAGAGAAAACATTTCCAATCCCCTGAGTTAGAAAACTACTTAATCCAGACAAAAGAAATTGTGTTTCACATCTGAGTCTTTACAATAGAACTGACAAAAAAATGGCAGAGTTCTAGATGTATTTTGGTAAAGAAAATAGAATTAGCTGATGGATTAGATACAGAATATGAGACAAAGAAAGAGGACCAAAATGCAATCAACATTTTTGACCTGAGCAATTGGAGAGAGTAGTTGTCATCTCTAAAATACGGAAAGCAGTAGTGGGGCAGGTTTGAAAGCTAAAATCAGTAATTCATTTTTGAGATGTTGAGATTAAGTTGCATGTTAAATATGCAAGTAAAAATTACACATATGCAAGTCTGGTGTTGACAAGAGTGGTAGAGGAAGGTGAGGAAGTGGAAGCACTGAATGTCGATGCCTCTTTGAAGAGGAGACTTGATATATAGTATCAAGTAGTAGATATATATGAATCAAGCAGTAGATATATATGAATGAAAGTATAACCACTCGACAGGTTCTTACCCACTGCCTAGACTGAGCTGGTTTATCAAGACAGGCAAATTGCAATGGAGAAAGAGTGTAATGTATGCAAAGCCAACTGTACAGGAGGGTGGAGTTTTATTATTACTCAAATCAGTCTTCCCGAAAACGTGGGGATCACGTAGGGGATCAGAAAGTGGGGAGTGCTGATTAGTCTGGTTGGAGATGAAACCATAGGGAGTTGATACTATCCTCTTGCACTGAGTCAGTTCCTGGGTGGGAGCCACAAGACCAGATAAGCCAGTTTATCTATCTGGGTTCTGCCAGCTGATCCATCAAGTGGAAGGTCTAAAAAATATCTCAAGCATTAATCTTAGCTTTTACAATAGTGATGTTATCCTTAGGACTGGGAGGTTTGGAATCTTGCAGCCTTCAGCTGCATGACTCTTAAACCATAATTTCTAATCTTGCAGCTAATTTGTTAGTCCTGTAAAGGCAGTCTAGTCCCCAGCCAGGAAGGGGTCTTATTTCAGTGAAGTGCTGTTATTGTCTTTGTTTCAAAGTTAAACTATATTTGGTTTTCTGTTTTTGCGTTAGTTTGCCAAGGATAATAGCCTCCAGCTCCAACCACGTTCCCACAAAAGACATGATCTCATTTGTTTTTTGGCTGCATAGTATTTCATGGTGTATATGTATATGTATATGTATATGTAGTATTTCATAGTATTTCATGGTATATGTAGCATATTTTCTTTATCCAATCTGTCATTGTTGGGCATTTAGGTTGATTCCATGACTTTGCTATTGTGAATAGTGCTGCAATGAACATTTGTATGCATGTGCCTTTATCATATAATGATTCATATTCCTTTGGGTACATACCCAGTAATGGGATTGCTGGGTTGAATGGTAGTTCTGCTTTTGGTCTTTGAGGAATTACTATACTGCCTTCCACAATGGTTGAACTAATTTACACTCTCATCAACAATGTACAGGTGTTCCCTTTTCTCCACAATGTCGTCAGCCTCTGTAAATTTTTGACTTTTTAGTAATAGCTATTCCAACTGACATCATTGTGGTTTTGATTTGCATTTCTCTAGCAATCAGTGATATTGAGGTTTTTTTTCTTTTTTTTCCACATGCTTGTTGGCCTCATGTACATCCATGTTTTAATAGAGTTGTTTGTTTTTCCCTTGTAAATGTGTTCAAGTTCCTTATAGATGCTGGATATTAGACCTTTGTCAGATGCATAGTTTACAAATATTTCTTCCATTCTTTATGTTATCTGTTAACGCATGTTCTCATTTATAAGGGTGAGCTTAATGATAAGAACTTATGAATATAAAGAAAGAAACAATAGACACTGGAGTCTTCTTGAGAATGGAGGTTAGGAGGAGCAGAAAAGATAACTATTGGGTACTGGGCTTAATACATGGGTGATGAAATATTCTGTAACACAAACCCCAGTGACACGAGTTTACCTACCTACCTAACCTTCACATATACTCCAGAACCTAAAATAAAAGCTAAAAAATAAAGTAAAATAAAATTAAACTATAAACTAACTTCCTCCCAAAATTAGTTTGGCCTGTGCTCAGGAATGAACAAGGACAGACTGGAGGTTAGAAGCAAGATGGGGTCAGTTAGGTCAGATTTCTGACACTGTAATAATTTTCTCACTTATAATGTTTGCAAAGCCTCTTTCAAAAGGTCCAAAGATTTTATTTGGTATTATATTTCATCTTATTTTCAACATGAAGGATATTAAATTATGTGAATTGCTGATAGTAATAGGATGGTGCCAAAGATTTGGGGAGATTCAAGTTAGAGAAGACAGCAGGGAAAAATCATCAAGGTTTTGATTGATAGGCTCAATAAGCATGACTCCAGGGCAATATTGTAAACAAAACTTTATTTTAGCCTCCCATTTGTATTTATTCAGGTAATTTTTCTCTGCTCTTAGATGAAAATTTAGACAGGTTTTGTTACCAGAAAGGGATACCAATCCAGACCCCAAGAGAGGGTTCTTGGATCTCAGGCAAGGAAGAATTCAGGGCGAGTCCATAGAGTAAAGTGAAAGGAAGTTTATTAGAAAAGTAAAGGAGTAAAGAATGGCTACTTCATAAGCACGAGTAGCCCTGAGGGCTGCTGGTTGGCTATTTTTATGGTTATTTCTTGATTATATGCTAAACAAGGGGTGGATTATCCATGAGTTTTCCGGAAAAGGGGTGGGCAATTCCCAGGACTGAGGGTTTCACCCCTTTTCAGACCATACAGAATAATTTACTGACATTGCCATGACATTTGCAAACTGTCATGGTGCTGGTGGGAGTGTCTTTTGCTAATGCCTTATAATTAGTTTATAAGGACGACCAGAGGTCACTTTCATAGCCCTCTTGGTTTTGGTGGTTTGGGGCCAGCTTCTATACCACATGCTGTTTTATCAGCAAGGTCTTTGTGACCATACCTCGTGCCATCCTTCCATCTCTTCACACTTAGAATGCCTAAACTCCTGGAAATGCAACCCAGTACGTCTCAGCCTTATTTTACCAAGCTCCTATTCAAGATGGAGTTGCTCTGTTTCAAATGCCTCTGACAGTTTTATTACTTCTGGTCATTCTTACAAAATGGAAATTCCTAAGATCTTTTAAAATTTCAAACACAGTCTGAACTCAGTAATTATAGATTCTAATTGCAGTAAATAATCAAAATTGTGAAGTTAACTTAATGTCAAATATTTCCTCTCCATCACCTGGAATTCTTGGAAGTTTAGTGTGGGAAAGAGAGCCAAGTGAGGGCTGGAAATTCTTAAATATTCATAGGATGGAACCTTTTTCTCTGGGCATAGTCATGCTAATAGCTTATTTTCTCTTGTGTAATCCCCAGCCCAAATTCCTGGCAGTGCATCTCATTTGCAAGCAGCTTCCCATTCATTTCTTGGTTTTCTCTCCACATTGACTCCACACTTGGAGTTCTATTGCTTTTTCCATGTGTTGCTTTTGTGCTGAACTTAAATTGGCCTCAAAAAGGGATATTGTATTATGAGGTCTACATTTGATTCAGAGAAAACATGCTCAAAAATGTGGGGCTCCATTCAAAAAGAAGTACTCCTGTGTTCCAGACATAACAGTGACCCATCTTTGCCATGCTGCCCAAGCAGCTCATCTCCATGTGTTACCCCTAGCCTTCAGACTTCCTGGGATGGGTCAAAACTATGTTCTTGGCTCTGCCAAGTTCTATGAGAAATGATTCAAACTCTTTTTTTCTTCCTATCAATGTCTTCTCTTTGTCCCTTGGTGGTGGAATGCAGGGTGGGGTAATAGCAGCTCTCTCTCAAAAAATTGCTTTACAATTCTCTTCCTGGAGCTCCACCTTTTTTATACTTTATATTACTGAATTAGGTGAAGAGTTCAAGGGTTTTGAAACACGTTCTACATATACTTTTCAATTTCTACGTTCAGTCTATGATATTTTATCAGAATGTCATATGTATTGAGTACAGATGATGCAAATAGAATCTTTTCATTGAGTATTCTGTTACTTGTAGATTTACTGAGAAGATGGGAAAACTAGAAGTATAATGGAAAATAATCTAGCATATTGATATGGCAGACAGTCAGCATGGTTTTCATCAGAAATAATTTACAATGTTTCCAAAGCATGAAATGAGTCTTGCTTTAACAGTATTCTGAGAGGAGTTTATAAAAACAATTCTTAAACATATGTTGTAAGTTTTAGATAATATAACATTAAAAATCACATGATTTATTAAACATATATTGTTTGCAATTCAGTTTGGTGACTTGAACTTGCAAATCGCAACATGTAGCACCAAGACACAGCAGACCCTTCATTTTTTATCTGAATCCCATGGACACTCTTTTTTATTTACCTCACATCAAGAAAATAAGTCAATCAGGATAACTTTGGGAGAACGTTATTATGATTTTATGATTTGAGTTTCAGAAAACAGTTTGGACTAAAATAGAAGATATCAGAGACTTTTAGGGAGCCAGCTTTCTGTCGCCTGAAACACTTTAAAATAATGTAATTTATCATTTTCTGTTGATATTTGAATGGATTATCTTCAAAATGAATAAAATCCATACAGCATATAAAGGTGTTGAGGTTTGTTGGAGGAGGAACTGCTTTCAATGTTATAAGAATGAAGGAGAAAAAATAGATGCAAACATTGATTTTTGGTACGTTTACAGGTTTTGTGTCTGGTGGATTAGAGAATGCCTGAGTTGAATTTTGAAGCCAGATGGAAAAGTTGTTGTATGATTCCAAGCATGAACTGTAAATAATACCACATAAGAGAGTTGTGAGAAATGGGGATGAAACAGTAGTCAGGCGCTAGATAATAAAGGATTATGTGTGGCATACTAAGGAGTTTGTTAATTCTACAGGCAACAGAGGGTCATTAAACAATTTCATCAAGGTAAAATCTCATGCTGGTGCTATTTATGTAAAAGATTTATGGTGGATGAAGAATGAGAAGCAAGGATCCAACTAAGGATGCTATTACAGAAGTTTAGTTTAAAGATAATAAGAGGCTATACTGCCTCATAGTGTAAAAAAGAGAAGGAAAGAGAAACATTAATGAGGTCCAATTGGCTGGACTTGAAGAATAATAAGATGTGGAAAATGAGAAAGAGCCCAAAGTCAAGAATAAGATTCAAACTTTGACAGCAGCTCTATGTTTTGGTATCAACCAATATAAAATTTAAAGAGAAGAAATGCAGTTTAGAAATGAGGGGGAGGCAAAAATAATGATGAAGAAATAATTTGGTTTTGTAAATATTGATTTTGAGATGCCTACTGGATATCTAAATAGAGATATAAGGTAAAAAATTGTGTATCAAATTTTGAAGCTCAGGTGGAGGTGTAGGCAAGATAAATTGATTTGATGCTCATCAAGATAAGCATGTGTTGAAGTTTCAAGAAAAGATGAGATTATCCAGATATAACTAGCTTTGTGATGCTTTTTTCTATAGAAGTCTTATTATTTTTGCAAGCCATGGAAGATGAAAAAAATATTTCTTTGATCTTTAATCTGTATATTTTATTGAATTTTCCTTTTGAATTAAAATAAATGCATGCTTTTTACAATAAGCCAAGCAACTTTCTAAAATGTCATATGGTTTTGATTACAAATAACTTCATTAATATTATCTTCTGAATCTTTGTATGTTTTCTCATTCTCATAGTTCTGTAGTATTATTTTATGAGTCCCTTTTTTAAATTCTTTTTCCTGCCTGTTCATTCAGGGATAAAATATACAAAGCAATATTTTATAAAGTGCATGAATTGCCTTTAGGAATGCTTGCTATCTACATGAATATAAGTATGTAACTCCTTAGTTGATGTTAAGTTGGGGAACATTTGAGGCTGGGGTCCCTGGAAGAAATTTTCTGAATTAAATATTTATACATAGCAAATTTAGGGTTGTGCATTTGGGAAAAATTGTAAGTGAGGGAGGCAGGACTTGGCAGAGATTGAAGTTAAAATGTACTGCAAAGGCTTCAGCGGATCCCAAAGGCTGAGCTGTCCAAAACAAAGACAAGAGGTCTGGGCCTCTGTATCCTAGTATCAATCATGCTTTAAATGCAGGTGACCTTCGAACAAGAAAATTCCAGGAGAAAGACTGAGCTGTGAGTTGTCAGCAGCCAATACTAGCTGTGTGAATGAGGGCTTTATCATAAAGCAGGAAGCATCATGGTTCCCACTACAGTACCCACTTTGTCTCATTTTGATTCACATGTTTCTAGTAGCAAGCTCACCCTCACCTGGTTCAGATTCTCTAAGATTCCATTTTGTCTCATATCCTGGGGAAATGAATAATGTGCATATTAGTGGGATGATTTACATCTTCTCTCTCTCCACTGCATTGTTCTCAAGGATAACTATTGTTTCAACCTTCTTCTCACACTGGATGGCATCTTTGTTGATTTAGATGGCTTACCTGGGAGGTGAAGTTCTCTTTTGTCTATTAATAATGACCTCTTTAGTCTGTGGCTGATACACTTATCCATTTAAGATTAAAAATTTAATACAATAGGAACCATGAGATGTCTCAATGAATTAAAGAAAAGGCCAAACTTATTCTTTCTTGCAGGCATTTTCTTTTCTTTTGTTTTCGTTTTTGAGACCAAGTCTCACTTTGTTGCCAGGCTGGAGTGCAGTGGTGCAACCTGGATTCACTGTAACCTCTGCCTCCTGGGTTCAAGCAATTCTCCTGCCTCAGTCTCTCAAGTAGCTGGGACTGCAGGTGCACACCACCACACCCGGCTGAGTTGTTTTTTTGTATTTTAATAGAGTTGGGATTTCACCATGTTGGCCAGTATGGTCTTGATCTCCTGACCTCGTGATCCGCCCGCCTCAGCCTCCCAAAGTGCTAGGATTACAGACATGAGCCACGGGGCCTGGCCTCTTGCAGGCATTTTCTAATAATAACCCTGCCACTCACTGATGATTAGGCTGATTATCTTGTCAGTATGTTGATGCTTTTACTTGCAGGTCTCTGGTTACATGGTACTAGAAATGGCCATATGGCAACTGCCCAAGACCATGGGAACCCACCTCTTACATCAAGCATGGCCAAGATGAGAGACATGAAGTCAAAGGAGATCATTTTGGAGTTTTAATATTTGACTGTCCCACTAGTTTTTGGACTTGCATGGGACCTGTAGCCCCTCAATTTTGGCCAATTTCTTCCATTTGGAATAGGTGTATTTACCCAATGCCTGTACCCCCACTGTATCTAAGAAGTAATTAACTTGTTTATGATTTTACAGGTTTCTTGCCTTGTCTCAGATGAAACTTTGGGACAGTGGACTTTTGAGTTAATGCTGAAATAAATTAAGACTTTCAGGACTCTTGGGAAGTCAAGATTGGTTTTAAAATGTGATGACATGAGATTTAGGATGGATTGGGGTGGAATGATATGGTTTGGCTGTGTCCCTACCAAAATCCTATCTTGAATTATAGCTCCCATAATTCCCATGTGACATGGGAGGGACCTGGTGCGAGGTAATTGAATCACAGGGCAGGTCTTTCCCATGCTGTTCTCATGATAGTACATAAGTCTTATGAGGTCTGATCGTTTTTATAAAGGGAGTTCACCTGAGCAAGCTCTCTCTTGACTGCTGCCATGTAAGACGTCCATTGCTCTTCCTCCATGATTGTGAGGCCTTCCTAGCCACATAGAACTATGAGTACATTAAAACTCTTTGCTTTATAATTTACCCAGTCTTGGGTATGTGTTTATTAGCAGCATGAGAACAGACTAATACAGCGGCCATAGCTTAAAGTTCAGTGGGACTATTATTGTATCCTGTAGCAAAAGTGTCCCACCCTCTCCCTTTGGGAATGAGCGCCTCTATACCTACAGAGCCTAAGTTACAGGAATGAAAAGTACTGCCAGTGGGTCACTGGAAGGACAGAAAACAACTCTACATCTATTTACCCTTCCTGGTTTCTACTTTGGGAAAAAAGGACCATCTAAATGTTGGTGATTTATCCTGGAGGATGACACCCTCCCGAAATACCAATTCCTGACTTGCATCTCAGCTGTTGTGTTAAGAGGCCATTCCCTTCCCCTGCTTTGTCAGATCAATAGCTTTGAAGTTGCAATATTTGATGAGTAGTGCATTCCATCATTGTGTATCCGTGGCCACATCTCTGTTGTAAATGTTTCCTTTGATCGGAGGCATTGTTATGAGGCATTGCTATGAGTAGATCAGATATTCTGTTAGGACTTGAGGTAGTACATGTGAGGCTGGTGAGCAGGAAGGCAAAGTAAAAAATGTTCACCAATTTCATGCAAGATGGATTTTAACCCTTTCCAGGTTGTTAGGGGTCTAACGTAATCAGCTTACCAACAAGTGACTGATTTGTCTCTAAATAACAAGATGTCATCAACATTATAAATCAATGTGCTCGGCTAAAGAATATGCAGATATTAAAAAATGTCTTCATTTTTTGATCTTGCATTTGCTAGATCAATGGCAACTTATGATGTACTTGAGGCTATGTTAATCTGTTCTAGCAGAAACACATCTGTTATGGTACCTGCATGCCATATGGGCTAAAATTTGGATGAGTTTGTGATAGTAAACTCTTTTTTCTTTGGATCCACCTTTTTTTTTAAGGGGTCCAACTGGTTAATTAAATAGAGATATAATGGGGATCACTAGCCTCATCTTTAAGGGGTCATTTCCTTCTGGGTGTGATAAAAATTTGGTTGTTTCTCCTGGCTGGCAAAGAGGGGCAGACTCAGAGATTTCCATTTTGCCTTCACAATCATAATGGCTATGACCACACAGGTAAGTAAACTGTTATGAAATTGCTGCTACCTGTCAAGAACTGCAAATAAACTGAGCTTTTACCCTACATGCAAGCTAACACAGAGGATGCAAGGCTTGTGCCTCAGAGGCAAATAACTCGATTATACACAGTAGAGCAAACAGAATGAGCTTCAATGTTTACACAAGTTCCCTGCTCTCCAAGTCCTACAGGGGCAATGCAGAGTGGTCTAAGTGGGCTCAACACATGCAATGGGCTTGTTTCACAGTAGAGGAACATCAAGCTTGGAAGAACACATATTTCTGATACTGAGTAGTTTGCATACCTTTGCTTGCCCTGAGTGGAGACATTTTCTTTATTAAATTAGGCAATAAACAAACTGGTCCTATACTTCAAAATGAGGCAGTATCTCATTCAGCAAAACGTATTTGCTTGTACAATTATCCTTGAAAAGTTATCACAGAACAAAGCAACCAATCCCTCTGCTCTCAATACATGCAGTAATGTGGGAGACTGATGGGAAATTTTCTTTCAAAACTATTAAAAAGCTATAATAGAATAATCCAATTCAAGTTCTGAAAAATCACCAAGGATTAGCTACCTAAATACAGTGGACCAACTATAAACCAGACGTAGGCCAGGATTTCATTTATGATTTTGCTCTTATGTGTTCTGATTTTAAAAGTTGACTATCCTGATGCTTCCAGTCTTCAGGAATTGATGTCAAGTTAGGACCTATCTTTAACAGTCCTTAAAATATCTGGTAATTTTCTATTTCCCATTGTCTGGTAACATGAGTAAATGCCATGGATATTTTGGTGGGAGAGTGGGGAGAACCTGGGACAATCATTACAACAGGAACCTACTGTGGTGTTGCAGTGTCCTTCCTCCTGGGCACCTTGCTTCTCCCTTTGCCACCTCTAAAATCTGGTCCAAGTTTTCAAGCTGAGTAGGAAATAATGAGTTCCTGTTAACCCAACTTCCCTCATCTAGCTAATTATCAATCTTTGATTGCTTTTGATTTTGTCAATTAAGCAGTACTTATTTGGCTACTGATTTACCTTGTCCTAAGCAACACCATGTTTTGTTTCTTGTCTGGTTTCTTTGAGTAGATTCCCCCTAGTTTGCACTGTGGTCTTATAACTTGTTATGATAATTGAACCCATCTAAATTCGGACATTTAAATGCTGCCATGTGGCTTCAAGATACCGTTCCTTTTATTATTAGGAAATCCGGTTATGTAATAACATCCGTTATTATCAGCCTTTTTCTGCAAATACACACTCATTACTGAGCTTCTTAACCATGCTGGTATCCCTTTCTTTAGGAAATTCCTTGATACTTCAGTAAGTAATGTGCCCTCTGAGTCCTCTCCTGGATAGTAGTCTCACAGTGGATGTTGTGAGGTTACAAAGTAAATCCAGTTAGCATGATACATTATTTGTACCTTTTGATCCTTTCCTCCATTGTTTTCTATTCTAGAATTTCTGTATCATTTAGAGGAAGCCATTGCTTTCCCCAGACTTCCAAATCTCATCTCCTCTCTGGATCTTTATTAGAGTAATAAATCAAGAATCCTGGGAGAGTATGTTATATTAATAGACTTTCCTATTTCCAACTTTATGTTTCATCCCCCTTTGATCATCATCCTCAGATCTCATTTCTATACATAGTCTCCTGGTTCTAGCCCATATATGTTGGCTTGTTCTGTAGCTTTTGTTGGCTTTTAGTTCCTTTTCTTCCTTAGCAAAACTGGCATTTCCCCAACCTGGCTGTGTTAGTTATGTATCTTATGACCAGGAGGGAAAATGGGAATAGATTCCAAGGAAGTTTATGTTTTCTTTCAAGGCAGATGACTCCACATCATGTTCAAGCCAGGGTAGGGAAGGGTCTGGCCTTTAATAGGGAAGAATGAACCACTTCAGCCCTCTAAGAGAGTTGAGAAGGATCTGGAGTCTTGATGATTTTCAAATGAACTCATCTGAATTCTCAGGGTCTTCTTCCTTCATAATCAGGACCTTGATTTTTTTGTAAGATATTGGATTGGGTGAAGGATTCTAACATCACTGGAGCTCTGCTACTCTCAAGTCTGATGTCTACATTAGATGCTCAACTTCTTTAGCGCTCTGAATGTAGAAATGAGATTAGCTTTGTAATCTACAAAAGAATTCCATTTGTTTCCAAACATAATATTAAGTCAGCCTTTAATTGACTTTCCATTGTGCATGAATAGTATCCAACAACACCTATATGATTCCATAGTCTTTGCAATTACTATTTCCTTCATACCTTTCAAATGTATAAAATATTACTCTAGCCAGTTAATTCTCATCATAGTTATCTCACTTGAGTTCAACACCAGTGAGAATTTTAACAATTGCACTGCTATGTAATTCCAAGGACACTCAGAACTTCTGTCTACTCTCAATGATATTTTTATGATTAATACACCATAAGTTCAAGACATCACAGAAATTGACAAAGCTCAATAAAATTCCACTCACATATACAATAATAATAATATGGCTTTAAAAGTTATTACATGTTAAATGTTTAAAGACAACAAAACAAACGAAAACTTCCCAAACCTTCAAGCCAAAAGTACCAATAAGTTTTTATTTTATTTTCACCAGTGGTTAGAGTCCTACTCTTTTCCATAAATAAGTTCAATTATTAAATATTAAATTAAAACTTTGAGACAAGAAGTTAGCCTTTACTTGACATTATTGTTCTAACTCACTATTTGACCAACAGGAAATCCTGTCAGTTTACAAAAGCAGTGAAGTTATTTCCAAAGCAGCATAACAAAAAGATTCTGGAAAGGGTTAGAAAAGCAAGAGGTCAGAATTACACATTTATCTTTTCAGAAGCTAAAAAAGTTATCCTTATATTTTCATTGAAATGTTTCCTCTGCTAAATTTTAATTTTCTCATTCAGTCTTCCTTAATTTCACTGTGAATGATAAAGGAAGAGGAAGGGAATGAGGGAGAAAAAAGGGACAAAGAAAGAGGGAGGAGAAATAACTTCTTAACTTGAAGGTCAGCTTCTCTTTCCTTAGTATCTTTAGCAAAGATTGTTTCATGTCTACTGGTATTGTTATGGACACAGAGTCGTCAGGCACTTTCCATAGTCATCGATGAGTAGCAGTAGGTCTTTGAGTCCTGCAGTGAAGAACTCTATTACTGCCATCTTCTTCAGATGGCTGTCCCATTTGGCAAATATTCTGCATGACTGCTATTGAGCTTCCATCTGTCACAGCTCAATCCAACATTTAGGACAGGCACTTTAAAAGGGCAATTGCTCTACTGTCTAGTGGACTTAAAAAATAAAGAGAAAGAAAACACTGTGGGTGTTTACATTAAATAAAAACAGAAGCTCATTTATTGAGTACTTCTTACAGGCAAAGCATTCTACATATGCTTCACTTTTAATTAATGTAAAAATCCTATAATAGAACCATTAATTGCTAAGGGAAACCTGCCTCATAAATTAATACATTTCAAAATAGAATTCCAATCTGAAACTATGTATTTAAAAGCAACTCTTCATCTTGGCTATAGTTTTTCAAACACTTAAGACTTAATGTTATTTTTAGGATATATTAAAAATTTTCATTTAAAAATATCAATTCCATTTTCTATTCATTTTCCTGAATCCATGTCTTTAGGCTGTGGCCACTCTTGAGTACTTTTTATCTGAGTCTATTTCGTTCAGTTCTTAAATAGTTGGCCTTATTTTTGTAAAATATAGATTGCTTTAGCCATTTTTTTCCCTTTGTTTCAGTTCTATTTTTTTTAAACCATTATTCTTTTTCTTTTTTTTCTTTCTTTTTTTTTTTTTTTTTTTTTTTTGAGATGGAATCTTGCTCTGTTGCCCAGGCTGGACTGCAGTAGCATGATCTCTGCTCACTCCAACCTCCACCTCCCATGTTCAAGTGATTCTCCTGCCTCAGCTTCCCAAGTAGCTGAGATTACTGGCACCTGCCACCACGCCCAGCTAATTTTTGTATTTATTTTTATTTTTTATTTTTTGAGATGGAGTCTTGCTCTGTCACCAGGCTGGAGTGCAGTGGCATGATCTCAGCTCAATGCAACCTCTGCATCCCAGGTTCAAGAAATTATCCTTCCTCAGCCTCCCCAGTAGCTGGGACTACAGGCAATGCCCTACCATGCCCAGCTAATTTTTGTATTTTTAGTAGAGATGGGGTTTCATCCACCCAACTTGACCTCCCAAAGTGCTGGGATTGGAGACCTGAATCCCCACGCCAGACCTTTTTTAAACCATTATTCTTACCTCATATGGCAAGATATACAAAATTACTTCACAGAGCCTGAAAGTCCTCTGGGTAGAACCCCATTCTACTTTCAAATGTTTCCTCTCATCCTTATAAACAAGCACTCTACACATCTACATAGATATATTTGCAATGGTTACATGCTCTTATGGCTCATTCTATTTTTAACTCATGTTATTCCCCTCTTTATCTCTTCTTCACCTTTGCCCCCCAAAATGTCTTTTCCATCTACCTGATGAATTACTGCTTATCTTTCAAAATGTATTAGAAATATTTCCTCATCTATGTGTCATCTTCTGATACCCTGAAATCCAATATCGTTATTAATTCTTTGCTGTGTTTCTTATTATCCCAAGTATATTCTTACGAAAGAACTTATCATATCTCTTTCCATGTTTTCATGTCTCTTTCCCATTAGACTAAAATCTTTGAGAACAAGTATTACTGTGTAACACTGAGTGTTGCAATCCCACAGCCTTGCTATACACATATTACCCAAAAGGTTCTCAGTAATAATCCTGTAAAGAAAGTAATTCATTTCTGATATTTAAACACCACACTGAAAAGCCTTGTACTGTGCTTACTCATAAATTAAGAAAAAAGTCTTATTAACAAGTTTTATTTTCTTACTTAAAGTAATAAAATTCTAAGAGAAAATAAAAAGTTTTACATTTTACATTATAAATTTTTAATGTCTTATATGGGATGTTTTCTAAAATATATAACTCTTCTATTCTAAAATTGTAAACTGATATTTAGCATAATATTAATAAATTTTTATATGGACACCTATGATTGTCAAAGCACTTTTAGAAACTTAAATTTAAATGACTATAAAACTTGAAAACTTGTTTTTATGATTTTTTTTAAAAGCTATTTTTCCTGCTGTTGTATTTGCTCCCTGAAAGTCCAGAGTGAACTGTCTCATTATTGTTATATAAATTATTTCATCAGTGAAGTGTTTGCAAATGAAATGCAGAGCTTTAAGTGACACGAAGTGCAGGATTTGTAGAACATAGCTAGTAAAACATAAAACTTGTAAAAAGGTTTTGTAGGGAATATTGAGTTCATATTCCATTTTACCCAAAGCTCTATTTAGCAAGATTTTCTTTTATTACCTTGCAATTCATCAAGCATGAGTAATTTCCCCATCAATTCTTTTATCCAGTGGCAACATAAACACTCACACTTTCTGAAATAAAGGAGTTGGAGTATTATGGTTGCTCTGTTCAAGCAGCTATCTTTAAAGTTGTGTCAGCATTTCCATTACATACCCAGTTTCTTGAAGTTTATAACTCGCAGTAAAAACTAACCCTTGGGTTGAATCTTTACTTACAGAGGTATTTTTCAGTTCAACTTATGGAGATATAGCTGCAAGACACCCCATTTCTGTTAATAGAAGCCAGGTCATGAATCCCTTCCTGACACATGGAACAGATTTATCCTGTCACTTTTCTACTGGGAGAAAATTATTTTCATCAAAATGGGAGAAGTATTTTGGTTTGATTTCAGTGAAGTTATAAAGTGCAATACCTATCTCGTGAAGGTATGAATTTTCAATAGCTTTTCTATACTTACGGCAAACTCACTTATTTTTTCTCCCAAAAGTGACCTTGGTAAAGTATAAGCTAGTTGGTTCTACTCAGGTAAAGCTAAAACTAAGCTCATATTATTTTTTCTTCAAAATATATTTTCTTTCTTGAGCATGCCACTAAAAGATAGAAACAATTTAAAATATGTTTTACAAAAGAAAGTAAAATAATGAATTTGATGATTATTAGTACACTCCAGTTCTACCTGTGGGATATACATGAGTTACATTTGCATCCTATAGTTATTTGTTGGGATGCAGATGGAAGTCATGTGTATGCTGTAGGTAGCATTTTTTATTTTTTAATATATGACTGTAATAAGTGATAAAAAATTCTGATTTTTCAAAATGTAAAAACATATAAGTCTAGTCACTGCAGAAATCAGAAAATTTTGTGTTATCATTTAAGTAAGCAAAATTACCCAAAGTTGAAAATTTTAACATATAATTTAGTTCCTCTACATTTTTAATGCACACACTTAGGTGTCATTATTCAGTACATAAACCTCTCAAATTCAATAAAAATCAGATAGCACATGTTCTGAAAAAATAAAAGGGAAGTGTTAAAACCAATTAAATCAATGATCCTTGAGCCACAGATAGGCTATAGGTGTAAATTGTAATGGAGCAAAGCTCTATCAGTTCCAACATCTACCATAACACTCATAAAATACAGTATGACTGACAAATAATGCATAATAAAAACATTAACATGACAAATAAAAATGTATAAATTGAAACATGTTTAAATAGTATTTAACAAAAATACATGTGCATGTTAACATTAATTTTAATATTAGATTCAAACTACTTTTTTTGTTTAATTAACATGGCTAAAAACATTAAACTGTCACTAGTTATATTTTTAGTTGTTTTTATCAAAGAATCTGCCCATTGGTGCTTGATATAGTTTGAAGGTGTGTTCCCGCCCAAATCTCACATGGAAATGTAATCTCCAATGTTGGAGGTAGGGCCTGATAGGAGGCGATTGCATCATGAGGATGGATTTCTCATGAATGGTTTACTTTAGCACAATCTTCCTTGGTACTGTCCTCAGGATAGTGAGTTCTCCCGAGATCTGGTCATTTACGAGTGTGTAGCACTTCCTCCCCTTGTTCTCTTGCTCCTGCTCTTGCCATTTGACCTGCAAGCTCCTGCTTCACCATCTACCTTGATTGTAAGCTTCCAGAGGCTTCCACAGAAACAGATGCTGCTATGCTTCCTGTACAGCCTGCAGAACCATGAAGCAATTAAACTTCTTTTTAAGTAATTTCCCCAGTCTCAGGTATTTCTTTAGAGCAATGCAGTATCAGCCTCATACGGTGATTTACAATTTAGACATTTCTTTTAAAAAATTTTGTTCTACTTTAAGTTCCAGGATACATGTGCAGAACATGCAAGTTTGTTACATAGGTATACACGTGCCATGGTGGTTTGCTGCACCTATTGACCTGTCATCTAGGTTCCCTCCCCTTGCCCCCCACACCCCAACAGACCCCAGTGTGCGTTGTTCTCCTCCCTGTGTCCATGTCTTCTCAGTGTTCAACTCCCACTTATGAGTGAGAACATGCAGTGTTTGCTTTTCTGTTCCTGTCTTAGTTTCCTGAGGATGATGGCTTCCAGCTTCATCCATGTCCCTGCAAAGGACATGATCTCATTCCATTTTACAGCTGCATAGTGTTTCATGGTATATATAGGCCACATTTTCTTTATCCAGTCTATCATTGATGGACATTTGGGTTGGTTCCATGTCTTTGCTATTGTAAATATTGCTGCAATATACATGTGTGTGCATGTGTCTTTATGGTAGAATGATTTATATTCCTTTGGGTATATACCAACTAATGAGACTGCTGTGTCAAATTGTACTTCTGGTTCTAGATCCTTGAAGAATCGCCACGCTGTCTTCCACAATGGTTGAACTAATTTACACTCCCACCAACAGTGTAAAAGTGTTTCTATTTCTCCACAGCCTTCCTAGCATCTATTGTTTCTTGACTTTTTAATAATCACCATTCTGACAGGTGTGAGTTGGTATCTCATTGTGGTTTTGATTTGCATTTCTCTAATGATCAGTAACGTTCAGCTTTTTTTTTATGTTTGCTGGCTGCACAAATGTCTTCTTTTGAGAAGTGTCTGTTCATATCCTTCACCCACTTTTTGATGGGATTGTTTGTTTTTTCTTGTAAATTGTTTAAGTTCCTTGCAAATTCTGAATATTAGACTTTTGTCAGAGGGATAGATTGTAAAAATTTTCTCCCATTCTGTAGGTTGCTTGTCCACTCTGATGATAGTTTATCTTGCTGTGCAGAGGCTGTTCAGTTTAATTAGATCCCATTTGTCAATTTTGGCTTTTGTTGCAATTGCTTTCAACGTTTTTGTCATGGAGTCTTTGTCCATGCCTATGACCTGAAAGGTATTCCCTAGGCTTTCTTCTAGGGTTTTTATGGTTTTGGGTTTTACATTCAAGTCTTTAATCCATCTTGAGTTAATTTTTGTATGAGGTGTAAGGAAGGGGTCCAGTTTCAGCTTTCTGCATACGGCTAGCCAGTTTTCCCAGCACCATTTATTGCATAGGAAATTCTTTTCCCAATGCTTGTTTTTGTCAGGTTTGTCAAAGATCAGATGGTTGTAGATATGTGGTATTATTTCTGATATTCTCTTCTGTTCCATTGATCTATGTGTCTGTTTTGGTACCAGTACTATGCTGCTTTGTTTTCTGTAGCCTTGTAGTATAGTTTGAAGTCAGGTAGCATGATGCCTCCAGCTTTGTTCTTTTTGCTTAGGATTGTCTTGATTATACAGCTTCTTCTTTGGTTTCATATGAAATTTAAGGTAGTTTTTTTCTATTTCTGTGAAGAATGTCAATGGTAGTTTGATGGAAATTGCATTGAATCTATAAATTACGTCGGGCAGTATGGCCATTTTTGCAATATTGATTCCTCCTATCCATGAGGATGGAATGTTTTTCCATTTATTGTGTCCTCTCTTAGTTCCTTGAGCAGTTCTCCTTGAAGAGGTCCTTTACATTGCTTGTTAGCTGTATTCCTGGGTATTTTATTCTCTTTGTAGCAATTGTAAATGGGAGTTCATTAATGATCTGGCTCTCTGCTTGTCTAGTGTTGGTACATAGGAATGCTTGTGATTTTTGCACATTGTTTTTGTATCCTGAGACTTTGCTGAAGTTGCTTATCAGCTTAAGGAGTTTGGGGCTAAGATGATCCTCAGCAAATGCAAAAGAGCTGAAATCATAACAAAGAACAGTCTCTCAGGCCACAGTGCGATAAATTAGAACTCAGGATTAAATAACTCACTCAAAACCACACAATTACATGGAAATTGAGCAACCTCCTTCTGAATGACTCCCGGGTAAATAATGAAATTAAGGCAGAAATCAAGAACTTCTTTGAAAACAATGAGAACAAAGAGACAATATACCAGAATCTCTGGGACACAGCTAAAATAGTGTTAAGAGGGACATTTATAGCACTAAATGCCCACATCGCAAAGCTAGAAATATCTCAGATCAACACTCTAACATCACAATTAAAATAACTAGAGAAGCAAAAGCAAACTAATCTGAAAGCTAACAGAAGAAATAACTAAGATCAGAGCAGAACTGAAGGAGATAGAGACACGAAAAAGCCTCCAAAAAATCAATGAACCCAGGAGCTGTTTTTTGAAAAACAATTAACAAAATAGATAGACCATCAGCTAGCCTAATAAAGAAGAAAAGAGAGAAGAATCAAACTGACACAATAACAAATAATAAAGGGGTTATCACACCGACCCCACAGAAATATAAACTACCATCAGAGAGTACTATAAGCACCTCTATGCAAATAAACTAGAAAATCTAGAAGAAATGGATAAATTCCTGGACACATACATCCTCTCAAGACTAAACCAGGAAGAAGTCCGCTCCCTGAATAGACTAATAGCAAGTTCTGAAATTGAAGCAGTAATTAATAGCCTACCAACCATAAAAAACCCAGAACCAGATGGATTCACAGCCAAATTCTACCAGAGGTACAAAGAGGAGCTGGTACCATTCCTTCTGAAACTATTTCAAACAATTGAAAAGGACGGACTTCTCCCTAACTCATTTTATGAGGTTAACATCATCCTGATACCAAAACTTGACAGAGACACAACAAAAAAAGAAAATTTCAGGCCAATATCCCTGACGAACATCTATGTGAACATCCTCGGTAAAATACTGGCAAACCGAATCCAGCAGCACATCAAAAAACCTATCCACCATGATCAAGGCAGCTTCATCCCTGGGATGCAACGCTGGTTCAACATATGCAAATCAATAAATATAATTTGAACATTTCAAATGCAGAGTATATTTGAGAGTTTTACTTTGAAATAGTCTTAACTATTTTAATTTCTATATGCAAACTACATACATATGTAATTTAAATAAAATAATAAAGTTTAATAAGAATTATTTAAACTTGGTTTTGATTCACTCATTTATCAATATATGAGACAAAATATAACAAAAGGAGAGGTTCACTTAGATTAAGATATATCTTTTAAAATTTGAAATAAACAGAGCTTACTCAGAAGTGAAAACATTCCTGTAACACATATTTCTTAAGCCAATTAAAAATTTCATAATCCTGGGAAAAAATAATGACTTGTAAATGACAATGCATAGCACATACCTCTATACTCAAACAAGTTTGCATATGCTATAGAAAAAAAAAGACATAATGCTATCAGAAGAATATATATTGAGACATAAAAAATAAAGAGCAGAACATTGCAAATTGTTTCGCAAATTTCATATTAATGCTTGTTCCACCTTCTCACCATATTTTTGTTTGGTTTTTTGGTTTTAGGAAAGTTTGTGTTGTAAATAATAGCTTCAAAAATTCTATGATAATTAAGGAAAATTTTAAATATCCAAGGTCACTAAAAGTCAGAGAAGACTATAAGCATGTGTATTTGAGCCACATGGTTCCAGATTGTCAAACTAAATAAGGACCAGATTTTAGAGCTACTTACTTGGAATAGGCAGATTAAATTACAGGATTGGAAAAAATTTAGAAAATATTATTTACTTTTGTCTTGCTCAGAGTAAATATTATGCTCAAAGGTAAATATGCTGAGTAACTCTCAGGGTGAGTTTAGCTATCAGATATGTCCTCTTATTTGAAATTTCTTCAAAATGGTTTGTCACAATTTGTTTAATGTCCTTAGGGCTCTAAAAATTTTGCTTTAATGTATTCAAGATAATTTTTAATATTAGCATTCGAGTAGTTTGTAAAGTGTCAAATTGCATAGGCTAACATCAATACTCAGAATTCCCTTCTCTGTATGTTTTTAAATAATTGTTATTATTTAATTTTGATAGGGTTTGGGGGAACAGGTGGTATTTGGTTACACGGATAGGTTCTTTAGTGGTGATTTCTGAGATTTCAGTGCACCCATCACCTGAGCAGTGTACAGTGTACCCAATGTGTAATCTTTTTTTCTTTTTTTTCCGAGACGGAGTCTCACTCTGTCGCCCAGGTTGGAGTGCAGTGGCATGATCTCAGCTCACTGCAACCTCCGCCTCCCGGGTTCAAGCAATTCTCCTGTCTCAGCCTCCCGAGTAGCTGGGATTACAGGCATGCACCACCACGCCCAGCTAATTTTTGTTTTTTTTTTTTTTCAGTAGAGACAGAGTTTCACCATGTTGGCCAGGCTGGTCTCGAACTCCTGACCTCATGATCCACCTGCCTCAGCCTCCCAAAGTGCTGGGATTACAGGCATGAGCCACCGTGCCTGGTCCCCAATATGTAGTCTTCTTTCCTCACCCACCTCCCACCCTTTCCTCCAGTCCCCAAAGTCCATTGTGTCATTCTATGCCTTTGCATCCTTGTAACTTAGCTCCCACTTATGAGTGAAAACATACAAGAATGGCCATAATCAAAACATCAGAAACATACAGAGAAGGGAATTCTCAGTAATGATGTCAGCCTATCCAATTTGACACATTACAAACCACTCCAATGATCATATTAAAAGTTATCTTGAACTTATTAAAGCAAAATTTGGAGGTGCCACAGAAATGTTTTGTATAAGATTTGAAGTGAAAGTGAAGCATCAGCCATGATGTTTGCACACTTGGAAGGTCAGTACATGGTCACCAAGTGCTATTACAGAACATACGTGTTGTGACACATCTCCAGGCTCACCTCCATTTCACAGCAGAGTCTGCAACTGCTCCACTACATTTTTGGAAACTCCTTAAGCTTCTGTGACTTTGGGGTCAGGTCATGTGTATAGCTCTGTGATGATGCATTCCTGTTTCTCCAACAAAGAGCACCAACACCTACCATCATAAAAATTGGAATCCGAGAGACATTGACATGGGTGCAAATCCATCCTTGAGAGATTATGTTCTCTCCACCCCTTTATATTGTCTTTTCTTCACAACTGCCTGCTCTGCAGACTTTAAGTCCTAGCATCAGACACGAAGAGATGCTACAAAAAATAGTAAATAATAGTAAATAAGTATGTTTGTGTTGGGGAGTGTTCCTGATCTGAATTCTGATTGATACAATATTAAATAGCAATTACAAGATACTATTCAAGAGACTTTCAGTAAAAGCCTTTTATAACTTGCTCTTGTGTTGAATTAAATGATAAAATTTATTCTTAAAGTAGTGAGTTTTCAAGATTTCACATACTAATAAATGAGTTTAGCAATGTGGCAGGATATAAGATTTTTTATGAAAGTATAATTAACAAATAAAAATTAAAATTATATATATAAAACATGGTATTTTGATATATGTATACATTGTAAAATAGTTAAATCAAGCTAATTAGCATGTCTATCACCTCACATACTTATCAGTTTTTGTGGTGAGAACATTTAAAACCAGAACTCTCTTAATAATTTTCAAGTATAAAGTACATTATCTCATAGTCACTATGATATACAATAAATCTCCTGAATTAGTCCTCTTTTCTAACTGTAACTTTATATCCTTTGACCAACATTTTTCCATTCCCCTCACCTCTAGCCCCTGGCAAACCAACCTATGCTGTTTCTATGAGCTCAACTTTTTTAGATTCCAGTTACAAGTGATCATGCAATATTTGTCTTTCTGCGACTGGCTTATCTCACTTAGCATAATATCCCCCAGCTTCATCCATGTTGTCCCAAATGACAGGATTTCCTTCTTTTTAAAGGCTGAATAGTATTTCATTGTGTGTGTGTGTGTGTGTGTGCGTGTGTGTGTGCATGTGTGTAATTTTTTTTATTCATTCATCTATCAATGAGCACTTTGGTTGATTCTGTACCTTGGCTATTGAGAATAGTGCTGCAGTGAACATAAGATTGCTAATATCTCTTAAAAATACTGATTTTAATTCCTTTGCATATATGTTTAATAGCAGGATTGCTGCATCATATGGTAGTTCTATTTTTAATTTTTTTTAGTAACTCTCATACTATTTTCCTTAGTGGTTCTCACCAACATTATGCAATGGTTCTTGTTTCTCCATCACAGAATATAAGATTGATACAAAAAAATCAATTCTACTTCTATACAGTAACAGTGAACACTCTGAAATAAAATTTTAAAATATTCTACTAATAATAACAGCAAAAATCATATACTATCCAAGAATAAATTTAAGAAAAAAATGCAAAACTTATTCCCTGGAATCTACAAAACATTGTTGAAAAAGAAAAGAAGACCTGAAAAAATAGAAAGATAATCATTAAAAATTGAGTGTTTAAAATATAACCAAATTTGTCATTGATATTGCCACCTCTACCTCCACATTCACCTCTATTGTGCACTGTAGATTTTTCTATAATTAGAATTATCTATAGACTAATGTCTATCTCAGTCTTCCCCTTCCTGCCTTTTCTATTCTTTTCTTTTTACACATTGTTATTCAAGGGAATATTAAATTATCTTATTTTTCTTAACCAAGTTCTGAATCAATTTAGAATACTAAAGGACAAAACACATGGAAGCCTGTGTTATCTGACATATATTAGAAAAGATGGCATTTGTAGGCAATTGGAATCAAAATACTGATATTCAAGATTAAAAAACTCAATTTACACCAGCAGTCCTGGAAAGCTTAAGCTCTAGGCTCATGACACAATCAAAGATAATCAAGGAAATAAGTTTTTCAGGAATGTCGGTATCCAAGACAAAGGGTAGAGGAAGAGTAAAGGGCATAGCATGCAATTCCTTTCTCTCCTAAACTCATCCTGTTTATTTCCCTGGGACAGAGTATGTGAGGAAGTGGAGAGAGAGTCTAGAAGTTTCACACTGATAGCTGTTCCTCTGCATTGAAGAACATATTAGGATAAAAAAAAAAAAACTAAAACAGAACAAAACAAAAAAAAACCCACTGTCCCTTGAATAAAATTCTTCCATTATAAAAGACTTCAATTACTAGCATCCATTTTCCCACAATTATAAGTATTGAACTAAAACTCAAAATTGACAGTAAAGTTTCTGTTTGTTCAGTCTTTAAAATGAAACGGCCCAATGTAACACCGACAGTCTTAAATAATATGCTGGTTCGTAGTCAACTTACTAATGTATACTTTCTTCTTTCTCCCAAACTTCATCATGCATCCCACTCTCAGATGATTAACACAGAAATTTTCACATATGAAGACATACAAATAATCAGAGACAATTATCTCATCTCTGTACCACACCATCTCAATGAATTTCATCTTGCCAGTTTTAATGACTCGTTCATTGTCTTCATTTCATTTAATTTCTTGGAAGCATTTTGCATGGTTGATTACCTTTCCTCTTTAAATGGGTTCTTCACTTCAAATGCAAGGACACTATATATTCCTGATTTTTCCTCTATCTCACTGGGTACTCCTTCTTGATCTCTGCCACAAGTTCTCCTTTTTTTTTTTTTTTTTTTTTTGCTTACTTATAAGTGTTCTCACAGTTTTGAACTTTGATCTTAGACTCCTGTCAATATTCCCTCACATCCTAGATTATCTTATTCTCACTCATGTTTTAAATATCCCATATTTGCTGAAGATTTACACTTTAATATTTTAATGTGTTCTCTCCCAAGTGCCAGAATTATATTCACAAATGTCTACTCAACATCTAAATGGATGTCTAAGTGGTATATACCAAATGTAACATGTATAAAACAAAATTCTTAATTCCACATCTTATCCCAAATCTATTTTTAACCAAAATTTCCTCATTTCAGCAAAAGGCAACAGGATTCACTTGAAGTCAGCTTGGATTTCCATTATTTTTAACTCTTCACATTCAAACAATCAGAAAATCTTACATTTTATACCTTTATTCTTAAGAAATCAGAATAGTTCTCAAAGAACTCCCGCTTATAGCTATAGTAATTTCTCTCTCTCTTTTTTTTTTTTTTTTGAGACAGAGTCTCACTCTGCCACCCAGGCTGGAGTGCAATGGCACGATCTTGGCTCACTGAAACCTGTGCCTCCCGGGTTCAAGCAATTCTCCTGCCTCAGCCTCCTGAGTAGATGGGATTACAGGCATGTGCCACCACACCCGGCTAATTTTTTTAAATATTTTTAGTAGAGACAGGGTTTTACCATATTGGCCAGGCTGGTCTCGAACTCTTTACCTTGTGATCCACCTGCCCTCAGCCTCCCAAAGTGCTGGGATTACAGGTGTGAGCCACTGCACCCAGCCCTGTAGCAACTTTTCATCAGACATAGACATGATATTAGTTTTCTATTGCTGCATAACAAATTAGTATGCACTTAGTGGCTTAACACACATTTATTATTTCACTGTTGTATCCTAGGACTCCAGATATAGTTTAGTGACTCTGTTGACTAAATTGATAATGCAGGCTCTATCTAGGTGTTAGCCAGGGCTGTGGTCTCAACTGAGGCTCAGGGGTCCTTTCAAACTCACATCACTGTGGGTAGAATTCATTTTCTCATAGCCCTAAAACTCAAAGTGCCTTATTTCATCAATGCCACCAAGAAAGTCTCAGCTGCTTCAAGTTTCCTCCCTCTAGACCCTGTTATAAAAAGGCTTGACTGATTAGGTCAGGTCCATGAAAGATTATCGTCTTCTTGAGCCTCACAGTTGAACTCATTAGGGACTTTAATTTTATCTGCAAAAAAATCCCCTCACTTTCCCTATATAATGTAACATAATCATGGGAGTGGCATCCACCATATTTACAGGTTGTACTCACACACAAGGTAAGAGGGCTATGCATGGCAAGTATACCAGCAGATAGGAATCTTGGACTATCATAAAATTCTGCCTACCATAGACATAGAGACCTTACCATGGTTGTTAAAAAAGTTCTTCAAACTTATCACTATTCTCTCAGCTCCCATTGATCTACTATTGTTTCTGTTCCTCCAACAGGTCAAGTAAAATTCAGCCTCATTGCCTCTGGAAATTATTTTCTCTGCTAAAATGTTCTTTTCACAATATTCACATATTTAATTTCCCTTTTACTATTGTTGTCTCATATATAATATTGCAAAAAGTCTTTGATGATCAACTATTAATATTTTTTTGAAAAACTTTAAATCTTATTATTCCTTCTATCCCTTTATTCTGTTTTGAATGTATTATTGACTAGAATTATATCACATTGTATTACACTATTAATTAGCTAATATATTTTCTGTCACTACCTTTGCAGCTTAATCTCTATTAGAGAAAGGGACTATTCTATTATATTGTGGACCACTTTATCCTTAAACATAATCAGTGCTCATAAATGTATGCGAGACAAAGAAAAACTTGAAGGAAGAGAGTAATAAAAGAAAGGAATAATTATTTCAAAAAGAATATTTAATCACATAATTTCATATTTATATTTCTTAATGGCTTTCCATTACTTACAGAATAAAATACAAGAAACCTTAAAGTACTAAAATAAAAAAATACATAATCTTGTTCCTGCCTAACTCCCAAGATTTCTGTCCTACAATTCTGTGATCCATACTCTGAATCAGAGCAGCACTGAACCTCTCAATACAAAAATCACATGTTTTGTTGTATAATATTTCTCTGTCTTTGCTAATGCATTTACCTTTCCCAGTTAATCTGCAGTAATCATTTACCTAATCCTGAGATTTCTTTCCACAGAGAGTATCTCTACTCAAGTTTGTGACTGAGATAGGCGTTCCTTTTATTTGCTTGTCTAATAAAGCCAACCTAGTTTGATAATTGGGTTAGATATTTTTATTATTTTCCAATACATATGGATCTGTTTTACCATAAAGGTGATCAAAATTAGAAATTAAGTTTTATTCCTTGATCTTTTTGTAAATTGATTTGTTCCAATTTTTAAAATAAGATAAAATTTAATATTGGTTATAATCTCAATTTTAGAGATTCTTCTGCAAGCTTGGATAAACATTTATCAAATGTGGTAATTAATTATGAAGGTAATTACATTATTAATTAAGATAAATAATACATTCATGAAATAAAGAAATTCACTATGCCCTTTTGTTGTCAATTCCTCCCAAACCCAGCCCCTAGTAACAACTGATCTGTTTATTTCTCTAGCTTAACTCTTCCAAGAACATAGTATATATCAAATTTAAAAATATGTATCTTTTGAGTCTGGTTTCATTTAACTTTTCATAATGCATTTGTAATTAATCTTTGTTGCAGCATGTATTAAAAGTTTGTTGTTTTTATTGTTGAGTGGTAGTCCATTGTAAGATGTACCCTAGGGTATGCATCCTTTCCTCTGTTAGGGTATTTTTTTATTCTCTAAATTATTAAAAAATAAAATAAAATCTTTATATGCATTCAAGTACTGGGTTTTGTGAGAAAATACCTTTTTTTTTTTTTCCAATTGACAGTGTCTTTTTACATTTCTCAGGCTGGAGTGCAGTGGCCTGATCATACCTCACAAAAACCATAAATTCCTGGGCTCAAGGGATACTCCTGCCTCAGCTTACCAAGTTGCTGGGACTACAGGAGCACAAAACCATGCCTGATTATTATTATTATTATTATTATTATTATTATTATTATTATTTTATCTTTGTGGAGCCAGTGTCTCTCTCTGTTTCCCAGGCTGGTCTCAAATTCCTGGCCTCAAGCAATACTCCTGCCTCAGCCTCCCAAAGTGTTGGGATTACAGGCATGAGCCACCACACCTGGCCTGAGCACACTTTTCCTATTTGCTTGGGAAATACCTGGGAGTTGGTTTACTGGGTTATATTGTAAGTTTTTGTTTTAACTTCAAAATAAACTGAAAAATACATTTGCAAAGTGGCTATACCATTTTGCATCACTATCAACAATATACGATATTACTGGACAGTCCCCTTGTCAGCATTTGCTGTTGTCAGGATTTTTAGCCATTCTATCTGTGTATATATACAGATATGAAATCACAAGTATATCATTGTTAGTTTAATTTCATTAAAAACTAATAGTGGTTATTATTAATGCCACTACTTTGAGATTAGTGGTATTATTAATTTGGGAGGTCGAGGCAGATCACTTTGAGATGCCAAGGCAGGCAGATTGCTTTGAGACCAGAAGTTTGAGACCATTTTGGGCAACATGGCTAAAACCTGTCTCTACAGAAAATAAACAAAATTAGCCAAGCATAGTAGTGCATGCCCGTAGTCTTAGTTACTTGACAGGCTGAGGTGGGAGAATCCCTTGAGCCTGTGAGGTCAAGAGTGCAGTGAGTCGTGATTGCACCACTGCACTCCAGCCCAGGTGACAGAGCAAGTCTTTGTCAAAAAAAAATGAATAATGATAAGCATATGTCTGTATGTACATTTACCATCCATATATCTTAGGTGGAATGAACGTTACAGTATCTTGCCAATTATTAAAAATTGTGTTGTTCATTTTCTTATTATGTATTAGAGTTCTTTCCTTTTAAAGCTAGTCCTTCATCAGAAATGAATTTGAAAATATCTCTCAGTCCTGGATTATATTTTCATCCTTTTAACGGTACTTTTAAGAGAACAGATCTTAATTTTGATAAAGTCCACTAGAGTAAGAAAAAAAAAAAAAAGCTGGTGTGTAATATGGAAGATAAGAAATCTTGGCTCACCCCAGAGTTATAAAGATTTTCTGATATGTTTTTGGCCTTAAGTTCAAAAGTTAATTTTAGAATACTCTAGGAAATTAGAATAGAGTTTTTTTTAATGTATGTATATCCATTTGTTTGAGCACCATCTGTTAAAAAGGCTGTCTGTTCTCCCTTGAATGACCTTTCTCATTTTCTATATAAGTTGACCATATATGCGTGGCTCTATTTCTGAACTCTCTTCTGTTCCATTGATCTATATGTATTCTCTTTATCCAAAACCGTGTTGTCTTGACTAACACAATTTTTTTAGTGCCTGGAAAGCATGAAGCTTGAGTCTTCCAACTTGTTCTGCTTGTTCTTCCTTGGATTCCTCATTCTGTTTTCTTTTTATATAATTTTGAATTAGTTTGTTGATTTATAAAAAACAAATTCTGCTGGGATTTTGATTTGAATTGTGTTAAATCTGTAAGTTAAATTTTAGAGAATGGAAATCTTAACAATATGGAATATTCTACTCCATGAACATGCTATATCTCCCTATTTGTTTAGGTCTTCTGTGATTTCTGTTATCAGTGTTTTGCAGCTTTCAGTGTACAGATAGATAGATGTTTCCTATAGTTTATAGGTTTTATACTTAAATATTTTAGTTTTGATGCTATTAATATGGTACTGTTAAAATTCAACTTTTCTTTTTTTTTACTATTATATTGAAATACTTTTTTTTAAAAAAAAACACTGGCCTTGTGCCTTGCAAGTTTGGTAAATTCATTTCTCAGTTCTATATGATTTTTGTAACTTCTTTTTGTGTTTTTATGTAGACATTTATGAAAAGTGGAAGAAGAGGCAATTTTATTTTTTTCTTTACAATGTATATACTTTTATTTCTATTTCTTATCTTATTACCCTGGCTTTATCTCCAGTAAGATGTAAAATATGAGTGGCGAGAGTAAACACCCTCATCTTTGAAGGGATTATTAGCCCACCAAAGTGCTATGAAAATTACTTCAAAATGAAAATATCTGAACAAACAGCAGCACATGGAAAAAAAAAAGAGTATGTAAATTTAAACAGAACCTCTAAAAAATACAGCTGTATTGGCCCTCCTCTCAGAGAGTTTTCTGATTTGGAAAAGATGGACCCTTAGCATGGGGACGTACAAATTCAGCTGTCTGTTAGCATCAAACAAACCAAGATAACTTTTCAAATTTCCCCAGTGAAACCCTGAACTCTCCTACTCATTTTGCAAACCTTAGAATATCACAAGCCTGTTATTTCTGTGTGTGTGTGTTTTTACCACTTTACACAACACTGTTTCTGCCTATAAGCCAGTGCACACATGAGTAAACCTCATGGTTTAACATAAGCAAGTAAATAAATGTGATACATCACATACACAGAATTAAAAACTAAAATGATATGATTGTCTCACTAGATGTAGAAAAAGCTCTTGACAAAATCCAGTTTCCTTTTATGGTAAAAACTCTGAACAAACTAGGCATAGAAGAAACATACTTCAAAATTAAACAAAAAAGCCATATATAACAAGCTCACAGCCAACATCATACTAAATGGGGAAAAGTTGAAACATTCCCCCTGAGAACTGGAACGAGACAAGGATGCCCACTTTCACCAGTTCTATTCAGCATGTACTGGAAGTCCTCCTAGCTGGGACAATCAGGCAAGAAAATAAAGGGCATCCAACTTGGAAAAGATGTCAAACTATCTGCTGATGATAACATCATATACCTAGAAAACCCCAATGACTCCTCTTTTCAGATTCTAGACTTCATAGATGCATTCAGTAAAGTCTCAGATTACATAATCAATGTGCATAAATCAGTAGCACTGGTAGATACCAACAATGACCAAGCTGAGAAAAAAGTCAAGAATTCAACCCCTTTTACAATAACTGCATTAAAAAAAAAAAACCCTAGAAATATACTTACCAAAGAAGGTGAAAGATCTCTGTAAGGAGAGCTACAAAACACTGCTGAATGAAATCATAGATGACACAAACAAATAGAAATACATTCCATGCTCATGGATTGGAATAATCAATATCTTAAAAAATGACCATACTGCCCAAAGCAATCTACAATGAATCAATGCAATTCTGATAAAAATACTAACATATATTTTTATAGAATTATGGAAACCAATTCTAAAATTCATATGGAACCAAAAAAGAGCCTAAATAGGTAAAGTAATCCTATGCACAAGAAACAAATCTGAAGGCATCATATTACTGGACTTCATATTACCAAAACAGCATGGTATTGGTATAAAAGTAGGTACATAGATCAATGTAACAGAAGACAGAACCCAGAAATAAAGCCAAATACTTACAACCAACTGATATTTGACAAAACATGAAAAAACATAAATTGGGGAAAGGATACTCTATTCAATAAATGGTGCTGGGAAAACTGGCAAGCCAATTGTAGAAGAATGAAACTAGAAACCTATCTCTCACCTTATACAAAATTTAACTGATGATGGATAAAAGACTTACATCTAAGACCTGAAAACATAAAAATTCTAGTAGAAAACCTAGGAAAAACTCTTCTGGACATTGGCTGTGGCAAAGCATTTATGACTAAGACCCCAAAGGCAAACATAATTAAAACAACAATAAATAAATTGGACCTAATTAAACTAAAAAGCTTTTGCATAGCAAAAGAAATAGTCATCAGAGTAAACAGATAACCCACAGAATTGTAGAAAATATTTGCAAACTGTGCATCTGACAAAGGACTAATATCCAGAATCTACAAGGAACTCAAACAAATCAGCAAGAAAAAAAAATAATAATAATCCCATCGAAAAGTGGGCAAATGACATGAGCAGACATTCCTCAAAAGAAGATATACAAATGGCCAAAAAACATTTGAAAAAATGCTCAACATCACAAATTATCAGGGAAATGCAAATTAAAACCACAGTGAGATATCACCTTACTCCTGCAAGGAGGTCCATTATTAAAAAGTCAAAAAACAATAGATGAAATGGATGTAGTAAAAAGGGAATGCTTATACATGGCTGATGGGAATGTAAATTAATACAATCTTTATGAGAAATGGTATGGAGATTTCTTACAGAACTAAAAGTAGATCAACTGTTGATCCAGCAATCCTACTACTGGGTATCTTCCCAAAGGAAAAGAAGTCAGTATATCAAAAAGACACTTGTATGCATGTGTTTATTGCAGCACAATTCACAGTTGCAAACATAATGAAACCAACCCAAGTGTCCATTAACCGATGAGTAAATTAAGAAAGTGTGGGAACTATACAGCATGGAATACTACTGAGCCATTAAAAAGAATGAAATAATTCTTTCGTAACAACTTGGATGAAGCTGGAGGCCATTACTTTAAGTGAAATAACTCAGGAATGGACAACCAAATAGAGAATGTTCTCATGTATAAATGGAAGCTAAGTTACAGGTATGCAAAGCCATGCAGAGTGGTAAAATGGACTTAGGATATTCAGACGCGGGTGGGTGGGGAGGAAGGATACAATACCGAAGCAGGTCATTGTCTGTGGTGAACACCCAGGGTTTGTCCTCTTGCGCCAAGAGGATTAATGACACAGACACACAGGAGGAGTGAGTATAGGAGCTTGGGCACTAATAGGCAAAAGAAAGAGAAAGGAAAGCAGCTCTCTCTCTGCTAGAGAGAGCGGTGTCCGAAAGGGAAAAGCCAGCCTGCGGCAGACTGCACCAAATTTCACAGGCAGGCTTGAGGGGGCGATGTCTGATTTACATAGGGCCCACAGATTTGTTGCTCAGGGGTGACATTTACATAGTACACGGGGAAGGCTGGCCACCCCACCCTAATCTTATTATGCAAATGGGCTTTCCACTTGGTGGCCATGTTGTCTGCTTCTTACCGTACACGTGGCTGACAAAGAGCAGGGAAGATGGAGCCACCATTCTGAACCTGCCCAGTCCCAGGTAGCCTTTTCCTATCAGTACAGCTGCCAGCATTCGCCCACGCAAGCTTCCAGCTTTCTTGTGTATGTTTTCAGTTCGATTTTACAGGCTGCTCTCTGTTAGAAAAGGAAATGATTTGGGGGCTGCTTTTCATTAAAAGGAAAACCCTGCAGAGGACTTCTTTACCCTCACTATCTGCCTACATAATTTCTTTTTAACTCCTATATCAGTACTACATATTGGGTACAATGTGTACTACATAGGTGACGAGCACTAAAATCTGACTTCACCACTATACAATTCATTCATGTAACCAAAAAACACTCATATCCCCAAAGCTATTGAAATTTATTCATAGATAGATATTAAAAACCTGTGTTTTTTTCTGTTAATCTGTATATTGTAATTTCATTTGTAGGCCCCCAAACACTAGACCCAAGTTGTAGGAGTAAAATTTTCCTGTCCTGTTTTGGCAAGGAGGAGGGGATGGTTTATACTCTTAGATTACCCTTAAGACTCCTGCTGAGATGTTGGATACTATGACCAAGCTGGCAAAGGTAAACCTTTTACCAGTCAGACCCCTGAATCTCTGCTCAGGGTCCTGAGCAAAGGCAATAAAAGCCACTCCTATTTTTTTTCAAAGAGTATTTTCTAAAATTTAGATTTAAAGGAGAAAAATTTTGGTTAGAACTAGTTTTTTTGTATACTGTGACTCTTCTTGCAGATAGCCATTATGTATCCATTTGTCACTGTCTCTTGTGCTATAAATTTGTGTTGTGCTGTCTAAACCGTGTTGTTTGTTTCCCAAGAATTTAGCTGTGCAACTCAAAAAGAATGTTTTCTCTGGATTTTGGCCTGCTGGGAGAGAGGTGACAAATTGTCAGGTCTGTGCTCAGACGTGGACAACCATCAGAAGGAAAACATTTTCTTTCATGATGAAGTATGATATTTACTCTCTACTCATTAGCAATATGTAGGAGTGGGCATTCTATTGCCAGTGTACTGAGAGCTTTTAACATGAATGATGTTGACTTTTTTGTCAATTTTTTTCTTCTGCATGTAATAAAATGTTAGCGTAGTATTTCTCATGTGCTCTATTAACATGGTTACTTTCATTGATTTTCTATTGTTGAATCAGTTTTGCATTCCCCAGATAAAACACATTAGCACACAATATACTATTATTTTTAATATTAAAAGCAAATATTAGTGGATTTGCTTTACTAGTTTTTTTTATTTTTTTTTTTTGGATATTTTTCACCTATATCATGAGGTTTACTGCTTGATAGTTTTATTTTCCTACTCTCTTTGTTTGGCTTGGCTATCAGTATAAGTCCAGCACCATAAAATAAACTTGTAAATATTCTTTCCTATTCCACATTCCAGGAAAAATCTATGTTAAATTGGTATTATGTCTTCCTCAAATAATTGGTATAACTAATCTGGATAGCCACCTGGGTAAACAGTTTTCTTTGTTAGAAAATTGTTAGCTACAAATTTAAATCTTAAAAGATATAAAATATTTAGGTTATTTAATTCTTCTGGAGTAGTTTGTACATTTTACGGTATTTGCCCATTTTAGAGAAGTTGTTGGATCTATGAATATAGAGTTGTTTTAATTTTTAAATTAATATTCTTTTCATATATGCATGTTCTGTGATGTCACCTCTTTCATTTTTATTATGTGTATTTTGTGTCTTATCTCTGTAAAATTTTCTTTGTCAATTATGCTAAAACTTCAATTTTGTTATTTTTTTTTTCCAGAAAACCAGAGATTGGTTTTTTTGTTGTTATTTGTTTGTATTTGGTTTTTTGAGGCAGAGTCTCACTCTGTTGCCCAGGCTGGAGTACAGTGACATGAACTGGGCTAACTGCAACCTCCACCTCCCAGGCTCAAGTGATTCTCATGTCTCTCCTTCTCAACTAGCTGGGATTACAGGTGCAGGCCACCATGCCCATCTAATTTTTGTATTTTTAGTAGAGATGGGGTTTTGCCATGTCACCAGGCTGGTCTGGAATTCCTGGCCTCAAGTAATCCACCTGCGTTGGTCTCCTGAAGTGCTGAGATTACAGTTGTGAGCCACCACACCTGGTCCAGAGATTAGTTTTTAAAAATGTCTTTACTTAGTTTTCAAGAATGTTAAGAATTTCTTTAGTAGATCTTTCTGTCTACTTGTTTTTACTTTAACTTGTTATTCTTTTTTGAGTATTAGGTTGCACCTTAAATCTTTCCATCTTCCAAAAGCATATTGTAGTTCCTTGACACTTGATGATTGCTCTTGCTTTGATGCAGAGGGTACAAGAGACTTATTCTTTATTGTTCTTACTCACTGTAAGTCTCAGATAGGCACTGTATCCCCGGCCCTGGATTGTGGTGCCTTCTTTGTGATTCTTTTACTTTTCCACCTGTGTATCTGGTTTCAGGATATATCTCTGCCCCTCTCCTATGAATACACAGGTCTTTTCAATTCCTCCTCTCTTCTTTTTCCTTGAACTGCAATGGGTTTTCACCAATGTCATAAGGGCAAGGGAGTTTCTTGCCCCTTTCTAGCATTTTAAGGCTTTTTTCTATTATGCATGATAGAAATGTTTATGTGGGGCTCAAGCAGCAGCTGCTATTCCTTCCCTAAGGCCCACACAAGAGTGTTGATTTATTAGTGCTATCACCTTCCCCCCCACCTTTTTTTTTTTTTTTTTTTTTGGTGAGGCTCCAAAATGTACAATTTCCAATTTGTATCTGCATCCCCCAGGGATTTGTATTCTCCCACTTGTCCACACTTTTCCTTTTACAAATCGTTCAAATTCTAGCTAAATCATGTATTTTCTCACTACCCAGACATGTCTTCTCTACAGAAGTAACTACTTATAACTGATGCTTTCATGGAAGTACTGTCTTTCATTAAATTTTGGTCAGTTGGTTTACCAGTGATCTACTTCCCTGATGCATTCAAGAGGACTTGTAAATTTGCAGGTTGTCTAGCATTTTTTCATAGGTGTAGAAATGTTCTTTCAATTTTATCAACATTCAAGGTAGAAGTTACACAATACTGATATTTTAAAACACAGGCTCTAGTATACAGCATGTCTTAAGACAGTCTCTCAATAAAGGCTTATTTAATGAATTATTTGTGGTATTTTATATATTATAGATGATTAAATCTTTGGAGTAGTATTCAAATTACATTTATGGATTTAGAGGGCTATGCCATGAAAGACTCCTACAGTAGTTATAAAAATTAATCAGTATGTTTAGGGGAAAATCCAGCAACAGAAACACAGTTACTGTGGTTTGACTATTTTATTAATGATGAGTGTTTAGGAATATTTAGCAGGACTGATGGTGAAGCAAAATGGTGTTTTCAATTCTGGAGGTTTGGCTGATGAACTGCTTCCTAGAGGTATGCTACAAGAAACAAATGTGTTCTGAATGTAAAATGACACACTAATCCCTGGATGGGAGTATTAAAAAAGTTCGTTGGAAACTACTTTGATCATCTTCTACTCAAATATATTTTTATCAGGTTTTTTGATTCCACTGTGCCAGGCTCCTGACCTCAATTAACATTTCAACCATAGTCATTATTGATTATTTGCATATTTTCATTTAAGATTTATTTATATAATGATATTGATAGTAATAATAGTTATGTATATAACATTTTTCTTGTGAGAGACACAGTTTAAAGTATAATACGTATATTTTTAATACTTAAAATGCCCTAGGGATTAAGTATTGTTATCCATAATCTATGGATGAAGAAACTGAGGGAGAGAGAAGCTGAATAACTTGTCCAAGTTCACAGATTGTAAGAGTTACAACATAGTTTGACCTATTAAGAAATGTTTGAAAATAATGGCCAGATATTGTGGTATTTCTCCAAGTAAGAATCTATCATTTATTTGCAAGTGCAGAGTGGAGAATAGCTGTTTCACAGACATATATAGCAGGCTATTAAAGGTCATGAGGTAGGAAGAACTGATCAAAGACTAAGTCTCTATGCTCAGTAAAACCCAGTTTTTCATGGAGGGTGTATTAGTCCATTCTCACACTGCTGTAAAGAAGTACCTGAGACAGAGTAATTTATGAAGAAAGAGGTTTAATTGACTCACAGTTCCACAGGCTGTACAGTTCCACAGGCTGTACAGGAAACACGGCTGGGAAGCCTCAGGAAACTTACAGTCACGGTGCAAATTGAAGGCGAAGCAAGCACATGGCCATAGGAGAGAGAGTGAGTGAAGGGGGAGGTGATACATGCTTTCAAAAATCAGATCATGTGAACTCTATCATGAGATCAGCAAGGGGGAAGTCCAGTTAACTCCCACCAGGCCCCTCCTCCAACACTAGGGATTATAATTCAACATGATATTTGGGTGGGGACACAGAAGCAAACCATATCAGAGAGGATTCCTCTGGACCCAGGGTGGACTTACGTATGAATTTCAAGGGGTATTTGATGGGGTGAAATAGCACCATCGAGATGAGTAATAAAACTCAGATGTGAAAAAGGAAGTATCCCAGTGTCTTCTCAAAACTACTCATGCCCATCAACTTCACAGATAAAAGAAGATTTGGTCCTCTGGGCCTAAATTAGATACGCGCCTGTGGGCCCAAGTCAGATATGACTCAGGAGGATAGAACAGACTGTTGTAGACTATAGTCACAATAAGTGTAGGACAAAAATGGATCATTCTTAGGCATTGATACACATGAGGAGTGGCAAGCTGAGAGAAGAAGTTTGAATATAGCTAAATAAATATGAACTTTACTAAAAACACTTATTACAAAAGACTGAATATATAAGAAATTACTGGAAAAAAATTAAAACAATGCTCAGAGTCCATAAATTACCTTCTATAAAATATAGAAATGATGATGTTTTACCTCCTGAGGTTTGTGATTCTTAGTATTATGCTACATCATACCTGGTAAATATGTTAAATTTTTTAAAAAGTTCATAGACGAAGTCAAATCTTCATAAAAAGTAAGGGAAGTATAAATAGAACAAAGTACCTAACATACTGGTTCCCATTCTCTCCTCACATCCACTGAAAGCACAGCTACCAGCTACTTTAGCGTCAACACTAATTTCTGGTAACTACTGACAACTGTAACCTAATATGATTGGCCAAAAACGTGTATTTTTCCTTTTTGCTTTACTCCACCTATAAGCTTCACTTTAGCAAAAATATATTAAAAAACTGTTTTTACTGGATTTTTCTAGTTCCCATGATTAGAGTCAACATTTTGATGACTGATCACCTGATCACCATCTCTAAAGCTACTATTCTCTTATGAAACCTGAGTTTCCCTCATCAATTCTTACTTAGTTCTAGAGATTTCTAACTTCACTTTGTTTTCTCTGTAGCCTGAACTTCTTGACAAATTGCTTCAAATGTACTCTCAACCCCAACCTTAATTCCTTTAGCTTTATCATCCTTCCACAGCATGTCTTGTTAAAACTCTTCACACGGTGAATCTAAACATCTGCTTTCTCCATTCCTACCCTCAAGCCCCTGAAACATGTTGGAAAAAATTACATAACTGGTCTGACTAGTGCCAAAGAATAGTCGTCGTTTCAAATTCCAAACTCATGGGAACTTCAACAGTGCTCAACAGTGGTATTATTTACCTCAACTTAGTCTTCTTTCAGTGAAGTGGTTGCTGTGAAGTGCCTTATCTTCATTCTGTCTAAATTAATTGCCTACATTCCAATAGATAGTTTACTTCATAATGCATATGGAAAATAAAACCACTTAAGTGTGGCTTCTCTTAATACCTCCATCATGCCCTGGGTCACCTTCCTGAATGTTTAATTCCCAATTTCCCCCAAGTTGCTGTATTTTATACAGAATTTTAATGTACTTATTTTATTTCTGAATCCTTCTTTTTCTTTATATATTTACCTAAGGTCTCCCCTTCATCAACAAACATCTTGAAGGGATAGTCCATGCTCACTGAAAATAGTTTCTTAATTTATGTACATTCTCTGCCTATGAAGACCACAATAAATCCTATGGAAAATGTTGTTAAAAAGTAATCAACAGCCTCATCTGTCTGGTATTAATATCTTAATCTTGAATCAGATGTGTATAGAATTGTAACATTTTATTTTTCTCATAGTTAAAATCAAATATTTTGCCATCTCATTCCCTGTCCTACATAGATTATACTCTTACATTCTACAAACAGCTCACCCTGGTAGATTTTATTTTCTTTAGTTTACCAAAGAGAAAATTAAGGTCAAACCCTGTCCAAGTCTCTCCAGAACCAGAGCTTCTTACACCACACTACACTACCCCTACTACCCGCATGCTAAGATCATTTCTGTATGACCACTGAAACAAGAAGCAGAACCTGGCCTTTATTCGACCTCGGCTAGGTATGTGCACATTACACAACTCAAATTTATTGCTACTTGAGTATCTGTGAATTGATCACAAAATTTCAGCCAGTATTCACTTGGGAAAACAAATTTTAGCCAGTAGGCAAATTTGCAAATGCAGATCATGTATAATGAAGACCCACTCTATACATCTTATGTCAGACACACATGTGAGTGCTTGCTTATATGTGCAGCAGGTCCTCAAATAATGTCATTTTCTTTCATTATGATTTGATGAAAAGGAAAAAAAATCACTTTCCAGCCAGGGCCATTGTCTATGTGGAATTTGCACATTCTCTCCATGTCCTCGTTTATTTTATCCAGGTATTCTGATTTCCTCTCACATCCCCAAGATGTGCATGTTAGGTTAATTGGTGTTTCCACAGTGTCTCAGGATGAAAGAGAGTGTGTGTGTGTGTGTCCACGTGTGTGTGTCCTCCACGTGTGTGTGTCCACATGTGTGTCCCCTGAGATGGAATGGTGTCCTGTCCAGGGCTGATGCACATCTACTGTCCTGAGCTGCCTAGATAGACTATGGCCAATTGCAACCCTGAAATGGAATAATTGGGTGAATAATTATCTTACTTGTTTTTATTAATCTTTCTTAAATTTATGTATAGCTCACATTTATTTCAATGGTTAATATTAGAAGTGTTTTGATCTTTATTTAGAAGTTTGGTGATGTTATTGTAACCAGAAATATACTGTAGGAAATTAACTCCTGTTTATATAAATTAGCTTATAGTAAAATTTGTTTTGTTATACATCATTGTTCTTAAAGTTGCAGTGTCTAGGAACCTATGGATGACATTAAGTAGGACTTACTGTATATACTCTTCTACAAGACCTCCTTTTAGGTTATAGGCACACACACACACAAACACACACATATACACATTTGTAAATGTGTGTATATGGGATATATGTACCTTTATCCATGTAGAAATATATGCATTTGGAAAATGTATATTCCAAATCAGGATTCAGCAAATTAGCCACTCTTTTCAAAGCTCTCTCCAATTCCACTCTCCTTGTGAATATTTGTTCCCTTCCTGGCCTCCATGTTCTGCTGATAACCTCCCTGAGAGAACAGTTTAATAATAATCACTTTCTGGCCGACTATGGTGGAGCATGAGCAGATTATCATATTTTTCTTTCTACGGAAAACCTGCAAAACTACTGGGCCCGTTGCTTGTCTAACTCATAGGTGTTATCCTCACATGTACAGGTATCAGCATAATTTTGGGGGGCAGTAAGTTAAGTTGTTCTGTGGGCTCTGCATATTCGCAAGTGTCCTCCTTTCACGTATGATCCTATGAATGAAAATGATGTCTTGCCTCTTCTTTCCAAATCAGATCCATACCATAAGTGTCATCTGCTGAAGTGGGGGTGGTCACTTTGGTTTCAGGGGAGGGCACTTGTCAGGGCTGACAAGCTACCCATGTACACTTCCGCCATTTGTAATTTCTTCTTGATCCACAGAAAACATCTGGATTTGTGCCACACCAAGTTTCTCTGTACATAAAACTGGGTGTGATATTTTCCCTCTCTTAAGTCACTATACTTGTCTTTTCACACTGTTGTTCTTTCACGAGGTAAAGAAAATAGAAGATGCCCATGGGCTCCACCTCTCTGCAAATTCACCACAAAGGACACGTGTCATCCTTGTGTTCCAAATCTCCCCTTATACTAGTGGTCAGGTCATTTACTCCATCTATTCTCTTTATTTTTGGACATTGCCATAATGTAAGCTCTGACCATTTCATATAATCCATTGAAATGATTTTTCTAACTGACAACTCTGCCTATGGTTCTTCAATTCATATTTCATACTGCTGTCATCATGTTTCAAAATACACATTCAAAGTTGCAATGCAGTTATTTAAAAGTTTTAGTAGTAATCATCATCACAATATATCTCATATGTTTGAGTAATTACAGAATGACAGCCAATGTTCTGTCACTGATGATGGGTTGTCTATGAACCTCTATTTTTATATGACATAATCTAAAGTTTCTAGAACAGCAAAAAACATATCCCATTTTACTTTTTCTTACAATTTTTGAATTTCCACACAAAATTACACTCCAGCTATCTATGGTTATTTGTTCTTCTGAGAATGATGCCATGCTGTTTGTATCATTTCTTTTGCACTCTAGAATATTCCACTTCTGCTTGGAAAACTGCTTTCTTCCAAGGTATATTTGCAATACATCCTTCTATGTGAAACTTTTCCCAATCCACTAGCTCCATTATTTGCTCTTTCTCTTATGATGCAAGATGACCATGTACATAAGGAAGAAACTTGTTCTTGACTTACTGGTTTATGGAACGGACTCAATTTTATCCTTATGAATCTACCTGCCATATTTTCAATTTTGATAGCAACATGATAGTTAAAAAGTGAGTACAGGAGTGAGCACTTTAAGCAAAATCAACCAAGAACATGCCCTAGAACCATGTGAAGGACTCTCCAATCTCCTCTCAGAACTGTGAAAGAGAGAGAGAGAGACTTATGGAGATTTTTTGTATGAATGAATACATGCTGGGAGTCTTAACTCTTTCCTTCAAAGTGGGTAAGGGATGAGCTCTCCTAGACATTAACTTCACATCAAGTTTAAGGACTATCAGCTTCATGCTTGGAGAGCTTCATATGTGTTACCCAATAAAGGAATACTGTTGACTGGTGTCTGACACATGCAAGAGAAAGCTAAAAAACTGTGGGAGAAAATATTTTTTGAGACAGAATAGAGCACCGTCATTGAAAAATAGCTACATGAATAAAAATAATGAACTAATGAATTAATGATTCAGTTTTATCTATTACAGGGCAGTTGCACAACCTGGAGGCTGGCATCATGGGGTCATTTAGGATTGAATCTGAAGGAGCCGCTGTGGTGGAAATGAAATCCCTGCACAAAAGAAGCTGGGGCTGAACTATCATATTCTCCTGGAAGTAGTGGTAGGAAAGAGATATTTATTTTCGGGACCCAGTACCTCTGAACACTTATTTTAGCTGTTTACTGCAGCTATGCTTTCTTGAAAGAGATATGCAGGAAGGATGGAAAAGTGTCTATTAGCCTTTTAATTTTCTCTTCTGAGAAATTCCAAAAACTGTTTTTTTTTTTCAACTAATCTATGCAATTAGCATCGTTCACTTAGCTTCTCAGCTTACTTAGTGGACTTTTTCACTACAAAAATAATCATATCAAAATTTAATTTATGAACAATAATTTGCTCCATTTAAGTGTACAGTTCTGAATTTTCACAAATGTTTACACCCATGTAACAATTGTCATGTTCAAAATAGAAGGAGACTATTTACATCACCCCCACCCCTGCCCCGCAACAAAATCTCTATGCTCCTTCTCTGTCTATTCTTCCTTCCCAGAACATCTTAGCAAATGCTGATAATGATTTCTATCACTATGGATAAAATTAGTCTTTTCCTGAGTTTTCATAGGTTTTTCTTGTCTGTTTCTTCCCCTGAAAGTTTGCATTTATATCTATGTTTTCTATTTTTTATTACATTTTAAAAAATATTTAATGTATACTCAGTTTAAGAATTAATTATTGAAATTTATTCCTTCTTCCCAAACAGTAAAGTAACATAAAATCATTTAGCTCTGCACACAGTATTTCAAATGTAGATAATATTAGGTCAAGCATTTTTTTTTTTTTTTTTGGTAAGTCTTACTATTTTAAACCTCCTTCTTAGTATTGTTATTGTTGTTATTTTATATTTAGTCACTGATAGAATTTCTAAATATTTTTCATCTTGCTTTTTTTCATTATTTCTTGCCTTGCAGACCTTCTTTCTGGGCTCAAAGCCTTCCTACCTAAATCACAACTTTTAGAATTTCTTTTAGTAGAGGCCTTTTGATTAAAAAGAAATTTTTTTTGAAAATGTTTTTATTTTATCACTGCTTTTAACAGATAGTTGAGCATGGCATATGATTTGTGATTGACAGTTACTTTCCTTGAAAATTGAAAACATTTTTCTATTGTCTAATAGCCTCTATTTTTATGGTAAAATACCTCTCAATAAAATCATCATTTCTCCATAGAAAAACTTTTCTTTGCTCCCTCAGGTGCTTTTATAATCTTTGGCCTGCAATGTTATTTGAAGTGTGAATGTCTTCTAATTTTTCTGACTCAATGTCATTGGCTTTCCTGAGTATGAAGATTAAGGTTTATCACCAGTTTGAAGAAATGCTTAGTGATTTTTAAAAATCTACCCAGGTATATCATAGATCTTGTAGCCTATGTGTCTCATAAAAATCCCTTTTCTTTATTTATCTCCCTTGCATTCTGAATAATTTTGTCAATTCTACTTACTAGTCCATTATTATTTTATTCCTTGGTGTCAAATATAATGTTCTACCCATGATATGCATCTTTAATTTCAATACTATATTTCTGGAAGTTCTATTTAATTCTGTTTTGAGACCTCTAGCTAAGTTTTAATACCTGTTTATTTTTCACTTATTTTTATTTCTTTAAATATATTTAAACATATTAAACATGTAATATTCTGATATCACGTGATATTTGGATTCTGATTATTTTAACACTAAAAATATATGGGCTATGATTGCACTCTTTCTTGTCTTGCTTCCCTGTGAATTCTTCTTTTTAATTTTGTCTTGCAATTCATTTTGCTTGAAATATTATCTGAGTTGAAGGTGCATACCATTAGAGAGAGTCTCATTTGTTTCAGCCACGTACTGTAGATTACTGAAACTCTATAAAATTTCAGCTTGAAGTTATTTAAATCACATTGAAAGTGTCAATGTAGACTTCAAAAATGCTTGAGGACTGGCATGTGATTATGATTTTCAGATTTTTTTTCCCTATGATCAAGCAACAAAATTGAAACTCACAGGTTCTTCCCATCCAGGTCATTCTATAGTTCATTTGGTCCCAGATTTACATAGGAGATTTCTTTAGATTGCCCAAGCAGTAGGTACTGTCCTTTACCCCTGCATTTTGTTGGTCAAAATGGAATCTCAGGAGCACCAGGGCTGGTGCATACCTCCAGGGTCAACATGGGTTTACATTTTGTTTGCCTCTCTACACTAACACATTTATTCATATTAGACTCTGGGGTTTTCTTGCTTTCTTATTTTCTTCGTGTTTTAGTTAAAAATATATTTTATCATACATTTTACCACCTATTTTTAGTTATTTAGTAAAAGGCATACTTAAGGGGCCTGATAGAAGATAAGTGCAGCAGTAATTCCTTGCATACACAACAATGACTTGCAAAAAAATTTTTAAAGTTTTTAAATACTCAATTCTCCAGTGTTCACACAAAAAACTCAGCCAAAATACTATTTTTCATTGAATTTGTTTGCAGGCCTTATGTTGCCTCATTAAATTTAGAAGGAAAAAAATCCGAAACAACATTTAAATCTTTTGAATGTTCTAGGCTGATAGGCACGTTTCTTTCTCAGAAGACGTGATCTTTTGTAAATGATTAAAAAAAGAAAAAAGTGGTCCTTCTTTGTGGATGTGGCACCACATAATTTCACAAGCTACTAACCCCTTTGGCTGGACATCTTTGTGCAGGCACAACTTGTACAAATTGTTCCTGCTCTTTTCTCCTTGAATGATTCGGTGCAGGCAAAAGATACCTGTGCATATATCATAGCTCATTGGATAAAATCCTTGAATTTTTCTGAATTAAAAGTTGATACCTACACAAAATATAATACATGTTTAATACTGAAGCATACTCACAGTAATTGAGAAACCTATATATCCTAATTTTTAATTCAAGAGACTCTATATTTTTAGTGAATTACTGACCATAATAAATAATTCAGAGGTTATCTTATAGTTACTTGTGTTCACATATAAAAACACTAAAAATAAATCTCAGATTAAGATATTATGTGGACATGTCAAATTTGTTTCATTGCAATTAGGAATAAAATAGCTAATTACATATTACATCATATGTATGACTGGTATTATATTTCTTTTTTTTGGTGATATCTTAGCATCATATCTACTTTTTCTGATAATATTTACTATTATCATGTAATGTGACATATTACATAATATGACATATTAGTTGTGTCATATCAGACAGATGTCATGAATTTTTCCTGTCGATAAAGCAAAGCTTTTAATTGTAACCTGATATTGTTATTTCACAAGTAAGTTAAATATCAAATTTAAATAATCTATGGCAGTGCAGTACATAGAAAGAATTCAGTTCAATTTTTTTCTTTTTTCATTTTTATGTATGTTGCCATCTTGCATTCCAGTGAAGAGGAAATAATTATTTTAATGTACCCTGATTGTAATTATTTCTTCTAATGTGGGCTGTATTTTTTAGGCACACATTTTGTTTCTACATTAGAAAAAATAAGGTAAATGTCTAAGGAATTCACCCTAGGCATTTATAACTGCATCTAAGAGTATGCTATCTGTCTCCTAAAGTCTAGACCATTCTCCATGCAGAAAATCCGTGACCAGAAGCCAAAACTCACTTCTTGGCAGATACCCTCTGGGATATGGTTAGTACTGAACAAAGCAGAAATAATAGTTTTTGGAACAAGAAGGTAAAGCAGAGTTGGTCTCCTAAGCCTATGGAAAAGTAGGTTAATGCAAAGGGAAGAATCCATTTCATTGTTATGAGTAGAATCATAAATAGCTGAAATTAATAGGTAATTCTGGCAGCAAGGATCAACTGGGTTAGTTGTTACTCATCTTTGAGTTCTGGACATCACTTGGGATTAAAGGTTTTTATTATATTATCTGAAATTAGTTCAAGATAGTTATGAAAATCCTGTAGTCTATTTAAAAAATTATAGTTACCTGTGGTTTCATCAGACTTGACTTTATTTTAGGTGCATAGTGTGTGTACACGTATTAAATGCATATAATTCATATAATTCATTTCACTTTCTCAACTGGAAAGCCTTTATTTTACTAAAAAGAAATTAAAATGTATGTTGAATTTTTACTGTAACATTTGAAAGCTGCTGTCCAAGATGTTATTGTGCCAAATTATACCTACTTGGTTGAGCTTGAATATAATCCTTAGCATATTAATTTTGTAATCTATTTGTAAACAAATGATTGGAGTAGATTGCAGAAAAATGTAAAAATAACTTTACATTGGGGTGAATATGTGCATATGATGTGCATGTAATTCAACACATCATGCTGCACATGATAAATACATGCATTTTTATCTGCCAATTCAAATAAATTTTAACAAAATAAAAAATATAAAAATAAAATTACTTTGAATCACTACAATCTATCAGTATATAGACTAACATCAATATTTGGGACCTGCTTTATTAAGATGAAATTTTTATGCAAATTCTTACAAGAATAGACTATGTTTGCAGCTGTTAAAATGAATACATAAGAAACAACAAGACAGGCTGTCTCAGTAGCAGCTACTCCAGTCTGTACAAGAGACATGGAAGAGAACAAGTAGATGTCTGTTTTCTTGCTGCCTGGAATAGAATGAGCTGCTAAGGAGATTATGGCCTTAGGCTTGTCTATATGTATGCCACTTAATTGGAAAGTGAAATATGTGAATTTCTCTAAGTTGACAAAGAATTCCAGATGATAGTATTATAGTTGAACTTGCACCTTTGCTCCATAATTTATCTTTAAAGATTATTTGATTTAATTGGTTTTATCTCTTAAAGTCTTCTCTTGATACAATCTGAATATTAATTTAGTAAAAATTTTATAATGGACCAACTTATAACTAAATCTGCATATCTAGCCTCTCCAGAGCTTCTTATTTTCCATATAGCTTTAAAAATATTAAAGTACAGATTGTTCTTAAAACATATCAATGTTATGTTAAAATTATTTAAGCATATACATTAGTTGAATCACAATAAAATAAATTGGTATCTCCATAACATGTTAATACTGTAAAACAACACACAGAAATTTAGAGCTGTAATTTTTAGCAAAAAGTATCAGACAACAATATGAGGGAAAAGCAATGACAAACATCATCTATCTATGAATAGTATTATCACTGAAGTCAGTTTACAAGTGCACACAAACACATTACTTTCTCAATGATTATATGGTATGATTACTAACAGTGGTACATCTATTTCTCATATACTCATGTATACATACACTTCATTAAAATTCAACCCTGTATTAAAGAAAAGCAGAATAGATAACTAAAGATTTAGATAATGTCATGGTAGAAATAGAATGAGGAATAACATGAATCTGTTCACCAAATTCACCCTAAGTTCTATCAAAGCAGAAATGTTGCCCTGGACCTAAACACAGACACAGACAGATACTTACACATACAAGCACATACCAACTCATGCACGCACATTTGCACATCTTATTATTATTTTTTCAACAATTTGATTTCATATACAAGAATGCTAATTTTCTTTTTACATTGAACATAGGTAAATAATGTAATTGCAATCTAATTCTATCTATTCATGGACTTACATGATGATTGGTTAAGAATATCTTACAAAGTGGTAACACTGGCAACTTCATCTCTATCTTACAATCTCCAATTTTGTTAGCATGGTGAATTCCAGGGTATCTGGCACCTTTGATCACAGGTCTGCACACACACCGGGCCCAGGATTCAAAGCAGTTGCAAGAGGAAATTTGTCTTGAGCTGGAAAAAGCGTAGGCCTGGTTACTATCTCCTGTCAACAAGATGTGTTAAAATATCGGTTACCACGTGCAGGAGGTGCCACAGCACCACCTCCTATACCAAAATTCAGAGCATAAAAATAAATGTTTATTGTACTTTTGAAATATTGCACAAATTTCACTCATGACCAACCTTAGCCCAGGACGACATAGGGAAGGAGGTTCTGGAAAACATAATTCTAGTTTAGCTAGTTAATAAGAAACAATGCCACCATAATAAGGAGTGAGGGTGTTATTCTGATTTCAGTATTTTCTACAGAAAACACTAGGAGAGAAATTAAAGAGTCAGGATAGGCAATAAATGTATTCACTGTACCTAAAAGTAGAGAAATGGGATGATAACTTGAGAGGGTTATGAATTTATGACTGGGGTTTTTGTATTTAAACATGGGATTAAGCATAACATGTATGTTTCATTAGGAAACATCAAGAAAAAGTGAAAATATGATTCAAGAGAGAGAAAGAAAGGAATTTATGGATCCATGTCTGAATTAATTAAAAGATGATGCCTAGTATGTAAATAGATGGGTTGGTTTTTGCTAGAGAAATTGTAAATTAATTTATAGCAATAATAGAAAAATTATAGTATATGGCCATAGATAAGGGTAGCTAGATAACATAGATGTTGGGAGCTTGTGGCAGTAATGTTACAAATGGTTCTATTTTTTGAAGTGAACTAGAAAAATAGTCATTCCATGACAGGGAGTTGGAGTTTCAAAGAGAAAGGGAATATTATGAAATAATTGTGTAAGAGACTAGGGGAGTAAATAGATGAAGGAAGTATTGTATGACTGCTGGTAAGCACTAAATCCAGAGCAAGACTTCAGAACATGGAGCCCTGTACAACTGCACAAGCCTCTTGCTCAAAAAGCCAGGTCTGCACAGGGTGTGATCAAAAGTAAAGTATTAATAAATATAAGTAAATCTACATTATTCAAACTCTTCATGATTCTAAATTGCTTGGACAAGTGTTTCTATCAGTATCATTTTATTTTTGAATTATATTCTTATGCAGACGTACAGAAGTTAAAATATTTCTAACAAAATGCAATTGGAGTATTTTTTGCTATGCAAATTAATTTGATGTTATACATGAACGTTATTTCTGAGTCAGTTTTTATCATAAGATATTGGTAAAATCAATATGGGTGAAGCATTCTCTTGATTATTTGCTCTCAATTATCTTCATGGCAAATCTATCTACATTTCCTGACCAATGACCCACTCTGTGACTTGACCGACACTTCTGTGCTTTCTCTCACTGTGCTTGTCTTTCAGTCTCTTTTGTTCTCTACACCATCACGTGATTTTGAAAAGTTAAGAAACCATGAGGCCACACCAATTATTTTCATTTTTTTAGACCCATGAAGTAGGTTTTAAACACAGAGGTTGTTAGGTCAAAGATGTTAAAAGATTTTCAAATATTAATTCTTCAAAGCTATGTGCTTAAAAAAGATTTTTAATATGAGCAGCCATCTGTGCATCTGCAAACACTTTAACAAAAAGGTTACCCAATTACTAAATGTGGATACAAATTTTCTTAAATACCTACATGAAATGTAAAGATATTGAGGTGAGAATTTGCCATGAATATGTAATAGTGGCTTTTAGTTCCTAGTTATTGTTGTTATAACCATCCACGAATGTATTTGGTAACCTCTTTTTATCTTTTTAACTTTATTTGTTTTTAAAGATAATTTATTTCTTTTCTTTCTTGACCTACGTTTTTGGTGCAAATTTCTGGGATCAGATTCACCTAGGAGGGTGTAGAGATACAACGAACATCTTTTTGTTAGTACAGGTACACATTCATCAATTTAGATGGCAATTCCATTGAAAATCAATAAACACAGAAACTAAAAATTTCAAAGCTTGTCAACAAAGTGGTTTGTGGAGCTAGAGAGCTTAGAAAAATCACCCAATTTATGATCACTGGCTTAAATGAGCGAACTGTACTATGATCAATTCCAAATATAACTTACGTGTGATACTTGTCTAACAATTTGTTCTACTTTTCTATTCCATGCGCCTCTGTACATGATCTTTTCATTTTCCATCAAGTAATTGGTAATAGTAATCAGAGGCTGTAGAAACACAAATGGTATATCAGTTTCTCTGGTAAAATAAGACAATCATAAATTTGAAAAATATATCATATCCATTTCATCATCCAATCACTAATATTTGGAGAGTTATTGGATCAGTAATATTATTAGCGAAATGAAGGAACAGATGCTAGTGATAGGCAGGACAGGAAGATTGGCCTTTTGTATTAAAAGTTACAAAGTTATCTTCAAATTAAGTTAGGAAATAATAATTTTGAGAATTTTATATTTTCATAGTGTTCAATAAACACTTTTGTAATTAATGAAGAAAGGAATCAAACGGGTAAGTAGAGTTCTTTGAGGAAAAGAAAACATGAATCACTCTGGTGACATATAAATGTGAATGTGAAAGTGTCAAACAAAGGTAATTCAGCATGGCTGTCTCATAAATATTGGCAAATTAAATTAAGCACCTTAAGCAAATATTTTGTTTATTGTTCTTCTGAATTTTATTCTTAAAATTTTGTTTAATACAAAGCAGTCACTGAAATGAAAAGCAATGATAAATTATTATATGTATATCATTATAGTTAAGCAAAGAATCACATATAAATTCTCTTGTAAGGAAAAAGTAAAATATTAAAATCAGATATCTGTACCCACTTCACCCACAGGCTTCATACTATTATAAGTTAACTCCATGATTTATTAATTGATAATAATAAACATGTTGAATGTGTCTCTTCAGTCTGCTATTTTTCTAGTCATTTATTCCCTTAATACATACTTTAAAGGCACACAGGTATGCTTATTTTTATTGATTTTTCAATCAGGTGTCAATTTACCCTTACTGGAATAAGATAAATAACTTTGAATTATCATGATCATTAAATCAAAGCATTTTTACTGAAGTATTGTGTTAAATTAGGTTAGCCTTTGTTTAATCCACTGAACATGCACTTAATGAATGATAAACTTTAAGGGAGCATTAGTATGGTAGAGTAAGGAAATTCATTTCTACTTTGTCACCCTTGCAAAGATGGGAAAAGAAGTTATCTACAAAGAAGCATGAACTTGCGTGTATTCCCATCCATAGCTTTCCTTCATTAACTGTGGTTAACAGACATTCTTTTTAACTTTTTTCCCTTAGGAGTCATAATCATTGTAATTCATCCTTATTATAAATTGGCTTATGTTAGAAAGAAAATAAATGTATTGTCATATAATTGGAGGATCTTTAATCTTTTTTCTGTATTTATATGGCCTACTTTATTGTAGATAATATTTAAGACTAACAGTCATTCAATGATTGTTTCAATACAATGGCCAGAAATTATATGTGTGTGTGTGTGTGTGTGTGTGTGTGTGTCTGCATGTGGGCATGTGTATCTAAATGCATTAATTGATTGGTAACCTTATACTTGATATAAGATGTATACACACACACAGATGACATATTTAGCATTCTAAAATTGTTTTAAAATTTTGACTTAGGCTGTACTGTCTTTCTGGAATGTTTTCTGTGAGAATAAGTGGTATTACAAATTAACCACATAAATTACTAATTGTATAACATTTTATTGATTACAGTTATTACATTTATAATTTCATTTTTCTTTTATATCTGAAGAAACTTTTTATAGTATTAACTTGTTGACTTTATGTCCTACTTGGATCAATTGATATCCTTATGAAGAAATTTAAAAAACATAAAGGGGAACTGCATAGAGTTAAAGATCTATAGAAACACTGAAGTGTTAAAATAATGATTAAAAATTTTAACTAATTAGACCGGGAAAACATTTTCAAACGTTAATAGCACCCAACAGTTGTGTGCTAAATGAAAAGAAAGACACTATTTCTTTCAGGCAGAAGCTACACAAAATAAAACAGCAGAGAAAAAGTGTTCATTTGGTAGGAAAGATGAGGATATAAAAACAGCACACTTTTCAGTTGTACCCTGTGGGTCTGTCAAGTCTATTGGGCTCTTATTTTACGTTCTCTGTCTCATTCTCTAATAACTTGAAGTTCAAAGAGAGAAAGTTTAGAAGGCTAAATTGAGGAACAAATATAGCGAAACATTTAGGTTTCATTTACGTTTTTCCACCTCCAATTTGCAATGGTCTAGTGGAGAAAGGAAAAGAATTGTGCATGTTTCTAGAGCAGAGGAAATGTTGTCTTACAGTGAGTATAGGAGGAATAGGACACTAGAAATCTATAAAAGCTATTTTACTAAAAATAACTGTATATAAAACTGTTTTATAATTGTAATCATTCAATTTTATTTAATGTCTATTGACAAGTAGATAGACATGCCACTGCCTATCATCTGTTGTGATTAGAAATGAAAAAAACATTCTGGGAGCCACATAACTTCATCAAAATGAATAAATGTCGTATTTATTAGTTACATATTTATTAAAGAAGACATTTTAAGTTTTCATCATACATCTCATAATTTATAAAGTTTCACATGAACTAGTTGATCTTTGTTAATGCTTGGCATGCGTATAAATTTATTTTAAAAGGCAATTAATTGTTTTTACATTAAATATATTATTATTTAAATTACCCAATTTTTAATGAACATATAGCATATTATATAAGAATATAACATATTTTACATAAAAAAGGTCTATATGTGAGCAGAATCCAAACTTTCAGATTTTGCACCTTCTTTATGAGCATGTTGACTAGCTTTAGAGACTTAGAGAAGAAGAAAGGAGGTGGCAGTGACCTATTAGCAACACCAGATATCAGTTTATAGTAAAAATCATAGCTCTCCAACAAACATTAATAATGCAATGTCAATACATAGTGAAATAAATATCTGACATCTTAATTTCAATTCATTACAAATATAATTTAAGGAGATAAGCTTACAGCCTCAGAGGAAAAATAAAATCTGAATATGAATACAGCACATAGCAGATGTCTGCCCTCGGCTCTTATAGCTAGTCAAGCATATAGCCTATTTTGATATTATTTGGGACATGGTATAAAGTTTGGGAACTGTTATATTAAGTTGTCAATATCACTTCAGAATCTTTTTTTTATTGTATAAATCTAAGGGGTATAAGTACTATTTTAATTGGATATATTTTATAGCTGTGAAGTCTGGGCTTTTAGTGTAACCATCACCTAAATAATGTACATTGTACCCATTCAATTTTTTATCTCTTACCACCTTCCTACTGTCCTACCCATCTGAGTCTTCAATGACTATTTTTCCACATTCTATGTTCATGTGTACACATTATTTAACTTCCACTTATAAATATGAATGTGGCATTTGTCTTTCTGTGTCTGAGTTGTTTCACTTAAGATAATGACCTCCAGTTCCATCTATAATGCTGCAAGACATAATGTCATTATTTCTATAGCTGAACAGTATTCTGCTGTGTGTTCCATTCCATTCCACCATGTGTTCTTTATCCAATCGTCTGTTAATGAAAGCTTAGTTTGATTCCATATCTTTGCCATTGAGAATAGTGCTGTGATAAACATATGAGTGCAGGTGTCTTTTGATATAAAGATTTCTTTTCCTTTGGGTAGTGATATGGTTTGGCTCTGTGTCTCCACCCAAATCTCATCTTGTAACTGCCATCATTCCCACATGTTGTGGGAGGGACCTGGTGGGAGATAATTGAATCATGGGGGTGGGTATGTCCCATGCTGTTCTTGTAAGAGCAAATAAGTCTCACAAGATCTGGTGGTATTATGAGGGGGAGTTTCTCTGCACAAGCTCTCTCTCTGTGCCTGCTGCCATCGATGTAAGATGTGACTTGTTCCTCCTTGCCTTCTGCCATGATTCTGAAGCCTCCACAGCCGTGTGGAACTGTGAGTCCAATAAAACCTTTTTACTTTGTAAATTGCTCAATCTCCGGTATGTCTTTATCAGCAGTGTGAAAATGTACTAATGCAGTAAATTGGTACCAATAGAGTGGGGCATTACTGAAAAGATACCTGAAAATGTGGACGCGGCTTTGGAACTGGGTAACAGGCAGAGGTTGGAACAGTTTGGAGGGCTCAGAAGAAGACAAGAAAATCTGGAAAAGTTTGGAAATTCCTAGAGATTTGTTGAATGCTTTGAACAAAAGCCTGATGGCAATATGGACAGTGAGGTCCAGGCTGAGGTTGTCTCAGATAGAGATGAGGAACTTGTTGGGAGGTGGAGCAAAGGTGACTCTTGTTATGTTTTAGCAAAGAGACTGGCATCATTTTGCCCCCGCCATAGAGATTTGTGGAACTTTATACCTGAGAGAGATGATAAAGGGTATCTAATGGAGGAAATTTCTAAAAAGCAATGCATTCAAGAGGTGACTTGGGTGCTGTTAAAGGCATTCAACTTTATAAGGGAAGCGGAGCATAAAAGTTCAGAAAATTTGCAGGCTGATAATGTGATAGAAAAGAAAATCCCATTTTCTGAGGAGAAATTCAAGCTGGCTGCAAAAATTTGCACAAGTAACAAGGAGCCAGATGTTAATCCCCAAGATAATCAGGAAAATGTCTCCAGGGAATATCAGAGGTCTTCATGGCAGCTCCTCCCATCACATGCCTGGAAGCCAAGGAGAAAACAAAGGTTTTGTGGGCCAGGCCAAGGGTCCCTGTGCTGTGTGCAGTACAAAGACTTAGTGCCCTGTGTCCCACTCCAGCCATGAATAAAAGAGGCCAAGGAACAGATTATGCCGTGGCTTCAGAGGGTGCAAGCCCCAAGCCTTGGCAGCTTCCATGAGGTGTTGAACCAGCAAATGCAAAGAAGTCAAGAATTGAGATTTGGGAACCTCCCCCTAGATATCAGAAGATGTGTGGAAACACCAGGATATCCAGGCAGAAGTTCACTGCAGAGGTGGGGCTCTCATACAGAACTTTCACTCGGGCAGTGTGGAAGGGAAATGTGGTGTCGGAGCCCCCACACAGAGTCCCTACTGTGGCACCAACTAGTAGAACTGTGAGAAGAGGGCCACTGTCCTCCAGACCCCAAAATGGTAGATCCACTGACAGCTTGCATCGTGTGCTGGAAAAGCTGCAGACACTCAACACAAGCCTGGGAAACCAGCCAGGAGGGAGGCTGTACCCTGCAAAGCCAAGAGGCAGAGCTGCCCAAGACCATGGGAACCCACCTCTTGCATCAGTGTAACCCCAACATGAGATATGGGGTCAAAGGATATCATTTTGGAGCTTTATGACTTGACTGCCCTGCTGGATTTTGAACTTGCCTGGGGCTTGTAACCCCTTTGTTTTGGCCAATTTCTCCCACATGGAGTGACTGTATTTACCCAATGCCTGTATCCCCATTGTAACTTGGAAGTAAATAACTTGCTTTTGATTTTACGGACTCAGGTGGAAGGGACTTGCCTTGTCTGAGATGAGACATTGGACTGTGGACTTTTGAGTTAATTTGGAAATGAGTTAAGACTTTGAGGAACTGCTGGGAAGGCATGATTGGTTTTAAAATGTGAAGACATGAGATTTGTGAGAGGTCAGGGTGAAATGATATGGTTTGGCCGATTGGTTTTGACATGTGAAGACACAAGATTTGGGAGACGCCAGGGCAAAATGATATGGTTTGGCTCTGTGTCCCTACCCAAATCTCATCTTGTAGCTCCCATCATTTCCACATATTGTGGGAGTGACCTGGTGGGAGATAATTGAATGATGGGGGCAGGTCTTTCCCATGATGTTCTTGTAATAGTGAATAAACCTCATGAGATCTGATGGTCTTATAAAAGGGAATGTCCCTGCACAAATTCTCTTTCTTTGCCTGCTGCCATTGATGTAAGATGTGACTTGCTCCTCCTTGCCTACTGCCAAGATTCTGAGGCCTCCCCAGCCACGTGGAACTGTGAGTCCAATTAAACCTCTTTATTTTGCAAATTGCCCAGTCTCAGGCATGTCTTTATCAGCAGTGTGAAAACAGACTAATGCAGGTAGATACCCAGTAGTGGGATTGCTGGATCAAATGGTATTACTGTTTTTGGTTCTTTGAGAAATCTCCATGTTATTCAATCAAATATTTTTGCAGAGAAGAAGGTCATAGTCAAAAAGGCATAGCCTTGATTTATTTTCAGACAAGCATTAATTGCTACCATCCCTGCAAAATTTTATCTGCTGATTTTTTACATTTACTATTATAAATCACATTTAAATAATATGAAACTCATTTGGGGGGAGATGAGTTTAAGTAATTATATTCAATGGAGTTGTAAAAGCGAACACAATGTATTTTATATCCCAGAGCATTCACTCTTTTTGTTGTCTCTATCTGATACACTCTATGCCACAATTTTCAAAACTGGCTCCTTTTTCTCTTATAAGACTAAACTATAATATCACTTTCTCAGAGGAACCCTCCTAAGCCATTTTATTTAAAACAGTCCTATTCACATTCGTTTAAAGCAGGGCTTACTGAGGCAGTTGTGTAAGCTCTGTGTAGTTAGTGCCTGGCATATAATGGACACTCAAAAAATATTTATTGATGAATGAATAAATTGTCAAAAACAAGTATTTTTGACTTAGGTAAGGAGAGATATTATTTTAAAAGACTATTGCAGTAGGGAAAAATCTTCAGATCATAAGATCTCCAAGCACCTTATAGAATAGGCAGAGGAGAATTTTCTTTAATAGGAAGGTGTAAAGAAGACAATAAGTACTGGTTACTGGGGAGTAGGGTGGAATGGTGGCTTGATAGGGCAGTTGAACAGAAACAGTCTTTTCCCAAGGTTGTCAGATTCTCGGGAGTGGTCCATAAGGAGGTATTGCTCCATATTCCCATGCTAGTGTTGACTGAGTATGATTCACAGTTCTGGGTTACGGGAAGAAGGAGAGAAAATTAAACTTGGTCAAACCAAGTTAGAAGGTATTTTGAGCAGATTGGTGAGTGAGTTCAAACAATTAACTATTTATGAAACACAGAAAGGAAATTTGGTAAATCTGCATTTGACTTTTTCATAAATAAACAAGGGAAGCATTTATGAGTCTTAACTGACTCATATGGGGGAAGCTGTATTTTTGTAGTAAGGCATTTCCTAGAACACAAAAGGATGGGGGACGGTTCTTAATTATTGCTGCTTTTCAGAAACACAGGGCTCTTATAAACACTAACATTGCCAAAATGAAAAATGCAAGTTTGTTACAGTATGTTTAAAGTAATATTTAATGTGAAATGACTATGTACAAGTCTACATATGTACCTGTATCTTTATGTATTTATTTTTATATTGATATTGGTATTTATATTATTATTCTACATAAATATGATCTAGTCAATATTTCTCAACATGTCTAATTGATAGAGACTAATCAATGAATTATAGAATGCAAATCATCCTTGGCTTGTGGCCATTGTATGCCAGTTTCACCCTTAAGATATTATAACCATTACAAGCACATCCTGCCTTCTCCTCTTATAACCAAATGCCCCTTAGCAGAGCAGCTCTAATCTTAGTTGAGAATCATTGGAACACAGATGTGTTATAGATTCTAAATACTAATGTTATATTTCAGTAATATTCTCTATTTATTCTCATATGCATATCCATTGTTAAACTGCATTTGTTGAATATGTAAATCCTAGAAAATAAATCTTTTATATTATCCATTCTACCATAAATGGTTTATTTAAGCCAATCATGGGTTATAAATTCTGCTTACCTAGTCAGCTATTTTCATCCCCCTGGCAAATGAGACCACAAAGAAGCCTTCTGACAAGTTGTTGGAAATGGATTCCTTGCTATCAATAAAAGACAAATAAATACATGTTAACTTTGCTTTGTCTGGACATTTTTAAAAGTAGATGATTATAATGTGTAGCCAAATTGCTATATCCATCTTTTACCAATCCCAGGATGAAGCTAGTTCACTTGAAGAGTCAGACTGAAAAACTGCAGAGAAGAGTGTAAAAGCTTTGATACATAATTTCTAAAGATGATGTTTCTTATGAATGTTTTTACACGCAAGTAAACACATTTTCTTACTGCTTAAAAATCTGAGTTGGAGATTTTGTTACTGGTGACCAGAAACATCTTATCTTATATGCTATATTTTTGTTGAAGTCCAATAAATCCCAAGGAACTGTTTATTTTCTACTATTCCTAAAAACTCATGAATATATGTCATAAAATCTCTTTCCCAAGTTAAAAATTAAATATCTCTTAGCATTGATAATACAAATTTATTATTAGGAAAGTAAAGAAAAATTTACAATAAAATTATCCACAATGAGAACATTAAAGATATGTCTACTTACTGAAATGAGTTGACCAAAAACAATTTTTGTAAGAGGAGAATTTTTACTAGCCTCCAATTTTAAGTGTATCTATTTTGATATTCATAATGTGGATACATCATTCTTTTTGCTGTTTAAAAATCCATTTATAAAAAATATAAAAAGTCTTTTATTCCATGACAATCATCATCCATCTACTATTCCTAACATGGGACAAAGCATTATAATCATCCCTAGTATCCATCAATTCTTTTTAGAAAGAGAATTCTCAAGTTTATTTGGGCACCTTGTTACATACCTAAAGAAGAGTTTGCTGTTCTCCCTTATAACAACTATGAAATTTCTGGGTCACCTCGTTAAAAATGTAATTACATACCCTACACTGTGTTTTTTCCTTATTCTTGATTCTTAAGAGATGGTAAGACTGCCGTCTAGAACTCTGAAGGAGAAGCAAAATGCTGGGGAACTCAGCCAAATTTCCAGTCTGATTCCCTTGATAATCTTGTGCAGTTGAATTGCCCTAAAGCCCATAAATAATCTCTAGATTATTATATGAATGAAAAATAACTTCTTACTTAAAACCTAGCATTTTAAAAAATACCTTAGCCTAGTTTGTACCCTTACTAATAAATATATATTTCCTAGAAAATCATACTTACCAATAACATTTGTGAAATTACTAATAGAGATGGAAAGATGGACCATTGAGTAGGCTGTGCGTTTTTTTGTTGAAAGAATATAGGTGAACCAATGGAACACTGGAGTGAAAAAATAATTTTGCCTATCTTTCTAACTGAAATAAATTGGTAGTATTTTTCTACATGCCTGAGTTGGAAGGAATGTGAAGTAGTGATCATACTCCTTAAGAGTGATTGCTATAACCTAATATTGCTTGCAATAGAACTGGGATAAAGAAGTGGTGGTATATATGCAACATGTTTTAAATGTTAATCTAGGATTTGAAATAAATGTCATAGCAAAACAATCAGAAGATAAATGAGAACTTTGAAAAAAATACCAAAGTAAGTGTTGGCATTCCTCCTCACGCCACAGAACTCACATAACTTGTTTCAATATTCTGCTGCAAGATACTTTAGAGGTATTATACTTCCTATTAGCATTAGTAAATATAGAAAATTCTAGAATAACTTCATCCTGTGAGTTGAATATTCTGCAAGTTTTAAAATACTATATGTAATGCTGAAAATGGGCATTTTCTTGCTTTTCCACAGCAGCCAAGTAAGAAGTGTGTTTGAATAAGCAAGTTTAAAAACATATTCAGACTACATCTTCTCAAAAGAAAATGAATGAAGCAGATGCAATAAGTTCTCCTTCTTGTTCTACAAAACATGCATAGCAATCAATAAAACTATCATCTCATATTTTAAAACTTTAGTCAAGATCACGATTTTCAACTTTATATCTAAGACATTTTACTTAATTTGTAAGAGACAGGTAGTGACCCATAAACACACTTACAAAAACATACTTAATGAAAAGGTCAATTTAGTTGAAGAATAATGGGAAATGTAGCATAAACATTTTGTTTGCATTGCCCTTTAGTTGCACCTTAATATATGAAATGTGCTGTGGTGCTTTCTTGATGTGGAAGAGAAAACTAAACATCAAAGTTTTGTGTCTTCTTTCCTTAAAGTGAAGTTGTTGTTGGAAAACGGCTGTTTGGTCAGCATCTATATTTTTCAAACTCCTGTGGGAAATGTAAATAGTTAACTGTACCATCAAGTTAGTCAGTAGAAAGATCAGAAAATAAAGCAAAAATAGATATACCAATTAGAAAAGACACCAAAATGGTAATAGTTGAGTTTATTGCTTTAATTGATCTCCTAAACATTGGCCTAGCAGATTTTCTAATTCATTTTATATGCAGGCAGGATAAAAGGGAGGAAGATAAGGAGAGAGGGGGAAAGAAAAGGAAAGAAATAGAATGAGATGGAAGAAAGCCTCCATCTGGAAATAGGGAAGTAGGAAATATCACATCATCTGTAATTTCTTCATTCTCTTGTTAACTAGAAATTGGAATTATCAGACTAGATTGTTTGAGATAGGAAACTTGGATAGATTGAATCATTAGTTCTGTCTTGAATGTTTGAGTTGTGACTTTGAAACAGAAAAGTTTGTAGAAAAAAAGGATTAAACTTCACATCTTAATACTTTTTAACATTTCCTTCCTACTCCACACTCTGCTCCAAACAGTGACAATGGCACTTCTTTTTTTTAATTCTCCTCTCAATTTTTAAGAAGTCCTTAAATTAATCCATCTACCTTAGGCCTGTTGGATTAGTCTAGTGCTTTGTTAGTGCTCTGGCAGAGAAAACCAGTGCAATATTTTCTACTCTATGGGATGGGTAAGAACCTGAAGAAACAAGTTGGAGCACTGGGAGAGGACTAAAAATGTAGGCATAGCTAGATAAGCTTTGTCCTTAGAGTTCTGTGGACTCTATGAATGAGTTAATCATGTAAGTTATCAGCCTAATACTTTTGGAGAAAAGACAGTAGTTAAACCAATGGAAGAAAATTCCCATGAGCTCCAGTTGGCACATTAGGAGTCCACAGAATTCCAGGTCAGAATAAGAAGAAAAAAGTCGCCTGTAAGTATCCTGGTAACATCAATTAAGAGAAAATATTATAAACTTTCATATGGAAAAAAACATGGTATCTACAAAGAGAAAAAAATAAAAATAAGGTCTCTCTGACATTATATTTCTCTTTTAGGGCACTTAAAGCAAAACAGAGTAGGCTATATGTTCGGATTGCCAAGGAATAAGATCCGCAACCATTCCAATATAAGCTACTTTTTGGAAAACAAACCTAAAAGAATAAAAAATTTTGTGTGGATCTTTAGGATAATAGAAGCACTGCCTTTTAATCCTCATCTCATCTGATGTCTTATGTTACCAGTAAAATGTAATTTTAATCTGTCTTGGCTTTGTCCAACATTTCATATTTATTCTCCCTTACTTTGTAATCAATAATCAGGTGGCAACTCCAACGTATTTTCTGTATAACAATTTAAAAGTAATTTGAATAGCCCTATGTATATACTTATTAATATCATCACTTCTCAAGGTATTTAATTCAATAATAGGAGATGTTAGTTATAGAGCTCAATTATTAACACTGCGGGTGTTTCATAACTCTGCTTTTCTTACTTTGCGGTAAATAAATGCAATTATAAGTCTTTCTTTAGTTATCTTAGATCTTGTTCTCTTAAATAATAGTAACTGCATGTACATGTTTTTCTTTTCTTTCTTTTTACCATATACACTCAATTTCACTTGAAAGTCATGGCAAATATAGAATAATCTTTGTAGGGTTGACGTAATTCTTTTCTAATTGTAACTTTAACCTACTTAAAGAATCATATAATTCATATAAAAGTCAAAGACTGACAAGTTTTAAACCAAAGGTATTTTAAAATATTTTATCTCATCCATGAACATGTTTCTCACTACTTATCCTGCAATCTGCTGAGTGCTATTTTTCTTACTTTTATTTTTTGACAGTTTCTGTATATACTCGATGAAACTTAACAGGTTGAGATTGAAAAAAAAAAAACTAGTATCATATTAGCTAGCAGTTTTTCTAAGCATAAAAAAGGCAAAATTGTGTTTTAAATTTCAACTAGTAATAAAACATGCTTGTTATGCATATGTAAGACTCAAGAAACAGAAAACATCCTATGATAATTTTAAAAATAAATTATCAATTAAATATAAACTAACATTTAAAATATGGCAAAGCCACCCATGTGCTTTATAAGAATTTGTAATGTCTCTTTATTTCATTAATTTCATCTGTTATAACATATTGCAGGTAAAGCCTTTGTGATGGCATCGATATATCTAGATACCTCTAATTTAAAGTAGTAAAGAAACAATAGAAGTAATAAGGAAAGAAAACAATTTTTGAAATAGCAATCTATTTTCTAGTTGAAAAATATAAACCACAACCATATATTTGACATGAGTATATATCAAAATCTTCCTCAAATGTGGACTGAAGCCTAAGTGTTGCTTGCAGGCCTGATTATAGTGCAAGGAAAACCCAATAAAAATTGTAACATTCTACTTCTTATAGGCCCTTTTCTCTAATAAGTATAGATTTTTATATATTGGTAAAAATGACAGCTTGTACATAAGAAATTATTGCCTCAAATATAGTACAAATAGTTACATTTTTCTAAGTGAACTTGTTAGCTATAATTTGCCAAGGCGATTTAATACAATTAATGAAATTGGAAGTAGCATTAATTCCTGGTCATTGTTATATTTGACATATTAAAGATAGTTTAAAACATGGTTAGAAATCTTTTTCTATGTGTTCAAGGATAATTAACTTTGGCATATAAAATTTATTAAAATCAAGGCAATTTATATTACAGAGCATTGCACATACCTAGGTTAACATGAAAGCACCACGTCTCTGCTAACCATGAGATTACTATAATTCACAAAGGTACTTTTTCGTAATTTTGAGTGATTTATGTACATAGTATAGTCAACAAATAAAGATGGTGTTAAATCTAGAAGAACCTTCATTGTGAGTATTGTGATAAAATGATTTTAATATACTGTGTTTTAAAAGAGAAACACTTGAATAAGGGATGCAGCTATTGGGTTATTTCTATTGAATTACTCTAATTACATGTAGTTGGCAAGTATAATATGAAAAATGTGTTTTTATATCAGCTTAAAATTTTAAAAGAAAAAACAGAGGTAGACATTTGTTTAAATGTAAATGACTAATGAAGCAATAATTGTTCTGTATACATGTGGCTCAAAAACCTGCACATACAATTACTGAGATAAAAATTCATTTGTAACTTAAAATTTTTAATAATTAAAACATTTTCAATACTTTAAAGAATCAGAGATACTATTAGTAGATAGTGTGGATTTGGGCATCTTGCTATAATTTTGCAGTCACTTTCTTCTTATTTTATCCATGCCCAAGTCAGGCAAAAAATACATCAAAATACCAAATCAAGTATGTTTCCCAGCATGTTGGTTCAGAGGCACAAATATGACCATGACCTAGAACAGATAGCGCAACAAAGAAAACAGTCTTAACAGATATAGAATAATTAGAAAACATTCTAATTGTCCAATTTTATCATATTAATTTTTGGGAAATGACTTTTCAAATGGGAAATTAGTTGTCTTAGAAATTAGGAAAATATTTGTGGATGAGAGAAGACTATGCTGGTGCCACATATAGAATACATGACATATATTGGTGAAGGAGGTATTTGTTCCACATTTTATGTCAACTGTTTTAGCAATGATTTAGTGGTGAAGAGAAGCATTGAGTACAAAGTGAATTTATTTATCTATTTATTTATTCATTCAATGAATAGTTACTAAGAACCAGGAATTACTGGGAACAAAAGATAAAAATGATCAACACCTAAGAAGAATGTCATGGCTTTCATAGATCAAGCATTGAAGTAATAATGACTAACTACATTTCCCTCTTTATTCAGTTGCCAGGGGCTGCGCCTTCTTTGGGAAGCTTTCTCTGACTTTCTTGGGATATACTTGTTGTCCTTCAGAGTAGTCAAAGAGCAGTATGAGCAGTATTTTCTGTGCATTCCTAAAGCGAAAGTCATTGTTTTATAATTTGACTTACATATCTATCCAGAAGTATTGAGTAAACACTTAAAAAACATGCCATTAGTTTTCAGATGCATATCCCAACATCTTAGCACGCTGTCAGAAAAATGACAGAGCAGTGTTTCTCAAATTTAATAGGCATATAAATCACCTGGAGATCTTATAAAAATGCAGATTCTGATTATTTTTGGAATATGGACTACTATTCTGCATTTCTAATATGATGTTGGTGCTACTGTCTATGAACCACACATTAAGTAACAAGGTAGTAGATATTATGAAATTACAAATTGTTTGATGATTTAAAAAGATGAGAGATTAAGAGTATTAATATTTAGTGGGTAAGTAGTGAAAGATGATTTAAAAGATACTAGACAGCTTGGTATTGCTAAAGACCAATAGAGAATGGCCACCAGGAGGAAGCTTATAGATTTTATGGAAAAACCTGTGTATTAGATAAAATTTTTTTCAGGCATGAGTTATAATGTTGTTGGCTACAAGTTCAATGTTAGAAAGTGAACAATATACAACAAATAAGTTGTCTTTATAAAGAAACACACATTAAATAAGATTCTGTATTGATTGGTTGTTGAATCTAACCCTGTACTAGGAGCAATGGTTCAGCATTTGCTAATTCAATTTTCATGGAAACTGCATAGAACATAACTATTGCAAATCTTAAGAACCAACTATACCTACATAATATTCTAAATTTTGATTTCTCACCAGCAAAGAATAAAATACTAGTTGTTCCTTTATAGACGAGTTTGCCAACCCCAGGCTTAGGTGATAAAGTGAAGGAAAAAGAAAGATGTTGGCTTAATCTAGAGCAAACAGGAAGATTGTGAGACATTTTTATATATGATGTATCTTAAGAATATAAGACATTGAAGAATATAAATATATTAACATATAGTATATATAGATAAACATAGATTTATATATTGGTATTACCAACTACGTTTTTATTCACATTGTCTAGTTCATTAGATATTTTTATAATATTGTGTCTTATAATGATTGTATCTGAGTCTAGTTCTACCTTTATTATTTATTTTATGGGTTATTATTGGGTTTCATACCAGATTATTAGTCATATAAATGTTCCCAATTATTATTAAAGAAAATAATATTTTGCTGACTGTTTCATGGTTGTAATATTTATTTTGTCATTTGGAGGATATTTAAAATGTGCACACTGCTACTTTGATTACTTTCTGTAAGAGATCTCTTGCTTACTACAACATTGCTTTTAGGAAAAAAAAAGTTCTTTTAAGATCAGTCAGTCAGTCACTTCTTGTTTTGATGAAAACTGTATGATGAGGCCAGTCACAAGATGGCGGTGTAATGATGTATATTAGTAATGGTTGTGCTGGATAGATGATTAAAATAATATTTGTAGTAAAATTTTAATAGGACTGAATGGTTGCATTGGAGGAGTAAGTATGAGGAAGAAACCAGAGATTACAATTTCATTTTTTCCCGAAAGGAAAACTAAATTAAGAATACTTGGCTTTTTCCAAAATATGCAATCTTGGAGAAAATTATGTAAAATTTACGACATGTTTCTTTCTGGTATAAATTTCATGCGTTTATCGTAAGTTCAAGAGGCCGGTTTAAGAAGGGGTAGGCATTTGAAGATATATTAGGAAAGATATATGACTATTGAATTTTTGGAAGTGCATTAGGTCAAACAGATAGTATATGGTGAGAAATAAGTTTGGGCTGAATTCTGTAAAACAACAATATTTAAGGCATATGCAAAAGAGTGGATCTCCTGCAAATGGAACAGAGAAGTGGCCAAAGGATATGAAAGGAAATAATTTGTGACGGAGAAAGTGATTGACAAATCTCTAAATAATTTACTTGAGTTAATACAGTTAATGCATATTTATTGGTGACATTGGAGAGAGCTTTCATTGTTGTTGCTGTTATTGTTTTGTTCGTTTGTTTTTTGAGACAGGTTATTGCTCTGTCACCTTGGTTGGAGTGCAGTGGCATGATCACAGTTCATGGATAGAGCTGGAGGCTATTATTCTTAGCAAATTAATGCAGGAACAGAAAAGCAAATACCTCATATTCACACATATAAGGGCGAGCTAAATGGTGAGAACATATGAACACAAAGAAGGAAATGACAGACACTAGGGTCTACTTGAGGGGAGAGAGTTGGAGGAGGGAGAGGAGTAGAAAAGATAACTATTGGGTCCTGGGCTTAATTCCTGGGTGATAAAATATTCTGTACAATAAACCCCCATGACTTGAGTTTACCTGTGTAACAAACCTTCACGTGCACCACTGAATCTAAAATATTAGTTAAAAGCAAAACAAAATAAAATAATCTGTTATTTCTACAACATGACCTTTGTAAGTCTCATGGCACTCTCAAAGCAAAAACCTTTAATAGATAAACTAGGAATAAAAAGCAAGAAATCCAATCATACTGATACTGAAAATCACAAAGGAAGACAGTGAAAGAAAAAGAAAAAGAAAAAATCAAAGGCTGTATAAAACTACCAGCAGACAAGGAACACTATGGCAGTACCAAGTCATTACCTATTAATCATTACTCTGAATGTGGATGAATTAAATTATCCAATTGAAAGACAAAGTGGCTGGATGGATTAAACAAACAAGACCCAATTATATGTTGCCTATATGAGATTGCCTTCATCCATAGGACATGTATCAGCTGAAAGTGAATGGATGGAAAAAGATATTCCATGAAAATGGAAACCAAAAAGAAGCAGAAGTAGCTATAGTTGTATCAGATAAAATAGACTTCAATTAAAAAACTATAACAATATCCAAGGTGATTCTGTAATAATAAAGGAGTCAATACAGCAAGAGGAAATAGCAGTCATAAATATATATGCATGAAACATCAAAACACCTAAATATATGAAACAAACATTAATAGATCTAAGAGAGAGAGAGAGACAGGAATACAATAATAGTAGAGAACTTCTATACCCATCTTTCAGCAATGAACAAATCATCCAGAAAGAAAATTAGCAAAAATCATTGAATATAAACTACACTCTTGAGCAACGAACCTAAAAGATGTTTTATGAAAGAGCTTCTGAATAGCCACTCTTTTCAACAGCATGTGAAACATTCTACGGAACAGGTCATATATTAGTCCACAAAACAAGTCTTAACAAATTTAAAAAAAAATCAAAATTTATCGTGTCTTTTCTGATGATAGTGAAATAAAACTAAAAATCAACGGGAGGAACCTCAGAAACTGTACAAGTTCACGGAAATTAAACAGTATGTTTGTAAACAAATGGGCCAATTAAGAAATTAAAGGAGAAATTTTAAAATTTCTTGAACAAATGAAAATGAAAACACAATATTCCCAAAATTATGGGATACAGCAAAAGCAGTTCTTAGAGGAAACTTTATAGCAATACACACAAACACACACACACACACACACACACACATATACACACACACATTTATATACATATATATATATATATATATATATAAATTCTCAAATATATCAACAACCTAAGGATGCTTCTCAAGGAACTAGGAAAACAAAACATAAAATTATTAGAAAAAAATAATAAAGATCAGAGCACAAAAGAGACTAAAACATCTGTAAAAGACAATGAAATGAGTTTTTAGAAAACATAAAATCGACAAGCCTTTAGTTAGACTAACAGAGAATACTACAACAAACAAAATCATAGATTAAAAAAGACACAGTAAAGTTGATACCACAGAAATACAAAGGAGCATAATAAATTTCTATGAAAATTTCTATGTCGACAAATAGGAAAACCTGGAAGAAACTGATATATTCCTGGATACATACAACCTACCAACATTTTAAAAAGAAGAAATACATAACGTGAAAAGACCTTCAACAATTAGGAAAAAAAAGACTTTCAAATTGGAAAGGAGGAAGCCAAATTGTTTCTCTTTGTAGATGACATGTTCTTATATATACAAAATCTTAAAAATTCCACCAAAAAAACTGTTAAAACAAATAAACTCAGTAAAGTCACAGGATTCAAAATCAACGTACAAAAATCAGTAGCATTTCCATATGTCAATAACAAACTATCTGAAAAAGAAATCAAGAAAGCAATTCCATTTATAATAGATAATAAATAACAAATAAATAAATTTAACCAAGCAGGTGAAATATCTGTACAATGAAAACTATAAAACACTGATGAAAGAAATTGAAGAGGAAATGAATAAATGGAAAGATATCTGATGTTCATGAATTGGAAGAATTAATATTGTTAAAATGTCCATGCTATCCAAAGTGATCTACAGATCCAATGCAATCTCTATCAAAATTTTAATATAATTCGTAGCAAAAGTAGAAAAAAATTACTAAAATTTATCTGAAACTAAAAAAGAGATCTCAAATAGACAAAGCAACAATGAGCAAAGAAGAAGAAAACTGGAGGCCTCACACTACCTGATTTCAAAATACACAGCAAAGCTGTAGTAACCAAAACAGCTCAGTGTTGGCGTAAAAACAGACACATAGACCACTGGAACAGAAAAGAGAGCCCAGAAATAAGTCCACTCATTAAAGGCAAGTGATTTTCAACAAAGGTGTTAAGAACACACAATGGGAAAAGGACAGTCTCTTCAATAAATGGTGCTAGGAAATCTGGATATACACATACAAATAATAAAATGTGACCCTTAACTGTCACCATATACAAAAATGAACTTAAAATGGATGAGACTGACTCTATGAAACTACTGAAACTACTAAAAAATAAACATTATATAAATTGATTGAACAAGGATATTTGAGACAAGATGGCAAAAGTAAAAGCCACAAAAGCAAAATAATCAAATCGGAGTACATCAAACTAAAAAGCTTCTTCGCAGCAAAGGAAACATTCAACAGAGTGAAAAAATAGGGTTTAGTAGAGACAGGGTTTCACCGTGTTGGCCAGGATGGACTCAATCTCTTGACCTCGTGATCCGCCCGCCTTGGCTTCCCAAACCACTGGGATTACAAACATGAGCCACCACGCCAGACCAAAAGAGTATTTTCTTTAGCAGTATTATGTGAGATTCATCTAGGTAAGGCATAAAACTCATTATTTTATGTAATGATTTCATATACTTATAATAATTGGAGGAAATATTTTCCAAATATCCATCTGACAATTTGTTACCATCCAGAAGGTATAAGGAACTCAAACACCTCAATAGCAAAAATACAACAAATCCATTTGGAAAATGGGCAAAATCTATTTATAGATATTTCTCCAAAACACACACACACACACACACACACACACACACACACACACACATCAACTGTCTTTTGTCTTTTTGATTATATGTAATCAAAAGGTTATGTATTATATGTATAACTGAAAATAAATTCTGGCAATGATGTGCACAAAGGGAAACTTTTGTACACTGCTGGTGGAAATATAGATTAGCACAAGCATTATGGAAAACAATATGGCAGTTTCTTAACAAATTTGAAAATAGATGTGCCATATGATACCATATGATCCAGGAATCACACTACTAGGTATATATCCAAAGGAAATATGTGAAGAGACATTCGAACTCACTTGTTTTTTTCAGAGCTGTTCACAATAGCCAAAGTAAGGAATCAGTGTAAATGTCCAATAGATGAAAGGGTAAAGAAAATATGGTATTATGTGTATTTACACAATGGAATTCTATTCAATACAGAAAGACAAATACCACATGATCTCATTCATATGTGAAATTTAAAAGAATTCATTTTATAAAAGTTAAAAGAGTTACCATAGTCTTGAGAAAAGGTTACCATAGTCTTGAGAAAATAAGGTGCAAGGTGAATGGGAAAAATTTGGTCAACGGGTACAATGTTACAATTAGATAGGAGAAATAAATTTTGGTACTTTATTGCACAGTAGGGTGACTACTATTACAATTAACTTGAAGAAAGCATTTTAAATATTCTCATAACAAATTATACATATTTAAAGTGATGCATATGTTAATTCCCATGGTTTGATCATTACACAACATATACATGTATCAAAACATCACGTTGTACCCATAAGTATGTGCAATTACTATGTGTCAACAAAAATAAAATAAGAATTTTGGCACCCTGATTTTTGTTTTTCCTTTAACATTCACACTTATCTTTATTCTTAGCATATTTGTTATCCTATTCAAAGGATAATCAAAATATTTGTGTTTTTAGGTAAAGGAAGCAGCACACATGAATACCACAATGGGAAGAGAACGAACAGAGTAAATGATTCTCTTTTTGTTGTTTTGTTTGTTTTTTATTAATACCTCTCTCACCATTTACATATGCTTTCTAACAAAGAGTTGTGTCGACTTATGTAAACCCCCTCCAGTGTGTCAAATACTGATATATACCCACAAAAATGTTAGATGAGGCAGAGTAGATGGATCTGAAGAAAAGAGGTGAAACTCAGAGTTGGGGAAGTCAGGCAGACACAGTGTGGAAGCAACAAGATTCTACTCAATGACAACTGTGTGTTAGTCTTGATTAATGAGAAAACTATCCAAAACTGCTTTTGTTCTTGTAATATCTCCAGTTTTTACTGAAATTTAGATCTATTATCTAATAATTTCAATAATTACTTTCTAAGCATTTAGCAATTCATCACATCTACAAGTTCCCTCCTAAATTAACTCATTATAAGTTCGATTTTGCTTAATTTATTCTCTAACATTTTATTACAATAAATTAAATGATAATGTTCTCATTAAAATGAAATAAGAAATATTATCATGAGATTTATAAAAGAACATTTTCTAATTTCTGCCTTAATTTTATTTATTAATATTTTTCATGACATTTTCCTTAACACTTTTTACTAAAATTGTGTACCTGTTTATTATTACTTTATAACATCATGTATATTTATAAAAATACACTCATTATTACATTAAAAACTTCACTTTTATTTAATATTTTTCTTTAAGGATATTAAAAAATATTTAAAACATAAAATAGGCTTATCACTTCACAAAAAATGTAATTTTTGTATTTTATTGAAGAAACATTTGTGGTTTAATTTGACAATATTATTATTATTGGATTTATATACTAAGTCATTCATTCTGCATATTTTGAAAACTTAAGGATAAAATGTTTTTCCTATTGCAATATTAAGAAGTTATAATCATTTCCAAAGTTAAGCCGGAGAACATTGTACTAAATGAAATAAGCTAGTAACAGAGCTACACATACTGCATAATTCCACTGATAGAAAATATCTAAAATAGTCACTTAGAGAAAGAGAGAGGAGTGGTGGTTATCTGGGACTTAAGAAGGGAAAAATTGGGAGTAGCTGTTCAGCAAGTGTAAAATTTCAGTTAAATAATTTGAATAAATTTTAAAGATCTGATATATGACATTGTGACTATAATTAAAAATACTGCATTGTGCACTTAAAAATGTGTTGAGAGGGAAGATAGCATGTTCTTACCACATTTAAAACAATCCATTGATATGTGTGTATGTGTAGAAATGATAGCACTTCAGCAAAGTAATAGATATGTTTACCAATGTTTAGTAATTTAGAAAGAAAAGAAGTTTCAGCATTAAGGTGAATTTAATATCATTTATGTAAAATATATTGGTTACAAACAAAAACTACTTTATCACAGAAATGTGATGGTCTTATATTGACTAGTATTACCTTTTTATCTCTTCTATAACAGAAAAATTAGGAAGATGGATTTGGAGAATAGTAAAATAAGATATGATAATGCAAATTGAATCAGAAGCAAATTTAATACATTTTTTTGGAAAACGCATAGGAGATTTTTAAAAATTATGTTTACTTGGTCAATAAGGAAAATTTACTCAAGAGAATATTAAATACAATAATTTTAACTAATTTTAATGCCTAAGCTATTAAGAATAATTTACTGCATAACACTTTATGTAATTATTATTTTTTGAGATGGAGTCTCCCTTTGTTGCCTAGGCTGGAGTGCAGCTTCACAATCTTGGCTCACAGCAACCAGTTGCACGATCTGGATTTACAGCAAACTCAGCCTCCTGGGTTCAAATGATTCTCATGCTTCAGCCTCCTGGGTAGCTGGGATTACCGGCATGTGCCACCATGCCCTGCTAATTTTTTTTTTGTATTCTTAGTAGAGACAGGTTTTGTCCTGTTGGCCAGGCTTGTCTCGAACTCCTGCCCTCAAGTTATCTGCCCACCTAGGCCTCCCAAAGTGCTGGGATTACAGGCTTGAGCTACCACGCCTGGCCTACTTTATGTAAAATGTGTAATTAATACATGCAGCTTATCTCCTAAGTTATTTTACTTTTTAAAATCTAAATTATATTGTGATGGTTGATGGTATTCTCCAAATTTTATGAAATATACTCTATATGTAGATAAAAATATTTGACAAGCTTAGAAAAATGTTTTAGTCTGAATAGTCAAATATTTGTTAAGACCATGAGTAGTTCAGAATTCAGAAAATATTTTTAATTTCAATTTTTCCATCTTACAATTGAGATTATCTTAATGTATTTGTATTTATTATAGTTTCATCATAGACTACATAGACAATGAAATAATTAATTGAAACTTAGGTAGTATATTTTTAGGTTTGTTATATACATCCAGTGCAACCAACATGACTTTACTATATATGTTACAAAAGCAATTGCAATGAAAACAGGATTTTTTGTGTTAATTAATTTTTATGAACCTCAAATACTGAGAAAACCTTTACATCTATTGTCAGTAACTTTGAAACAATATTTCCTTTTTTTCTTTTTTTTAATTATTACTTTTTTTTTTTTGAGATGGAGTCTCACTCTGTCAACAGGCTAGAGTATAGTGGCGTGATGGCTCGCTGGAACCTCTGCCTAGTGGGGGCAAGTGATTCTCCTGCCTCAGCTTCCAGAGTAGCTGGGACTACAGGTACACACCACCATGCCCAGCTAATTTTTGTATTTTTAGTGGAGACAGGTTTTCACCATGTTGGCCAGGATGGTCTTAATCTCTTGACCTCATGATCTGCCCACCTTGGCTTCCCAAAGCACTGGGATTACAGACATGAGCCACCACTGCAGGCCAAAACAGTATTTTCTTTAGCAGTATTATGTGAGATTCATCTAGGTAAGGCATAAAACTCATTATTTTACGTAAAGATTTCATATACTTATAATAAAAATGTACTTGATTTTATCTTATTCCACATATGAATTTACATATCCTCATCTTATTCATCCTTATAGAAACAGTTACATATTTCAAAGAAACAGAAAGAATTAGTTTATTTAGTTCTGTCATCCATATTCTAATAATCTCTTGTACAGAAATTAATATTAATGTTTCTCTAATATTAGAAACTAATTCTTAATTTTGTGTGTAAATACAAAAGACCTAGAAAAGCTAAAATGATGATAAAAAAGAAAAATAAATTTGGAGGACTTATATTACTTGAATTAAGACATTAAAAATAGAAACATATAATTTCGGACAATAGTCTGAAAGTTTGTGTAAAAAAAGCAACTAAACGTACACATTTCCAATCCTAGGTATAACCTCCTTCCGAATTAAAATTGACTTCTAATAAAATTTTTACAAAAATGTTTCTAGAATTTTTATTCATGATAGCCCAAACATGAATAATCTCACTGTGTATGAAGAGGAAAATGGTAAAACAATTGTGTATTTTAGCAATGGAATTCTCAGAAAAAAGAAAAAAACAATGAAAGGGAAATTGAAAAAGGCAGCAGGAATGGGTCTCAGAACCATTTTTCACTGTGAAAGAAGTATAGATAAAAGTGTAAGGAATGGAAGAGGCTGGCAAGATGGCCAAATAGGAACAGCTCTGGTCTGCAGCTCTCAGAGAGATTGACATAGAAGGCAGGTGATTTCTGCATTTCCAACTGAGGTACATGGTTCACCTCATTGGGACTGGTTGGAGAGTGGATGCAGCCCAAGAAGGTTGAGCAGAAGCAGGGTGTGGCGTTGCCTCACCCTGCGAAGGTTGGGGTTGGAGAGGGTTGGGGAACTCCCTCTCCTCACCAAAGGAAGCCATTAGGGACTGTACCATGCACTCCAGCCCAGATACTGTGCTTTTCCCATGGTCTTCACAACCCACAGACCAGGAAATTCCTTCCAGACCCTGGGTTTCCAGAACAAAACTGGGTGACCATTTGGGCAGACAGAGCTAGCGGCAGGAGTTTCTTTTTCATAGCCCAGTAGTGACAAAACAGAAATGTTTACTCCCTGGAAAGGGGGCTGAAGCCAGGGAGCCAAGTAGTCTGGCTCAGCGGGTGCCACTCTCATAGAGCCCAGCAAGCTAAGATCCACTGGCTTGAAATCCTCACTGCCAGCACAGCAGTCTGAGATCGACCTGGGAAGCTCGAGCTTGGTAGCGGGAGAGGCATCTGCCATAGCTGAGGCTTGAGTAGGAGGTTTTACCCTCACGGTGTAAACAAAGCTGCCGGGAAGTTCAAACTGGGCAGAGCCCACCGCAGATCAGCAAGGCTGCTACTGCCAGATTGCCTATCTAGATTCCCTCCTCTCTCAGCAGAGCACCTCTGAAAAACAAGGCAGCAGCCCCAGTCAGGGACATATAGATACAACCCTCAACTCCATGGGATAGAGCACCTAGGGGAAGGGGCAGTTGTGGGCACAAGCTTCAGCAGACTTAAACATCCCTGCCTGGCAGCCCTGAAGAGAGCAGTGGATCTACAAGCACAGTGTTCGAGCTCTGATAAGGGACAGACTGCCTCCTCACGTGTAGGTCCCTCACCCCCATGTATCCTGACTGGGAGACACCTCCCAGAAGTGGCCGACAGACACCTCATAGAGGAGAATTCTGGCTGGCATCTGGTAGGTGCCCCTCCGGGACAAAACTTCCAGAGAAAGGAACAGGCAGCAATCTTTGCTGTTCTGCAGCCTCTGCTGGTGAAACTCAGGCAAACAGGGTCTGGAGTGCACCTCCAGCAAATTCCAGCAGACCTGCAGCAGAGAGGACTGACTGATACAAGGAAAACTAACAAACAAAAGAATAGTATCAACATCAACAAAAAGGACATCCACTCAGAGACCCCAACCAAAGGCCATAGACTTCAAAGACCAAAGGTAGATAAATCTACGAAGATGAGGAGAAACCAGTGCAAAAGGCAGAAAATTCCAAAAACCAGAGTTCCTCTTCTCCTCCAAAGGATCACAACTCCTTTCCAGCAAAGGAACAAAACTGGACCGAGAATGAGTTTGACGAATTGACAGAAGTAGGCTTCAGAAGGTGGGTAATAACAAACTCCTCCGAGCTAAAGAAGCATGTTTTAACCCAATGTGAGGAAGCTAAGAACCTTGAAAGAAGGCTGGACAAATTGCTAACTAGAATAACCAGTTTAGAGAAGAACATAAATGACTTGATGTAGCTGAAAAACACAGCACGAGAACTTCATGAAGCATACACAAGTATCAATAGCCAAATCGATCAAGCAGAAGAAAGGATATCAGAGATTGAAGATCAACTTAATGAAATAAAGGGAGAATACAAGATTAGAGAAAAAAAGTGGAAAGAAATGAACAAAGCCTTCAGGCAATATGAGACTGTGTGAAAAGACCGAATCTACATTTGATTGGTGTACCTGAAAGTGTTGGGGAGAATGGAACCAGGTTGGAAAACACTCTTCAGAATATTATCCAGGAGAACTTCCCCAACCTAGCAAGGCAGGCCAACATTCAAATTCAGGAAATACAAAGAACACCACAAAGATACTCCTCAAGAAGAGCAACCCCAAGACACACAATTGTCAGATTCACCAAGGTTGAAATGAAGGACAAAAATGTTAAGGGCAGCCAGAGAGGAAGGTCAGGTTACCCACAAAGACAAGTCCATCAGACTAACAGCGGATCTCTCGACAGAAACATTACAAGCCAGAAGAGAGTGGGGGCCAATATTCAACATTCTTAAAAGAATTTTCAACCCAGAATTTCATATCCAGCCAAATTAAGCTTCATAAGTGAAAGAGAAATAAAACCCTTTACGGGCAAGGAACTGCTGAGAGATTTTGTCACCACCAGGCCTGCCTTACAAGAGCCCCTGAAGAAAGCCCTAAACATGGAAGGGAACATCCGGTACCAGCCACTGCAAAAAAAACATCAAAATGTAAAGACCATCGACGCTGTAAAGAAACTGCATCAACTAACAGCCAAAATAACCAGCTAGCGTAGCATCACAATGACAGGATCAAATTCACACATAACAATGTTAACATTAAATGTAAACAGGCTAAATGCCCCAATTAAAAGACAGTCTGAAAAATTGGGTAAAGAGTCAAGACCCATTGATGTGCTGTATTCAGGAGACCCATTTCATGTGCAAAGACACACATAGGCTCAAAATGAAGGGATGGAAGAATATTTACCAAGCAAATGGAATGCAAAAAAATGCATGGGTTGCAATCCTAGTCTCTGATAAAACAGACTTTAAACCAACAAAGATCAAAAGAGACAAGGGCACTACAAAATGGCAAAGGGATCAATGCAACAAGAAGAGCTAGCTATCCTAAATATACATGCACCCAATAAATGAGCACCTAGATTCATAAAGCAAGTTCTTAGAGCCCTACAAAGAAACTTAGACTCCCACACAATAATAGTGGGAGACTTTAACATCCCACTGTCAATATTAGACAGATCAATGAGACAGAAAATTAACAAGGATATCCAGGACTTGAACTCAGCTCTGGACCAAGCAGACCTAATAGACATCTACAGAACTCTGCACCCCAAATCAACAAAATGTACATTCTTCTCAGCACCACATTGCACCTCCTCTAAAATTGATCACATAATTGGAAGTAAAACACTCCTCAGCAAATGCAAAAGAAAAAAATCATAACAGTCTCGCAGACAACACTGCAATCAAATTAGAACTCAGGATTAAGAAACCCACTCAAAACCGCACAACTATATGGAAACTGAACAACTTGCTCCTGAATGACGACTGGATAAATAATGAAATGAAAGCAGATAAAGATGTTCTTGAAATCAATGAGAACAAAGGCACAACATATCAGAATCTCTGAGACACATTTAAAGCAGTGTGTAGAGGGAAATTGGTAGCACTAAAAGCCCACAAGAGAAAATGGGAAAGATCTAAAATTGACACCCTAACATCACAATTAAAAGAACTAGAGAAGCAAGGGCAAACAAATTCAAAAGCAAACAGAAGACAAGAAATAACTAAGATCAGAGCAGAACTGAAGGAGATAAAGACACAAAAAAACTCTTCAAAAAATCAACGAATCCAGGAGCTGGTTTTTTGAAAAGATCAACAAAATACATAGACCACTAACAAGACTAATAAAGAAGAAAAGAGAAAAGAATAAAATAGATGCAATAAAAAATGATAAAGGGTATATCACCACCAATCCCATAGAGATACAAACTACCATCAGAGAATACTATAAACCCCTCATGCAAATCAACTAGAAAATCTACAAGAAATGGATAAATTCCTGGACACATATACCCTCCCAAGACTAAATCAGGAATAAGTTGAGTCCCTGAATAGACTAATAACAAGTTCTGAAATTTAGGCAGTAATTAATAGCCTACCAACCAAAAAAAGTCCAGGACCAGATGGATTCACAGCCAAATTCTACCAGAGGTACAGAGAGGAGCTGGTACCATTCTTTCTGAAACTATTCAGAAAGAATAGAAATAGAAAAGATGGAATCCTTCCTAACTTATTTTATGAGGCCAGCATCATCCTGATATCAAAACTTGGCAGACAAACAACAAAAAAAGAAAATTTCAGGCCAATATCCCTAATGAACATTGATGCAAAATTTCTCAATAAAATACTGGCAAGCTGAATCCAGCAGCATATCAAAAAGCTTATCCACCACGATCAAGTTGGCTTCATCCCTGGGATGCAAAGCTGGTTCAACACAGGCAAATCAATAAACATAGTCCATCACATAAACAGAAACAATGACAAAAACCACATGATTATCTCAAAAGATACAGGAAAGGCCTTTGACAAAATTCAACAGCCCTTCATGCTAAAATCTCTCAATAAACTAGGCATTGATGGAACATATCTCAAAATAATAAGAGCTATTTATGACAAACCTACAGCCAATATCATATTGAATGGCAAAAACTAGAAGCATTGCCTTTGAAAATCAACACAAGACAAAGATGCCCTCTTTCACCACTCATATTCAACATAGTATTGGAAGTTCTGGTTAGGGCAATCAGGCAAGAAAAAAAAATAAGGGGTATTCAATTAGGAAAAGAGGAAGTAAAATTGTCTGTGTTTGCAGATGACATCAAAGTATATTTAGAAAACCCCATCGCCTCAGCCCAAAATCTCCTTAAGCTGATAAGCAGCTTCAGCAAAATCTCAGGATATGAAATCAATGTGCAAAAATCACAAGCATTCCTATACACCAACAAGAGATAAGCAGAGAGACAGATCATGAATGAACTTGCATTTACAATTGCTACAAAGAGAAAAAATACCTAGGAAAACGACTTACAAGTGATATGAAGGACCTCTTCAAGGACAACTACAAACCACTGCTCTAGGAAATAAGAGAGGAAACAAACAAATGGAAAACCACTCCATGCTCATGGATAGGAAGAATCAATATGAAAATGGCCATATTGCCCAAAGTAATTTATAGATTCAATGCTATCCCCATCAAGCTACCATTGACTTTCTTCACAGAATTGGAAAAAAAAACTACTTTAAATTTAATATGGAACCAAAATAGAGCTCATATAGCCAAGACGATCCTAAGCAAAAAGAACAAAGCTGGAGGCATCATGCTACCTGACTTCAAACTATATTACAAGGCTGCAGTAACAAAATCAACATGGTATTGGTACCAAAATAGATATATAGGCCAAAGGAACAGAACAGAGGCCTCAGAAATAACACCACACATCTACAACCATCTAGTGTTTGACATACCTGACAAAAACAAGCAATGGGGAAAGGATTTCCTATGCAACAAATGGTGTTGGGAACACTGCCTAGCCATATGCAGAAAGCAGAAACTGGATCCCTTCCTTACAACTCATATAAAATTTAACTCAAAATGTATTAAAAACTTAAATGTAAGACCTAAAACCGTAAAAACCCTAGAAAAAAGCCTAGGCAATACCATTCAGGACATAGGCGTGGGCAAAGACTTCATGACTAAAACACCAAAAGAAGTGACAACAAAAGGCAAAATAGACAAATGGGATCTAATAAACTAAAAAGCTTCTGCACAGCAAAAGAAACTATCATCAGAGTGAACAGACAGCCTACAGAATGGGAGAAATTTTTTGCAATCTATCCATCCGACAAAGGGCTAATCTCCAGAATCTACAAATAACTTAAACAAATTTACAAGAAAAAAACAACTCCATCAAAAAGTGGGCAAAGGATATGAACAGACACTTCTCAAAAGATATTTATGAGGACAACAAACATATGAAAAAAAGCTAATCATCACTGGTCATTAGAGAAATGTGAATCAAAGCCACAATGAGATGCCATCTCACGCCAGTTAGAATGGCGATCATTAAAAAGTCAGGAAACAGCAGATGCTGGAGAGGATATGGAGAAATAGGAATGCTTTTACACTGTTGGTGGGAGTGTAAATTAGTTCAACCATTGTGGAAGACAGTGTGGTGATTCTTCAAGGATCTAGAACTAGAAATACCATTTGGCTCAGCCAATCCCATTACTGGGTATATACCCAAAGGATTATAAATCATTCTACTATAAAGACACATGCACATGTATGTTTATTATGGCACTGTTCACAATAGCAAAGACTTGGAACCAACCCACATGCCCATCAATGATAGACTGGATATAGAAAATGTGGCACATATACACCATGGAATATTATGCAGCCATAAAAAGGATGAGTGTATGTCCTTCAAAGGGACATGGATGAAGTTGGAAACTATCATTCTCAGCCAACTAACCCAAGAACAGAAAACCAAACACTGCATGTTCTCACTCATAAATGGGAGTTGAATGATGAGAACACATGGACACTCAGAGGGGAACATCACACACCAGGGCCTGTCGGGGTGTGGGGGACTAGGGGAGGGATAGCTTTAGGAGAAATACCTAATGTAGATGATGGGTTGAGGAGTACAGCAAACCACCATGTCATGTGTATACCTGTGTAACAAACCTGCATGTTCTGAACATATACCCCAAACTTAAAGTATAATAATAAAAAAAGTGTAAGCAATGAAAGACTTTATATTGAATTATACTATAAGCAAATTTAATCTATTCTGGGAAAAGTCCTAACAGTGGTGATGGGGATTGATTGGAGAGGAGCATGAGGGAACTCTTTGAGGTTTTTGTAATGTTCTGTATATTGATACAGTTTGAGGTTACACAGCTGTATGCATTTTTCAAAGCATAAGGAATACACACTTAGATTTGTATATTTCCTGACAAAGAAATTTTAAGGCAAAAGCCAAACTCAAAAAATATTGTTTTAGTTAATGTCATGCATGCTAAAGCATTTAGCATAAAGTGTACAGATGTCTACAGTTTAATTTGAATGCATCAACAAATAAATTGGGAAGTCTCTAATAAAACAAATATAATAAAATGTTAATAAAAGAGTCTAGATTGTGAGTATTACAGATTGCAGTTTTGTATCAACTCAAAATGCATACATTGAAACCCAATGTGACTGTATGTGGAGATAGGGTCTGTGAGGAGGCAATAAAGCTTAAGTGAGATTGTAAAAGTAGGCCCTTAATTGGACAGGACTGGTGTTTTTATGAGAGAAAGAAACACCAGAGCTCCTTTTCTGCCATGTGAGAAGACAGGGAGAAGCTGGCCATTGCCAAGCCAGAAAGAGCCTCACTAGGATTTGAACTGTCTGGTACCTTGATTTTGGACTCCTCAGCCTCTAGGACTGTGAGAAAGAGAAAAAAAATGCTGTGCAAGCCATTTAGTCTATGTTATTTTTTTATGACAGCCTGAACAAACTAAGAAAGTAGTTGTATGGGAGTTCACTGTAAAATAAAATTATCTTTTCTGTGTATTCCAAAACTTATATAATAAATAGAAATTTCATTTTTCTATGCCACCCTCACTGCCAAGCTTATTTCTGAAAAGAGGTTATTCATCTGACCTCAGCATTTCTGGTACAACTTTTTGCCCAGTAAAATCTGAGAAGTAATGTATTTCACTTTTAAGCAGACACTTTAAACCCAGATAAAATTCTGCTATCACTTTTCCCCCTCTTTGAGAACAATATTTCCTGATAGACACTAGTCCTAGAGACTGCAAAATAAAAAGCTGTGAAGCAGAGCTAGCCAACTCCAAAAAGTATACAAAGTGCATGATAAATACATGTTCGTTTTTTGTAAACTATTGAGAATTTGGGATTATAATACCATTAAGAATCTCTAAATCTATTACATCATCTATGTGATGTATTGGGTAAAGAACAGATCTCAACATCAATAATTATCATCTGATCATAATTATGATTTCATAAATCCCTTAAATTCTAAGTAGCAGATCTATTAGTCATGTGCCCACTTCTTAGTCAAGTCAGAGTTTGGTTTTGGATGGTTGTTCCAGAGATGGCTAAAAAATTTATCTAGCTCATGAATAGGTGATATTTTACATTTTGAAAAATAATATTAGAGAAATATTTATTTAGGAAAATCACTATTTTAGTTCCAAGTTGAGATTTCTGTGCATCATTGAAATAGTCATTTTAACTAGGCAATTGCTATAGTGTGTGTGTACACATGGGTTTAAATTAAATAGCATATGATTACCATATAAATCATATGAGGATACAACGAACAATCAATGTAAAATAAGAAAAACATAAACAAAAACATCAGTATCAACTCCTGAATTAGAGCATGATTAATGCTGATGAAAATGATTCAGTAGAGACTGAAGATTGAATCTAGGAGGGAATGATCCAGAGGAGGAGAATAAATTTAACATAACATAGAATAATATGAGTCTGTAACAAATTGTGAATATTACAGACTGCAATGCTCTTTTAGGGTTGATATGGTTTGGCTCTCTCTCCCCACCGAAATTTCATCTCAAATTGTAATCCCCATGTGCCCAGGAAGGTACCTGGTGGGAAGTGATTGGATCACGGGGGCAATTTCCCCCACGCTGTTCTTGTGATAGTGAATGAGTTCTCACAAAATCTGATGGTTTAATAGTTTGTGGAAGTTCCCACTTCTCTCTCACTCTCTCCTGCCACCATGTAAGATGTGCCTTGCTTCCCCTTCACTTTCTGCCGTGATTGTAAGTTTCCTGAGGCCTCCGCAGCCATGTGGAACTGTGAGTTCATTAAACCTCTTTTGTTTATAAATTACCCAGTCTCAGGTAGTTTTTTATAGCAGTGTGAGAACAGACTAATACAGAAAATTGGTACCAGGAGTTTGGAGCACTGCTATAAAGATACTGAAAATCTTTGGAACTGGGTAACAGGCAGAGTTTGGAACAGTTTGGAGGGCTCAGAAAAAGACAGAAAGCGGAGGAAAACTTTAAAACTTCCCAGAGACTTGTCAAATGATTATGATAAAGTGCAGATAGTGATATGGACAATGAAGTCCAGGCTGAGGTGGTCTCAGATGGAGATGAGAAACTTGTTGGGAACTTGAGTAAAGGTAACTCTTGCTAAGTTTTAGCAGAGACTGGCAGTGTTTTGCCCCTGACCTAGACGTTTGTGGAATTTTCGACTTGAGAGAGAAGATATAGGGTATCTTGCAGAAGAAATTTCCAAGCAGCAAAGCACTCAAGAGTTGACATGGGTGCTTTCAAAAGCATTCAGTTTCAAAAGGGAAACAGAGCATAAAAGTTTGGAAAATTTGCAGTCTGAGGATGCAATAGAAAATAAAAACTTATTTTCTGAGGAGAAATTCAAGTCAGCTGCAGAAATTTGCATAAGTAATGAGGTTCCAAATGTTAATCACCAAGAAAGTGAGGAAAATGTCTCCAGGACATGTCAGAGACCTTTGTGGCAGATCCTCTCATCCCAGGCCCAGAGACCTAAGAGAGAAAAATGATTTCGTGGGACAGGCTCAGAGCCCTGCTGCTCTGTGAACCTTGTGTCCCAGCTGCTCCAGCTCCAGCCATGGCTAAAAGGGGCCAAGATACAGCTGGGGCTATTACTTCAGAGAGAGAAAGCCACAAGCCATGGAGGTTTCCACACAGTGTTGGTCCTGTGGGTACACAGAAGACAAGAGGTGAGGTTTGGGAACCTCCACTTAGATTTCAGAGGATGTATGGAAACACTTAGATATCCAGGCAGAAGTCTGCTGCAGGGGCAGAGCCATCATGGAGAAACTACGAGGGCAATGCAGAGGGAAAACGTGGGATGGGAGCCCCCACACAGAGTCCCCACTGGAGCACTGAGTAGTGGAGCTGTGAGAAGAGGGCCACAGTCCTCCAGACCCCAGAATGGTAGATCCACTGACAGCTTGCATGGTGTACCGGGAAAAGCTGCAGGCACTCAAAGCCAGCTTGTGAAAGCAGCTGTGGGGGCTGTACCCAGTAGAGCAACAGGGGCAGAGCTGCCTAAAGCCTTGGGAGCCCACCCTTTGCATCAGCATGCCCTGAATATGAGACATGGAGTCATAGGAGATTACTTTGGAGCTTAAAGATTTAATGACTGCCCCGCTGAGTTTTGGACTTTCAAGGGGCCTGTATCCCCTTCATCTTGGCCAGTTTCTCCCATTTGGAAGGAGAGCATTTACCCAACTCCTGTATTTCCATTGTATCATGGAAGTAACTAACTTCATTTTTTTTTACAGGTTCGTAGGTGGAAGAAACTTCCCTTGTCTCATATGAGGTTTTGGACATGGATTTTTGGGTTAGTGCTGGAATGAGTGAAGACTTTGGGGGACCATTGGAAAGGCATGATTGTGTTTTGAAATGTGAGAAGAACATGAGATTTGGGAGGGGCTAGGGTAGAACAATGTGGTTTGGTTCTGTGTCACCACCCAAATCTCATCTCTAATTGTAATCTCCATGTGTTGAGGAAGGGACCAGGTAGGAGGTGATTGGATCATGGAGGAGAATTCCCCCATGCTGTCCTCATGATAGCAAGTGAGTTCTCTTGAGATCTGATGGTTCGAAAGTTTGTGACAGTTCACCTTTCTCTCTCTTCTGCCATCATGTAAGATATTCCTTGCTTCACCTTCACCTCCCGCCATTATTTTAAGTTTCCTGAGGCCTCCCCAGTTTTACAGAGTTGTGAGTCAATTAAACCTCTTTTATTTATAAATTACCCAGTCTCAGGTAGTTCTTTATAGCAGTGTGAGAATGGGCTAATATAAGCATATACACATATAATAATTGATGTTTGATAGAATGCGAAATGCTTTCCTATAGACATGTCAAAACATAAGAAGATAACCAGAGATTACAAAGAAAAGATGGATAAAGATTCAGGCAGAAAATATGGTAGTAGAAAAAGGAAGTCATATTTGTATTCAATAGTCCCCAGGTTTAAGAAATTTGCCTAAGCTCTGGACTTACATTTAAGGTAACACTTTTTACATCTATCCATAGATATATCAATACCATTGTTTATTTGCCATTCTGCAAACGCAGTTCCCCATTTTTATGTTATAAAAATCCTCAAAGTTTTTCAAGTCAAAAGTTAGAAAAAAACTTTTGAATGTTCCTTTTTATTGCCTCCCCATATAATTCAACAGCAAGCACTATAAATATTACCTTCAAAATAAATTTGAATTTTTAATTTTTCTCATCTGCACTTTTATGTTATTAGTTCAAGCAGTCATCATATTCATTTTACCTTATTAAAATCTATGCAAAATTATTTTTCTTACACCTTTACTGATTATAAAAAATCTACTGTATCAATAAAAATGACCATAAATATAAATTCTACCAAGTCCTGTTAAAGCTAAAACTATTCAATAACTTACCATTGCACTAAAAAGCAAACCCCTTACTCTGGTCTACAAAAAATCTTAATGAAATGTTCCTGTTTCTATCAAATATCTTGCCATTCTTCCTCTGATCTAATCTTCCTCCTTTAGCTATGTACATTTTATTTAAAATCCTTAGACAAAATTTGGTTCTTCAGACAAAATTTGAGCTTCCAGACATTGTCAATTTGTTTTTACTTACACTTTCATAATATCCTCTTTTTAAATCTCAGATTATCAGTTTTCCAGACTGACTTACCTTATACCTTTTCTGCGTTAGATATATATTTTCCCAATATACTCCATATCATTCAATTTCTCATTATGTTTAAATAATTAATTACAACCAATACTTATTTTACTTACTGTCCATGTATTGTCACCCCTTGATGCACCTTCTAGAATATGTATACAATGTAAATGTATTAATCACTGATATTCTGTTAGCTCTTATAGGTCTAGCATTTATTAGGAATTCAAAACAGGCATACTTTGGTGATGCAAGTTCAGTTCAAGACCACAGCAATAAAACAAATAACACAATAAAGCAAATCACACTTTTTTTTGGTTTTCCAGCACATATAAAAGTTATATTTACACATGTACTATAATCAAAGTATTCAATAACACATGGCTAAAAATAATGTCATATCTAATTACAAATACTTTATTGCTTAAAAATGTTAACTATCATCAGAGCTTCAGCCAGTTATAATAGTTTTTCTGGTGTAGGGTCTTGCCTCAATGTTGATGGCAGCTGACTGATCAAGGTGGTTGTTACTGGAGGTAGGAGTGGCTGTGGCAATTTCTTAAAATTGGACAATGAAGAATGACACGTTGATTGACTCTTCCTTTCATGAAAGATTTCTTTTTAGCATGCGATGCTGCTTGATTGCATTTTATCCACAGTAGAACTTTTTTCACAATTAGAATCAGTCCTCTCAACTCCTGCCACTGATTTATCAACTCAGGTTATGTAATACTCTAAATGCTTTGTTATTATTTCATTAACGTTCATGATATCTTCATCAGAATTAGATTTCATCTCAAGAAACTACTTTCTTTGACCATCTATAAGAAAAAACTCCTCATCCGCTTAACTTTTATCATGAGATTTTAGCAATTCTGTTGCATCGTAAGACTCACTTCTAGTTCTATTTCTCTTGCTGTTTTCATTAATCTGCAATTACTTCCACCACTGAAGTCTTGAATCCTTCAAAGTCATTCATGAGTGTTGGAGGAAACTTTTCTTGAGCTTCTGTTGATACTTGATATTTCGACCTCCTTCCATGATTCATAAATGTTTTTAATAGATCTAGAATAGTGAATTGTTCCCAAAAAGTTTTAAATTTACTTTGCCCACATCCATCAGAGAAATTACTATCTATGTCAGCTATGAAATATGGTTATTAAATAAGACTTGAAGGTCAAAATTACTCCTGGACCCATGGGCTGTGGAAAGGGTGTTGTGTTAGCAGGCATAAAAACAACTTTAATGTCCTTGTACATCTTCAACAGACATCTTGGATGATGAGGTATATTTTAAATGAGCAAGTATAGTTTAAAATTTTTTTTTTAATTTCTGATTAGTAGATCGTCATAATGGGCTTAAAATATTTAGTAAACCATGCTATAAATGGATGCATTGTCTTCAGGATTTGTCGTTCCATTTATACAGCACAGGCATTAAAAATTTGCCTTAATTCTAAAGGTTTAGAAGATTTTTGAAATGGTAAATGATCATTGGCTTCAACTTAAAGCCATCAGCTTCGTTAGCCCTTAACAAGAAAGTCAGCTTGTCCGTTGAAGCTTTGAAGCTAGGCACTAATATTCTTTCTCTAGCTTTGAATGTCCAGGATGGCATCTTCTTCTACTATAAGACTGTTTTGTCTACATTCAAAATCTATTGTTTTGTGTAGCTATGTTTATTAATTATCTTGGGTATCTTCTGGATAACTTGCTGCAACTTCTCCATTAGCACTTGCTGCTTCATCTTGCCCTTTTATGAAGACGACTTTTTCTTTAACCTTGTTTACCAACTTCTGCTCAAACTTTCCTTCTTTAGCTTCCTCACCTCACTCAGACTTTATAGAATTAAAGAGTTAGAGTCTTGCTCTGGATTAGACTTTGGCTTAAGGGAACATTGTAGCTTGTCTGATTGTCTATTTGGATGGCTAAAACTTTCTCCATATAAGCCATAAGGCTGTTTAGCTGTCTTATCATTTATGGGTTCACTGAAGTAGCCTTTTTCATCTCCTTCAAGAGCTTTTTCTTTGCATTTCTAACTTTGCTGCCTGTTTAGTGCAAGAGGCCTAGCTTTTGGCCTATCTCAGCTTTCGACATGCCTTCCTCACTGAGCTTAATTATGTCTAACTTTTCATTTAAAATGAGAGACTTGTGACTCTTCCTTTCACTTGAACACTTAGAGGCCATTATAGAATTATTAATTGGCTAATTTTAATATTATCGTGTCTCAGGGAATAGGGAAATCTGGGGAAAGGGAAAGAAACAGGGGAATGGCTAGTTGGTGAAGCAGTCAGACATACACAGCATTTATCAATTATGTCATATATAAGCATGGTTTCTGGCAACCTCCCACCAAAAAAAATCACAATAGTAACATCAAAGATCACTCATTATAGATCACCATAATAGATATAATAATAAAGAAAACATTTTATATATTGAATAATTACCAATATATGACAAAGAGACACAAAGTCAATTCATGCTATTGAAAAAATAGTGTTGATAGACTTGTTTTATATAGGGTTGCCATAAACTTTAAATTTTTAAATAATGAAACATCTGCAAAGTACAATAAGGTAAAGCAAAATAAAATGAGATATTTTAATGAATATTCATTAAATTAAAGATTAATTTATATTGTATGAACTAATTTATATTGTATGAACAAAGACAGATTTAGCAGATAAAAATTAGGAAATAGAATGGGAGTTACTGGGAAAGTTGGAAGGAATGAAATGTTTGCTAAGGGTATGGCATACTATTTTTAGGCATTCTTGAAACAATGCCGTCCTTATTTAATAAACTTTGGTGATCACACTAGGCTAGGTGATGATATATAATTAAATTATTGTATCATTTTATTTGAGTAAACCTGGCTTGATGGTAATAGTCATGAAGTGGAAAAATGTGATGTACATCGAGGTATATTAATTTCCCAGGGCTGCTATAACAAATCACTAACTGGTAGCTTAAACAACTGAAAATTGTCTCACAGTTTTGGAGGACAGAAGTCCAAGATTAAGGTATTGGTGTGGGTGGTTCCTTCTGAGGGTTATGATAAAGAATCGGTTCCATTCCTCTTGTCTAGCTTCTGATGGTTTGTTGAAAACCTTTGGCATGAGTTTGTCATTTTTTTTTTTTTTTTTTTTTGAGATGGAGTCTTGCTCTGTTGCCCAGGCTGCAGGGCCGTGGCGCGATCTCGGCTTTCTGCAAGCTTGGCCTCCCAGGTTCACACCGTTCTCCTGCCTCAGCCTTCCAAGTAGCTGGGACTACAGGTGCCAGCCACCATGCCCGGCTAATTTTTTGCATTTTTAGTAGAGATGGGGTTTCACCATGTTCTGCCTGCCTCGGCCGAATTTGTCATTTTTTAAGTTGCTGCAGAAGCACCACCTTGATATCTGCCTTTATCTTCACATGTGTGAAGTTTTTGTGTCCAAATTCCCCCATTTTATAAGGATACCAGCTATACTGGAGTAGGACTCCCCCCCAATTACCTCATCTTCATTAATTACATCATCAATAACCAAATGTTGAAATAATGTCACATTCTGGGATATTGTTTTAGGACTTTAACATCTGGACTAAGGAAAGAAGAGTGTAATTCATCCCATAACAACGTGGCTACATGTTTTTAGTAGTGAAAAGCAGAGAGGGGAAAAGAAGCTGAAGACATGTGCAAAAGAAATACAAGAGTGTTGGCCCAGGGAGATCTACCTAGATATATCGAGAATTGATGATTGATTAAAAAAAAAAAGAAGGAATAAGAATAAAGTATTAGAGATATTGTTTAGTTAGCTAACCAACAAAAAAGACTACTTTGTTTTGTATCCATCTCATGGAGGTTATTTTTCTTTGTGACCTGATTTCTAATATCTTATAAATTACACCTTCTTATATTATTCCTAGCATTTTTTTTTAGTTGATCCCCTGAGAGGATAAATTCAGTCCCTATTATTCTATCGTAACAAGAAGTCTGAAATACATCTTTCAGTAGTAAATGTTAAGTTTACATTCTGAGGAGACATTGAAGTTCGAGAGTAGTATGTTTGCAGCAGGGTTTTCAGAAATTCTCTGATTATTTTCATTGAAGAGTTCCTGGGTATTTTGTTGTCGTTTTTAGTAGATGGAGTGTACAATAAAAGCTATTTTGCAGATGTATTTATTCATTCTATAGAAATGTGTTTAAGTACTTATGATGAACCAGTTCCTGTGCTACATTCTGAAGAAATTAAAACTAAGAAATCTAAGAAGTTTCCTCTGGATATTTCCAGTATATTAGGAGAAATTTTGTCCAAATGGCATATTATAGTTATCAATATTAACACACCTAAAATATATTTAGATATAGCAAAATATGGTAAACATATTTGCTTGTCAATCCAACAGTCATTTCTACTTATTAATAAAAATACTCAAGATTTGTTCATGTTTAGTGTTACAAGAGAATATCACTCTGTCTTATCTCCATTTCATAGCTTGTGACTCTTTGATAGAGACAAGTTTAATGGTTTGCATTTGAATAAAGCCTGGAAAATGGTACAGGAAGATGATGCTGGGTGAGCTTCAGTCAATCAATTCTATCTATATTTCAAAGAGAAGATACAAAGAAAACTATCCCTTTCTTCACGCTGTTGGAATCATGGAAATTGAAGCTGTTGTAGCCATCTTAAATTCAGAGAGAGTAACCTGAGAATAAGTCAAGATTCTAAGAATAAAGGAGTAGACATCTGAAAAGTGACCTGGTCTCCAGAATTCTTATTATATGAAATAGACTGTGCACTCATTGTCTAAGCCATGTGTACTTGAGTAGTTATTTACAAACAAATTATCTTGACAAGTATTTTATACAATCATTCTTTCTCTTTCCTAAATGTAATGATATTAGGCATTACATCCAGTTCTACAAGTTCTATCCATAACTCTGGGATTTACAAGCATTAAAGTGGTAAATTTCTTCAGAGACATTTTCATTGCTTAGTTCAACTGACCAAACTTCGCTTCTGCAAACTTTGCAACTGACCAAACTTTGCAACTGACCAGTTGCAAGTAACAACTGACCAAAATAAATTGTAAATTAAAATCTACAGAACTTTTGATTCAAAATAATTATGATTTTCTAGGTCAAATGAGGGGTAATAATTACCTCTTATTTCCTCAAGTTTCACTGGACAAGTGAACAATTAATGGTGCTAATTACAATGATGAGGTTATAATTCTTCAGTTTTTGTTAACCTCTTTTACCCTAACATTTAACCTTTTCTTTCATTGATGTTCTCTCTCGTTGATAAAGTACATGGAATTCACACAATTTTCAAAAATTCTTGATATTTTAAAGCCTGCTTATTTAAAACATTAACATAAATGTATCTTCCTTGTATATTAAATTTAAAGTGATAATATGCAACTTATATCTCTACTTACTAATACAGTACACTTATATATGACAAACAGTAATTTTCATCTGGATGTCACTAATGTACTTCAATCTAAAAGTATCATCTATTCCTCATGTCCTATTGCCCTTTCTTCGTTCTGGGCCCTTATGATTAACATCTCCATTTGCCCAGTCGCCAACTCCAGAAAATTAAAAGCCATTACAAATATGATTTTCTCTATCATCACAAACCCTCTAACCAGTCAAATTTTATCAGTTTTACCACTTTAATATCTCTTACATCCTTCTTCTCTTTTTTTTCCACATGGCAATTTACTTTATGTGCATATTACTTCTCAAATATCTTATTATCATAGCTTCCTAAAGCATATCTCTATCTCCAATTACATTTGTCTCATAAATAATTATATGTAATTCTTCTTAAATGCTAATTAATGAGATTGTTTTTCTTAAAATGCACCAATAACTTTAAGACAAATTTTTGAATAACTTAGCAATTAATGTTCTTCACAGTTTGGTCCTCAGCTGTGTTTTGCTTTGTTTCTCCCCACTGCACTCCAGTGATAGACCACTACTGAATTCTCAACCTGCATCAGGGTGTTTTATATCATCAAAAGTTTATACATTCTGTTCTCTGCTCTGAATGACTTTCTACCCTCTCTGTATAGTTTTCTCCTTCTCCTACTTCATAACTGAATTCCAAGGAAACTGTTTCTCTGAACTTTTCTTTCACCTCCCAATAGGGTAGCATATTTATTTTATGTTACCATAACAACTTATGTGCATAATTCCTAGCATCATTCAACTTTTATGCCTGCTATCCAGCACATTACTCAGAATATAGAAGGCACACAATAAATGCATGTTGAATACATAACAATAGAAATGAGTGGTTTCCTTCTTTGATTTATTCTTATCTTTTGTGTGACATAGCTGCTATTTGAGAAAGAACAATTTACGGCTACTTGTTTCATACACTAGTTGTTCAGATTCATTCATATGGGAAACTACTTGTGAAAGTAAATACAAAATAAAATGAAAAGCATTGTAAGTAGGAAAAAAACACATTCTGTAAGTTTTAGTACTTTCTGATACAGGATGTAACAATTTTTTTTCTTTTATAAAAATTATTTCTTTTTATACAATGTCAAAATGCCTATTGTTTCTGGAAACACACTACCACTTTCTAAACAATTTATTTATTTTCATGAACATATTTTTAGACCAGTTCCAAAATGTGTAGAGGAAATAGTCACACTATAACATTAGTTTTAAGAATATATTCATATTTAATATATAGTATCAGAAACCGATAAGGAAATTCAATGTCATATCACATAAATAATGACAATGTATCTCTGTTATCAATATAAAACAAATGAGGAATAGAGGAGGTAAATACTTTTCCTTTGTGCTGTCAGTTAGTATTCTTGACCTAAAAAAAATTATGAAAAGAAAACTTCTTTTAATTGCTTGAATTTCTCCTCTAAATATTAGCACAAAAACTTACATATTACATTAAACTAACTTGACATAACCATAAAGTCATAGTGGAGAAAACATAACAGAATTTTAATTTGTTTATGAGACAATTCCACATGACATTTTCATCAATTTAGTAAATGTCACATTCTCAATATTAATGTGAATCACACAATATAGTCTTACATATAAGGAACTTTTATTTGTGATTTCTTGTCAATAATAAGGACATGTTCTATTTATTATATTTTTTAAAGATGAGCATATTTTCTCAATTTTTATATGATTGGAAAGTAAGGTTAATTAGAATCTGTATTATACAGGGAAATTTCATATTGAAAAGATAAATTTTATGTTAAAAGTATGTAATTTCAACATAACAAGAACTGATAGCCTTCAAAAGCAAAATATAATTTATATATGAAATAAAAAATACCCAGGTCAAAGTAGGAGAGCAATTTACTAGAAACACAGATAAAGGAAAACAGTTTAATATTGTGGACATAAACTATCATATTATAGTACTAAAATAATTATGACGTTTGTGACATTTGAAAGATTTGAAACTGATCTTTCTGAATCATTCTTTGTCAAAGAATGCTGCATCTAGGTTTTGCAAACATCCTTTAAAAATGGACTTTGAGCACATGGACATTAAAAAGTAATAGTCAATAGAATTGTCAATAGTAGAATGAAAAATGAGATTTAGCACTGAATTTTTAAAAGTTAATTTATTGTTTGTTTTTGTTTTTGTTTTGTTTTGTTTTGTTTGAGACAGATTTTTGCTCTTGTTGCCCAGGCTGGAGTGCAATGGTGAGATCTCGGCTCACTGCAACCTCCACTTCCCGGGTTCAAGCGTTTCCCCTGCCTCAGCCTCCCGAGAAGCTGGAATTACAGGCGTGCGCCACCATGCCCAGCTAATTTTTGTATTTTTAGTAGAGACAGAGTTTCACAGTGTTGGGCAGGCTGCTCTCACACTCCTGATTTCAAGTGATCTGCCAGTCTCGGCCTCCCAAAGTGCTGGGACTACAGGCATGAGCCACTGCGCCCTGGCTATTGTATTTTTTTTAATGAGCATTCCCTGTAGCCATTCTTCATTTTAACATAAGTAAACAACATGAAATTTTTAAAAGAGGGAACTTATTTGGATATAATTATTTCTTATTTTCATTTGTGAATTATAAAATACTATGTTGGGGAAGATATAAAAAATCAGTATCTGATAATCTTTAGTGAAAAAATAAACATTTCTTTTTGATGACCTTACTTTTGTCTGTTTTAAAAGAGAGGTAAATACTTTCTTTCATTTAAAAACATACTAATTGATTTTCATTTATGTATATCAATTATTTATGACATTTTGGATAAGAACAGACCACATATACAACAGTGGTCCTATAAGATTGTAATATTTTTTTACTGTACCTTTCTCTATGTTTAGATATGTTTAGATACACACATACTTACTATTGTGTTACTGAAATGGCCTCATTGCCTGGGGTGGCACCCGAAGTTCTTGGTCATGGCCAAGGGAATCAAAGACGCAGACATACCAAGGGTGAGGTTAGAGCAGAAGTTTAATAGGCAAAAGAGAGTAGCTCTCTGCTTCAGAAAGAGGTCCCAAAAAGGGTTGCTGTTCCACAGTAAAATGCAAGGGTTTTAATAAAGGAGCTAGTGGGGAGGGGGTACTTTATCTACATATGGCACGAAAAACCAGTTCGAACCAGATGTGTCATTTTCATAAAGCACAGATCTCTAGCAGCCACAATCCCAACCTTTTATTATTCAGGCTTGTCCTTAGCCTAAGCTACTCCATGTTGCTTATCTCTTTCCTACTGTGCACGTGCTAAAAAAGGTGTGGGAGCAGAGACCCCATGGTCCACGTGCCTGGCCCAAGGTAGTACCTTCTATTGGTGCAGCTGCAGGCATCCTCCTACCCCGTGCAAGCTTCCAGCTTCCTTATCTAAATATGTCCCCAGAAAAGAAAGGTGTGTGCTTACCGGGACCTACCTTATGTGTGTGAAGCTTGCTGATTACCCAGGAAGCTCCTGCTTTGTGTCCGAGATGCTTCCTTATCTATGTTTACAGCCCGATCTTCCAGGCTACTTTTTGTTAAAAGTGATTTCTTGGGCTGCTTTTTGTTAGAAGGGAAGTTCTGCCAAGGACTCTGCCCTAACCATCTGCCTAGCTAGTTTCTTTCTACCTCCTCTCTTATTACAATTGTCTGCGACATTCGGTACAAGTTTGTAGCCTAGGAGCCATAAACTATATCATATAGCCTAGGAATGTCATAAGGTATACTATCTGGGCTTGTGTAAGTACGCTGTATGATGTTTGTGTGACAAAGTCACCTAATGATATGTTTCTCAGAATGTATCCCTGCCTTAAGTGATGCATAATTGTATCGCAATAGCTACCTCTCCTTTTAAAAATAAACCTTTTCTATAAAGGTTTTCTTTACCTAAGTCTAGATTTGTTTTTATTTGATGTGGGAAAAGTAGATAATGTTTTTTGGAGAATTTATATTTATATATTAACTTTAAATGTAAGTTCTTACCCATTAGAAATGTCGTTGTTGACAATTAGGTTAATATTGCGGGGAGAGGAAAAGAAAAAGTCTTGTCTATAAATATGGTTTCAACTGAGAAATATAATGGCCAAAATTGTGTTATATTATATACATTCTAAGATAGAGATGCTCCTTTTTAATACTAGTATAAGTCTATACCGCAAAAGCATCTAAGTAGGTTACTTCTCACACACTCGCAGTTGCCCCTTATTAGTTCCCTGACTCAAATTCACATGCAAACAGTGGAAACTGCTTTAACAGGGTGATAACTCTTTTCTCTTCCCTGGGGCAAAATCCATTTAACCTGGCCTGACTACCTAACCAGGTGTGAATCCTCACTGAGGTGCAAATTCATTTCTGTATAATAGAAAGGTTACCAATTCACCCCTGGGGAAACAGCAAGTGATCAAGAGTAAATCATTTTAATTCAGTTCTAAAATAGATAATTAAAAAAAAAATAAAATTTCAGAAACAAAAAGATACTGCTGGGATAACCTGCAGGGAATGTTGCTTATGGAAAAATATAGCTTTAGTATGGCTTGATCTAGGAGAAGTTCTGGCCATGCAATATGGAAGTACTTGTAGATTGTGGTCTATACACTCATGCTCCAGAGTTGCAATTAAATCCTCTAAAATATCATATATATCTCAACTGAAGCAGCCTCACACCTCCACAAGATGGGTTGCCTTTTAAATTGCTGCCTTCCTAGGGATTTCTTTCACATGAAGTGATTGCAAAGGAATATTTCTTTATTGCACAATACATATATTTGACACTTCAAATGGTTTTCTTTGGCTTCTAAGGGGCTGGTGGCCATAAAATCTGTCTTGTTTGGAGTGATAAGCATTTGTGAACTCTATGTCATTGTTTGCTATACTACTTTGTTGCACATAATTGTCAACATATATGATAAAGTAGCTTTGGAAGTGCAAAGGTCCATCATGTTTCACTATGCATTACAGCAACATGTCAGCTGCAATATAGATGTGGGGGCAGGTCACTCATAGCCTTTGAAGTAGATTTATCAAATTGTTAATTATGTCAAAATTATTAAATATGATAGAATTTATAATAGTTCTTGTTTGACAGCACTGATAACTGAAAATGAAAAGGTTAAAACTATAACTTTATATTCTCAATGATGTGTCTTCTAAAATATCTTCTATGAAATCAGTATTTATTAAAAGATTAGCTTAAAACTTGTCTAAAAGTTGGAAATTATTCCTGCTCCTTTTAAATGAAGGCAATAAAAAGAAAGAGTTGCCAAAACATAGTTATGAGATTTTAATCGTCTAATTTGACATGCAGTTCATTTTTTTAAATAATTGTACCAAATCTCATCAGCAACATCATATCATTGGTGACATAATGTGAATTAATCCTTTTAAAGTTATATGTGTCAGGGAATATATTACATAATTGTGTGATTATAAAATATATAATTTCAGCAGAGAATAATCTCCAGTTTGTGTGAGAAATAAAGTAGATGAAAGCTAAAAGCTTAATCTGCTGGAGGTGCATATTAAAATGATAAAATAATAAAATAACAGCAGAAAGAATAGAAAGAAAATATTAACTCAAACACACATGTCCTACCAGGTTTGTTTTGACTTAAATGATAGCACTGTCAGCACTGGAGCAATTTGGAAATCTTTGTCATAAGGCAAAGGTTACATTTAAGTATGATGCAACTACATTTGATGAAATATTAATAGTGGTAATAGGCAATAACATTAACAAAGCATGAGATTTTACAGACAGTTTTCTAACTACAGAAGTTAAAATATTAATATTATCTGCATATTGCAGATGCAGAACCCAAGGTCCCAATGGTTTACATAAATTTTCCAAGACAATAAGTTAATAGCTGTAGAAACTGAAACAAAACAGAACCTCAGGACCCCAAACTTATAATGGCAAAGGGAAAGTTAAGCTTGGGAATTGAGTCGTACAAAAAACTGCCTTCCTTTTGTTCCCAATCAGATATCTGTGACGATAGAAGGCCACATATCTCCCCAGATGGCTTCCCTTACAAATTACTCACAAGGAAATTTCTGGTGGACTCCAAAATCTTTCAGAATATGTATCTCCCATAAAATAGTCTTAAAACAGAAATTTTTTGATTCTCACCATACAATTTAAATTAACAGCTTATCTTCACAGGCATGGGACAAAAACAAGAATAAAACTCATCCTTCTGCCCACCTGAAAGGAATGACAAATGCATAATTTACTTCTTCCTCTACTCTATCTTTTCATATGTTTACTATATCTTATGTAAAATGTAAATCTACTCCTTGCAAGAGGAATGTACAATTGACAGTTCTTCTAACCCCTTTTCTCTCAGGTAAAAATGTAGATTCATTGAGCCCTCATCAAAGCCTTACAAGAATGTAATCACTTGCTTCATTTCCTACCCTCCCTCTCCCTCTTTTTCCTTTCTTCCTTACCCTCCTACATGCTCTTTCTGCTTTAAATATTGAAATCCAGCCAGGTGCGGTGGTGCACAGTTGAAATCTTAGCACTTTGGGAGGCCAAGGAGGGTGGATCATTTAAGGCCTGGGGTTCGAGACCAACCTAGCCAACATGGTGAAACCCCATCTCTACTAAAAATACAAAAAATTAGCCAGGCATGTTGGTGGACGCCTCTTATCCCAGCTACTTGAGAGGCTGAGGCAGGGGAATCGCTTGAACCCGGAAGGCAGAGGTTGCAGTAAGCCAAGGTCAAGCTGTTGCACTCTAGCCTAGGCAACAAGAGAGAAAATTCATCTCAAAAAAAAAAAAATTGAAATTCTCAAATCACTTTTTTGGAAAATCAGGGATCTAGGATGTTACCACTGTGATTTGTGTTTTTTTTCTAGGCACGTCTTCAACCTTCACAAAACAAACCTCTACATCAAGACCTGGCTGAATTATTATTCCATTTACAGCAACAAGTTTTAAACAGAGACTTGACTACTGACATGGACTCTTAACAATTACACTATGACTCTTCTTGCCAGAATACAGAGATCCAATATCCAGGCAGCCCACCTGGATATCACCTCCCTACCCCGACAGATATCTGTTCTTCATAGAAACATACTGACATTGAAAACAAATATCATTTATTGGTTCATCTTTAGTTTGGCATGTATAAATACTTCATAACTCATATGACCATTTTTTAATTACATAAACCTTCTAAAATGATTTCTCCATTTAATTCAGTTTAAGAATTATCTAGGCAGTTGGTTTAAAATGCAGCTTCCCGGAGGAGATTCTATTTTTCAGATTGGGCTTATGAATATGCATATTTAAATGTTAAAAGATAATTGTGAGGTAGGTGATATATGGGTAACACTATGAGAAACATGACCACCATAATCATCTTTTAAAATCATAAGCAACTTCTGTCTTTCCAGATGAATTTCAACATTATATAACTTAGAGCCTTTCCTATATAAAAATATCACACTAGAAACGTAAAACTGATACAACAATCTTTATTTCCTTTGCAATGGTAAATTGCTAGATCTTAGACTTATTCTTTGAAGACATTTAGTGGAAGGAAAAGCATTCACAAGATTTATTGTGTTCAAATATTTACAAAAATAAAATATTACATATTGTTGCTATTATCAATCCTTATAGTAAATATTCTCTCTTCCAGGGAGATCGGCAGTGTTGCGGATGCTGAGCACTCCGTAAGCCAAGATCCTTGAAGGAAAACCATGGTAGAAGCAATGAACCAAAAGTAAAATTTTGTTGTTTAAAGACACAGGCTTTGTTGCTACTGATACTGCATAATCACCTAGCCTTCCCTGACTGAAAGTATGTATTACTTTCTCTTCTGCTCGCATGATTGTAGAAGATATTTGTCATTTCTTGGCTGCCCATCAATCAAATCCTAAGACCCTTCCTTTGCCACCCCTTATTCCACTTGAATGAGATAACGTTTATGGGAGGAGAGCATTGCCTCCACCTCAGAAACACAAGGGGATGATTATCCTTCCCACTGCTCTGCCCCAGCCCGGGAAATAGACCAATGTCTGCATCTCAGACATTTGGAAACTCTTTCCAGAAACTTTGAGTTTTGAATGTCGGTGAATTTTGTAACAGCAAGTGATTATAAATCTCCGGAATTTATTTTTCTCCTCAACATATTTTATAGATTTCCAGCTTCCTGATGATTTCATCAACAACCCTTAAATAGCCTTCTCATATATAATTATGATTACTATTAGAATATCATATGCATTTTGTTATTATTATTATTACTTAATACATGGAGAGTCAGATGTGTTTCTTGTAACCCAGAACCTTGACTGAGAGTGCTTGTCTTAAGAATAATTATTTGAAGAATAGACTAGGAATAAGGGGATTTAAGCAAAAAATTGTTTTTTTCCTTTTAAAGACTAAATGTTTTTGTTAATTCTTTGAATTATTCTTGTTGTTATTTTAAAATGCAGTAGATAGATTTATTTATTTTTAATTTTTATTTTATTTTGAGACAGGGTCTTACTCTGCCACCCAGGCTGGAGTGCACTGGCACAATTTCAGCTCACTGCAACCTCCACCTCCCAGGCTCATCAAATCCTCCCATCTCAGCCTCCTGAGTAGCTAGGAATACAGATGTGTGCTGCCACACCCAGCTACTATTTTTGTTTTTGGTATTTTTTTAAAGACTAGGGTTCACCATAATGCCCAGGCTGGTCTCAAACTCCTGGTCTCAAGCAATACGACCCCTTGGCCTCTCAAAGTGGTGGGATTACAGGCATGAGCGACTGTGCTCAGGAAAAACTTAATAAATTAGATTGCTTCTTTAAAGAAGGTAATATACTCTGAGTTATAAAAAAAAAAACCCATTGTTTTATGGTTCAGCTATTGTGAGGTTTTCCTACACACACATCAGCTATCCACAAGCTTCTTTTCAATAACTTACCAATTTTTTTTGCCACTCTCTAACTTCCAAGTATATTTGACTTTTAGCCACTGTATCCTTCCTTGTTAATGCTTGACTTGTTTAAATTTGAGGAAGTAAATATTTGATTCATATTTCTGTAACTATAGTGTTGTTGAAGTCTGACATTAAACAGCTTACAGTCACTAAATTCACGGACTGCCTTCGGCTTAAACAATTAAATAGCAAAATATGCTCCTATATGTAGCCAATAATTGGAGAACTTCGTTATTGTATTCTGTTTCTACATATTGTTAAATAAATTTTATATAAATAGGGGATTTTTTTGCATTTGTTTGCTTTGTTTTTAAATAGAATACATTTTTTTTTTCCTGGAGACTTCGTTGCTTTTTCTTTCTCCTTAATTTTTTCTCTCTCTATGTCTCTTCCTGACATCTAAATGGTGGTTTCTAACACCATTGTGAGATACAGCTAAGGACCAACAGTTTAAATAGATTTCTTCCTGAATTCCAGACTCAGCCACCTGCCTACCTATTATATTCACTTGAGTATGAAATAGATACATCAAACTTCTCTATGTTTTTGTAAACTTCACATTTCTTTATTTTATCCTTGTCCCTCGAATGCAATTTTCCATTTTTCTGTCATCACTTATTTAGATGCTTGAACCAAAATTTTATTCTTGATTCAGCCCCCTCTTTAAGTCATAACTCTTATCCCAACTTGTCTTCTGGTCCTACTAGCAATTACTTGGAGAATATATTCTGAACTCAATCACTTTTAAATACCTCAACAATTACGCAGGTCCAGGCATAATTATCATTTTTGGAGATTACTGGAAAAGCCTGCTAAACTGGTACCCTGTTACTACTTCTAAATTCCTCAGAATGCTTTCATCAGAAAAGACACACTTTAATTGTAAAAATAAACATCTGATAAATTTCCCTTGTGCTGATAGCCTTTCAATCCATCTGCTATGGCTACGATATGGCTCTTGGGTAGCTTATCATTGCCACATGACTTCCCAGTTACTCCTCTTTACTCCCAAAGGACTTCTCTTTGACCTAAAAGCACTAAAGACCCTAAGTTTTCTTCTGCTGTGGGTGTTCGTATGTGCCCTCTGCCCGGACAGTTCTTGCTCAGATATTTGCATATATTATTCTATCACTTATTCACCTTGTCAGTTCAAATCCCACCATCTTGGAGAGATAGTTTCTTACCATGTTCATCAGGTAAGAAAATGTTTGATTTCAAATTTAAAAAGCACATATACATACATTCAATTATCAGAGACTTAAAGGGCAAGGAGCATTTTTCTCATGTAAAGAGAATTCTGATAGTAAATAGTTTCTGGATGAGTTCTTCTGCTCAACAATGCCATCAAGGCCCACATTCTTCTTTTAAAATTATTTTCATTTGTAATTACTATGGATACATACTAGTTGTACATATCTGTAGAGTGCATGTGATATATTGATAAAAACATACGTAGCAACTCCCCCCTCTCTCTTCCGCCTACTCTGGCTCTATGAAGTGCAGGCTCCTCCTTTGCCTTCTGTCATGATTGTAAGTTTCCTGAGGCCTCTCCAGAAGCCAAGCAGATGCCAGGATCATGATTCCCGTACAGCCTGCAGAATGATAAGCCTATTAAACCTCCTTTCTTTATAAATTTCCCTGTCTCAGGTATTTCTTTACAGCAATGTGAGACAGATGAATACAGCCACATAAGTGAAAAGTAAACTAGCTTGATTTTTGAACATAAGTGAAACTTTGAGTTTATTTTGTGTAAACCCTTCTAACAATCATAAGCAAAACTTAAGTCATCTTCCAAAACTGGTATAAGATAATCACTTGCAAGCAATTATCTTCCATCTGGAAACACCCATTGTAATATCCAATCATTGTAAAGGTTAAATGACTTCCTCATTGTAAGACATCTGGTAAAGACGTGCTTCTTACCACTTTTCACTTTGAGGTCTCTAGGATCTCTGTATATACTTTTTGTATGACAATAAACTTTTATATTTTTCTTAATTTGATCTTATTTTATTTTTTATGGCAAAAGAGACCTTGTGAATGTAAGTTACTGATTATGAAATGAATATATTATCCTGTGTTATCAGGGAGGGCCAATGTGTTAGCAAGAGCACTTACAATATATAGGAAGCAGGAGGGTCACAGTCTTTTAGGAGATGTGGTTAGGAAAGCAGAGGCCATAATGAATGGTCTCTTGGCAGCCAGCCATGAGCTGAGGAATTCAGGCAGCTTCTAGAAGCTTGAAAAACAGGGGAACAAATTCTCCCTTACAGCATCAAGTAAGGAATACAGCCCTGTCTATAGCTTAATTTTGATCCAGTGAGACTATTTTAAACTTTGGATCTCTAGAACTATAAGATAATAATGGACTTTGTGTTTTTTAATCCACTAAATTTGGGGTAATTTGTTATATCAACAATAGGATACTAATGCAACAAAAAGTAAAACCGTTTTTTAACATATTACTTAGAGAGCAAAGTATAATTTTATCAAAGGATGTAAAAATATCTGCAATTCAATGTAAATCAAATATCTTATAATACACCAACATTCTAAGATAACATTTAAAATAATCATAACTGTCAAATAAATCCTTCAATGCTATTATCTAACTAATTATACACATCGGAATGAGGCATTGCTAATAAATGATTGTGTTTAGCTCTGCATATATTACCCTATGGGTTAGGAAATTCCACATGTCTGTGCTGTCTCTCAGGTCTTTGATATAATGAGAAGGGAGAACTTTAAATTATGACTTTTTGATTTAATGCTTCATGGGGAAAATCTTCATTTTCTGTTACATGCTGTAAATATATATTGTCCACGAATAAGTACATATATTTATGTTCATTTCTAAAGAATATTAAAGGTAATATCACTAGACTTTCTAAAATAGTAGTTCATCATTTAATATAACACAAGTGCTCAAGAGAAGTCACATTATTTTGAAGATGAATAAATGCTGTTAATATTTTTCTGTATCTTGTATTCTTGATATTTTATTGTCTTTGATTATACAGACTACTTTTTAAAATTCATTTTTAGCCTTTTCAGCGTACAATATAATATTTAGCTTGTTATTAAAAATTTACATAATTCTAAAGAAATATTTTTTGAACCCTGTCACAGTGATGCCCTTACAGGTTATGCCTGTTTTGTGACAAAATGTGATGACACTATTTTATCACCCTTGACTTACTTCACTTTTATTGAATGATAAAGTGTTGTCGGCCTATTTGTTGTTGCAGCAGTCAATATTGGCAGCTCTCAATAAGCATTTACCATTTCCAGGTTTTGAATAGTGTCTCTATCCCTTCTGAGAAGGTGTAATTATGCCTAGTGTTAAGTTCATAAGATTTTGATTTGATTGATTATAAAACTAACATATCCAGAGTTAGATATGTATATATAGACAGAAATATAATTAATAATAATTAACTTTGCTTCCACATCATGTACAATCAATACCATTACAGTATAGCCATATCTCTTAATCCATCATGTCGAATTTGTACATAGCACCCATTTGTACTTTATTTTATATGACTAAAATGTCACCACCTAGTAATCCCACAGTAGATAAATTGTCTTTGTCCTATTGTGGTATACAAGCTTTCAACATCATGAAATAAGATGTGTTTCTATTTATTGTAAAACAACAAAACTGTAATTGAAAATGTCTTGACATACAGTAAAACTTAAAAACAGACCTATATATCAAAATCTTACGATGATATTTAGTAACTCTTCAGTTTCCATGGCAATTACTCAAAATATATAGAATATCAGAATAATATACTTTGCTAGTTTAAGGAAAACATTACCTTATATTCAGAATGTATTTCATATGCCATTATTTATGCCTTTGAAGTGACATTTCAGAGACACAGAGAGAGATATTATACACACATCTGTAAGTATGTTAGGTATGCTGTCTTACTAACAAACTTCAAGTCTCGGTGGTTTAACATATTATGGTTTTATTTCTCACCCAAACTAATTCTGATGTGGGCATATAGCTCTTACATCATAAATCTATGCCATCTGTAATGAATCTCTGGCCTTCAGATTTTCATCCGGGGAAGAGAAATAGAAGGAGAAAGCAAGCAATTGACTGCCACAGGATAGAATTTGTAACCTGATACTATGCTCATATTTCATCGACCATCACTAGTTACATGATCTAGGTCTCAACTAAAAGAGATTGAAAATAGAAACACGAGTATTTGGTAAGTTTTAACTGTGGTTGCCATATTACGGCATTCAATAAGAAAACCTGTGACAAAGAACATTAACATTAAAATCACAAACAGAGACCATCAAATGTTTACATAAATAACTAGGGACAACACAAAACATGGACTGTCCCTGAGTTAATACAGGTTACAGTCCTATGAGCCAGATAGACAATTAGTCAAATACAATAAGGTGAGATCCATATTATGATAGTGGAAAAACAAAGCTCTGTAGAATCTTAGTTGCTATTTCCATTGCTTTTTAACCCACCTTTCTTTCGGTGTTTCCTCCTGGGTTCTCTTTGCATTTGCCTGAAAAGCCCTCTCTAATCTTTCTATCATAGAAGATGAATTCTGTAAGTTTTGTTTAGTTTTGCAAATATTATTATTTCCTAATTTTTATAACTATTTCACTGAGTAGAAAATTCTGTGTGAAAATATTTTTTCTTTCAAATCTTTAATTCTTTTATCTTCTCACTTTTGTTGCTTCTGTTGAAATGTCAGTTGTCCATCTTATTGTTCCCTTGATGGTAATGTTTTTGTCTTTTAGATTTTTTTTCTGATTGCTTTTAGACTGTTTGCTTTGTTTGTATGCAGCAGTTTTACTTTAATAGAAATATGCATGCTTTTCTTCCTTCCTTTCTTGTTCTCTCTCTCTCTTTCTTTTATGTCCCTAAACTCATTTTGTGTAAGGTTATAGTTCTCCTTAACCCATTTATGCCTAGTGTTTCATTATTGGAACGCTAAGCTTGTGGGAGTTATTTATATCCTACTGCTCAAGGTCATCACCAAGGTCCGATTTTTCAGACAAAAAATTTGCAACCTCTGACATAAATGGGCTAAATCTGTGGATCTTTTATCATAAAAAATTCTCAGCAATTATGGCTTTAAACACCACTTCTGCTTCATTTCTCACTTCTCCCTTCAGGAGTCAAACATGTCTATGTTAGACTTTTGTGCTTGGATCCTAATGCCACTCATACTCTCTTCTCTCTTTTTAATTTTATTTTCTTTTGTCCAGTCTAGATATTTTCTACTGAACTGTATTTTTTGACAAGATATGTTTATACAATGCTATGCACAAAAATAAGACTTTGTATGACTCTATGTACAAGACTGGTTTCTTATAACAATTTGAATGGGCAAAACCACAGCAATAACCAAAAAACCTTTTTAATCAAAAACAGAATGGCTGAATGAATTGTGGATTTAAAAGTTATATATCTATTTTTGTTTGCTTGCTTTTGAACTTTTTATTTTCTTAGGTTTTTGGATAACAGGTGGTATTTGGTTACATGAGTAAGTTATTTAGTGGTGATTAGTGAGATTTTGGTGCACCCATCACCTGAGCAGTATACACTGAAACCAATTTGTAGCCTTTTATCCATCACCCTACTCCCACTCTTTCCCCTGAGGCTCCAAAGTTAATTGTATCATTCTTATGCCTTCACATCCTGATAGTTTAGCTCCCACTTATGAGTGAAAACATACGACGTTTGGTTTTTGATTCCTGAGTTACTTCACTTAGAATAATAGTCTCCATTTCCATCCAGGTTGCTGTGAATGCCATTAATTCATTCTTTTCCGTGTCTGAGTAGTATTCCATCATATATATATATATCATGATATATGTATCACATATATCATCATATGTGATATATGTATCACAGTTTCTTTATTCACTCATTGATTGATGGGCATTTGGGCTGGTTTTATATTTTTGGAATTGTGAATTGTGCTGCTATAAACGTGCATGTGCAAGAATCTTTTTTGTATAATGACTTCTTTTCCTCTGGGTAGATACTCCTTAGTGGGATTGCTGGATCAAATGGTACATCCACTTTTAGTTCTTTAAGGAATCACTACACTGTTTTCCATAGTGGTTGTACTAGTTTACATTCCCACCAGCAGTGTAGAAGTGTTTGATTTTCACATCATCCATGCCAACATCTATTTTTTTTAAAATTTTGGCCATTCTTTCAGGAGTACGGTGATGTTGCATTGTGGTTTTGATTTGCATTTCCCTGATCATTTGTGATTTTGAAAATTTTTTGATATGTTTATTGGTCATTTATGTATTTTCTTCTGGGAATTGTCTATTCATGTTCTTAGCTCACTTTTTGATGGATTTTTTTCTTGCTAATTTGTTTGAATTCCCTGTAGATTCTGGATATTAGTCCTTTGTCAGATGTATAGATTGTGAAGATTTTCTCCCAATCTCTGGGTTGTCTGTTTACTCTGCTTGCTGTTCCCTTTTTCTATGCAGAAGCTCTTTAGTTTAATTGAGTCCCACCTATTTATCTTTGTTTTTGTTACATTTGCCTCTGTTTTTGGTCATGAAGTCTTTCCCTAAGCCAATGTTTATAAGGGTTTTTCAGATGTTATGTTATAGAATTTTTATAGGCTTAAGTCTTAGATTTAAGTCTTTGATCCATCATGAGTTGATTTTCATATAAAGTGAGAGATGAAGATCCAGTTTCATTCTCCTACATGTGGTTTGCCAATTATCTCAGCAACATTTGTTGAATTAGGTTGTCCTTTCCCCACTTCATGTTTTTGTTTGCTTTGTCAAAGATCAGTTGGCTGTAAGTATTTGGGCTTATTTCTGGGTTCACTATTCTGTTCCATTGGTCTATGTGTCTATTTTTATGCCAATATAATGCTCTTTTGGTGACTGTCGTCTTATAGTATAGTTTGAAGTGAAGTAATGTGATGCCTCAAGATTTGCTCTTTTTGCTTAGTCTTGCTTTGGCTATGCAGGCTCTTTTTTGGTTCCATATGAATTTTAGGATTGTTTTTTCTAGATCTCTGAAGAATAATGGTGGTATTTTGATGACAATTACATTGAATTGGTAGATTGCTTTTGGCAGTAGGGTCATTTTGACAATATTGATTCTATCGATCCATGAACATGGGATGTGTTTCCATTTCTGTCATCTGTGATTTCTTTCAGCAGTGTTTTGTAGTTTTACTTGTAAAGTCTTTCATCTCATTGGATAGCTATATTCCTAAGTATTGTATGGTTATTTTTTCCTGCTATTTTTAAAAGGGTTGAGTTCTTGATTTAATTCTCAGCTTGGTTGCTGTTGGTGTATAACAGAGCTACTGATTTGCATACATTAATTTTGTATCCTAAATATTTGCTGAATTTATTTATTAGTTCTATAACCTTTTTGGATGAGTCTTGAGGGTTTTCGAGGTCTACGATCGTATCATCAGTGACCAGAGACAGTTTAATTTCCTTTTTCTGAATTTGTATGCCCTTTATTTCTTTCTTTTGTCTAATTGCTCTGACTGGGACTTTCAGTACTATGTTCAATAGAAGTGGTGAGAGTGGGAATCTTTTTCTTGTTCCAGTTCTCAGAGGGAATGCTTTCACCTTTTGCCCATATGGTTGGCTGTGGGTTTGTCACAGATGACTTCTATTACATTGAGGTTTGTTCTTTGTATGTCAGTTTTGCCAAAGGTTTTAATTATAAAGGGATGCTGAATTTTGTCAAATGTTTTCTCTGCTTCTATTGAGATGATCATGTGATGATTGTTTTTAATTCTTTTTATATGGTGTATCACATTTATTGACTTGTGTATGTTAAACCATCCCTGTATCCCTGGTATGAAACCCACTTGATCATGGTGGATTATCTTTTTGATATGCTTTTGGAGTCAGTTAGCTAGAATTTTGTTAAGGATTATTGCATCTTTGTTCATCAGGGATATTAATCTGTAGTTTTTTTTGTTATGTCCTTTCCTGGTTTTGATATTAGGGTGATACTGACTTCATAGAATGATTTAGGGAGGTTTCCCTCTTTCTCTATATTGTGGAATAATGTCAATAGAATTGTTACCAATTCTTCTTTGAATGTCTGATAGAATTCAGCTGTAAATCCATCTGGTCCTGGACTCTTTTTTTGTTGGTAATTTTCTAATTACCATTTCAATCTCACTGCTTGTTATTGGTCTTTTTCAGGGTTTCTAATTCTTCCTCATTTAAGCTAGGAGGTTTATATATTTCCAGGAATTTATTCATCTTCTCTAGGTTTTCTAGTTTATGTACATAAAGGTGTTCAGAGTAGTCTTGAATAATCTTTTGTATTTCTGTGGTGTTGATTGTAAAGTTTCCCATTTCATGTTTAATTGCACTTATTTGGATCTTCAAGCTTCTTTTCTTGGTTAATTTTCTTAATGGTTTATCAATTTTATTTAACTTTTCAAAGAATCAGCTTTTTGTTTCATTTATCTTTTCCATTTTTTTTGTTTCAATTTTGGTTTATTCTTGTTTCTCTAGTTCCCTGAGGTGTGACCTTAGGGAACTAATGACATTTTGATGTAGGCATTTAAGGCTCTGAACTTTCCTCCTAACACTGCCTTGGCTGTATCCCAGCAGTTTTGATAGTTTGTGTCACTGTTATCACTCAGTTCAAAGTTTTTTTTTTTTTTTTAATTTCCACCTTGATTTCATTATTGACCCAAAAATCATTCAGGAGCAGGTTCTTTGATTCCCATGTATTTGCATGGTTTTGAAGGTTCCTTTTAGAGTTGATTTCAATTTTATTCCACTGTTATCTAAGAGAGTACTTGATATAATTTGAATTTTCTTAAATTTATTGAGACTTGTTTTGTGTCCTATCATATGGTCTATATTGGAGAAATTTCCATTAGCTGATGAATAGAATGTATATTCTGCAGTTGTTGGGTAGAATGTTCTGTAAATATCAAGTCCATTAGTTCTAGGGTATATTTTAAATCCATTGTGTCTTTGTTGATTTTCTATCTTTTTTTTTTTTTTTTTTTTTTTTTTCAGACGGAGTCTCGCTCTGTCGCCCAGGCTGGAGTGCAGTGGCGCAATCTCGGCTCACTGCAAGCTCCGCCTCCCGGGTTCACGCCATTCTCCTGCCTCAGCCTCCCAAGTAGCTGGGACTACAGGCGCCCGCCACTACGCCCGGCTAATTTTTTGTATTTTTTTTAGTAGAGACGGGGTTTCACCGTTTTAGCCGGGATGGTCTCGATTTCCTGACCTCATGATCCGCCCGCCTCGGCCTCCCAAAGTGCTGGGATTACAGGCGTGAGCCACCGCGCCCGGCCGATTTTCTATCTTGATGACCTGTCTAGTGCTGTCAGTGGAGTAATGAAGTCCCCCACTATCACTGTGTTGCTGTCTAACTCATTTCTTAGGTCTTGTAGTAATTGTGTTATAAATTTGGGAATTTCAGTGTTAGGTGCATTTATATATAGGACTGTGGTATTTTTCCCATTAGACAAGGCCTTTTATCATTATATAATGCCCCTTTTTGTCTTTTTTTTTTTAACTGCTGTTGCTTTAAAGTTTGTTTTCTGTTATATAAGAATAGCTACTCCTGCTCACTTCTGGTGTCTATTTGCATGGAATGTCTTTTTCCACCCCTTTACCTTAAGTTTATGTGAGTTTTTATGTGTTAGTTGACTCTCTTGAAGGCAACAGGTACTTGATTGGTGAATTCTTTTCCATTATGCAACTCTGTGTATCTCTTAAGTGGAGCATTTAGGCCACTTACATTCAATGTTAGTAACATTTCAAAATCCTTGTCTTCAAGCTCTGAATTTCTTGTTTCCACTTGTTTGATTCTATTGCTGAGATTTTCCATTGCATTTTATATTTCTCTAAGTGTGTCCTTTATTTCCTGAAGTTGTGATTGTTTTAATTTATGCTATTTATTTCAGTGAAGGTTTCTCCCCTCACATCTTGTATTTTTTTTTAATTTCCCTAAGTTGGACTTTACCTTTCTCTGGTGCCTCCTTGATTAGTTTAATAATCAACTTTCTGAATTCTATTTCAGGCTATTCTTCTTGGATTGGATCCATTGATGGTGAGCTAGTGTGATTTTGGGGGGTGTTAAAGAACCTTGTTTTGTCATGTTACCAGAATTGTTTTTCTGTTTCCTTCTCATTTGGGTAGGGCTATGTCAGAGGGAAGATCTGAGGCTCAAGGCTACTGTTCAGATTCTCAGAGCAGACTGCGAGTTGGGACATGAACTCCAAAAAATCCTCACAGACCTTTTTGTGTTGTTCTAGAACAAACTCCAGCCCTTACCTTCAGGAAAGTCCAGCCTGAACTGTACTTTAAGTTACTATTCCTGTTTTTATTATGTCTATCCTGTTGTTCAACCCATTTATTGGCTTATCAAAATCATTTGTGTTTAGAACTAAGATTTTCTTTTCAATCTTTCTTTTTGCACATTATACTTCTCTGATTGAAATCTCCATTCTTTCATTTATTATCTCTCTCTTTTACTGTTGTTTCTGAATCATGTTAATCATACTATTTAAACTCCTCTTTTACCAGTTAAATGAATTATTTTCAAGTATGTAATTATTTCTGTCTGAATTCGTAGTAACTTTTAATTGTATGATGTAAAACTCATAAAACATACAGGGGTTTGATTTCATAACCATCCATAGAGGGTTCATTGTGTTCTTTATTTAAATTATCATCCATAAACACATTTGTGTGGACTTTCAAATGTGTGAAAAGGATGATGCAGACAGTTTAGTAAGTCCCTGACCCAGTACATTTGTGCTGCTATAACAAAATACCACAGACTGGAAAATTTATAAACAATAGAAATTTATTTATTACACTTCTGGAGGCTGGGAAATCCAAAAGGTGTTTGAAGTTTGGTGAGGGCTCCTCTCTGGTTTTCAGATGGTGCCTGGTTGCTATGTCCTTTAGAGTGGACAAACGCTGTATCTTCACATGGTGAAAGAAGTGCAAGGGCCAAAAGAAACTCCCTAGTTCCCTTAAGCCTTTTTATAACAGTTCTAAGCCCATTCATGAGAGAGCCCTTATGACTTAATCATCCCCTAAAGGCCTTATCCTTAATACTGTTACACTGGGCCTTAGGTTTCAATATATGAATTTTAGGGAGACATATACATTCATGCTACAGCATTTCCAAAGTAGATTGTTAAAGAATATGAACTAAACTTACCAGTTAAATTTTTGCCCAAAATTTCAGTCCTGATTCAAAGATAAGTGCCAGTTAGAGTTACTACAGTGAGGTATCATGACTTAGATTAAATGTTGCCACCAGACTTACATAAAACACTGTGTAACTGCAAATATTTTTAAAGTAATGTATGTCCTTTAGGAAATAAAAAATTCAGTGATGATGGACTAATACAAGTATTTATAACGTGGTAACATTTTCATTTAATAAAGCTCACAGCGGATGTGTATTTATTTAGTTGATAAACTTCAAAATAGAATGTTACCATAAGTTGCACTGGGATTCTAGATCCTGCTTTCTCTGGCTGTCAGAAGCCAAATTGTATACCTCTCTGAATATCATATCCACTGATGACTCTTTGGTAGCTTAAAATCAACTGCAGGAACATATATTGCCATGATAGTTAGGATGACTAGAAATCATGGTTCTCCCTTTTGCTCCCCAAAAAGATATTGGTTAAACATTTCCCACTTACCACTGATTACGACCATGATGGAGCATGAAATTTGGAGATAGACACCAAAGCTTTGAGTCCTGCCACTTAGGAGGTGGGTAGCCTTTGCAGATCACCAAAGGCCTGAAAGTCCCCAGGCCTTTACTGGGAAAGAGTCTTATACACTTTACTCTCTAGGCTGTTTTGTGGATTTGGTAAGTAGGATATGTAACATAGATTTAACATGTGGTCTGCCATGTAGTAAGTGTTGAATATGATTGAATTATTTTACTCTTCCATTGTTCCTCTCCTCTCATGTTTACTCTGGTTATTTTATTTAGTTGTTTTTTCTATTATGGTAATTCAAGGGAACAATGTAGACAAAGTGAAGAAGTAGAGTGAATAGAACACTAATTATCTGACAGTTAATACCTATACCTAGTAACTGCTGAAAATCTCACCTTATACATCAACCATAACTTACTCCTTTGCAGATACTCATTTTTGGAAGGGGAAAGTAAACTTCCTTTCTTTTAGTTTCCATCAGCAATTTGTAACTGCTTTATGTTTACATAATTATAAATTATTGTAACTAAGAATGAGTTGTTCCTATGCAATTTTAACTTAAGAAATAATTACTACTAAAGGTTTGCTTATTCACTGTTTATTTGCTGCTATTTAGCTAAGGAGAGGGCTGTGGTGGTAGCCCTAGCAATGAAGAGGGAGCCCTGAATCCAAGAAATGTGATATTAGTAGAAATTGTAGGGCTTGAAAAATAATTAAGTATTCAGTAAGAAATCACTATATTTGTCAAAAATATATATTATGTAGATGTTACCTGAATTACTATGTAAAGGTTATTTTGCAATATAAGTATACTTATATACTCCAAAATTACAACCACTTTTAGTGAAAAAATTACTATATCAATTTCCTAAACACTATATTTTAATTTTTAAAATAATGAATATTATACTTTTTTGGTTCCCCCTAACTTCTTGGGGAGTTAGCTGTAAACAAAATAATGTTTCTAAATATATTTCAATAAAGCTAGCAATATATACTTTTGAAATGATTTATTCATATATTTCATCTAAAGTACCGAATTTCAGTACAAAAGCCCTTAATTCATACATAATATAAATATGAAATACCTATGTCCCTCATTATTTTACAAGATACAAAAAAATTTACTAAACTCTGGTAGTGTTTTATAGAAAAGAATTAATGTAACTAATATTCTTTTCCCACACTCCTCTGCTCTTTATGTTCCTCTACAGAACCAGCAGCTGAGCCACACAAAGGACATGTTTGACAGATAAAGAACACTGATGCCAAGGTCTGAAATAAATTTTTTAGCATTAACATCTGTGTCTGTGCAAAGCTCTTGGCTGCTTTCTTCATTTGATGCTTGGATGGGTCTGTTAGATCTGTTGACTCCACTGCTAACCATGCTAATATCTGTTTAGCAGGCTCTGGTGACCTGCCCACAAAATCAGACATTGATTAAACTATTTTAAAAGTCCTATCTTTTGGAATTTGTCATTTTTGTTCCTCTGAATGACCTATGTCCACAAGAATTTGTCCTCATTTTATGAAAAGCACACTAAGGAAAAATTATCTATATTTTTCATGTAGAAGTAAAGAAAAGTACAAAGCACGCATCCCTAAGATAATCTCAAATCATTCTCTGTATCTTTGGATGATTCTTTTTCACAGTGCCTCAAAAGTAAATTACCACAAGCCAAATTTATTTCAGTATTAGGAAATTAACTGATTTATAATTTCTTAATTGAATGTCAGGCAATTACATTTTAAAGGAATTTATTTTCATTATTATTAGAAGTTCATACATATTACTTTTGGAGATACAGGACATATATTCCAGGAATTTGCAACAAACTCCAAACATTGACTAAATCAATTTGATCTGATCATATTACAGAGATATTTTCATATACCCTGAAAAACCCAAATAATTCTCATTTAGCAAAAAACATTTTTAAATATGTTTGCACAGATACATAAATATAGAAAATGTTCTTCCATGTTTTTGCCAGAATGTGCTCAATTTAGTATTTTAATAAAATGTGAATAAATAGTTCTTTAAAAATGGGTACTTTCAAAATTTTATGCAGGTTTTTGAGAGTTATATAAACATTTTTATCAAAATTTCTCAACACTGTGCAAGATGAAAAATCAAAGGTTTATATTAATGGTCCAATTCAGGAGAAACAATTTGCTCTAAAATATTTAACTGCTATTGGATTTTGTATGCAAGAGAAAAAACTCACTTAATGTTTCTGTTCAGGCCCAGATTTTCTTTTGTTCTGTGAACTTATGTATGTTTTAATTTCTTACATCTAAGTAGTAAACTGAGTTTTATTAATTGTATTAGGTTTTCAAATAATAATCATAAGAACGTGAAACACAAAAACAAGACACACACAAACACGGGCTTGTCCAGAGCAATTCCCCAGTACAACGACCTCTCCAAATTTGTTGTTATTTATCCCATGAGTGGAACAGACTTGTAAAATAATTTTATAAACCTTGAAGGTTGTTATGATTGAACATTGTTATAAGCACATAGTTGGGTCTTCCCAACACACATCTCTACCATAAAATTTCATTTAGACAAATATAAACAGTTGTTATTTTTCAAATCCAAATTTAAAAATATAACACAGTGATGAAGGGGCATGTTGTATACCTTAATCTAATCCCTAAAGACTAATTAGGCTTTAGCTTTAGTGCTATTCAAATTGGTTTTTATGTGCTTAAGTTATTTGAAAATATCGTCTTCCAAAGTGTAGAGAAATCACTTGGATGACATTGCAAACTTCTGATGCCAAGCTGGGAAAATTTCTTCCAAAGACAGCATCTGGTTCTTTGGCAAAATCCATTGGTAGTTTTTCTGCACATCTAGGTCTGTTATATGGCTGGCTGCTTTTAAGGACCAGTTTCTAGTTTACTAAAATGAAGGACTATATAAATCACTGAGGAACTCTGTGATGCTGATTTAAGTACTAGTTTAAAAACTAAGGCTCCATATATGAGACAAGTATAACACTGACGGCTGTATGCTGATATACTATCATGAACATCTGTTTCTGCAAGTGCCTGTGACTGTCTAAATGTGTAGGATGAATAATCATATTATATGTTCTATAAAAAATTTGAAAATCATTAATATTGTTTGAAAATATATTCTTCACACATTCAGAGTTAATTGAGACACATCAAACAGAAAAGAGTTTTCAGGAGCTGCTCTTTCTACTGATAATGCTATTGATGAAGTGAGTCAAAAAAAATTTCTGTGATGTGAAGTAATATTAATAGTTTAGCATATTTCTGTATTTTCCAAATACACCATATGTGAATATTATTCTTCAGGATACTGAATTCATAATCAACAGAGTGGTTATAAGACAGAATTATTTTCTCTCTGGGTAATTATAATTAATGTAATTCACTAATTTCTGATATAATGATAAATAAGATGGCATACAAAATAAAGGTTAATTTATTAACATCTCCCCCCACCCTTTTTGGTAGTTAGCTTTTTCCTGACTTAAAAAGAAATAAAAATAATGAGAAAATATATGAACAAAGTTTTGAAGGTATTTTTATGGTAATAGTTTCCTTCTCTAGTATTTTATCTATTGTCACTGAGCTTTTTCTCTGTAAGAGCAATTATTCAGATTTCCCTATACATTAATTTACCCTACGTTTTTTCATTGTCTTATATTTATGAGAAACTATTCCAAGCCCTGGAGATAAAACTCAAATATCAGGTGATCCCAAGGTAAAGGAACTTGTACATAACAACATTGAAATGGGGCTCAGGAAAAGAAGGAATAGCTAAAGAGGATAGCTTCAATAAATGTTGACACATAACATAGTAATTATAGTTTAATTGTGAAGGGATCACAGACAATCAGCTAATTTTTCTTGATAAGTCAGGGAGAGTTTTAGTAAGGAGGTGCTATTTGACTAAGTTCTGAAATAATGTAACAGCTTACAAATAAAAAAGAAAAATACTTAATGGAAAATTCCAGAAAATTTGAAAAATAAGTTTAGAGGGATGAGTTGTAAAAGGATATGGTATTCTTAAAGAAATTTGGTTTTCTTGCTGCACACACACACACACACCCTGCTCTAGGAGAAAATTAATATTTTTCAGCATAAAGGTAAATGGATGAAATAAATTTAAACTTAATACAAGCATACCTCAGAGATATTACAGTACAAATCCAGACCACAGCAATAAAACAAATATCACAATAAAACAAGTCACACAGTTTTTTTTTGTTTCATACTGCAGCCTATTAAGTGTGCAAAGGCATTATGTTTAAAAATGTGTACATACCAACATTTAAAAATTCTTAATTGTTATAAAAGGCTAACAATCATCTGCACCTTCAATGAGTCATAATCTTTTTGCTGATTATGTCAATGGTTGCTGACTGATAAGATGGTAGTTGCTGAAGGTTGGGCTGTGCAATCTTTTAAAAAGGAAAACAATGAAGTGTGATGTATTGATTGAGTCTTCCTTTCATGAAAGATTTATCTGTAGCATGCAACACTATTTGATAGCATTCTACCCAGAATTAGTCCTCTCAAACGGTGCCACTGCTTTATCAACTAAACTTATGTAATACCCTAAACCATTCGTTGTCATTTCAATAATGTTCACAGCGTTATTACCAGGAGTAGATTTCATCTCAACAATCACTTTATTTTCTCATCCAGAAGCAACTTCTCATCCATCCAGTTTTATCATGAAATCACAGCAATTCTGTCGCATCTTCAGGCTTCACTTCTAATTCTAGTTATCTTGCTATTTCCACCTCATCTGCAGTTACTTCTTTCACTGAGGTCTTGTACTCCTCAAAATTTTCCAAGAAGATTAGGATGTACTTCTTCTAAACTTCTGTTACTGTTGATATTTTGAACTCTTCCCACGGATCACAAATGTTTATAATAGCATCTAAAATGGCAAATTCTTTCCAGAAAGTTTCCAGTTTAGTTTGCTCAGACCCATCAGAAAAATCATTATCTATAGAAGCTAAAGCCTTACAAAATGTATTTCTTAAAATACAAGACATGAAATTTAAAATTACTCCTTGATCCATGGAGTACAGAATAGATATTGTGTTCACAGAAATGAAAACATTAATGTCTTTGTACATCTGCATCAGAGCTCTTGGGTGACTAGATACAGTGTCAATAAGTAATAATATTGACAGTAATATCATGAAAGAAATCTTTTTTTCTGAGCACTAGGTGTCAAAAATGGGCTTAAAATAAATATTCAGTAAACCATGCTATAAGCTGATGTGATGTTATCTAGGCCTTGTTGTTTCATTTATAGAGCAAAGGTAGAGTAGATTTAGTATAATTCTTAAGAGTCCTGGGATTTTGGGAATGGTAAATGAGCATGGCTGAGACTTAAAGTCAATAGGTGATTTAGCCCCTAACAAGACAACACTGAAACCAGACATTGACTTCTCCTCTCTTGCTATGAAAGTCTTAGATATCTCCTTCCAATATAAGGTTATTTCATTTTCCTTGAAAATCTGTTGGTTAGTGTAGCTACCTTCAACCATTATCTTATCTCAATCTTCTGGATAACTTGCTACAGCTTCTCCATCAGCATGTGCTGCTTCATCTTGTACTTTCATGTTGTAGAGAGGGCTTCTTTCTTCAAACTTCATGGTTTAACCTCGGCTAGCTTCAAACTTTTTGTGTGTATCATCCTTACCTCTCACAGCCTTCACAGAATTTAAGAGAGTGAGTGCCGTGCTCTGAATTAGGCTTTGGCTTCAGGGAACGTTGTGGCTGGTTTGATCTTCTAACCAAATCATTAAAACTTTCTCCACCTCAGGAACGAGGCTGTTTCATTCTCTTACCATTTGTGTGTTCACTTGAATAGTACTTTTACTTTCCTTCAAAAAGTTTTTATTTTTATTCACAACTATGTTAACTGTTGGGCTCAAGAGGCCTAGTTTTCGGCCTATCTCAGCTTTTCCAAATGCCACCCTTACTAAGCTTAATTATTTCCAGCTTTTGATTTAAAGAGAAAGATGTGGAACTCTCTTTATCACTTGAACACTCAGAGGCCATGGTAGAACCCTACTATTAACTGCTAATAATAGTAGTTAATAATAACTACTATTAACTGTTAACTATTAATTTTAACATTTTCATGTCTCAGGAAATAGGGAGTCCCATAGGGAGGAGGAGTGGTGGGGGATGGCTGGTAGGTGGGCCAGTCAGAACACACATAGTATTTATTTATTAAGTTTGTCATATTATATGGGCTAAATTCATGCCACCCTAAAACAACTACCATAGCAGCACCAAAGATCACTGATTTAAAATTGGAGAAAGATGGATAAATATAAGGACCCAGTGCTCACCTTTTCCCAAAGAAGGATCAAAACAGTGAGTAGGTAACCACCTATCAAATAGACCTTCTAAGAGAAAACACTAGAATTCAGCAGAGAAGTGACTGGGAACCTCTGGGATATAAAAGGAGAAGGAAGTGAGACAGCATGCCTGGCTGGGATCAGTCAGGAGCCAAGAGAGACTACGCTTTATGGATAAAAGGTAAACAAGAGATCTCTAGCGGTCCACATTCCCATCATGGACTCCTGCAATCCTAGTCATGCGGGAGCTCTTTGACCCTCACAGGCCCTGAGACTAGCAGAGGAAATTCCCTGGAGTCCACACAATGGCACTGTTCCACAGAGGGAAATTGTGTTGGATCCCACACACTTCCTGAGGCCCAAGAAGCTGCAGCCTGGTGCTATTTTGGGAGCTCAGCTCCCACCAGACTACGTCCTGCCCTGGGACCAATAGTTCTACATCTCCATATTCCTAGAGCCAGCCAGGCTGACATCCTCCCACATCCAACCAGGAAGCTACTTCCATTGCCAGCAGCACTTGTATGCGTTGTCTGGGAGCCTGGAGATTAACTCACCCTGCCCACCACCACCAGTGCCCGTGCACATTGTCTGTGGTTCTGAAGATAGGCCTGCTTCTCCTACTACTTGTGCCACAACTACACAGATTATTCAAGTGCCTGGGGATCTATCTGCCCTGCTCACTCAATGCTGCTGCCTGCAAATACTGTCTGGGGGCCTAAGGATAGGCCCATCCTGCCCACCACCACCTGTCCATGTGCTTGCTGCCAGAGGCATAATGATGAGCCCATCCATCTTGCCAATGGCAGCTATGCAAACCTCCTGGAGACCTGGGTACCAGCCGACCTACAATATTGCATGTACCCCTGATGTCTGTATATGTTACATAGTGGTCCAAGAGTTTGTTTACCACCACCACTGCTGGCACCGTGGGTACCCAAGCATCCTGTACAGGAAGTCCTATCCAGAGCAATCAGGCAAGAGAAAGAAATAAAAGGCATTCAGTTGGAATACAGGAAGTCAAATTGTCTCTCTTTGCAGATGACATGATCTTATACCTAGAAAAACCTAAAGAATCTACCAAAAATTCTTTAAAATGATAAACAAATTCTCTAAAGTTGCAGCTTACAAAATCAACATACAAAAATTAACAGCATTTGTATACATCAATGAAAAACTAGCTGAGAAAAAATAATCTTATTTATAATAGCTACCAAAAAATCTAAGAATAAATTTAATCAAGGGAGTGACAGACCTCTACAACAAAAACTACCTGGCACTGATTAATTAAATTGAAGAGAACACAAATAAAAATACTCATGGATCATAAACAATAATGTTAAAATGATTATATTGACAAAGCAATCTATAGGTTAAATGCAGTCCCTCTCAAAATATCAGTGAGCTTCTTTACAGAAATTGAGGAATAAAAAACTCCTAAAAGTCATAGGGAATTGCAGAAGACCCCAGAAAGCCAAAGAAATCCTTAACAAAATATTCAAAGCTGGATAGGTCACACTGCGTGTTTTTAAAATACATTACAAAGCTATAGTAACCAAAACAGCAGGATTTGCAATAAAAATAGACAAATAGGTCAATGGAAGACAATAGAGAACCCAGGAATAAGTCTATACATTTACAGTCAACTGATTTTTGATAAAGGTGTCCAAGAACATACATTAGGGAAGATCAGTCTCCTCAATAAATGGTGCTGGGAAAATGACTTCTTTGCAAAAGAATGATACTAGATACTGTCTTTCAACATATAAAAAACTATCTCAGAAAAAATCACCTCAAAATGTGATAAAGACTTAAATGCAAGACATGAAATTATAAAATTAATTTAAAAAAACAGTGGAAACACTTCAGGATATTGGTCTGGGCAAAGATTTTATAGCTAAGACTTACTTCAAAGATTCCGGCAATAACAACTAAAATAAATAAATGAAACTATATTAAACTAAATAGCTTCTGAACAGCAAGGAAAACAACAGAATGATGAGACAACCTGTAGAATTGGAGAAAATACTTGCAAACTCTTCATCCAACAAGAGACTAGTATCCAGAATATAAAAGGACCTCAAACATATCAACAGCACACAAACAAACAAAAAACCCACACATAATCCCACTAAAAATGGCTACAAACCTGAATAGCCATCACTAAAAAGAAGATTTACAAGTGACCAACAGGTATATTTTAAAATGCTCAACATTGTTAATTATCAGGGAAATGTAAATCAAAGCCACAATTACTGCACCCCAGTTAGAATTACTATTATCAAAAAGACAAAACAAAATTACAAATGCTGAGGAGGACACAGACAAAAGGGCACTCATACCCTCTTGGTGGAAATATTAATTATTAGAGCCATTAAGAAAACAGTTTGATGGTTTTTCAGAAAACTAAATATAGAACTACCAACAATCCAGTAATTCCACTACTGGGTATTTACCCAAAGAAATGGAAATCAGTATATCAAAAGAATATCTGCACCCCCATATTTATTTCAGCACTACTAATAATAGCCAAGCTATGGAATCAACCTAAGTGTTTTTGAATGAATGAAAGAATAGCAAAATGTGGTATACCTACACAATAAAATACTATGTAGCCATAAAAAGAATAAAATTCTGTCATTTTCAACAAAAGAAATTGAACTGGAGGACATTATTTTAAGTGAAATAAGCCAGGCACAGATAAATACGTAATACTTGTGGTCACTCACACATGGGAATTAAAAAAAAAATCTCTTGACGCTAGTGAATAGAATGGTGGTTACCAGAAGTGGGGAAGGATAGTAGAAAGATGAGTATAAAAAGGGATTGTTAAATGGGTACAAACATGGAGTACGTTCTAGTGTTTAATAGCATAGTAGGTAGCTATAGTTGATAATGATTTATTCTTTTTCCAAAATAACTAGAAGATTCCAAATGCTCTCAACATAAAGAAATGATAAATATTGAAGGTGATAGTCTTCCTGTATAATTTATTGTTTTGTTTCAGACATTGACTAAGATTACAAGAGTAAAAAGAAGTCATTTTATTTTTTTCTCGTCATAATAGTGTTTGCATTAATTTATGTTTCAAACCATTTCATGAAATATTTTTCAATTTAATAAATTGCTTTTTCCTTACATGTTTTCTCTCTATACACACAAATGATGTAAATGTTAATTAGCTTGATCATGGTCATCATTTTACAATGTGTATGTATATAAAAACATTGTGTGGTATTCCATGAATATACACAATTTTTATTTGTTAATTATACCTCAGTAAAATAAAAAGAGAAGTCAAACTCATAATGATCGTATTTTTGTAGTGTTTTCTAGTAGCATTACATTAAAGATCATTCTATAATTAAATCTATTGAATATAAAATATTTTGAAGCATATATATTGTGTAGGAAAAAAGTTCATGTTCAGATGGTTAATGAAAATATACAATTAATATAATTTTAATATTTCCAAAACTTAAAAATTTAAATTCCACTTGTTTTTCTACTTCACAATTCATTTTTAATATTCTTTATAAATAGTACTAGTAAACATCAAGTTCCTTGTTAAGCACTTTACACATGAACACTCATTTAATTCTCACAATAAGCAATGAGGTAGGTACTTATATTTAATCCCCATTTTGCAGATGAGAAAATTAAGGTGTAGAAATGTCACCTAACTTGCTGATATTTGCACAGTTAACAGTAGTAGAGCAACAGTAAAACCCTCTCAGGCTGTCTCCAGAGTTCATGGTGTTTACATTTACACTATTACTTATTGATGGATTACAGATAACTACTCTCGAGGTTGTCCTCATACTAGCACAAAATCCTGGTTTAAAGTTCATTTGGAAAATCCTTGTAACTTGGGAAAATTTTTTTTATATTCAGTAAAAATCTTTCATCTTGAAAAATTCACTGTGAAACACACACACAAGAAAATCAACAATGCATAAAAAGCCTAAAAAAATTAGCTCTATACTCCTGAATTTGTGCTTGTACTTATTTATTTTAGTATATGTCTTCTAATTGTTCAAGAAAAAAAATCAGGATTTTTAATCCTTATGCATTCACTGATTTGGAAAATGTAAAGTGATTGGCTTGGAAAATTATTTAAAATGTCAAGTAGTTTATGTTTTATGGGTTTTCTCAGTGATTTTTCCAGGAGTGTATTCATACATAATTATAAACTTTCAAATGTTGACATTATACTAGACCTTAACATTAAAACATCCCTCATAATATATGTAATGGGATTGAGGAGTGGCGAAAATTGATCAGGGGAGTAGAATTGTGCAATATCTTCTCCTAAAAAAAGAAGAAAAATAAAATTATATTAAAAATGTATGTATTTTAGATCTCTATTTCAACAAAAGTAGTTTTATGAACCACTTTTTATTAATGTAAGTTATGTTTGTGTTTTTCTGTTCTTTAAAATGAAACATTATTCCTTTAGTCCTTAGCTTACAAAAATTTTAAAATTTTCATGGGGATACCTTCGATAAAAAATCAGAACCATCAAATAACCCCATGTTCCACTTTATACTAAGCAGTTTGAAGAAGGAACACTATTTTCAGAAAAGATGTTATCTTTTTTTGCTTGGTGATTGTTACTATATTTGAGAGCAAATAAAGAGGAAAGAGTGAATATTATACTCATTAAAATAACAGCTCAATATATAGGTCAACCTGTGATTGATTATATGATGAAAATACCATACATTCTCATTGAATGCCATCAATTGATTCATGGAAACTGAAACTTAAAGCAAACTTAGGTGTAACACAACCAATTTTACCATGGGTTAATTGACATCAATAAGACTTAAGTGTGTACATCATATTTCTGGTCACAAAAGCATCACCAAACTTTTAAATAAAGACTCAAAATACTTCTAATTTTAAATACGAAAAAAATGAGAGCTACAAATACATTTAAGGTAGAGTAATAAAAACAACTATTTATTCCATTTCTGACAAATCAGCAAGTGATAGCAGTCATAGTGGTGGTAGGTTAAATCAAGAAACACATGTTTGCAAAGTAAAAGTTTTAAGGAGCACACAGTTCATTTCAAAAACAAACAATAACAAATATGGCAGGCTCACTGAGCACTTTCATACCACATGATTTATCGTTATGCATTTGGATGACTATTGTGTACCTTATAAATTTTTATTTTATAATCAGTGATATCCATTCATTTTTCTTTTTTTTATTATACTTTAAGTTCTGGGGTGCATGTGCAGAACGTGCAGGTTTGTTACATAGGTATACACGTGCCACGGTGGTTTGCTGCACCCATCAACCCACCATCTACATTAGCTATTTCTCCTAACTCTATCCCTCCCCTAGCCGCCTACCCCTCGACAGGCCCCAGTATGCGATGTTCCCCTCCCTGTGTCCATGTGTTCTCATTGTTCAATTCCCACTTACGCTGAGTGAGAACATGTGGTGTTTGGTTTTCTGTTTCTGTGTTAGTTTGCTCAGAATGATGGTTTCCAGCTTCATCCATGTCCCTGCAAAGGACATGAACTCATCCTTTTTTATGGCTGTCCCTTCATTTTTCAACCCACTTATTACAGTTCAGATTCTCAGGTGTCTGGACCATATTCTTGAATTTCAGAGGCAAGACCAGAACCCACCCTAGACAGGAGGCCATGCCGCCCCAGGGTGCACTCACACACACACTCCACACTCACTCAGACTGGGACCGTTTAGATATGTCTGTCACACATAATCTGCACATCTTTGGTGTGTGGGAGGAACCAAAATACCTGGAGAACACCCACACAGTCATGGGGAGAGCATTCAAGCTCCACAGACAGTGTTCCCAGCTGCGAATCAATTTTCTGTTTCTCATCAACCTTATAACAAAATGACCTTGAATAAAATATTACTATTTGAGAACCTGGTGTATATTATTTTGAAATAGCAAAAGATAGTGTTTTCAAATTTAATGTAAATAGCATCATCAGCTTAAAGATTTTTTGATCTTCACAACGCATTACAAAAATCATTCTTTAAATATATCCATACTATGGAAGTCATTTCATTGTAAATGTGTCATTTCCAGAGTGTGCAGATTTAAATATGCATTAATGGTATTACAAGGATGTGTCTCAGACATCAAATGAATTAACTTTGACAGATTGTAATTGGCAGAACTGACACCTTTGTTGCAAGCAGACCTTCTGGCTTCGTTCATTAGTAAAGTCCTTCAGCAGATACAAAATGTCTTAAATTTGGTAAAATCGTCTTGCACTTTAGTTAATTACCTTTTTATTTATTGATTTCATTTTGAAATAAAGAATAAACAGTAAAAATAGTTAACAACAATAGCTTTTTTGACACATTTAGGTTCTAATCTGATTATGAAAATATGATTTCTTTTCTTTCTATAATTTTGATACAATCTCACTACTACACTGTAAAAATGTTTTAAAATACTAATATTGGCTTGATGCAGTTACTCATACCTGTAATTCCAGCACTTTGGGAGACTAAGATTGGAGCATTGCCTGAGTCTAGGAATTCGAGGCTGCAGTGAACAATGATTGTACCATTATACTCCAGCCTGAGCAACAGAGCAAGATCCTATCTCTAAAAAATGATGATAATAATAAATTACCAATATTGAATCAGAAGTGAATAGGCTTTTCATAATTTTTGAATTCTAGAACTAAAAACAAATATATAGTAATTAAAAATGTATTGATATTTGTAATTTCATCTCAATTAAAATGACAAAAAAGCACACTTAGGTAATATTATTAAACTAAATATATTTAGATTGCGTTGTTTGGCACTATTATTATTTCTATTGCTAAGTCAGTATCAGCCAAGACAGTCCTAGAAACTAAATAATAATGATATTTTAAAATCATACAAAACCTTCATCTGCAATACCAACTCAGGAAGACTCATCTGGCCAGTCTTTGGCTACTCTCAGTTTTATATATATATATAGATATAGATATAGATATATAGATATATATAGATAGATATAGATATATTCACTGCACTATATATATTATATATTATAATTCTATATAAAATATAGAATTGTATATAATATATTATATAATATATATTATATTGCATAGTAAATGCTAAGCTCAATACATGACAGTTCAAAAATGCTTGCTGAGGTCGGGCGCAGTAGCTCACACCTGCAATCCCAGTACTCAGGGAAGACGAACGCCAGTGGATTACTTGAGTCCAGGAGTTTGAGGCTGGTGCCTGGCCAACATGGTGCAACCTCATCTCTACTAAAAACAAAACAAAACACACACACACACACAAATTAACCAGACGTGGTGACTACACACCTGTAATTCTAGTTCCTCAGGAGAATCACTTGAAAGGAATAGGAATCACTTGAACCTGGGAGGCAGAGGATGCAATGAGCCGAGATGGGGCCACTGCACTCCAGCCTAGGTGATGGAATGAGACCCTGTCTCAAAAAAACAAAAAACAAACAAAAAAAAACTCGCTGAACTGATGTTTTAAAGAAAAAACTTAGCCATAAGTAACCTTAATAAGTATATAAAGTCATAAAACCTCAGTGATCATCATACATCTCAAGAATTGTGAATAACGCTGGATTAGTGGAAATGGTGCTGCTTATGTTTGCAAGTGTGCCTCACTGCAATAGAGACCCCGATTTTAGCAAAAGAAAAATTATGCTATTCTCTTATATTTCTAAATAGATAGAGAACAATATAATGACTTCATGCTTTCCAGAAAGGTTTGTTAAAATCAAATCCTATCTTTCATGGCTAAATTTGTGAGAAAAGATAGTCATAGGTATACTATCCTTTCTTAAGGAAGATTTATGAAGTTCATAATGTTATAATGTTTAGCTGAAATATGTATAAGATTTAATTCTTAATTTATTTTAAATTTTTGATACAGCTTATTTTGATAAGATCATGTGGCAGCACTGAAGAGGAGGCAACTGATATGAAACTGAGAGATAAGCATAAATACGATTTAGTACAAATAGTAAGTCTTAGTAAGCAAACTATCCAGTCCTTAATTTTTACTCCAAAAATTGCTACCTATATGAATTTCAGCAATTTATTTCAATATCTATGAGAATAACAAAATTGGAATCACATATATTTTGGTGGTTTGGAAGGGAGATAAAGAAGTTATATGTGTATACATGTAGCTATTGAGTACTTGCTTTCCCCTCATAGGGCATGTGATAAGCGTGTGGCTCCCTTCTTCCTTGCCCTGCTGCTCATACCTCTAGAGGAGCATACAGACAGGCAGGCTGGGGGTGCTCTGACACCACAGCAGTGTCTAGGGGTGAATGTTTACAGCTGAAACCCCAGTGGGCATGTGTTACAGGGTGCTCTTTTAATTTTGCGGTCTATAGACAGCTTGTGTTAACCAGCTCAATTAGACCCTCTACCTTGTCACAAGGACAGAGAGCTTTCTGTATCTCGCGGTTCTTATCTCAATGTATCAGAAGACTCAGATCACATGGGAGAATGAGAGTACACCCCCGCCTCCCCCAAACCCCCTGCCCAATGCCCCGGCCAAACTCCACCTCACCCCATCAGCTGATGGCCTACCAGCATGCTGGCGTTTGTCTGTGTGCTCTTCCCCTAGTGTGCTCCCAATGTCTTCTCCATGTCCAGCTGCTTGTCTTCTTCCATCTATGTGTTCCTCTGGCGGGCCAGCAGCTTCTGTCTCTGCCTTGCTAGGGTCTCGGGTTTCTATAGGCCCAGGATAGGAGCGTGGCTGGCCAGGGTAGTCTTGAAAAATGCAACCCTTGGGAAGGAAGGCAGAAGTGCCTGTCCTCACCTAGGTCCATGGGGGTGGAGCCCTAGCCAGGGACCACTCCCTCCTCTACAGGGTGCTTCCCTTCCCTCTTCGATATCATTTAAAGGGACCTCGCTCTTCCCTTCCCAGCAATCCCGTATAATATCTAGGGAAATGGTAAAGTCCTGGTTTACCTAATTGGAGATGCCAATAGACGGCATTAGCAGTTCGTCTATCAAGTACTCTCATAGCTCAAATCACCAATTTTGTTAGAAAACCATAAATATCCATGATGCCCATTAAACAAAAACTCACTGGCACACAGTCTATTTTTTTTTTTTTATATAAGCCTTGACTTGCCTTTTGCTTTTGAAAGGTGACAGTCACAAATGATTAATCTGATTAACATGTAAGTAAATCTGACCTGCATTTCTATCTAACTGCCATATGTGTGTTATTCTCTGTCAGTTATTTCTGAAAGTTTCACCGATCTGTCTGCGTGAGTCTCTCCATTAAAGTCACAGAAACAGGCAGCTTGAGTAGACACTTTATCCACACTTAAGCCCTACTCTTGAGCCTCTTTTTGTGACAATAAAGTGATTTTGCTTTCATGGCCAAATCTGGTTTTGTCCATGTATGCTTTATATATATGTAGATTGATGATTAGATAGATGACAGATAGATAGATAGATAGATAGATAGATAGATAGATAGATAGATGATAGATAGATAAAATCTGTCATTTATTGCCCAGTTGATGGCAATGAAGATAGTAAGCTGATTTTAATCATCTGACCATCCGGTCTCTGTCAGGAGGACTAGGAGAGGGAACAAATTTTCCGTAATGAGCCAATCAATTCAGAATCTAGTTTTCTTTATAGTTTTATCAATTTTGTTTGTCTTTCCTGTTCTGAGAATTGAGTTACCTATTCTGTTCCTAGAATTGAGTTATTTATTATTAAGTTACTGGGTTACAAGACAATGGTTAAGTTGGGCTTTTAGCCTTTGTCAGTTCTGAGTTTGGGAATTTTTTTATATAATTTCCTGAGATATTATTCTGACAATTGATATAATGCTTTTGGAAATTATTCAATCATAAAAGTGTATCCATATTACAAGGATATTTTATCCTTATAACATATCCATACTGTAAAAATATATAATTTAAATTAGAAAAAAATATTAAAAAATTTAAGAAATTGAATTTTGTAAACATAAAAGAGGGAAGCTTAATTATTTGGGTAACAAGTGTGTAAATGAGACTAAGTCTCTGTTGGAATAAGAACAGCAGTGGAATAAAAAGGATTATTTCTGCTTTGACATTTTTTAAACAGCTTTATTGAAGTATAACCAATATACCATGCAATTCACCTAGTTAGACTTTTCAAGTCAGCAACTTTTAGTTTACTTAGAAATTTGCGCATCCATCACCACAATCACTTTTAGAACATTTTAATTACTCCCAGAAGAAACTCCACACCCCTTAGCTTTTATCCCCAATTCCCCTATCCTTCTAGTTGTAGGCAACCACTAAAGCACTTTCTGTTTTTACAGATTTGTCTATTCTGCATATTACATATAAATGGAATTATAAAATATATGGCCCTCGGTGACTGTATTCTGTTATGTAGCGTAATGTTTTCAAGGTTTATCCATTTTGTAGCATTTATTCTTATTGCCAAATATTATATTATATCAATATAACACATTTTATTTATTCATTCATCAGTTAATGTATGTTTTGGTTGTTTCCACATCTTGTCTATTATAAATGAGACTATTATGAACATTAATGTACAAGTTTTTTTACTGTCATGTGTTTTCATTTCTTTGGGGTATAAACCTTGGAGTGGAATTACTGGATCATATAGTAACTGGGTTTAAACATTTGTGGAAATGCCAGGCTGTTTTCCAAGTGTCTGTACCACTTTACATGTCCCCAGTAGCATATGAAGATTCCAGTTTCTTCACATCCTTGCCAGCTCATGTTATTATCTGTCCATTTGATTATAGCCATTCTAGTGGATGTGAAGTGGTATCTCATTGTAGACTCATTGCAAGCTGGAAACACTTGACATCACAAAAAAGCAGAAGAGTTTTAGGTACATGTTTTTTTTTTCTCCTCTTCCTCCTTCTCTCAGAAAAAAATAAAACAGGAAAGTTTCTCAGAAGTACATTCAATAAGAGAGGGAAAATTTTGCAACACAAACACTGTGTTAGCAGAGGTTAAGCTTCAGCCAGTGGCTACAATCACAATACAATTAGATGAGGATTAAAGAAAACAGTGTATAATGTAATAGCTGCAAAATCAGACATAGTTCCCTATTTAGCTTAGAGTTTTAGAAATTTCTTCTGCTTTGTAACTGTGAAATATTTTCTAAACAAAATCATAAGAATACATTGGTTCATCTTCAGAAATTATATCTTAAGCTTAAAATAATTTATATTTTGAATGGCAAATAAAGCCCGGTTATAAATATGCATATAAACACAGAGACACACACACACATACGTACATAAAATTATAGTATTTTCAAGAATAGAAAAGATTAACTTTAAAAAAAAGATAGTGCTTTAAAAAATGTTCAAGCCGTTGCTGAAGCACTAACAGAAATGAAAAATATATTTACATATACTTATATTGTGACCATGCATTTATGCACACACACACACACACACACAGAGCTATACATTAATTGGCCTTGATTGCTAAGTCACAAAGTAAGAAGTGAAAAAATTCAAATCAGTTAACCAAATAGAAAAAAATGTTTTAAAAGCCTCTGCACTTTTAAACAAAATTGAAAAGTTGTAAATAATGATTATATAGAGAATATATACACATATATATATACACACACACAGAGATAGGTTTTCTTAAGTAGTAAATTCAAAGTAGTTAGTGCATTTTCTTATTTAATATGCCTGATAAGGTTAATATATTTCACAGTGGAAGCTACAAATCTATTAAGTATTGTCATCCATAATTATTAAATATATTATAAAAAGTACAACATAAATGTGTCTGTGATTTTAGTTGCTTATGTTTAAATAACTGTATGTTAAATTAATAACAGAAAGTTTATAAATGTTAACAAAACAATCACTAAGCATATTATTGGTCTGACTGTATTTTTGTGCTTTTTTATGTTAAAATGTTTTAATAAATGTTTCTCATTTTTAGAAAAGCTAATGTATCTAATATTAAATTTAACTTAATAATACAATTATAAATATTAAATCCCATATAACTATAATACTTTTAAAGCTAAAATTAATACTATGGAGTATACTAACAAGTGCATATTATTAAATGCTACTGTACTGATAAAAATGTTGTCACTGTAAGCTAGCTGAGTGTGTGTGTGTGTGTGTGTGTGTGTGTGTGTGTGTGTTTAATCTTTAGACACCTTTTAGTGGTTTTGGATTTTATATTCATATTTTCTATGTAGGAATAAGTTTTCTCTGGAACTACTTTTGATATTTGATTTTTTAGGATAATAAATCTTTTACAGATTTATTTGGCAATTTTGATAGTCCTCAGATGGCCATTTGTATCAAGTTTCTCTCCTTCCCTTATTCTGGAGAAGATCCTAAAATAACTGTTTGCTATTCTCCACATATTAATTGGGTCAACTACTATATTAACTCATTGAAATAGATGAAAGTAGTCACTTCCTTTATCTTTAATTCCAAATAGGCCTATTCTTTTATTAATATTTCCTTCATACACATACTTTTTAAACTGTTGACAAAGCACTTTCCTGTATATTTTCTTATTTTGATAGTGATGACAATACACGCAAGTACATGAAAATAAATCTTGGAATCCAAGTGGCTCTTTAAGTGTGTCACTTGGCAAGTTTATACAGGACCATTAAGCCATTTGTGTGTTTTTTGGTCCATTTTCTTTCTTAGCTAGCTACCACAGCAACACCGTTTTTTGGATATTCTTAATTATGATAACATCTTTTCTTACTTTTCTCATATAAATAAGGTGATATCCTAAATGTGTTTACTCAAGAACAGGGAATTCACAACAATTTTATTGCCTAATTTTACTTAATCTGATAGCTAGAGATTATTCCTCTATGGTGCATCTAATAGTGTGGACAACTAAATTAATAAAAGACTCAGGAGGTTTTCAGTCTTGTTTTTAATTTTATAGTTTCTTCAGTTGAAAAAGCTGTATCTATAGAAAAATACTCAGTACCTCTTGGACAAAAGACATGCTGCCATTAAATGTGTTTATCTCCTTCTTCACCCATAACTGTAAATGCCACTCCAATCTAAATCCAGTAACTTTAAATTTTCTGATAAAGCTGAGTTTTCAGTGTAATATCTATACAAACTAAAAGCCTTCCCTGTCATAAATTAATCATTGTTTTTTAAACAACTTGTATATTATTTGTTGATGACATACATTACAAACCATCAAGGAATATTTTTTGTGGATTTGTATAAAGACTTTGATACAGGATGAACTTTGCTGAACTTCTTTTTTAGTTTGCTATGAACAAAACAATGTTTGTAGCTTTCTTAAACATTAACACATCACAGAATAAAATAATTTAAATAACAGTATAATAAAATAATACCTTATTAGAGGTATTCCAGTACTTCAGAAAATTTTAATTATTAACATGAGAACACATATAAATGTAATATTTTAGAACTTAAAATTGTCCTTCAGTTGACTACCAATGAGAGATTTCATCTCTATGTATATAATAATGGTATATACACAATTAGACATTACAAATCCAAAAGGAATTTTGCAAATACAACAATCGGAATCCACATAGTGAAAACGTATTTACATTTCAAATGTTACTTATGCATAGCAATACATTTTGTCATTGCAAACACACATGCTTGATAACATCTAAGAAAATCTCTGGTCCACTCATGCTCAAGTAAACCCCTCAATGGCAGGGGGGATTCTTTTCAAGTTTACAAATATATTGGCAGAGAAATGTTACCAGAGAGACTGAATGGCTGTTGAAATATTATTTTATTTCTAAGTATGTTAACTCTGATAAAAAAAAAATAAAGTTGCAGACTACCTGAAACACCCAAATGAAGGACGATTTGAAGATTGTACTGAGTTGTTTCAATTATAAGCCTTTTATATGTTTTAGTGATAGATTCTAAATTTTCTGGTTATTTGGCATTTTCTTTATCAAAAGCTACTGTGTTTTCTCTTGGAAAAAAGATATACTGATTTTGTTTTTCTCAATTTGAAAATGACTTCAAGTCTGTGTTGTGTTAGACAAACTCCTCTTATACATGAAATGTGTAATAACTGTGCAAGTTCTTCTGTTTAGTAAGAAATATTCTTGCCCCTACTATCCTCAAAATCTGGAGAATGAGAATGAGATAATGGTATTTTAAAATCAAATCTTTCAAAACTTTCATAAGAGATTTCCTTCCCTTGGTTCAAAGTCTTAATAATAATGGCATCTGTACCACAAATCTTCACGATTTTCTACTATATAAAGTAGAATAACCATAGACTTGTTGGCATAGTTTGCTGGTAGACTCTACCCATTACATTTTCATTTTGTCAAATATTGTATATATTAAAAATGATAATAATATAATAAACACAGCCGTGTATTCAACAGAAGAAAGCTTTATTTTCAAAAGAAATATACTTGGACACATTAATTAAGACTGCGTAACCAAGATTTGGTATACTAGAAAAGACATCACTAAGAGAAAACTTTTCATCTGTTTGGAAATGGCTAAACTAGTCTTTTTAGGCAATACTATTTTTAAACCACTGGGTGTGCACTCATGGATTTATATTGCCCATTATAAGAAAAGACAGATATGTTATAAAGTGATCTTTGATGTTATAATTGTAATTACTTTGTGGAGCCATGTACCATGCACATAAGTTCGTGATAAATGTTAACTGAGAAATGTTACATGTGTTCTGACTACTCCACCAACAAGCCATCGCTCCATCTCTCTGTGTCTCCTCAGGGATCTGTGCTAGCATCTCTTATTTTGGTCTTTTTAATAATAGTGATTCTAACTTGCATAATATAATATCTCATTGTTCCGATCTGAATTTTCTAATGCTTAGTGATGCTGAAAATTTTTTTATATATCTGTTGGCCATTTGTATATCTTATTTTGTGAAATATCTACTCATGTTTTTGCCTACTTTTTAATGGCATTAGTTGTTTTATTACTATTGAGTTGAGTTCCTTGTATACTCTGGATATTAGTCACTTGTTGGAGAATAGTTTGCAAATATTTCCTCCCATCTAACAGATTTTCTCTTTACGGTTGTATTTCCTTTGGTGTACAGAAGCTTGCAATAAAGTATTTTTCAATGAAATAATATACTTTTTTTTAGACATAATGCTAGTGTATACTTAATAGAGTACAATAGAGTGTAAACACAACTGTAATACGTGCTAGGAAACCAAACTATTTGTGTGATCTGCTTTATTGTGGTTTTCTGTAACCCACCCTGCAATATCTCTGAGATATGTATGCATGTGTTTAACAAAAAGGTCTTTACTTGCTTAAATTTCATGAGGAGTCTGATGTGGTAAGGTCCCAGATGTGATTGAAGACACTAGAGTTCTTGTCTTACGGAATGATTTCTTTGTAGATGACATAAAAAATGGAAAAACATTCCATGCTCATGGATATGAAGAATCAACATTATTAAAATGAGTGATGCCCAATCTACATATTCAATAGTATTCCTATCAAATTACCAGTGACATTTTTCACAGAATTAGAGAAAACAATTCTAAAATTCATAGAAAGCCGAAAAAGAGCCAGAATAGCCAAAGCAATCTTAAAGAAAACAAAGCTAGAGGGATCAAATTACCTGACTTCAAAATATATTAGAAGTTTATGATGACCAAAACAGCATGATATTGGTACAAAAATAGACCTATACATCAATAGAACAAAGAGATAACCCAGAAATAAAAGAAAATACTTACCAACAACTGATCTTTTACAAGGTCAACAAAAATATGCACTGGGTAAGGATACCTTACTCAATAAATGACGCTGGGAAAACTGGCTAGACATATGAACAAGAACAAAAGTGAACCCCTATCTCTCACCGTACACAAAAATTAAGTGAAGATGGATGAAATAATTAAATGTAACACCTGAAACTATAAAAATCCTAGAAAGAAACTGAGAAAATACTCTTGTGGACATTTGCTAAGGCAAATAATTTGTGACAAAGACCTCACAAGTAAATGCAACAAAACCAAAAATAGACAAATGGAACTTAATTACATTGAAAACTTTTGCACAGCAAAGTAAAAACAACAAACTAAACAGAAAACCTACAGAATGGAAGGAAATATTTGCAAACTATGCATCTAACAAAGAACAAATATCCAAAATTAATAAGGATCTCAAACAAATCCACAAGACGAAAACAACCCCACTGAAAAGTAGGCAAATGATATGAACACATGTAGCCAATAAACATATGAAAAAATGCTCAGTATCACTAATCAGAAGAGAAATGCAAATTAAAGCTGCAATGACATGCCATCTCACACCAGTCAGGGTGGCTGTTCTTAAAAGTAAAAATACAACAGATATTGGCAAGGATGCAAAGAAAAGAGTACACTTATACACTGTTGGTAAGAATGTAAATTAGTTCGACCTCTATGGAAAGCAGTGTGGCGATTTCTCAATGAACTAAAAATAAAATTACAATTCCACCCAGTAATCTCATTACTGAGTATCTACCCAAAAGGAAATAAATCATTTTATAAAGAGACACCTGCATTCACATGTTTATTGCAGCAGTATTCACAACAGCAAAGTTATGGAATCAATCTTTGTGTTCATCAATGGTTGGCTGGATAAGGAAAATGTGGTATATATACATCATGAAATACTATGCTGTCATGAAAAAAAATCATGTCCTTTGCAGCAATGTGGATGGAGCTAGAGGTCATTATCCTAAGTGAAATAATTTAGAAACAGAAAATCAAATACCACATAATCTCACTTATAAGTGGGAGCAAAACAATGGGTATACATGAAGATGAAGATAGAAATAATAAATACCAGGGATTTTACAATGGGAGAAGATGACAGGTGGGTGAGGGCTGAAAATTACCTATTGGGTACAATGTTTACTACTTGAGTGATGGGTTCACTAGAAACCCAACCTCATTATTACACATTATATTCATGCAATCTACCTGCTTATGTCCCCACTGAATCTAAAATAAAATAAAATAACAAAAATTATTTTATATCCTGGACAAATGTATTGATCTGCAATTTCTCCACAACTATGATGCAAATCATAAATGATCCCAAGTTTTAGATAAATATACAATAGCATAAATTTATTGATTAAAATACATTTGGATAGGCCTGGCGTGGTGGCTCAAGCCTGTAATCCCAGCACTTTGGAAGGCTGAGGTGGACAGATCACCTCACATCGGGAGTTTGAAACCAACCTAGCCAACATGGTGAAACCCCAACTCTACTAAAAATACAAAAATTAGCTGGGCGTGTTGGCAGGTGCCTGTAATCCCAGACACTCAGGAGGCTGAGGCACGAGAATCGCTTGAACCCAGGAGTTGGAGGTTGCAGTAAGCCAAGATCACACCTTTGCACTCCAGCCTGGGCGACAGAGTGAGACTCTATTTCAAAAAACAAAACAAACGAACAAACAAAAAACACTTGGATAATTAAATTGCTCTTGAATGTGTATTGGCCAGCTAAAGCAAAGTATACATATGTAGTAGTTTCAGTTTAGACATATCAACAAAAGTAGAAATATCAATGAAGAAGAAAAGTCCCACTGTATTATTGTGCACAGGATTATTGTCTTGACTAGGTCCAGTAAATATGGACACAAAATGCAGAGTATTTTCCAACTATTTTATGTGACATTGGTGATTCTCCTTTTATTTTCTTTTTGCCTTATACCACTAATATGCAGGTGCATAAAAGTTGCAACATAGTTATGACTATAAGCCATAGTACTGGATCAAGAAGAAACTTAAACATTTACAGAAAACATGGATCTTATGACAGTGAATTGGACCTCAGGAATTATGAAAGAGAAATGGAGCGGCCCTGGCTTAACTAAGCAGGAGATTCTAAAAGAAGTGCAATACTTCTTATCCACAGATAAACACAGTAGGTTCAGAAAGAGCTAAAATTACAAGGTTTCTTGAAAAAACCATAAATAACTGCAATTGACTTCCATGTTAACGGTTTTGTCTGAACCAGGGTATACTTTCTCTGATAGTTTCCAGCCAATTAGCTTACCACTGGACAACATTAAGTCTTCTAGGGAGGAAGCCAGCTTCTATGGATGACATTTTTTCTTTCTCATGGATACATGGTAGGTGTAGTGTTTATGCGCGTGTAGGTGTGTATGTGAGAAAGAGAGAGATCCAGAGACTGTAGGATTACCTTTTCTCCCACATAATTGGGGATTTTTTAAATCTATGTTTATAAGGAATATTGATCTATAATTTTTCTATTCTTAGATTTTCTTTTTTTGGTTTTCAATGTAATATTAGACTTTGTGGAATTCTCTTTTTTTAATCTATGGAAAAGTGTATACAATATTGAAATTTTATTTTCCTTATATGTTTTATTTGTATTGTTAATAAATTAAGAAGGTATGGGTTTCTTTTATTGGGGAAAATAGTGATTTAACTCTGAATTTATTGGAAGTGTATTAGGGCATTTTGGATTTTTATTTTGACTGGACAATTTTAGTCATTTATAATTTATTGGATTTTATTTCTAAGATTAAATATGTGGCCAGGCACGGTGGGTCATGCCTGTAATCCCAGCATTTTGGGAGGCTGAAGCGGGTAGATCACATGAGACCAGGAGTTTGAGACCAGCCTGTCCAACACGGCAGAACGCTTTGTCTACTAAAAATACAAAAACTAATCAGCATGGTGGCACACGGCTGTAGTCCCAGCTACTCAGAAGGCTGAGGCAGGAGAATCTCTTGCACCCGGGTTGCAGCAGAGGTTGCAGTGAGCCTAGTGAGACTGTCTCAAAAAGAAAAAAAAAAATGTATAAAATGTTTCATGGTATTTTTCTATTATATTTCCTATTTTTTTATTTCACTGTATCTGAAATGTTAACTTTCTCTTTGTTACTAATATTATTTATTTCTGACTTCTCTTAATCATTCAGGTCTTTTTTATATAGTTCCATATAATAGAATCTTTTACTATGTTGTCCAGTGTATATCAAATAACAATTGTTTTACAGGCTCTGGACCTCAGAGACGATTAGACAATGAACATTCTTTAACGATGTTGCCTTAACAATTCATATTTACATTTGGGTAGGCTGTATTTTAAATTTTCTGAAAATTGAACTTTTCCAATTAGGTGAGTACATGTAAACTTTGAACAATACAGGAGACTTAGGGGTGCCGACTCTCTGTATAGTCAGAAATCTGTGTATAACTTTTGACTCCCCCAAAACTGAACTACTAATAACCTGCTGTTAACTAAAAGCCTTGTTAATTGCAAAAACAATTAAAACATATTTTGTATGTTACATACATCATATACTGTATTGTTACAATAAAGTAAGCTAGAGAAAATAAAATGTTATTAAGAAAATTATGTGAAGTAGAAGGAAGAGGAGGAATTGGTCCTACTGTCTTAGGGATGGCAGAAAATCTGCTTGTAAGCAGACGTGCACAGTTCATATCCATGTTGTTCAAAGGTCAACTATTTGCTGTTTAGGTTAAGTGTCTATCAGTGTAATATCATGCCTCAATTAGAGCCTCCGACTCCTTTTGCCTACTTTGTAACTCCATTTCTTTTACCAATTCTTGAATTGTTTTTCATACTACAATCTATGCAATGACTATATCCATTTTCCTAAGAGTCAAATTTGATATTTCCTTCTCCCTTATCTGCTATATCTAACCATTAATCAAGCTGTTTAGTTTTATTTCTAAATATATCTAGTGTCCTATTTTACCCCTTTAGGGGCCTCTATTGTATTCTACCAATTTATCTTTCTGCATTAACTTTGACCCCTCTGTAAACCATGCTAACCAGTGTAGCAAAAAAGATTGCTAAGAAGCAAAACTGACTATATAATCCCCTATTGTAAAACCCTGTATTGTATTCTCTTTTATCATTACATAAAGAGCAATGCACTTTACATGGTCCGTATTCTTCTACATGATGTGGATCCTTCCCATTTTCTCACTCATTATGCATTCGTGCCTCCTCTCTAAGGTGCTTTGAACACTGACTTTCAATTCCAGTTTCCTTTCTGTCCCAGGATTAGGATGTACTTGGAATATTCTTATCTCTCCCTATTATTGTCCATGTTTTTCTTCCCATTATTCTCCGTATTTCTTGTCCTTTCTTAGGTTCGCAAATCAAATGCCATTTTTTTCTCTTCTTTTCATTTTAAATTTGGAAAGGAGAGTTTTGTTTCTAATAAAGGGTTATAGACTGCAGAATGCCCATTCTGACAGGCTGGGAAGCATAGTCTCTGGTTGGAAGCCAGAAACAGACACTTGGAGGGAAAGCCAAAGGCAACATAAATTTGTGGTGAGCAGGGTGGCCAAATATACACCTCTAATAAGTTATAGGAGAAATCACAAATATTGATGAGAGGAGAAGCATGCACATATGCAATTGAGCATCATGTCCCCTTTGTTGGTCCCATGCACAAATAATGGCAGCGTTAGCGTGATCTGATGTTGGAGTTTTAGGACCTTAGATGTCAAAAGGTGAAGCAGAGGACACAAAAACCCTTCTTGGACACATTCTCTGTAGACTGGCCATAACCACTCTGTCCTCTCTTATCGGGCAAAAAAAGTAGGGCAGCATCAAGAGGTTGATTGGGATCAGCGGTGGAGTTTTGGAAAGGGCTGTTTTCTGTGTCTCGCCTAGGGAAGAACGTCTAATGGAAGTTAGTGAGGGAGGGACTATAAATGAGGCGTGTCTGACCTCGCATGACCTAGGTCATGGGGGGAGAACTCAGTTTTCAAGGTTACTCTGGGGCTCCCTTGGCCAATAGGAGAAATGCCGCTTCTTTAAGGAAGTCTTAAAACTAGATGGTACTTACCTAAAGACACTCACCTCCATTACATCTATCGTAGTTCATCTTATTTCATGAAACATTTGGCTACATCACACTCCTGTCAGTGCAATGTTTGTACTATTTGTACTGTTTTCTCATCTATTCTTGTGGTTGTTTTATAGCAGCAATTTAATAAACACCTTTGAGTAAATGAGTATGTAATTAATAGTTAATTTCTTTTAAATACTTGAAATTTGATGAATTCATTACTTAATTTCTAGTCGATGACTTGGTAGTTGTTTTTTTGTTTTTATCTTTCTTGAACACACAATTGGGGGAAATGCAAGCCCACAAACAATGGCTATAACAACATAATGACAATGGAAGACTAATAGTAAGCAGCAAATTATGCGGTAATTATGAGGTACGTGCTATTTTTCATAGAAACTGCAGTTGACATTATAGGTTTATTTATAGCTAATATTTCAAAGAGTGGTTATTTTAAACCATATCAGAAACAGTGACTTTATATGTTCAGAATTTACATCCAGAGCTACCTATGCTACATTTGAATAAAAATGAGAAAAAAAACTGGTAGAAATTATATAATTTCCATTATTTTCAAAAATAAATAAAAATACAAAATGACACACTACCACCATCCCCTTGCCTAACACACATTACATGTCAAAGATTCTGTATTCAAATAATTTTTAACAGTGTAAATCACATGATTTAGTTTTCTTAGTTAATTGTTGCAGATTTTTTTTCACTTATAGCAGATGTGTTCTTGAAAAATTATACCTATTGTAGAAATTTGGAAAGAGTCCTAGAACACCCAATTATGTGAGAGTTATGGCTCATATAAGGGGCACCTACTGTTTTAAAAGGGAACATGGGATTTATAAATTTTCCACAAAGGAAGATCTGTCTGAAAGATTTAATGGGACTGGGATTTGAACAAAAGATATTTGTTTTGTTTTCTGTTTTCCTGACACTCATTTTGTCAACACCAATTAATTATTAAGGGCCACAGTGGTTTGGAATCCCAGAATAAACATTTTACCCACACCTTCTGAATCCACCTGATGTACAGCCTAAGAAGAAATTCATGAAGCATTGGGCACGTTACCAGATACTTACTTATTCTGGTCAATTTTTTAGTACTTGGAAAAGCTACACAATAGTAATATAGTTTTTCTCATTTAGTAAATCATGTTTTGTTTTTCAAGAGTAAATTAATTTTAAAAACTTACTGACATTATAGCATATAATTCATTGAATTCAATTTATTTTGTTTTTATTTGAGTAAAAGAATTTTACTAAGTGCACCAACGGATGATATTCAGCTCTGCCCCAGAATTCTTAGCTGGGCAGACTAGTGAATTGTTTGTCTCCCAAAGCCAGTCAGTAATGACTGGAGGAGGAGACTGGGTTTTCAAGTGTGAAGACAGCAAGGCAAGTCTTCAAAGAACATGAAAAATCAAGAAAACATGATGCCACCAAAGGAACATGAAGTGACTGTCTTGTCACTGATCCCCCAAAATGGAGCTCTACAAACTGCTTGGGAGATAATTCATGTTAATTGTTTTAAGAAGTTCAGCAGGCTACAAGAGAACAGACAGACAACCCAACAAAATCTTGAAAATAATACATTAACAAAATGAAAAGTTTAAGATACAAAAATCTCTAAATATGTAAAAGGCCTTAACTAATCCCATCTTGATTTACACTCTATCTTCTTCCTTGTGTTTCAGCAGATATCCTTCTTGTGAGTTCTTAAATATACTCAACATGGTTTTGACTCAGAACATATGTTCTTGCTGATTCTTCTGCCTAAGAATGATATTAGTGGGCGTCATAATAAATTATTCTTTCAAATATGACTTACTCAAGGCTTCCCTCATCACAGCATTTAATATAGCAGCTGCCTTTATCACTTTCTATCATCTTACTCTGTTCTATTGTTTTCTTATAGATTTTATCACTACATAACATTTTGTATTATCTTTATGTATTTTTTGTCTTTGTCAATAAAAATGTAAGCTCACTTGATATATAGCTAAATAGATAGATACACATGTGGATGTAGATATAGATATCAGTGTCATATGCTTAATACTTTTAAAAGCATCTTTTAAGTATCTCATACTGAATAGCTATTTGCTGAATGATTAATAAAGGAATGAATGAATTTTAATGTGGTGAAGAGGTGATCTAATCTTGAATAAAGAATGAAGACAGCAGTCAATTATTCTGGACATAATATCATGAAAAAAGCAACAGGGTCTAGACTGTGTTTAGAAATTGGTTACAAGATACAAGTCTCCACAAAAGTGAACCAAGATTCTTGAACAAAAGGAAAATATAAGTAATTGGTAATAAAGCATTAAATATAAATAAAAATCCATGAGTTTTTAGAGATGAACCTATTTGCAATTTACTCTAATAGTGGATACATTAACTTATGCATTTGTCAAAATAAATGGAATTTTACAGCAAAAAGTATGAATCAATGTATTCATTAAAAATTATTTAAGAAATTGGGAGGACACAGGATGCAATGAAAAATGTAACAAATCATTCTAACTGTATGTAACTAAAGGTGGTAGGACAAATAGGTGCTGACCTAAGTAACTTTGGAAATGAGTGGTCTGTAAAACTAATGGCAAATAAAAACTTTACATAAAAACTTTACAACGTTACCCTGTGTAAATTTGTGTCACACAGGGTAACGATTAACAATTTTGATACAATACATGTATATTGGAAATGAATGCTTAAAGAATGGTGGATGGTGTGAACAAGGTTTTTCAATGTTGCAATGGGAGTTTACAGATAGTCAAGTGGAAGAGAATAGAAAGATCTGTGTGGCAATGGATTAGGGTTTAGGGACATCAGATGAACTCACATAGCATCATATATAAACACTTAGAGACAAGTAGAAATAGTTGTGATTATATGCTTATACAAGTGTTAGTACATACATATATATTTTTATTCTCTTTTGTCACAGGACTGGAAGCAATGACATCCTAGTAGTAACAAGCACAGCCAGTGGCCTTATCTTACTTTTTAATAATGTTTTTCATGAGAAAAATCAGGAGAATTGGCCAAATCTAGTAGTGAAACAGAAAATATACAAAATTAGCTTCCAGTATATGATACTGGCAGAAAGTAAGAAAATTCTCAACACACACATGCAACACAACAAAAGTATTATGTCGAAGGGACAAAGAAACCAGATGAAAAAACTACCAACAGATAAAGCTAAAATCATTTGAGCAACAAGTTAAATATAGTAGTATTGTATTTTAACCCAAAATATAATGTAAATTCTATGAGTCATGCTGTGATAGTTAATACTGAGTGTCAACTCTATTGGATTGAAGGATTCAAGGTATTGTTCCTGGGCATGTCCGTGAGGGTGTTGTCAAAGAAGATTAACATTTTAATCAGTGGAGTGGGTGAGGCAGACCCACCCTTAATCTTGGTGGGCACCATCTTTTCTGCTGCTGGAGCAGCTAGAAGAAGGTAAGCAGAAGAAGGTGGAATGAGCAGACTTGCTGAGTCTTCCAACCTTCATCTTTCTCCTGTGCTGGATGCTTCCTGCCACCCTCCAAGATCAGACTCCAAGTTCTTTGGCTTTTGGACTCTTGAACTTATACTAGGTGGTTTACTAGGGGCCCTTGGACCTTCGGCCTCAGGCTGAAGACTACATTGTCAGCTTCCCTACTTTTGAGGATTTGGGACTCGGATAGATCCACTACTGACTTCCTTGCTCCTCAACTTGCAGATGGCCTATTGTGAGACTTCTTGTGATCATGTGAGTCAATTCGCCTTAATAAACTCCCTTTCATATATACATATATCCTATTAGATCTGTCCCTCTAGAGAATCCTGACTAATACACATGCTTATATAAATAAATGCTTGAATGGATAAATAAATAACTGGGGAGAAGAAAGAAGTCTTGTTTTCAGAAGAACTACTAATAATTTATGTAGATACTCCCTTATTGAGAGGGAAGCTTACCCCTTCTTCAGTCTGAGCTGTGAATAGTGAATCCCTTCAAGAGAGTACAGAATTATAAAAGGGGAGAAAAACAGTAAGTTTACAATGGGAAACATGACAAACATTACCTCTACCAACTAATAAGGTTATATTAACAGTGATAAGTCATGTTGTTAGTGTGTATCCTGATATGATATGATGAAAATGGCACTTCACCTTTATGGTCATCCTTTCTGAAACTCATAAACCCAATACAATTAGGATAAAAGTATAGACAAATGCAATTATGGGGCATTTGACAAAGTATCTGTCCAATAATCCTCAACCCTGTCAAGGTCATCATAAAAAGGAAAAGTCTAAGAAACTGTCACAGGAGAAATAGGATGTGTGATACATGGTGGGAGCAGAGGGAAGGAAGCCTCAAATAATTTCCCTAAAAAAGCTACAGAATATAAGTCCACATACAAAACAAAAAATTAAAATACAACAAGCTATAGAACAGTATATAGATTTATAAACTCAAACATTAAAATATTTAATAATTATAACTATGTATGAAGTTTTAAAAGACTAGACAAATTATAGATTATTAAAGTGACAAGGCACGGATGGAAGAAAACACGTAGCTTTTATTAATGAAGAGTAATAGTGGTTTTAACCATACTTCAATAGAATGATTTAAATGATTAGACAAATATTCTTTCTTTGATTAGACAATGAAAGTTTACAAAGAATAAGTATGAGAAAATTATACATAAAATATAAAAGAGAAATAAATGCAATGCATGAAAGATGATAAATATTCAGGAGGAATACAGTGAAAAAACTTAATATACGCTTTACTTATAGAAAGAGATAATATAAGCAATGAAGGTAATCAATCCTTATACAGATATTTTGTAGAATCTATGGAAGCCACAAATACTCAGATTCACACAAAAGATAAAGAAACATATATATCCAAATTTGACCTGTTGGAGTAAAACCGCAAAATACAATTAAAGAGGAAAGCTTAAAATCTGCTATAAAAACCATATTATCTGCAAAGAATAAATATAAGACTGATATTATACACTGGCATGCAGGCTTTGTCCCTGTCATGCACAGGTTCAACAGTGAGTCGAGATATAATTTTCTTTTTCTGAGTATTTTTTCTAGGACAAAATTCACCCAAACAGGGATAGTAAACACCTTGCTCACTTATAAAAGGCATCTATTGAACACATTTTAAAAAGATATTCCAGGGAAAAAAGTTAGATTCACTTTATTTATTACTAAGTAGCAAGACATAAATGGCTGTTATTATTGCTGTTATTCAGTACAGTATTAGAGTGTATAACCAATGTACTAAAAGTAAACAGAAACAAGAAGGACAAGTTTTGAAATAGGAGGCATAAACCAATTTTTTTTTGCAAATGCTATGTGATTACACATAGAAACACAAAATAATCAACATTTTTAAAATAAAAAGGCTCAACACACAAACACACACACACATACACATACACATATATGACCAATGTAAAAACAGTAGGGTTTTTCCATCACAGTAATACACATAATAAAAAAATTCATTCACAATAAAAACAATCACCTTCAAGCATGTAAAAATTGATCTAACAGCAAACCCCAGTAATTTTACGGGAAATATTAACTTCCAAACAGAAAAATAAGTGAAGATATTTACTATGTTAATGAATGGAAGGATATAATATTATAAGATACATAGCACAATATTCATAATGAATATAGTACAATTCTAATTAAAATTTCTACTATGAGGTTTTAGATTAATTATAAGGGTTATGTTAGAATATAATTGTAGAAATTCAAATAACAATAATATAACTTTGACCAAAAAAAGTAAAGAAAGGTCTTATCCTCACAAATTTAAAGCATGTTCCAAAGTTGTAGTTAGGAATAAAAGCTCATTTAATTTTGTGGGAACAAATAAGTCAATAAAACTAAATCTAGAACTCAGGAACAAATTTGGAGTCAGAAACCCATTGAGAAATTATTCATTGTTAGTAGGTAATTTAGAAAACATAGAACAACAGAGAAATGTAGGTTGCATTCCTACTTGATGCCAAATACAGTGACGCATTACAGTGGATTAAATTCCCAAATATGAGAAATATAACAATATAGCTAGTAAATTATAAATTTGAAAAAGGATATTTTAAAAATAAATCCAAAAAAGCCAAACATATTAGAAAACTCTCAATGTATTTTTTGAAATTAAGGGAAATAATTTTTACTCAAAGAGATTACAGACAAAATTAATACACAAGTGATATACTGCAAATATTTTTGATCAATATCTAAATACTATGGGGAAGATTGTAGAGCACACAAGAAAATTCATCATCAATACCACCACCAACAATATAAACAAATATTGTTTTGAAAATAAGCAAAACATACTAATGAATATGCATGGAAAAGTGATTCTACAAGTGGACAAAAGGTATATAAAAAAAGAAAAATCTTTTTAGTAATGAGATTATTGCAAATACAAAATTTATATTTTATTGTTAATATTTTGCACTTATAAATGCACTATTTTTATAACCAGAAAAATACTAAAACAATAAAGTTGTTATGACTAAATATTGCTTAGATATGAAAAAATGAGGGAAAGTGGAATTTTCAGTTAGATCAAAAAAGTGGAGAATAATCTGTCAATGTGAATTAGTTAACTGAGTATATATGTCAATACGAGATATGAAGGGCTTTGCCACATGTGTAAATTTAAATACCAACATAAACAGAAAAACTGAGCATAATTTTTACTCAATTTTTTGACTTGAAATTTAAAATGAAAAATAAAAGTGCAAAAGAAATACTATCTAGATCTCCTAAACCTGTCTAAGGAGATTTAAATAAGTTATATATAAATCCAATATAAGTCAGGACAAACTTTCATAAATCAAATATAAGTCAGGACAACTCAATCTCATTTTTTTCCAAGATGGCAGATTAGAGGCTGTTAGTGTGCCTCAGACACTTGGAAATAGCAAGATAGTGCATGAAAATCAACTCTGTGAGATTTTATTCAAGAAAGAAAATGGGAATCTGCTGGAATCATGAAGCACATTCTAGATCTGGGGAAGAAGAATGCCAGCAAACAGGCCCATGATGACAACCAGCTGATCAAAGTGAATGAAGCACATGAGAAAGGCAGAAAATCTCCCCGTCACTTGCCTTTTCACTGGAGAGTGGAACAACCTAGACTGAAGGAGAGCACTTTGTTTCTCCCAAGCTCTAGAATTAACTTGGGGGACAGGCTATGAGATCTTTTGAGAGAAAGACACGAAAAAAGCACAGAGATTTCCCTAGAACAAGTACTGAGAAGAGGGTGACATTTTAAATTTAGGTACATACAAAGTAAGCCATTCTTTGTTGACCTGGCAGCATGGTAATGTGGGCGTTTTCATCTTGGGCCAGAGATTGGAGCAGCTGCTCTGGAGTGAAGTAGGGGTCTCCATAGCCAGAACTGTGGAAAGTACCTCAGCAGTAGGCACTGGAATTGTCACAAGCCTGGAGCAGAAGAACTGCTACATTTGTGGTTTCTCCTGGGTTGTGAGACTTGCAGATGGGGCCAGCTTGGCAACCTTGGAGCCAGTCTGCACGTGCCACTGCAGGGTGCCTCAGCCTGCTCTCTTGAGACTGTGGTGTAGTGGGGTTCTCTCCACTCCACCCCCATGCAGAAATGCAGGCATTTGGAGCAACCACTTGCCTGCACAAGCAGCCTGAGCCACCTCACCTTTCATCAACATAGATCACGGTCCAGTGGGGTCCTCTCTGGCTCATGCTCAGGCAGATCTCCAGGCATTTAGTGCACTCATTCACTGGAATCAGCAGCCTGACCATCCCCACCCTTCCTGTGCAGAGAACCCAGTGTAGGAGGGCCTCTCTTCTAAATGCTTAAGCAGATGTCCAGGTATTCAGAGCATTTGTGATATAGTGTGGATATGTGTCTTCACCCAAATTTCATGTTAAATTGTAATCCCCAGTATTGGAGGTGGGGCCTAGTGGGGGTAGATTTCTCATGAATGGCTTAGCACTATCATCTTGGTGCTCTCCTCATGATAGTGAGTGACTTCTTGTGAGATCTGGCTGTTCAAAACTCTTCGCTCTCTCTCTCGATCCTGCTTTCACTATGTGACATGCCTGCTCCTCCTTTGTCTTCCACCATGATTGTAAGTTTCCTGAGGCCCCTCCAGAGGCTGAGAAGATGTCAGCATTATGCTTCCGGTATAGCCTGCAGAGCCATGAGCCAGTTAAACCTCTTTTTTCTATAAATTATCCAGTTTCATGTATTTTCTATAACAATACAAGAACAGCCTAACAGAATCTGCTTGTGTGGTTCAAAAGCCTGAGTCACTCCAATCCTCCTGTGCAGAGATCTTGACGGAGAGGAGCCCTTTCTGTTCCATGCTCAGGCAGTTCTTTAGGAATCTGAAGCACCCACCCTCCTGTATTAGATTAGATTGTCCCTCAACCATGTGCAGAAAACTTGGAGCTGAGAAGGTTTCCCAGCTTTACGTCTACACATATAGCTGGGCATTTGGTAGTTACCCACTGGCTTCTCCCTCAGCATTGATGTTTGTGCCAGCCATTAGGGGACTTGGAGGAAGCCTCGCCAGGTTTAGCCCACCCACTGTGTCCTGTGCCCCCAGGGCCTGAGCAAGGGGCTCAGACCAGTGTATATTCCACTAACCAGCCCATTGCCTGAGGCAACAAAGTGTTTCTGAAAGTAAACAAGGATCAAGTATATACCCAGCCATGTTGGCTGCAGCTGCTCTTACCTACAGGTTCCATCTTCTGACTTGCAGGAGAAACTGCACAGCCCAATATAAAACCTGCCAAAACAAGTTCATAGGGCTATAGAAGCAAAGCCAAAAGACTTTACCCAGCAACTTCTACAGTTGCATCCCTAGGGACAGGAGAGGGGAGAAGGAAAGTACAATAATATAATAGGGAAGGAAGGAAAAATAAAAAATATTACCCACATGAAAATAATTACAAAAGTTAGAAGTGGCAGCATTTCCAGATGAGAAGGAACTAGCACAAGAATTCTGGAACTAAGAATGAAGTGAAACCACCAAAGTACCACACTGGTTCTCCAATAATGGTCTCTAACCAAAATGGAAACTGAGAAATAACAGAAAATATTCAAAGCATGGATTGCAAGGAAGCTCACTGATCTCCAAGACAGGTTTAAAATCATAGAAACTTTTTGATGCAATTCAGCAAATTAAGGAATTAAAAAGAAATCACTTAAGGGACTTCAAAATACAATTGAAAGTTTTATTAATACACTGGACCAAGCAGAGGAAAGAATTTCAGAGCTTAAAGATTCATCTTTTGAGCTAAACAGTGAGAAAAAAAAGAAAACAGAATTTTAAAAAATAAACAAAGTCTTCAAGAAATATGAGATTATGTAAAAAAGTCAAACCTATGGCTTACTGTCATTTATGAGATGGAGAAAAAGTTAATAACCTGGAAAAAATATTTCAGGGAATAATTGAAGAAAAATTTTCTAATCATTCTAGAGAGATAGACATCCAGATACAAGAAATCTAGAGAACACCTGAGAGATATACAAAACAAACATCATCAAGTTATGTTGTCACCAGACTGTCCAAAGTCAATGCTAAAGAAAAAATACTAAAGGTAGTTAGAGGAAAAGGTAATATCTCACAAAGAAAACCCCATCAAGTTAACAGCAGACTTCTCAGCAAATACCTTACAAGCCATGAGAGATTGGGGGCTAATTTTTACCATTCTTTAAAAAAAAATAGAAATTCCAATCATGAATTTCATATCCCACCAAACTCAGCTTCATAAGTGAAGGAGAAATAAAATCTTTTCTAGAAAAACAAGCACTAAGTGTATTTGTTACCAGTAGACCAAACTTACAAGTGATCTTAAAAGGAGTTTTACAGATGGAAATGAAAGAACAATACCTGCTACCACAAAATCATACTTAAGTATACAGCTTGCAGACCCTACAAAACAACCACACAATAGACAGTACAAAACCACCAGCTAACAACTTGGAAACAGGATCAAAACTTCATATACTAATATTAACCTTGAATATAAGTAGTCTCAACTGCCTACTTAAAAGGCACAGCATGGCAAGTTGGATTAAAAAAACAAGAACTGTCTACTGTGTTCAATATACCCTTTTCACATGTAGTATCACCCATGGGCTCAAAGTAAAGAGTTGGAGAAAGATCTACCATGCAAATAGAAAATAAAAAAAGAGAAGGGGTCACTATACTTATATTAGATAAAACAGACTTTCCAAAGTGTGGATCACCTGAAGTCGGGGGTTGGAGACCAGCCTGACCAACATGGCAAAACCCCATCTCTACTAAAAATACAAAAATTAGACTGGCATGCTGGCAGGTGCCTATAATACCAGCTGCTAGGGAGGCTGAGGCAGGAGAATCACTTGAACCCAGGAGGCGGAGGTTGCAGTGAGCTGAGATCGTGCCACTGCACTACAGCCTGGGTGACAGAGTGAGACTCCATCTCAAAACAAAAACAAAAACAAAAACAAAACAAAACAAAAAGACTTTATGCCAACAACAGTAAAAAAAGAATAAAGAAGGGGAAAACATAAGGAAAAAGGGCTCAAGTCAAAGAGAAGACTTAACTATTTAAAATATATACAAACTCAACATTGGAACAATCAGATTCACAAAACAAGTAATTGTAGACCTAGTAAATGACTTACACTACAACCCAATAATAAGAGGGGACTTCAACACCCCTCTGATAGCACTAAACAGATCATCAAGGCAGAAAACTAACAAAGAGATTCTGAACTTATATTCAACACTGGACTGATTGAACCTAATAGACATCTACAGAATTCTCCATCCATCAACTGCAGAATATACATTATTTTTATCTGCACATGAAACATACTTCAAGATCATCCACATTTGATGATAAAAAGAGTCTCAATAAATTGTTTAAAAAAATGAAAGCATACCAATCATACTCCCAGAGCACAGTAAAATGAAAATAGAAATTCACACCAGGAAGATATCTCAACACCACTCAATTACATAGAAATTAAACAACTTTCTCCTGAATGAATTTTGAGTAAACAATAAAATTAAGACAAAAATAAAGAAATTTTTGAAATAATTGAAAACAGAGACACAACATGCCAAAATCTCTGGTTTGCAGTAAAAGTAGCATTAAGAGGAACGTTTATAGTGCTAAACACTTACGTCAAAAAATTAGAAAGATCTCAGATTAGCTATCTAATATTACACCTGGGGTAATAGTAAAACAAGAACAAAGCTAACAGAATAAAAGCAATGACTATTATTGGAGCATAAATGAATGAAATTGAGACCCCTCAAATCCATACCAAGAATCAACAAAACCAAAAGTAGTTTTTTGAAAGAATAAACAAATCATTAGACTACTAGTTAGATTAACAACCAGAAAAAGAGAGAAGATCCAAATAACTAGTCAGAAAGAACAAAGTTGACATTTCAACTGATCCCACAGAAATACAAAAGATCCTTTAAAAATATTATGAATACTCCAAAGCACACAAACTAGAAAATCTAAAGAAAATGGGTACATTTCTTGAAATGCACAATCTCCCAAGTTTGGATCAGGAAGAAATTGAAACCTTGAACAAATCAACATAAAGTTCTGAGATTGAATCAGTAATAAAATCCTACCCAAAGGCACAGACCAGCTGAATTCTACCAGATGTACAAAAAAGAGGTGATACCAATTCCACTGACACTATTCCAAAAAAATTAAGGAGGAGAAATGTCTAACTCATTCTATGAAAACAGCATCATCCTGATATCAAAACCTGGCAAAGACACAATGAAAAAGGGAAACTACAGGACAATTTATCTGATGAACATAGATGCAAAAATCCTCAAGAAAATGTTAGCATTTTCTTGCTAACAAATCCTACAAATCTTGTTAGCAAATCCTACAGCACATCAAAAAGTTAATTCACCATGATTAAGTAGGCTTTCTTCTTGGGAAGCAAGGTTGATTCAATGTATGCAAATCAATAAATGTGATTTACCACTTAAACAGAATTAAAAATAAAAACATTATAATTATCTTAATAGTCAAGGAAAAAACTCTTTATAAAATCCAACACCCCTTAATGATAAAAACCCTCAAACAACTAGGCATTCAAGGAGCACACCTCAAAAACAGTAAGAGCCATCTATGACAAACCCACAACGAATATACTAAATGTGCAAAAACTGAAAGCATGCCCCTTGAGAACTGAAACAAGACAAGGATTTGCACTCTCACCACTCCTATTCAACAAAGGACTGGGAGTTCCACCCAAAGCAATCAGGTAAGAGAAAAAATATAAGCCATCCAAAAAGGAAAAAAAAAATACAGCAAACTATTTCTCTTTGTAGACTATATATCTATAACTAGAAAATCCTAAAGACTCTGTCAAAAGTTTCCTAGATCTGATAAATGACTTGAGTAAAGTTTCAGCAAACAAAATTGATGTACCCAAATCTCATTTACAATAGCCACACACACACACAACTTACATACTCAACATTATTCCTATCAAATGACCAAAATTATTTTTTTCAGAACTAGAAAAAAAAGTATTCTAAAATTCATATGGAACCAAAAAAGAGCTCAAATAGCAAAGCAGTAGTAAAAATAAAGAACAAAGCCAGAGGCACGCTATTACTAGACTTCAAACTATACTGTAAGGCTATAGCAGCCAAAACAGCAAGGTACTGGTACAAAAACAGACACATAAACAAATGTAACAGAATAAAGAACCCAAAAATAATCCTGCACCCCTACAACCATCTGATCTTCAATAAAAATAATCAGTGGGGAAAAGTCCCCATATTCATTAAATGGTGCTGGGATAGATGGCTAGCTGCATGCAAAAGATAAAACACCCCTATCTTTCACCATATATGAAAATTAACCCAAGATGGATTAAAGATTTAAACATAAAACCTCAACTACAAGAATTTTAGAAAAAAACCTGGAAAACACACTTTTGGTCATTAACCTTGGGGAAAAAATTTATTACTAAGTCCTCAAAAGCAATTACAAGAAAAACAAATATTGACAAGTGAGACCTAATTAAACTAAAGAGCTCCTGCACAGCAAATGACACTATCAACAGAGTAAACAGACAACCTACAGGATAGAAGAAAATATTCACAAACTATGTATCCAACAAAGGTCTAATATCCTGAGTCTATAAGCCACTTAATTGTAGAAGCAAACAAGAAGTAATCTCATTAAAAAGAGGGCAAAAGACTTGAATAGACACTTCTCAAAAAAAAAAAAAAAAAAACATACAAGTGGCCAAGAAGTATATTAAAAGTGCTCCAGATCACTAATTATCAGGATATTGCAAATCAAAATCACCATGAGATATCATCACATACCAGTCAGAATGGCTCTTATTAAAAAGTTAAAAAAAAAAACAAAAGCTGATACTGGCAAGACTGTGGAGAAAAGGGAACACGTGTAGTCCCTTGGAGGGAATGTAAATTAGTTCAGACACTGTGGAAAGCAGTTTGGAGGTTTCTCAAAGAATTTAAAATAAAACTACCATTTGACCCAGCAATCTCATTACTGGGTATATATCTAGAAGAGAACAAATAGTTGTGCCAAAAAGACGCATACACTTGTATGTTCATCGCAGCACTAATCATAATTACGAAGACATGAAATCAATGTAGGTGCCCTTCAACAATGGACTGGATAAAGAAAATGTGGTACATATACACCATGGAATACTACGAAGCCATAAAAATGAATGAAATTGTGTTGTTTTTTTTTTTTTGCAGTGACACAAATGCAGCTGGAGGCCCTTATCTTAAGTAAATTAACGTGTAAGCAGAATTCCTGATGCTACATATTCTTGCATATAAGTGTGAGCTTAACATCGGATACTCATGGACATAAAGATGGGAACTATAGACACTGGGGATTACTAAAATGGAGAGGAAAAGAGTGGAGGTAGGGTTGAAAAACTAACTATTGGATACTATGCTCAGTACCTGGGTGACAGGATTATTTGTAACCCAAACCTACCACCCAGGTACTATGCTTAGTAACTGGGTGATGGGATCATTTATAACTCACCATCACACAATATACCCAGGAAACAAACCCATATCTAAAATAATAGTTGAAGAAAAATAAGTAAAGAAAAAATAAATCAAATAGAAAACCTAAAACAAGTTGGTAGATATATAGTTATAAAAATATTGTACTAATCAAAATAAATGTAAAGAGATTTAACTTTATGTATTAAAAGTAAGTGGCTATCATATTTAAAATCCTACATGTGGAACTTATAAAATATAATTTTAATAGCTCATGAGTATGAGAATTATAAAACATTTACCAATTAATACAAACAAATAATTACACATAACAATTTGTGAGATGCAAATAAAAATTTACCTCTATAGGTTCATTCATTCACCAAACTCAAGAAAGGTTGAAAAATAAACAGTTTGAGCATGTTAAGAGGTTGGTGGGAAAAACCACAGAAAAACCCGAAGAAAGTAAAGAGTAAAATAATAAATATAGTAATGGAAATTAATGAAATATGCAAATATATGTAAGTAAACACCTGCAGGTTTTCATTAGGCAGTATAAAAACTGCCACCCTAATGAAAATTTTCTCACTTGTTCATCTAAAATAAAATCGAAGAGAGAAAGAGAGATAATTTGATTTTAATACTTTATGGTAGCAGAAGGGTGGTGAATACAGTGTGTTAAAATGTCTTAAATGCAAAGAATACAGACCCCTTCCCTCAAATAAACTTGGAATTCTTTTTTCTCAGTATAAAAGGACCCACCTTAAGTGGGGCCACTGTGAACATATATACTATCAAGCAGAGCAGCACAAGGAACTGGAAGAAATTGAAAGTAAAAGCATGAAAAATGCTAATAAAATAAAGAATGCAACACACTTTTTTTGTCCATTAAATAAAAGAGCCACTGATTGTAAGACCCATTATCGATTTTTAATGTTATTAATATTTAAAAATTACTACTAAATAATAATTTCTCTTAAGGACAGTTATGCGCAGCTCATGCACAACCTCTTTTGAAGTATCGGAAATACAGAGATTATTAGTAAGAACAAGAGACTCTTTTAAAAAGATAATGATATAATAGTTTTTTATGTGTATATGGTGCTGAGCTCACCCTTCATAAATGTGGACATTTCTCAAGCCAGTGAGTGACAAAATTTTCATGAAACTCAGGAATTTTTTGAGAAAGATCAAGACATGTACAGATCTCAGTTGTCATTCATCACTTTTCAGGTTATCCAGTAGAAGAAAACCCTTGAATCGCTACAATCAATTAATCAATAAAAGCAATCACATGTTTTCTGCCCAGTGGTGTGATGGTGCTGTCTTCAAATGCACCAAAATAGTCAATTATTAAATTTTCTGAAATCTTATTAGTCAGTTGTGAAACAGCCATTATTAAAAAGTAAGTTATATAGTTTAAAATTAAATTATATTTAAAACAGAGGCAATAATACTAAAAACTCACTATTTTAAAAAGTTTTACCATTATCTACATGCTTGAGGTTATTTACATGATGTGTTTGTCAGGTGGAAATATCTTACAATGGTGGCAAATTTCTTTCATACTCTTTTAATAACACATTGATAGCTTCAGTTGTCCAGGGCAAGAGTCTTTAAAACGCAGACATCAGAACAAGCTAAGAATTGGGATATGATTTAATACTTAGGTCTCGCCTAGACTTAAAAGAGTAAACGTAAAATATTAACAAAGCAAATGTAACTTTAACATGTGTCATATTGGTAGTTATCATAGTGTGAATACCACATAAAAAATTCAGAAATTATTCTTCCAATTTTTGAAAACTATTAAACAATTTTAGAAAGAAGTGGCTGACATCATTGAAAAATAAATATAATACAAAGGTGCATCCTTTTTGTTACACTTTTGTCTTTTTAATGTTAAAGAAAATCATCAAGTTCTGTTTATCTTAGAATTATACTCATTCATAAAACATATCCATAATTTGGTTAAGGATGCAAATGTTAGACAAAAAGTAATATAAGCCTTCGATGAGAGATAATCAATTAAGTGGTATTCATGAAAAATGATTACATATATTATTATTATTCAGACATTGGTGCTTCATATATTTAATATTTGAAATTACATAAAAATTATACGTATTCCATAATTTTTAAAAGTCAGTTTTAAAATTTCTCCAGCATGCTACTGATTCTGAGGCATTCGAACTTACTTGTGTTATAATTCTCACAAATAAAAGAAAGAAAGAAAGTTCTGATATGAAGAAATTTCTTTCTTATACATGCTAGCTACTTTGGGGTATGCATGTGAGTGTTAATGTTAGCTACTGATTATTTTTCATGTGTACGTTCCCATTCTACTATGACCTTTGACTTTCAAATAAACAGCATTCATTCATTCTGATTTTTCAAACAGCATAATTACCCAGTGCAAGAAAGAACATCTGCCAAATTGTATATTCCAGACAGTTCGGTTGATCTTTTCAGATACTTAGTGATGCCCCTTTAGAAAATAAAAGCATAAACAGGCTGCCCTTGGAACTTCCTTTGTTGAAAATGTATTAAGGTGACTCACAGTGGAATATTTTCCTTCAATGTTTGTGGAAAACTAGAAGATTAAAAAGAAAGGTATTTTTGTTGCTGCTGAAAAGCAGTGGTAAAGAGTTCTAAAAATTATTTAACTAGATATGTATTTCAAATACATTGTTATTGTTCACTGGAGGTGTTTCAACTCTAACCTATTAGGTGAATACAGGGAATATAGAATCACATGAGAGAGTAACACAACTCCAATGTCACTTTTATAACTATCCATTTAGGGTCTGTGTAGGTGAGTCTGTCATATCTTTTCCTTGGTTTTGACAGCTATACTTTCAGTAGATTATAAAAGAGAAAATAAGCCATCCTCTTTGAGCTGAATGTAAAATGGGAGTTACATACACTTATAGAGTAGGCTTTCACTGTTCTATGTTTCATATTTCTTTATTTGAAATTGTAATCATCCTTTAGTAGACTTGTTCTGTCAAAATCATATCATGGTGGGTTGCTCAAATCTAAAAATGTTCAGTCAGAGACTGCTATAAAAAGTCTTAACAAATACTCTGAAAACAGTCCCAAATAACTGCTGAGAAAAAAGAATATATACATAATGTTACGACCTTAGTAAAATCAGTGACCAAAATTACTTTAGATCCTATTTTTATTTTTGGTTATTTGTATGCTATTTGCTATCTTGTATGTCTCTTACACTTACATCTTTTGAGGTTTTAAAAATTACCTACCAGATCAACTATAAATTATTAATATAATAATTGGAGCACATCATTACTAGATTATACTCTATCAATTAACTTGAATCAACTATCATTGTTTTATTTAATCCCTTCAAAGTAGATATCCTTAACTTTTAAATTTTCTAAAGGCTAACACCTGGTCTCTCTGCAGCTTAGCAATTTTCCCTCTGAATCTTTAGGGTACTCTAAAGTATAGTCATTAAATCCTATATCCCCAAGCCTTCTTCTCCTCCTTCCACTTAATTTATGAAGAAGAGTATTACCCTCATGAATAATCATATAATTTTAGCTTCAAATGTTTCCTATTATGTTTCTTTTCTTTTTCCATTTTTTAGTCCATTGAGCAGTGGTACTCTTTTTCTAAGTGATCTTTTCAATTCCTGACTTCTAACTGCAAGCCCTTACATGCTAATTGTGTGGGTGGAAATGTCATAGCAAAGAGAATCTGGAGGATTGCTTGATGAGAATATGTCTCAGAAGAGGGTGAATGTGTCTCTTCCTGGCAGAAGAGCAAGTGGCATTTGGGAGAAAGAAGAAACAGATGGTGACTCCGAGAAAAAGGACACTATAATGTCTCCTTCTCTTCACAAAATTTGCACTAGCTCAGCAGGAAATCTATGGTTAACCATAAAAATGGATGGTCAGCTCCTAAGTGATAGTATACCCTATGAATGGACCAAACTCTATTATTTTAAACAATTACTGATACATAATAATTGTACGTACTTACAGGGCGCATTTAGTGTTTGAATACAAGCATACAATGTGTAGTGATCAAATTAGGTTAATTGGAATATCCATCACCTCAAACATTTATCATTTCTTCATGTTGGGAAGCATTCCAAATCTTCTCTCTTAGCTCTTGATTTCAGAAGTGTGTGTATTATAGACCATAACTAAGTTCCTTTTGTAAATGAAGTTGGCCAGAAATAAAGGTGTGTTTTTTGTCCCTAAAAAGCAATCATTTGCAGCTCATCTAAAGAATACAAAGCAAAAAATGCTCAAAAAGAACAGAGAATTTTGTGTAAGCAGAGGTGTTTAAATTTATATGCAGAAAAGTTTGGTATGTATTATTTCTTTTAAACTTCTTACTATGATTCTATGGCAAGAGTGATTTTCTAACATACAATATACACCAAAAGAATAAATTAACCTACGTATCCTACCAGGTTGTCATATTGAGCAGTATATTTCTGGTGAAAATAATAAAATGTTTTAAATTTGAAATGAATACACACACATGTAAGATTCACCTGGGCATAGAATATATCCATATACATTATTTAGCTCTAGGCTATACAAACAAGAAAAATGGTTTTGTTGAGGAAAGTAATTTAAGTCATACTTTTGAATAAGAATTATATAATTATATAATATATAATTTAAGTCATACTTTTGAATATAATTCTATAATATTTTGATATATAATAAAAACATGATATCCCCAATTCCAATTAGATTCAAGTTACTCTCTTTAAAAAGTGAACTGTCTATATTACCAAAGGAATAAAAGTTAAATCACTTAACCCAGTATGAATTTTTTTTGTTTTTTAATGTTCTAGTCTTAGATTGTATAATATTCTAGTCTTAGATTTTATTTAATTGCCACTACGGAAGCTGCTGGCATGTGCAAGCAAGGACAATCCAGTTGCCAACACACTGCAAAGTGCTTTGCTTGGCACTACCCATTGGAGAACTGTGACCAGCAGTCTAGGAACTCCTCAGCCCCTCCATTACAGCTCCTCAAGAAGCCACAGAACAATGTTGGGGCCCAATGTCAGTCCCAAAGAGTACAGTACACAATCAAGGAATCATAAACTGAGGATTGGCCCCCTAAAATCTTCCAGAAACAAAGCCAGTCAACTGAGCTCACATTGTACCACAATCAAACCCTCAGGCCATCAAATAGAATAAAAGAAAAAAAATACAAAGGACAGCAACTTGAAAGACTGAAGGAACATCAACCCACAAATATGAGAAGGAACCAGTGCAATAACTCTGACAGTTGAAAAAGTGAGAGTGTCTTCTTTCCTCCAAATGACACACTAGTTCTCCACCAAGGTTTCCTAGTCAGGCTGAGATGGCTGAAATGACAGAAATAGAATTCAGACTATGGATAGAAACGAAGATCATAGAGATTCAGGAGAATGTTGAAACCCAATCCAAGAAAGCTGAGAATCACAATAAAATGATACAAGAGGCTGACAGACAAAATAGTACAGAAAAAAATGAAATCGACCTGATAGAGCTGAAAGTCACATTACAATAATTTCATAATGCAATTGCAATTATCAATAGTAGAATAGATCAAGCTGCGGAAAGAATCTCAGAGCTTGAAGACTGGCTTTCTATCATAAAATAGTGAGACAAGAATAATGAGAAAAGAATAAAAAGGAATGAACAGAATCTCTGAGAAAGATGGTATTATGTAAAGAAACTAAATATATGACTCATTGGCATCCCTGAAAGATACAGGAAGAATGGAAGCAACTTGGAAAACATATTTCAGTATATGACTCATGAGAACTTCCCCAACCTAGCTAGAGAGGCCAGCATTCAAATTCAGGAAACACAGATAACCCCTGCAAAATACTTCACAAGAAAATCATCTCTTCATCAAAAAGCTAATTCACCATGATCAAGTATGCTTTTTCTCTGGGATATAAGGTTGGTTCAGCACACGCAAATCAATAAATGTGATTTAACACATAAACATAACTAAGGACAAAAACAACATGATCATCTCAACCAATGCAGAAAAATCTTTTGATAAAATTTAACATTTCTTTACATTAAAAACTCTCAATAAACTAGTTATTGAGGAAACATACCTCAAAATAATAAGAGCCATGCATGGTGATAAACCCACAGTCAACAACGTATTGAACAGGCAAAAGCTGGAAGTATTTCCAGTGAAAACTGGCACAAAACACTGAAGCCCTTTTACCACTCCTATTCAACATAGTATTTGATGTCCTGACCAGAACAGTCAGGTAAGAGAAAGAAATAAAGGACATCCAAATAGGAAAAGAGGATTGTATCTGTTTGCAGACAACATGATCCTATATCTAGTGAATCCCATAGTCTCAGCCCTGAAACTCCTTTAGTTGATAAACAACTTCAGCAAAATTTCAGGATACAAAATCAACATACAAAACTCACTAGCATTCCTATACACCAACAACAGCCAAATCAAGAGCCAAATCAGGAATGCAATCCCATTCACAACTGCCACAAAAAGAATAAAATACCTAAGATACAGCTAACTAGGAAGGTGAAAGATCTCCACAATGAGAATTACTGAACACTGCTCAAGGAACTCAGAGATGACACAAACAAATGGGAAAATATTACAAGCTCATGGATAGGAATAATCAATATTATTTAAATGGACAAACTGCCCAAAGCAATGTACAGATTCAATGCTATTCCTATTAAACCACCAATGACATTCTTTACAGAATTAGAAAAAAAATTTAAATGTATATGAAACCACAAAAGATTGAATAGCCAAGGCAATCCTAAGAAAAAAGAAAAAAGCAGAAAGCATCATGCTACCTGGCTTCAAACTACACTACACGGCTACAATAATCAAAACAGTATGGTACTGGTACAAAAACAGACACATAGACCAATGGAACTGCATAGCAAGTGCAGAAATAAGGTCACACACCTACAACAATCTGATTTTTGACAAAGCTGATGAAAACAAGCAATGGGGAAAGGACTTCTTGTTCCATAAATGGTGCTGGGATAACTTGCTAGCTTCATGCAGAAGATTGAAATTGAATCCCTTCCTTACGCATATACAAAAATCAACTCAAGATAGAATAAAGACTTAAATGTAAAACCCCAAACCATCAAAACCCTGGTAGATGCTTAGACGATGTTATTCTGACATAGGAACTGGCAAAGATTTCATGACAAAGATGTCAAAAGTAATTGTAACAAAAGCAAAAATTGACAAATGGGATCTAATTAAACTAAAGAGCTTCTGCGTATCAATAGAAACTATTTATAGAATACACAGAAAACCTACAAAATGAGAGAAAATATTTGCAAACTCTTCACTTGGCAAAGGTCTAATATCCAGCATCAATAAGGGACTTAAACAAATTTACAAGAAACAAACAAAAAACCCCATTAAAAAGTGGACAAAGGACATGAACCGACTTGAGCCTTGGCCTTGTCTTTTCAAAAGAAGACATATATGCAGTTGAAAAGAATTTCAATATCAGTGATCATTAGAAAAATACAAATTAAAACCACAATGAGATACTATCTCACACCATTCAGAACGGCTATTATTAAAAAGTCAAAAAATAACAGTTGCTGGTGTGGTTGCTGAGAAAATGTAATGTTTATACACTGTTGATGGGAGTGTAAATTAGTTTACCCATTGTGGAAAGTAGTGTGGTGATTCCTCAAAGAGCCGAAAAGAGAACTACCATTTGACCCAGCAATCCTATTACTGGATGTTTACAAAAATTTTTAAATGTCCTTCAAAGAAAATAATGTATAGACTAATTGATTTTTAAAAAACTACCTATCAGGTACTATACTTACTACCTGGGTGAGGAATCAATATTCCAAACCTCAGCATCACACAATATTCCCAGGTAAAAATCCTGCATATATACCCCATATCTAAAATAAAAGTTGAAATAAAAAAAACCTATTTTATTAGAATCTTTGTGAATTGCTAGTACCAAAATGACATACATATCTACTGACTTGAATTAACTTTTTTATGTAGTAGAAATAAAATACATTTGCTTCTTTTAATTTAAAGGCAAATTAAGCTAAATATGTGTCTCTAAGATTATAGATCATATTTTTTATACATTATTTCTTTTATTTCATTTGTTTAGGATTATTGGGAGCCTCCTTTTGCCCACATTCTCTATTATCCTAAGAATAATGAATTATCTGTGGTTGGTATTTCAATCTGTACCACACGACTGAAGGATTTTCTTAAAATAAAACTTTAGGATTTGGATTTTCTTTCTACCACAAAGGCAGAGTATGTTTTTGTGTTATTTAATTACTCAGATAAATAAGTTTCTTTGAGTTAAAAACATTAAAATATTTAAAACAAAATTAAATAATACAGAATGCTATAATCTCAAGCATCCCTCCACCTTCTATGAACATTTTAAAGATACATTTTTTAGAATTTCTGGTTTGGATTTATATGAAGATGACCCAGAAATCTTTAAGTTGTGTATTTATTTATGAATGTATTTATCTATCAACTTTAGATGATACCTATTTCTCCATAGAAGGAAAAATGAGTATTCAGTGTTCTTACGCTATTCTTGATTTTGTTTCTTTCTCACTTGTCCTAACATTTCAGAGCAAATATCACCCACTAGTTACATTTCAATCTTATAATTTTATTATTAGCCTTTTTTTGGAGGCCTCTCAACTTTGACAATATTTGCTAATTACATGAACGGAAAACATTAGTGCCTCTACTTTCCCATTCACCATGATTCCCCTACTCTATATCATCAAATATGTCATCTGTTGATTTAATTTTACGTTTTGTACTGAAGCTTTATTTAAGCATTTATTTATTTGTTGGTGACACCTAAGTGTTAAAATCAAAACAAAACAATCACTATAATGTCTTGATTATGCAAATATTTGTCAAGGCCATGTAAAGTGTCATGTTTCCTGTGCTATTTTTATGAGACTGTAGTAACTGTCAGTCTAATGAAGTATTTTCTATTCTTTAGTAGTTATTAAAATTCATGTAATATGTGAGTCAAACTTATATTTTAATCATGTGGCTTATAAAACAACTGATTTTTTTCTGCTGTATTAATTGCATTACTTTTCTGTCAAAATTATAATATGCTTATATCATTATACCCTCTCATGAATACTATTCATTGTTATAATGTATTTATCCCAGGTGGGTTTTTCCGAAAAGAGAGAACTTTCCTTCTTTTTCTTCTTGTTTTCTAATAAAGTTGTTAGTTAATCTTTGATTTTTTCTTTTAATGCTTTCAGTTTTTCTCATATATTTGATGACTGATGGTGCTTAAATTTAAATTTTAAAAACAATTATTTAGGTTGATGTTATTGACTTATTTTTTTCTTGATTGAGAGGACTGTTTCTCCTGTAGATCACCCCTCTGATGTAAAAAGCAAAACTTTTCACTCTCATTTTAAGAGTAATCTGTGATATCCCACAAGGTTTATCTATTTTGGCATGCTTGCTTGCTTAATATTATTGTATGGATTATAACATTTCTATTTTAGGTCAACTCATAGAGGCTTTTCAATTCCCGCTTTGTCTTGAGTTTTTTCAATTTTTTTCTTTTGAGGTACTATCAAAATTCCTGCAGAAAAAAAAGATGAATATTTTAACAAATATTCTAGTTCCTACACACCTAAAAACTGTTACTACTTTTCCTTCATAGTTTGTGCAACACTGATGTCTAGATTCAAAATTTTTTTTTCTGTAGTATAAAGATATTTCACTTGTTTTTCTATGGCACGTAAAATTTCTCATCGGTAGGCTGAAGCCAGATTCTGCTTTCTTTACAGATTCCCTAATGTTTCTTTTTATTATTTTCTCCAAAATCATAATTGATCTGACATAACTAGATTGGTGTCTTCTTCCTTCATTCTGATTGGTACAGTATCATCTCTATGATTTTAAAAGCTTACATTTTCTTCAGTGCTATTACTTCTGTGATAATTTCCTCCCTATCCATACCTTCATTTTTTTTTTTCTGGATCTCTATTTTAACCTCTTCTATGTATTCTATGTTATATGTTTTCTCAAATATTTTGTCAATTTGCTCTGTCCTCTGAGAAATGTATTTAAGTTTATATTCTAGTCCTTTTACAGCATTTATTGTTGTATATATCGTAACTTTTATTGCCAATACATGTTTTCTTTGTCCCTCCTACCTTTCTCCTCCTCCTCTGTTTTCTTCTTCTCTTCTTTTCTTTTCCTCCTTCCTCCTCCTCACTCTTTTCTCCTCCTCCTCCTCTTTTTCTTCTTTACTATTTGTGATGGTTGATGCTGAGTGCCAACTTTGTTGGAGTGAAGGATACAAAATATTAATCGTGGGTGTGTCTGTGTGGGTGTTGCCAAAAGAGATTAACATTTGAGTCAGTGGGCTGGGGAGGGCAGATCCACCCTTAATCTGGTGGGCACAATCTAATATATATATCCCATTAGTTGTGTCCCTCTAAGAAAACCCTCACTAACACACTATTGTTTTCGTTGCATTACTTCCAAAGTTTCTCTGTTTAAGATAGTTTCTTCTTCTTTTAATTCTTCTTGTCTTCTGATAAGTTCTTAGCTTTTCTTGAATTTTCTCTTTCATGTTTTTAGTTTTTTTAATATATATGATGACTGTTGGTGTTTAAATTTAATTTTTAAAAACTATTATTTAGGTTGACAGTATTGACTTATTTTGCTCTTAAATAAAGGACTGCTTCTCCTATAGACCTCCTCATTGGTGTAAAAAGCCAAACTTTTCACTCTAATTTTAAAGGTAATATTTCATATCCCACAAGAAATATTATCCTTTAGTTTCAGTAGTATTAGTTATGTCTTGTAACACAAAAGACCAAATAAAGAGATGTTCATCAGTATCTCACTTTAAAAAGTAGGTCGCAAAAGCTTTCTATACTGCTTCTGTAACTTATTAACAATTTTGAAAAATCAAGAAGACTTTACTTCTTCACTTTTTAAGTTGTTATTAAATATATTTCTTGCTTTGAACTTTGAATTAATTTCAATAGTCACCTCTATCTAAGCTCCATGAAACAAGCCCAAGACATGAGGGATCTTATGAATTTTTATGAAAATTTTACCCAGTGAACTATGAGATAAAATTTATTATCACTGAGGCAAAGCAGATGACATAAAATGTAGGATATTAAAATAGACAGATAGCAGAGTAAAATTTCTATAAGCTGTCTACAAGAGGAATGTGGTATGCAAAGTCACCAAAAAAGAATTTTCCTGTTATTAGTACAATCTGTGTTACTTTTAATTACCTGCTATTTTTTTACAGATTATTTCACAGAATATTTTCTTTATTATATAAAGATTAAATTACTTTAAATATGTGAACTATATCAGTAAATTTTAAAAAATGAATGAACTTGAATGTAAAATGTTATTACGAAACAAGACTCATTAAAGATACCTTCTTGCCAATAAAATATTTTTTTGGTATTTTTTTAGAGATGATGTCACTGTAAATAAGCAGAAAGAAGAGAAAAAAGAAAACATTATAAAAAAATATTGTGCTGTGATTTTCTACTGAATTGGTATAGCAGAGAAGTGTGCTATATAATGTACATCCTATTGTGGGTTTGACAAGAAAGCAGATTATTTATTTGGATTTTTCTTTTCTCTTTCTTTTTTCTTTTTTTCTTTCTTTTTTTTTTTACTATTAAAGACTTCCTACAAATAATTAAGTCCAAATAATTTATTATAAAATATCCATCATCAAAATGTTGAAATAAAATCATAAAGATATGTCATTAGGAGGTCACCTAGTACAGTTTTAACATTTATCTATAATAATCTAAAGCAAGGTTTTTTTCCAAAATGTTTCACATTAAAAGTTTCTATCAATTTAATTATGATATGGATAGTTTATGTTTTATGGTTTTATGTATGCTAAATTACATTTTCCTTATTGGCTTTTGAAACAGAATCTATGAAATAATATAATAATACAGTTGGAAAGGGTCTTACAAATCTTCAGTATCAAACTCTCAATGCTTTTGTACCATCTACAGCCTCTAAAACATGTTTCTAATGAGTAAAACACATTTGTGTTTTTCAGTTCATTCATGTCTTTAAAATTTGACTGTGCAAAATATATTTTTTAAAAATTGTTATCAATATAGTTTTACTGCAAGATTTTTATGAGGAATATACTTACTTATTAGCTTCTTTCTCTCACACTTTGATCTGATTCTGCCATTCAATAAAATTGCAACGCTTGGATAAACATACATAAGTATTAGAAGGCATAGGCTCCTACTTATAATGATTAACAAATGAATAACTGTTATTTCCTCCTCACTATTTTTTCAATAATAATTTCTTATTGATTGTAACTAGTAAATTATGCCCTATAATTGATATTGCAGACATCATTTGCTATAATAACTTGCCAAATATTAATGAGAATATTGTTTTGTTTTGGCATCCCATTTTTTCTAGAAACTTAAAGGTATCATAGATGATCAATCATTTCTTCAGCAAGTATTTATTGAGCACTCACTACCTGCTCTGCACCTTGTAAACTGCACTCTAAAAATGAAGTATGAATTACTGATTTGCCTATATCCTTTTGGAGGAATATTACAGAAACCATCTGTGCTAAAATTATCTGAGCTTTTTATGATTTGTAAAAGAAGAAAAAAATGTAGAAGTAGAGTCTCTGTTAAATGACATTCAACCTAAAATTGCTAACATTTAATTAATATTGTATAACATTTAATGTTGGAAGATGCATTTGTAGTGATTTACATCCACATGACACTGCATAAAATCTACTGGTACCTTTATCCACATTCAATTTCTGCTTTTATGTTATCTGTATATATTTAAATTCAATTGTATGTACATTTTGATATTAAAATTGTTTCTATATTTTTAATTCCTTTTTGGAAACCATAAAACTTTTGACATTAAACTTAGGGAAATTATTTCTTGAGCAATAATTTGATCAGAATAACATTTTTTTGTAATTCATTTACAGATAAAATACTGGCCATCCTGAAAAATATATTGTTTATGTTGTTTCAATAATGAAGTTCACATAGCACTGTGATTCATTTGTATTATTTTGGCAAGCATTGTTACAAACATCACTCAAGTATCATTTTTTTGATAGACACTACTTTAATAAGATACAGGGGATTAATTCAATACATTTTTAAGTAGTTTAAGTAGTAGTTTTAAGTGTAAGAGACTGAAGAAAAATATGTAAAGTTAACTTTTAACATGTAAGACAAGTCTTGAAGCGGAATATGCTAAAATGAGGTTTATTGCTAAGCAGTATCATTTATATTGGACTTGGTCATTTTTTTCCCCTTTCAAAGTATAAAAAGAACTTGTTGAAGATATGTATTTGTCTTTTTTCATTTTTTAAATCAAGAGAATATCAATATCTGGTTTGTGTTTTTGTAAGTTCAGTCTAGCTGCTGCTTTGAGAGAGGAGTAGAGTAAGTACAGGTTAGCGCTCAGATATTCCAATAAGGGAACTAAAACAGAGTAGTCAAGAAAAGATGAAGGCTTGTGTTAACATGTAAGTAATTAATTTTCAGATAAGAAGACAAATTTGAGTTATATTTTGAGTTTATCAGAAAGATCAATAGGCATTTTGTTTCTGAATTTAGTAACTGCTTTAAAATCTTCACTAATAGTTAAAATTCAATGCTTGAAAATAATATGTATGTATGTACCTACACACCAGAAAAGTGGAAAATTTAGAGTTCCTAATGAATATTTTAATTTGGACAAGTCTATAAGATATCCAAGAAGATATGTCAAAAATGTATTGTAGTTGAAAATATGAATCTGAACTGAAATCAAGTATTTGAGCTCAGAAATCAGAGCTTCTAAAATGGAAGTAATAAAAAAGCACTAAAAATAATAATGCCTTTTTAGGAGTGTGGTTAAAAAAAAAAGTCACAGATCTAATCCAGAAAAGGTCTTAGAGTTGTGGAGTGGAGGAGGATACACAAAATAAAATTTAGATTGTCATGAGAGATAAGCAGAAAAATAGATTGCGATATTAAGAAATCAATGGGGGGGGTTAATTACAATAACAAAGTATGTCCATGAATATATTTTAGAAAGGGCATGGCTTAGGAAACTGCAATTTCAATGGAATGTTAGAGAACGATACACATTTGTAGAAAGTTGAGGATTGAGTTGTAGATAAATTGTAGTAAAATAAATTGTAGATAAATTGTAGTAAAATAAATTGTAGATAAGTTGTAGTAAGTCTTGTAAACATCTCTTTCAAGTGTGTGTGTAGGTGGAGGAATTTGGTGACACATGTTACTGAGGAGATAGGTAAGGAGTGACATCCTTGAATAGGGTACAGTAGATAATATCAAAGCCAAAAGTAAAGAACAAATTAGATGAAAACATTGAAGTTAGTTTATTCTTTGCAATGGGAAGAATGGGTTCTACTCAGGCAGTCTTTTAGTGTGAGTGTGAGTATAAAAAATTACCAACTGTAAATGATGATACAGAGTTTTATATAAGTGGAAAATGGAAATAATGCAAAGTAGTCGCCCCAAGAAAAAAGCTAACAGCTTTTTAGGAAATGTGAGATTAAAGCTGTCATCTAAGTTGAGATTTTTGTTTGTCAACATGTGGAATGGGTTTGCAGATAGGTTCAACTGTCATGGAGATTTTTAGGCAAGATAGCTGGAAAGGGAGGAAAAGAATATGAGAAGAGGAATGAGAGAAAAGCAGAAAAGGGGAAAGAAGTGAAGACAAGAAGAGAAAAAAAAGAGAGGGAAGGAAAAAGAAGAGTTTTGTATATTTGAAAATGAATTATTAAGAACAAGCTATTCCATACGCACACTGGGTAAGGAGGACAGAGAAGACTCACAATGTCTCTGAGACAGTTTTGGAAGCATTAAAATCAAGTACTCAAGAAGGTCATGCAGCAGTGGTGCACAAAATTATGTAAGATGAAGAGTGAAGTTGGAGGTGTATTCTTGCAGCAGAAAGTAGAAATAAGGCATCAGGGATTGAGCAGTTTTTGGTGTCAAAAAAGTTTAGATCATTGAGATTCAATAGAAATAAAATTTAAATATATGAGCCAGTTTTACAACTTGTGGCAGCCACATTAAAAAAGTAAAAAGAAACAATGCAATAAGTTTAACAATATGTTTTAAAGAATATATCAGGACTATTATTTCAACATTCCATCTATATAAAAGAAATGAAACAATCTACATTCTTTTAGTCATACTAAATCTTTCATATCCATTGTATATTTTATACTCATTATATCTCAATTCTAAAAAAAATATTACAAATACTTTATCCGTACTTTAGTTTTACAGTAAAGTTGAAATAGGCCGGCACGCGATGGCTCATGCCTGTAATCCCAGCACTTTGTGAGGCTGAGGTGGGTGGATCACTTTAGTCCAGGAATTTGAGACCAGCCTGGTTAACATGGTGAACCCTGTCTCTACTAAAAATACAAAAATTAGCTGGGGGTGGTGGTGCGTGCCTGTAATCCCAGCTACTTGGGAAGCTAAGGCAGGGGAATCACTTGAACCCAGGAGGTGGAGGTTGCAGTGATCTGAGATCAGGCCACTGCACTCCAGCCTGGGTGACAGAGACCCCATCTCAAAAAAAAAAAAAAAAAAAAATCTATTTACTTGCCAAAATCACTCTAAATATTTATACATACTAATCACTGAATAAACTGTCAAAATTTGTGTTTTAACATTCATATATTATGCAACTGTTTTATCTATTTGGAAGAATTGGTTTGACTTTGGAGGAAAAGCATGTCTGTTATTTAATCTCAAAATTAAAAACATTTAATTCAAAGATCTATTTTATAAGTTGAAGAATGACTCTAATCTTGAAATGGTTCATAGCATTTGGGCAAATGTGCTGAAAGTTTGTAATAACTGTATCTAAGACACCTTTCACTGATGATACTTTAGAAAACACAGTAAAAATAGTTTTAAGATTTCTTAGGCCATAATGTGAAACAATAAGGAAATATCAAAATATCAGGGACTTATTTTAAAATCCCAATATATATATAGATGTTTGATTTGTTATATCTGGAGCACTATCCATGAGGATAGAAACTATTTTAATTTAATATATAAGATTTAAGTTATTTGTCAGATGTAGAAGCTACTAAAAATATATGTGATAGTTTGATTTTTGAGGCCAAAATTATACATTTCTTAACAAATTGAAAGTCCTTTGATACAAAACATAAATTATTAATTACAGTGCCTCATAGTACATGACTCATAGAGCTGAAAAATATATATGAAATTTTTCAAATTTTAAATTAATTGAACTTTGATGTTAGGAAAGTCTTATATTCTATGAGCAGTTGTTTGGTGACATCTCAAGACATTTCACTTTTTAAAAAATATCATTTTTTATTATATTTCTCATAATTTTCAAACAAAATTTCTGCTACTGAAATGATAATTTACCATGTTTTCAACCAAAAATATCTATATGTGTGCGTGTGTGTGTGTATAGGAATCGAAGTCCTTTATACAGTCTGACAGCTGCAAGCTCAAAATCCCTTAAAACTGAAGTTATTGTTTGACATTTAATTCTGATTTTAAGTGATTAATTTTATTAAATTTTTTTTCTTGAGAGAAAATATCTAATACAACTTACTTTGAATTTACAATAAGTATGTTTATTATATACTTTATTATCTTTTAAAATATTTTTATACAATGAGATTTTCATTCTGCTAGAGAAAATTGCAAGTTATATACATTGTGAAATCTGAAAAAAACAAAAACAAAAACAATTTTTCCAACCTCTTTTTGTCCTTCCTATTTTAGTTGCAGTACTAGATTCTGCATTCTCCACTCAAGTCTACATTATTAGTGTGCTCTGGTTTTAAGCTTTAAAAAAGTCTATAAAATGCCAAAGCTATTCAATGAGGAAAGAAACAATGTTCGAAAAGCTGGGTATCCATGTGCCAAAGAATAAAGTTGCACCTTTGTTTTACGCCATATATAAAAAGGACTAAAGACCTAATTGTAAGACCTCAAACTACAAAATTTCTAGAAGAAAACAAAGGGAAAATTTTGACGACACTGGATGTGGCAATGAATTATTGGATATAATACCAGAAGCACAGGAAGCAAAAGCAAAAATAGATAACTAGGACTATATCAAGTTTTAAAATATTTGTGCATCCATGGACACAATCAAAAGAGTAAAAGGCAAACTACAGAATAGGAGAAAATATTTACAAATCCTGTATCTAAAAATAGATATCTGAAGTAGAATTCACAAAAATAAAAAGTCCAATGATGGTCAGCAGATCTTGCTGATGAAGAGAGAGAGAGAGAGAGAGAGAGAGACAGAGACAGAGAGACAGAGAGAGAGAGAGACAGAGAGAGAGAAAAGAGAAAAAGGGAGCTGTTATTTAATGAGTATAGGGTTTCAGATTTGCAATATTTAAAAGTTCTGGAGATCTGTTTTACAACAATACAAATACATACTTAGCACTACTAAACTCTACACTTAAAAATGGTTAAGATGGTAAATTTTAAGTTATGTGTTTACAATAAAAACAAAAGTGATACAACAAAATGAGACTAAAACATATCTCTCAATATCTACAAAAGAGTGTCATAGACTTTTCAAAGCACTACCAAGATGACAAAGCCTATGATAAACATATATTTTTAAATAAAATGCCAAGACTTAAAAATTTAAGATCTATAATACTTTACTTATTTTACAATTAAAATGTAAGAAATTATTCAGTTTAATTGCCAATTACTGTTGCCATAATTAATACATTACCTTGTGTTTTTTGCATAAAATGTGAGCAAATTGCACTTTACATTTATGCAAGTGTTATAGGATCTTTGGGGTGCCGCTTTTCTGGCCAGAAAACTCTGTGGCCGATGGCTCCTTTGCCAAAGTTTTGCTGGGGCCCACTGGGCTCATTCTGCCCACTCAGCCTAGCAGGCTGTGCTCTGTTCACGTGACCAGCCTGGGTCCCACGTCTGCCAAGGGCGAGTCAGGTGTGGAGCGGCAAGCAGGTGTGTGAGAGAGTGTGGGGTGCAGACATTGTGCAGTCAGACATTCCAGCTGCTGCAGTGGAGTGGGCAGCTTCAGGTGCTGGTATGGTCACCAGCTCTCTGCAAGACTGCAGCTGGACCAGGTATACCACAAACAGCTTCCACAGCTGGCACTGGGAAATATTGTGGTGCTGGAAAGCTTGAAGATGCCAGAGACTGCAGGCTCCCTAAGAGACAGTCACAGCCTTGTATCAGGGAGCTCCCAGGTCTGGGTTCCCCAAAGGGCTGCAGCTCTTCTCCCCTTCTCTTTGCCCACAATGTGGCAAGCAAGGGGCATGTCTCAGCCCTGTTTGTGTTACAGATTTTTTATCCTCACCATTTGGTGCATGCTGAGTTCTTGTCCTGCAACCAGGAAGAATAAGGTACGCAGACAAGTGGAGAGTGAACAAGATGAAGAGGAGCTTTATTGAGCAATAGAACAGCTCAGAGGAAACCGACAGGGGCAGCTCCTTTCCACACTCAATGTGTCCCAATGAGTGTTCAGCTCCTAGCAGAGAGGGTAGCTCCTCTCTGCTAGGCAAGTTGTCTCCATTAGTGTTCAGCTCTCAGCAGAGAGGGCAGCTCCTCTCTGCAGCTGGTTGTCCCATTGTCTGTTCAGCTCTGGCTAACCATGGCTTTTATAAGACTCAGAGAGGTGGAAGTGCTGGCTGATTGGTCTATGAGCAGCAATGGGCAGCCCCAGAAAAGGCACCTGCTCCCACTCCAGTCGTGGGACTGGCAGCCCGGCCCCCAACCTTCAGCCCTCCATGGCCTGAAGGTGGGGCCTCACTGGGACCCGCTCCCTTCCACCCAGGAGCCTGTCTGCCTCCTGCTGCTGTCCATGGTACCCAGGCTGCTTGTGCCAAGGGGAACCTGCAGGCAAGCACCAAGCTGCCCTCAGCCCTATTTTGGCTGCCCCCTCACATTCGTTAGAGCCCAAAGTCTGGAGGGGACCAAGGCGGAAGGTTGCTGGTGTGTCAGTGCTGCCCCAAGTGTGCACACACCTGGGCTGTGACAGCGCCAATCCCGCTTCAAGATTGGAGCAGGTGCCGGGAATGGGTAGAGGCCAGGCAGTGGGAGGAGACGCTCCCTGAGCCTGAGAGGACAGGAAGGGTCTTCCCGGGCTACTGAGGATGCAGAGTGCAGAAATATCAGAGTTCTGCGCCTGGTAAGGTGGGGCTCTCGCCCACTCCGTGGAGTGTGCACCATTCTGGGCCCGTCTCCACCTCCTCCCGCACCTCCCCTGCAGGGTGAGAACCGCGAGGCGGGGCCAGGGTCCAGAGTGGCGGAAGCTCCGAGCCTGGGAGCAAGTCCTGCCCGGCTGTGCAAGAGCGAGGACAGCACAGTCGGCTGCCTTGGAGACGCGGGGCACCGCCCTCGCCTCTCTGCTGCAGCTAGCGGGATGCCAGCGGCCACTCTGGACGGCCCACCACTACCATCACATGCACAGAAGTAATTTATATGGAATTAATCTATTTACATCAAACCTACGATGATGTGTTTATAGGTAATATTGGAAATGGTGTCTGGGTCTGAATAATGTACTAATGTACAACAGTACTATCTTATGTCATGTAATGGTTTTAATGGAATGGAATTCTACCAAAACAATTACGTTCTATTTAATGGAAAATTATTTCACTCTACTTTTATTTTATTATTTATATTAATTAATATTGAAAATTTATCTCAGTCACTCTAGCCACTTCTCATTGCTCAATTTCCTCATCGAACAGTGCAAATCTAGAGTATGACTAAGTAAGTGGGTTTCTGACATGCAGATAAATGAAAGCTTTTGAAGTGTATATATTGAGTTTCCAGTTGCTGGTTGAGGTTTCTCTCTTGATATAGTATTAAGTATATAAATTAGAATAATATCATTAAGAATAATAATTATTAATATAATAGCACAAAATAGAAAATAGGCTGATAACCAGGTGAATAAGAAGCAAATTAAATAATGATCATAGTAAAGAAAACACATAACATAAATTGTTATCACAAACTATAAAAGCACAGCTATTTAGGAAGAAAAAAGAGTAGAAATGCAAATATGTCACAAGAGAACAAAACAAACACCTACTTATTCTTCTATATCTAAGAGACCCAGGGTAAAAGGAAAGCAATCTATGCTTAAGACGGCTGAAGACAGAGTGCCATATGGCAAGGTCAGGAGGTAGATTTCAAATATAGATATGAAGTGAACATACTGAATAACACATAACTGTATCAAATAATTTTCTGTGAATTAACCTGGAGTTGCAAGAAACACTGTGAAAAGTTTCAAGAATATAGTTGCTAGGTTAAGCCTCTAAGATGCAGTAAAATGTTAGCCTTTATTTGGTAACAGATGAAGAAGTAAAAATCATATATTAGGCAGTTAATGAAGACATCAAAAGTATGAGACATGCCAGAATTTTGCACTTTTAGAGTATTGTGTGTCAATGGGTTTATTGTTGTATAAAATATTCTGTGGAGACTCTAATTGCAGTTGCTGTACCAGATGCAGTTTTATTGCTTGAGTAAATTAACATATTCTCTGGTACCTGGTATGCAACTATTGGGCTGACAAATGCCTTTTTCTACCTACCTGTTCGTGAGGCCCACCAGAAGCAGTTTGCTTTCAGCTGGCAAGGCCAGCAAGACACTTTCACTTTCTTACCTTAGGGGTATATCAGCTCTCCAGCCCTCTGTCATAATTTAGTTCACAGGGATCTTGAGTGCCTTTCCCTTCCATAGGTATCACACTGGTACATTACATTGATGACATTATGTTGTTTGGACCTAGAGAGGAAGAAGTAGCAATTACAATAGACTTCTTGGGAAGATATGCCAGGGGGTGGGCAATAAATTCTAATAAAATTCAGAAGCCTTCTAATCTCAGTGAAATAGTTAGGGTTTCAGTGGGGGCCATGCTGAGATAGCCCTTCTAAGGTAAAGGAAAAGTTGTTGCATCTGGCTCCTCCCACAAACAAGAAAGTCTCATAATGTTTAGTGGGACTATTTTTATTTCAGAGACAACATATTTCTCATTTGGGTGTGTTACTCTGGCTCATTTACTGAGTTACCTGAAAAGCTGCATTTTGAGTGAGTTCAGCAGCAGAGATAAACAATGAGTAGGCCAGGCGGGGTGGCTCACACCTGTAATCCCAGCACTTTGAGAGGCCGAGGTGGGCAGATCACCTGAGGTCAGGAGTTCAAGGCCAGCCTGACCAACATGGAGAAACCCGTCTCTACTAAAAATACAAAATTAGCTGGGCATGGTGGCATATGCCTGTAATCCAAGCTACTTGGGAGGCTGAGGAAGGAGAGTCACTTTAACCTGGGAGGAGGTTGCAGTGAGCTGAGATCGCACCATTGCACTCCAGCCTGGGCAACAAGAGTGAAACTCCATCTCAAAAAACAAACAAACAAACACAATCAGCCCCTCTTAAGGCACCATTACCTGGGATGATAAGCCACCTAACTAGTGTCAGATTTATTGTATTGAATAGTTTTCATCATGGAAAGTACAATGTTTTATCCTTACTGGAATAGACATTTACTCTAGCAATGGTTTTGTTTTTACTGCATTTAGTGCTTTTTTAAAACTACTATCTATGGGCTTAAATAATTCTTCATCGACTATCATAGTATTGCACATAACATTGCTTCTGACCAAGGAATTCACTTCACCTCTAAAGAACTGTGCCAATGGGCTCATGTTCATGGAATTCACCGATATTAACAAGATTTCCACCATTCTAAGGCAGCTAGAATCACAGAATAGTGAAATAACCTTTCACAGACTCAGTTATAGTGTCTTCTAGGTGTCCATACCTTAAAGAACTGGTCCCCAACCTTTTTGGCACCAGGAACCAGTTTTGTGGAAGATAATTTTTCCACAGACCAGAGGTCAGGGGAGGTTGTGGGATGATTCAAGGGCATTACCTTTATTGTGCACTTTATTTCTATTATGATTACCTTGTAATACATAATGAAATAACTATAAAACTCATCATAATATAGAATCAGTGGCAGCCCTGAGCTTGTTTTCCTCTAACTAGATGGTCCCATCTGGGGGTGATGGGAGACAGTGAGAGATCATCAGGCATTGGAGTCTCATAAGGAGTGCACAACCTAGGTTCCTCACATGTGCAGTTCACAATAGAGTTTACACTCCTACGAGAATCTAATGCCACCACTGCTCTGATAGGAGGTGGAGCTCAGGCAGAAATGCAAGTGATGGGGTGCGGCTGTGAATACAGATGAAGCTTCACTAGCTAGCCCACCATTCACTTCCTGCTTTGTGGCCTGGTTCCTAAAAGGTCACAGACTAATACTGGTCTACTGCCTGGGATTTGGGGACCCCTGCCTTAAAGAGCTAGAGCAGAGATCTCTAGAAGCCTGTAGATGCTTTGAATTAGTGTTCAATATATGGTGCTGTTTCTCCAGTAGCTAGTATGTGCAAGTACAGAAATCAAGGGGTGAAAATGAAATGGCATTACTCACCATTACCCTTAGTGAGTCACAGAATTTTTGCTTTCTTTTTCCACAACGTCATGCTCTGCTGGTCTGGAGATCTTAGAAATCTTTTAGATCTTTAAGAGAGAAGAATGCTTCTACCAGGAGCATTCCTGGTAGAATGTTTCCATTCAATTTGAAGTGCAGATTTCCCCCCAGCCACTTTGTGCTCAGATGCCTCTGAGTCTACAAGCCAAGAAAGGAATTATAGTGTTTGCTGCTGTGATTGATACAGACTACCAAGAGGAAATTGGCTAATACTCCACAAGGGAGATAAGGAAGAGTATGTCTGTAATACTGTAGATGCCCTAGGGTATATCTTAGTATTACCTTGCCTGAATAAGATCTATGGAAAACCATAACAACCCATTCCAGAAGGGATTGAAAGTAGCTCAGACTCTTCAGGAATGAAAGTTTGGGTCCCTTGTTTGGATAAAGAACCACAACCAGCTGAAGTGCTTGGTGAAGGCAAAGAGAATAAAGAATGGGCAATAGAAGGTAGTTATAAGTACCATCTAGCATCACAAAAGCGCTTACAGAAATGAGAACTATAATTGTGATGAGTATTTTCTTGTTATTTTATTATGAATATTATTGTGTGTATATATAAATACATATATTAAGCAAATATATTCATTCCCTTTTATGTTTTATTCCCTTATCATGTAACATAAGATGTATTGACTTTGTATCATTATTTTAAGTAGTGTTAATTTTACTGCATAGTATTTAAGTTTTGGAATACCAGAGGAAGAGTAAACATTAATCAAGGACTTTACCTCCTCTGTGGGGGAAGAGATTCATGCCTTTCTGGTCTTAGTTCCTTCAAGCTGCTATAATAACATTCCTTAAAGTAGTTAGGTTAAACAATGAAAATTTACTTCTCATACTTCTGGAGACTGGGAAATCCAAGATCAAACTGTTGACATATTATTCAGTGTCTGGTGAGGGCCACTTCCTGGCATGTTGAAAGGGTCTTTTCTCTGTGTGTTTACAAGGTAGATAGGGTGAATGGGCTCTCTTGGGCCTATTTTATAAGGCCCCATTTATCCCATTTGTGATGGCTCCCCAAATCTCCATCTCCTAAAACAATCACCCTGGGGGTTAGGATTTCAACTTATAAATTATGGGGGGGATACATTAAGACCACAGCATCTGTATAGTTTGCTTATTGTATGTAAACAGAACTATGGCTCTTAAGAAATGTCATGTAAATTTATTATTATTATTATTGTTATTGTTATTGTTATTTTGAGACAGAATCTCACTCTGTTGTCCAGACTCGAGTACAATGGTACAATCTTGGCTCACTGCAGCCTCCGCCTCCCAGGTTCAAGTGATTCTCCTGCCTCAGCCTCCCAAGTAGCTGGGATTACAAGAGCTCACCACCATGCCCTGTTAATTTTTGTATTTTTAGTAGAGACAGGTTTCACAATGGTGGCCAGGTTGGTCTCGAACTCCTGACCTCAGGTGATCCACCAGCCTCAGCCTCCCAAAATGCTGGGATTACAAGCATGAGTCACTGCACCAGGCCAAAAAATATCATGTAAGTTATGTAATAATGACTATAAAGTGGAGATGATCCAAGACTAAATAGCTGTTTTTAGTGCAAGCATTATATAAATCCATGTATGTTAAATCTGGACTGAAATTTACCATAATGTAATGAAAAAGGAACTGAGAAAGGACACTGAAAGTTTCAGACTGCTCCATGCTTCATCTATATCTCACAATTGTCTAAACTATTTGAACAATAAGTATGGTTCTATAGTTTGTAAAATCTCTAATTCTTGTGAGTTTGATTTCACAAACTGAACTACTTGTAATATAACACTTTGCATTCTTCATTGGCTCTTTCATATGCAAGTTGTTCTGGGATCAATGAAGAATTTAACTTCTTCTTTCTTAAAAATGGCTTAGTGGCTGGGCATCGTGTTTCACGCCTATAATCCCAGCACTTTGGGAGGCCAAGGCGGGCGGACCACGAGGTCAGGGGTTTGAGACCAGCCTGGCCAACATGATGAAACCCTGTCTCTACTAAAAATACAAAAATTAGCTGGGCATGGTGGCACGTGCCTGTAATCCCAGCTACTTAGGAGGGTGAGGCAGGAGAATTGCTTGAACCAGGACCTGGGAGGTGGAGGTTGCAGTGAGCCAAGATCATGCCACTGCACTCCAGCCTGGGCTACGGCACGAAACTCCATCTCAAAAAAAAAAAAAAAAGGCTTAGAGTAGTGACTTTTCAAGGTTTTTGTGGTATTCGATGACCGAGATGGTTTTAATAGTCTCTTCAGGTTGACTGAATGTCAGACAGGCTTCTTCCCAACTCTAGGCCCCAGAGCTCCCTTTTCTTACAGCATTTATATTAAAAACTTGTTACTGTAAATTTATGCTCGGCTTCTTTGATATAAACATCTTTTTCAAAATATTCTTTCCATTTTTAAAACTCAGGAATGACTTTCTCAGGGATTGGCAGCCTTCCCTTTGGAATGTAATTATCAATGAATACAGTGTCCCTATCTCCCAGTTTCTGTGGGAGAGTAGAAGTCTAACTTTTTTAAAACACTTGCTCCAAGTTTTAAAGGTACTTCCTGTCATAAAAATATGAGGAACTTTACTTTTGTTTGAGCAAAGCCAATTAGTAAACAGAGAAGACCTATGATCCCCCACCTCAGCTCTTAAAAACTCTAAAGCCCATTGTTACGGCAGAGTGGAGCTCAGTCTGAGATGTGGTCTCTTTCCACATTTATAATAGGTTTCAATACAGCTTTCCTTGTACATTTGATTTTATCCAGTGCAATTTTTGCTTTGACTGTGACCAAGTCTATAACTGTAATAGCACCATTATTAGTATAGATATATGCCTAATAAACATTCAGTAAATATTTGTTGAACTTAATTTCATTTTAAAGCTTTATTATTTAAATTTTTGGAGCTGGTACATCCATGTATTGAATCACATTAATGGAGATCTAATTTCCCAAATAGTTTTACTATTCATTTGTGCAACACATATTTATGGAGTAGGTTCAATCACAGATTAGGACCAATTCATTTTAAGCATGAAGACAAGCAACTGCTCTGTATAATGACAATGTTTTCTTGTATTTTCTGCTTTATGTTTTGAGTAAAACTGCTTAAATATGAATATAGTGTTCATTTACAAGTGAATAGTAATGGTAAAAGTTATAGTTTTAATCCTACCCAAAACAAATAGTTTAAATTTAGATATTAACAATTTTTCAAACTGTGGCTTCCTAAAGTGAAGAAAATCAGTGTATTTGCTTTGGATTTATCTGAGATATAATCAGAATAATGGATTCAATTCATGTATTTTTGATTTAGTAATTGTCACCATCATCCATTTACGAATTTAGATTTGAAACTTTTCTTATGTCATATTAACTGTCTTTAAAATTTTCAAAATTTCGAATTATATCTGCCAAATATATTTTGCAGGTAATCTCTCTCGATGGCCACTGAGAATTAACCAGAGAATTTAAAGAGCAAAAGAGGCAGTTTAGCACAATTTTGTAATAATAAAATTTTCCACAAGGACTAATCACATTGAGCACTAACTATCACATGCTATTAAAAAAAAAAAAACAGAAGCAAAAAAGATACCTCTTTATTGTAATGCAATGAGTAAAATTCAAGGGTGCAAAGTGCTGTCTTCATTATATCTCTTAAAGACTTGGGTAATCACAGTCTTCAAATCTGGAAACAGGTAATTTGAGGCAGAAGTGAGACTATTGGCCCTTCTTCAGCTGTGATTTGCGGTTTCTGGTACTTGCTAAAACTCTTGTCCAGAGAAACTGAGGGAATTCACTACATCATCCAAACATCAAAGATACATGTCAGCTACGTTAGTTTTACCTCTTATTCCGAAATCTTACAGCTACTTGACATCATTGTATATACCATACAGAGACTTATTTCTTATTGACCTTTTTTACCCAAACCTGCTCATAGAGGTCATGAAAAAATACTACTAGAAATTATGTTAACTTGAATGAGATGTCAGATATACTTATATCAGGATCCAAATATTACCATAGCTAGATATTACTAATACACAAAATTGTTTATACATTATTTTCATTAAAAATGTTTTACCACAAAATATGTATTGTAATGCTTCATGTTTTACTAATTTTCTCCCAATAATTTAATGAAAAGTCACTATATGTATTCTCAGTTTAATCTCATATATTCTTAATTTAGCCTTTCATTTTATGAGATAATTTTTATTCTTCAGATATTTAATATCACTTTTATATGTTCTTTGATTAATCAAATAATACATTTAATTACGGAAACATAAAATATGTAATTATGAAAGTGAAGAAAGTAAAAATCACACAAAATTATATGCAATATTAACATACTCTTGCTATTATTCAGAATCTGTGATTACACTGATATTTACATTTTTACATTTGATTTGATATTAAATTTCTTAGCAGATATCACATTTTATACCACATCTTTATAATCCTTCTACCTATAGATAACTATATGTTATCTAGAGTACAATTATATAGTGCAATACAATTGAAAATTTATCATATGTAACATTATAATCTATTATTTAAGAAATGTTTTATTTTGAACATGTTTTCAAAATTTCTTACAAATATCATTTTCATATTTGTTTATAGTACTGCATTTCACATTGATGAAATTTTCTTGGCAAATTAATTTATTTTAAAATTTATTTTAAAATTAAAAATTATTTACATGTATTTAAATGTGATTCATTTCTGAGTATTTTTCTAATCATTTAGTTCCAGTGTCATCAGCTTCTATATTGTGATGTACTGTGGTCTACCTGTAATTGAATGTTTTGAGTTTTATCTGGGTTATCTGAGGATATAGAATGATTCTACACTGTTGGTCTGTTGGCTATTCATTGATTAAAATATTATACAGAGAACCTCCTTAGGGTGAACTTTTGTAAGATAAAAGTTAAAAACCACATGAAATAATTATAAATAATATACATTTGCTTGTTAATTAATAAAACTTAGGTAGGCCATTACGTGTAATTCCCCTATGGAAACTAAAGTTAAGCTATTCGGAAAGAATACTGAATTTACTGTTCTGAAAATAAAAGGATCATTCTCAAGGAGTACAATCAAGGTCACTAGCATACCTGAATAGCCTCACTTTACTTGTGTCATTTGCTGCCAAATAAACTAATATTGGAGCAGATCTTTGGAATGATGACTATATACTCTGAAAAATTCTTATTTAGGATGTTGTTGTCAAATAAGCAAGAGACTTCTATATTGCTAAATTTAATGAACAAATTTTTGTTCTTTTCATATCAGACTTTTCAGTGCTATTTAATCCATTTCAGCAGCATATAATATATTAACTTCTTTTGTTATCAAAAAGTTAGACTTGGCTTCTAAGGCATTACCCTAAACTTTTGTCTTCCTGCCTCTGGCATCCTTCTTCCTTGGTTTCTTATGGCAATGCTCCATCCCTATTCAAAAATGTATATTTCTTAGAATTTTTACCAGCTTAATAAATGTCACCACCACTCAATTGCTCAAGATAATTGATTTATTGTATTTGACGCATTCTTTCTTCGTCTCCCATATCTAATTCATCAGCTACTTCCAAAATAACTCTTAATCTGTCACGTCCTTTTTCCAGACTCTTGTTCAGCCCCAGATGCTATCAACATTCCTGTGAATTACTTGAAAGCCTTCCTAACTGGTATCTCTGCTCTCAAGTTTATCACTCTCAGCTTCACAATTCCCACATTATCAAGAAAGAAATCTTTTATAAATTAATTAAGTTTTATATTGAATATAACTTACGGAACTAATCATACTCATTATACACCCAAATGAAGACTGTCTCAAAAACTGAACACATACACAGCAGCCAGATGAAGATGTAAAATATTCAACACTCAGTAGTGCCCTTGCCACCTTTTAATTTTTTTGCAGTTATCAACCACTAAGGGCAACCACTACCACTATTTCTAACACCACAAGTTAGTGTTGCCTGTTTGTGGAGTTTCTATAAAGGGAATCTTTTTGTATGTATTTATTTGTGCCTGACTTCTTTAATCTATGTGGTTGTATGAGGTTTCAGTTCGTTCTTTCTCTTTGTGTGTATAATTGTCCATTATGTGCCATATAGCAAACTGTATTTTCCATTGTACTGGTTATAGACATTGGGGTATTCCTCAATTTTTCTTATTTTAAAGACTGATGATCTTACCATTTTTGTCTGTATTATTACAGGAACATATGTGTGCATTACTTTTGTATATATTTGCCTTTCACTCTCTGTATTTTATTGAATCATCATAATATTTTCCAGAAAACACAAATTAAATTATGGTACCCTGCTTGAAACCCTTCAAAGGCTTCTGATTTCATTAAAAATTAAATTCAAATTCTTACTAGATTTTCACATCACCTGGCTCCTACATTCCTCAAAACCTCATCTCATGCTGTTTCCTCTCACTCACTGTTCTTCAGTTACTCTTGCCTGTCACTTCCTAGAATATAACTAGATTTGACCTTCAGGGAATTAATTATCCTGTTATCTCTTGCTGAAAATTGTCTTTTCCTTTATTCCACACATACCTGACTCCTTATCCTTCAAGTTACCACCTTAGAAAGTCATTCCTTGATACCCACAACCAAAGTAAGTCAACCCCTGTTATTTTTTAATAAGTACGCCATTACACTCCTTCAAAACACTTATAAAACTTTGTATTTTTATAATTCTTAGCTAACAAAAATATAAATGACATCTGCATTTTTAGGCTGTAAGCATCAGGAAACAAAAACTATGTTTCTTTTGTTTATTCCTGTATATATAATAAGTAGGGGGCACGTTAACTATCAGTTGCTTAGTCAAATTAATAGAATGAATAAAATGTAACTATTTTATGTTCCCCTTGATATTGGATCTGTACTTCCAATTTGAAGTCTTCAGGACCTCTCTGTAGCCTGATATCAATACACACTGCAGAGTCTCCATTCTTTAACTTAGTTACATGAAATCAATAAGCATTATTGTAGCTCTAGATGTGAGTATATGTGCTATAACCATATATTTTTAAGCAATGATGAACATGACAATGGTCTTCAAGCACAGTTTAGTGAACCACATAGACAAGCCATCAAATGATTACAAGGCAAACACCATAGTGCACCTATGAATTATGTGTTATAATAAAAAACTAATTTATTGGGGCTGATGTGGAGAGGAATTTACAAGAGTTTAAGCAGAAAATATCAATTTGGGATAGATATTAAAAGTGGATCTTATCTATTGCTTTTCTGCTTTAGATACTTATAAAATAATAAAGTATCTAACTTGTCTGAACTTCTATGTCTCCTCAATGTTGCCTTTTTATGAATTGCAATGTCTCCCAAAGCATTTCCCTTTTCACTCATTGATTCAACAACTATTTACTGAGCTATATAGATGAAAACTGACATTTTAAGGTTGACATGCTAGATATGGAAAATAAAATAATCATCAATGGAGATCTTTATCTCATGTCTCTGCTTCTATTTTATTTCTCCAGTTTTTAGATTTACCAGTTTTATATATTACACAGTCTAGAATTACCATTTACTTCTCATATTCTTCATTTTTTGTATAAAATTATAATTAAAATCTGCAATTTTTTTATTTTTTTCTAAATCTATTCTTGACTTAATTGGGGAAGAAGGAGAGGTTAGAAGTAGAAAAAGTGCGATGCTTAGCTCAGAGAACCATCATTTCAGACCTACAAATATATTGTCTCCGTAAATGCCTTTGATAAAATAAATAATGAAAATGCTGCTGTCTTTACATCTCAGCAACATTGTATATTTACTCAGGACAATGTCAATTTTATAGTCTGAAATTCTAGAAGGCAGACATCCTCCAGATGTCTGAAATTCTAGAAGACAGACATTCTCCAGTCCATGCTTTGCACAGACTGGTATTTTCTTTTTGATTGAAAGATGGATCTGGAAGTTGTCACTGAGGAAATTTTATAAATAGAAAAAAGCCACTTTTCTACCCTGTAATAACTCAGGAACAACTGGAAAAATGTTCTTTAGCCATAAAAAAATCAACCTGCAGGCTAAGTCTAAGCATAAAAATTTCATCCTGAATGATATCCACTTATAAAAAATGTGATTGACTGGTAACAGTGGTCTGTAATGAAAGATGTTTCACAAACCCCACTTTTACATTTCCAACCACAAAGAGTAATATACATGCTCCATGTTTAGGTCACATATCTAAGTAATATGATACAGTTTGCAAAATAATGTTGTTGACATTGATTTATTAATATTGATTTCTAAGCTGTAAAATATAGACGAAGCTATTTTCTATTGCTTTCTTTCCTAAGCAGATCAAAGTAAAAGTGGTGAATTATAGATTGTGAGCTGTCTTGATTTTTGATAAAATATCAGCAGGGTGGTTTTGAATGTCATATTTCATCACAGTTATTAACTGCCTTAAAGTGTGCATTTTCAATAAAACTTATTCAGTCACTTTACATTTAAAACATGGTTGTATTTAAAATAAAACAATGTTATATTTTTAAAAATGAAGCCAGAAATTCAACACTGTATGATTAAAATGGCATAAAATAATATATTTGTTAATTTCAACATGATAAATTTAGACACAGCATAATTATAGTGGTGTAATTATTTACCTCATTATGATATCTATAGTATTAAAGTAATTTGATAACTGGCTTTTTAAAAATGGGGTTTACATTATTAGGAAAAAGTAGATTTTTATTTACTTTTCTATGCCATGTTTTTTGTAACTTTTCAGGAGAAGAAAAAAAGTAATATGAACTTTGCTGTATCTTCAAAGATCCTGCAAAGAAATATTACATCTAACAATGTATAAACACACAAAGCTCTATTCTCCTGCATTAACTTGCTGTATCCTGGTTGTTTGTGTCATGTTACTTTCAATCTTCCTTTTATAGTTTTGTACTTAGAGCTTTGTTATTCTTCAAATTCTTTTCTCTTAGTTAAAAAAAAATATTATTTTGTTTCCCATTTCAGAAAGGGTCTATAAACTATTCGTGAGAATTTGCTAACCTCATTGCCCATTCTCACACATTTACACAGGTCAGTGCTAGACACCAGATTGTAAGCTATGTAAGGAAAATAAACTGAATATTTTTATCTTTATGTAACTCGCACCTAGTAATTAGTGAATCCTTCATTGGCATATCTCTCTAAATATGTAATGTTATTAAATTACTGTCTCATAACTTCATAATTATTAGGCCTAAATAGGTTTTGTCTATGTGTAAAGACTTGGTTCTCTTTAACAATAATAATATCAGCTCACACAGATTTCTCCCACAGAGTTCAAAGTCTCTTCTACTTCATGTTTCTTTCTCATCTACTAACATATGTAGTTTTCATACCATTGCTACTTTCATCACAAACATAAATAAGGGTTGGTCTGTATAAATAAGCACAATTAATCACTACATGAATGAAAGCAGTAACTTAGTTTTACATAAACGTGATTTCAAGGAGCTTATATGTCAATACATCTGCACACAAGACAAGATATCTACAGTAAATACTTGTTGCAATAAATTTCTCTAGATTATGTGAGATAATTTGAAAGTATCTCGTGCTATGCGGTTGACTAGATTGACTCCTTGAAAATCTATCACCAAGAAATTAATTGGGTGCTGCATAGTTACTCATAGTTGTTCTACTTGTGTCATTAAGTCAACCAAAATTATTGGACCACAAAATGAACATTCTAGTTATTTGGTCACATTCATCTGAACGGAAATGATTATGCATTGATCAAATCAGTTTCTCTAGGGCTTGGCTATTAGGAGAACGAAAGTGCTTGAACCTACCACATTTTTTGTTGATTCATTAACATTCTATGTAGCTTCTCTCTAAAACAGAAATTCAATGACTGAAAGTCACTTTAAGAAGCAGTAACGTATGTAACACTATTTTTACAAATCTTCAAACAAAAATATATTGATTAATAATATGGCCACTTTAAATATGAGCTAGCATTTAAATAATATTTTTTGCTACTTCTTTCAATGAATAACAAAGAAAATTACATTGATTTTGTCTATATGTGTTTTCATTTGCAGGGCTATTCTTTTATTTGTAGTGTTTGTAGATATAAATTAGATGTGGTTTTGGAGGGCTGAAGGAGTCAAACTTTCAACCATTTGAAACTTGGTAGTTTCAGTAGCTCTTTTGGAAAAATAAAAGATGGAGATGAAATATCTTTAGGATGTAATTACATGAGGATATTTTAATTTAATTTAAATGCCACTTTTTATTTTTATTTTTCAAAGTAGCATCATTATAGGCTCATTTTTAAAGACTGACAAATATAGCTTCTTGGAATTTACTGAATCCTTAGCATGGTCATTAGAAAAAATTCTACATAATGTTAAGGCAAACAAGCCACAACATTTATTTCTTCACAAGAAATTATCACTAACCTTAAGGATGGAATAGAAATTAGTGGTTTACAAATAATTTTAGTAAATCTATTCACAAAACAAATGATAGAAAAGTTAAAAAGTGAGCATCATTTGACAAATGTCTAGAGGACACCTAAGCATGTTTCTTTTCCTTGAACTGCCTGATTGTATTTGTTCCCAAAGTAATTATACTCTATTTCGTTCTAGAAATTACTTGAGAAAAAATATAAAAATAATTTGTATACTATGAACAAAGTACAAAATAAATGTAGAATTATGGCCCATAAAGAATAAAAAGCTCTGTGAAAGTAAACAATGCCAGGGCAAACATAAATATACATTTAATATGTTGTGTCATTGTGTGTGATTCAGAATCAGGCTTTATACTTTGCAATGATATTTAAAGTTACCATAAAAGGATGCAATGAGATTGGAAGTTATCAAAAAATAAATAATAATTTGTTAACACTAATTCTACAAAAGAGTATGGAGTTTAGCATATATTATAGTTTAACTAAAAAAATTGAAATAGTGAACCAATTTAATTGAGACGGAAAAGGAGAGAGAATCTAATTGTACAGTGTAAATGAAAAATTCCAGTTATTTGTTTCTTAGGAAATCTAGGCTTGGGAAATTCAATTCTCATTTTTAAAAGTGAGAAGTATAAGAAAAATCCCAATTATAACAAAACATGTTCGGGTGATAATACATATGGCCATATAAAGGGAAAATTCATAGAGAAAATTGGACCCCTAAAATTATTGTAAGCCATTTCCTTGGTGTCCTCAAAATGCTTCCAACGGTCATATTTTCTACAGTGTTAAGAGTTGATGGCTAAAGGCATAGAAATATTTTTTTAAAAATTGGCCAGACAAAAACATAATAATGCAATATATATTTAAATATATGAAATATTTGGCATTGGTCAGAACTAACTAGAGAAAGTTAAAACAATGAAAGCACATGTTCATACATACTTAATTCACTCTTTACTACTATAACAAAATACCTGAGACTTGGCAATTTATAAAAAACAAAAATATATTTTCTTACAGTTCTGGAGGATGAGAAGTCCAAGATCAAGGTGCTGTCTGTTCTTGTTGTCTGGTGAGGCCTGCATCCTCTGGAGGGGAGGAATACTGTGTCGCCACAAGGTAAAAGGCAGAAGGGCAAGAGGGCTGAACCGCTGTATGAAGCCTCTTTTATCCTCGCCTAATCCCATTCATCAGGAACAAACTCATGGCCTAACTGCCTTTTAAAGGCCCCACTTTGTTATTCCATCGCATTGTTGGTACCTGAATTTTGGAAGGGACATATTAAAACCATAACACATTCAATATTGGCAAAGAAATAACGATTGACAAAAATGATTTTTTTTTTTTTTTTTTTTGAGATGGAGTCTCCCTCTGTCTCGAAGGCTGGAGTGCAGTGGCGCGATCTCGGCTCACTGCAAGCTCCGCCTCCCAGGTTCACGCCATTCTCCTGCCTCAGCCTCCCAAGTAGCTGGGACTACAGGCGCCGGCCACCATGCCCAGCTAATTTTTTTTTTTTTTTTTTCATTTTTAGCAGAGACTTGTTAACACGTGTTCACCGTGTTAGCCAGGATGGTCTGGATCTCCTGACCTCGTGATCCACCCGCCTCGGCCTCTCAAAGTGCTGGGATTACAGGCGTGGGCCACCGCGACCTGCGGAAGCAAATATTTTATGTGTGCTTTCAGACTGCTGTTCATGACGCAAATCAGGATGATTTACTCTACGTTACTTTGGTCTCTGTTGTTGCTTTCTCTGTCAGCTTTGCCAATCTCCACTGTTAATGTCTGCTACTCAAGAGAACATCAGGTCACATGTAAACTTCAGAAATTCAAGTTGATTTCTATTAGGAATAAAATTTTCACTTTTTTTCAAAAAGCTATAAAAAACAGACCGTGGGCTGAGGGCGGTGGCTCACGCCGAGGCGGGCAGACCACTTGAGGTCAGGAGTTTGAGACCAGCCAGGCCAACATGGGGAAACCATATCTCTACTAAAAATACAAAAATTAGCCAGGCGTGGTGGCGGGTGCCTGTAGTTTCAGCTACTCCAGAAGCTAAGGCAGGAAAATTGCTTGAACTTGGGAGGTGGAGGTTTGCAGCGAGCCGATATCATGCCACTGCACTCTATCCTGGGCTACAGAGCCAGACCCTGTCTCAACAACAACAGCAAAAAACAAAACCAGGTCGGGCGCGGTGGCTCACGCCTGTAATCCCAGCACTTTGGGAGGCTGAGGCTGGTGGATCACAAGGTCAGGAGATTGAGACCATCGTGGCTAACACGTTGAAACCCCATCTCTACTAAAAATACAAAAAATTAGCCGGGCGTGGTGGCGGGCACCTGTAGTCCCAGCTACTCGGGAGGCTGAGGCAGGAGAACGGCGTGAACTTGGGAGGTGGAGCTTGCAGTGAGCCGAGATCGCTCCACTGCACTCCAGCCTGGGCGACAGAGCGAGACTCCCTCTCAAAAACAACAACAACAACAAAAAGCCAAAACCAGACCATGATATCACTCATTCTTGTGTTGACTGACCTTTAAATGCAAGCCTCCAGGTTTAATTATAGCTTGACTTTACCGCCATTCTCAAAATGTTCTGGGCATCATCGACTCTGACATGACCTCATGGAGAAAGTGGTTCATGATAAGAAGTTAAATTTTCCCTCAATATTATTTAAAATCTTCATATTCACCTCAATTGTAAGCTGAGTATCTCTGCAGGTCACCACTTTACCTGAGCTTGTTTATATTTCATATTCAATATAACTCAGAAGCCCAGTTGTTTTTCTCCTCCTAGATTAGTACTTCTCTAAGTTCTTATAAAAAATCTGTTGCTTTGAGGATTATGCTGACTGGCTTTTCTGCCCTTTCTGCTTTTTCGTTATTCTCATATACCTAAATTTTGAAAGTTTGCTTACTTTATTCAATATATTTTAGCAATATTCCTTTCCACATCTATCATTTTCATAGAAATCTTTATCTGAGACAGAAATTACCGACAGGTTGAATTAAATAAATTCCAGTATTTGATTGTCAATTACACAAAATCAAACAGCAGGATGAATCCCGAATTACAATCTGTGCTATAGGACAAAATATTTATATTTTATATAATGACTTTTATAAATTAATAATGGGATACAAACCTCAAAGCCAAATGTTACCAAAAATGTATGGATAATATTTTCATTCCGTAAGGATCAGAGAAAGTACAAAAAATGAAGAAACTATGGTATTGTCTTAGAATTTTTAATATACAAGACTGATTCGATGTTCAGTAAATAAGCACAACAAAATTTTGATTTGTACAATTGTACCATGTCTCTAGAAGACAGTCGTGATTACATTTCTAGTAAGAAATGTGTGTGTGTACATATATATATGTGTGTGTGTGTGTGCATAGATACTTACACACTCCACACAGAAAGATGAAAAACTTGAACAAGTAAAATACTTTACTGTGATTCTTAATGAAAGATGAGATGATGGAAGAGTCCCATTCATTTAAAAGTAAACCTTTTAAATAACTCCAAATTATTTATACTGAATCTTTAGATAAATAATAAATATGTGGGTTTAAATTAAGAATTATGATTTGATTTCCTATGTTTATAACTTTTTCCCTAAAATTGCACAGATATTAAAAATACCAGAAAATGTTGCATTTCTTTTTGAAAACAAGATTATATACAGTCATTTAACCATCATCAAAATCAAGATTTAGAAACTCTCATATACAGCATGCTGACTATAGATAACAATAACGTCGCATATGTACAAAATTAGCTAGAAGAGTGGATCATTAAGTGTTCTCACCATAAAAGTATCTATGAGAAGTGACCAGATGTGTTAATTAGCTTGATGATAATTTCACAATATATTTGTGTATTTAAAAAATCACAGCATATATTTTAAATATATATAATTTTAATTTGCCAATTATACCTTAATAGAGCTGGTGGGGGAAGAATAAATCTCAAAAGAATTTTGAAAAAGGAGGGAAGCCAAATGAAAAATGCCACATAATATGTGATTTTATTTATATGACTTTCTGGAAAGGCAGAATAATACAATGCTTATTAGAGATCAACAAATCCTAGTGTTAAGGGAAGGAATTTACTGCAAAAGAAAAAAAAATAGTCCTTTTTGGAATAATGGGGATGTTTTACATCTTAGTTCTGATGATACTTATACTACTTTGTAGATTTCTTAAAGGTCACCAAGCTACTTAACTGAAAATGGTACCTTTTATGGTATTTACATTATAGTTCAATAAAACAATAAAAATATTGATGCAAAGAAATGTAGAAACTTTCAAATCTCTCTGTGCTCTTTTATACACAATCTCTACTTCCATCCTTGATGCCTGGCAACCACTGTTTGCATTCATAAGCATCATTTTATGAATACGACAATCTAATGGTTTTATAACCATTAGTGGAATGTTCTTTCTAAAATTAAGGTGGGTGTGGTGGTTCACGCCTATAATGGAAGCATTTTGGGAGCCTGAGGTAGAAGAATCATTTAAGGCTCGAGTTTGAGATCAGCCTGGGCAACACAGCAAGACCCTATCTCCACAAAAAATAAAAATAAAAAAATTAACTGGGCATTGTGGTGCAAACCCGTAGTCCCCACTACTAGTGAGGCTGAGGCGTGAAGATTGCTTGATCCCAGGAGTTTGAGGCTGCAGTGAGCTGTTGTTTGCACCTCTGAACTCTAGCCTGGGCAACAGAAAAGATCCTGTCTCTAAAAAATAAATGTAAATAAATTTAAAAATTTTAAATCTCTGTAAATTTCACCAAAAACCAGTTTAGTATCTATGTCGTTATTTATTTATGTATCTTTTCTTTTATTCTATTCATTATGTATCTATTATTTTTTGATAACACACTGTCATCATTAGGGTACCTTTTAGTGGGTCTGAAAATCAGGTAGTATAAGTGCTCTAATTTATTTATTCATTTACAAAATTGACTTGGCTGTTCTAATTTATTTACCTTTCAATATAAATTTTAGAATCAGCCTGTCTATAACAACAAAGAATCTTCAAATTTTGATTGACTAGAATTGCACTTTATCTATAGATACCTTTGGGGAGCATTAACAACAATACTGAGTCTTCCAATTCATGAACGTGGCATCTCTTTCCACTTATTTAGAAATTCTTTGCTTTTTGTTAAATCAGTTTTTTACCATTTATGTTATAGATCGTGCATATAATTAGTAAGATTTAAGTATAAGTATTTAAGTTTTTGTGATAATGTAAATGGTACTTTTTATAATTGTAATTTTCAAAATATATTGCATATATACACAAATATATTAGCTATTCACATATAAATTTTTGTTATGTGCTCTTTTAAGGCTTTTGTCCCTTTTTATTTGGGGTTTGTATTATTATTATTGAATTGCTCAAGAAATTTATTGCAGAAGTATGTATTAAATACATTGCCAGATTTGTGTATTGTTAATATCTTCTATGAGTCTGAGAGCTGTCAATAACTTGGAGATCTCTCTATGCTCTCTGGCCCAAACCAGAAAGAGGGACACTATGAGTAAACTTTACTCTCCAGAGTGTCCTATCACCAACTTACCAAGCCAAAGGATATAAATATCTACCCTCTACAGCCTCATCTTGTGGCAGACTGGTAACAGGAACTTATCAAAGACTTCCTCAGAGAAAGTCAGCTTCAACTTCCTGGCTCTGGCCTTAAATATTTTTTAGTAGCAAAAATTATAAAGTAAAACTGATCTAAAACAACTATTTTCAAATGAGCAATCTTTGTTCATCAAAATGTGGTGAAAAAATGGAAAGACAACAAAATTAGGAGATACTTTCAACATAAAGTACTAAGAGGGTTTATTACTGAGAATTTTTTTAAAGTGTGATTATTCAGGAACAAAAAATAGTCTTCAATATAAAAATCAGTAAAATAGAATAGCACTTCACAGAGGAACCATGTCCATTTTTATTCATTGATAAAATGAAAATGTACTATACTAAACATAATTCCACACTCCCAGATTGGGCACTTTTCATTTTTAAAGCACATAAATATTTGGAATTTTAAAAAAGTAATGCACCACTGGTATGGAGAATACATTGCTACAATTACTTTCTGAAAGTGTTTGGCATTGCCTAACAAGGGTGAGCATGTGTATGACATACAATGTAGCATTTCTACTCCTTAGGTATATTAAAAAAGGGAATTTGAAAGTGAGTATTCTGACACATTTGCAATATATTATAGCACTAGTTTGATGGTAGCATAAATACTGAATAAGTCAAATGGCTGACATTATTGAAATACATATATATCTATCTGTATGCATATTTATACATTAAAATACCTCAGATAAGTGACTAAGAATTCAATATAACTGCACGAACCAGAATGAATGCTAAAAACTACCACTAGTAAAATATGCTATTCTACAACTTTACAGGACATAATTCCATTAATACAATCTCAAACTCAGGCAAAACTAATAAATATTCAGAGTCACAAGAGTAAACCCTAAAGAAAAGCAAAAGGATGGGATATATATATTCAGAATATTAGATATGGCTCAGAAAGAATGGTGAGGATGAAGTTCCATCAATTTCATACAGGTGAATTAAAAGATATTGGTAATGCTTTAATACTTCATTGACATAGGTTTATAGCATATAATTATTATTTTTAATGAATATATTTTAGCAATATTATCTGTCTATAAAACACTTCTTTCCTGATATTTTATACAAATACAAAATTAATTTTTTATGACTTTGGCTGTAGACACATAAAGTTCAAGATCCTATCAGCTTAGCAGAGTGACCATACACTTTATTTTACAAACCAGGTTATATGTTTTAAAAGTTGAGTATTCTTAGTTGTCACAGTATGAGAGAAAACTGCAGCTGCTCATAGAAAACTGGGGCTTTTGTTCATCGTGTCTATTAGATATACATGTAAAAATGCTGGTAATTCAGATGGATGTAGATATCACAATGTGAGTTGAAGTTTGAGGGTGATCGTATATGTTCTTGAATCATGGGTCCATGAATTGCATTTAAAGATATGGACCTGGATGACCAAGAAGTAAGTCTATATAGAGAGGAGAATAAATAATAGAACCTAAAATGGTACGCATTTTAAAGTTTAAGTAGGTGATAAGGATGATAAGAGCGCGTGTATAACCAGTGTTTGTGCAGGCTGAATGCCAATGGAAAGATGTTAGCGAAAGCACACAAAGATTGCGGTTCAAAAAGAGGGAGCTATCAATTAATGTGCCAAATAATTATCAGCATACAGCCAAATAAAGATTGACATTTCCCACTGGATTTGAACAAATAAACAATAAACCTGCATCAGCAAATAAACTTTTTTCTTCAATACAGGCATTTCTCATTAGTTTAATTTCTTCCTGCAAATTTGCCGGATAGCTAATTTTTAGAAAACAATAGTACATATTCCCTTATTTTAAATAGGAAAAAATAATTTAGTGAAAAAATCCCCATCCAATTCCCCCACATACAATTAAAACTCTTTTAACAAGTTACTTAACAAACCTGAATAATAGAAAGCATTTATAATTTCAATTATACAAATATTTAACAATTGCACAGTAAGTTTATTAAATAAAGGAATAAAGTACCATATGGCAAAATAAAGTAAGTAAAGCAATAAAGTACCATATGGCAAAATAATTTTTCTTCTACACCAAGACAACCATGTTTGCAGTGTAAATCAATTAACAAAGTAACATTTTACTATACTTAATGAATAAAATAGTATTTAAGCCAAAAAAAAAAAAAACAGATTACAAAGGAAGAAAACTTTAACTTACCAACTGAACAGTTTCCTAAGTGAGATATGACAGCCAAATAACAAGCTGCTTGGTTGCAGTTTGGTGAAATCCAGTAGACTGAAGGAGTTTTCAGTTAACACCTGAAATTTAAATTTTGTCCATTTTTAAATCTGAGGATGTTTTGGTCCATTTTTTCTTGCGTACCCAAGACTGCTAATAAGCATATATATGAATCATTATCGAAGACAAAAAAAGACATTGGTGAAAATCAATCCTGACAGCTTTCTGTGTTCTTCTGCTTAATGTTATATAGCTTTTGACATGGACAAATAATTGCATTTATTAGTATCTTCCTTCTTCTCATGGTATAATCACATTTTCTTGCTATATCAAATTTCTTTAAAAGTTCTGATGTCAAATATCATGGTTCCGCTTATTTTCCCCCAATAAACAATGAATAATATGTTGAAGTACTTTATGTTATGTTCTCTAACATACAGTTATACATTTCTGATAGGGACAAGTTGTCACCAATTCAATTTCCATTTTCTGTTTTTTTCTTTACTTGCTGACTTCGATTTCATTTAATATAAAATATTCATATGAAATGTTAGAATTCTCAGCCTGCCTTGCAGTTAGTGGTGCTAATACAATTCAGTTTTCAACAAGTTACAAAATGTGAGGCTCTGGCAGATCTTCCAGAAAATTTTTTGGAAAACACCATAATTTTTACACTTCTTCCTCCCCTACCTCTTGTTCTGGTCTGAGATGTGGTCTTTAGGCTGGAACACAACCAGTAGCCATCTTGTGAACATAAAGATAGATGATACTATAGTGGGATGATAGTGGAAAATTACAGAAGCCTATGTCCCTGAAGACAATATGGAGACACCTCACCAACACTTGACTACCTGTCCATGCTTTTCTTATCTGGGAGGAATAACAACCTTTTTCTTGTTAAAATTAATACACTTTCAAAAAAGCAGTTATGGGTTCAGAGAGCACTGTGTCCCCAAATACTACCTCATGTGCACTTGATAAAAATGTACATTCTGTTTTTGTTGGTGAAATATTCTGTGTGCTGTTAGTTCCAATTGGTTTATAGTGTTGTCTAAGTTATCTGTTTCCTTATTGATCATTTGTCTGTTTTATTATCCTTACATATTAAAGAATAATCTCACTAAATTCAAAATGCTAGGTTGGCGCTTTTTACTTTCAACATTTTAAATATTTAATTATACTTTCTTTTTGCTTAGAAGGTTTCTGAAGAAAAGACTCACATAATTCTTATTCTTTCTCCTGTATAGGTAACGTGTTTTAGAATTTTTTTAAAAATCTGGATTATTTCTAGATTTTTTGATTTTTTTCAAAAAACTCTGGCTTTTTTTTCTATATTTTCTATAGTTTAAATATATGTCTAACTGTAGATTTGTAAATGTTTATCTTGTATGGCATTCTCTGAGTTTCCTGAATATTTATTTTGGTTTATGCCATTCATTTTGGAAACCTCTCAACTATTATTCTGTTTCTTTCTCTCTTTAGTCTTTTCCTAGTATCCTAGTTTTCCCATTATTTGTAAATTATACTTCATATTTGTCCCTCAATTTTTGGATAGTCTTTTATGTTTCTCGTACTTTTTTCTTTGTATTTTAGGTTTAATATTTCCATTGACATATATTCAAGCTCAATGATTCTTCCTTGGCCATTGTCAGTGTGATAAATTCAACAAAGGCATTTTGATTTCTGTTATAATATTTTGATTTTAGCATTTCCTTTTAATTTTGAGCATTTTCATTTCTCTGGTTATAATACCCATTGATTCTTGCACAGTATCAGCCTTTTACATTAGAAAGCTTAGCATCTTCATCATAGTTATTTTAAATTCCAGATCTTTACTTTGAAATTATCTGCCATATTTAAACCTAGTTATAATGCTTGCTCTTCTCTTCAAACTGTGTATATGTTTGTGTGTGTGTTTTGTTCCTTTTCACAACTATATAAACATCTGTCTCTTTCTGAATTACCTGTTCTATTTTGTTTTTCCAAATTTCCGTATCAATAGAAATACAAAACTGTCTTATTGATTGTAATTATGCAGTTATGTAGTATATTTTGTACAATTAATAAATTGCCTTCTAATTCTAATTATCCTGCTTTTAAAAAACTGAAATAGCTATTTGATTATATTTTCTCTTTCAGATAAACTTTGGTACCTGGGAATTTCATTAAAATTTATGTTTATCTGTTAACTGAAATTGTATTAAATTTGAGATTAATATTTTAAAAATATACTAAATCATCCCATTCAGTAATACAGTTTATATAAATTGTCTTTTTTCTTCAGTAATATATTAAATGTTCATTAACTGTATCCTTTTTTTTGTTTTAAAGTATATTATTAGAAACGTTTTCAACGTGTTTCTTGTTATTGTGAATGGAAGCTTTTTTCCTTATATTTAGTAGCTTATTGCTGATAAATGAAAAAAATACAAATATATTGATTTCAGTTTGTTGACATTGTATCTGTTTCCCTTGTGGAACTCTTATATTAAAACTAATCACTTTCCATTTGATTGCCCTGGATCCCCTAGTTAGAAATTCCAAACTTCTGCAAATAATGAAAGGCCCCTGCTCACCCACACACAAATGCTTCTACAAAATCTGTAAATACAGCCACACAAGAAGGTGGATATACTCTGGTAAGTGTTCACTGACAGAGGAAACTGCCTTGTAATCTGCTGTATCTCCCTTATGAAGCCATAGGAACAAAGCTAGAGGCACAATTTCCGTGATAATCTTGGTCCATCATGTCCATTGTCATATTTTTAGTCCTGTCTGCTTATCTATTTGCACTTATATACAAATGCTTCTGTGAATTCAATCTCCCAGGACACTGCTCAACTGAACCTTTCCATTATGCCTGTTCTGAATCGCCTACTTCAAAATCATTGAGTGACCTTCTTTCTCTCCTTGTCTTATTTATAAAACATACATGCACCTCCTAGTTTTGGTGGAATCTGGCTAATCTCTGATGAATTCACCCATTTTCCCTGACTTATTCTTTGATTCTCAATAAGCAAGTTTTATCAAAATATATCTGGCTTTTAAGTATCACTTAATCTACATTAAACCTCTTCGGTAGTTTTCTTTTTTTTTAAATTTTATTATTATTATACTTTAAGTTTTAGGGTACATGCGCACGACGTGCAGGTTTGTTACATATGTATACATGTGCCATGTTGGTGTGCTGCACCCATTAACTCGTCATTTAGCATTAGGTATATCTCTTAATGCTATCCCTCCCCCCTCCCCTCACCCCACAACAGTCCCTGGTGTGTGATGTTCCCCTTCCTGTGTCCATGTGTTCTCACTGTTCAATTCCCACCTATGAGTGAGAACATGCAGTGTTTGGTTTTTTGTCCTTGAGATAGTTTGCTGAGAATGATGGTTTCCAGTTTCTTCCATGTCCCTACAAAGGACATGAACTCATCATTTTTCATGGCTGCATAGTATTCCATGGTGTATATATGCCACATTTTCTTAATCCAGTCTATTGTTGTTGGACATTTAGGTTGGTTCCAAGTCTTTGCTATTGTGAATAGTGCCACTATAAACATAGTTTTCTTTATGTACACTTCATTGCACATTTCTCCACTTTGCAATCGACATTAGTTACTACAGTTGTGTTTATCTATTGGATGTCTCTGTCCCTTAATAAGACACAAGATCTAAGATGGCATGTTACATCTGTTTACTTTATCACTTTATACAGAGCCTAGCACATGGAAAATATATTTTGTTTATCTTAATTTATCAAATTTTATAATTTACTTCACATTTGTTACTAGCATTAAATTACATATGCCATACAGCAATTTTTTTCTAGATTAATTTTGACTAATATGATAGTTTTTGATATTTATTATTGGTTTCTCATGTGGTTTTCAATGCATATTTAAGTATTGGTACCCTTAGGCATAGACTAGGTGAAGCTGACTCTCAGAGGTAACAATTACTCTGTCATTTCACAGATATTTTCTTCCTGTATCATTTTTCTCTTTACACTACTTGAATGAGTTCAATATAGAATAATGCTTTTAATATTTTAAATAAATAGTACAAAACTATTTAGTCTCAATATTCTGAAATAACTTATTAGTCTGAAATGGAAATGCCTTTTCATTTCTAAAACTTAGAAAAGGGTTCAGTCCTGGGAAAATGGTTTGAAGTCATATTTTAAAAGTAAAAAAACTCATAAATATAAAAATTAGGAAGTAAGTATAAAGTAATAAAAGCAAAAAGTTTATAGAAATAGAATATTAGTTTGGGAATTATCAAGGAAAAATAGAAAAACAATCTAGAAGCAGTCTGTCATAATTCTCTCTATATATGTTCATGAGAGGTATGATGAGTCTAGCTCTGTTTAATAAACCCCTTGTTTTACAATGCTTTTCTACTGAGAAGCTAAGAAGACTACTTTTAGGGTCTTCATTAACCTTGTGCTTAAAGTATATGTTCCCAATCTCATTGCAAATTATGTTTTAGCTAACCATTTCTCAGTATATCTATTCTAACATTCCAGTTTTTCACCTGCACCCCTGAAATATGCTCCAAAGAGGACTATACTTTCCATTTTGCCTCCAGAGTCAATTTTGTAAACTTCAAACAGAGTAATCCTTTGAAAAATAAAATAAAATGATTTCATCTCCTGTTCAAAATCCCACCAATGGCTGCCCACAACACATAAGTGCTAAGTGGTTATAATGGTTTATAGTATTTTGTACGTTGTGGCTCTTAGAAAACTTTCCAATATCTCTACTCTTTGTCCTTCTTGCTTAGCCTATTTAAAAAGGCAATTTTGTACTACCCCTTCCCCAAGCTCTATTCCATTAATGCATTTTACTTTTCTCTAAAAACATGCATCATTGACAGGCATTACACCAAGTATACTTTTTATTCAATTAAAAGCTTCAGAAGGACATGACATAATTTGTAAAATCAATGATTTCACACCAGTTTTTGGATCAGCACCTCCAATATAAAGATATGTAATAATGACAAGTTTAATAAATCAGTGGATAAATAAACTGCCAGTTGCTTCATTGGCAAAACATAATATGGACTAATTCTCTCCTAAATTTTAACTTGATAAAATCAATAAATGAGAAAATATTAAGGAGTGAGAGCTTAATGTAAAAATAAAAATGGAGAAACAAGTAGTGAATGATTTGGGTTAGGTGGAATGAACAGGAGGAGGAGAAAAATAAGACCTTTGCCAATTATGATGCATAATAACTTAAAAATACAAGGAGAGAACATTGGGACTGTATCGAAAAACTGCTGAGTTTTTTGTTGTGTTTTATGCCTTATTTATTTTTGATAAAGGCTAGTTTAAATTGACTTTACAGAACTAGTTATAATACTATTCACTGACTCTTAAATTCCACATATTTTTATATACTCATATTTTAATATAAATTAAAAATTTGTCAGTCCTGGTTGTTGAAAACCTTTTAAATTTGCAAAAGCAGAAAGTGAAATAGCAACTAATTTTACAATCATAACTTAGAAAAATTGTTAAATCATTTCATAAATAAACCAAGCCATAAAACATTGTTTAAAATAACTAAGAGAGTACAAAGAACGCTATGCTTAGTAAATTAAGCTTGGCCATCCCCATTTTCTTTACTTAATGCCTCATTCATTTAGGTAGCCAAGCTAAATAAGTACTTTCTACCAAAAATTCTGATTAAAATTCTTAAATCATTTCTGCTCCAGCTCACTTGATAACTACTTTTCCAATTTTGTGTTTGTCTTGGTTATGTTCCCAGCAGGTTGTTAACAATTAATTAGCAATACTTCTCAAATGTTATGTGTGTTAGTCTACTAATTGCAGGGCAGGAAAATGGAATTTCCCTTTGTAAACAAATGGTAATCATGATCACTTATTTTAGATAAGGCAATACAAATTTTCCTTATATTTGTGTTGCTGTTACTTAGACTTACAGCCAAAAGGCATGAATTGTATTTATAAGTATTGGATGAAGCTATTCATAAGTTACACAAAAAGAATTTTGAATCATTTAGTTTTGAACAGCACCATCTCATTTTAATCCTTTCATCTTATTCCTTAGTAAAAGCAATGTAAACACATGCCTTGTGTGTGAAGGGTGTGTGTGTGCATGTGTGTATTTATATTTACGACTCAAAAGAAAATCTTGGAAGAAGTTGTTTAGATTAGCAATTATGATTCCAGAACAAGCATAAATTTCACATTTCTATCAAAAGTCTTAATGGTTATTTTTTAAAAATGAATTTGCTCATATGTTAAAGATATTGTTATGATTTTAGTCAACCTTACACATATTTTAATTCATAGTCTTCAGTATTTTCTATGGTATGTACTTTTTTTGACTTGTTCTATTCCTAGCTATTCATAGAATGCTTGAAATGGAATTCATCTTATGTATTTTCTAATATACCCACCTAATTTTATAGTTGAGAAAATTTAGGACCAGGAGAAGATAATTTGAATTTCAAAAGGTCATTGTCACAGGTACAATAGATTGGCTCACTGGCATATATTCTAAACTGTTTCTAGTGTGCCTTCCTCAAAGGAAGAGGATGGAACAGTAAAAGTCAATTTCCTTCACTTAAACAATGTGTATGTTTGAATTAATTCAGGCTGGTTTACATTTGGTTGGTTAGTAAGTGTCAAAAGAGGTGGTATATAACAAGTGTCTGTTTTAATAGTTTAGATTGTAGCAACTACCATACCCCTTAGATTCAAAACCATAGTGGTGTCTACTCAGTCCCTACATTGTAGCTATGGGCATTTAATTGTGGAATGAGAAGGTAACACAGAATGGCTAATTCCTTCATGGATCTACTCTGGTAGTTGTCAGAGAATTTCCTGGACTGTCCACCCAACCATGCTAGCATCTGCTTATGTCCTGCCTTCAATAGTTTTGAAAGTGTGAAAATGTTTTGTATTACCTTTTGTTCTGCTTAAACTGAATAGAATGGTTTCTGTTATATGAAACTGAAGAGTAACATGGATAATTCTCATATAGTAATATGTTTTGAGATAGGACCAGGAACTCCTAGCTAATTGCTGGTGGATAGATAATAGAAAACTAGGGGACTGGAAATGTATAGGTAAATTTTAAAAATTGTTTGAATACTGAGCAGAAATAATTTTTCTTTGTATTATTATGTAGGTAAATCTCAATGTTCTGCATTTTTATCTCATAGAGAAGATAAAACTGATACATGTGCCATTTAGCCCCTTGCTTCCCAAAGTTTTTTATATTATGATACACATAGAAATCAATAGTATTTGTGTGGTCCACTCATGTAAAGGGATTCAGATTATCCCAAGTTCCATCAGACCATCTATGTACTTTATGCATCACACACCAGTCTACATGAGAAATCTCATTGTCAAAGTCAAAATGTTTGTCATTTGAAATCTGACTTTAAGCATCCAAATAATGACCATCTCTTACTTTTTTTTTTAATTTTTCTTTTTTTTTTTTTTAAGTTTTGAGATGGAGTCTCACTCTGTCTCCTAGGCTGGAGTGCAGTGGTGCGATCTTGGCTCACTGCAAGTTCCGCCCCCCGGTTCGTGCCATTCTCCTGCCTCAGCCTCCCAAGTAGCTGGGACTACAGGCGCCTGCCACCACACCCAGCTAATTTTTTTGTATTGTTTAGTGGAGACGGGGTTTCCCCTTGTTAGCCAGGATGGTCTCGATCTCCTGACCTCATGATCCGCCCGCCTCGGCCTCCCAAAATGCTGGGATTACAGGAGTAAGCCACTGCGCCCGGCCCATCTCTTACTTCTAAAGCTCACTCTAACATTTCACCTTCAACAGTTCTTAAAATCGTATCAGGACCTCCAAGTCATCAATCATTTCATTGCTTACCTTCCTCCTTTGATTAGATTAAATTTTAGACTTCATATTCTAGCCACTCTTTTGCATACATTTTTAGCACAACAGAAATAATTTTATTAACTTCTACAGTTACTTTGTGAATGAAATTATATAATTTTAATGAAGTGCTTAAATATGATCCAATACATAGGACACATTAAATAAACATAAGCTACTACAGTTTTAAGTGAGTTTTCTCAAATGTGCCTAAAGAACTGTTTTATACATAAATAGGTGAAGACAAAGTATTATTTTGATCAGAATTAATCTTTATTTTTTGAGATTATTAAAAAACTTTGAGAAATTCTTTTCATTTTTCTAATAACTTGATGATATTAAAGTAGTTGTCTTATGGTTTAATATAGGTGATTTAGAGTAGAATTGTCAATATTCAGCTAAAAATATTATTCAACAGGTAAACAATTTGTGTTGTAACAATCATTTTGTAATGTACTTTGTATGTTCTTAGAAACTATTATTTCTAATATCAAAATTAAGAACCAATAGAATATTCAGTATAAGCATCATTTATATGGGTATAGATAAGTTAAATATAGATACAGCTATTAGATATAGATATACACACGATAAAACTGTTTTGTTTTGTTTTGTTTTGTTTTTTTGAGACGGATTCTCGCTCTGTCACCCAGGCTGGAGTGCAGTGGCGCCATCTCGGCTCACTACAAGCTCTGCCTCCCAGGTTCATACCATTCTCTTTCCTCAGCCTCCTGAGTAGCTGGGACTACAGGTGCCCACCACCACATCTGTCCAATTTTTTGTATTTTTAGAACAAATGGGGTTTCACCATGTTAGCCAGGATGGTCTCGATCTCCTGACCTCGTGATCTGCCCACCTGAGCCTCCCAAAGTGCTGGGATTACAGTGATAAAACTTTTATGTTATCATTATTATAAACATAAACTATAAAAGTAATTGAGAAAAAACGTATGTTCTAAAATATATGTAAAATGCTAACTAAACTGAAATAAAGTTAGTTTTAACTAAAATTGAGTACTTTTGCAAAATTACAGAATAATCTTCAAAAGTTGCCTCAATGTGCTAAATAACTGTTCACAGTTTAGTTAGAAGTTATATTTTTAATAAGTAATAAATTATGTTATTTCATTACATACAACATTTAACAGATAGTCTCCTTTCTTAAATTATGGTGATCTAAGCCCAATAAAAATTTTAGTTCAGTGGCCAGGCCCGTTGGCTCATGCCTGTAATCCCAGCATTTTGGGAGGCTGAGGTGGGTGCATCATTTGAGGTCAGGAGTTCGAGACCAACATGGTGAAACCCCGTTTCTACTAAAAATACAAAAATTAGCTGGGTGTGGTGGTGCAGGCCTGTAATCCCAGCTACTCAGGAGGCTGAGGCAGGAGAATTACTTGAACCCGGGAGAGGAAGTTTACAGTGAGCTGAGGTCACACCACTGCACTCCAGCCTGGGCAACAGAGTGAGACTCTGTCTCAAGAAAAAAAAAAATTAGTTCAAATATTGTATCTTGCACAATATAGGACACTGAGGAACCTTCTTAATAGCACTCACGGATCAGTAGAATCACAGAAGTGACCCCTAGTTTTCTAACACACTTACGTTATTTCTGTCACTCTATCACTGATGACATTGATTTCTGGTAACCATAAAATACTTAAGAGGGATGAAAACAGAAAATAAGCTTTATTCACATGTTAGGAACATGTTTTAAGACTTTTTATTTACATACCTGTAAACATCAAGTGTAATTTCTTCCCTTCGATAGGAGATAATATTTAGGTAAGACTTAAAGCAAAACACGACCCCAAAACTTGTCTTCCATCATTGCTAAAATGATCATTTAAAGCCAGTCTACCTGAGCAGAACCTAATTCACATATTCCTTCACATATTTTGTCACTACCTGGAAAATATGTTTAGAAACTAAAATTAAGACAACTATGCAGAGCAGACACAGGGTAGCCAGTCAAACAATAGCTTAAAATATCCAGCATACTAAAATGGAGTCACTGAATCTGAGAATAAGTTGTAAGATCAGGTAATGACAAAACACATCCTATTAATCCAAAACTTTGTCAAGAATGGAATGCTTGACTCTCAAAAAAAGCAATTTGAGTTTACTATAAAGTAAGTGTTTTTTTTTTTCCATAAAAGGAAGAAAAACTTTTTATTTTATTTTATTTTATTTTGGTGGGACTCTGTTATAAATCTTTATTTTTTAGTACTTGAACACTGGCAGAACTAAATACAAAAGCAATAAAAAATCATAATATTTTCTAAAAATAGTTTTCCATTTGGGGCTTGCGGCCCCCTTCAATAAAATCATTCTGAAGATTTAAAGGGGTTTCAGCTTCAAATTTCTCAGAATAAAGACTCCTTTTGAGCGGGGCTACAGAAGCCCCCATGAACTTCCTGCTCCTTAAAACTAATGGGCAAAACAAAAACAAAACAAAAAAACCTCCTAGAAAGCAAATATGACCCTTCTCAATACAGAGCTTTCCCCACTCCAATTTGTAGGTTTTCAGAGAAGACTGGGGAAGTAGGTAACAGCGAGCAAGTCATCCTGTGAGGAAGGTCCTGGAGCGAGCCCTAGAGTGGGGACTCCCCAGGAGGGCCCGGAGCAGCGGGGACTTCTCACTCCACCTCTTCAGTCTCTGATTAGCACACATTCGGGGGAGTGCTTCCACTTGGAAAAGCTTCCAGGAGGCAGCTCTTCAGTAGCGACCGAGGCACACGTGGTCCATGGACAATTTTATCCTGTGAAGCGGATACGGTTTCTCACAAAGGTTGGCCAGCACGTACAAATGTCTCAACGCATACTCGCACGTGGGGGAGTGCCAGTTGAAGCAGTGGGTCTGGAAGTGCAGCAGGGCCTCCAGGTAGCAGCTATGCCCCGTGAACGGGGCTCTCTCAGACAGGAGCTGCTCCACCTCAGCCTCGGACGCTGCCAGCAAGGAGGCGATCTTGCGCACTGACTTCTCAATGAGGTGCCTGGCATCCAGATGCCGCTGGATCTCCTCTGTGAGCTGCCTGGAGTCCTCCAGATCGTTGGTGTTCATCAGTTTCCTTTTCACGATCATGAGGGGCACATCAGGGCTGGGGGTGAGGTCAAGGTGTGTGACTGGAGGCAGGGAGATAGGAGAACTGGCTTTGTGTTTCATACTCTGAAACTGCATCACTTTAATGTGGAGATCGTTTCGTTTCCGTACTGCATGATGTGGCTGGTATTGGTGTATGATTTTACCAGGCGGCACTGCTTGTGCAGGGTCTGGTTAGTCAGATCTTCCACGTCCGAGTCTTCCATCCAGTTGACGCTGTACCAGTCCCCCAGGTACGTCGACCTCTTCTCATCATAGTAACAGGTGTAGGACGACTCTCTGGGGTTGGCAGCAGTAGTTGCATAAACATTAGTATCACCAGGCAGGTGGTTCATCATGGACCCAGACTCACAGGCTTCAATATAGAACACCATCTTTTGGTACATTTTATGTATGTACATGTAATGGATGGTCTCATTCAGGTACTTTACATGAAGATCTTCATTGGGAAAAACCAGTATTCCAGTAGATCCATGGTCAGTGAAGTAAACGAACACATACATGATCCTGGGGACCGCTCTTCAGGACTTTCCCGGTTCCTATGCCCTTCACTGCTTCTGCATCGCCTGTCAACACAGCAAGGAAATTTTGTGGGGTAACATCCTCTCCAGTGTAGTCAGTCCTTCGGGAATCCCTGATAGACATCCGTGCCATTGGGTCTGTTGATCACAATTCCTGGAGTGGGATTGTCTTCAGAGTGAGCAGTGTCATCGTACATCATAACAATGATGTGCTCGTCTGGAATCCCATTCCAGTAAATGATCTGGTAGGCATGGCACGCAGCTGCCTGGTGCCTGTAATTATACCAGCCATTTGAACCCGCCACGATCACCACCCAGTGCTTGCGTCCATCTTCAGGATCATCTATGGGAACAGCACCAGTGCCCAGTGCCACGCTGAGGAATACAGCTACTTTCCAAAGCCTTCTGCACTTTGGAGTTCAACTGCAGAAACCTGTGATAAGCGATCGTGGTGGCAGTGGTGGCAGCAGTGGCAGCCGCGGTGCCGAGTGACCGCGGTGGTGGCGGCAGCGGGACCGTGAGAAAAATCTTAATTATAAATTGGAAAATAATGTAACAGTGCAGCATAATATTCTCAGATAAAATATATCCAAGCAAATACAATGGAATTTTGCATCATGGGAAAGTTGTTGGAAGTATTTAGTTTGCCGAATCTAATAAAATCTTATTGTACTTTCTGCACTTATTTACAGTAAATGTGGCATAGTTCTTGTTTCTCCTTGACAGTACTTTTTGAAAATTGTGGTCAGTTGTTTTCCAACCTTTTATTTGCCTTCAGTTTATTTTTTTTTTTAATTTTAACACACAAACAATGTATCCACTTATACTTGTTTCCTATTTTTTCAGTTGCATTGTATCATTTGAGATTTCCTTTCTGATGTATGACATTCTCTAGTTATTCTGTCAAAAAGCCTATATGTATGATAAATTTCTGGGTCCTTGTATGTCAGAAAATTTCTGAACTTAAATCTCTATACAAGTCTCAGTCAAATATTGTCCTTAAAGTCATTTCTCATTTATTCTTCCTGAAATTGTCAGTTCTAGGAAACATCTGGTATCTTTCATTAAAAGAAATTTAACTCTCTTTTGGTGGTCTTTTGAAATGGCCCCTTAAATAAAATGTTCAAGGTTTCATTACAGTGTGTTTATGTGTAGGTATTTTTTCTTTTAATCTCTGTTGACTATTGGTATTCTTTTATTCTGAATAATGCTTTTTAAATCTTCTTTATAGAAAGTATTGGATTATATTTTCTTCAAATATTCTCTTTTCCTTCCCCCTTCTTAGGAGCTTTGGGTCTTTTTTTTTCTACTATTTCTTAGATGGATTTTGAAACTTATGGACTTATTCTCAGTTTCTCTTAACTTCTCTTTCAAGCCACATTTTGAAAAAACTCATATTTCTCTTTCCATTTATTAATTACTCTCCAGTCCTTTTCACTTGTCTAATCCAAGTGTCTAATTTCAGATGTCTAATATTATTAATATGAATAATCACTTTTTTTAAATTTGCAAGTTGTTAATACAAACCCTTTATATAACCATCTTGTGTGATTCTTTCCTGACTCTTCCTCAGTTCTGTTAGGTAATAGCAGTGATGCCATGGATCATGTCAAATATTCAAACTCTCAGTGAACACCCAAAGATAGACATCCAGACAGCCATTGCTTTTCTAATGAAGACAAAACTTTGAAGCACCTGCTGCTTCCATGAAAATATCCAAAATAATCATCCTGCTTTTTGCTAATGTTTTTTCCACAGTTTCTACTTTCCATCAAGGATAATTCCAGAACATTGATGTTTCATCTGTTTGGCTGAAGCTTTGCTGTTGTGGCTGACTTCTCAGGCCTATAAAGAATCCTTGGATCCTCTGGATAAGTAAGAGTTGCCTCTTTCTCTTTCTTTCTTTCTTTCTTTCTTTCTTTCTTTCTTTCTTTCTTTCTTTCTTTCTTTCTTTCTTTCTCTCTTCTTTCTTTCTTTTTCTTTCTTTCTTTCTTTCTTCCCTCTTTCTTTCTCTTTCTTTCTTTCTTTCTTTCTTTCTTTCTTTCTTTCTTTCTTTCTTCCACAGACTAGAATATAATCTATTTTGGGGAGTCAATATGTTGCTGAAAAGTGAAACAGATAAACTTCAAAACTTTATTTTTATGATTGAATTGCATTTTAAAATTATGCATCAAAATTGTTGAACATTTGGAAATAGAACCAAATATGTTTAAAAAACAAGATATTGTCACCTACTAGGCAGAATTAATATTTCTGCAATTGTCCCCCAGTATAATTTATGTTAGTTATTTTTATACTTGAGATTATAATTCATAAATTTGTGGCTCATTTATATTCATTAAATTACATGAATGCTATCATGTGATACTGTAACTTATTACATATGCATACACAATATATTTCTAGGTCAATAAATTTAACAGAATATAATTTTAATAATAATATTAAATTGCATGAATATAACATGATATGCTTAATAAGTTTCTTGATTTCAGATTTTCAATTTTCTTACAATTTCAGCAACATAAATGAGGCTGACAGACCCTACAATTTACAAAACTACCTTTGCCTTTCCCTTAGACTTGTACTTCAAATACATATACAAGGTCAGAGAACATTTCTAGATTCCAAAGTATGAGTCTTATCAATATATACTCAAAGAGTTTTATCACTTTTTATGTCCACATTAGGCACCATATTAGAGCATAAGTATTGACAACATATTATTTAATGTTTAACATTCTGGAATGTGGATGCGTGTGTTCTAACCCTGACCTGATACTTACTGGTCTTGAGATCATGTGGAAGTAGCTAAGTCTCAATCTTATCATTCAGCAAATGGGCAATGATGATTGTGCTTACCTTGTAAGGTGGTTGTAAAGATTTTTTAAAAAGGTGATTTAGGAAAGGAGGGAAGATGGCAGATGGGAGGCAGGACTGACTTGCAACTACCACTCAGATGGACAAAACAGTGTGTGGAGACTCACATCATGAACTTTTGCTCCAAGAACTACTGAAGGAACATACCAGGAAAACTGAAAGAATTAACAGACGCTTTGAAAGAAGTGGCTTGCTGCTGCAAACTCTGAGAGACAGCTGAAAATCAGCGAGTACCCAAAGTGTGAGAGGGGAAAGGTCCACCTCGAAACACACATCCTCACCAGGGAGCCTGAAAATCCAGATTATTGGAGAAGAATTTAACTTTGCCTAGAGCTGAGGCAAATTTAGAGAGCTGGGTGAAATATAAAAGAAGCAGCCGTGGGAAAAGCCCCGTAAGCACTCCTGGGCCGTAGAAAAGCCCAGGGAAGCCATTTCTGAATTCATCTCACATGGGTCCTTGGGGCAGGCTACTAATGGAACTGGGGAAAGAACACAGGGAGAAGGAAACTTCTAGCTGAACTTTGTAGGGATTTTGACCCAGTGCAAATTTTCCAGGGCAGAATCTGGGGATGGGGGTGAATAGGAAGTACAGATATGAGCACAGAAGTCACACTGGGGAAAGGCAGGGCCTGAATGCCCTGCTTGTTTTCTCAGTGTGTGGAGGCTTGTAGCCAGGGACAAGTTCCCAGCCCTGGTTACCAGCTGCCAGTCTAGAAATGTGGGGCTGTTGGGGAAACATGACAGGAGTAAACTAGCCTTTCTCACTGCATGGGAGCTGGATGAGGCTGGTCGCTGCCAGCTTTTCTCTACTTCCCTGGAGACCTATATGAAGCAGTGGAGGCAGCCATAACCCCCCTGGGGATTCCATCTGCCTGATAACCTAACTCCCATCCCCCACAGCAACCACAGCAAACCCCACCCAACAATAGTCTGAGCTCAGACACACCTAACACTGCCTCCACCTAATGGTCTTTCTCTACCTGGCCTGGTAGCCAAAGGCAAAAGACATAATCTCTTAGGAGCTATATGGCCCTGCACATCACCTGAAAAACCCCAACACTTACCTAGGCTACGCTAGAGCAAGCTTGTTTCCTCTCTACAACACCACAGCTGATGCTCTCTTGAAAGCACCACCTCCTTGCTGGAGGCCAAGAAACTCAAGCCATTACAGCAGAACAATCCTGCCCCAAGAAAGCAATAGCTAACTCCACTGCCTGTAACATCCTGGCTAACCAGAGGTCCTGAGTCTGTCCATGTGATAAGTTTACTGCCAGCACAACCAGCATTAGAAAAAAACAGTGCATTGAATAAAACTACAACCAAGGCCCCTCACAGAGTCCCCTTCACTCCCCTGCTGTCTCCACCAGGGCAGGTGCTGGTATCCGTGGCTGAGAGACCTGAAGTCAGATCATATTGCAAAACTCTTTGCAGATACTTTCCAGTACCAGCCTGGAGCCTGGTAGCTCCACTGGGTGGCTAGACCCAGAAGAGAAATAACAATCACTGTAGTCAGGCTCTCAGGTAGTCCCATCCCTAGGAGAAGTGGGAGAACACCACATCAAGGGAGCAAGCACACTATGGGACAAAAGAATCTGAAGGATAACTCTTGAGCCCCAGATCTCTCCTCTGACATAGTCTACCCAAATGAGAAGGAACCAGAAAAACAATTCTGGTAACATGAAAAAAACAAGACTTTTTTAACACCTCCAAAAGATTGCACTAGCTCACCAGCAATGGATACAAACCAAGACAAAATCCCTGAATTGCCAGAAAAAGAATTCAGAAGGTCTATTATTAAGCCAATCAAGGAGGCACCAGAGAAAGGTGAATACCAACTTAAAGAAATTAAAACAATGTTACAGGATATGGATGGAAATATCTCCAGAGAAAAAGATAGCATAAATAGAAAGCAATTACAACTTCTGAAGATGAAGGACACGCTTAGAGAAATGCAAAATACACTGGAAAATTTCAACAATAGAATTGAACAAGTAGAAGAAAGAACATCAGAGCTCGAAGACAAAGTTTTTGAATTAATCCAATCCGACAAAGACAAAGAAAAAAGAATTTTTAAAAAATGAACAAAGCCTCCAAGAAGTTTAGTATTATGCTAAATGACCAAACCTAAAAATAATTGGTGTTCCTGAGGAAGAAAAGAAATTGAAATGTTTGAAAAATACATTTGAGGGAATAATTGATGAGAACTTCTTGGTCCTTGCTAGAGATCTAGACATCCAAAAACAAGAAGCTCAAAGAACACACAGGAAATTTATCATAAAAATATTATTGCCTAGGCCCATAGCCATCAGGTTATCTAAAGTCAAGATGAAGGAAAGAATCTTTAGAGCTGTGAGGCAAAAATATCAGGTAACCCATAAGGGAAAACCTATCAGAATAACAGGAGATTTCTCAGCAGAAACACTACAAGATAGAAGGGATTGGGGTCCCATATTTAGGCTCCTAAACAGAACAATTATCAGCCAAGAATTTCATATCCAGTGAAACTAATCTTCATAAATGAAAAAAAGCCTTTTTTCAGACAAACAAAGGCTTAGAGAATTTGCCACTACAAAGCCAGCCCTACAAGAACTGCTAAAAGGAGCTCTAAATCTTGGAACAAAAACTCAAAATACACCAAAAGAGAACCTTCTTAGGCATAAATCTCACAGGACCTATAAAATAATAACACAATGAAAAAAAGACAAGGTATTCAGGCAACAACCAGCATTATGAATAGAAGAATACCTCACATCTCAATACTGACACTGAAGGTAAGTGGCCTAGATGCTCCACTTAAAAGATGCAGAATGGCAGAATGGATAACAATTCACTAACCATGTATCTTCTGTCTTCAGGAGACTCACCTAACGTATAAGGACTCACAGAAACTTAAGGTAAAGTGGTGGAAAAAGATATGCCATGCAAATGGACAGCAAAAACAAGTAGGGATAGCTATTCTTATATAAGACAAAACAGATTTTAAAGTAACAACAGTTGAAAAAAAGAGGGACATTATATAATGATAAAATGACTAGTCTAACAAGAAAATATCAGAATCCTAAATACATATGCACCTAATCCTGGAGCTCCCAAATTTATAAAATAATTGCTACTAGACCTAAGAAATTAGATAGAGGCAATGCAATAATAGTGGGGGACTTCAATACTCCACTGACAGCACTAGAGAAGTAATCAAGACAAAGTCAACAAAGACACAATGGATTTAAACTACACATGAGATCAAATGGACTTAATAGCTATTTACAGAACATTCTACCCAACAACTGCAGAATATGCGTTCTATTCATTAGCATACGGGACATTCTCCAGGATATGTCCACAGGATATGATGGGCCACAAAATATGTCAACAAATTTAAGAGAATTGAAATTATATCAACTACTCTCTCAGACCACATTGGAATAAAGTTGGAAATCAGCTGCAAAAGAAACCCTCAAAACCATGCAAATACATGGAAATTAAAAACCTACTCCTGAATGATCATTGGGTCAACTATGAAATCAAGCTAGAAATTTAAAAATTATTTTAACTTAATGATAATAGTAACATAACCTATCAAAACCTCTGGGATACAGCAAAAACAGTGCTCAGAGGAACATTCATAGTATTGAATGCCTACATCAAAAAGTCTGAAAGAGCTGGGCACAGTGGCTCACACTTGCAATCCCAACACTTTTGGAGGCCAAGGTGGATCACTTGAGGTCAGGAGTTTGATACCAGCCTGGCCAACATAGTGAAACCCCATCTCTACTAAAAATTAGATGAGTGTGGTGGCATGAGCCTGTGGTCTCAGCTAATTGAGAGGCTGAGGCATGAGAATCTCTGGGACCTAGGAGGCAGAGGTTGCAGTGAGCTGAGATAGTGCCACTGCACTCCAGCCTGGATGACAGAGTGAGACTCCATCTCAAAAAAAAAAAAGTGGGAAAGAGCACAAATAGACAATCTAAGGTCACATCTCAAAGAACTAGAGAAACAAGAACAAACCAAACCCAGCAGAAGAAAAGAAATAACAAAGATCAGAGCAGAACTAAATAAAACTAAAACAACAAAAACAATACAAAACAAATGAAACAAAAAGCTAGTTTTTTTGAAAAGATAAACAAAATTGATACACCATTAGCAAGATCAACCAAGTAAAGAAGACAGAAGATCCAAATAAGCTAAACTAGAAACAAAATGGAAGATATTACAACAAACTACAGAAATACAAAAGATCATTAAAGGCTACCATGAACAGCTTTAAGAACAAGCACTAGAAAATCTAAAGGAGATGAATAAATTCCTGGAAATATACAACCCTTCTAGATTATTTCAGGGAGAAATACAAACTCTGAACAGACCACCACACCTCAATCAAAATGGTGATTATTAAAAAGTCAAGGAACAACAGATGCTACTGAGGTTACAGAGAAAAAGAAACACTTTTACAACGTTGGTTGGAGTGTAAATTAGTTCAACCATTGTGGAAGACAGTGTGGCCATTCCTCAAAGATCTGGAAGCAGAAATACCATTTGACCCAGCAATCCTGTTACTGGATATATACCCAAAGGAATATAAATCATTCTATTATAAAGATACAAGCACCCATAAATAGTGCCATTTATTGCAGCACTATTCACAATAGCAAAGACATGGAATCAACCCAAATGTCTAACAACAATAGACTGGATAAAGAAAATGTGGTACATATACACCATGGAAAACTACACAGCCATAAAAGAGAACAAGATCATGTCCTATCTAAAATAATCTATACATTTAAAACAATGTGAAATTGTTTAAAGGTATTTTAAATAAAATTACAAATGTAAAGTGATTTTTTTGTAAACAAAAAAGATCTAGCCTAAGACATGGAACTGGAAGCTGTCATTCTCAGCAAACTAACACAAGAAGAGAAAACCAAACACCCCATGTCCTCACTTATAAGTGGGAGCTGAATGATGAGAACACATGGACAGGTTGGGGGAACAACACGCAGTGGGGCTTGTTGGGGGATTGCGGGGAAGAAGAGCATCAGGAAAAATAGTTAATTGATGCTGGGCTTAATACGTGGGTGATGGGCTGATTTGTGCAGCAAACGACCATGATACATGTTTACCTATGCAACAAACCTGCACATCATGCACAGTTAGTCGATTTACATTTGGAGTATCTATTGTATTTAATTGATTTATTTTTCTATGCTTGCACCAACCCTTATAATTTTGATTGCTGTATAATGATATAAAGTAGGGTACATCCTCCAAAAACTTCCAAATTTCCAGGGTTTTTTGTTTTGTGTTTAACTATAGTCACCATGCTGCACAATAGTTATCTTGAACTTATTTCCTCTCACCTAACTATAATTTTGTATCCTTTGACCAACATCTCCTCAACCCCCGGTTCCAAACTCCCACCTTCAAACATCTCAGACTCTAGTAACCTCCATTCTACTCTCTATTTCTGAGAGCCACATATATCATACTTCAAAACATCATGCAATACGTACAATTATATGTAAAGTCAATTTAAAAGTGAAGTAAGAAATAAATGTGTCATTGTAATAATCAAAGTTTTTGTTTGTTTTTTTCTTTGTCTTTTTGTTGTTGTTGTCATCTTAGGCTACCTCTTTTGTGTTTACAAAAAAATAGCTTTATATCTGTAATTTTATTTAAAATACCTTTAAAAAATTTTCACACTGTTTTAAATCTATAGATTATTTTAGATAGAATTGATACATTAAAATGAATCTCCCAGCCGGGCGCGGTGGCTCACACCTGTAATCCCAGCATTCTGGAAAGTCGAGGTGGACAGATCGCCTGAGGTCTGGAGTTCTAGACTAGTCTGACCAAGATGGTGAAACCCCCGTCTCTACTAAAAATACAAAAATTAGCCAGGTGTGGTGGTGCATGCCAGCTACTTGGGAGGCTGAGGCAGGAGAATTGATTAAATCCGGGAGGCGGAGGTTGCAGTGAGCCGAGATCGAGCGCCATTGCACTCCAGCCTGGACAAGAGCGAAAAACTCCGTCTCAAAACCAAACAACAACAACAAAAAAAGGTCTTCCAATTCTTTAGGTGATAAATCCTCTTATTTATTCAAATCTTCTTTAAATTTCTTAAGAGTGTTTTATGAGTAGGGACATGTCCATCTTTTGTAAAATATATATGTAATATTTAAATATTATTGAAGTTTAGGAAATGTTTTATTCAAATATTTGAATAAATCGCTGATTAAAGCTTTGCTTCTTTTCTAGTGTAATTGTTTAAAGTTATGTTTCCCTCTAAGCACATTTGAACCATATTTTATTCTATCACACAGTTCAATGACTGGCTGGTGACCTTGAATTTGTACAGGTTTATTTACAGCTTTGTTAGCATGGAATGTATTGAAGCCCCACGGCATTTATGAAGCTTCTTTAACTTGGTATGAAAACAACCCCATTTCTCCTGTGGTAGGAAGCAAGCGAAACCTCTGTTCAGTTCCTTCAGGCTTCCAGTTATTGTTTTCCACATGAATGTCCTTGAATTCAACCTTGCACACGCACAATTCAGGTTTCAGCCACTGTCTTCTTATTAGAGGTAAGCATTCTTATTGTTTTTTTATTTTTTATTTTTATTTTTATTTTATTTTATTTTATTTTCCCAGAGGTAGTGTATATTTATTCCCCTAGCTAATTGTAATATCTTTTTTCCTTTTTCTTTTCCTATTTTATTTTACTTTTTTGAGAGAGAGTCTCGCCCTGTTGCCCAGGCTGGAGTGCAATGGCAGGATCTCGGCTCACTGCAACCTCCACCTCCTGAGTTCAAGCGATTCTCCGGCCTCAGCCTTCTGAGTAGCTGGGATTAGAGGCATGCACCACCATGCCCGGCTAATTTTTTGTGTCTTTGGTAGACACAGGGTTTCACCATGTTGGCCAGGCTGGCCTTGAACTCCTGACCTCGTGATCCACCCGCCTCGGCCTCCCAAAGTGCTAGGATTACAGGCATGAGCCACCGCGCCTGGCCTTTTTTCTTTTTTCTGTGAGAGAAGTTTTATTTCATAATTAATTTTCATTTTGTGCATAATATAAGAATTTTTTGGTTATAGAATTTCATTTTCCCCCTCCTGTTCTTTATCTTTATGCTATTTTTGTCATATAGTTCAGTTCAATAACTGAAAACTAATGTGCCTGGTTATAATTTTCTTTAAATAACTTCTTGCTAATTTCTACATCAGAAAAATTGGTGTGTGTTTCTTCCACTCTAGATTATGGGTCACATTTTTCCAGCTTCACTAAATGGCTCATAATTTATATTTACACTGGCCATTTTCATTGTTGTGTACATTCTGGATTATGTTATCTTCTTTTACAAAATGATATGTTTTATTCAAGCAGAGGGTCAAGTTATCAGTAGATGACCTGATCTTGTGTGGGCTGATATTAGAAGTTTATTACAATTTGCCTTGTGTCCAAGGACCCACACCTTGTTCTCACTATATGATACTTTTCTGCTAAAGTGCGACCTCTCTCAAATTTTCTGAAAATATCCAATTGTTTACCAAATTCTGAATTGATAGTACTTGACTCTGTCTTCATAGCAGCAAACAGTTGCTGAAATCTCAGCTCAGGTATTTCTGCCTATCAGCTATTGCTTTCTTTAGGATCCTGTTGTCTGGCCCAAAATATGCCTACATTATGACCCAGTGAAAGGCTGGAAAATAATTTATACTCAGATTTTGGGGCTCTCCTTCTATGATTTCCCCTTTTCTTCAATTTCCAGTTATTCTGTAATCCAAAACTCTAATATCTCTACCTAGTAAGGCCACTGACTTCTGTTGAACTCTAGTCCTTGTGTGTTAGGCAGGCAACGGAGTGGCCTTCTAGAAAAGTCAGTTAAATGGAGATCTCATCCAGAGGGTTTCCCTTTTCTCTAGGTTATATCCTCCAGCTTCAGTCATATTTGGTCACCCTAGAGAATCTTTAAAAAGTTGTTAATTGTCCATTGGTAAGAGGGTTCATCTAATAAAAGTGACTAATCAATTATTAGAAGCAGTAAGGCTCTGCTAGATGTGTATGTACATACATATAAATTTTATATCTATTACCATATCTTTCCAGAAAATTTCTAATCCTACATGTTCACCAATGATATTTGGGAGTATTCTTCCTAAATTCCTAAGAACAAAAGATGTTATATAACTTCTAAAACATTTATAGCCATATATAAAACATAAAGTGATATGATTTTATGACTTTAATTTGTATTTCTTTGGCTACTAACCTATTTGAATCTCTTTTCATATACTTGGCTATAATTTTGATTTGCTTTTTTATTTTTTTAAATTCACATTGCTTTTTTAGTTTCTAATTAATGTTCATTTTTTACCTTGTCAGTTTGTGAGAGCTCTTTCTAGAAGTACAGCAGGTCCCCAAATAACATCACTCCATTCCACCTCATTTTGTTTTAATACTGATGAGAAGAAAATCAATATCAAGCCAGGTCCACTTTCTGAGTGGAGTGTGTTCATTCTACCATGTTTGTATGGGTTTCCCGTGGCTACTCTGGTTTTCTCCCACATCCCAAATACGTGCATGTTTGGTGAATTGGCATGTTTACATGGTCCCCATCTGAGTTAGCATGGATGTGTGTGTGAGCGTGCTTTGCAATAAGATGGGGGTCTGTCCAGGTATAGTTCCTGCCTTGGGCCCTGAGGTTCCAGGATAGGCTCTGGCCACCTGCCACCCTGAGCTGGACTAACCATGTTGGAAAATGAATGAATGAATGAATGAATGAACGAATACATTTTATTTGTCAAATAAAAATTTAGGGAAAATTTCCAACCTGCTTAAGATAAGCATACAACTGCAGAATAATAAACAATAAAGTGTGGTTAAAATAAAAAACATTGAACCCACCATAATTGCTATTGTTCATTTTTGAACTGTGTGGTGGTACAAGATGCACATTACAATTTTCATTTTGCACACATTTATTTGATTTAACCCACCACTGAAACTAATGCTGTCATTCATTGAGTCACGAAAAATTTGATAAATAATTACCTTTTTTTGTTTTGATTAATCTTTCTCAAATACATGGATAGTGTATATCGACTTCAGTGTTTAATATAAGAAGTATTTTGGGTCTTTGTTTAGAAATTTGGTGGTGCTTTTGTGACCAGAAATATGCAGCAGAAACCAAACTCTTGTTTATGTCAATTAGATAATGGTAAAGTTGGTTTTGTTATACGTCATTTCTATGGAAGTTGCAGTTTCCTAGATCCTATCAATGACGTTAAAGATTTGCTGTATTAAAGTGTATTTTTTACCATTAGAATTTGTTGCATAATATATCTTGTTTTACATTCAAAACTATTTATAATTAAATCTGAAGTTTAATCAATATCATAGAACAAACACAAAGTAAGGCCATTTAATAAAGGAAATAAAAACATAAATAAAAAACTAATAATTCCATGGTGCTTAAAAAGTGCTGGGCATTGTGCCAAAAAAATTAATTATATTTATACATTTAATCCTTCTAGCAATCCTAGGATTAAAGAACTATTCTTATTCCCACTTTAATAGAGTAAAATAGGTACTCTGTTTAGTATATTGCCCAAGGAAACAACTATGAGTAAATGGGAAAGTCAAATTTTAAATCTCGCCAATCTTGCTCATGTCCTGCATTTTTATGCATTACAAAATACTGCTTCATGTATATATGTACGGAAGTATTTTATTGACAATGTTTTTTGCCTATTCCTCAAAACAGATTACTCTTGGTCTTAAAATATGATCATTAATTTCATTTTAAAACTAGTTATTTACTATGTTTTTTACTACATATACTTACATCAAAATATGGGAGCACATAAGTTTGTTGATATTTTAACTTTTAGTTTAGATTCAAGGAGTACATGTGCACATTTGTTACAAGGGCATATTGCATGATGTTGAGGTTTGACGAAAAACTGAACCCATCACCCAAGTAGTGACCATGGTATTCAATGGTAATTTTTAAATCCCTGCCGTGTCCTCACTTTTGCTGTAGTCCGCAGTATCGATCGTTCTCATCTTCATGTCCATGAGTACTCAATGTTTAGCTACCACTCATAAGTAAGAACATGCAATATTTGATTTTCTGTTCCTGTGTTCATTCACTTAGGTTAAGGCCTCCAGCTACATCCATGTTGCTGCAAAGGACATGATTTCATTCTTTCTTATTGCTGCATAGTATTGCATGGAGGATTTATACCATGTTTACTTTATCCAATCCACCACTGATGGACACCTAGATTGATTTCACATTTTTGTTGTTGCAAATAGTGCTGAAATGAACATGGTAGTGCATGTATCTTTTTCGTAAAATAATTTATATTCCTTTTGATATATACCCAGTAATGGGATTGCTGGAATGAATGGTAGTTCTGTTTTTCGTTCTTTGAGAAATCTCCAAACTGCTTTCCTCAGGAGATTAATTAATTTACATTCCCACCAACGGTGTATAAGTGTTCCCTTTTCTATACAGCCTCACCAGCATCTGTTGTTTTTTGTTTGACTTTTTAATAATAGTCATCCTGGTATATCATTGTAGTTTTTATTTTCATTTCTCTGATGATTAGTGATGTGGAGAATTTTTCATATCCTTGTTGGCTGCATGTATGTCTAGTTTTGAGAAGTGCCTGTTCATGTCCTTTGCCTAATTTTTAATGAGGTGGTTTTTTTTTTCTCTTTGATTTGTTTAAGTTCCTTATAGATTATGGATACTAGGCCTTTGTTGGATTCATAGTTTGCAAATATATTTTCCCAATCTGTAGTTTGTCTGTTTACTCGATTGGTAGTTTCTTTTGCTGTGCAGAAGCTTTTTAGTTTAATTGGGTCCCATTTGTCAATTTTTGTTTTTGTTTCAATTGTTTCTGTGGATGTAGTCATGAATTATTTGCCAAGGCTTTGACCAGGAAAATATTTCCTAGAGTTTCTTCTATGGTTTTTATAGTTTGAGCTCTTGCACTTAAGTCCTTATCAGTCTTGAGTTAATTTTTGTATATTGTAAGATGTAGGGGCCCAGTTCTATTCTTCAGCTTATGGATATCCAATTATCCCAGCACCTTTTATTGAATGGGGAGTCTTTTCCCTCGTTGATTATTTTTGTTCACTTTGTCAAAGATCAGTTAGTTTGGGGTATGGCTTCATTTCTGGGTTTTCTAATCTGTTACATTGGTCTATGTGTTTGTTTTTGTGCCAGTACATTCTGTATTGGTTACTGTAGCCTTGTAGTATAGTTTGAAATGTGATGACTCCAGCTTTATTCTTTTTGCTGAGGATTGCTTTGGCTATTCAAGCTCTGTTTTTGGTTCCATATGAATTTTAGAATAGTTTTTTTTCTAATACTGTGAAAAAATGACATTGATCATTTGATAAGAACAGGGTTGAATCTGTATATTGCTTTGAGCTGTATGGTCATTTTAAGAATATCAGTTCTTCCAATCTGTGAGCATGGAATGTTTTTCCATTTGTTCGTGTCATCTCTGATTTCTTTCAGCAGTGTTTTGTAGTTCTCTTTGTAGATATCTCTCACCTCCTTGATTTGCTATATGCCTAAGTACTTTATTTCTTGTGACTATTATAAATGGGAGTGTGTTCTTGATTTGGTTCTTACCTTGAACATTATTGGTGTATATAAATGCTAGTGATTTTTGTATGTTGATTTTATATCTTGAAATTTTACCAAAGTAATTTATCAGTTCCAGGAGTCTTCTGGCAAAGTATTTAGGGTTTTCTAAGTATAGAGTCACATCACCAGTGAAGAGTGTTAGTCTAACTACTTCTTTTCTTATTTGGATGATTTTATTTGTTTATTTTGCCTCATTTATCTGGCTAGGACTTCCAGTACTATGTCAAATAGGAGTGATGAGGGTGGTCATCCTTGTCTTGTTCTAGTTCTCAAGGGGAATATTTCCAGCTTTGCCTGTACAGTATGATATTGGCTATGGTTTGTCATAAATGGCTTTTATTATTTTGAGGTATATTCCTTCAATGTCTAGTTTGTTAAGGGTTTTTACCATGAATATTTATTGGATGTTTTCAAAAGCTTTTTTTGTGTCTATTGAGATGATCATTTGGTTTTTGTTTTCAATTCTGTTTATGTGTTGAGCTGCATTTGTAGATTAGCTTATGTTGAATCAACCTTGCATCCCAGGGATAAAGCCTACTTGGTCATGGTGAATTAGCTTTTTCATGTGCTGCTGGATTTGGTTTACTAGTAGTTTGTTGAGAATTTTTGCTTCTGTGTTCATCAGGGATATTGGCCTGTAGACTTTTTTTTTGTCTCTTTGACAGATGTTGGTATCAGGGTGATGTTATTTTTCTAGAATCACTTAGGAAGGAGTACCTCTGCCTCAATCTTTTGAAATAGTTTCGGTATAATTGCTCCCAGCTCTTCTTTGATATCTGGTAGAATTTAGCTGTGAATCCATCTGGTCCTAAGATTTTTTCCTGGTTGTTAGGTTTTCTATTACTGATTCTATTTCAGAACTCATTATTGGTCTGTTTAGGGTTTCAGTTTTCTCCTGATGTAAACTTGGGAGACTGTCTTTACAGGAATTTATCCATTTATCCTAGGTTTTCAAGTTTGTGTAAACAGAGGTGATCAAAATAGTCTGTGAAGATCTTTTGTATTACAGTGGGATCAATTGTAATGTCACCTTCGTCATTTCTGATTGTGCTTAATTGTAATGTCACCTTTGTCATTTCTGATTGTGCTTATTTGGGTCTTCTCTCTTTTTTTCTTTGTTAATCTAGCTAGTGGTCCAATGATCTTGTTTATCCTTCAAAAAACCAACCTTTTGTTTAATTGATCCTTAGTATGGATTCTGGGATCTCAATTTCATTTGGTTCTGCTTTAATTTTAGTTGTTTTTTTTCTGCTACCTTTGTGGTTAGTTTGTTCTTGTCTTTAAAATTTCTCTGAGTGTGATGTCAGATTGTTAATTTGTGATCTTTCTAACTTCGTGTTATAGGTATCTAGTGCTATAAACTTTCCTCTTAACACTGTTTTTGCCACATCTCAGAGATTTTGGTATGTTGTGTCACTTTTTGTCATTTATTTCAAAGAATTATTTTTATTTCTGCCTTAAATTTGTTTTTTACCCAAAAGTCATTCAGGAACAAATTGTTTACTTTCTATGTAATTATGTGATTTTGAGAGATACTCTTTTTGTTAATTTCTATTTTTATTCCACTTTCATTTGAAATTATACTCGGTAAGATTTTGACTTTTTTGAATTTATTGAGAATTGCATTATGCTGTAAATGTTTTTGATCTTACAGTATGTTCCACTGGCAGATGAGGAGAATATATATTGTGTGATTGATAGGTGAGGTATTCAGTTGATGTCTATTAGGTCCAATTGGTTATTGTAAAATTTATGTCCAGAAATTCTTTGTTTTTTTTTCTGCCACTATGCTCTAATACCTTTAGTGAGGTGTTGAAATCCCCTACTATTATTGTGTGACTATGTCTTTCATAAGTTCAGACATACTTGTTTTATAAATCTGAGTATTCCAGTGTTGGATGTTTTTATGTTTAGAAAAATTAAGGCTTCTCGTTGAATGGAACCCTTCATTATTATGTAATAACCTTAATTGTCCTTTTTAACTGCTATTGGTTGAAAGGCTCTTTTATATGATGCAAGAATAGCAACCTCTGCTCTTTTCTGAGTGATCAATCTGTCTCTATGCCTTTACTTTTAGCCTATGGACTCATTACATATGAGATAGGTCTCTGGAAAAGAGTAGAATTTTGGGTCTTGTTTTTTCATTTTCTTCTTTTTTTTTAAAATTGGCATTTACATTCAAGGTTAACATTGATATGTGAAGTTTTGATCATGTCATGCCCCCATGCCATGGAAAAGGCATCCCTGCTCTCTCCCTACCTGGCAATCAGCAGGGCTATTATTAATCAGAATGAGATGGAGAGCTTGGGGGATGGACACCTATAGTCATATTTGGCTGCAGTAGCACTGTGCACCATGAAACCTTCTGGGTTCCATGCAAGTTGGAGCTCTCTCTCTGCCTACACTCCAGGCAGGTCCCCCTGGCAATTCAAATCTTTATGTGAGATCATGAGATCTCTTGCAGCTATGATCTCAGAGATCTTTGGCAGGACTGTGGTGCCCTAGAGTTCCTTCACTTACCCCTTTCTTAGGATGTGTTCAGGAACGGGAGCCAGTCCTGATGCTCAGTAACTCTGCAAACTTCCCAGCTTTCACCTCTCTATCAACTTTCAGTGATTTTTTTTCTCAAAAGATCTGTTTAAAGTGTGATAGTTTATATCATATTTTGGTTTCTCTCAGTAAGAGAGATGTTTCTCATCTGCATCTAGTTGGCCACCTTAGTTGTCCCTGACTGATGTCCTGACTTTCAAAAAAATGTAATTCTGTAATTGATTTCAAAATATTAGTCTGAGCATTTTTCTTTGTAATTTTAAGGTTTGCAGCTTTTCTGGAAATAATAGCATACATGCTTTTATTTAATTTATTTTCTTATTTTAAAGATTTATTAATTTAATTTTTACCATTTAAAAATATACAGGAAAATTCACATGTTTTGCTTGAATTACAACAGTAGGCACCAACAAATAGTGTATTAGGTATAAAATATCAGTTTATAAGCGTATTAGATTGACTGCTAATGCAGAACAAAAGGTAAACAGAGTAATGACTCAAATTCAAATGGATAAATCTGGCAAGTCATGAATAAGTTGTCTCATATTATCTAAAAAAGGAGCTAAAAGATTGTGGGTAAAGAAGGAGAAATAGTGATTTAAATGAATAATAAAGTCATATTTTAGATAATCATATATTTGAATCATCAGAAATGTGTAATTATTTTCATCTCAAAGAGGTAACGCTTTACACTTACTTAGTAAAATCTATGCATAGTTAAATCAAAGCACAAAAATAAAAACAGCATATATGTGGGTGAAAGATTCTTGGAATGAAGTAGAAAATTGTTTTTATTTCTCCAAAAAGTATATGTGAAATAAACATGTACAAAGAGAAAATACATTGGTAAATATTGTACATAGAGGTATTCATCCTGAAATTTAACCAAAGTAAATATATCATGCATTTATTGAATTTATAATTATTTCCAAAGAGTCATTTTATAATGTTATTTTGGAGAGTTGAAAATCATTTAGTATTGAGACAACAGTCTCTCTATATACAAATGCATAAATTGTTTATTTTAGAAATATTTCTATTCAGTATTTCCCAGCACTTTTGTTTCTTTTCTTTTTTTTTTTCAAAGAATATCTATTTTTAAATTATTGTACTTTAAGTTCTGGGATACATGTGCAGAATGTGCAGGTTTGTTACATAGGTATACACGTGCTATGATGGTTTGCTGCATCCATCAACTGGTCGTCTACATTAGGTATTTCTCCTGATGCTATCCCTCCCCTAGCCCTTCACTCCCCGACAGGCCCCAGTGCGTTATGTTCCCCTCCCTGTATCCATGTGTACTCATTGTTCAACTCCCACTTATGAGTGAGGACATGCAGTGTTTGGTTTTCTGTTCCTGTGTTAGTTTGCTGAGAATGATTGTTTCCAGCTTCATCCATGTCCCTGCAAAGGACATGAATTCATCCTTTTTTATGGCTGCATAGTATTCCATGGTGTATATGTGCCACATTTTCTTTATCCAGTCTATCATTGATGGACATTTGGGTTGGTTCCAAGTCTTTGCTATTGTGAATAGTACTGCAATAAACATACATGTGCATGTGTCTTTATAGTAGAATGATTTGGTCATATACCCAGTAATGGGATTGCTGGGTCAAATAGTATTTCTAGTTCTAGATCCTTGAGGAATTGCCACATTGTCTTCCACAATGGTTGAATCAATTTACACTCCCACCAACAGTGTAAAAGTGTTCTTACTTCTCCACATCCTCTCCAGCATCTGTTGTTTCCTCACTTTTTAATGATCATCATTCTAACTGGCATGAGATAGTATATCAGTGTGGTTTTGATTTGCATTTCTCTAATCACCAGTGATGATGAGCTTGTTTTCATGTGTTAGCTGCATAAATGTCTTCTTTTGAGACCTGTCTGTTCATCTCTTTGCCCACTTTTTGATGAGTTTTGCTTTTGTTTTTTTTTTTGTTTTTTTGTAAATTTGTTTAGGTTCCTTGTAGATTCTTGATATTAGCCCTTTATCACATGTATAGATTGCAAAATTTTTCTCCCATTCTGTAGGTTGCCTGTTCACTCTGATGATAGTTTATTTTGCTGTGCAGAAGCTCTTTAGTTTAATTAGATCCCATTTGTCCATTTTGCCTTTTGTTGCCATTGCTTTTGATGTTTTAGTCATGAAGTCTTTGCCCATGCCTATGTCCTGACTGGTATTGCCTAGGTTTTCTTCTAGGGTTTTTATGGTTTTAGGTCTTAAGTTTAAGTCTTTAATCCATCTTGAGTTAATTTTTGTATAAGGTGTAAGGAAGGGGTCAAAATTCAGTTTTCTGCATATGGCTAGCCACTTTTCCCAACACCATTTATAAAATAGGGAGTCCTTTCCCCATTGCTTGTTTTTGTCAGGTTTGTCAAAGATCAGATGGTTGTAGATGTCTGGTGTAATTTCTGAGGCCTCTGTTCTGTTCCATTGGTAGTTTGATGGGGATAGCATTGAATCTATAAATTACTTTGGGAAGTATGGCCATTTTCACAACATTGATTCTTCCTATCCATGAACATGGAATGCTTCTCCACTTTTTTGGGTCCCCTCTTATTTCCTTGAACAGTAGTTTGTAGTTTTCCTTGAAGAGGTCCTTCAAATTCCTTGTAAGTTTTATTACTAGGCATTTGATTCTCTTTGTAGCAATTGTGAATGGGAGTTCACTCATGATTTGGCTCTCTGTCTATTACTGGTGTATAGGCAGGCTTGTGATTTTGCACATTGATTTTGTATCTTAAGACTTTGCTGACGTTACTTATCAGCTTAAGGAGAATTTGGGCTGAGACGATGGGGTTTCCTAAATATACAATCATGTCATCGGCAAGTAGACCACTTGACTTCCTCTCTTTCTATTTGAATACCCTTTATTTCTTTCTCCTGCCTGATTACCCTGGCCAGAACTTCCAATACTATGTTGAATAGGAGTGGTGAGAGAGGGCATCCTTGTCTTGTGCCAGTTTTCAAAGGGAATGCTTCCAACTTTTGCCCTTTGAAAAATTCAGTATGAGATTGGCTGTGGGTTTGTCATAACTAGCTCTTATTATTTTGAGATACGTTCCATCAATACCTAGTTTATTGAGAGTTTTTAGCATGAAGGGGTGTTGAATTTTATCAAAGGCCTTTTTCTGTACCTATTGGGATAATCATTTTTTTTTCATTGGTTCTGTTTATGTGATGGATTACAATTATTGATTTGCATATACTGAACCAGCCTTGCACCTCAGGGATGCAGCTGACTTGATCATGGTGGATAAGCTTTTTGATGTGCTGCTGGATTTGGTTTGCCAGTATTTTATTGAGGATTTTCGCATCCATGTTCATCAGGGATATTGGCCTGAAATTTTCTTTTTTGTTGTGTCTCTGCCAGGTTTTGGTATAAGAATGATGCTGGCCTCATAAAATGAGTTAGGGGGGAGTCCCTCTTTTTCTGTTGTTTGGAATAGTTTCAGAAGGAATGGGACCAGCTCCTCTTTGTACCTCTGGTAGAATTTGGCTGTGAATCCATCTGGTCCTGTTTTTTTTTTTTTTTTGGTTGGTAGGCTATCAGTTACTGCCTCAAGTTCAGAACTTGTTATTGCTGTATTCAGGGATTCGACTTCTTCCTGGTTTAGTCTTGGGAGGGTGTATGTGTCCAGGAACTTATCAATTTCTTCTAGATTTTCTAGTTTATTTGCATAGAGGTGTTTATAGTATTCTCTGATAGTAGTTTGCATTTCTGTGGGATCAGTGGTGATATCCTCTTTATCATTTTCTATTGTGTCTATTTGATTCTTCTTTCTTTTCTTCTTTATTAGTCTGGCTAGCATCTATCTATTTTGTTAATCTTCAAGAAACCAGCTCCTGGACGCATTTATTTTAGGAAGGATTTTTCATGTCTCTAACTCCTACAGTTCTGCTCTGATCTTAGTTATTTCTTGTCTTCTGCTAACCTTTGAATTTGTTTGCTTTCACTTCTCTAGCTTTTTAAAAAGTGATGTTATGGTGTCGATTTTAGATCTTTCCCACTTTCTCCTGTGGGCATTTAGTGCTATAAATTTCCCTCTAAACACTGCTTTAGCTGTGTCCCAGAGATTCTGGTATGTTGTGTCTTTGTTCTCATTGGTTTCAAATAACTTATTTATTTCTGGCTTAATTTTGTTATTTACTCAGTAGTCATTCAGGAGCAGAGACAATTTTCCATTTTTTTCTGCCCTCTCTTATTTCCTTGAGCTGTGGTTTGTAGTTCTCCTTGAAGAGGTCCTTCACATCCCTTGTAAGTTGTATTGTTTCCATGTAGTCATGCAGTTGTTGTTCAGTTTCCACATAGTCATGCAGTTTTGAGTGAGTTTCTTAGTCTTGAGTTCTAATTTGATTGCACTGTGGTCTGAGAGACTGTTTGTTATGATTTCTGTTTTTTTGCATTTGCTGAGGAGTATTTTACTTCCAATTTTGTGGTCAATTTTAGAATAAGTGTGATGTGGTGCTGAGCAGAAAGTATATTCTGTTGATTTGGGGTGGAGAGTTCTGTAGATGTCTGTTAAGGTCTGCTTGGTCCAGAGCTGAGTTCAAGTCCTCAATATCCTTGTTAATTTTCTGTCTTGTTGATCTGTGTATTGACAGTGGGGTGTTAAATTCTCCCATTGTTACTGTGTGGGAGTCTAAGTCTGTTTGTAAATCTTTAAGAACTTGCTTTATAAATTTGGGTGCTCCTATATTGGATGCATAAATATTTAGGATAGTTAGCTCTTCTTGTTGCATTGATCCCTTTACCATTATGTAATGCCCTTCTTTGTCTTTTTTGATCCTTGTGGGTTTTAAGTCTGTTTTATTAAAGACTAGGACTGCAACGCCTGCTTTGTTTTTTCTTTCCATTTGCTTGGTATATATTCCTCTATCCCTTTATTTCGAGCCTATGTGTGTCTTTGCACATCAGATGGGTATACTGAATACAGCACACTGGTGGGTCTTGACTCTGTCCAATTTGCCAGTCTGTGTCTTTTAATTGGGGCATTTTTGCCCATTTACATGAAGGTTAATATTGTGATGTGTGAATTTGATCCTGTCACTATGATGCTAACTGGTTATTTTGCCCAATAGTTAATGCAGTTTCTTCATAGTGTCAACGGTCTTTACAATTTGGTGTGTTTTTGAAGTGGCTGGTACTGGTTTTTCCTTTCCATATTTAATGCTTCCTTCAGGAGCTCTTGTAAGGCAGGCCTGGTGGTAACAAAATCTCTCAGTATTTGCTTGTCGGTAAGGGATTTTATTTCTCCTTTGCTTATGAAGATTAGTTTGGTTGGATATGAAATTCTGGGTTGAAAGTTTTTTTCTTTAAGAATGTTGAATATTGGCCCCCACTCTCTTCTGGCTTGTAGGGTTTCTGCAGAGAGATCTGCTGTTAGTCTGATGGGCTTCCCTTTGTGGGTAACCCAACCTTTCTCTCTGGCTGCTGTTAACATTTTTTCCCTTCATTTCAACCTTGGTGAATCTGATGATTATGTATCTGGGGGTTGCTCTTCTCGAGGAGTATCTTTTTGATGTTCTCTGTATTTCCTGAATTTGAATGTTGGCCTTTCTTGCTAGGTTGGGGAAGTTCTCCTGGATAATATCCTGAAGAGTGTTTTCAAACTTGGTTCTGTTCTCCCTGCCACTTTCAGGTACGCCAATCAAACATAGGTATGGTCTTTTCACATAGTCCCATATTTCTTGGAGGCTTTGTTCATTTCTTTTCATTTTTTTTCTCTAGTCTTGTCTTAAAGCTTTATTTGATTGAGGTGAACTTCGATCTCTGATATCCTTTCTTCTGCTTCATCGATTCAGTTATTGATACTTGTGTAAGCTTCATGAATTTCTTACGTTGTGTTTTTCACCTCCATCATGTCATTTATGTTCTTCTCTAAACTGATAATTCTAGTTAACAATTCGTCTAACCTTTTTTCAAGGTTCTTAGCTTTCTTGCATTGGGTTAGAACATGCTCCTTTAACTCAGAGGAGTTTGTTATTTCCCACCTCTGAAGCCTACTTCTGTCCATTTGTCAAACTCATTTGTCATCTAGTTTTCTTCCCTTGCTGATGAGGAGTTGTGATCCTTTGTAGGAGAAGAGGCTTTCTGGTTTTTGGAATTTTCAGCCTTTTTGCACTGGTTTTTCCTCATCTTCATGGATTTAGCTACCTTTGGTCTTTGAGGTTGGTTACCTTCGGATGGAGTTTTTCAGTGGATATTCTTTTTGTTGATGTTGATGCTATTCCTTTCTATATGTTAATTTTCTTTCTAAAATTCAGACCCTCTGGAGGCTTCATCGCAGAGGGGCACCCGCCACATGCCAACTGTAGCTCTCCTTTATGAGGTGTCTGTTGACCTGCTCAGAGGTGTCTGTCAATCCCTGCTGGGAGGTGTCTTCCAGTCAGGAGTTACAGGTGTCAAGCACCCTCTTGAGTAGGTAGTGTGTCCCTTAGCAGAGTTCAAGTGCTGTGCTGGGAGATCTGCTGCCCTCTTCATAGCCGGCAGGCAGGAATGTTTAAGTCTGCTGAAGCTGTGCCCACAGCCACTCCTTCCCCCAGGTGTTCTGTCCCAGGGAGATGGAAGTTTTATCTATAAACCCCTGACTGGGGCTGCTGCCTTTCTTTCAGAGATGCCTTACCTAGAGAGGAGGAATCTAGAGAGGCAGTCTGGCTACAGTGGATTTGTCGAGCTGTGGTGGGCACTGCCCAGTTTGAACTTCCCAGAGGCTTTGTTTACAATGTGAGGGAAAAAGCACCTAATCAAGCTTCAGTAATGGCCGACACCCCTCTCCTCACCAAGCTTGAGCTTCCCAGGTCGACTTCAGACTGCTGTGCTGGCAGCAAGACTTTCAAGCCAGTGGAACTTAGCTTGCTTGGCTCTGTGGTGGTGGGATCTGCTGAGCTAGAACACTTGGTTCCTTGTCTTCAGCCCCCTTTTCGGTGGAGTGAACAGTCTTGTCTCGCTGGCATTCGGGTGCCACTGTGGCATGGAAAAAAAGAAAAACCTACAGCTAGCTCAGTGTCTGCCCAAACAGCCGCCCAATTTTGTGCTTGAAACCTAGGGCCCTGGTGGTGTAGGTACCTGAGGGAATCTCCTGCTCTGTGGGTTGCAAAGACCGTGGGAAAAGCATAGTATCTGGGCCAGATAGCACGGTTCCTCACCACAGAGTCTCTCACAGCTTCCCTTGGCTGGCGGGGGGAAGTTCCCCAACCCTTGCACTTCCCGGGTGAGGTGATGCCCCACCTTGCTTTGGCTCGCCCTCCGTTGGCTCCACCCACTATCTAACCAGTCTCAATGAGGTGAGCCAGGTACCTCAGTTGGAAATGCAGAAATCACCCACCTTCTGCGTTGATCTCGGTGGGACCTGCAGACCGAAGCTTTTCCTATTCAGCCACCTTGCCAGCCACTTTTGTGTCTTAAAATGAAAAGAGATGATAAATATTTGGTTTTAAAAATGTAAATTAAAAGCAAATGAGTAAAACAATTATTCTTAAGAAATTTACATTGTATTATTATTGCATTTGGGAAGAATATCCTCTTAATTAATTTTATTGTCTTCATCATAGATCTGCAAAATTTTTTTTTGTAAATAGCCAGATAGTAACTATTTTAGGCTTTTTGAGTCATAGGGTCTCCGTGCCAAATACTTCATTTTAGGATGAATGCAGCACAAAAAATACAATTTAATTAGGGACAAATGATCTTGTATTAGACAATCATTTCAGCAAGTAAGAATTAGAAAATTTTAAAATATATGCATAAAAAGGAAGACAATGGGAAATGATCATAGACAGAAAGAATGTGCAAATTCAGTTCTAGAAAGACCAGAAGCACACTGATGTCCACATTTACGAGCTTCTTTTGTGTCCTTATCTACCCTTTATTTATAATGAAGAAAAAAGTCATGGAGAAATCTGCATACTTATTGACTAGGAGTGGCAGAGTCCACAGGGACTGGTGATTGTGCAGGTAAATTCAGGAATGGATGGTCAAAGCTGATGAGGCTCACTATCTGCATAAAATTTGTTATGTTCTTGATTAGCACAATCAGGAGAGAAGTCCCACCAAATTAAAAGGAGGTCATAAATGTCTCAGATTTTTGAAATGTCATACTCTCTAAAAGTGTAGAATAAGTTTTAACAAATGTAAAGTTACCAGTCCATAGCATAACAACCTGATTGAATGAAAATCAAAACTGCTCAGAGTAAAATAACCAAATCCAAATCTCTTCAAAGTTCTTTCAAATATATTCCATGTAAAGAAAACTTTATTAGACATAAGAACAATCAGGAAAATGTAATCTATTTACTAGAAAAAAATTAGATAATGGAAACATACTCTAAGATGACTGATGATGAAATTTGCAGCTAAGTATTTGGAATCAGCTCTAATAGTATTTAAAGGCTTAAAGTAAACAATGACCCTAATGAATGAACAGATGAGAAATATTAGCTGAGAAATAGAAACAAATCTAAAGTAATAAAATTTCTGGGACAGAAAGGTACATTGTTTGCATAATATTTGAATTCTATAAGTGAAAAAATAGATGATGTAAAATAAATAATTATAAATTAATACAAAATAATAGTTTCAAATATTTCAAATATTTGAAATTAAAGAGCCCATTTCTAAGCAGAATAGATAATCAAAAGAAAAGTTAAACTACTCTAAAATACATCATAATAAAATTGTGGAAAACTAATAATAAAATGAAAAATGACAAAGAGAAAAAATATATATATATTGACATACAGGGAAAAAAATTAGACTCTCATTTGATTCATCTTTAAGAAAATGTGGGCAAAGCGTGGTGGCTCATGCCTGTAATCTCAGCACTTTGGGAGGCTGAGGCGGGTGGATCATGAGGTCAGATCGAGACCATTCTGGCTAACACCATGAAACCCCGTCTCTACTAAAAAAAAATACAAAAAATTAGCCGGGCATGGAGGCGGGTGCCTGTAGTCCCAGCTACTGGAGAGGCTGAGGCAGGAGAATGGCGTGAACCCGGGAGGTGGAGCTTGCAGTGAGCCAAGATAGCACCACTGCACTCCAGCCTGGGCGACAGAGACAGAATCCATCTCAAAAAAAAAAAAAAAGAAAAAAGAAAATGGGGACAGAAGAAAATAAGACAATAACATATTATAGACATGCTGTGGAACTAAAATAAAATCATAAAACGAAAATAAAAACTGCTGATTCAGAATTTTATATGCAGCAAAACTCTCTTTCATAATTAAAATGAAATAAAAACATTTTACACCATGACAAAACAGTACAAAAACCTTGGGAAAATTTCGTGCTAGTACACCTGCACCAAAAGAATTGCTAATTAAAAAATTTTGAACTTAAGAAAAATGATAATAGACAGAAATCAGGGATGATTATAATTTTTTTCTCACTTGTATGTAATACATCTTTTTTTTCTGTTTGCCAGTGTTTTAAAAAATTAAACATGCATTTACCTTATTGTACATAAGTAATGTGTCAATACGTTGAATTAAAAAAAATTCTTCTGCTGCCTGTATCCTACATAATAATAAATTCAGTATGTTACTGGATATGTATTGTCAGGAAACAAAACTCTATATACAATCCACAAAAAGAAGAAGATGCAAAATAATTAAATGTATCTAGGCCAATGAATAGACATGAGCAAATATAGCTGGTTATAGTGGTACATGCCTGTAGTACCACTCACTCAGGATCACTTGAGACCAGGAGATCAAATCCAGCCTGGACAACACAGTGAGAGCTCCATCTTTAAAAACTAAACAAACAGATATAAGCAAATTTATTCCAGAAAGTAAATCAAACAATCTATGTACCACATTACGACAAAGAAGAAGATGAATTTCCAAAACAATGGGACAAATGTTAACCATAAATTTAACATTTATGAACTACAATTTGCAGCATCATATAGAAATACCACTGGTCTGACAATAGAAGTTTATAAGGATTTTTTAGTGTATTTGGGTTATTTTTGATTTTCATTTCTGCTGTGTGTTACAAATTACCATAATTATTTTGTCCTCTTTGAATAACACGGGTGGAATGAAAAACAAAGTTGGTGAAGCCATGATAACATAAAAATAGCAATTTTTACTGCAAATACTATGGGAGTTTTTAAAATTATTATACTTTAAATTCTAGGGTACATGTGCATAATGTGCAGGTTTGATACGTAGGTATACATGTGCCATGTTAGTGAGCTGCACCTGTCAACTCATCATTTATATTAGGTATTTATCCTAATGTTATCCCTCCCCCAGCACCCCACCCCCCGAGAGGCCCCAGTGTGTGATGTTTCCTGCCCTGTGTCCAAGTGATCTCATTGTTCAATTCCCACCTATGAGTGAAAACATGCAGTGTTTGGTTTTCTGTCCTTGTGATAATTTGCTGAGAATGATGGTTTCCATCTCCATCCATGTCACTGCAAAGGACATGAACTCATCCTTTTTTATGGCTGCATAGTATTCCATGGTGTGTATGTGCCGCATTTTCTTAATCCAGTCTATCATTGATAGACATTTGGGTTGTTTCCAAGTCTTTGTTATTGTGAATAGTGCCGCAATAAACATACGTGTGCATGTGTCTTTATAGTAGCATGATTTATAATCCTTTGGGTATGTAGCCAGTAATGGGATTGCTGGGTCAAATGGTAATTCTAGTTCCAGCTCCTTGAGGAATCACCACACTGACTTCCACAATGATTGAACTAATTTACACTCCCACCAACAATGTAAAAGCATTCCTGTTTTTCCACATCCTCTCCAGCATGTGTTGTTTCCTGACATTTTAATGATTGCCATTCTAACTGGCATGAGATGGTATATCATTGTCGTTTTGATTTGCATTTCTCTGATGACCAGTGATGATGAGCATTTTTTCATGTGTCTATTGGCTGCATAAATGTCTTCTTTTGAGAAATGTCTGTTCATATCCTTTACCCACTTTTTGACGGGGTTGTTTGTTATTTTCTTGTAAATTTGTTTGAGTTCTTTGTAGATTCTGGATATTAGCCATTTGGGGAGTGTATTTTTATAGTCAAAAGAATAACAATATGTGTAAGCTATATAACTCTATGTAGCTTTTAGTATGACATAACCCTATTCTCTTCTTGTCCTATTAGGTGACTGATAATTAGACAAAAATTTCAAAGACATGTTGTATTAATAACTAAATTTCTTTTATTCTGCTTGTTCCTGTGCTATGTGAGAATAGCCTACTAAATATGCAATATGTATAAGAAATTAATTGAACAACAAACAAGATAACGCTTTTCATTTACATAAATTTTGCAAATACACACTCAATATTCTTGAAAATGTATTCATTGTCATTATTCTTCCAGTTATGTTTAATGTTTATAAAATCTGGGTTATTTTCAATCTTGGATATTTGCAATGTTTCTAATTTTGTTCTTGTAATTTAAAAGGGAGTAAATAACAACACCAAAACAAATAAGCAAAAAAGCCTTCTTAAGAATGATTTCACTTTATCCATTTTAATAAGTTTGCTGGAAACATGGCAAACATTTATGTATATCTCATAATGTCCTGAGTGTATGTGTGTATACACATACATATATATACACACATACACTCAGGTCATTATGAGATATACATAAATGTTTGCCATGTTTCCAGCAAACTTATTAAAATGGATAAAGTGAAATTATTGTTATGAGATCATGAAACATCTTAAGATACACAAGACATACTTTTATTCATGGATCTATTTCAGGTCTTTTGCTTCCTCTCATTTGGAATGATCTCCTTTGGAATGGTTCATAATTAAATCCCCTCATTATTTATCTGCTTTTCTCTCTGCATTTCAATCTAGTCATCTTGCCCTTTTGGTTTGTGTGACCATATGTCAAATTTGATATTTGTAAACTATTAATTAATGGAGTATAGAGAGAACAATGTTCTAAAATTGGGTGTTTACTCAAAGAATTCTTACCCACTGTATTCCACTACTTTATCTGTGGTAACTATAGTGTTTCTCAGACCACAATTAGTAACTTTTATTTACCCCATTTCTGCTATGTTCTGGTCTGTGAATTACAGTCTCTAAAAATTTGGTTTTGGCTATTGACATTCGTAATCAATTCTCAGGACGTTATCTCCATCATCACTTGACCTCAGTTTTATTCCAGGTTTTATGCTACCACCAGTTTGCTATCTGTAATTTCTTTATTTTGATTAATGTATTGTCTATATTTGTTGAAAATTGCTTCCAACTTTATTGAATTATGTCTGTCAAACCACTTTTAATACATTATTTTAATTAAAGCTATAAAAATATAATTCTTAATTAACTTAATTCAATGTTATCAAATAAAGACATTGCTATGTATAACAATATTGTATTTTGTGGATGTCATAGGAAGCTGCTAATTCAGTGTTTGGTAGTATATATTTTTAATGATTATTAGAGATTAGTTTAACTTTCTCCTTTTTTTTTTGTCTTAGTTGAGGCTGCCATAACAAAATATGATAAACTGGGTGGTTTCTGAATAGCATAAATTTATTTCTCACACTTTTGGAGTCTGGAAATGTAAGATCAGTGTGCCAGCATGGTTGGGTTCCGGTGAGGGCACTCTTAAGGGTTGCAGACTGCTATCTACCTGTTATACCCTTACATGGGGGAAAGAATGACAGAGAGCATTCTGTGATCCCTTTTATGACACTAATCCCATTCATGAGGATTTCGCCCACCATGACCTAATTACCCCCCAAAGACCCCACCTCCTAATACCACTACATTGGGGATTAAACTTTCTAGAATTTTAACAAATAAATTTGGAGAACACAAACATTCAGCCCACTGCACTTTTATTCACCAGAGTAATTGATATTGAGAGGCAAGTATGAATCAGAAACATTTCTTAGTTTAATTTTTTTACTAACTCAAGTGTTTAAGCTTAAATGTAATAGTTATTTTTAAAAGCACATTGCTTCTTATGTTGGCAATAATCTAAAATTGAAGTCATACTATTGTTTATTTAATCATCTTTAAAACATAAATAAGATTTTACTATTAAAACATACTAAATATATGTTGTTTGAAGTAGAGAAAATAAATCATTGGTTAACAAAAATAAATTATTTTTTAGGTTAAAAAAACAGAACATATGTATCTCACATGTGAGCTAAGATAACTTTCATTTTGATTCTGATTCTAATAGCTAAATCTGTGAGTGGCTGGAGTTTGATAACATGCATTTCCAGAGTTTATAATTCCCTGAAAAAGTGTTTTAAAATTGTTTCATATAAAACTGAAAAATAGTGTGTGCAGTAAAAATAGGCAGTAAATGTTCTCCCTGTAATAGGAAGGGTAACAACATGCATGCATGCAGTGAATCTTTAAAGTCCCATTCTAAAATTAAACTACACCATGTTACTTCTCAAATCATAAAAATGATCACACACTGATTTTAATATCAAAGAATTAGGTACCGAATATAATGGAAAAATTAAAAGTGTTATTAGTGAATTATAAATACATTAAAATGTACTTTATAACACTGCATTTAAAAGAGCAATAAAGTGCATTTTAAATTCAAGTGAGTAACTGAAAAAAATTCCAAGAGAAACAACAACATTATAGCGGAAAATATGTTCTTGTCTTAGATATTTATATATATTAGCTTGTTATAGAATTTAGTATGACAGAATAAATATTCCATAATATCTAAAGATGAGAACATTTTTGAGGTATAATTACATAAACTGTATATTAATGCATTTAAAATTAAAGACACAATGCTATAATCTTTCTACATTATAAGTAATGTCAGCCATATTCTATTATATTCTTGGATTTCCTTTAAGAAAGCAATAATAAAATATGTTGGCTTTAATCTGAAAAAACAACTAGAGACTAATCCAGCTTATATTTTAAATGTGTTGCTATATGTTGTTGTCAAAATGTATAATAATGTTTCCCTAATAATAAACCTTATTAACCTTTTTTTAGTACAGTTGAAATGGACGATAAACTTTGTTTTAAATCATTCTCCTGAAACTGCACCTGTGAGATGCTATATAAACAGATGTACCAGAAACTTAATAGAAACATAGTAGTAATGGATGATATTATTTCACAAGAACAGAAAAATATTAATGTTATACAATTTGAAGCCTGACTACCGCATATCATATAGATATATATGTGTGTGTGTGTGTCCAGATTTATATCCTGAGCACTTCAAACTTATCCTTGTACTTTCAAATAGCATTTATTTTAGTCTTCTTACTTATGTTTTATGCACAGTTCACAGCATAGTCAATCCTCTATCTATGATTTTGACCATTGAGTGAAATGTTCAAAGCTGTTTCCTTAAGAAAGCTAGTTTTTTAAGTAGATGTAGAAGTCACATACTTAAGATTTTTGAGTTATTGTATTTACTGAATTATGAATAAGGAGATGTTTGGGGGCCATTTTTATAAAACTGTATTGATGTTTTAAACTCAAATATTTTGCATACAGTTACATAGAATTAGAAGATCCAAGCAGAGGTGAAATAAAATATGTATGTGCTTTTGAAGCTAGCGATGATGTCTTACAATATAGTTATCTTCTGCTTCGTGAGTAGTTTTAATATTATTTTGAAATGTCACTTTAAATGAAGCATTTTTTAAATTAACTCAGAAACAAATGTTTTAGAAAAATCACCAGTGGTCACACAATCATGCCAGCAATCATAGACATATTAATATTCCTAATAAGGCAGAGGTATTTGTATCTATTTCTTTCTGTGTTATCATTTGCTGATGATTAGAATAAAGATTGTTTAATGTTGGTAATTTTAATAATGAAGAAGTTGCTTCTGAGGGTATATTTTCTCTATAGTTTGTAGTGTAAAACATATTTATAAAGTGACTTGCCAAAATGAAACCCTTTATCTGTCTGTATTTCCACCTTTGTGTAAATTTAGTTTTACCTTGTGTTATAAAATGTGCCTTTTTAAAATAATTAATGATTTACATTAAGTCTATGCCACTCAGAATTGTAAGATTCAAGGCATTGGAGCCAATACTGTGAATTCTCAATGCCTAGTATACTATGTCAGATATATCTTAACTTATAAATTCATGTTTCATATCTGAGTAAGTAAATGTATGAATAGATTTTTCCTGGTAATTTTTGTATCTACCAAAATCTTTTATAAATCTCTGAATTGCTGCACAAAAATCCTTTTTTATATTTTCTACTATGTATTAAAATTTGGAAGATTTTCTCTCCAGATTGACACTCACTCCTTATGTCTTCTCCTGTTGAGATACTCCAGTATTTTGTCATCTGATTTAGTTTAGTCTGAAATAACACATAATTAGGTACAGTCCAAAAGTTCCCTGAAATTCAGAAAGATTATTGCCTCGTCTAACTCACATCCCATATGTAGCAGAGCCAAGGTTAGAATCCAGGACTGATGTATTTCAGACATTTGTTCTATACTTTCAAATGTTGTTTTCCTGCAGAAACTAAATTAGAATTTAGTGGCACCTTGTCACCTGACATTGTCATGAGAACATGATGCCTGACTTCCTCCACTGGGCTGGGCCAGGGTCCTCCTCAAGAAACACCTGAGCCCAGAGCTGTAGTGACCCAATTTTATGACTAGTTCACTCCTGTCCCAAAAGTCTCATGAAGACAATGGTTAATGGCAACTAATAGAACATGTTTGTGTGTGAGTGTGGGAGGGCTATCACAATGGCCTGCACAGCTAATTAAGCATGGAGGTGTCAGCCATGTATAGTGACTCACACCTGTCATCCCAGCACTTTGGGAGGCTGAGGTGGGAGGATCACTTGAGCCAGGAGTTTAAGACCAGCCTGGGCAAGATGGTGAGACTCTGTCTCTACAAAAGTGTTTAAAAATTAGCCGAGTTTGGTAGCATGTGCCTGTAGTCCCAGCTACTGAGGAGGCTGAGGCAGGAGGAGTTCTTGAGTCCAAGAGTTCAATTCTGCAGTGAGCTATAATCACGCCATTGCTCTTCAGCCTAGGCTACAGAGTGAGACCCTGTCTCAAAAAAAAAAAAAAAAAGAGGTGTCAACTTCACTTTTCAAGTTTTTCTTTCTCTGTTTATTCCATCTTTTCTCCCTTTCTCCCTACTTCGGGTGTAGCCCTACCTCCTAGCGTCATCCCTTCTGTACTTGCATTATCATTTAAATGTACGATAGGTAAAATGTGCAACCCACACTGGGAAATACCGATATAGCAGATAAATTGCCTGGATTTAAATTTGGTCTTCCCCACTTTATGATGGTGATCTTAAATTCCCAATACCCTTTTTCAAATGTAAGTAAAATGATACTTTCATATAAGTTGTGAGATTCAGTGAAGTTATGTATGCAGGGCATTTGGGGCTGCTCCGGATTCCATAAGTGTTTGTTATAATAATAAATACAACAGTCTCCCCTTATCCTCATGAGATACATTCCAAGACCTCCAGTGGATGCCTGAAACCAAAATAGTACTAAGCCCTATATTTACTGTTTACACTATACATACCTATCTATGAGAAAGTTTAATTAAGCAAGTAAGAGATTGACAACAATATCTAATAGAATAGAAGAATATAACAATACGCCAGCATCACTACTCTTGCACTTTGGGGCCACTATTAAGTAAAATAAGGGCTACTTGAAGAAAATCATTGCAATACCAGGAATACCAATCTGACAACCGAGACCACTCCTTAGTGACTAACTGATAGGCACCATAAACAGCATGGACAGATTGGACAAAGGGATGATCCACGTCCTGGGGGGGACAGAGCAGGACAGAAAGGGATTTTATCACACTACTTAAAATGGCATATGGTTCAAAACTCATTGTTTATTTATGGAATTTGTCATTTAGTATCTTTGGACTGTGGTTGACTGCAACTGTGGAAAGTGAAACTGTGGATGAGAAGGAACTGCTGTATTTTTGTGACTGCTGGTATGTCTAAAAATGTCTACACCTATCTACACCAATATATGTTAGAATGCATTTTCTGCTTCAGAAACCTTTTTAAATCTCTGGTCTGATTTATTGAAAGTTAAAGAATTATAGGTACCATCACAAGGTGAGGCAGTATCATATGTTTATTCAATATATTTGCTGCCTCCGCAACCATTTTAGGCCTCACATAAGTTATTTGGAAGCCAAGCACACCTTTGAAATGCTGTGCAATCATAAAAAGAATGAGATCATGTCCTTTGCAGGAGCATGGATGGAGCTGGGGGCCATTTTCCTTAGCAAACCAACACAGGAACAGAAAACCAAATACCACACGTTCTCACTTATAAGGGGGAGCTGAATGATGAGAACACATGGACGCATATAGTGTAACAACAGACACTGGGGCCTATCACGGGGGAGGGTGGGCGGAGAGAGATGATCAGGAAAAATAACTAATGGTTACTAGGCTTAATAACTGAGTGACAAAATAACCTGTACAAAAACAAACAAACAAACAAAAACACAAGTTTACCTATGCAACAAAACTGTATCCCTGAAGTTAAAATAAAAGTTCATTAAAAAAACACCCCTACCTGTGTAGTTGTGTATGATATAGCTTGCTTGTTCCTCATCTCAGTGACCCAAAATTCAACACACACACAGCTGCTACGGAAAACCTAATGGTTAATACCAGAATCATGTAAATAAGTTTTTCCCTTTGTGTGTGTGTGTGTGTATTTTAAACTAGTGAATCTACAACTCCCACGGAAAAGTGTAAGGCGTAACAACCATGAACCTTAAAAAAGGGATAGTCCTACAGATCCTCACCTCTCTCCTCTCTCCCCACCCACTGGTATATCTCCCTGCCACCTCTAGAATTCCTGTCAGCCCTCATTAGCACCCAAAGTCTCTCCGGGATATGTAAGTAAAAAATATCTTCCATCTCATGCATTTTGGTTTCACTTCCTCATTGTGTCTCTCTTGACAAATGCACTTTTGTCCCACTCAGAGCTCTCTTAGGGAGTAGCTATTTTGGCTTAGATCTCTAAGACCATATTAGAACAAAAAAAAAACACAATAAAATTATAATAGTCAGTTATAGATGTATTTGTGGATATCTATTTTGCATTTGGTTCTGGAAAGTAACTTTCAGAGTCAGAAATCCCGCTTAGAAAATGAATAAGGAACAAGAGAGGAGCTAGCTTTTCTGCACCCTTGTTCGTTTCAAATCATAAAATCATCGTCGTCTCACTTTCAACCTTCTGTTTCCCTTCCCTTATTACCTTCCTTTGGCATTTGCCCGCAACTAATTTAAAAGTTGTATCCACTATTTTTACATTTTTAATTGTTACTCTAGATAGTTTACAAGCGTATTTAAAGTAACAAACTCTGTTATTAAACACCATTTTTAAGAAGCCTAGAAGATTTCAACTTCTTTTAAATATTTTCCCCCAATTCAATGCCATTGCTTTTTAGTTTAACTGTTCTATCCCCAAAATATCAAGTTAGATGTTATTATTTTTTCATTTTTTACAGTATTATATATTCGTTTCTTTTCCCATCATGCTTTCTTTTTGTCAGAACTATTCCCTAGAATTTTTTTCTTTTGTTCATATGACTTGGAAGTTCCTATAGTGAGGATTTATTGGTAATAAAGAAGAATTTTTCCTCAAAATATATTTAATTTCTCTTTTACAAGCAACATAAATTTTCAGTTAATGTATAGTTATAGGTCAGCATTTATTTTTACTCTGAACTTTTTCTCACCCCTCTTATCTGTTTTCTGTTCTTGATGGTGGGACATTAGCTTTCAGTCTCATTTTTGTGTTCATAGGTGGTCTTTTCTTTCTGGTATTTTTCAATAAATTGTGAGTTCATATTCCTTAGAAATTTTATCTGGAGAAATTAATAGAGTCTTGGGTCAAAGTTGTGTAGTAACAGGGAGAAAGATATTCCATTTTTTTCTGCAAGGCAATTGGTTGTTCTAAAATAATGAACATAATTTAAAATTTAAATTATACATCCAGGGAAGATTTTTGCCTTTTTATCAAGAGTAAGTGCTGAGATTACAAATTTCCATATTTCCCTTTTTAAGAGTAGCCTCTTTCAAGTTTACACATTGTAGACATGCCCAAAATGTATGCAGGGCCTCTTAACTAATTCTTCGTATTACTTGGTCCTATTTCTTTTTCTGTTTCGTTTTTGTTTTTTCCTCTATTACCTATTGGTTAATACTTTAGCTCTGGCATACTACAGATTAGCATGTTCTCCTGGGGGAACTACATTAAAAAAACCCAATGACTTTTGTTAAAGCACAGGAAGGCAGACTATTTTCCAGGACCACTACAATGGTTACAGGGACCTCTGCAATGGGATTTTGCAGTGGGAGAATATTTTGGGCTCAAATTCAAATACAGCAAGAACAAGTGGGAATTGATTGATAGCCGCCTAGCAAGATTGGGTGGGGGAGTCAATAGATAAAAAAATTATTAAAAGGAAACATTAGGGGTAAGAAGGATTCTGGCTAAACTGACCTACAGGATTCTTGTTGAAGGCAGGTTCGGGTGATCAGGCATCATTCGGGTTATGCTGCAGGCTGAGGAACATGTCAGTTATCCAAGGTGATCAGACAGAGAGAGTGGGAGTGTTCTTGCAAAGGTAACCTTGCAGAGTTTTTACAAAACCTGGATTTTACAAGGAAGTGCAAAGATGGGCCTAGGAGAAGATTCAAGGGCCTGACTAAAATTTAGTCAAGCAAAAATTATTGTCAGACACTATCACCTACATCTGCTTACTTTATGAATTTGGCTTCATTATGATTTTTGACATCTAAAAATTTGTTCTTAATATCTAAAGAGTTAAGTTACACACTATGCATACACAATGGATTCTGTTTTATATATTTTATATTGTGAAATAATTTTCTCGTATTTTATTATTTTAGGCTTTCAGCATAATAGAATTTCAAAGTATTTAGACTACTGTCCTGTTCTAATATCTAGCAATTATTTAGTATAACTTTTGACTATACTTCTTCAGTATATTCTGTGTTATGTCATAATTCTTGGCAATTCAAATAACAAATAATTGTTTATATGTTTATCCTGGAAAATGATTACACTTTCCTTTAAAAGAGGTAATATGATATATTCATATTTTTCCCCCAAAGTGAGAAAGGGAAATTTAATGTTTGACTTAACAAATTATGATTGAGTTAGTAAATTAATATACATGAAAGATGATTTGTAATGATAACGACTCACTAAAGTCTCTGTATGTCCACCTTTATAAAATATATGTTTTATAATCCATAGTTTTACTTTGTAGTTAGTGGTTTCTTAGTATATATTTGTTAAATTGAATCATGGCAAAAAAAATTCAAATGAAGACTACAGATGACTCTTGTAAAGAATCATGTCAATTTTACTAACGCATTCTACAATGACATTTCATAAAAATAAGCAACATAAAAATGTTAATTATATTGTTAAAGTATGTCCCCAGATGTTGTGAAAGTATCACAGGACCTCCCTTTCTACCCCAAATCAGATCCTTTCTACACCAAATCAGATTCTGTTGTCGGTGCCAAAATAGACGGCACAGGAAATCTACCACACCACAGACCATCTGCAAGAAACATCTGACAGAGACTTCTGGTTTTGGGCTTGAACACCAACCAATCAGACTTCACCTGCCCCAGCCAGTCAGGTTTCAACTTTATTAACCAATCAGAATTCAGCTACACCTACCCCTCTGAACTAAGCTAGTTTTAATCCTTTATTTCCCAAAACTGATCAGATTGAGAACCTGAGCAGAAACTTTTTATATAAAACCTGAACCCTTCCTTTCTTCTCTGGAATGCACCTTCATTTTACACAGAAGGCTATGTCTCCCAGTTTGCAAACTGTTCACTGGAATAAAGTCTCTTTCCTCCAAATTCCTTTTCAGAGAACCGTTGTTTCACAATATATTGACTTTTACCTCATTGAAATACATATGAGTAGATCTGAAATAAAAGATACTAATTAAATTGTACGACAGGATCTCATGAAGATAAAGAGAAAACCTACAGAGATAATGCTGGATGGGAAATTATTAGCCAGGAATAAGAATTTGAGTGATTGAATAAATATAGCTTTAAAAGTTAATGTTTGTTATTCAATTTGGCATCTGTGACATAAAGGGAATAAAAGTTTTTCCCATACCACTGTATCTCTGAAGTATGTAGTTCAAATAGCAGTGACATCTATCTACCTAGAGAAACAGGCATGAACACCTCTGTCCATAACTTCTTTCCATTCTACAAATTGAGATTGCGTATGAGTATCCTCACAAGATTCACAATTAGAATTACCTTTAGCAACAGGAAAAAGAAAAAAAAAAGGATAAATGGTTTTAACAGAAAGGTTTCTGTTAGTTTTCCATATCAAAGACAAGGTGATCAGGAGATTAGAGGGAACTCAATACCCATGATACATGCCTCAGAGGACTGAAGTTAAATGTAGTCTAACAGTGTACTGCTTGTGTTTGCATAATGGCTCTCTATTTCCATCGGTGCCAGAAGACATTCTTTTATATTCTGAGAATATGGATCTAGCCGTTATTCCCTACAAAGCCAAACTCTGACGAAAGTAACCTAGATCAAAATCAGCCTCTAGGGGTAAAATGTGGTATAACATAAATCTATGACATTTACACATTTTTTGCGTTGTGTGAGTAAAAACATCTCTTCAAAAGCAGTATAAGATAACCACGTTTAGAGATTAAATCAACTATATTTATACACATTTATCTTAGAGTCACACTTCCAGCAAATGTTACTTTCTGGAACACAAGCTCAAAAATAGTTTTTGGCCTATATTAACTATCACAAGGCTACGCATTTTAAAACTTAGAATTAATTCACACATTGATTACTTTTTGAAAATCTAATACCTTCATTGTCTGTTTATATCCATTAAGTCAAATTCTTATTATACTGATTTATCTTTAATTCTAGGTCATGACATGAGAAGCAGCAAAAGAAATGAGGAACGTAGTAGCGGAATCACTGACACTAGAAAAGACAGTTGAAATCAGAAAATAAAATACAGCCATAAATAAAGCTTTATAAAAAAAGCCATAAAACAATTATGAAACAAAATAAATATATTTGAAGATTGTAGAAATCACACTGGATTTGTTTTGTTTTTTGTATTATCACTTAACAAGAAAGAAAATACTCGCTTACATTTTATGTAATATATTACATATGTATATATTTAACATAAGTATATGTATATTTATATGACATATATTTGCATGTATGTACATACTACTCTATTTAAAAAAGAAATAATGTCAAAATACGGAGCTACTTAATGCTGAATTATTTATCAATGCCAAATTCTTTCTAAAATCTCTCTTTAACTGGCACTATAGAATGAGCTATTATTATAAAAATATAAAAAAGTAAAGTCAAGTATAAATATGACATGTATGTAAAATATTTGGTATTTGTTTAAAATATTTGGTATTTGTTTAACTACCTCATATAATTTTCTGTGGTATTCTGTTAGATTCAGATGCAGTACGGTATGTAAATTTACTTTAGATTGAAACCCAAAGCTTTTATTTATGGGTAGGTAAATGGTTTTGGCTTCTTGTTTTTAAATATCAAACATTAATATAATTATTGACATTTATATCTAAATGACATCTATATCTGAAACATGAAAGTAACTGTATACAAGGAATTATATAAAAAGGACATTGATAACCAGCTTTTCTAATCTTTTAAGGACCATAATAAGACCAGTGCTTTGCCATTTTACTAAATACATATTCATGCTATTGTCAAGAGGACAAATTATTTATATGTTTTAAAAAACTCTTTCACACTGAGGAAAGAGTAGTTTAAACTGCTGAATACATTTATGATAGTTAAACTTCATGATGTGAATTAAATAATGGTTTTAGCTAAGATAATTTTAGGAAAAGAAGCATACATAACATTATTTATGGATATAAAATTTTCTGTTAATTATATACCCAGAGAAAAGATAATTTACTTTAAACTATTTTAATCTTTAATTTTAGATTTATTCATAATACACTTTCCCAGCTCTGAAATTGGAGGATTTTGTTTTCACTTAATGCATTATTATTAACTTCATTTCTCTAAGAATTAACAGTCAGATGGTTCTAATCAAGCAAACTCTTTCCATTAAGAAATGTAAACACATACCAGATTTTATCATTTGATTTGTGTTTGGGTTAGATCTAGCCATTCAAAACAACCAGTTTTCAACTCAGATTTTGGTCCTAGTGCTAAACCTCCTTTAAAAAATAATATTTTTCTCTAATTATAAAACTATACTTACATTATTTGAGTTAAAAAAAGAAAGCCACTACTTATAAATATGCAAATATAAAGAAAAACCAAAGCAAATACATGTGTTTTGCAATATTATTGGTCGTTAAAAATTTTTTCATGCTTTACAAATGAGACAAAACATAGCCAGCAAGTTCTTTCAGTATCAATGGGACATCACTGGCCCACAGAAGAATCATTAGACTCTAAGGGGCATGTAACTCTGACACACTATTTACAATTAAATAAATTCCACAGATTTTGACATTTACAGCTTTGGTAATTTACATATATCAGTGTCATTTAATCTTTGCAATAACCCTATACTCTATTTTTGCTACATATGCTACACATGCAAAGTCTTCTAAATATTACAGATATGTCGGTTAGGAGGACTGGCTCCATTTATATACGAGAAAATTGCAATTCAGAGTTTCAATAACTTAATTCATACAGCTAATAAATGATGAAGTTGGGAATCCTAACCTTCATCTATCTGTCTCCTGCGCTCATGCTTTTTCACACTTAACATTCACAAATTATCTCAAAGTAATTCTTTTTTTGAATGATAAAGGTAAGATTTTATGGTCATAGAGTTCAATCACATATCCAGGACTTAAGTTGTCACAGATAGGTGCCATACACACTATACATTAGAGAGAAAACATTACATTTCAAAATAACCTTTGCTGTTTCAGGACACCTCTCCCTTTCCCCTACCCTCACCCTAGCCAACACTTAGAGAGATCTTTATATCCAAATGATATGTATAATAAATTGAATTCCTTTTCAGGAATCTCATCTACCAATGTTTTAACCTTATGCCTCTCTTCATCACCCTGCCAAATCTTTTGTAATTATACTTCATGAAGTGTTTTAAGTCTTCTCTTAACTTTCCTGAGGCTCTCTCTTGAATATATTTTATCTAATCATATATTCTTACTCTAATGTTGAGGGCAAAAATATCATTTTCTATTTCATATTATCTCATAAGATGTTTTTCTCATTCTATTGTTTCATTGTCCTTATTAGTATTTTCTCTACCTTCCCTTTTAGCACCATCTGTGAGTTCTCTGACTTTGCATTTACTCTCTTTTAACAATAATTAGGATGGTAAATAAGATTAAGCTTCACTAATCTCTGTTTTGTCCCCTGTAGGTTATTTCCAGTTTTTGCACTGTCTTGTACTAATAACCCTGTTAACAGGTTCATAGAAAAATCGTAATAAGCGTTCTGAGCAAAATTCAACTGAATTCACTAGTTTACTACTGGGCATGTTATGAATACACTCTGTAATTTAAAAGTTTATAACATTACTTTTTAAAACCTTAAATAATTGCATTTTCATTAGCTTTACATATTTTTCATTGTTTAGTCATTATCAATTTCAGGTAAAATTATTCATGCAGAATTATTCTAGTTATTCTTTAAAGACCTATTTTTTCCGAATTGATATTATTTGTCTGAAAAAGCAAATTGTATTGTTAAACCATATATTAATATTTTAACCTATATCATCTTTACATTAAGTAAATCATTATTTGTTGTTGATTAATGTGAAGGTAGGATGAAAATGACAGAGGCCACAAACATTCTCTGTAAGGTATAGAAGAGTTTAAAATTTAGTCCCAATACAGAAGTTCTTCTAAGTTTTCTATTTTTCCCTCTATAAGTGATAAAGCAATTTCCTCAGTCTCCCAAGGACTTGGCTTGACATTGGCAATATGGGTAGAATGAAAAAGCAGTTTGGAACTTCAAAATAATCAGTTCTTCCAAATTAATCAGTTCTTCAGTTACTTCCAAATTAATCCAGTCTTTCAGATTTATTTTTACTTTTCCCACTGATCTTTATATTTTTCCAATATCGTTCAAGAGAAACTATGCATATGTGGTATGAGACAACTGGTCCCCTTTTCCCACTTTGGTTTTCACAGATTTCCACTGGGAGGGTCTCATATTCTGAGGTTTTTAGGTGTCAGACTCAATTTCCAATGTTTCCACTGTTATTTGATGTTTTGTTTTCTTTACTTACATGATACATAATGACTGCTCAGAGCTAATTTTCTTTTAAGCTTTCATGTCTTCTCTGCACACATCATTCTACTGAGAGACCTCCAGTTTTGATCAAGACAATCTTCAAATTGCAAAACCCCAAAGAGAATTTGCTAATTCTTACCTTGACCTTCAAAAATTTCAGTAGAATGACCACATATACAATATACATTTTAATTGTATTAAATAATAAATTTATACAATATGAGTTTTAATTGTATTAAATTTATACAATATAAGTTTAATTTGAAATTTATTAAATAATATGATAAATATCTTAATTTAGTCATGCTACATATTGTGAATAATATGCTCTTCACATTTATTTTGGAAAACATTTTTATTATTCAAATAAAAAATAATATACAATTTTTGTCTAAAATAACACACCTGTTAAGCAAAGTAGCTTTCAATTTATTTGTTTTATCCTTACAAAATATCCAGATTTAATTATAAGGGGAATCACTAGAAAAAAATGTGATGCTTAATTTTCCATAGAAAAAGCATAACTTCTCCTTCCATACTAAAAAACAATTGGCCTTTGGAATTCTATAAGTATGTTAACTTCTTAGTTTGCAAGTTAGATGTGAAGCTGTGTGAGAGGTTGGTTTTATGTGTTCATTTGGCCACCAGCAGCCTAGATATTTGGTTAAATATTATTTTTCGTGTGTCTATGAGGGTGTTCCTAGATGAGATAACATTTGAATCATGGATTGAATAAGGCAGATAGTACTCCCAGTGTGAGTGAGCCTCATCCAGTACATTGAAGGCCTGAATAAAATGAAAGCCTGGGTTAAGAAAAAAAATTCTCTTCCCCTGCCTGACAATCCTTGAGTTGGGTTGCCTTCAGGGTTCAGAACTTATATCATTGGCTCTTTGGTTCTCAGGCCTTTGGACTAAAACTGGAATTATACCATCAGCTCCAACAGGTCTCCAACTTGCTAAATGTGATTCTTGGGACCCTTAGCCTGTATAATTGTGTGAGCCAATACCTTACACTAATCTTAACACATATATATCTTATCACTTCTTTTTCTCTCAAGAATTAAGACTAAGAGAAGCTGTAAGAGACATGTATTCTACGATTTTATTGTGGACTCGCAAGTGAAAAAAACATAAGGTTATTCCAGGAAGTAATGTATAAAGCAACTACATTATAAATGTATAAAAATAAAAATGTCTAAAGTATTAGCTAGCTGCTTTCATTATAATATCACATTAACAATTAGTTGTGATTATTGCCTCCTCTATGGTACAGTTTGTCATGAATCCAGTACTACTTTACAATTTAATATTCCCTTAAAATAGCCATTTTTCAAGGAGTGAACATCAGATGCGCAAATGATAAAACATAGATGTACACAAACATAGCAAGCAAATCAGTGTTCGAAGTTAAGGGAATCTCTAGGGTAAATTTAAGTGATTCAATATGCCCATAGTACAGGTTGTTAATCAGCCACGGACAATACTTCAGACAGATTCAACTCTCTGTGTATTCATTTAGAAAGATTGATGTAGATTTCTGTAAGCAAAGAAAAATAATTATGAACTCATAAAATTTCCCCAAAACAGTTAAAAATAACTTTGGCAACAACACTCTGAAATGATTTTATATATATTTTACATTTAACAATTTTTATTTACCATAAATGCACAGTATTTAAATATTATGACCACGTCTTTCCACAAAGTGTTTAAAAAATATATTAGATTAAATAGTTCAATAAATAAATAATAATATATACAAAAATTATCATCTCTTGTCTTTCAAAAACTCATCTTTGGTTTATGATACAGACATGATATATACCTCAATTAAAGAAGGAAATTAAATTTGTCATAGCAACTTTTCTGTCTATAGATCTGTGAATAAAACATCAAGCAGTAAAAGCTACATTATTAATTAAACTATACTTTCATTTTACTTTCCTTTCTAGAAATATCTCTTAGCCCAATTATCAACAAGTGATAAATATAAATCATATATCTCTGCAAGTTTCTGCCAATGCTAAATCTTATTTATTGGCTTTGAAGAATATATATTTTTGTTTGACTATACCTATGTGATATTTCATTAAATAACCAATTTTAAAACAACAAGAACAAAATACTTGGAGGAAAAACCAATGTGTAGAGTGAGCGCATTTTAGAAAATATTTTTAAATTGATTATTTAGTACATTCTGCATCAAACATAGTTAATAATGGAATCTGTATATCCACAGTCAAGTTAGAAGAAATAAAATTTGAATTTTCTGCAAAATATTTAAAACTGTGTAAATTAATTTACTAAAACAAATGTAATTAAATTAGCTCTCACATTTAACAAAAAATATTATTTTAAAGTATTTTTCAATTTAAACATCTAGTTTCAAACAACACAGTTACAATTATGATACTATTGATACCCATGTAATCATTGTTTTGTTTCTTAAACTTAGACGTTAGGCATTATTATAATTTATTCTTTATTTTCTACCTGAAAGGATATGTTTTTCCATATAAGAAAAATCTTACTGTATAGCTATTATTTAAAAATTGTTTAATAATAAATGCCAACTTCATATTTTTTTGGAACATTCTTATTGGTGAGATCCAGAATACACTTCATTTAGTATGTGGAAATTACACTTTTTTCCATTTGGTACAATTTAGCAAAGCATGAGCAAAAATGATTAAATATATATCCAATTCTCAATTATTCACACTAATGGAGGGGAAAAAAGGTATAGGAGGCATTAAGACAAAGAAAAAGTCCTAACTCATTTTTAGCTTTAAAGTATAATTCATCACATCCATACCTTTCTGTAGCAGTTCACATTTAATATCTTTCTGTGGTAAAGTCCTGTTCATCTAAGCTTTAACATCAAGAGTTCAGATAACCTGACCAGAGACTCTTTTGAAATGTCAGGGGTGCAAAAAATAATTGAGAAAACTCACATGTTACTAAAGGTAAACTGGAATTAGATCAACACAATCCACACTATTTATAAATGTTCTTATTTTTGATTTAATGCATATGTAACCCTCCTTGGTAGTTATATTTATATTCATTCCTTTATCAAGTATTTACTAGATGCTTATTACCTTCTGGGCAACTTTTCTTGTGCTGAAAATGTATCCTTGAAGTAAACATAGTTCCTGTTTTCATAGACATTACATTCTTTTACTGGGAATCAGACAATAAGCAACCAAAAAAACAGATATATGCCAGTGGAGGTAAATGTTAAGAAAAATAAGAATGATGAGAATGCCATTTTAGACAGCATTATCATAAAATATCTATTTATTATATATAATTTCAGTGGAGACACAAATAAAATGGAAAGTGATCCAAGAAAATGGCTGAAGAAAATACTGAATGCAGAGGGAGCCACAAATGCAAAGGCCCTGTGGTGGGCTCAGCTTCTCATGTTTCAGGAATAGCAAAAGACCACATGGTATCTGAAGGTGAGTGAGGGAAGCAGATTATGTAGGGCACTGTGGGCTCTGGGTTTTAGTCTGAATGATATAGGAAGCAACTGGAGGATTTCGAACAAGAGTGATGTGCTCTGTCTTATATCTTAACAGAATCTGTCATGTGGACTTTAAACTATAGGAAGAAAAGTATAGATGTGTGGTAACAACTTACAGTGCTGTAAAAACTAAGATGGTGGTGGCAAGAACTATTTTGATTATGAATTTACTATCAGTTGCATTGTTCTTATTTTTTTAGAATCTATAAACTTATTTTTAGACATTTTTGTCCACATTCTTGAGTAATGGCTATACTTTCCATTGTTTCATTAAAAAATTACATAACAAGGTTGATGATCACCTCATTCACTTTTCACTTTAACATCCCTTTTCGACTCTTATTAAAATTACTCTTCCTAAGACCTCATAACCAATTCTGGTAAACACAATTTAAACTGAACCTATGTAACTATTTTTTTCCTAACTTATTAGCCCTTTGGTTTTATCTTGACTTCCACAGAGATTTATTTTAGAAAGTGTGAAGTGTATTTAGATCTGTTAAGCAACCCGAATTCTTTTTTTTCCATAGTAGAAATATCATTTCTCCCATTGTGCCATGAACTTTCTCATTTCAATACTTTTGCCTTATGGCAACTCAACTTTTAATGCTTTCTCACTCTTCTTTACCTTCTGACCCCAGGTCAAATATCACTTAATCAGGAAAGCGCTCCTGGACCTGTAGGAGCAGATACTGTGTTATATATTTTAATTCAGGGCAATGACCATACCTGTAATTTTACATGGTAACTGTGCCAACTTGATTTATACCTATCTCTTCCAATTATATTGGTGCTCATGACAGAATGAAACCCCAGCCCTAGACATGTCACAAATAGGAGCTCTAAAGATATTTGTTAATAAATGATTCGAAAATAACATCAAACTCATTTTCATTTGGAATTCCATTTCCTGTTCTGAATTCTTGTTGCCAGTAGTATGCATATTTTCTTTTTTATTCACTAACAATTTGAAGAAATACATTACATTCTGATTTTATTTCTACTAATGCTTCTGTTTGTGTTTTAAAATAGTCTTTCATCTATCTATCTTTCCAAAATGTCTTCTTTTGTTAAGCTTCCTAATCTCTGTAACCTAACAGATTGAGATTTCTCTCACGCTCTACTCACTTTTTTGTGCTTGTCAATGTTATAACCATCGTTTTAGTTGAATTACAGATTTATTGATACTTCTCTTTAAAACTTATATTTTATTATGCATTTCTGTTGCAATCATAATTTAGGATATTTGCCATGGTTTTGTAATCATATTTATAATAATTATTTATTCATAGACATATTTACAAGGCTCACAGTGGACTCTTTTATACTGCAATTTTCTTATTTTTTTGAGCTCATTCTTTTTTAAGAAATTTTATCTTGATTTCTGAAGGTAAGACATGTTTTTCAGGAGGAATTTGAGTACTTTTCAACAACTTGTAGTTTAGTAGAGTTGGCAGATAAAATGCAGGACACCCAGTTACATTGAACGTCAGATAAGGAACAGATAATTGTTTAGTAAAAGTGTTTGTATTTATTTGCATGCCCTATACACAAACAGTAGGTAAGTAGATGCCGTTCTCGAATGCCATGCTAAATGTAGTAATCAATATTCTTTAACACAAACAAACAACAAAAAAACATTTTCCATAAAACTCTTGGCAATTGCTTTGTGGCATTTTTAAAGTAGGAAAGTATTTTGCGGTAGCCTTAATTTCTTCCTTATTTAGAACACTTACTTTCAGACTTAAATTCTGATTTAAGAATGAGAATTTTTATAAATTATATGTGTCAATTAATTTTAAAATTAAATTTAAAATTATGGTTCCATTTTGGAATGTTAATTCATTTTCAAAATTATTTTTTTTTCACAGAAAGTCACGCAACTTAGACTTCTTTCAGCAACTTTGACTTTTGCCTCTGTTCAATTTTCTATGAACACAATTATAATTGTTTCTGTTACAGCCTTCATATTTGTCATCTTTCTGATTATTATTCTCATGTACATTTTTCTCTAAATTAGGTCAAACTTTTCAACCTTGTCTTGTACATTACTTGTTATAATAGCAGATCAATATTTACAATACTGTTTTTTCCTGTACTATTTCTAATTCTATTTTAAATTATTCTATTATGTATTCTTATATTATCATCTTTCTCAGCTAAATATTCAATCTTACTTATTTTTCTTACATTATCTTTATATTTTGCTTAATAAAGTCAATATATATTTGAAAAATATTTTTAATACAGAGCAGATGCCATGTAAACTGTATTTTTTCTCCCTGATGTAAATCTTCCCTCCATCTCAGAACTATGCTCTTACCTTCCCCCTAGAAGAAAAAGACGTTAATTTTTGTAATTTATAAAATGATTTAATGTTTATCATTGTGGTCATTCTATACATAGTCATCTGTGAATAAGAAGAGATCTATTAATGCATTGCCTTTTTCCCTCAATAATTTTGCTGTTCTTCTGAATGCAGTTAAAATTCCTCTTTCTTATTTAACCTGCTATATTTGCTGATATCAGACAACATTAAAAATGCCTTTATTCAGCAGTTCAGTTCATCAACAGTAATAGGACAGTTACCTGGACTCTGTCAGTGAAACCTACCATAAAATCCAGTTCTAAGGTGTGGGTGGTATGGTATTATTAAGGGTATTTTTCCTCCCAATCTATGCACTTTGGAAATGTAGTGTTTAAATGATGATGACAATTTCTGAGGTATATTTGGTTTAGGTATACCTCAATCTAGGACTTTAAATGATATTATCTACACTTTCTCCCTCCTTTCATCTCCTGATATTTTTCAATCCCCCCTTATTTCTGCTTCCCTTTGTGTGGTGGGCACGTTTTCTCCTATTGTGTTGGAGTATCTTCCACATGTCAGGATTGAGGTGCACTGTCAACCTCAGCATAATAGAGAGCTGCTTTCTTCAAAAAGTAATAAATCGATAAAAAAATTAAGAAAACTTAATAACCATGTTAGATTTATTCTGAGCAACTTTGAAAAAAATATTATCAGAGTGGGCTTCTGTTATTGTTAAAGACATCATATATATGTAGCCATAGCCCATGTAGGTAGGTTATTGCTATTGCCTTCTTCTACTTCCTTCCTTAGATCACATGGATTAAAAATTTTAAAATACTGTGCAGAAAATAAATATTTATGTACTCTACATTTTACACTTAATCTTCTCAGTCTTCATATATATGTGTAAGCACACAAACACACACACACCTTTATTAGCATACATGTAGTTCTAAGAATTTAGAAATCTAAAACAATACTACTGTTCCCCAAAGGCAAACAGAACAAATTATTGAACGTTTCCGCACTCAAGTTCCAAATCTAGAATATTGGGGTGCTATATAGACCCAATTAGTCAGACTCTTTGCAACTTCTGATTTTGTCATCTATGTTCCAATAATATAGTCAACAAACAGCGTTCTTTCTAAATGCAAGATATTTAATTCTTAGGGAGAAACGGGTATAATAGCAATAAAAATGCCTATTTCAAAATCAGAGAAAAGGAAGAATGTTAGCAATTAGAGCTGTTCACCAAGACATCGTGAACTCCCTTCTTGCATTAAAAAAAAAAAAGAATTATACTTCACTGTCCTCTTAAATCTAGGCATAATGATGTGGACTTCTTTAAACAATGTATTATAATTTGGAACCAGGTATGTGACTTCCGGACAAAAGCATTTCCTGGCCACTGTGACATTCTCAGTCCATGGTGATAGTGAGTGTGTACCTACATGATGTGAAAGTCTGAGCCAGCAATTAGAGAAGTTGCCCAAATCTTCTATGGACTTTATGGAAGTAAGAAATGAACTTTGTTAAGTGACGCCACTGAGATTCCTAGGATGTCTGTTCCTTCACATACATAGCCTGGCCTAGCTTGAAAAAATATAGGAAACAATATAGAGTTGTCACCAGTTCACCAGTTTATATCACTCATTGTTATAGGCTTACCACAAAATTAGAGCGAACAGCAACTTGCTCCCCTGGTAACACAGTAAATTATTGGGTCAGTCAGCATGGACAAATCTGGTTCTGCCTAACAGAATACTCACACCAGAGGTTTCAGTACTTTTAGGGGCTGCCTTAATGGTTGTGTATTTACAGATGCTTTATAGCAGGGCTAGAAATTCTCTGGCAATAAACATCTGTAGAATACTAGGCAAATTTTCTTTCAAATTTTAGGGCAAAAAATAAACTAGCAACCAAAACTAGGCATGTTTTTGTTCATGTTAAGTGATGGACTTTGAATGTTGTGTTTTTTGTCTCTCTTAGATGCAGGTCTCTAATCTTTGCCTAAAGCTTAACTGCTTGACTGTCAACATGGCCTGAAACTGAGATAGAGATGCATAGCTAATCTAGTCCCTGCCGCAATATGCATCATAATGGAAGATACTTTATCACAGACAGGGCTGAAAGATATTGAGGCATATTAGTAACTTTGTAAGGCAAGGAGTGAAACAGGAAATATTTTAGTGGAGTTTAGGAATTCAAGTTTCTTCCACTTCAATAAATCTTCCTAGGTGCCATTATCTCTTCCTGTTTTTCCTGCCTCCTGAATTTGAGCATTAACTATAAATTGGAAAAGTAAATTTTTTGAACTATTATCAAGGCATGAAGTTATCTGATGGTCACCAATCTCAGATGTTGGCATTTGATTTAAAAGACTATCCAAACACTGCAAGGTTTCTTTTTCCTTTTATATATTCTAGATGAGAATTTGCCGAAATCTGAAAAGTTGCTAAATTCTTCCACGCTCCCAATAAATCCCTTAAATTCTAATCTTTGCTAGCATGTAACCTAAACTTCCTCTAATATATATACAAATACCAAAGATTCACCAGGAAAATATTGGGACTCTGCATGTCTCCTTTCAATGGGACTAAGTGCCTGAGATTCAACCAGTGGGTGACATGCATTGATGCAAACACGTATTTTCAGGTTTTATGGATTTTCAGAAGAAGTAGAGAATTTGGTTTTCTGTAAATTCTCAAAATTTTAAATCCTTCTAGGTAATTTAATTAAAATGAAATAAACAAGTTTGTATGCCAAATTGAACATATATGTGTGTCAAATAGAATCCATGGGCTGTTAAACTGAAATCTCACAATTACCAATAAGCCCATTGAACTCTCATGAATGAGGCAATGAACAAATGTATAAATAACTTTCTCAACCAGTTTGGCATAAAGAGCAAAGGGTGACAAGAACATCTGATCCTGTGGTCAAAAACATCATTGTATAATCAAAATGCCTACTGCTACCACTTACTTAGATGTCTAAACTTGGACAAATTACATATACCTTCATTTTCCTCATCTGTAAAATAAAGAAACAATAGTACTTCATAAAATTGTTAAAAGAGTTAAGTGATGTCATCCATGAAAAAGCTAGTAGTCCAGTGACAGGCAAAGAAATACTCAATAAATTTTTGTTATAAGGTAGATGGTAAATATTGAAGATTTTCTAAAATTACTGAATTTGGAAACTGAATTGTAGAAAGTCAAAGATAACTCCAAGATGAGCTTCAGTTTTTAATTGTACCTAAGTATTCTCCAGCTAATTAATTCAAATTTCAGGCAAATATTCCTGTCAACACCACTAAGCCTTATAATAGCCTGAAAATAGAAACTGATCTTCAGGATAGCTGGCCTTTGGAACTTTCACGGTCTATCAAACATTTTTCCTGTGTCAAAGTTCACCTGTATATTTTTATTCTAATTTTCATGTATTGAATTTTTGGTGATGAAGAGAATTTTTTAGGTGATGAAGAGAATCCGATAATTACTAAACATTGGTAATGTATTCAGCTACAACAAAATAAATGGAACATAAGAGAAATAATTGTTGGGAGGAAGACTATAGATTTTTTATCCCTTCGTGTTGTTCAGATATACGCATTCTTTTGGATATATTTTCCTGTAATAACATTAATTTCCTGTGCATTTTTAACAACTTTATGGAATTCCATCACTTTTAGTAAACAATCTGAACTTTAAAGGGGCACTAATGAGCTGAGTATTAAATCTGAAATTCTGACTATTCATTCAAAATGAATTGCTCATGCTACACGTTTCTAAAAGGCAATTCCTGTCTTCAAATGACTGAACAATATTAATAGTATCTCAAAGTTTAAATCTGAAAACTACTACAACTACACATGCAGAAAAAAAACACATTGCCATAGGAAAATATAATAACATATTAAGTTTATCTTTTTAAAATATAACATTGTAAAAATTACTACTTATTTCCTGGAACATAATTTTCTGTAATGGTTATTAGCTAAAATCTGAAACTACATTGGAATGTATATATATGAGTGTATATATAAGCAAGTAAATATTTTTCTCTCACCTATTGACATAATTTGCATATATTTTTACTCTCAGGTTACTTTAGACTTTAGTAATGTTGACCAAAAAATGAAATAATAGGCACTGGAACTTGCAGAAATCAGATTTATTCTGAGCCAAGTATGAAGATTTAAGCCTAGAGAACACAAACTCAGTACAGACCAAGAATGTATTCCAAAGTAGATTACATGAAGCACAGTACATATACATTTCCTAATAGGGGGAGACATACATCACCGAAGACAGGAGAAGTGGGTAGTTAAGCAAGAATTTCATTCTTATAATTCTGATTGGTGCTCAGTGATGCTATACATAAGATAAGGTAAACATGCAGTTGAGTGAGCAGGGAGAAAGTTTAGGCATATTAGGGCGGGTGGAGGGTGACTGATTGCATCCAGTCTTGTTCTATATCTAATAAACGGGTTTATAACCAGTATCTGTCAGTAAAATATTTAACTCCGGTTACTCAGGCAAGGGCTAAGCTTTAGCTAATAAGCCTAGGTTTTATTATCCATGTGCCTGACTGCAGCCATCATGGGCCATTGTTAAGATTTTCTTTTGAATTTTCCTTTTTCTAACAGTAATAAGGTTTACATTTTTAATTGTAAGTAGATGTTTATTATGGTGTTGTTGTAAATGTAATTTTAGGTAAAGGATAAACTGTATTTGCTATACTAATGTGTTAGATAAGATGGAATTTTAGAATTTGCACTATATTTTGTTTTGTTACAGGAGACAATGTTAATGAGATTTTCTTGAATTTTTGTATTTATAGTATCTAACAGGGTTCAAATTTAACATGGTGCATCTTTCCCTGTGGCAGTTGACTACTAATAGGGGCATTTAAGCCTCCATTCTTCCAAATGTCATTGCAATTGATATATAATGTTCTACATCAATACTATTCTGCCCTAAACTAGCTAAGATTACACATGCTGGAAGAATAAGGACATTGGTATTCTGATAAACTTATTGGCTCTGTTCTCCCCACCAACATATAAATCCTGGAGCAAAAATCAGAAGAGGGAAAGGAAACGATGAAAGAAACAGTTTAGCTGTCTTACAAAAGACTGAAGAAAACTCTTGGAAGCAATGATAGATTCCAAACCCCTTTCTACTTATGATCATTTGTCTACATTTAGAGTGCCTGGCATTATTCGATAGTGTTGTATTGTGACAAATTTCTCCCCAATAGATTCAATTTTTATTATCCTTTTGTGTCCGCAAAGCTCCTCAAATTGTTCCCTGTTATTGACTCTTGTGTATCCCGAACTTGCAGAATATTCTCTTTTTCTGGGCCTCACTAACAAATCTATCTATAGATTTTTATACTTCATTCAAACCTTTTAAACTTCAGAACACATTGAGATTTGTCTCTTTATCATTCACCCCATACACTGACCCTATTCAATCCTGTTAGGCGAGACATGATGGAGGACTGAATAGCCACCCCAATATTGATTCAGAAAAGAAATACAGCGACAAAAATTGATGACAAATTCAGAATTAGATATAATAGGTAAGTTTCTAATATCCAGGAAAAAAGCTGATACTTAGATGTCAGTAGGAAGATCTAAGAATCAAAACAGGAAAATTTCAAAAAAAAAAGTAGTATAGGAAGAATATATCCATGGAGGAAACTGAAGGTTAAGAATTAAGAAAAATCATCTAGGTACCAGAACAAAGGGAAAAATATCAAATGAATACATCAACAAAGTCTTTCTTCAGGCCATTGGATATTGTAAAAGGCTGCATAATATCTGGTATCACTGCTTATACTATTGGAGCTGTTCATCTAGGTCAACTGAAAAAAAATTGTGAGCATTAATAAGAGCTCTAATCAGAAAGTTTTCACTTTACCATACACACAGTTTCTCATTCTTTTCTCTAGGGCTTTCTACTAGCAAATGAGAATGATCATCTTTTCTTTCTTTGTGTCTGTTGCAAAATATTTTCCCCTTTGACTATGAGTAGGTTTATAAGACAATTATTTATTTTGTGTGTGCGTGTGTGTATGGAGGAAAGTATATTCTCTTTCTTTCTTTTTTTTTTTTTTTTTTGAGACAGAGTCTTGCTCTTCTGTCACCTGCTCTGGAGTGCAGTAACGTGATCTCGGCTCACTGCAACCTCCGCCTCCCGGGTTCAAGCTATTCTCCAGCCTCAGCCTCCCAAGTAGCTGGGATTACAGGCATGCACCACTGCGTCTGGCTAATCCTTGTATTTTTAGTACAGATGGGGTTTCACCATATTGGCCAGGCTGATCTCGAACTCCTGACTTCAGGTGATCTGCCTGCCTCGGCCTCCCAAAGTGCTGGGATTACAGGCGTAAGCCACCACACCTGGCTGTAAAGTATATTCTTATGATTCTCTTTATTCCTCACATCTTTTCTTTGTTCCTTCATTCCTGATTTTATTATTATTTCATATTCATTTTATGCTTGCATTCAAATCTAACACTATTTGATTTTCTTTTCAAACTGTTCTATCTTAGGCCATTCAAAGTTCATTTAGTTGTATCTTTGTTTCCTTCTTTGTCATAGTTCCACCAATCTGTTTTTTTTAGCACTTCTTTATTTGATAACATTACAAGATCCCCAAGATATATCCTCTGTATTTTTGCCCCATCCATAGAATAATCTATTTATTCAAGTCACCCTGGTACCTTTTATTGGAGAACTGTATGAGAAAAAAAATCCTGTGACACTGGTCTGACTGTTACCATTTAGGCTTTGTGTTTCCAAACTCTCCTGGCTGACAGACAAGGAAATATATGTGAGTATACTAATTGTGTGTATGTACATATCTATAATTACTTATCCATTTAATGATCTGTATGTATATCAAGCTAAAAATGAGGCTATATAGATGTCACCATAACTAATCTATTACCACGTGTATCATTCTAGCTTCCTACTCTTTTGTTTGTCTTCCATTCCAACAGTGAGAAATCTGGCTTTCAGTATCTAACATCCAATAATTTAATGGTTCAATTACAGTTTGCATACATAGAGGTATTCAAATTGCCAATCTGAATTCTATCCCTGCAGAAAATGACTTTATCAACTAGGTTATGGTATTCATGTACAGTTCATTTTGCCTTAATCTGGCTGTCTTCACTCATTCCCAAAGTTACTTAGGAAAGCACCTCTCATCTTGTTCAGAGAGAGTGTTTCATACATTTCTTACACAGGTAGATTGCTTACTCATAATGGTACCCAATCCTAGTATCTCTTCACCTCCTAAATGATTACTTCAATTTACATACATCAATATTTACTCTTTATGGTGTGAGGTTATCTTTTGTGTTGCCAAATACATTAGCGTCATGTATCAACAATTACCGTATCACAGAGAATAGTTTTACCACTTTAAAAAGCCCTCTAGACTTTACCTACTGAAATTTCACATCATCTCCTACCCCTACCTCCTCTCTCCCCTGGAAACCACTAATCTGTTTACTATTTCTATAATGTCTTTTAAAAATGTCATATAATTGGAATCATAAAGGATATGGTCTCTTCAGACTGCTTTCTTTCACTTAGCAATACACATTTAACATGTCCCCACTTTCCTGTGGCTTGGTAGCACTTTTAGTCTGGTCATTGTTGGATAATATTGCACTGTTTGGAAGTACCACAGCTTGTTTATCTATTCATCTATTGAAGGACATCTTGGTTGCTTCCAGTTTTGGGCAGTTACAAATAAAGTGGTCATCATTTCTGCATACAGGTTTTTGTACAGAAAAATAATTTCAAAATATTTGGGTAAAAATCTGCGACCACAAGTTCTGCATCATAACACTATGATAACATTTGTAAAGACAGTGGAAAACTGTCTTCCAGAGTGGCCATACCGTTTTGCATTTCTTACATTGGTAAAGAATTACTGTTAAATAAATATAATCTCCTCTTCCTTCACATCTTCACCACCTCACCAGTATTTGGTATTGTCAGGTTTTGGGGGTTTTATTCATTTATTTATTTTTCTTCATCTAACAGGAAATAGTGGTAATTCTTCATATCAATTCAAAATTACTAATAACAAATGATGTCTGTCATCTTTTTGTATGCTTTCTTGCCATTTCTATATCTTCTTTAGTAACGTTTGGATCTTTAGCCCGGTTCACTTAGGTTATTTTAATGTTGCTGCGTTTAAAAAGTTCTTTATATATTTTGGATACACAGTAAGTCTGTATGTATTTCTTAGAGATGCTGTAACAAAATACCATGAATTTAGTGGCTTCAAACAACAGAGATTTATCATCTCCTATTTCTGGAGGCTAAAAGTTCAAAATCAAGGTATTGGCACATGTATCCTTCCTCAGAAAGCTCTACAGTAGACTCTGTTCTTGCCTCTTCCTGGTTTCAAGTGGTTGATGGCAATCCTTGACATTTTCATGGCTAGGTGATATATCTCCATTTCTCCAGAATTGGTCCCTGGTTCCTTTCTTAGTTCATTTTGTGGGGCCATGTTTTCTTGGATTGTCTTGATATTTGTACATGATTGTCTGTGATTGGACCTTGAAGAGTTAGGTATTTATTGTAGTCTTTGCAGTCTGGACTCGTTTGTACCTGTCCTTGGGAAGGCTTTTCAGACGAGAGATGACTTGACTGCTGTGATTTAATCTGTGTGTGCTTTAGGTGGGACCCCTAAAGAAACATAATTTCAATCTCTGACTCTGCCTTCACATGGCATTCATTGTGTGTCTATGTCCGTTTTCTCTTCCTGTGTAGACTTGAGTCAAGGGGTTAGAGACTGCCCTCAGAAGTTCCTAATCCAATGTGATTTCATTTGAACTTAATTATATTAGAAAAGACCTTATTTCCAAAAAAGGTTTGAAATTGCAGTTAAAGTTATCAGAGAGACCTGAATTTTGGAGAAACGCCACTTAAAACAGTACAAAGTCCTTTATTAGATATGTATTTGAAAAATATTTTCTTATGGTGTTTTCTTGTCTTTTCATTCTTTTAGCTGTATTTTTTTTATAAAGCAGATGTGTTTAACTTTCAAAAATTCTGTATCAATCATTTTTTTCTTTATTTGATAATCAGTTTTTTTGTTATTGTTGTATGTAAAAATGCGTTGTCAAATCTAAGGTAACCTACATTTTCTTCTATATTTTCTGCTAAAAATAAAAAAAAAAAGTTGTGCATATTATTTAGATTTTACGTTTGAATTTATGGTCCATTTTAAGTTATTTTTAATGAAATATTTAACGTCTGTATCTAGATGTCTTTTCTTTTCTCTTTTCTTTTTTTGTGGTATATGGATGTCCAATTATTCTAGCACCTCATTGAAAAGACTGTCCTTTCTTTATTGAGTTTTTATTGCTCTATTGCCCAAGATCTGTTTATTATATTTGTGTGCATCTACTTCTGAACTCTTAATTCTGTTAAGCTATTTGCCAAACCTTTCGCCAATACCACACTATTTGATTCCTGTAGCTTCAGAGTAAGTCTTGAAGTCAGGTATAGGGGTGCACCCCTTTGGTTTTTTTCAGTGTTGTGTTTCCACTTGATTCTATATATTGTGCTTTTTCACATATTATTTAGAACAGGTTTTTCAATATCTATAAAATAACTTCTGAGATTTTGATTAGAATTATACTGCATCTATAGATCCATCTGGGAATAATTAAGTTGTTTTCATTGTTGAGCCTGCCAATTCAAGAACACAGAATATCTCTACATTTATTTAGATAGCGACTTTATCAGAATTTTGAAGTTTCATGCATATAGGTCCTATATGCATTTTGTTAGAATTTTAGCTGAAGACTTCCCTATTTTTGATACTATTTCAAATGTATGCTGTTATAACTCTTAAATTTATATGTTCATTGATGATATATACAAAGAAAGGCAATTGATTTTATATATTCATCTTATATTCTGAGATCTCACAATATTTGCTTATTTGTTCCAGGTTTTTGTGATATTTTCGGGATTTTTGAGATACAGTATCAAGTCATTTGAGAGCAAAGAAGATTTTACATTTTTTGTTATACACATACTTTTAGTTTCTGTTTCTTGTCAATTGCTTTGCCTAGGTCTTTCAGTAAAATATTGAATAGGAGTGATGAGTAGAAACTTTTGCCTTGTTCTGATCTTAGCAGGAGAATCTGTCCATTTTTTTTACATTAAGTATGATACTGTGTTATTTGAGATATTCTTTACCAAGTTGAAACAAATTGTCTCTATTTTAATTTTGCTTCGAGGTTTTATAATAAAAGAGTGTTAGATTTTTTTTCAGATGATACTTCTGCTTCTGTACCATCATGTCATTTAGAAAATTTTATTTATTTTTTAACTTCTAGAACAAATTTTTTCTTTTTTTAACTTTTATTTTAGATTCAGCATATATATGCAGGTTTGTTGTATAGGTAAACTGCATGTCACAGGGGTTCGGTGCAAAAATTATTTCATCATAGTACCTGATAGGTAGTTTTTTGACAGTTATGTTCCTCCCATCCTCCACCTTCAAGCAGGCTCCAGTGTGTGTTATCCTCTACTTTGTGTTCATGTCTACTCAATGTTTAGCTCCCACTTAAAAGTAAGAACATGTGGTATTTTATTTTCTGTTCCTACATTAATATGCTTATGATAATGCTCTCCAACTGCTTCCATGTCGCTGCAAAGGACATAATTTTATTTTTTGGCTGTATAGTATTCTATGCTGTATATGTAAAACATTTTCTTAGGATTTTCTTGGCTGTATGGGCTCTATTTTGGTTCCATATGAATTTTAAAGTAGCTTTTTTTTCTAATTCTGTGAAGAATGTCAATGGTAGTTTGATAGCATTGAATCTATAAATTACTTTGGACAGTACGGTCATTTTCATGATATTGATTCTTCCCATCTATGAGGATGGAAAGCTTTTCCATTTGTTTGTGTCCTGTCTTATTTCCTTGAACAGTGGTTTGTAGTTCTCCTTGAAGAGGTCGTTCACATCCCTTGTTAGCTGCATTCCTAGGTATTTTATTCTCTCTGTAGCAATTGTGAAGATGAATTCATTCATGATTTGGCTCTCTGCTTGCCTATTGTTGGTGTATAGGATTGCTTCTGATTTTTGCACACTGATTTTGTACCCTGAGAATTTGCCAAAGTGCTTATCAGCTTAAGGAGTTTGGGGGCTTAGAAAATGGGGCTTTCTAAATATAGGAGCATGCCATCTGCAAACAGAGATAATTTGTCTTCCTCTCTTCTTATTTGAATACTCTTTATTTCTTTCTTTTGCCTGATTGATGTGGCCAGAACTTCCAATACTATGTTGAATAGGAGTGGTAAGAGAGGGCATCCTGTCTTGTGCTGGTTTTCAAAGGGAATGTTTCCAGCTTTTGCCTATTCAGTATGCTATTGGCTGTGGGTTTGTCATAAATAGCTCTTATTATTTTGAGCTCCAAGACAATCCTAAGCAAAAATAACAATGCTGGAGGGATAGCGCTACCTGACTTCAAACTATACTGTAAGGCTACAGTAACCAAAACAGCATGGTATTGGCACCAAAACAGACATATAGACCAATTAAACAGAATAGAGATGTCAGAAATAAGATCACACATCTACAACCATCTGATCTTTGACAAACCTGACAAAAACAAGCAATGGGAAAATGATTCTCTATTTAATAAATGATGCTGGGAAAACTGGCTAGCCATATGCAGAAAACTAAAACTAGACCCCTTTCTAACACCTTATACAAAAATTAACTCAAGATGAATTAAAGACTTAAATGTAAAACCCAAAATATTAATAACCCTAGAAGAAAACCTAGGCAATACCACTCAGGATGTAGGCATGGCCAAAGATTTTATGATTAAATCGTCAAAAGCAATTGCAGCAAAAGCTAAAATGGACAAATGGGACTGAATTAAACTAAAGAGCTTCTGCACAGCAAGAGAAATTAGCATCAGAGCCAATAGGCAACTTAACAATGGGAGAAAATTTCTGCAATCTACACATCTGACAAAGGTCTAATATCCAGAATCTACAAGGAACTTAAACAAATTTACAAGAAAAAACAAACATCCTATCAAAAAGTGGGCAAAGGAAATGAACAGACACTTCTCAAAAGAAGGCATTTATGTGGCCAACAAACATATGAAAAAATGTTCAACATCGCTGATCATTAGAGAAATGCAAATGAAAACCACAACGAGATATTATCTCATGCCAATCAGAATGGCAATTAGTAAAAAATCAAGAAACAACAGATGCTAATGATGCTGTGGAGAAATAGAAACACTTTTACACTGTTGGTGGGAGTGTAAATTAGTTCAACCACTGTGGAAAACAATGTGGTAATGCCTCAAAGATCTAGAACAAGAAATACCATTTGACCCCACAATCCCATTACTGGGTATATACGTAAAGGAATATAAATTGTTCTATTATAAAGATACATGCCCACATATTTTTATTGCAGCATTATTCACAATAGCAAAGACATGCAACCAACCCAAATGCTCATCAACGATAGACTGGATAAAGAAAATGTGGTACATATACACCATGGTCTCCAATGCAGCCATAAAAATAAATGAGATTATGTTCTTTTCAGGGACATGGATGAAGCTGGAAACCATCATTCTCAGCAAACTAACACAGGAACAGAAAACCAAACACCGCATGTTCTCACTCATGAGTGTGAGTTGAACAATGAGAACACATAGACACAGGGAGGGAAACAACACACATTGGGGCCTGTCGCAGGTTGGGGGCAGGGGAGAAAGAGCATCAGGACAAACAGTTAATGTGTGTGGAGCTTAAAACCTAGGTTACAGGTTGACAGGTGCAGCAAAACACCATGGCACATGTATACCTATGTAACAAACCTTCACGTTCTGCACATGTATCACAGAACTTAATATAAAAAAATTAAAAAGTGTATCTTATCAAGTCTACCATTGATAGGCATTTAAGTTGATTCCATGTCATTGTTATCAGAAATAGTGCTGTGATGAACATACACATGCATGTGTCTTTGTGGTAGAATAATTTATATTCCTTTGGGTATATACCCAATAATGGGATTGCTAGGTCAAATAGTAGTTCTCTTTTAAGTTCTTTGAGAAATTGCCACACTGCTTTGCACAATGGCTGAACAAATTTACATACTCATGAGCAGTATATAAGCATTCCCTTTTCTCTACAACCTTGACAGCATCTGTTAGTTTTATTTTTATTTTTTTTTGGCTTTTTAGTAATAGCCACTTTGACTGGTGTGACATGGTATTTCACTGTGGTTTTGATTTACATTTCTCTAATAACTAGTGATGTTGAGCATTTTTTCATATACTTGTTGGCCTCTATGTATGTCTTCTTTTGAAAAGTGTCTGTTCGCTTCCTTTGCCCACTTCTTAATGAGGCTCTTTTTTTCGCTCGTAAATTTGTTTAAATTCCTTTTGGATACTGGATATTAGACCTTTGTTGGATGCATAGTTAGCACAAATTTTCTCCTATTCAGTTGGTTGTCTGTTTACTCTGTTGATGGATTCTTTTGCTGTGCAGAAGCTCTTTAGTTTACTTTGATCCCATTAGTCAATGTTTTTGTTACAATTGCTTTTGGCATCCTTGTCATGAAATCTTTGCAAAAGCATATGTCCAGAGTGGTATTTCCTAGGTTTTATTCTGGGGATTTTATAGTTTTATAACATTCAAGTCCTTAATCCATTTTGATTTGACTTTTGTATATGTGTGAAAAAGTGGTTAAGTTTCAAACTTCTACATATGGCTAGCCACTTATCCCAGCACCATTTATTGAATGGAGAATCCTTTCCTCATTATTTGTTCTTGCTGACTTTATCAAAAATCAGATGGCTATAAGTGTGTGGTATTGTTTCTGGGCTCTCTATTCTGTTCTATTGGTCTACATGTCTCTTTTTGTACCAGTACCATGCTGCTTTGGTTTATGTAGCCTTGTAATATAGTTTGAAGTCAGGTAACATGATATCTCCAGCTTTCTTAATTTTTTCTTAGGATTTGCTTTGGCCATTCAGGTTTTTTTGTTGTTATTCCATAGGAATTGTAGAATACTTTTTTCTACTTTTGTGTAAAATATCATTGGTTGTTTGATAGGAATAGTATTGAATCTCCAATATAATTTGGCAGTATAGCCATTTAAATGATATAGATTCTCCCTACTCATGATTTCTTTCTATTTGTGTCCTCTCTGATTTCTTTAAGCAATTATTTGTAATTCTCATTGAATTACATAGAAATCTTTCATCTCCCTGGTTAGCTGTGTTACTATGTATTTTAATTTTTTTGTGGCTATTTTAAATGATATTGCATTTTTTGATTTGTCAGCTTTGATGTTGTTGGTGTAAAGTAATGGTATTTGTTCCATACATTGATTTTGTATCGTGAAACTTTGCTTAAGTGGTTTGTCAGATCTAGAGGTTTTTTGTTTGTTTGTTTTTTAGAAAAGACTGTGGCATTTTCTAGGTATAAAATCAAATCATGTACAGAAATTGTTTTATCTCTTCTCTTCCTATTTGGATGTCCTTTCTTTCTTTCTCTTGCCTGATTTTTCTGGCCAGGACTTCCAGTACTATGTTGAATAACACAGTTAGAGTGAGTATCCTTGTCTTTTTCCAGTTCTTAAGAGGAATCATTCCAGGTTTTGCCCATTCATTGTATTATTGGCTCTGCATTTGTCATAGATGGTTCTTAATACTTTAAGCCACATTCCTTAAATACCTACTTTGTTTATGGCTTTTAACACAAAGGGTGTAAGAATTTCATTGAAAGGCTTTTCTGTGTCTATTAAGATATTCATGTGCTTTTTTTGTTTTGTTTTTTAGTTATCTTTGTGTGATGAATCACATTTATTGCTTTGTGTTTATTGAACCATCCTTTCATCACAGGCATAAAGCTTACTTGATCATGGTAGATTAGCTTTTTGATGTGCTGCTGAATTTGGCTTGCTGGTGTTTTGTGGGTGATTTTTGCATCTGTTTATCTAAGATGTTGGCATAAAGTTCTCTTTTTTTGTTGTTGTGTCTCTACCAAGATTTGCTATCAGAATGCTGCTGACCTCATAGAATCAGTTAGGGTGGAATCATTTCTCCTCAATTTGTTGTAACAGATTCAGTAGGAATGGTACCAGATATCCTTACTACATCCGGTAGAATTCGGTTGTGAATCTGTTTGGTCCAGAGATTTTTGTTTTGGCTGGTAGGCTATTTATTACTGGTTCAATTTCAGAACTCACTACTGTTCTGTTCAGGGATTCAGTTTCTTCATGGTTCAATTTTGGGAGGTTGTATGTTTCCAGAAATGTATCTGTTTCTTGTAGGACTTCTAGTTTGTGTCCATAGAGGTGTTTTTTGAGTGTTTTAAGTATTTCTGTGCGATTGATGATAATGTCTCCTTTGCCATTTATGATTGTGCTTATGTGGCTCTTCTCTCTTTCTTTCATTAGTCTAATGGTCAATCAATTAAATTTTTCAAAAAACTGACTTGTCTAATTAATCTCTTATATGATTTTTCATGTGTCAATTTCATTCAGTTCACCTCTGAGTTTGGGTATTTATTGTCTTCTGCTAGCTTAGGGGTTGGTTTGCTCTTGTTTTTCTATTTCCTCTAGGTGTGATGTTTAGTTGCGAATTCGGAATCTTTCTAACTTTTTGATGTGGGCATTAAGTGCTATAAACTTTCCTCTTAACACGGCTTTAGCTGTGTCCCAGGAATTCTCATATGTTGTATCTTTGTTTTCATTAGTTTCAAATAATTGCTTCATTATTGCCTCAATGTAGTTGTTTACCAAAAAGTCATTCAAGAGCAGGTTGTTTAATTTCTATGTGTTTGAATGATTTTGAATGATCTTATTTCTATATTATTTCTATATTATTGTGCTGTTATCCAAGAGTGGTTGAGATGATTTTGATTTTCTTGAATTTGCTGATAATTGTTTTATGAACAACTAAGTGGTCAATTTTAGAGGATGTGTCATGTGTGGATGAGAAGAATGTATATTCAGTTGTTTTTGAATGGAAACTTCTGTAGAGGTCTGTTAAGTCCACTTAGTCAAGTGTCAGGTTCAGGTTCTGAATATCCATCTTTGTTTAATGCCTCAGTGATTGGTCTAATATTGTTATTTGGGTTTTGAAGTCTCCCATTATTATTGTGTGTGAGTCTAAGTCTCTTAATGGTTCTCTAAGAACTTGTTTTATGAATATTGGTGCTCCTGTGTTGGGTGCATATATATTTAGAGTACTTACATTTTTTTTCCCTATTTGAACACTTTACTGTTATGTAATGCTCTTCTTTATCTTTTTTTCATTGTTGTTGGTTTGAAGTCTGTTTTGTCTGAAATAAACCTTCTCTTTTTTTGTTTTCTATTTGCTTGGTAGATTTTTCTCCATCCCTTTACTTTGAGCCCTTGGATGTCATTGCATGTGAAATGGGTCTCCTGAAGGCAGCATAAGGTTAAGACTTTATTCTTTATCCAACTTCCCACTGTGTACCTTTTAAATAGAGCATTTAGCCCATTTACATTCAAGGTTAATGTTGATATGTGCATATTTCATTTCTCATCATGTTGTTAGCTGGTTATTATGCAAACTAGATTGTGTGGTTGCTTTACATTGCCAATGGCCTATGTATTTCAGTGTGTTTTTTTGGTGGCAGTAATGCTCTTTTGTTTCCACATTTAGCACTTCCTTAAGGATCTCCTGTAAGAGAGGTCTGGTGGTAATGAATTATCTTAGCCTTTGTTTGTCTGAAAAGGATCTAATTGCTCCTTTGATTATGAAGCTTAGTTGGCTGGATATGAAATCCTTGGTTGGAATTACTTTCTTTAAAAATGCTGAATATAGGCCCCCAATCTCTTCTGCCTTGTAGAGTTTCTGCTGAAAGGTACACTGTTAGCCTGGTGGGATTGCCTTTGTAGGTGACTTTCCCCTTCTCTCTAGCTTCCTTTAATTTTTTTTTTCTTTTATGTTGACTTTGAAGAATCTGATGACTATGTGTTTTGGAGATTGTTGTCTTCTATCGCAGCATACGAGTGTTCTCTGCATTTTTTTAATTTAAATCTGTAGTGTTGCTCCTTCATTTATTTACGATATGGGTAATTTTATATCCTAATATTTTCTTGGATATTCTGGCTAGAGGCTTATCAAATTTATTGTTTTAAATTAAAAACCATATTTAAATGTATTGGTTTTATCCAATAGTTTTCTATTTTTAATTTCACTGTTTTTTGTTATAATTTAATTTTCTTTCCTTCTGTTTTACTAGGGCTTAAATTGTTCTCCTTTTTCTAGTTTCTCAAAGTAGAAGACTGGAGTACTGATAGCAAGAAAAAATTATTTCCTAATACATGCATATGAATTTTATAAATTTTCATCTATGCTCTGATTTTGCCAAATAGCGGAAATGCTGATAAAATTAATTTTATTTGCATTTAGTTCAAAATACTTTAAAATTTTTCTTCAGACACCCTTTTTGGTCTATCTTTCCCTTTAGATATATATTTAATCTGTAAGTACTTGGGAAATTTTCCAGCTGTCTTCTGTTATTGAATAGTTTTTGAAAAACTATTATATAAAGTATATAACTATAAATTATATATTTATTAATACATATTTGTAATACATAAATTATTAATACATAATATTTATTAATACATAAATATCACACATTATTAACACAAGATGTTTATTAATACATAATTATTACATAAATATTATATAATGTTATATAATATATTAATATATAATATATTAATTGTATATTATATATAATTTATATATAACATATAAATGTGTATTAATAAATGCACATAATAATATAAATATTATGTATTAATAAATATGCTTGATATTAATATGCTCAATATTAATTAATATTAATATCGATTAATATGCTCAATATTAATATGCTCAATATTTATTAATACATATTGAGCATATTTATGATTTCTGTCTTAATTCCTGATGAAATCTAATGGATTTGTCCATTTTTACTAGCAGTTCCATTCATTTTTGCCTCATCTATTTTGGTACTATTTGTTTATGTGCATGTATATTAAGAATTCTATTTCTTCATGGATAATTGACTCTTTTTCATTATGTAAAATATTGATTTATCCTTGATCAGTATGCTATGTCTGAAATTTATATAGTATCCTCAGTTTTCTTTTGCTTAGTGTTATCAAGGTAAATCTATTTATACTTTTTTAATTTTATAACATATATGAATCCTTATATTTATGGTAGAATTCTTACAGACCATGTATAATTATTTCTTGCAGTTTTAACCTTAGCAGTTTATAATATTTGTACATGTTTATAATATTTGTACATGTACATTTGTACATCACATGGTACATGTGATGTTTCATTACATGTATACAGAGTATAATGATCAAGTAAAAGATTTAAGGGTATCCTTCATCTTGAGCATTTGTCATTTCTATGTGTTGAGAACATTTCAAGTTCTGTCTTATAGCCCTTTTGAAATGTAAAATATATTGATGTTAACAATAGTCTTATACCCTGATGTCAAAGATTAGAACTTATTCCTTCTATCTCAAGGTATGTTTGCTCCCATGCTCCCATTAACCAACCTCTCTTTATGCACCTCTCACGCACACACTTTTACCAGCCTCTAGTTTCTATTATTCTGCTCTCTAACTCTAAGAAATCAACAATTTTAGCTTCCACATATGAATGGGAGCAACATTTGTTATTCCGTGCTTGGCCCTGGCTTATTCCACTTAATATAATGACCTGCATTTCTATTCATATTGCTTCAAATGACAGTATTTACTTCTTTTCTATGACTAAGTAGTATTTCATTTAAGTATGTACCACTTTTTTTATTAATTCCTCTATTGATGGACATTTAGGTTGATTCCATATCTTTGCTATTGTAAGTAGTGCTTTAATAAACATGAAGGTGCAGGTATCCCTTTGGTATACTGATTTATTTCCTTGGTATGAATGCCCAACAGTGGGATTGCTGGATCATATGGTGGTCCTGTTTTTAGTTTTTGAGAAATCTCCATACTGTTTTTCATAGAGGCTATACTAATGTATAGTTTAATTAACATTTTATAAAAGTTCCTTTCTCTCTGCATCCTTGTCAGCATATATTATTTTTTGTCTTTTTAATAATAGCCATTCTTACTGGCTAAAATGCCTATTTAATGATTGCCATTTAGTAATAGCCATTCTAACTGAGATAAAATATCTCACCGAGGTTTTTATTTCCTTTTCCTTGATGGTTAATGATGCTGAACTTCTTTTATATATCTTTGGGCCATTTTTTTGTCTTCTTGTGGGAAATGTCTATTCATATCCTTTGCCCACATTTCAATATATGGGCAAATATTAACATTATTATTAATCAATATCATTATTATTAATTTATTAATATTAATATTATTAATATTGATTATTAATGTTATTATTATTTTATCACTGAATTGTTAGTTTCTTATACATTCTGGATATTAGCCCCTTGTCAAACGAATAGCTTGCCAATATTTTCTTCAATTCAACCTATCATCCCTTCACACTGTTCATTATTTTGAAGTGCAGAAGCTCTTTACTATTGTTCTTATTTCTCTATTTTATCTTGCCAGTGCATTTGAAATTTTAGCCATAAAATATTTGCCTAAACCAATGTCTTGAAGTGTTTTACCTGTGTTTTCTTCTAGCAATGTTACAGTATGGAGTTTTATGTTTAAGTGTTTAATCCATTTTGAGTTGATTTTTTGTATATGGTTAGGGAGAGGGGTTCTATTTCATTCTTCTATGCTAAGATATTCAACTATCCAATTTTCCCAGCATTATTTATTGGAAAGTGTTTCCTTTCCCCAATGTATGTTTTTGTTATCTTTGTCAAAAATCAGTTTTCAGAAAATATATGAATTTATTTCTGGTTTCTCTATTCAGTTCCACTCTTCTGTGTGTCTAGTTTTATGCCAATAACATGCTGCTTTGGTTACTATAGCCCAGCAGTATATTTTAAAATCTGGTGGTGTAGTGCCTACAGCTTTGTTCTTTTATCTCAGGATTGTTTTGGCTATTTGGGCTATTTTTAGGTTCAACATAAATTTTAGAATTGTTTTATTCCATATTGTGAAAAATGGCATTGGCATGTTAATAGGAATTGCATTGAATCTTTGGATTGCATGGGGATTAATGGTCACTTTAACAATATTAATTGTTCTGATCCATGACCATGGGATAGTCATCCATTTGTTTGTGTCCTCTTCAATTTCTTCCATCAGAGTTTTGTGGTTTTCCTTTCAAAGGTTTTTTCACCTCTATGAGTAACTTTATTCCTAGGTATTTTATTTTATTTTTGTAGACTTTGTAAATGACATTTTCTTTTTTATTTCTTTCCCAGCTGGTTCATTACTGATGTATAGAAATTTCACTGATTGATTTGTCTACATTGGTTTTATATCCTACAAATTTACTGAAATTATTTATAAGATCTAAGAGTAGTTTGGTGGAGTCTTTAAGTTTTTCTAGATATAAGATTCAGTGATCTACAAAGAAGGACAATTCGACTTCTTCTTTTTCAATTTTATTTTATTTCTTTCTTTCTCTTTTCTAATTTCTATGTCTAGAGTTTTCAGTACTAGGTTGAATAGGAATTGTGAGAGTGGGCATTCTTGTCTTGTTCCAGGTCTTAAAGAAAAGGCTTTCAGCTTTTCCTCATTTAGAATGATGTTAGCTGTGGGTTTATTATTACTATATGTGATCTTTATTATGTTCAGGTATGTTATTTCTGTGCCTAGTTTGTTGAGAATTTTTAGCATTAAGGATGTTAAATTTTATCAAACATTTTTCTATGTCCACTAAGATGACTAGAGGGTTTTTTTCTTCATTTTCTTGATGTGATGTATAATGTTTATTGATTTGCATATATTAAACCATCCTTGCATCTCAGCAATAAGTCTCACTTGATCACGTATTGTCTATTGATAATTGATAGAGTGATCAATACATATCTATTGATCAATCAATATATGATTTGTTGATCATGTATTGATGTGCTATTGGATTCAACTTGCTAGTATTTTTTTTTTTATTTTTCCATCTATGCTCATTAGGGATATTGGCCTGTAGTTTTCTTTTTATTTTGGTTGCATTCTTGTCTGGTTTGGTATCAGGATAATGCTGGCCTTGTAGAATTAGTCCTTAGTGAGAATTCCCTCTTATTCCAATTTTTGAATACATTAAGAAGTGCTTTTAGTTCTTTGTAAATTTGGTAGAGTTCAGCAGTGAAGTTGTCCATTCCTCTCCTTTCCTTTGTTGAAAGATTTTTCAGTACCAATTCAATTTCATTACTTGTATTGTCCTATTTGAGTTTTCTATTTCTTCCTAATAAAACCTTTGTAGGTTGTAAGTGTCCAGGAATTTATCAATTTCCACTAGGGTTTCCAGTTTATTACTAAGTCATTGTTAATAATAGTTTTTAATGATCATTTATATTTCTGTGTTGTTAGTTGCTGTTTCTCCTGTTTTGTTTCTGACTTTATTTGGGTATTCTCTTTTTTTCTTGGTTCATCTAGCAAATAGTTTATTGATTTTATCTTTTCAAAAAAATGAACTTGCATTTCACTGATTATTGTAATGTTTTAGTGTCTATTTCATTTAATTATGTCTAATCTTTGTTATTTCTTTCCTTCTAATTTTAGGTTGGGTTCATTCTTACTGTTATAGTTCCTTGAAGTGCACCATTAGTTTTACATTTCTACTTTTATGATGTAAATATTTATTACTATAAACTTTCCTATTAGCATTACTTTTACTGTCTCTCCTGAGTTTGGTATGTTGTGATTCAATTTTCATTTGTTTCAAGAAATTTGTGATATCCTCATTAATTTCTTTTTTTTTTGACCCAATGTTAAATCAGGAGCATACTGATTAATTTCTATGTATTTGTATATTTTCCAAAATTTCTCTTTTTATTCACTTCTAGTTTCATTTTGTTGTGGTCTAAGATTATACAGGATATGATTTTTGTTTTGGAAAATTTGTTAAAACTTGTTTTGTGTCCTAACATATGATGTATCATGGAGAATGTTTCATGTGCTTATGAGAATGTGTATTCTGTCATTATTGAATAAATTGTTTTGGTAATGTTTGTTAGGTCCTTTTGATGTAAAGGCAGTTTAATTTCTATCTTTCTTTGTTAACTTTCTGTCTAGATGATATTTCTAATGCTGAGAGTGCTAAAGTCTTCATCTGTTATTTTATTGGATTTATCTCCCTTTAGATCTAATCATATTTGCTTTATATATTTGGGTCTTTTGGTGTTGTGTGTATATATGTTTAAAATTGTAATATTCTCTTGCTGAATTGATCCTTTTATTGTTATATTACTTTCTTTGTCTCTTTTTTACTCTTTTCGACTTAAATTCTGTTTTATCTAATTTAATGTAGCTACTCCTGCTCACTTTTGGTTTCTGTTTGCATGGGCTATCTCTTTCATCCCTTTATTTTCAATCTATATGTGTCTTGACAACTTGACAAGGGAGTTGAGTGTCTTCTAGGCAGCATGTATTTGGGTCTTTTTTTCTGTTTGTTTGGTTTTTTCTTCTTTTTTATCCATTCAGCCAGCTTATCTTTTATGTGGAAAGTTTAATCCATTTACATTCAAGGTTATTACTGATATGTGAAGGCTTATTTCTATCACTTTGTGTATTGCTTTCTAGTTGTTTTGTATATCCTTTCTCCTTTTTTTCTATCTTATGATGATTGACATTTGGTCATTTAATATATTGATAACATGTGAATTCTTTCTTTTCCTTATTTATGTGTTTGCTCTAACAGTGGGTTTTATATTTTTGTGGGTTTTCATGATACTGTGATTGCACTTCTAGGGTTTATGTCTCCCTAAAGGATTTCTTGTAGGGTCAGTCTAATGGTGATGAAGTTTCTTAGCCTTTGATTGTCTGGAAAAGACATTTTCTAACTTCATTTATAAAGAATAACTTTGCTGGGTATAATATTTTTGACCGAACTTTTCTTTTTCTTTTCTCTTTCAGCACTTTGAAAATATTATTTCATTTTCTTGGCCTGTAAAATTTCTGCTGAAATATCCACTGTTAGTCTGATAGGATTTCTCTCATAAGTGATTAGATACTTTTCTCTTGCTTTTGTAATTCTCTTTGTCTTTGATTTTTTGCAGGTAAATACAAAGTTCCATAGAGAAGACACTGAATATCTATTTGAAAGCTTTGAATTTCCTCTATCTGAATGTATAAATTTCTGTCTAGACATAAGAAGTTTTCAGCTATTATTTGTCAACTCAATTTTCTATCGCTTTATTTTCTCTTCATCTTCTGGGACATTGGTAATTCAAATATTGGGTCACCTTATGACATCCTATATGTCACATAGAGTTTGTTCATTCTTTTTATTTCTTTCTTTTCTTTTTTTTTTTTTTTTTTTGCTTTTATCTGACTGAGTTATTTCAAAAACCTGTCTTCAAGTCATAAATTGTTTTCTTCTACTTGATTTACTTTTTTATTGCGCATGTTTTTGTTGCATTCAATTAATTATTCATTTCCAAGGTTTCTGTTTTGTGCTTTATCATAATATCTAACTCTTTGGTAAACTTCTCATTTACATCCTGAATTTTTCTTTGATTTATTTTCTTTTTTTTGTATTTTCTTGTATCTCACTGACCTTCTTTAATAACATTATTTTGAATCCTTTTTCCAGCATTTCATAAATTTCTTTTTCATTAGAACTTGTTGCTGGAGAATTATTGTGTTCCTGTGGAGGTGTTATATTTTCTTATAATTTAATGTTTCTTGTTTCCTTCCATTGATATCTGAGTAACAGTTGCTTCTTCCAATTATTTGGATTTGCTTTCATTGGGGCTTTTTCTTTAAGATTATTTATGGTGTTGATTGGGTAGAGCAAGCACTTTGGCTTTGATTCTAGGTACATACTCTAGTGTGTACTTTCCATATACTTTCTTTGGTTGTAAAGAGCATCAGTAGTTTTTGTGATTTCCTTTGTTGTTTGGGGCAGTATTGTTAGTGGAGGCTGTGGTGAAGGTTTTTCTGGGGACAGGGATGTCAGTTGGACCATCCTCAAGTCCCAGTGGTGGCAGTGGCAGGTTAAACCTGTCTGTCATTACTCCCCCAGCTTCCATACATTGGCACCAGTGTTATTGCAGTGGGTGGGCAAACATTGGCCCTCTATGTGGCTTGCTCAGTATGTGGCAGTGGCTTCATTGGCCCCAGTGAGTAAGTGGGTTCTTGAGCCCCTAGGAAAAGGGAATAAAAGGGATGATGGCAGTAGCAGTAGTGTGACAGCTTTCTGCCTCCCAAGCAATTTGTGCTAATGTTGGCAGTGGCTGACAGGGCTGGTGTATTAGTCCATTCTCACACTGCTAATAAAGACATACCTGAGACTGGGTAATTTATAAAGAAGAGAGGTTTAATTGAATCACAATTTTGCATGACTTGGGAGGCCTCAGGAAACTTACAATCATGACAAAAGGGGGAGCAAACATGTCCTTCCTTACATGGTGGCAGGAGGAAGGAAGAAATGTCCTTGTTACTTATGCAAATTTCTGCTGCTGGATTGAATTTTTCCTCAGCAATTTTTTTTTTTCTACTGCATCATCAGGCTGCAAATTTTTCAAACTTTTATACTTTGCTTCCTTTTGAACACTTTCCTGCTTAGAAATTTCTCCTGAGAGATACCTCATATCATCTCTTTCAAGTTCAAAGTTCCAGAGATCTCTAGGGCATGAGCAAAATGCCACCAGTCTCTTTGCATAGCAAGGATGACCCTTACTCCAGTTCCCAACAAGTTCCACATCTCCATCTGAGACCATCTCAGCCTCAACTTTATTGTCCATATCACTATCAGCATTTTGGTCAAATCCATTCAACAAGTTTCTAGGAATTTCCAAACTTTCCCACATCTTCTTGTCTTCCGAGCCCTCCAAGTCTCTAGGAAGTTCCAAATTTTGCACATTATCTTGTCTTCTTCTAAGCCCTCCAACCTCTTCCCACCTCTGCCTGTTAACCAGTTCCAAAGCCACTTCAAATTTTTGGGTATCCTTATAGCAGCACTCCACTCTCTGCAGTACCAATATCCTGTATTAGTCTGTTCTCACACTGCTAATAAAACGTACCTAAGACTAGGTAATTTATAAATAAAAGAGGCTTAATTGACTCACAGTTTTGCATGGCTGGAGAGGCCTCAGGAAACTTAACATCCATGGCAGAAGGGGAAGCAAATATGTCCATCTTCACATGGCAGCTAGAGAAAGAAAGAGAGCCCAGTGAAGGGGAAGCCCCTTATAAAACCATGTGATCTCGTGATAACAAACTCACTATCAGGAGAGCAGGATGAGGAAAACCACCCCCATGATTCAGTTATCTCCACCTGGTCCCTCCCACAACATGTGGGGATTACAGAAACTACAACAGAAGATGAAATTTCAATGTGGATACAGCCAAACCATATCAGCTGGGAAGGCTTGTTCTCAGCCCCACAAATGGAAAGTGCATGTGGGTACCAACTGTGGTAATATTGGCAGTTTGGATGTACCCATCCTCAGGCCCACAGAAGGAGTGCTCAGGTTTTAGTCAATGATGGTGGAAGGGGGAAGGTAAGTAACCCTTAGGCCCAAGGACTGTGTGCTTGGGCATTGGTGCAGAGTGGAGCCAGGCTAAGCCTACCCCAGTCCCCAGATAGGGTGTGTGGGTGTGGTCTGAGGTGGGCAGGGGGTGGGGTGATTTTGATTCTCCCGTGCATGCTCATGTGGGGGCGGCAGCAGCCACACTGCAGCCCTGTGGCTAAGGAGGATGTAGTTGTTTTCCATGGAAGTAGCCATAGGCAGGCAACTGGAGATTGTGAGCTTTGGCTTCAGGTGATGACTGTGGAGGAAGAAAGTTTTCCTCAGGGAGTGTAGTCCCTGTGCTGTTGGAGGGACAGATTTGCTGCCAGTGGCAGTTGTGGGTGAGGAAGTCTGTCCTCAGGGCATGTGAAAATATGTGGTAGTCCTTCTGCTTGGGGTGGCGTGGTTGATGGAAATGGCTTGTGTCTCAGCCCTGGCGGCAGTGAGTGGTGCTGGCAACTGTTCAATAAGGATATCATGGAACTCCACAAATGTGGAGATGCAAGAGCTGTTGGTCCCCAGGGCAAGATGCACTCTAATAGGAGCTTGGTTCTCAAAATGACACCATGCTTTAGCTACTTAGGATGGAGGGTGTGTGTGAGACCCAGAGTGAACTCCCTCTCTGGAGCAATGCCATCTTGCCACCTCCAGGAAGCTCTCTACTTTAGTATCCAGAATAGTGAGGCTCAAGGGGCTCTTGGTGACTAGAATTTAAGGAATCTGCAATGGAAATGTGGACTTCTAGGTGTCTCTCATTTATGCTTTTCCCACACTGGGCAGCCTCTCTGGGCTCTCAGTGAAGCCCAGCAAAGTAGGATGCCTTACTTTCCTCTCTTTTCTTGCCTTTGGTATTTCCCATCAGTTCTCTGTTGAATGTCAGTATTCTCTCTTGGATAATCTATTCAAAGTGTGATTATCTACTTGGTATTATAGTTCTTTGTGGAAGGGGCAAGTACCACATCCCTCCAGTTAGCCATCTTGAAGCCCTTCTGATTTTTATCTTTTAAAATTCACAGTCTCTGTCTTTTAATTGGTTATATTTTAAATCAATCACATTGACACAGTTGGATTAATATTTTCCATGTTTGTAACTGTTTTCTAATCCTTGTTTTGTTCTTTTTGACTCTTTTCTTATATCTCTAGTTTTAAATGAAACCTTTCATATGACTGCATTTTCTCTCTCCTTTTAGCATATTTTATACTTTAAAAATATTTAGTTATTAACCTAGCTTTTTCAATTAACATTTATAACTAATCTATGTCTACCCTTAAACAGTAGCATGGTATATTGTGTGTAGTATTTCTGATTCTTATGGGATCTTTGGGGTGTCGCTTTTCTGGCTGGAAATCTGTGGTCGGTGCGGGCTTTGTCGGAGTTTTCCTGGGCAACGTACACCGTGATTGAGCCAGGGGCCGGGTTCCAAAGTAGGCGCTACTCCCACTTCTGCCCTGGGCGCCCCAAGAGCAGACCAGTTCCCCCCGCCACGCCCCCCGCCACCTCCTCTCACCCTCCCCCGTGCAGCGGCAGGTGAGAGCCCCAGCGGGAGCCAGGGTCCAGAGCCGCGGAGGGTGGGGGCCTGGGGGTGGGACTTGCCCAGCCAGACAAGAGTGGAAGCAACCCATCTGGTTGCTAATGGAAGGCGGGGCACAGGGAACCCACGCCGCCATTGCTGCTCCCACACCCGCTCCTGCCTCTGCAGCCAGCGCCACCCAGCTGCAGACTGCCCCTTGCTGCCAACCTTACCTCGCATTCTTATACAATTTCTGTAATATGTTTCACTTATTCATATGGTATAGTCACAGAAAATTTGCTAATAATATTTTAACTTACCATTGCTATTTAGATCAATTTATATAAAAATATTTCATTTTATATTTTTATTAATTATTTTTCTTATTTATATAGATCAAATTTCTGACCTACATTTTCTTCCTCTGGAAAGATTTTATTTTATTCATTATTGCAGACTAAGTCAGGTGGCAATGAATTATTTCAGTTTTTGTTTTTCTGTGAAAGTATTTTTCTTTCACTTTTAAAGGTTAATGTTGGAGATAGAATTCCAGGAGGATACTTTTTTTTTTTAAATTTCAACACCTTAAATATTTTATCCCGTTCTCTTCTTGATTGCATATTTCTTGTCTAGAAGTCTATTGGAATTTTTATTGTTGTTCCTCTGTATGTAAGAAGTCTTTGTCCCCACTGGATTCTTTCGATATTTTCACTGACTTTAGTTATTTGAAGTTTAAGTATGAACTGTGGCTTGTTGTCTATCTTTAATTTTGGAAATTTCATGGCTACTATTACTTTAAATATTTATTCTGCTGCCTTCTCTTTTTCTTCTCTTTCTGGCATTTCAGTTACTTGTCTCTATTCTTCATTTGATTATTGCACAGTTCTTAGATATTCTGTTCTTTGTTAATTCCTTTTTTTTTTTTTTTTTTACATTTGTGTTCTGGAAATTTCTATTGGCATATCTTCAACTTGTTAATTCTTTCCTTATCTGTATCCAGTCTACCAATGAGCCCATCAAAAGCAATCTTCATGTACTTTATAGTGTTTTGATTTCTAGCATTTCCTTTCATTATTTCTTAGAGGTTTTATGTTCTGATTACATTACAGATTTTTTGGCATCTTTTCTACTTGACCTATTATACCCTTTAATGTGTCATCATAGTTACTTTGAATTCCTGGTCTTATATTTCCAAAATCTGTCATATTGGAATCTGGTTCTGATATTTGCTATGTATCTTCTCACTATACTTTTACTTGTCTATTAGCATAGTTTATAATTTTTTTATTGAGAACTGGGTATGAAGTTTTGTGTAATAAGAACTGAGGTAAAAAAAAAAAAGGCACCTCTAATGAGAGGTTTCATGTTAATTTGATTGAAATTTGGACTGTTTAATTTTTTTTTTTTTTCTGAGACAGGGTCTCACTCTGTTGCCCAGGCTGGAGTACAGTGGCACTATTTGGGTCACTGCAACCTCCACCTCCCGGGTTCAAGCAATTCCCATGCCTCAGCCTCCTGAGTAGCTGGGATTACAAGTGTGCACCACCACACCTGGCTAATTTTCATATTTTTAGTGGAGACAGGGTTTTGTCATGTTTGCCAAGCTGGTCTGGAACTCCCAACCTCAACTGATCCACCCACCTTGGTCTCCCAAAATCCTGGGATTACAGATGTGAGCCACCACGCCTGGCTGTACTGTTTAATTTTTAGTATGGCTGTTTATGCCAAAGGATTCAAATTTTGTGCTGTTGTGGTATTTTCTCTCCTGTTGTCTTAGGTTTCCCAAATAACTAAACCTTAAATAGAGTCTATGTCTTACAACTCTTAAGGCTGTAATCTATTATACTGAAGACATTTTGATACCTTAGATATGTATAGAAAAGGACAACTGTTTTATAATCTTATTAATAAATCTCATCTTCTTTTGGGTATACATCCCTGTGCTGTGAACTTCACAAATGTTTCTGACCTTTTAGTACCCCTCAGGTCAAATAGAATGAAAAATGCAGGATGGAGATTAGAAAATGTCCTTTCCTCTATATCTTTTCCTGTGGAGAGTAGGTGTTTGTTATGAAGAGTAATTTGGCTGTATTTTAAAACGGTTAATTTTCCTTTCCTCTGTCAGACCCAGAAGGAGACTTTTTATTGGCTCTTCACTATTATTTCTTATTCTTCAGTATAAGAATATTAGGGGTTCCTTGAGGTAAACCCATAAAAGTATGGCCTAATTCTATGGTCCTTAAGAGTTTCTCACAGTAGTGCAAATCAGTCTCCAACATTTTGTCAACATTACTAATTCTCTGTTTCTATTGTGTTTACTTCTCCTAATAAAAATATTTCAAATGTGATTCTTTGTATTTCTTGTCCTTTTAGATTTCAGGGAGAAAGTTTGTCCTATGACCTCAATTATTCGATATGTCCAAGAAAAGTTATTGATTTTCTGTTTCCTCATCTTTTTCTTACTGTAAGTATGGCAGTGATGATTTCTGAGTCTTTATACATCAGTGATGAAACTGTAGGTTTAAAAAAGTTATGTTTTGGAAGATAAAAGGTGAAATTTAAAGACACTTCCAATCTACATTGTCATTCTAATGCACTGTACATCTGTGAGGATGACCTAAGATATACTCATTTAGATCTAACATAAAATAATTCTTACAGCTTTGCAACAGCAAAGGTCTACTTCTTGCTCATAGTAAAAGTTTGTCTTGGATCAACTGTGTCTTCAATCCTGATTTATGTCATTACAGATTCAAGGATAAAGAACAGCTCATCCTTATGGCATGTATTTACCTAAGAGAGAGAAAAGAGATGGTTGGGTCATTATTTTTAAAATATTCTGCTTGGAATTAGCACATGTCATTTTTATATTTCATTAGCCTAAACAAGTTACACAGGCAAGGTTGTTGTCTATAGTGTGGGAAACGCCACCCCCATTAATACTGGCAGGCCATGTGGAATGGGTTCCTAAGTATTCTGAACAAAAGTAAACTCTAACAGAGGTAAAGATATGGATGTTCATATGCTAAGGAATGAAGTGAGTATCACTTGTTATAACTAAATCATAACCGAATTTTTGTTTGTTTGTTTTTTTGAGACGGAGTCTCGCTCTGTCACCCAGGCTGGAGTGCAGTGGCACCATCTCTGCTAACTACAACCTTCACCCCCATCTCCCAGGTTCAAGCGATTCTCCTGCCTCAGCCTCCCAAGTAGCTGGGACTACAGGCTTGTGCCACCACACCCAGCTAAGTTTTGTATTTTTAGTGGAGATGGGGTTTCACCATGTTGGCCAGGCTGGTCTCGAACTCCTGACCTCAAATGATCCAACCGCCTTGGCCTCCCAAAGTGCTGAGATTACAGGCGTGAGCCACTGTGCCCAGACATAACCATACTATATTAAATTACCTTAAATATTCTTGTAATTCACAATTAACTAGATAATTTCTCAAGTCCCCTCAAACTTTTGGAATCAGTGCCTTCTTCCTTTGCTAATTCTTCATGCATTATTTTTCTTTTTCTTTTAAAGAATCTTTTCAAGCCTGGTGCAGTGGCTCACGCCTGTAATCCCAGCACTTTGGGAGGTCGAGGAGGGTGGATTATGAGGTCAGGAGATTGAGACCATCCTGGCTAACACAGTAAAACCCCATCTTTACTAAAAATACAAAAAATTAGCCCGGCGTGGTGGCTGGTGCCTGTAGTCCCAGCTGCTTGGGAGGCTGAGGCAGGAGAATGGCATGACCCCGGGAGGCAGAGGTTGCAGCGAGCTGAAATTACCCCACTGCACTCCAGCCTGGGCGACAGAACAAGACTTGGTCTCAAAAAAAAAAAAAAAAAAAAAATCTGTTCAATCAATGTCATTTAACTATGAGATAATTTTATTGTTTTCGACAGCCAAATAAACTATATCACTAATTTTAGATTTATATACTAATCTTGAATATTTGGTGAATGATTAGATAACTTTAGACATCTAATGTGAGACATTAGAAAAACATTAGATATTTTCTCTTTGGGTTCATTTCTGTCCCAACCACTCATTCCTTCCAGTTATATACTGTGCTTTTCTGGCCAATAGATATGAGAACAAGTTTTTTCAGTGTCTCACATACTTCACAATTGGGGCTATAAGAGACAATTTTCATGGAGAGTATAAACATATTATTTATCAAAATAACAAGCAAAAATGTTGCAAACCCCTTGACAGATATATATGTCATGATTGTCCAAAAATGGAGCAAACCACTTGGATGCACTACAAGCATAGTTTGTTGTACAAATGCCTTTATACTTTGTACACAGTTATATTAAGAAAAGTACTCTAAGTCTTAATGAGCACTGTAGAAAACATTTTATTGCCTTTTACATGCTCTCTTTACAAAGTAGCTTTTGCTTAATTAACTCCACCTTTACGTAACCAAAGATTAGTTTACAAAACAATATTAAAATAAATTCTAAAGGGAGCATTTGTTGAAATAAGTTGGTTAGCCATTACTGCAAGAACAGCTTTGTGCTTACTAATGATTGGATTTTTAACTGATGTCTACTACTTTTAATGTTACACTATATTTTCGTAAATGTTTCTCAGCACAGTAGCTAGATACAAATTAAAAACAAAAGTTCTCCTACTTTCTATTTTCTTTGTAATTTACAAATGCAATAAAAGACTAGTTCATTAATGCAAAGGACAAATATGGGCAATACTTACAGCTATATACACTCATACCCAAACAGAAAGGTGCAAATTATTATGGCAATAAATATAAAATATGGGAAATTGTAGAAAGTACAAATTTCCCTTTTTAATAGAAAATCTGTGTGCTGCATTTTAGTTCTATAACTTGCCAAAGACTCCCAACCAAATTCATGGAGAAAGCAGCATAATACGAGATTAACAAGTTATGGTAATTCAAGTTAATGTGTACATCTTAACGAAACCCCATTCAAGGAAATGTATTAAATGAAGCAGTGTTTCACGTGTTTAGTGCAACCATAATCTGAATTATCCTTGATCACACAGCAATGTATCAAATAATTGTAACGTATCATATTCATATATATATCGTGGCAAAATATTTTTTACTTATCACTGATGATAAATGTAAGCTGATAAGGATTTATAATATATAAAGAGAGGAGAATTTTTCTGACAATAATATATTTAACAATCATTTTAGTGCCCTAGATAGCTATGGAAAGAAAGAAATGCTTAACAAGGTACAAGTCCAACGTAAAAGTGGTATGAGTTGAACTTCATTAATTGTGAGAGTGGTGTATTTACTTATTTGATAACTGCTCTAGTTTAATCAAGGTACAAGCAGATTTGGTGTTGCCTGAGAGAGCCCACTTCCTGGTTTATACATGTCAGTCTTCTCTCTATGTCCTCATTTGATATAATGACCATCAGAGCTAATGCATGCTGTGTGAATAAATAATGCAATTAACTTAGTACTTTTAATATATTAATAAAAATATAGTATTCCGGAGAGTTAATACTATTCACTGTGAAATATGATTAAACCAACAATTATATAAAAAGGTTCTTTGATACGATATTTTGTTTCATTTTTTCTTGTTTTATTAAAATATTACAAAATTTTAATAAGATTTATCCTCTGCCACACACTAGTCCATCTAGAAAAAGAAAAAAAAGATTAAATATATGAGTAAGCATTGAACAAAATAGCCACTGATCGTATTGATTGGTTTCAATAACCTATTGAATGCTACCTCTTGCTGATTCCCACCACAAAATCTAATTCACATAAGATTATTTGTGTCATTGTCCTCTCTTCTTCATCTTTTTCTTCCTCTCTCCCCCTACCATTTTATTCATCTTTCTTCTTTCACTTTCTTTCTTCCTAATGTGTAAGAGAATGGAATGTATAAGTTGGGGGATGGATAATGTCTAACACAATTTTCTAAAACAAAGATTAAGTTTATAATTGTCATTCAGCTAAAATGTTTTTGAAAGAGAAAATAAATCTGTAATCTATCATTTTTCACAAAAAACTAGACTTGAGTAATTTATCCTCACACATATGGGAACTGGGCAGCTTTTCGTCACATGGAATGGTGGTTCAGTACACTAGAGAAAATAAAAGGATGATAGAAGCAGAAAACGTAGTTGTCTCTAAGGGTGAGACAAAGAAATATTAAAAGAGCAACATAAAGCTATGTATGTTACTGCAGTAGCAGCAGCTGTGTGAACATAAGTAGCACTAAATTATACATGCATTGGCTCAAAGAATAATTATGTTGCTCATCAATAATAAGTAATTATATGAAAAAATTATCATGTGACATGCAAGCACATTTATAAAAAAATAAAAGCACATATGTCACTATAAAGATGTTTAAATACTATTCACCACTATATTGTTTTCATCAGATCAGATGCCCTTTTCAAACTCTGTGCTATGTGAAGGGCAGACAGTTTATATTTTCAGAATTTGTCACAAGAAAAATTAATTTACTTTTACAATTTAGGGAGACTAAAAATAGACGCCTATTATTTTTCTTTCAGAAACTGTTCAAAAGTCCAGGTGAAAAACAGCCTCTAAATCATATAAAAGAAAACATCCTATTTTAAGCCAACAGACACATTCTCCAATTATTCAACTTGTCAACCACGAGCTGACAGTTAAAAGACCAGAACAGATGGAACCAACCATCACCACCATCATTTATTCCTCCATGCCTGGTACTGTACTCCACAATTACTCCTAGAGTACACAGTTTGCATTCAATACGCAATTATCCTTAGGTCACATGATAGACTTTCCATTATTATTTTTCATATCTCCTGCCAGGTTATTTCCTCCTCCAAAACTTTTCAAAGGGTTTGGTTGTTGATGGAAATAAATATTCTGCCATAGATATTGAGTCTTAACACTAAGCAGTTCTTCAAGGATAACACCTAAATCATGATACTCCCCTCTCTCTACCCCAAGAAATGTCAAAGAATCATTGCATCTTCAGTAATTATGCCTAGTAAATATTATTCAATCTTTCAAAATCATATATTTAAATATTCATTAATGCATTGTTAATAGGTAAAATTGTTTCCTATTTATACTGCATTTATGAGAGTAAACAGCTTATATTTTTACCTTTACTACGTGAATTAAATATTCATATTTTTACTGAATTAATTTATAAAAGGCAACATCTATTCTGAAAGACATAAAATAATATAATATTTGAATTTCTTGGTATTAGATCCTGTTAATGGGAAGTTAGATTTGAATCACCGCAATAGAAAAACACAGCTCCTAAATTAATCCCCAGACTTGAGCCACTTTAAATATCCTAAGCCCTTGTATGAACGGGAATCTGTATTCCTTGAGGAAGAATACTGCTAGACCGTACAAATTTATACTGCAAAACTTCATCCCAGCTTTCTCCAAGAGGACAAGCATCCACTTACCAGGGTAACTGTATTAGAGAAGTGGCCTAACCAAATATTTTGACAATTTTTCAGTTATTGGCTTCAATGTGCTACTTATCCTTTAACCAATCTACACATCTATTCTTTTTGTAGATCATTTCTTCATTTTAATTATCTGCAGTTTACTTATAAAAGGTATTTGTTTGTATAGCTTCTTCTTTATTCGAGTATTTATTAAGTCTTTCTTAGTAAAAAGTAACTTTCACAGGATTAGATACTTCTCCTTTAGTGCTATATTGCCAGTACTGAGAAGATCACCTTGATAGACAGTAAGCACAATACTTGTTGACAAACTGAATAAAAGAGTGAAATTCTTCAAATCATGTCACATAACAATTTAGTTACTCATTGTTATAAATGAAGCTAACTAAACATAAACAAAGCTAACTGTAACTAAATGTAAAAGACACAGGTAATTTAATTTTCTGTTAAATTACTTTAAATGACAAATTAGAATACACAAACATACACACACGTAGCATATAGGTAAAATTATATTGAAAAGTAGGTGTTCTTTTCTTTAGTTTTCTTTCGTTATTAAACAAATACCTATTGAACACCTACCATGTTTCTGAACTTTTCTGGACATTAAAAATGCAGCAATGAATCTTGTTTTTCATGGAGCTTACATTCAAGTTGGTGAAGACAACTCTTAAATAAATTGAAAAATCAATGTATTTTTAGTTGTGATATATGTCAGGAAAAGTCTCTATTTAAAAAACACATGTATCAAAATATGACATGGGCCCCATATTTATATACACCTAGCAAAAACCCATAAAAAGGAAAAACCTTAAAAAAATGGAAAAGGTACAGTGGCTAGATTCTTAAAGAAAATGGGACGTTTAGCTAAGTTGCTAAATGGAAGAAAAACCTCACAAGTAGAACAAAATAAAAGTGCAAAGACTGAGTCAGGAGTATGTTTTTCACACTTGAGGATGGGCAAGAGGACCAGTGCCACTGGACAGGATCAAGCAAGAAAGGAGTGATTGGTGTTGAGACCCAAGCAACAGCCAAGTTCCAGATATTTGGGAGCACTACAAGTCACGCATAGGCTTTGGATTTTATCTCAAGTATTATCAGAAGTTATTGGAAGGTATGGAGAAGGTATTGGAAGCTATGGAGAAAACAAACACACACAACCAAAAAGCATATTTAACATTATAAAGATCCTAATGGCTGCTCAGTGGAGAATAGCCCATGTTGGGAAAGTAGGGAAGACAATGTGATGTGTTAGCAAAGTACACGTGCATGTTGGATGTAGTATTGTTTCAATTTTACTCCTTCAATACTGAGGGAAGAAATAAAGAAAAAGAGAATTAGGGAATAGGAAAGGAAAACATAATAATAGAGAAAATACAAATGATGGGTTAGGAAAAGTGAATAACCAAATGGAGGGAAATATTTATAGAGAAAAGATAGAAGGATGTTCGATGAATGTTAAGATGACTATTAACTGGAAATAGTGTTATTTTCATGCATTACACTGCTGTCTGTCTAATACTGTTTCTATTATTCCTTGAAATTCCAAAATGTATTTAAAAATCACAAAATGCTGAACCTGAAGGAAAACATAGTCTACCCCACAGTTTTCATATGAGAATGTTCAATTTGGAATAACCATATTCAAGATTATTAGTTGACTAGTGGCAGAGAGAGCATGATTTACCCCAAAATAGTTTTTAACTATTAAAATAATTAATAATGGTGAAGGATGAGAGCCAAGGTTCTCACTACTGAGGAGGTAGGCTTCAGATATGCAAGAAAAGGAACTGTGTTTTATGATACTTAGATTCAGGGACATCAGTATAAAGTCATGTTTAGCTTAATAAAATAGAGACAGATACAAAAATATAGATATGTACATATACATGAGCTAGCACACATACAAGTATGCCTTTGTTCTGTCTACAGAGTATCAGAACCAGTAGGTGGTGTGTGTGTATATGTGTGTCCATGTTGTGTGTGTGTATAAACATTTATAATAAAGAAGTCCCTCATGCAAGATTATGGTGGCTGACAATCCCAAGATTTTCAATTGGCAATCTGAAATCAGAGGGAAACTGATGGTGCAGTTCCAGTCTAAATGCTACTTGTCCAAACATCTAGGGGCCCTATGGCTACATCAAGTTGTCGCATGAAGTTAACCTTCACAAGTAGCATATAAAAAGGATGGGAAAAAGTTACTCTACAGTAGAGATATCTGGCAAAAACTAAGTCACATGGTATATCCCAACATCATCAGTAATAAATCATGATAATAGTACGTACTCTTGATATGATGTGTTGAAAATGTCACTTCACCCTTGTGGTCACCCTTCACAAAACCCATAACTCAAGTCTATCCACAAGTAAAACTTTAGCCAAACCAAAACTGGAGGACATTGTACAAAATACCTGACTAGCACTCATCAAAACTGGCAATGCAGGAACGAGAAAAGTTTGATTAACTGTCACAGAGCAGAGGAAGCTAAGAAGAAATAAAGATTAGGCTGGGTGCGGTGGCTCACTCTTGTAATCCCAGCATTTTGGGAGGCTGAGATGAGAGGATCACAAAGTCAGGAGTTTGAGACCAGCCTGGCCAACACAGTGAAACCCCGCCCCTACTAAAAATACAAAAATTAGCTTGGCGTGGTGGTACATGCCTGTAATCCCAGCTACTCAGGAGGTCAAGGCAGGAGAATCGCTTGAACCCACAAGGCAGAAGTTGCAGTGAGCTGAGATCCCACCATTGCACTCCAGCCTGGGTGACAGAGACTAAGTCTAAAAAAATAAAATAAAATAATAAAATAAAGTAAAGATTAAATGTATTCTGAATGGAATTATGTTATTGAACAGAAAACAGACATTTGAGAAAAATTAATGAGATCTGAGCTAAGTATAGAATTTAATTAATATCTATATATCATTATTAGTTCCCTAGTAGTGGTCAATGTATAGTAATGCAAGATGTTAACAATGGAGAAACATTGAGAGCTTAAGGGAACTTCTGGATTATCTTCACTTCTTTTAAAAATCCAAAACTCTTCTGAAATAGAATGTTGATTAAAAATATATGAACAGACACTTCTCAAAAGAAGACATTTATGCAGGCAACAGACACATGAAAAAACGCTCATCATCACTGGCCATCAGAGAAATGCAAATCAAAACCACAATGAGATACCATCTCACATCAGTTAGAATGGCGATCATTAAAAAGTCAAGAAACAACAGGTGCTGGAGAGGATGTGGAGAAATAGGAACACTTTTACACTGTTGGTGGGACTGTAAACTAGTTCAACCATTGTGGAAGACAGTGTGGCGATTCCTCAAGGATCTAGAACTAGAAATACCATTTGATCCATCCATCCCATTACTGGGTATATACTCAAAGGATATAAAGACACATGCACACGTATGTTTATTGCAGCCCTATTCACAATAGCAAAGACTTGGAACCAACCCAAATGTCCATCAATGATAGAGTGGATTAAGAAAATGTGGCACATATACACCATGGAATACTAAGTAGCCATAAAAAAGATGAATCCATGTCCTTTGTAGGGACATGGATGAAGCTGGAAACCATCATTCTGAGCAAACTATTGCAAGGACAGAAAACCAGACATAGCATGTTCTCACTCATAGGTGGGAATTAAACAATGAGAACAGTTGGACACAGGATGGGGAACATCACACAGCGGGGCCTGTTGTGGGGTTGGGGCGGGGAGAGGGATAGCATTAGGAGATATACCTAATGTAAATGACGAGTTTAACGGGTTCAACACACCAACATGGCACATGTATACATATGTAACAAACCTGCACGTTGTGCACATGTACCCTAGAACTTAAAGTATAATAAAAAAATAAAAAATACAGAATGGTAATTATTAAACTATATTTCAGTAAGTCATTTTACTCTGAAGAAAGAGAATAATCCTATGGATACCAAGGTACAATTTGGCTGGCCTCAGACTTTCTCAGAAATACTCACTGCTTAAGAACTTCTGTTCTTGAAGTAGTGTGTTCAAAACTTAAGTAAAAAAATTTTAAACCGAAAGGTGTTCACAGCAAAGTTAATAATCAAATGTAAAGGGCATAGTATGATTTATACAATATACAAACAAGGGGAATGCATTTTAAACATAGAAAAAAAACCATAAAAAATCCCTAAGGCACAAACTTTCCTAGAAAATATATATTTTGTTTGTTTGTTTGTTTTCTTGAGATGGAGTCTCACTCTGTCACCAGGCTGGAGTGCAGTGGCGTGACTCGGCTCACTGCAACCTCTGCCTCCCTGGTTCAAGCGATTCTTCTGCCTCAGCCTCCCAAATAACTGGGACTATAGGTGCGTGCCAACACGCCCAGTAAATTTTTGTATTTTTAGTAGAGACGGGGTTTCACCATGTTGGCCAGGATGTTCTCGATCTCTTGACCTCCTAATCTGCCTGCATTGGCCTCCCAAAGTGCTGGGATTACAGGCGTCAGCCACTGCATTGGCCTGTTTTCTTATGTGATCAATTGGATAAATGGTAGTTCAAACTAATTCTTGAATGGAGAGTTCATGATAGTTGGAGCATCAAATTTATTTCAGATGTGTATATTATAAACAACTATAGAACTCAAGGAACCAACAAGACTTAATGTTAAGTTTTTTGAATATTTAAATTTTTAACATTAACAGTAGAATAAAAAAAGATAATATATTGGAGAATTAAACATGTACATAAGTTTTTCATCATTGTCCATAAATTTTAAATAAATTATATGACTTAAACTAGTTATGCCCCAAACTACCAATTGTACACTGTTTAAAAAGCCCATTCAGGGCCATGCTTCAGTCAACCATAAATTAATATTAGGAAATGCAGGGCTTTTTTAATGTTTAATTTTTAATTTTTGTGAGTACACAATAGGTGTATGTATCTATGGGTTACGTGGGAAATTTTGTACAGACATACAATGTAGAATAATTACATCAAGTAAACAAAATACCCATCACCTCAAGCATTTGTCTTTTGTGTTAAAAACAGTCCCATTATAGTCTTTTAGTTATTTTGAAATGTACAATTAAATTACTATTGAATATAATCATCCTGTTGTGCTATCAAAAACTAGATCTTATTTATTCTGGATAAAGAAGACGTGCTGCATATAAACAATGCAGAGCTTTTCATTTTTGTACAAACTTTCTCATTTATTTCTAAGATATTTGTGTACATTAAATTACAGAGAAAGTAAGAGATTACCTGTTGCCCTCCGTTAGACATGTCCTTGAAGTATGAACATCTGGCTAATCATTCTTGCAATCTGCCACTTTACTTCCCTCTTCATAAACTGATCTTTTGATCTCTTTTATCCCTTTAGAGGTCTGTTCTTATGAGTCTATCCATCAAATTACCAACTCCAGGACTTATTAATATTTTTTGACATGCAGGCATTATCTGACCCTGCTAGCCTACCTAGAATTCTGATTCTTATACTCTTCAATATTTCTTCTTGTCTCTTGAAGACACATTGTTTCATACAACTTTATGTGTTTTGCATGCACATCCAAATCTCAAACACCTGATTAATACCAAGCCATGTACACAGACACACACAAACATACACACATTCATTCTTGTAATGAGATCTCTGGATATTAAAATATGCTGTAGCGGGTAGATACATACTTTTTAAATCTAAGTTTCAAAGAAATAACTGAAGTTTATAGTAACAATGTCAAAGAAAAAAATGCACCAGAAGGAATTGACAAGCAAGGAAGACATTACATTAGACTACTATAATCCAGGGAGAGATTGAACTCAACTCCTCTGAAACAAAAGGTACAAGGATTTTTAGCTGCTGAGGTGAGCTAGTGGAAAAGACATTAGGGCGGAGTTTGGACAAAGTGATTAGGTCATCAATGTTTGTTAATTGTTGCTTATAGAAGTTAGGCTCCTGCCCTCCCACAGAGACTGGGAGATAGGGACCCTATCTACTTCAATGATTTTATTTCAAAAGACTGTCTTCCAGGTTCTGCAGAAAGAAATTTCTGGGTTGTAAATTAACAAGAGGCCAGAAGAAGATTTACATTTCAAAGGGGCACAGAAAGAATTTGCAGTTGCAAGTTTTCTAAAGTAAATTATCCAAGAGAGGCCAGGGACCTAGTGTCAGGAAGAAGACTGTCACTCTAAAGTTTAATCAAGTTGGAAATGACATTAAATTAGAAAAAAACTTTACCTGCATTGGTTTCCCTCTACATAGTGTTTCTTGTTTAGTATTTATTAAACTAAATGCTGATGCATAATGAGTTCAACTACTGAAATTTTACATTCTGACATATAAAAGTTCAAAAAGATATCAAGACTTACAGTTTTAATGGACATTGGTATATATTTTACACAGAAATATTTTGTTAAAACAAATGTGAGCAAATGAAAATTTCTCTTCATTTATTTATTTGAACGTTTATGTTTGTTTAAACTCATTGTTTTTGTTTTAAAACCTGAGTTTAGAAAGTAATAGTTTTAACTTATTTAGGAGAAAAATGCAGAATGATATGCAGTAATACGCACACACACATACATACAAAGAAAAATTTTGTGTAGATGATTTAAAACAGCAAAAATTACTAAGCTATGTGACACAATTATTATTTTTCATCACTAATCAGAAGTTTGAGTAGAAAAGGGAAAATGGCAATGCTTCTTTCTCTGCACCTGTTAGTGAACCTTAAATGTCAGTCAATCTGATTACTGCTGACACGAACTTTTCACTGACATAGATTCCCCTTGAGGACATGTGTTGTTCCCATGATATGACGAGCAGTATGAGCAGTATGTGGCTGGACATAACCACATGGAGAATCTGGAGCAAAAACCAGGCCAAAAAGTATTTCAACCTTCATTAAGCATTTCAAAAATTTAGTAAATATAGAGAAGGAAGAGAAGTTTATGTTCTAGGACTGCCTATAGTGTAGAGGCCTATAGGCCATAAGCCTCTTGAGTTGCTAGATCACTTAGGTCATCATGAAAATATAAACAAATTGCTAAGTTTGGCCACTCGGTGTACACCCCATGCAAATGAAGTAGTGGCCCACAATCAGTCTGATTGGTTGTGGAAAGCAACCAGTCAGACGCTGAAGTGAACTTACAAAGTTATACTCCTATGCAAACATCTGATTGGTTGCGGAAAGCAACCAGTCAGAGGTACCTTCAATTTTCCATCTGCCAGGCAAGAAGGTGGGGGTGGGGAGGTTGCAAAGGGAGTAGCCTCTGGTCCTTTTGTTACTTAGGTGTGGAAAATTGGGGTTTTCCTTTTGATTTAGGCCTAGGAAGTTCCTGTCACATTTATGTGTTCTGTGTGGTTGATGGCTTGTGTGTCAATGGCTGATGAGAATAATTATGATGCTGTCGTTTATGTGCCAGATGCAGGGGCACACCCTAGATCTTATTTACCATTCTGCAAAACCATTTTTGATTACTTATGGGGCAAAACCAAAACAGACTATTCCTAAAAGACACGTTCAATGGAACATACATATTTTTATGAAGTATTTGGCTAATTCTTGTATAAGAAAATCGGCAATTTTCTTTAAAAATCTACTGCTGTTTCTCAACAACACTTGAAGGGTGCTTAGATTTTCAATGTGGAAAATCAGCATTTTTGAAATACAGATAAAAAATCAGAGAGTGAAATAGACTCCAGGAAATACGAAAGGTTTTTTTCTTTCCCATCTACATTTAATTTTTTGCATCTGTCAACAGCAAGCCTATCACTATAAATTCTACTATGATAAAAAACATTTTGTTGTCTTACATTGCCACGGATCAAAAGACAAACCTGAGGAATTCCTTTTAAAAATAAGCCTTTGATAAAAAGTGGGAAATCATTAATCATGGAAAAAATGATGTGTCTTCACTTTTCACAAGGGCTCAGTGAGAAAGTTCCTATTTTACCACAAGGGCAGCTATAGACAAGAGAACCAGAGGAACGTCCTTTCTAACCCATAATAGGATGGCAGAGACCGAGAAAGAAAGGATTGTCTTGAAGACATTAGAGCGGTTTTCATGTAAAACTCATGGACTAACTTCAAGTTTACTTGAAATTTTACTTGGAAGCTTTACTTTTTTACGCTATGTTTCAGATTCATTATATATAGAGTACATTTCTGAGCTAACTTAGTATCTAAATTATATACATATTTGAAACAATTGAATTACAGATATTGTGTTATTTAATTTTACACATTCATTAAAAGACCAACTGGCTTCTTGAGCATTTACTATGAGCTTTTATGGGACTTGTAATTAACTGGGACAGATAAATTTTATATTTAAAAATGTAAATGTACATAATGTAAAACTGTGAAGAGAAATTTGAAAGAAAAATTGTCATAATAAAAAAATGGGTATGTATATTCCAGAGGATGAATTTCTAAAACAACAAATGATGTATTTTAGAGAATGAAATAGTATTTTTTTCTTAGTTTTTTTCCCATTTATCAAATCCCCACATTACACAAAGCTCTGTATTGTACCAGTAGTAAATTACCAATGCTATTTAAGTTATCTTCCTTAATGTATAATAAAAAGTATAGACTTGTACTCCTAAAAGAAATCTCAATTACTTCACATTGCTAATACTGCTCTTTCACAAATTTGGCAACTAATATAATACTCAGATATTTATTATATATCAATATATTTAATCATGTAAAAGTAACTCTTACATATATATGCACACATGTACATGCACAGATGTATATACATATGTAAATTATAAATTTTCAAAATATTTTTTGATATATATACATATAATTTATTGATAAATTAATAAAGATTAATGAAGCTAATACAAGAAAGCTTATATTATTCATTGATTACACAATTCTGGACAAAATATTTATAAATTTTTGTAGTGCTCTTTTTACTCATAAGCTAACTGTAATATATGAGTCAAGTAAATCAAAGTGCCTCATTATTAATAGCCTCATGGATTAAACAAGGAATTAAGGGAAGAGTGGCTGTATCTTCATCTTGATTTTGACATCTCATGAATTGCTAGTACTTTCTGGATTAAAATATATATAACTGGAAATTATTTAATTAAATAGTTAATGTCGTGATATTTTCACAATGGAATGTTTTAATTTAGTCTAGATGACATTCTGTGTGCCATTTCTAATTTTAAGGTTATGAAGCAGGTTTAAATAAAAAGAGGTGTGTGAAATATATTTATATAATCCTGCTTCTTGAGATAACAATGGCTATTATTTTTGAGATTTTAATTAGTATGTTTTTCTGAGAAATGTCAAGAATGGAAATGATTGTAATAAAGCAGAAAAATCTCTGAACTTGAAGTCATTTATAACAGGTTTGATACACAATTTAATTAATGAGTACCAAGGTGACTTTGGACAATTGAAGTGCCAGAGTTTCTATACATCTTGAGAAAATATTTCACCTAAGTAGTATAATTACTGTAAAGATAAAATGAGATAATATAAAAAATTCTGTCATATTAAAAAGTGCAGTAAGAAAACCACACAACATTAATGTGATTTACCCAACTGTATAAAATTGCCTAAAATAAAATTAATGCATGAATTTTAAAACATACAATGTATTAATAATTCAAAGTTTTAGATAGATAATGAGCTTAGGTTCATTTTCTTTAAGATAAATTTTGCTCATGTTTATTGTAATAATTCACTCGTTTTAGTAATTTTCTAAATTATTAAGAGAATGTATACTGTAAGATTAAGTAGTACAAAACACCATAACGTCTAATTTTTGGTTATTAAAAAATTTAAACCAGTTCATATAGAATTATGAGTAATTTTATAGTTCAGTGTATTTTACTGTAAAAATGTGGTTAGCTTCTTACAAATTGCCTAACATCCTAATAATATGATTTGGAATCCCTCATGAATATATAACAACACGCTTTTGATATCATGGAAATATGTAGCAAACATAAGTGAACATAGGTTCTGTGTTTAATAAATTTAAATTGTAAATATTTTAAGTAGATACTATTTTAAAACCTAAGTTAATAAATGTGAAAATGTAAAAAAATAAAGATTATTTGAAATTTATTAGAAAGTCATGCTTATTTATACTTAGATTACAAGAGTGCTTTTATTTTAACTTCCGTCTGTCCCAATTAGTTAAAAAATTGTTATAAAACATTTATTGCTTATTTAATATTTATTAATCAGTAATATATGTAATCATACACATGTCCCTATTTAGGTGTGTATATGTGTATATGGATATGCACACACACATAAATATGTGCATTTCCATAAGCATGGAAAACAATCTCTGTAGTTTATAAAGATATACAATTTTAAATTCTCAGGTATGAAATTGCCAACTTGAAAAGTACTTTCACAGATTTAAGTTCATAGTCATATTAAGAATAAAGAATGAAAATTATTTAAAGATTTTCTTAGGTAAAATAATTTACGTGGGTATTTCTTTGAAAATGAATAATTTTATAGTTCACTATGTTCTACCGTAAAAATGTGAATTCTACTTAAAAATTTGAATTCTTCAAATTCAAATTTTGCTATGTGAAAAATAATGACAACAATATTTTTAGTAATAATGCAACTGTCTCATAATTTCTCTGAAATATAAAGAAAAGCATATACCTAAGGAGGGTGATGCTATTCAAATATGTTATGCCATGAGTGCCAAATAATTGCAAAACATGGCTCAGAAGTCAACAAAGATGCTGGCTTTGAACAACATGTATGTTTGTTTGAGACCATACTCTTGCTCACTTAACAGCTTTTTCACTGAATAATAAATTAGTAATTTTTCAACTGTCATAAGTATGATCCTTGGACAAACATAAAGCAAAATCTAAAATAGATTTAATAACCCCACCTGATAGAATAGGGCCCACCTGAAGCATATAAGATAAATGTGCCTTGTATGTTATGGTGATGAAAGGATTGTATATTTAAATTTTCATCTAGTCTTTTTTCTCCTTCAAAGCTTGCTTTCTCATTCCTGTCTTATCCAAATCTTACTCTCTTTCAAAAATAACCCTTATAAAGCCATTTCCTATAACATTTTGTCCTCATCTAGGCACCTCCTTCTACACGTAAGCAATGCCTAGTCCTTGTGGCAGAGGTTCTTCTCTCTACATCTCTAGAATGTCCACCAACATTCTAGAAGAACAATAGTCACCAGTTAATAAAATTTTATTTTTATAATTTTGCCTACTTTCTTTATAATCTCAGTGCTATCTGTTAGCTTTGTGTGAATTGGCTACATAGGAATGATATATATGCTAACCAGTTTTAAAATTATAGAAATCAAAATAAAATTTATGTGCAGTATTTTACAGATTCTTCTCAGCAATATAAATAAAATTTTTCCCTAATGATGAAATATTTTGTATGTTAACACGTAATTTTCTAGCTTTTTAAAAGAATATCCATTTATAGATCTTTTAAATTGAGTTAGTAATACTTAAAATTTGTCATTTCATAAAAATGTTAATAGGTTTCAGTTTTAGTTATTATTTTTATTGATATTGAAGCTTTATGTTTTGAAATTTTAACTGTGAAATTTGACTTTTCACACCCTTTATTTTATTATATAAGCATCATCTAATACAGTTTAATAAGAAAAGAATATACACAGTTTAATAAGAAAAGAATATACAGTTTAATAAGAAAAGAATATACACAAGAAAAGAATATGCACATTAATATGCACAAGAATATGCACAAAGAATATACACAAGAAAAGAATATGCATATGTACAAAAATATACATATTTGTACAACTGTACATTTGTACACAATTTTATACACATTCACACACATACACATATCTATATATTTCTTTGATATTCATTATTTTATTTTGACAAATGTGTCAATATTTTTTCTTCCACAATGTATTCTGATATAGACTGATGAAAGTAAGAATACAGAAGATTGTATTTTTTATACAATTTATATTACATATATAAGATAAATTAATTTCTACAATTTTTTTATTACAAACTCATGAAGTTACTATACAAGACAACCATCCCCAAGGCACAGAGTCATCAGATCGACCAAGGTCAAGGAAAATGAAAAATATTAAAGGCAGCTAGAAAGAAGAATGATGTCACCTACAGAGGGACTTCATCAGGCCAGCAGTAGACCTTTCAGCAGTAACCTTCCTAGCCAGAAGAGATTGAGGACCTACTTTCAGAGGACCCCAGTCTTTTCAAAGAAGAAAAATTCTAACCAAGAATTTAATATCTCACCAAACTAAGCTTCATAAGTAAAGGAGCTACAAAATCCTTCTCAGACAACCAAGTGCTGAGGGAATTTATTTCAAGTAGACCAAACTTACAAGAGGTCTGTAAGGGAGTGCTAAACATGGAGTAAAAGAATGACATCTGCTACACAAAAACACACTTTACCAGCTAGCCCACAAACACTATAAAGCAACGAAGCAATTAAGTCTACATAATAATAAGATAACAACACAATGACAGCATCAAAATCACATGTATCAATACTAACCTTGAATTTAAATGGGCTCAAATACTCTACTTAAAAGACATAGAGTGGACAGCTGGATGAAAAGACAAGACCCAACAATCTGTTGCTTTCAAGAGATCCATCTCACATGTAATAGCATCCACAGACTCAAAGTAAACGGATGGAGAAAGGCTTAACATGGAAATGGAAATCAAAAAAGATCAGAAGTCCCTGTTCTTAGATGAAGCAAACTGTAAACCTACAAATATTAAGAAAGATTATGAAGGGTATTACATAATGGTAAAGGGTACAATCTAACAATAAGGCTTAATTTATCCTATGTATCTATGCATCCAACATTGGAGCACCTAGATTCATAAAACAGGCTCTTCTTGGCCTACAGGAAGGCTTAAACAATCATGCAATAATAGTGGGAGATCTCAATACTTCATTGAAAACATTAGACAGATCATCAAGGCGGAAGACTTAAAAAGATACTTGGGAATTGAGCTTGACAGCTTGACCAGTTTGACCTAATAGACGTCTATGGAACACTCCACCCAACAACCATAGAATATACATTAGTCTCTCCTGAACACAAAATATAGTCTAAGATTAACTACATTCTTGGTCATAAAGCAAGTCTCAATAAATTAAAAAAACTGAAAGCATATTAAGCACACTCTTAGACCATAGTGGAATAAAAATATAAATCAATATCAAGAAGATCTCTCAAAACTACACATATACACAGAAATTAAACAACTTGCTCTTGAATAACTCCTGAGTAAACATCAATATTAAGGCAGAAAATAAAAAATTTACTTCAAATTAATGAAAATAGAGACACAGCTTACCAAAATCTCTGGCTTGTGGCAAAAGCATTTTTTAAAGGAAAGTTTATAGCCCTCAATGCCTTCATCAAGAAGTTACAAAGAATTCAGCCAGGCGTGGTGGCTCACACCTGTAATCCCAGCACTTTGGGAGGCTGAGGCAGGCGGATCACGAGGTCAGGAGATCGAGACCACCCTAGCTAACACAGTGAAACCCTGTCTGTACTAAAAATACAAAAAATTAGCCAGGCATGGTGGCAGGCACCTGTAGTCCCAGCTACTCGGGAGTCTGAGGCAGGAGAATGGTGTGAACCCAGGAGGCAGAGCTTGCAGTGAGCCAAGATCATGTCACTGCACTCCAGCCTGGGTGACAGAGCGAGACTCCATCTCAAAAAAAAAAAAAAAAAAGAAGTTAGAAAGATTTCTAATTAACACTCTAACTTTGAATCTAAAGGATTTATAAATAAAACTGCAAACCAACCCCCAAGCTAGCAGAAAAAAGAAATACCTAAAATTGGAGTAGAACTTAATGAAATTCAGATGCAAAGGTACACACAAAAGATCAATGAAACCAAGAGTTAGTTTTTCTAAAAAATAGGCCAGGTGCGGTGGCTCACACCTATAATCCCAGCACTGTGGAAGGCCGAGGCAGGTGGGTGACCTGAGATCAGGAGTTCAAGACCAGCCTGGGCAACATGGATAAACCCTGTCTCTACTAAAAATACAAAAATTAGCCAGGTGTGGTGGTGGGTACCTGTAGTCCCAGCTGCTCAGGAGGCTGAGTCAGGAGAATTGCTGAACCCAGGAGGCGGAGGTTGCAGTGAGCCAAGATAGAGCCACTGCACTCCATCCTGGGCAACAGAATGAGACTCTGTCTCAAATAATAATAATAATAAATAATAAATAATATTGATAGACTGCTAGCTAGATTAACAAAAAAAATCCAAATAAGTGCATTCAGAAATGACAAAGATGACATCACAGTTGATCTCACAGAAACAAAAAAGATCCTCAGAGGATACTATGAACACCTCTATCACAAAAATTAGAAAATATAGAGGAAATTAATAAATTCCTGGACACACACAATCTTCCAAGATTAAATCAAGAAGAGATAGATATCTTGAATAGACCAATATTGAGCTCTGAAATTGAATCAGTAATAAAAACCTACCAACTATCAAAAGCCTTAGACCAGATGGATTGACAGCTGAATTCTACCAGGTGTATAAAGTAGAACTGGTACCAATCCTACTGAAACTATTCCAAAAAATTGAGGAGGATGACTATGTTCTGCTCATTCTATGAAGCCAGCATCAGCCTAATACTAAAATCTGGCAAAGGCATGACAAAGTAAGAAAACTCAAGGTCAATATCCCTGATGAATTTAGACCCAAACATCCTCAATAAATTACTAACCAACTAAATTCAGCAGTGTATTTAAAAGCTAATTCACCACAAACAAGTAGATTTTTTTTTTTTTACTGGGATGCAAGTTTGGTTCAACACACTCAAATCAATCAGTGTGATTCTCCACATAAACAGAATTAAAAGGAAAAACCACATGATCATGTCAATAGACACAGAAAATGCTTTTAATAAAATTCAGCGTTCCTTAATAATAAAATCCCTCAACAGAGTAGTCATTGAAAGAACTTACCTCAGAATATTGACAGCCGACTATGACAAACTCATAGCCAATATTATACTGAATGGGTTGAATGGGCAAAACCTGGAATTATTCCCCTTGAGAAATGGGAAAAAGCAAGGATGTGCACTCTTGCCACTACCATTCGGCATAGCAATGAAAGACCTAGATATGATTGTCAGAACAATTAGGCAAGGGAAGAAAGTAAAAGACATCCAAATAAGAAAAGGATAAATTAAACTATCTCTTTTTGTGGATGATATAATTATATATTTAGAAAACCCCAAAGACTCTGGTGAAAATCTACTAGAACTGATAAACTATTTTAGTAAGGTTCCAAGATACAAAATTAATGTACAGAAGTCAGCAGCAATTGTATATAAAAATAATGCCCAGGCTAAGTGTAAAATCAGGAACACAGCCCTATTTACAATAGCCACACACACACACACAAAGAAATACTTAGGAATACAGCTAACCGAGGAGGTCTACCAAAGTTCTCTACAAGAACTACAAAATGCTGCTGAAAGAAATCAGAGATGACACAAAATAAAAGAAAAATACTCTATGCTTATGTATTAGAAGACTCAATATCATTAAAATGGCCATATTGCAAAAAGCATTTTATAGATTCAACCCTATTCTTATCAAGCTACCAATGTCACTTTTCATAGAATTAGAAAAAAAAACTATTTTAAAATTCATATGGAACCAAAGAAGAGTCCAAATAGCCAAAGAAATCCTAAGCAAAAAGAACAAAGCTAGAATCATCAAACTACTGGACTTCAAACTATATTACAAGGCTGCAGTAACCAAAACAGCCTGGCACTGCTATAAAAGCAGATATTCAGACTGATGGAACAGAATAGAAAACTCAGAACTGAAGCCACTTACCTAACAAGGCCAACAAAGACAAAAGATGAGGAAAGGACTCCCCATTCAATAAATGGTGTGGGAAAACTGGGTAGCCATAAGCAGAATAATGAAACAAGAGCCTTATCTCTCACCATTTACAAAAATTAACTCAAGATGAATTAAATATTTAAATACAAGAACTCAAACTATAAAAATCCTAGAAAGAAACCTAGGAAATACTTTTCTGGACGTTGGCCTTGGCAAATAATTTTTGGCTAAGTCCTCATCATAGTTGTAAAATTGGGGTAAAGTGGCTAGACCATGTTGCTGTCTGTGTTGACTAACTAGAGTATGCTCTTCTGAGAATGGGACTTAATCTCAGACAATGCTACCAAAGGATTGACAGCAAAGTGCTCTCTGCCTCTGCAGCATTTCAAGCATGTGGAGGAGAATAATTCCTTCATTCCTGAGAGAGGAGTTGCACAACACACGTTATCTTTTACAACTGTTTTAAACTACATAATTAATCTTTGGCCTGCCTAATAGATACCTGCTTCTTTTCACCAAGGAGCTCACTGATATAACGAGTAGCAGTGAAGAAATCAAAATTCGTTCTAACTGTATTTTTGTACTCATTTGTAAATGTATAAAACAGTGTTTTCTATCTTGGATTTCCTTAGTAATAATAAATTTGCTGAGTAACATATTTTTTTCATATTTATGAACAGAGGGACTCAAATTTTTATGTAGTTTATTCAGAGAAGAAGGTCTTATCTACCAAAATAGCCTATAATATTCTTGAAAACAAAGGCTATCTTTGTTTGGTTCTATTATTCCTAAAGTATTTAGAAATATGAATAATTATGCATGGGGGCATAAATAGACAATAGGGACATAAATGTAACAATTCTACATATGTTTAACTAAAATGTACTGCCATATTATTAAATCTATTAGCTTAGTTTCTTTGTAAAGACCTCAGACCCAACAATCTAATAATGCCTAAAAAACCTGCATAACTAGTATGAGAGGTAGAATTGTGTCCTGATTTTTGATTCTCATTTCCCTGTCTATAAGTCTCATTATTAAAATTCATTCTCCTGGGTATAGAAATATTAGATAATAATCAAGGCCATGTGAGGAACATCATGAAGTATTAAAGTCTCATTAAAACATCAGCACAATTCAGTCCCCAACAATCAAAGAGATACAAACTGGGTTGCCTCCTTCATCAGGACTGGGTGCAGTTATCTAAATAACCTTAATTATTCTGTAGATGATCCAAATGCTAAGCATTATAATTTTTCCATGATAATCGGGATTTATTAATCTTAAGGTGAACTGTTTAACTTCTTTTTAAAAATTGTCTTTTCAAGGACTTTGTTACATCCTTATTGTCAAAATTTATCTTCCCCAACTTTCATTTTTAGACAAGTTAAAAAACTGAATTTAGAATCATAGTCATCTAGGAGACATAATAAATTTTCTGTTACTCCTTAATTATACCAGGTTTTCATTGTTATTTATTTTCTTGAAACAATAAAAATCATTTCACCATTTGTTAAAAATGATAAAAGTGAAATAAACCAATTAATTGTAATAAGTTTATTATTTTATGTTGTAATCAAATACATAAGTAATATGAATGATGCATAAAATTTATTAATATACTGCATGTATGTCTATAATAAATATTTTTCCTCCTTTATCAAATACAGTTTTACTATTTTAAAAATAAATTAATAGCGTTCTTTATTTTGAACCATATTAACAAATATCCCTAATAAATATCTCTTTATTGCATATACCTAATATAAAATATAGATTAGGAGTTTAAATCAAAATGTCATTAATTTTCTCATCCTTGTATTAATACATTCTATCAACTTATTTGCAATTTTTGAAATGTTGAAAGTAGGCACCATGCAGCTAAAGTAATCACTCTTACCATATTGTCATTTAGGAGAAAAAAATATCAAGGAAAGAATGAACAGATCAAAGGATCAGTATAATTTCTATGAATTACAAATGTTTTCAACTTAACTTTAGATAACATGCATTTTATAGCTTTCTACCACATTGACTATATTTTATGAATTCTAACAGAGTATAACAAAAGCAAGCACAATAGCCAGAAACTCCAATATTAAAGTACCCATTGAGTTCAATGTGGTCTGCTTTGACCAGATTTATATTCCATCTTACTGGATGGGACACACTGGATGAGAGATGTATGAGGGGCTCATCTAAGGGACACAACAATATACAGGAAAGTATAAATTATAAGTTCTACGATATTGGATTTTGGATCAATTTTTTATATTGGGATAAATCTGTCTCTGAGAAAGTTATCATAAGCATCAGAAACATGACTAAATAAACAATAAAAATGCATTTTACAAAATTTCCTGTACTATTTAAGAAGTAAAATCACAGCAACAGTCCTCAGAAAGACCTGAGATGCTCTCATATCCCTCGCAGGAGAATATTTATTTCTGTTATTCTGCTCTCGAAGTAACTCCATGTTTTTCTCATAACACAAATTGCAAAGAAAGTTAATGTCTTTGGCTCCTTGCCAAAGATAATCCTTGTCAATGGATTATCTTCTTTGGGGTTAAGAGCTTTTCATTGTCTAAGTTGCTCCTGCTAAAGACCAGAGCTGGAGGTAAGTGAGAAATACAGTCTGTTTTATTGAATGTCTGTAAAATCCAAAGTAGCCTCCTGTGATTGTTTTCCCTCCTACCAATTTATCATTGCCAAGTCGATCTGCATCTCAATAACTCTTGGCGCACTTAACTTTACTAAAATATTTACTTATTATGTTTTCTGATAGCTCAAAAATTCTATTGGTATGAGAGTAAGGAGAGAAGAACGATTAAAGTCATGGAAACTAAAATAAAAATGAGAAAAATAAAAGGATGCTTAAGTAGATGAAATTTTAGAAACAGATAAACATGGCAAACGATCAAGCAAGATTGAAGTATGTGAATAGCTGATGGTAAAGTAAAAGTTCCATGATGCTATTTGAAGTCTAAGGGAAAAGAGGGGGAAAGTTATCGTCAAAACCAATTCTTTAATCCCAAATTTTATACTTTTTTCAATGCTTTATAGAAAAAGTGTTAGATATAAGAATATAATAAAAAATATAGTAAATTGACGGATGCAGAAATGTGTGTAAGACATTTAGAAGCAGCTAGCAATGAGTCAAAACTCAGAACGCTAGGAAACATGCTAAGTGAATTAACTCAGGAAAGGAAAACCAAACATCGTATGTTCTCACTCATATGGGAGCTAAATTATGAGGCACGAAGTTGTAAGAATGATATAATGGACTTTGGGGACTCAAGGGGCAGGGTGGGAGGGATGTGAGGGATAAAAGACTACACACTCGGCAAACTGCACAATGCTTGGGTGTTGGGTGCACCAAAATCTCCAAAAACAACACTAAAGAATTTATTCGTGTAACCAAACACCACCTGTTGCCCAAAAAAACACTAGAATAAAAAACATAGGACGGGCGCGGTGGCTCACGCCTGTAATCCCGGCACTTTGGGAGGCTGAGGCGGGCGGATCACGAGGTCAAGAGATTGAGACCATCCTGGCCAACATGGTGAAACCCCGTCTCTACTAAAAATACAAAACATTAGCTGGGCGTGGTGACGGGCGCCTGTAATCCCAGCTGCTCGGGAGGCTGAGGCAGGAGAGTCGCTTGAACCCTGGAGGCGGAGGGTGCAGTGAGCTGAGATCACACCACTGCACTCCAGCCTGGCAACAGAGCGAGACTCCGTCTCAAAAAAATAAAATAAAAACAGAAAAACAGAAAATTACAAAAAAAGAATAAAAGAATTGGTAACAAATTAGGTAATAAAGGCAAGGTCAATATTTTATTCAACCGAATTCCCCTATGAATTTATAAGTTCTATCTAAAAATAGCTTACATTTTACCTTTAAAAAATCTTTAATATTTGGGATAAGATTCAATATCAAGATACCTCATTAGAAAACTATTAATGACACTTTACTTGCCATCCATCTCTTCTTGTAGACAAATGGCTACGTGTTTGATATATATTACACATAGTACATTAATAATGGATATTTTTAAATTTCTCACTTTAACATTCGTAAGTCAGAGAATTGACACTACGCATGTTCACTCAATTCTTCTCTTATTTTTCCCTTTTTCTTTCCTCTTCAGGTAAATTGCACATTTAGTAAACAGAGGAGAAAATATGATACTGATGTGAAAGCTGTTCCTAATTACATGATGTGCTCAAAGCTGATTATTTTTGCATAGTAATGACAGATAATTTAATCTTAATTCATAGGCAATTTCTTTGAATATCTACACCAATAGCTTTAGAAAGTCAGTGATCTCGGGGCTGATGTAAGAATTTCTAGGACAAATTGAGAACTGAACTAAAATTTCATTGTTGTCCTGTAACTTCTTCCCAATTTTTTCCCTATGCTTGCTCAGTGAGTTAAACATTTCCCAAATATTAAAGATTATTTTATTTTTTTGAGACGGAATCTCGCTCTGTTGCCAGGCTGGAGTGCAGTGGTGTGATCTCAGCTCACTGCACCCTCCGCCTCCAGGGTTCAAGCGATTCTCCTGCCTCAGCCTCCCCAGCAGCTGGGATTACAGGCGCCCGTCACCACGCCCAGCTAATGTTTTGTATTTTTAGTAGAGACGGGTTTCACCATGTTGGCCAGGATGGTCTCAATCTCTTGACCTCGTGATCCGCCCGCCTCAGCCTCCCAGAGTGCTGGGATTACAAGCGTGAACCACCACGCCCGTCCTACGTTTTTATTTTAGTGTTTTTTTGGGCAACAGGTGGTGTTTGGTTACACGAATAAGTTCTTCAGTGTTGTTTTTGGAGACTTTGGTGCACCCAACACCCAAGCATTGTGCAGTTTGCCGAGTGTGTAGTCTTTTATCCCTCACATCCCTCCCACCCTGCCCCTTGAGTCCCCAAAGTCCATTATATCATTCTTATAACTTTGTGTCCTCATAGTTTAGCTCCCATATGAGTGAGAACATATGATGTTTGGTTTTCTTTTCCTGAGTTAATTCACTTAGCATGTTTCCTAGCGTTCTGAGTTTTAACTCATTGCTAGCTGCTTCTAAATGTCTTACACACACTTCTGCATCTATCAATTTACTATATTTTTTATTATATTCTTATATCTAACACTTTTTCTATAAAGCATTGAAAAAAGTATAAAATTTGGGATTAAAGAATTGGTTTTGACGATAACTTTCCCCCTCTCTTCCCTTAGACTTCAAATAGCATCATGGAACTTTTTGCTTTACCATCAGCTATTCACATACTTCAATCTTGCTTGATCGTTTGTCATGTTTATCTGTTTATAAAATTTTCATCCACTTAAGCATCCTTTTATTTTTCTCGTTTTGAAGTTATTTTCCATGCCTCTAATCTTTCTTCTCTTCTTACTCTTATACCAATAGAATTTTTGAGCTATCAGAAAATATAATAAGTTCATAGTCCATAGCAGTACAATAAATATCATGCATATTGTTTTTCTCATATTCTTGCCTACTCTACCCTTAGTTTCAGGAGAAGATGGACTGATGCTCTGAGCTAAAGACATTTCTAACCAATGGGGATTATTTTATTTTTTAGGGTCCTGTTCTGAGACTTGATTGACAGCCACAGTTGCTTTGACCTCCTAGAGGTCTCAGCATAAATGGAAAAAAATAAAAAATAAGTTAGAAATATAGAATTCTAAATAAAAGATGAAAACATGGGAGAAGGTGATGCTCTGTCTCAAGGTAGTTGAAAAGACAACTTTGATCATAATTTATTCTTTGTTTCTCTTCTAGTGCATGCTACCACATTATATTTATTCTTAGCATAGCATCTCACATAACTTAAATGATTTCTATATTATTACTCAGCATAGTGCCACCAGAATCCTTTGTTAAATATAAATTTAGTGCTTAACAAGTATCTAGTATTTTAGAAGGGCTAGTGAATAATAATTATAAGTAATACATAAAAGTACTTATAATTATTAGATAATAAGAATGTTTAGCATAATTTTGTATTAAGTATTGTTGTAGAAATGAACATAGGGCTGTAAAAAAGAATAGGTTTGCCAATTCGAACTTTTCAGATGTGAGATTTAAATTTTTCCACAAGTGTTAGAAGAAGAGCGAGCAGTGGAAACAGCAAATGTAAACACTCTGAGGTTAGTACATACTTGAAACTGTGCCAGTATGATTTCAGCATAATCAGTCAGGCTTAGTGTGACATGAGCTGAGGTTTGAATAAAGTCACTGTAATGCAGAACTTTGAGAGCCAAGGAAAGAAACAGAGATTTAATTCTAAAGGCAATGAAGAACAGCATGTGACAGATTTTAGTGGGATGAGCCACTTAACCCAATTTATATTTTAAATGATTGAATGTATTGCTCAGTAGCAAACTTTGCTCCTTGTAGTATGGCCCATAGAGAAACAGCATCAACACCAACTAGAAGCTTGTTAGAAATGCAGAATCTTTGGCTCCATTGCAGACCTGCTGAATCAAGTCAATATTTACAAATTTCCAAGAGAATCCCATATATAATGAAGTATGAGAAGCACTGGTTTAAGACACTCTTCTCTGATCCCACTGATTTTGTGCTGCTATAGACAAATTAGAGCCCTCCACAGGTCTCATCCTGCAGGTTTTTGTTTTCCCTTTTTTGTTTGTTTTGTTTTTTTTCAGTGTATCATGGCTTACCACATCATTTTATATATTTCAAGTCTTCTTTTCTTCTCGGTTTCATCCTTATCTTGCTGGAGTATATTTTCAAGTAATTGCCTCAGAAAGGGTTCAGTGAAGACATATCTGAATATGTGCACAGTCAAATTTTGACTGCTTTTAGAATTCAAGATTAAATACTTTTCTGCAGAACTTTAATGACATTTATCTGTTCTAGAATCTGGCATTGCTTGTGATTAGTATGATGTTAACATGAAACTTGTTCTATGGAAAATAATCTTTTTTTAATTTTTTTTTTTGCTTTTACTCTGGAAACTTTTATAAAAATTTTTTAAAACTTGGTATTATTACATGTTAATATGCTTAGAGTTTGGGGTATTTTCCTCAGTATTAATTTTATGATATCTTACTGTTTGTCTCTAGAACTCTTATTTGTGGTATATTGGACATTTAATTTTTTCTTTTTTATATATTTTCTCATTGTTTTATTTTTTATATCTTTTTTTGGTTAGGGAAAAAAAGTCTTTTACATCTAGAAAGTGGCCTGACACTGACAGCTAGGTCTTAGAGTTGTTAGAAACTGGCCTAACACGCATAAGTAGGTTACATTGTTTTGTGGTGGACAAAAATAATTGCACAGACACCAACAGGAGACAAGATCACTGTGAGACCGTGATACAGTGAGACCAAAACAAGGTCACTGTACAACTTATAACCTATGAAACATCTCCCTCTCTCAGGTATCATGAGTGACTGCAGCTTCCTGTGTTCTGCTCACTGTGTCATACAATTTATTTAAATATTCAGTCGTAGAAATTCTCCTGCTTCCCAACAGCACCCAATTCAAAATGAACCCCAACTTCCATACACTCTTTCCAAAATGATGCAATAAAAGTCCAAATCCAGTAACGGTTCTTTCTAATACTCTCTTACTGAGACTACCCACCATGCCTTAAAGTGTGTTTCTGTCTCTGCAATTAGTAATCCACCCAACTTGTTCATCTACAGCTGTGCTTCTAGTGATCTTTTGCTGGAAGGCATTGATGAAAGTAGTCTCTTAAAATAGACAGGGACAATTTTAGTCTCACTTCACAAACTGGTAAACTGAAACTTTAAAAAGTTATTTGATTTATAGTGTATTTTTTATCAGAAGTTATTTTCATTTCACACCTCCTCAGCAAGGCATTTGAACTCTCGGTCAACCCAGGAATATTTACCCTCTTTAGGAATATTTACCCAGGAATATTTACCATTTCATGCTGCAGGTGTTGGCAAATCCTATATGCCTTCCTATAAAACTAATTATTATGTCTCTGTTCCACAGTGATCTTACTTCAAGTTAGATAATTATGACTACTATGTTGAATGTCTGCACTACTTAAAGATCTTTTGAAAGCAAATAACTCCGCCGGGCGCGGTGGCTCACTCCTGTAATCCTAGCACTTTGGAATGCCGAGATGGGCGGTTCATGAGGTCAGGAGATCGAGACCATCCTGGCTAACACGGGGAAACCCCGTCTCTACTAAAAATACAAAAAAAATTAGCCACGCGTGGTGGCGGGCGCCTGTAGTCCCAGCTACTCGGGAGGCTGAGGCAGAATGGCCTGAACCCGGGAGGCGGAGCTTGCAGTGAGCTGAGATCGCGCCATTGCACTCCAGCCTGCGCGACTGAGTGAGACTCTGTCTCAAAAAAAAAAAAAAAAAAAAAAAAAAAAAGAGAGAAAGGAAAAGACTCCCTTTAAAAAAATTTCTCTGTTGGTAGTTATAAATTTTCAGCACTATAGGAGTCCTGAGGAAGGGGTTAAGAGAGATATTCTGGAATATCACAGCACATGGGCAGAACTTCCTCCCCTTGAAGTAAGCATTGATCCTGGTGACAGAAGGGGTGCATAAATATCAAGTCATGGGAACTTTGACTCAGAGATGTTTTATGAGCCATTGATTCCAGGTCACTAATTTCACAGGTGGAGAAAATTGTGTGTGTATACACACACACACACACACGTATACACACCCAAAATAGTCTTTTTTAAAGTTCATCAGATAATTTGTTTATGGAAAAAAATCTATCCTAATGGCGGTTGTGGATGCCAATATTGAGAAAATACTTAATTCTTTTTATTGGGAATGCTGAAGGGTGGTTTTTTAAATCAGAATTTTAAACTACATATCACCAAATTATAACACTCATACAATGAATAGCATCAAATTTCCATTGTATTTTATTATTCATTATATGTGACTCTAAGTTGTCTATATTAATTAATACAATTTATTCTTATTTATATTTATTGCACTGAAAAATATCCAACTTCTAAGGGAGCAAGAAAAGTCTCCAGCTTAGTGATATATTATTTACTGCTCACTTTCTAATTGAACGTTTCAATGGATGATTCTTTCTATTTAGTGGGATTTAATTTCATCTCTTCAATGACTAATTAGCCTGACTGTTAATATAAATCTCTAAGGAAGCAATATTTCTGTAAATCAGATAGTTCATATAATATACATTGTAGTGAAATATTATGCTCACTATATTTTGGAAATTGTGAAAATGAAAGAGATTTAGAAGTCAATAAAATTCAATTTTGTTTTATACATTTCTTAACTAATGAAAGATTTTTAACATCTATTAAATGTACTTTTTATCTTTTGTAATCAGTGCTCTAAAACTTTGCAACATGATAGACTGCTGATTTTAAATTAGCAAATTGCTAAATTAGGTTCCTAGTGTAAGAATGATAACTGAACCTCTTTTGTACAAGTCATGCTTGTGCAGGATTAATCAGTTCTACATCTTTGCAGACAATAGTCATTTTTATGCAATACAGGTATATTATGACTAATTAAACATCATGATTTATTGATCTTTGCAATGTGATATGTGAGTGCCCATTCTTTATCTGACATTCCTCTAGGTGCTACAAATTCATCAGGAAAGGAAACAGATGCAGTTTATGCCCTCATGGATTTTATATTTGCTGGAAAAATTCAGTACTTAAGAGCAAAGCTAACATGGAAGTATTGACATTTAATCTGAAAACTAACTGTTAAGCTGAGATCAAAAGCAAGACCAGCAGTTCCCTGGTGAATTTGATATAGGAGGATGGGTAAAAGAAAATTTCCGTCAAAGGAAATCATGTGAAGGCTCATATTTTAGAGAAAATTGAGCATATTCTAAAAGATAAGAGGTGTTGTTTTGATGAAGTGAATTGAGTTACATAGATAAGGTGAGAAAGAAGGCTAGAGATGAGAATATGCCTCAGCTCGTGAGGATGATGTATGGTAAGAATAATGAAAAGTCATGAAAGCATTTTCTACATAGGTGTGACACATTCTGCTTTGTGATTTTTAAAGATGACAGTCATTATGGAATAGATTACTCATTGTAGGGGAGAAATATAAGGTGTAGAGAGCTATACTCTAGTTAAGATATAATGGAGGAAGGAATGAAATGTTAACATGAGTCTAGAAAGCAGTGGATGTTTTCAAAATATGCAGGAAATACACTGAGCAAGGTCAAATGGCAGATTATAAATGGACTGATGGATTGTGAAGCACAAAAGGATATTTTAAAAGTCAGTCTTTTACAATTGAATTGACAGTGTGAAGTTAGAAATTCATGAATAATTGGAAATCAATGATATGTCCCAGGTTTTAGGATTGAACAGTTGAGAAAATAGTTCTAACATAGAAATAGGAGTGTAGCATGCACAGAAAAGAATAATTTAAGGGGCATGTGTAACCATCTACAGAAAAAACTATGAATGAATATACTGAAAAGTGAAAAGAAACCAAGTGCATGGGATATTTGTTAAGAGCAACCAAGAAAGAGAAATCCTCAGTAAAGGGGATGAAATTAAGGTTGGCAAATACTGATGAAAAAACAAGAAAGTTAAAGGTCTTGAACTGGAACTGTACTAGCCACATACGACTTACAGGTGTCATTAGCGAAAACACAGTGTCTGTGAAGAAGTAGGAGCAATAGTAGATTGGACAGTATGATGTGATATTGAATTATAAAGATATGTTTCTTGAAGAAAAATGTTTAGCTTTGAAGAGTGTGTGGTAAATAATTGGGAGTAGATATTTTGCTAATTGTACTGGTTTTTAATTTAAGAGATTTGAGCTTTCGTAAATACTGATGAAGACACTAATATAATTTGAATAAAAATAAGACACAGTGAAATTAATAGCATGAACTTTTCATTAAGGAAGCTGATTAAAGACACTATGCAGACAATGTAGATCATGGTGGTAAAAAAATTAGGGAGAGTATCAGCTTTCCATTGTGATGGGAGAATAAAACCGAATGCGTGCAAGTGTAGATAGGTTTGCATATTTATAGAGGAAACTCTCTTTGAATTATTAATATTGCTCCATTGTCCTCCTTAAATCTTTGAACCTCCTTTCTCACACATACCCTTAGGTGTTAAGTCTTTGGCTGGGCATGTTTGAGGTAGGGGGTTCAAAGATTTAAGAAGGGCCTTGGAGCAATGTCAGGTAGCAACTATTTCACATCTACCACAGTGGTTGAAATTTTTGAAAGCTAACAAATTAAATGTAAGTATGGTTGTGGAGCAACCCAGATCATTGGCGCCCTGCTGGTCAGAATGCAAAATGATACAATCACATAAGAAAACTGTTTGGTGGTTCATTAAAATTAAAATTTAAATTTAAACTTACATATTTATATTGTGACCTAGCAATTCTATAGCTGGAAATTTACACTAGAAAATGAAATACACACTCACAGAAAGACTTCTAAGAGAATGGTCATAGCAGCCAATGTCACTTTTCACAGAATTAGAAAAAAAAACTATTTTAAAATTCATATGGAACCAAAGAAGAGCCCAAATAGCCAAAGCAATCCTAAGCAAAAAGAACAAAGCCAGAATCATCAACTTACTGGATTTCAAACTATATTACAAGGCTACAGTAACCGAAATAGCCTGGTACTGGTATAAAAGCAGACATTTAGACTGATGGAACAGAATAGAAAATTCAGAACTAGAGCCACTTACCTAACAAGGCCAGCAAAGACAAAAGATAAGGAAAGGACTCCCCATCCAATAAATGGTGTGGGAAAACTGGGTAGCCATATGCAGAATAATGAAACAAGAGCCTTACCTTTCACCATTTACAAAAATTAACCCAAGTAGCCATAATCAAAATTGCCAAAACCAAAAGATAAGTAAAATATGCACCCATAGGATCACAGATAAAAAATACAATATCTTAATACAAGCAGTTACCACTCAGAAAGGAAGAGCAATATACTAGTCATGCAGGCAAAACATGGTTCATCTCGAAAGCATTATGTTGAGTTAAAGTAGTTGGAAAAAAACAATACGTTCAATATGATTTTATTTACCTAAATTTCTATAACAAAGTAGGCAAAATGAATCTATGATAACATGAATTAAAAAGTGATCATGTCAATAAAAATTGATAAGCCCCTTGTCAGTATATACTAAGAAAAAAAGAGAGAAGGTACATAGAACAATAACTCCTTGTTTCTCCTTACTTCCAGCCCCTGAAAAACATCATTTTGTTCTCTATTTCTGAGAGTTGACTATATCAGATACATTATATAATTGGAATCATAAAGTATTTGTCCTTCTGAGACTAGCTCATTTCACGTAGTGTAATATCCTCCATGTTTATTCATGTTGTCACAAATGGTAGGATTTCCTTCTTTTTTAAGAAGAAAATTCTGTATGCATATACATTGTGTGTATGTGATATATATATGTGTGTGTGTGTGTGTATATATATATATATATATATATATACATATAACAAATTCTTTATTCTTTGATCTATCAATGGACATTTTTGTTTTGTCCATATATTGACTATTGTGAACAATGTTGCAATACACGTAGGAGTGCAGGTGTCTCTTAGTTAACAACATGAATTTGTGCAGTACAAATCTTGATAAAAGGGTACCTCTCATGTTAAGTATTGTTACCACAAAAATATTTTTTAAAAGCATACAAGGAAAATTTTGGACGTGATGGATAAATTTATTACCTTGATGGTAGTGATAGGTTACTAATGTATGCGTAGGTCCAAACTCAGCAAATTACGAATATCAAATGTGCAGTTTGTTTGTATGTCAATTTTACCTTAATAAAGCTGTTACAAGGAAAAGTAGTTCACGAGGGAGAGAGAATGGAAGAAAGAAAAAGAAGGGAGAGAGAGAGAAGAAAAGATACTAATATCAGAAATCAAAGAGGAGACATTACTAACATAAAATGACACTAAAAGGATAACAAAAAATCTTATGAAAAACTCTATGTCCACAGGTTTGATAATCAATATAAAATAGAACAATTCTTTGAAAATATAATTTTTCAAAACTTTCACAAGAATAAAACAATTTGCAATAGGTCTATCTCTATTAAAGCTATTTAGTCAATAGCTAATAACTTTCTGTAACAGAAAACTACATCTACATGAGTTCAGTAATGAATTGCAAACATTTAAGGAATAAATCACATTGGTTACCTACAATTTCTTCCAGAAGACAGAAGCAGAAGGAATAATTTCTAATTCATTCTATGAGGCCGGTATTATCTTAATATGAATAAAAACAGAAAAAAGACATTGCAAGGAAAGTAAACTAAGAAACAATATCCCTGCTCAAGAGCATAGATTCAAACTCCTCAACAAAAAATTATCAAAAGCAATTTAACGATGTATAAAAATAAGTATATACTACAGCCAAATAGGATTTATACCTGGTGTGCAAGACTGGGTCAACATTTGAAAATCAAATGATGTTATCCATCACATTAAAAGGTTAAAGAAGAAAAAAATCACATTATCATATCAATAGAATCAGAAATATCATTTGGCACATGATACCATTCATAATAAAAACTCTCAGCAGCTAAGAATTGAGGGGAAATTTCTCTGTTTGATGGAAGACATGTACAAAACAACACACAACTAACCTCATCCTTGATGATTAGAAACTGGATGCTTTCCCATTAAGATAAAATATAAGGCAAGAAAGTGATCTCTCATTACTTCTTTTCAACATCCTTCTGAGAAGTCCGAGCTAATGAAATAAAGCAAGAAGAATAAATGTTTATGTTTATTGGGGAAGAACACATAAAACACTTTTTGTTTGCAGATGACATGATCGTCTATGTAAAAAATGTGAAATAACTGACAAAAATTCCTAGAATTAATAAGCAATTATAGCAAGGTGATAGAACGAGGTGAATATAAAAAGTCAATTGCTTTCCTATATATCAGCAATAAATGAGTGAAATTTGAAATTAAAAATATCATACCATTTACTATAATACTCCCCAAAATGAAATATTTAGATATAAATTTTACAAAATATGCACAAGATCTACATGGTGAAAACTACACAATCTGATTAAAGAAATCAAAGAAGAAAGAAAGAGAGAGAGGCTTCATGTTCATGGAGAGAAAGACTCAATATTGTCAAGATGCCATTTCTTCCCCAATTGATCTATAAATGCAACATTATCACAATTAAAATCCAAGCAAGTTAATTTGGGTATATCAACAAACTGATTCTAAAGCTTATATAGAGAGGCAAAAGATCCAAAATAGCCAACACAATATTGAAAGAGAAGAACAAACTTTGATGGAGGACATTACCCAACTTCAAGATTTACAACAAAGCTACAGTAGTCACGACAGTGTTGTACTGGTGAAAGAATGGACAAACAGAACAAAATACAGAGCCCAGAAAGAGATCTACATAAACTTGGTCAGGTGATCATTGAAAAAGGAGCAAAGGTAATACAACAGGACAAACTAGTCTTTAAAACAAATGATACCAGCAGACTTGAATAGTCACATGTTAAAAAAAAAGACTCTACAAATTTTTACACCCTTCACAAAAATTAACTCATAATGGAACATAGATCTGAATGTAAAATGTAAAACTATAAAACTCCTAAAAGATAACATAAGAGAAAAACCTAGGTGACTTGGGAATGGGTGATACATTTTAGATATTACCCTAAGGCATGCTTTATGAAAGAAATAATTGATAAATAGATTTTATTAAACTTAAACTTAGACTTTTTAAAAGACAACATAAAGAAAATGAAAAGACACAAACCGCAAGAAAATATTTGCAGAAGCTAGATGTAATAAAGGACTATTATGTAAAATATGTTAAAAAAAACTCTTAAAACTCCATAATAAGAACAGAAAAAACCTAATTAAAAATGAATAAAATATTTGGATAGGCACCCATCAAAAATATATACATATGGCAAGTAATCATGGGAAAATATGTCCAAAATTATGTTATTAGGAAGTTGCAAATTAAAATGAGATACCACTGCATACCTATTAGAATGGCACACTCTTATGCAATCCAGCAATCACTCTCTTTGCTATTTCACCAAAGGAGTTGAGAAATTAGGTCCACAAAAAAATTTTCACACATGTATTTATATCAGCTTTATTCATCACCACTGATACTTGAAAGCAACTAAAATGTTCTTTAGTAGGCAAACAGATAAATAAATGGCAGTACATTGAGACAGCAGAATATTATTTATTACTAAAAGAAAATGAGCCACAAAACCCTGAAAAGACACGAAGGTGCTTTCAGTGGAATATAACTAAGTAAAGAAGCTAATCTGAAAATTCTATATACAGTATTTTTCCAACTAGATGGTGTTCTGGAAAAAGCAAAACTATGGGCAGAGTAAAAAATAAATAAAAAATGAGTGGATGCTAACGGATGAGTGGAAGGAGGCATGAATACGTAGTGCAAAAGTATATTTAGGGGAGTGAAAATACTATGTATGATACTATCAGTGTCATTATGTGTTTCTCCAAACTCATAGAATGTACAACAACAAGAATGAATTCTAATTTAAACTATGGACTTTGGGTGGTGACAATGTGCCACTGTAGGTTCATCAATGATAACAAATGTACCACTCTGAGAGGTACTTTGATAATGAGGGAACTCTGCAGGAGTGGGGCTAGGGGATATATGGCAAATCTCTGTGCCTTCCTTTCAATTTTGCTGTGAACTTCAAACTGCTCTAAAAAATATCTTAGGAAAAAGAAAATGCATATAGATCTTCCAGTAGATAATTAGGCAATGATAATTTTAATGGACTTTAAAATGAAAGAATAATATGCAATACATAGCCAAATTAAAATATCATTATTATTTGTTAAAAGAAAGTATATGACAGGGTATACGAATTTCTCAAAAAGAGGAGAGACCACTGGACATTGACCCCTCTTAGATTACAACTACCAATCTTTCTATACTATTGATCATGCTTTGTTGCAACAGGATTTGTTGTAGCTAAATAGAATATTTTATCTTAGTAAATTATTTTTAAAAATTATATTCCAATAGTAACCACACTTCATTATTCAGGATGAATGAAAAATATTGAAAAATAGTGCTTTCACAATGTAATACTTAAGATTAATACAATTAGAAACTAAATTTCACATAGAAACTCACTATGTAGAACAACTTTCATGACATTTAAAGTGTTAAGTGACTATTCTTGCATTTATCTACTGAGATTTTTTATTCAAAGCATACCCAAACACTGCCTTCTGAATTTAAAAAAATGAAAATAGGCCCTTCATATCTTTGCACTTACTATGCATTTAAATATAGAACTTGACAAATGTCCCAGATTTTTACAATTTATTCATGTTTCCCAATGCTGATCAATCACAGACATTAACTGTATATTATTTTTCACTTTTAACACCACTTAAACTACCACCAATTTACCACCTTTCTATTTCTTCCAAATATCTGTCAAAATATTTGCCCTCTGAGCAAATCTCAGACACCATACCAAAGCAATGGGTAGTAATAGCCAGTAATTGGTTAGAATTTGGCACATCTCTCCACGTCTTATTTCTCGGAGACCAAGCATATCATATTTTTTAGATAAATGGAAGGAAAAAAAAAAAGAAAATCTTGCCCCTTTCTTATTTTCGTCGAAGAAGTCACGTGACAGCCTTGGTTTCCTTTGTGTATTTGTTTAAAGTATTCTTATTTCTCCCATTTCTTTCCTATCATTTGCTTTCCAACTTGCTGTGATTCTAGTTGGCTATTATATTAAATGCATTTTATTTTTCTTACAAATCTCTAGCTATTACATATGTAAGTTGAGACATATTTGAAACACAAAATTGGTGTTTACAAATATGTCACAGAGGAGATTTCTTAACATTGTACAGTTATTTTTAATATCTTGAAATAAAGAACCAAGTATCAGTTCTGCGATAAATGGCACCATTTCAATTAAGGTGCGACTCTTAGATCAGCAATTTATAATTCAAAGCTTAGATACTAGTAAAAAAAGCTAATGTTACTTTATTAAATCTCCCTTTGACTTATTGTTTGAATCAATGAGAAATACCTGGTTTATACTTAATTTTAACTGATTTTCATACACAAAAATGTTACCATTTACCGACAATTAAAAAAAATTCTTATGTCATTCCTGACTGAAAGAATTAAGAAGCCTTCTCAACATATTTTTTTCTAAGTTTACAAAGCCTTGTTATTTTCCTTAGAAAATCTTCTAAGAGTGGAAAAGTCAGTTAGAAAGCTCCTTTCTTGCTCTCTCAACATAAGAAGCAAATGTGTGGTGTTCTTAATGTGGAAGAAATATTTAAGCAGATTTATTTTCAAATATGCTTTATAAACTTCAGGGAAATAATGTCCCTTTGAGTTAAGAAGAAGGTATAATTGTCATAAACAGAAAGTAATAAAGGCTAACTTTTAATAAAAATATTTGAGTATATTTTCAGTGTTTAATCTCTCAGTCTGAAATGTTCAGAGATTTGTACTAATTTTGTACAGGTGAAGGGTAAAGGTTCATTTATCTCTGTATTTTTTCACATTATGCTGATTATACTTTTACTATAATTTACACAATAGCTTTGATTATTGTACAAATACATATAGCTAATATATTTAACACACTTTAAAGTTTCTTACTGGTTTCAGGATAAAATTGAAGTTTCCCATGCAAAGGGTGCATGGCCTGTGTGTACTTCTCTTACCCTTCTACTCCCTCACTTAGCAAATTATGGTTTCCCAAACATAAGATACAATCTGAGGTATCTTTTGCTTAAGGCATATTCTTCCTCTGTGCTTGCTGTACCTCATGCTAGGCAAAATCCTCTTTACCTTTCAAACACCACTCAAATGTGTCTTGGTGAAGCTTTCCCAGTGAAACGGTCCCCACTCTCCTCCACTCTCCACTTGTCTCCAGACAGAGTTAAATATTATCTTTACTGTAATATGATATACGTTTATATTACTTTGCATGACGTAGAATTGTTTATATGCCGATGTATCTTATTAGATTATAGTTATCTTGTTGACAGGGACTATTTAATATATGGCATCATATCTGCATCAGAGAAATTTGTTCCTGGCACATGATAGGCAAATAAAAACTCTCTCCTAAGGAAAAAAATGACTAATCGATTAACTCATTTCTGCCTGAGTTTGCAATTTTTTGAATTTGAAAAATCAGACCTTGACAATGACCTTGAGCAGTAGGATAGAAATAACTCCCACATGTTTAGAGTTCCAATAATGGAACACTGGGCATAAATGGATTTTAATAAGAAAAAAATTGAATGGCAGGCAAATTGATCATTTGCTCACTAGTATCAAAAGTAACTATTTTTGAATCTTAGAATCCTCTTTAGAATTGGGTTAATTTAGATAATTTTTGTCTTTTGTTTTTGTTTTAAACCTAACAGATACTTTTCTAGATATTTTATGTGCATTTTATTTTTTAATATGCACAGAGTTATTGTTGTGGTATTTTAATATTTATTTTATAGATGAAGAAGCTGAGGCTTGAAAGACTGATGTAACTTGCCCAATGTCATACAGACAGATTACAAGCAACATATGAATGCTATCCTGGCTGCAAAACCAATATTCTTCCGGTATTAGTTGAACATGCCCATTAGGTGCCAGGTAAGAAGCTTCAGGAGAGAAAATAAATCACCCACTAGAGACCTACTCCTTTAACTTTTAAAATTTATTTCTTATAAATTACTTTTGAGAATAGATTTTATTTTGCTCAAACTAGGCATTTACAACTTGAAAGTTAGACAGTTAAAAATGGATTATTGCAATCATGTTTTATTTGCTGTGGTTTCCCCCTAAATGAAAATATTAAAGAAAATATTCAGGCCGGGCACAGTGGCTTACGACTGTAATCCCAACACTTTGGGAGGCCGAGGCGGGTGGATCATGAGGTCAAGAGATGGAGACCATCCTGGCCAACATTGTGAAACCCCGTCTCTACTAAAAGTACAAAAATTAGCTCGGCGTGGTAGCGTGCGCCTGTAGTCCCAGCTACTCGGTAGACTGAGGCAGGAGAATCACTTGAACCCGGGAGGCGGAGGTTGCAGTGAGCCAAGATTGCGCCACTGCACTTCAGCCTGGTGACAGAGCGATACTCCATCTAAGCATTCACTGTTTTATACTTGCATACAGTGTGCTATACTTGCATACAGTGTGCTCTAACTGCAACTTTACATTGTACCTTAAAGCTTTTCAAGTTAAATATATCCACTTTGACCTCTATTTAAACCTTCTTTGAAACCAACATTTTATTGGTTTTAACTATATTGATTTTTCAATTGAAGATAACATTCCATTCACATGAAAGTTCATTTGTTACAGCTTTCCATTTATAAGATCCTGCATCTTGATTTAATGTTATTTTCTTGCAGAAACTAAAGTTTGTAGGTCAATCTTGAAGAATGAGTACAACCACAAATATAGCAGATGCCTCATAAAATTATCTTCTGCTGCTTCTCTGTGACCTCTGTCAAGGAAATAACACTCAAACCCGCGTCAGCATGAACAGCTGTGGATGCCGCTGTTAGATAGCCCTGACCTATCCTCCGAAGGGTAGTGCCCAACAGGGAGGGAATGGTGATTTTCACAGAGTCAATATTATTAACGCCAACATAAATCAGAAAATACTGCCTCAAATCTAATAATTAGATGCCACAGTTCATAAAAAGAAGCAAACTTCCTCTGTAATAAATCAACTCAAGTTCTATGTAGACATTTATGGAAATGGTAATGACAATTACATAAAGATTTTTATATCCCTCAAAAGTTCATTTACAATAAATATGTAAATGGATAAATTGCACATTTGTTTTGCAGTGAAGTACCTTAGAAATCATACTCTTCTTTCCTGCTGAAAGAGCTTTTAAGCAGAAATTCACCATGCAGAAGATGATAGAACTAAACCTTGCGGCTATTTTCATTAGGTTTCACTATCTGCAACTTATCTTGCTAGACCAATTCATAAGTAGTAAGGAAGATGCAAACGCAAGAATTTGACTCAGATAGCCAAATTATTCAGCAAAATAAGCGTTTTCATATTACAGTTTTTCCACTTGATCAATAAGTCTTTTTATATAAAAATCCATCTTTATGTGTATGTATAGATATACACACATTTATACACACACATAAAACATATACACAAAACACACACATAAAAACACACACATATATGTATCACACACACCTGCCACACACATTTACATTCACATATTCACGTACATGGGAACACACTCCAGCTTATCTGGTTTAAGGTTCTCTAATAACTTGTTATTAGCTTTTAGCTGACACTGAATACATAAACTTTAGCCTAAGAAATCTCTGAATAAAAGGAAAAGGGCTATATGTGTTTCATTAATTAAAATTTGTGTTTCAGTTTAAGCATGTGATATGGTTTGGCTGTGTCCTCACCCATCTCATCTTGAATTGCAGCTCCCATAATTCCCACATGTCATTGGAGGGATCTGGTGGGACATAGTTGAATCATGGGGGTGGGTCTTTCCTGAGCTGTTCTCGTGGTAGTGAATAAGTCTCACAAAATCTGATGGTTTTATAAAAGGGAGTTCCCCTGCACAAGCTCTCTTGCCTGCTGCCATGGGAGATGTGACTTTGCTCCTCATTTGCCTTCAACCATGTTTATGAGGCTTCCCCAGCCATGTGGAAATGCAAGTCAATTAAACCTCTTTCCTTTGTAAATTACCTAGTCTCAGGTATGTCTTTATTAGCAATGTGAGAACAGACTAATACAGTGAGCTTGATCTCCATAGTTTTCCATAAGCTCAGGAAGTTAAATCAAAATAAACAAATTTCCATGTATTGAAATGTGTTCTCCTCTGGAAGAAACCTTTTGGCTGCTTTATGGCACACAAATATCAAAATGAGTTTTATACATTTGAATTAGTGATTCCATGCAAATGCAGTCTTCAACTATCCCCTGATGTATTTCTGGTATCTTGTTACCCAGATGTAGTTCTGAATCCAGGGAGCTACAAGTTTTCCTCATGGACTGTGTTTGAGCTGCAGGCACATGTGGGAAGAACATCATTAAAATCATTTATTTTATTAAACCATGAAAAGATGTAAGTGTAGATCATTTCAAAATTAGGGCAAGTTGAGGGAGAAAATGATCCTCTAAAAATAGATACTACATTAATTTATTCAACAAGTTAGTTATAGATTATCTTCTCCATGCCAAGTTTGGGAATATAGCAATGAAATTAAAAAAGACCAAGCAACCACTCTCATGATTTTTAAAATCTCATGAGTTTTAAAACTTAGTGAGGAGCAACAGATAGTGAACAAGTAAACTACCATTTAATATAAAGAGTAACATATCACAAAGAAAAAAAATCAGGTAGGATATAGAGATAGTGAGAAAAAGCTGATACTTTACAGATTGGGCAAGAAGCTTTTCTCAATGAAACCCAAACATGTAGAATCTAGAAGTGTCAATATTCTGGGAAACTGTGAAATGAGTAAAGAAGAAAAGGGCAGAAAATCAAGAGAAAGAGTGAGAAGCTGAGGGATCATGGTGGCCTTTCAGCCTGTATTAAGGAATCTGGATTTTATTCCAGGTGAGACAGAAAACCAGTGGAAAGGCTAGGGCAGAAAGGTGACATCGAATTATTAGGTTTTATAAACTTACCTTCTATTATTCTGTGGAAAATAAATGAAAAGTGGTCAAAAGCAGCATGAGAGATACCAGTTTGGAGGCTCCTGAAATAAGCCAGGAGTAAAGGAGGTAGGGGTAGGGGGAAGTAATAGCATGATATATATTTTACTAATATTATTATTATTATTAACATTATTGTTAACTGTTTTTAGAGGGAGTGTCTCTGTTGTCCAGGCTGGAGTGCAGTGGTGGATCATAGCTCACTGCAACCTCAATCTCAGGGCTCTGGTAATTCTCCCACCTCAGCCTCCCGAGTAGCTGGAACTACAGACACATTCACTAAGTCTGGCTAATTTTTGTTCCAGGTTTGTAGAGATGGGGGTCTTGCTACATTGCTCAGGCTGTTCTCAACCTCTCAGCCCCAAACTATTCTCCTGCCTTTGCCTCCCAAAATTCTGTGATTACGAACAGGAAACACCATGCAAAGCCGGGATCCTGAGACATTTTGTAGGTAGGGTTGACATGATTTGCAATAGACTAGATGTTAGGTGGGAAAGAACAACACCTTAATAATGTTGGTTTCCTCATAGTCCCTTTATTTTCTAATACTTTTTTTTCTCACTTAAGCTTTCACTGTTTCATCCCCATGAGTCATTTCAAGCAAAAATACTAGAGACAAAAAATATTAGAGACAAATAACCATGCAGAGTACAAATGGAAAATAAAATACACAGTTTTCTGTGTACTCTACATTTTCTTCTCCACAAATAATTCAGGATGCTCATATAAACTTTCTAGTAGCCATCTCTTTATGAATTCTGACAAGAGCTGTCTTTGTCTTTGGCATAATTCCATCCCTTTTCAAACAGCATTGCTTTGGATCGTTCCCTTTCCTAAAGGAATGGAACCCTTTTTCTAGACCTTGCTACCTATAGTCTCTTCATATAATCCATCCTCGTTAAGCCCCTCTACTGGTCTAGGCAGTCAGTTACAATATACTTATTCAACAATTAGTATATTCCAGGCATGCTTCTGTTCACTTCATGATTTCCGTATACAAAATCGTAAGTTAGGCTCTATTTTCTCAGATTTTATACACAAGGAAACTGAGCAAAAGAGTAGTTACGTAATTTGTTCAGCATCACCCACCCAGTGAGAAACAATCCAGGATTCAGTTCCTGCCAACCTGGCTGATTTTGTTCTGTCAACCTTCAGGCTATGAGGTCTCATCCATAATCCACCCCCCAACCCCTTCCAGCCAGTAAAACTTACTGCCTGTTACTTCCTCTAAGTCCTGGTTTTCTCCGGAAAACTAGCCTGGTGATACTTTTTATCAGGTAAATTACCTAGAGCTAATCTAGTCTCTAACAAAAAGCAAAGAAAGAAAAACAAACATAAAAACAAAATAAAAACTTCTGTTTGGCACCAGTGGTACCTCAATCCAATTGAAATGGATCAACTGTCAAAACACCATGCTACTCAACAATTCCACAGGCAATTGGAAAACATCTGTTTGACTAGGTATCTTACTGCTTTTGTTTGTTCACAAGAAACAAAAGATTATTTCAGAAAAAAAGATACAGAAAGATTTTATTTAAAGCTATTATACTTTATTGAGGGACCTAAGAAAAGGAAAGGAAGTGTGTTGAGACCTCATTAGAGACCAACAGCAGAAATATTAGGAAGCTTGTCTCAATTTTTCTCCTTAACGTGGACACTGGACCTTGTTCTTTCTGCCACATACCATTATCTTCACTTTGTATCCAAAGATTTATCTTCTTCAACATGGGCACATGACCGTTAATAACCACATATAAAACTCGAGTTTATGGTCTCAGTGCAAATAATCAGCAAAAATTAATCATGGCCCATAAACTTCACTTTCAAATTCTTGGAGAAAAAAAATCTGTGTTTTCAAGCTGGAGTTAGAAGACTACCTGTAGCATTCCATTATACCAACATCACTGTCAAGTCCCTGGGAATAGCTTTAAGTGGATGGCCCAAATGACCGAAAGTTTTATGAAAATGGTAAGGGAAAATTCAATGCCATTTTAAATTAGCATTGAAAGCTGCCATTGTAACTCCATTCAAACTGTGCTAGATTCCTAAAGGCAGTGATACACCTACTATACGGATGTGGTGATTAACTGAGATACATGCATGTGCACATATATTAGTTGTATGTCCATATTTATTTTCCATATTCAAAGAATATGTATTTCAAATTATCTCCTAGTGTAATTTTTCTGAGAGATGACTAAAGGAGGTAAACATTGAGCTAACTCTTGTTTCTATGCCCCTGCTTTCTGTTCTTACTTATGCTCTTTCAAAATGCCCTATTTTCTCCCCTTTCTATTCAAATCTCAGCCAGGTATAAATTTTACTACTTTAATGTCTCCCCTTAACTATCTCAATTTACATTAGAATATCTATTTTCCCCATAGTGTTAAGCATAGTCTTATATGCGTAGCCCCTCAAAGGTTCCTTTACACCTAAGAAAAACTCATTAAACATTTGGTGAATTCATCAGTTGTAGTTAATAATAAATACTTGTTTATTTTTGAATTTTCATTCCATAATCTCTGTTTTAGTTCAGGATTCTGCTATCAATCAATTACACTAAGGATTATAAGGAAGTAATACTCAAAAGCGTTTTTGACTCTAAATGTTTTTTTTTTTTTTTTTGAGACGGAGTTTTGCTCTGTCGCCCAGGCTGGAGTGCAGTGGCGCGATCTCAGCTCACTGCAACCTCTGCCTCTTGAGTCAAGCCTCAGCCTCCTGAGTAGCTGGGATTACAAGTGCGCACCACCATGGCTGGCTAATTTTTGTATTTTTAGTAGAGACAGGGTTTCATCATGTTGGTCAGGCTGGTCTTGAACTCCTGACCTCGTGATCTGCTGGCCTCGGCCTCCCAAAGTGTTGGGATTACAGGCATGAGCCACCGTGCCCGGCCTTGACTCTAGATATTTCTTTATTTCTCAAAAAAATAGCTTCTCATATAATACAAAATAGAGGCAGTGTTTGTTTGATGGAGAATTAAAATCATGTACAAGGGGCCTTATTCCCATATGTGTTCTCTGCTGTATTAATAGCAGATAAGACTATTAATAATTTCAAACATAAGCATAGCTGTATGTATAATATAGTTACTTTACATAAATATTTATTATATCTATTTTTTATTAATCTATAAATTCATGATTATCTCTTAGAATGATTTTACAATAAAAAATAGTTTCTATAATGTAAATTGTATCCCATAGGTCTTTTCTGGTTCCAATTCCCCTGGTATAATTTCATATCTCTTTACTTTTGAAATCTATTTTGCATTAAAAGACTCTTCTAGATAATACATTGCTGAATTTTTCTCTGTGCATCTGTGTCTCTGTCTGAAGGTGAGTTATGCATAAGTGCACATTTCAAATGAGTTTGAGAAAACTTTTTATTAATTTTATATATATGTAGTTACTATTTTTATAATTTTCAGCTATATTATTCTGTGTTTCTATTTCTCTTAAGTTTCTTTCTCTTTTTTCCTTTTTCCAGTTTCCATTGAAGTTATAATTTATTTTCATCTGGTTTTATGGTTGAACATTGCATGTTTACATTTCTGGCTTTTCTATGAGATATATGATTTTTACTTTTGGCACTTTGTTCATGCTCTCTATTTCCAATATCTGCCCTTATTTCTTTGAGAGTATCTAACATCTTCATTATACACTTTTTTTTGGTTTGGTTTATTATGGCTGGTTCAATTGTACCAGAATATTATTCTTTTATTATTATTTTTTAAAAATCTTTGTATATAGCAGTTGAGCTCCTCAGATGTTCAGTTTTCTTTGTGAGCTCACATCCCTTGAGATATCAACTACTTGCCTGGCAATGTCAAGGAGACACAAACCTCAGTGGTTCCTTTCACTTTCTAAAGTTACCAGTTGCTGTATAACCCAAGAATTTAGTTTACTCCAGCAATTCTGCTTCACAGATAAATAACTTCCTCTAATTCTCTCTCAAGTGTTGCTATTTCCTAAGAACTATTATACTTGGATATAATCACCTACCCTCATGGTCTACACCTACACTCTGTGACAAGGGCTTCCAGAGACCCACCAATTTTGCATTAGTTGTGCCCCATCCTAGTCAACATTAAGAACAAACTTTGTTATTTATCTCATACTCCAGGCTAGTGATGGGTTACTGACATTCTTTTCAATCTTGGATTGTTGATTTAATGTGAAAGATATACCAAGGGCAATAATGGAAACAGGGCACAAAGAGAATGACTAAAATATCTGCTCTGTCTTATATGTGGCACATATGCTCGCTCTTTCTTTTTCTTTCTCTTTCTTTCTTTCCTTCTTTCTTTCTTTCTTTCTTTCTTTCTCTTTCTTTCTTTCTTTTTCTTTCTTCCTTCTTTCTTTCTTTCTCTCTCTCTCTCTTTCTCTTTTTTATTCTTTCCTTCTTTCTCTCTCTCTCTTCCCTTACTGAGTTGGAGTCTCTCACTATTTTGCCCAGGCTGGTCTCAAATTCCTGGGCTCTGCTTATCCTCCTGCTTCAACCTTCTTAGTAGCTGGGACTGCAGGAATGCATTACCACACCTGGCTTCACACTATTTCTTATTCGAAATTACTAAGTCATTCTCTGATTGTAACATTCCGTTGTCACCCTGTTTATCTTGCAATTATTATGTTAGAACCACTATATACACATATATAGCATTTTTACACTATAACATTAAAAATGGGTTATAAATTACAGAAATATTTTATATATATTTTGACATATTTAAATATTAACAACATTCAAATATAATATGTTCATAGTTGTATCATGTAATCACTTCAAATATCTCATAGAAAACCTTTTCATCTCTAGGTTTTGGATATAATAATTTCTCAGAAAGTAGATTTAAAATTACAATAATATATTTCCATAGTTTAAAAGAAGTTTCCAAGACCAAAAAGTAAGAGCATGAAGTAGCACAACGGCAAAAGGATATAAAACAAATGGAAATATTCTAATAACTGACCCTGAGCTTAGTAGACTAAGAAAACTTGATATTATCAATGAACTGGGAACATATTAGTCTCCAGTTGACCAATACTTCCACTTCTGCTTTAGGACTCTCCTCTCCAGAAGCAGTACCTCAAACAGTAAATAGCTATTCAGAATAATGTTTATTTAGCAGAAACTTCAGAAAGGGGCATGGATATCTCCACAAGAGGTAGCTCTGTTTCTGCCACCCCCACACCTGCCCCCACCCCCTCCCCCCCCCAACACACGTACACTTCAAGTAAATCATGGATCATGAACATGAGATTTTGTGTTTTTTCCTAGAGCAAAGCTAGATTCTGGATTGTAACCCACAGCCATCTCTTGTGACTATGTTACACTTGTCTCTGCTTCTACTACTTATTTCTTAGCCAATTTTCTTTGCATATGCTTTCATTCAGGAAGATCTCAGCATCTTGCTTTTATGAGATCATTGGAATGTCATTTTTCTGGCCAGAAACCTGTGGCCAATTGTGCCTTTGTCTGAGTTTTGCTCAGGCCAGCTGGGCTTGTTTCACGCACTCGGCCTTGCAGGCTGCGCTTAAATCACACTACCAACCTACATCCCGCACCTCTAAGGTAGACTGCGAGTCAGGCGTGGAGCGACAAGGGGTGTGTAAGCAAGCGTAGGGTCCAATCACTATGTAGCCAGGCACGCTGGCTACAGCTACGGGGTGGGCAGCTCCAGGTGCCTGCATGGGCGTCAGCTCTCTGGGAGGTTGTGGCTGGACCAGGAGCACTGCAAGCAGCTTCCCTGACTGGCACTGGGAAATGCAGTGTGGCCTAGAAGCTTGGAGATGCCAGGAACCACAGGGCCCAAAGAAGGAGTCATAGCATTGGCTCAGGGAGCTCCCAGGTCTGAGCTCCCTGAAGGGCTGCAGCTTTTCTCTTCTTCTCTTCACTTGCAACGTGGCAACCAAAGAGCATGTTTCCACCCTGTGTGTGTTACAGCTCTTTCAGCTTCGCCATTTGGCAGGACCCAAGTTCTTTCCCTGCTACCAGAAAAAATGGGATATGTGGACAAGTAGCGGGTGAGTAAGACAAAGTGGAGCTTTATTGAGCAATATAACAGCTCAGAGAGGACCTGGAGTGGGAAGGCCCTTTCCACATCCAGGATGTCCTGATGAGTGTTCAGCTCCTAGCAGGGAGGAGACCATAGAGAAGGAAACTCCTCTCTGCAGGCAGGTCATCCCATCATCTCTGCAGCTCTCAGCAGAAAGGGTATCTCCTCTCCGCAGTTGGTTGTCCAGACATCTGCTTAGCTCTGACTGATCCTGGGGCTTTTATGGGCCTCAGAGGGGAGGAAGTGTGCACCCATAGGTCCATGGGTGGCCATTGATGGGCCCAGAAAAGACACCACAAGTTCCCACTCTAGTCTGTGGGACTGGAAGCCCACCCCACAGCCATCAGGTCCTCCCCAGCCTGAAGGTGGGGCCTCACTGGGGACCTGCCCCTTTCTCCCCAGGAAGCTGTCTGCCTCCTACTGCCATTCATGGTGCCTGGGCTTGGCCCTGACTTTGCTCCAAGATCGGAGCTGGTGAGGCGCCGACAGCAGAGAGAAGCCAGGCAGCAGGAGCAGGCATTTCCGAGCCTGCAAAGGCAGGGGGACCTTCCTGGGCCCCCAGTAGGGAAGGGTTGCCTGGGTCCACAGCCTCTATTTGCTTGCAGCTGCACCTGGGTAGGTGGGGGTCCTGCATGCTCTGTGGAGCTGGAGGCCGAAGTCTGCAGCTGTGATCTGGATAGCTGCAACTGTGCCCAGGATGGGGGTCTCCCGCCTGCTCCATGAAGCATGATGCCCCAGCCATGGCTCCCTGCTGCAGCCAGCATGATGGCACTATTATGATATAAATAATCCTCTATGATGAAACAGTTCTACACATTTGTACATCATATACCAAAACAACATATAAAATTCAAAAAATAGAAATAGTCTACAAATAATATATACAAATTATCTGTAAGTATCTATAAATGTAGAAAGGAATGTGTGTGCATTAGTATATTGCTCATAACACTCATGCATCTTATATAGCTGGTGGAATTATTTTATTCAGAAGATTATTAGAAATAGTCTTATCTTATATCACTAGAGTTATTTTATTTTGTCATTTCAAATAACTGAAATTTTGTATATTTAAGCTGCTAAAATATTTCAGAAGATTATGAATTATTTTTTGTTTCTCTTGGGAAATGATTATTATTTAAAGATAATTCATCTTATATCTATTAAATTAATCCTATATTATTATTCATTAGAAAAGATAGCTTACTATCTATTGCGGCAATATTATTACATGAAAGTAGCATACATAATCATGATTATTTATTCTTTGGTAATTTCTCAATTGAGAAAAACTTAGAGGATGCTAAAATAGCTTTTTGAAAGAAAACTCACTAGCATTGTATAGATAGATAGGTAGATAGATAGACATATAGATAGAGATGTGTTTATGAATATATAGAATTTTGTAATGACATTTAGACATATTTTAAATATCTTGTTGATATTTCCAGTTTATTCATTTTGTACTTTCATTGTTGGTAAATTTTCATAAACAGTAGCTTTATGTATTCAAAATACATAGGTGGAATGCTTCAGTTCCCTGCTGCAAAAACTGGATTTTCAGGGCAGCAGCACCATGATCACCTAAGTGCTTGTTAAAAATGCAGAATCTTGGGCCCCATCCCAAATCTACTGAATCAAATTCTACATTTTAACAAGATCCCCAGGTAATGCTATACATGCTAAAATTAGACATACAGAGTTTTCATTTGTGAATCTTGTTTAACATGTGTAAGTAAACTACTTCATAAAAAAGTACAAGTTTGGATTGGTAAAGTTAGGATGTGTGTTATTCATTTCTTTGCATAATTAATGTACAATTATAACAGTGGTGATAGTTTTTAGGCAAATGATGTTTACTTGATTCTGAGCCATATTGATTTCTTCTTCATTCATGTCTAGTTGATTTTACTTAGAAACATGAATTCAGAAATGAAGTGCCATAGAGGACTGTATTTTAAGGATTTATTATATTAATGCATGTTTCTATCAGAAGCACTATGCAAGCTCATGTAATTCTTAGCTATATCTAATGTCAGAGCTTCCCATTTGCTGTATTGAGGTTAGAGATAAATTGATGAACTTCAGCCTTAGAGTAGATGAACCAATTATCAGTTATTCCAATAATTGTTTTATTTACCCAGTATGCTTTCTAATAGCATCCATGGTAATGGTGTGCATAACTTCTGAAAGATAATGTACTTATTTATGCTATACATGAACTACGTTGTTTGGTATATTATATATGTAATATTAACAAGGTTTATTGATGGCCATTTTTATATCTGTGAAATAAGATTATGAAATAAAAAGAGTACACATGTGATTTATTGTTTTACTGTTGGTGGGCTGGACGTGGCAGGAAATGAAATTAAACATACTTGAACTCAGTTTTCTTAGGACAATAGCCTTACAATTATAGAGGGAGACTATGGTCCAATAGAGTCGCTCTTGTCACTCATACGCTGTGGTATTACATGTTTTGCTTTGATTACCCTAGCTTCAAATCACCATGGAATCTACCTTTTAAATTATTTCTGAAGCATGATAAACCACTTTTAAAGGTAAAAAGAGCAGTATCAAGAATATAAGAAAAGATATTTAAAGAAAAATGACAGTTTGCAAAAAAACATTTTGAGATATAATTACTACATAATTTGCAAGATAATTGAGCTACTCAGTCATTGACTTATACACTCATCTCTTAGTAATTGTCCCTGCCTTCGGATCATAAGGTCAGGAGATCGAGACCATCCTGGCTAACATGGTGAAACCCCATTTCCACTAAAAATACAAAAAATTAGCCAGACTTGGTGGCGGGTGCCTGTAGTCCCAGCTACTTTGGAGGCAGAGGCAGGAGAATGGCGTGAACCCGGGAGGCGGAGGTTGCAGTGAGCCGAGATCGCATCACTGCACTCCAGGCTGGGTGACAGAGTGAGATTCTGTCTCAAAACTAAAACTAAGAATAAAAATAAGTAATTGTCCCTGCCCTTTTCTTAGATCAGCTGTAGTGTCAACAACTTTATACACTGTGTGAGTAAAGAAGGGAAGGAAATCCAGGTATTGGGATAATTACGTGAGTATTTTAACAAGAGGAAATATTTCATAGAAACTAAGAGTTGAATAAAATTATTTGACAAATATATACTGTTATGGCATGGCAATTTTTCAAAAATCTCTCCCAAGTATTTCTGAATTCATCCAATGTCCCATTCATAGATAGCTGGTTTAGCAGTTAAGCACTGTAGGCAGAGCTCAAGCCCTAACAGCTTTCTGGGACTTCTGAAAATGAAGTTCTAGTCATAGAAAGATCGACTAATCAAAGCTCATGCATGTTTATAAAATGCAATGTTATATAGACTAATCAACTGCATCAGTATGCACATATTTAGAGATAAAGTGGATTTATTATAAATATGGATGTATATATTTGATGTTATATGAAGGGAGGCATTTGACATAATAGTGCAGAGATATCTCAAATATCTTAACATGGGGTCTGGTTCCATTTTCAGTCACAAGGGTTAAGTAACTTGCAAAATGAGTTTTTCATCATTTCCACTTCATTTAGGGTGAGATATCTATGTTTCATATTTGGCATCCCCCTTTCCCCACATCTCAGGGCTTATCTGCCTGTCTGGTTTTAATCCATATTCAGATGTTCCTGAATTGATATGATACTTTTCTTAGAAGACAAGTTATATTAAGAAATGTTAACAAGAAACACTGTCCTAATTGTGTGATTGAACCCATTTATGAAACCAGAGACAGCCTAAGACACCCGTGAAGTTTCTATGAAGTCTTGCATGTTACTTACAGGCTTGTGATAACTATGCTTGACATATCACATCACCCGGATATATTTTAATGCGCTTTTCTAGGTAATTACTTTAGACCTATATTCTTGATTTTGTTATTCATCATCTCATCTTATAGGATCAAATTGCTTGCTTTTTAACTCTTGTCTCATTTCCCCTGAATAATTCAATAGTTCAGAGGACAAAATGAAAGGCTAAGGCTAGTGAAGAGCTACATGACAATTGTGTTGGATGAGACAAGCCCTAGCTAAACTAAGTGAAATCTTAGAATAATTAAAGATCTCTTCTCCACAATTCTTTAACTTTGCCCTCTGATCTCTCCCCATGTCTCCATTCCTCATGCCTAGACTGACAATGAAAAACTCTGGAAATTCAATGTAATCCAAAGTTACAAACAAATCATATCTCTGCTCAAGTGTTTCACACTCCCATGTTAATTATTCACCCCACTGCCATCATTAAATCTCCAATTCCCCTGACACTGTTAGAAAAGTGATCTGATTAAGCACATAGATTTGTGAATAGCAGCTCCCTAAACACTCTTACTAGTATGTGATTATTCATTGGATACCTCTCTATAATATGTGAATTAGCAAATAAATATTCTAGATTAATAAATGGCTGCCTGCCTTCCTCATAGTAGATATTCAATAATGTTTATTGAATTTTGCTTTAGTCTATATTGCAAAGAAAGAAAACTTAATAAAGTCACCTCTAGGGCAACTCAAATTTTTCATAAACTCACTGAATTTTTTCTATGTGAATCTGATCTAAGGTCCATACCTTAGATTGTCAATAGTCAGAAGAGAACTAATAAAAATTCCACAGGTTTCCAGTCAGGAATTTAAATTCATGATGTAATAGAAACAGCATGCCCAGGAAGGAGCTACCACTCCCATTTCAGTTAAATTAGACCCTTATGCCTCTTCCCAATCCATGGACCATAAGGGAAGCAGCTGGAAAAGGCAGGAGCAGATGGGGGTGTGGATTGAGTGCCAACTCAATGTTTTTTCTTCATCAGAGAAAGGTTTAGCTTTGAAGCATGTGAATGTCAGCCAAGAGCTTTGTGGAAAACTTTGGCATAGACCTTGAGACCTAGTAAGAGCTTCAGCTTCCAAAGAGTAACATGATCAACAACATATATTTTTCCAATTTCCAGTTTACTGGCTTTGACTGTTCAGGGCTGATGAGATAATAAGTTATAATTTTTTTAATCTCTCTTCTATTTCTTATTGCATTTTCATTTCTGAAGAGAAGAATTAGCAGGGTTGTCTTTATGATATGTTTCATCTCTCCCCAGTGTCTTTATAGTGTATAATGTTAATGAATATGTGAGGGAGGGTGAGATGGTCTATTGTGAAGGGATACACAGTCTTAACACAGAAAAAAAAAGAGAGATTCTTAGAGAAGTTGAACTTAGTAGAAATGCCTTAAGGTAGTAGATTCTAGTCACCTTCCTGCCCTAAAGTAGATACTCTTGGTTCTTCATAGTGATAAACATATTTTTGCCAGAACAACTGTATGAATGTGGGTGCTATTTAATGATAAGAAATATTGAGACAATTTGACATTTTTTGAAGTAAAAAAATATTTCTTTTATAGAAATGTAAAATTTGAGATGTCTCCTAAATAAGTAATGTGAGACTGGAAGCCAAGGAATGAGGTTTATACTGGAGATAAAAACTTTGACCTTGTGAGCAGATTAATGGTGAATAGAGTTACAAGACCAGAAAACATCTTATTTTTTTTTTTTCTTTAGTAGAGATAAGGTATTGCTGTGTTGCACAGGCTGGAATGCAGAGATACAATCATAGTTCACAGCAGCCTCGAACTCCTGGGCTCAAGCTATCCTCCCACCTCTGTCTCCAGAGTAGCTGGGGCTACAGGAATGTGCAATCATGCCTGGATATTTTTTTCTCTTTTTCAATTTATTGGAGAGACAGAGTTTCACTAAGTTGCCTAGGGTGATCTTGATCTTCCAGCCTCAAGCAATCCTCCCACCTTGGCCTCTCAAAGCTCTGGGATTACATATGTGAACCACTATGCCCCGCCTCAGAAAGTATCTTAATAACAGTAACTAACGTCCATACTAGCTATTACTAATTTTTTAAAATAATTTTTAAAAAATTATTCACTTATTTCAAACAGCAACCCTAAGAAGTAGACATTATTACTGTCTTCACTTAAAAAAATTTTAAAAATATGTTCAGAGAGATTAAATATCTTGTCCAGGGTTACCTGCTAATAAGTAATCAAGCTTGAATCATCAAGCCTGCAGATCACATGCACTAAATCACTATATACCACCTTTCATGTGATAATGATTATAATAAATGTTGAAAATCCGCAAAACAAGTTTTAGGGGACTTGAACATTGTGACATAAAAAATAAAAGAGAGATCCAATAAAGTATACTTAGAATAAGTGACTAATGAAATAGCAATAAATAAGGAAAATACAGGATTCTGGAAGTCAAGTAAAGGACACCTTTTAAGATGAATAAAGTCAACGATTGTGTTAAATGATGCTGAGATTAAAATGAGACCTTAGCAGTGATGTATGGGTTTTACAAAACAGATTCTTTGGTTTACTTAAGACAATTTTAATTGGAGTAGTAGAAATGAAAGTATTTCCAGAACAGAGTGAGAGGTAGTGGAAGGCGAGGAAGTAAAGTAAGTGAGTATAATTGACTTCATGGAAAGGATTTATTTAAAGGTCACTCAGATGGTTTTGGTATTGTAGGATCAAGACACAATGTCAAGAAAGGTTTTGTATATTATACAAAATATTATAGCATATGTGTTAGGCCATTCTTGCATTGCTGTAAAGAAATACCTGAGACTGTTTAATTTATGAAGACAAGAGCTTTAATTGACTCACAGTTCTGCAGGCTTTCCAGGAAGCAGGGTGCCGACATCAGATTGGCTTTTGGACAGGGCTCAGGAAGCTTACAATCATGGAAGAAGTAAAACGGTGTGCAGGCATGACACATGGAAAAACAGAAGCAGAGAGAGAGAGTGGAGTGGGGAGATGCCACACTTCACAGCAACCAGATCTCATGATAATACATTCGGCATCATGAGGACAGCACCAAGCCATGAGGAATCTATCCATACCATGACACAAACACCCTCCACCTGGCCCCACCTCCAACATTAAGAGAGATTCAAAACATGAGGATTTAACACATCCTTTTTTGTTTTGAAGATAGATGGTACCACAAGCCAAGAAATGAAGATAGCCTTCAGAAGTTGAGAATGACCTGAGGCAGGCAGATCACGAGGTTAGGAGATCCAGACCATCTTGGCTAGCACGGTGAAACCCTGTCTCTACTAAAAACACAAAAACAAAATTAGCTAGGCGTGGTGGTGGGCACCTGTCCCAGCTACTCAGGAGGCTGAGGCGGGAGAATGGCGTGAACCCAGGAGGTGGAGCTTGCAGTGAGCTGAGATCGCGCCACTGCATTCCAGCCTGGGCAGCAGAGTGAGACCCTATCTGAAAAAAAAACCATCAGATCTTGTAAGACTCATTCACTATCACAAGAACAGTGCAGCCAACAGACCCCACCCCCAGTAATTCAATCACTTCCCACCAGTTTCCTCTCATGACACGTGGGAATTGTGGGAGTTACAATTCAATTCAAGATGAGATTTGGGTGGGGACACAACCAAACCATAACTTGATTCATGGAAATTCAAAAGAAAAACTTATGTTACATTTAGTAAAGATATAAAATTCTGCCTCTAGCTTATTCTATGTCCTTACTATGGAATAGAAGAATGAGGAGTGGGCTAAAGATGATGTTCTGCCTGTTGGGGACTATAAGATATTATTCTCAGCCATTGACTATATTCATACTAATAAAAGATCAGAACTCTTTTCAATAATTTTTTATTTCGAAATGAGAAAATCTCACAAGAAATAAAATTAAATAGTATCTTAATTTATAATTAAATTTTGAATTTAGTTACAGTAACAAATAATGGCAGCACCACATATTTTGATTGACCCAGCTGATCAACAACAAATACAGTATCTCAAATGAAAAATTTATCAAAAGGTACTAGATTTTTCTTATATTAATAGGAAGCATACTGGGGTGTTGCTGCCTGTTTTAACATCTGCATACTTCAGCTGTTTCATTTTGCCTCATCAATCTTGCAGTGCTGTTTGCAGGAAGATCTGATCCATGATAATCCAGGCATGAGAACAGCTGATGCTCAGAGAGACGGATACTCCTGATGTGACTTGTACTAACTATGCATGAGATTTTCAACTCAAATGCACCTTATCAGTACTACCCTGGCACAGAATGAATCATGCTATCGTTTTATTTTTAAATTATGAAAATATACTTCGAACTTTTTCATTAAAAGTATTGTAGCTAATTTCAGTCATAGCTAAGGTGTTTTGGAAGTTTTAATGCATCTGCTTGCTTTAAAACATGCTCTGGAAAGAATGACTTAAGAAACATTATGCAACTGTAATTTGGTACAATTATTTCATTTTTGTGCCACAAATAGATGCCCATTTAACACGATTAGACAATGTAATATAAAATAATATAATAGAGATTTAATGCAACTTTCAATGATGTGTCAAAATTGTACATCTTCAAGTGGATAGAAAAATCTGCTGCACAAATACACACACAGATACACACACATACATACACACCCATGTCACTCTGCATAGCTAAAATATATTAAAAGATAATATTCATTTATTTTACTTCTATTCAGGTATTAGACTTGTTATTTGTTACCTTTATCATTTATTTTACTTCTTTTGAGATACTAGAGTTATTATTTTTAACTTATGCTATTTATATTTATGTTGTAGTGAAGGAAAGCCCTCTGAAGACTCTAACAACATTTATAAGGCATAGAATCATTTGAAATTAAGAAAAAAACCTGGAGTACATTAGAGGTGTGTAAATAAGGGTCAACAAATATACCCATTTAATCAGAGAATAGGATTGATCTATTGTACAATGCAAAGAAAATCAGCTAAGGGGGCTTCAATACACATATTGTGAATCTCTAACTTTCAAATATTGTGATTCAGTAGTTGTTGAGGGAGGCAGAAAGTTTATGTTTTTCAAAAATACTCCATTATTCTGCTTTACATTCATGTATAAAAGTTATTGCTCCATATTAATTGCCAATTTAAATTTGTATTAAAATGTGATAATTTTGTGAATGGGTTTTTAAATGTATTCATTTAGGTTGAACTTATAAAATAATGCAAATCAATAATGACTAAATATCATTTATTTGAAATATTAAAATATTACTGTCTCATCTTTGTAGGTGTTGAATAAGACTATTAAATTTATCATTATCTATATCATGACTTCTGTATGCCTATCAAGTTTTACTGTATATTTATTAAAGAAATATATACTTGAGTATCTTGTGACAAGGGATAGATGTATTTGTAATTTAATTTATGCAGATTCATATATTCTTTCCATTCAAAGCAAACGAATGTCACAGATAAAAATTAGGAGAAATTTTTATAGGCTAAATTAACAATAAGTTTATACCTTGGGCTTTTTCTCAAAAAATTTAACATATATAATCCCAAATAAAGAGAAACAATATGAAATGATAAATAAATATCATGAAGTAAAGTTCATTATGCATTACCTCATCTCATGCCATGATATCATTATTTCACATGAGAGAAACTATCTCAAAAGCAGATTTTATTTTCTAGGATGCAGTATTTAGAATAAAAATAATTTTTCTAGTGTATGAAAATATCTGGAGAAAAAAAATTGTATATATTAAAAACTAAAAGCACAGCAAGCAAATATCCTTAGGCACAAATGAAGAGTTTACAGTAGCCAAGAATTTCCTTGGTTTAATTCCCACTTCTCTCCTTTGTGTCCACATCTGGCATTGATTCGTTCTAAAAGCACTGCCAAGCAAGCTAATGAAATGCTTCTCTGAACAGATATTATTTGGTTTTCATAGATAAACAAATGGTTATATGTTCCGTATTGCAATTAAGCTCTACCAAATTATGCACACACTCTCTGAATATGCAGTAACTGTTATTATTAATATTTAGGCACATCTGTGTTCTCCAATCATATCATCAGCAATTGAAAAAATGCTAGAGCACATAAAACAGAAGTATTTGTCGCCAATTCAGAAATTAACCGTCATTCAAAATTGTGCCAATAAGCATAGTGAGTTTTGTTTTCAAAAATTGTTTTACATGCTTTCTTATTAAGAAATTTCTTGGTAGAAACACTGAAACAAAATGTTCAAGTAAATGAAACAGCAGTAAAAATACAGATGCTCCTCAACTTATGATGGGGTTACATTCCTATAAACCCATCAAAAACTGAAAAAAATTTAAGTTGAAATGCATTTAATACACCTAACCTACCAAATGTCATAGCTTGGCCTGGCCCACCTTAAACGTACTCAGAGCACTTACATTAGCCTACAGTTGGGGAAAAGCATCTGGCAACACAGTGCACTGTCAAGCATCTGTTGCTTATCCTTCTCATCGGGTAGCTGACAGGGAGCTGCTGCCCAGAATCACAAAAGAGTATTCTACTGCATATGAATAGCCTGAAGAAAGATCAAAATTCAAAAGTTGAAGAACTGTTTCTACTGAATGCGTATCGCTTTTGCACCATCATAAAGTCAAAAAATCATAAGTCAAGCCACCATAAATTGACGACTATCTCAGTGTTTATAATATTCCTCGAGGTAATAAGCCAATTTTGTTGAATGAACATACTGAATTTTTTAAACAAACACAAGCATCCCTGCAAATCCTTAAAACTTATCAAGAGTGGGCTGGGCACGGTGGCTCACGCCTGTAATCCCAGCACTTTGGGAGGCCGAGGCAGGCGGATAACGAGGTCAGGAGATCGAGACCATCTTGGCTAACACGGTGAAACCCCGTCTCTACTACAAATACAAAAAATTAGCTGGGCGCGGTGGTGGGCGCCTGTAATCCCAGCTACTCGGGAGGCTGAGCAGGAGAATGGCATGAACTCGGGAGGCGGAACTTGCAGTGAGCCGAGATAGCGCCGCCACTGCAGTCCAGCCTGGGCGAAAGAGCGAGACTCCGTCTCTAAAAAAAAAAAAAAAAAAAAAAATTCCCAAGAGTGCACTTTGAAATTTAACAGAAATTTTAGATTTCCATGAAAATTATTATTATTATTATTATTATTATTATTATTATTATTATTTAGGAGATGGAGTCTCACTCTGTCACCCAGGCTGGAGTGCAATGACGCCATCTCGGATCACTGCAACCTCCGCCTCCTGTGTTCAAGTGATTTTCCTGCTTCAGCCTCCTGAGTAGCTAGGATTACAGGCACATGCCAGCATGCCTGGCTAATTTTTGTATTTTTAGTAGAGATGGGGTTTCACCATGTTGGCCAGTCTGGTTTTGAACTCCTCACCTCAGGTAATCCTCCTGCCTCAGCCTCCCAAAGTGCTGGGATTATAGGTCTGAGCCACTGCACCCGGTCATCTTTCAATTTTTTAAACACCTCAGTTGGACTGAAGTTAGAGAATTATTGCCTTGTGGAATTGTGATAATAAGCTCATCCCTTACTAAATTTTGACTTTAAAAATAAAAACTCTAGATTTGCTAATTAAGCAATAGATTTATTTAAATACTGAATATATAGTACATAAAGATTTTATTTTAACTTGAGGTTAATTTTCTTCACTATTTTATTTGTTTTAATTTTTATAGATGTCAAAAAATAATTATTCTGGCCATGAAGATAGTCCAAATATATATCGACATCATCTATATGTGTATATATATATACACATACATAGATATGTGGGTATATATATATATATATATATACATACATAGATATATGTGTATCTATGTATGTGTACCATCCCACTTAGAATATTGCATTGCCTCCACATTGACTTGCTTCTTCGTTGTCTTGAACTGCTTCAGACTTTACTTTCATTTTTATAAATGAAATATATATATACACACATAGATATGTGTATACATGTGTATATATATACATACATATATATGTACATATCTCTTTCCCCTTTTTATATTTAAGCCAAAAACCAATCCACACTTTTACCATTAAACCTATATCCATATCTAACTTTACATTGCTATTTAAACAATACCGAATTCATAATCATACATAATTCATGCTGAGAACCTCTGTAAAACTGAAAAAAAAAAAACCCTTAGGAATAGTAAACCTGTAAATTTACAAAGGAACTAGAATTATTGCATTTTTTTGTTTAGATTAGTTATATAATTGAACGCAATATTATTATGTGTTGACTGTATGCCAGAAATTAGTTAAATTTACTGATTTCTAGGTATTTATTATCCATTAAATTATTTATATACAGGAAAAAATCACTTTAAAAATAATACAGTTAGGTTAAGGACTATAATAGCCTTTCTTTAGGAAAGGAGAGAAGAGTTGCCAAATTTGGGGAAATTCAAATGCAGAATTACCAGAAAATTAACTTAAATTGACTACTGATTGACAATTTGGAATTGACTAAAAGATGGAGCTTTAAGGAGAAGAAGAATTTTACTTATCAAAAGAAGAATGCCTTAAGGCAAAATAACGTGTCTGAGGGTGAAGGCAGAGCTTATACCAGAGAGGGCCATAAGTGCTACAAAGGAATTAGGTGTCACTGATGGCTCTGAAGTAAAAAAGTAGCAGTAAAATCTGAGATTTAGATTGCTAACTTGTTTATAAAAATGAAAGTAAAGTTTGAAGCGGTTCAAGACAATGAAGAAGCAAGTCAATGTGGAGGCAACGCAATATTCTAAGTGGGATGGTACATTATCTTGAAATAAGTACAGGCAATGCAGATTAGGTTAGAGAGATAAAAAACAAGACAGGAGGTGAATTCAGCCAAATATTAATTTGTTGTAGAAAATAAGCAGGAGGAAGGTAAAAAGAAGGACTTCCAGATTTCTGGTTCGGTTGATTAGGCAGCTGGTACTACAATCAGAGGATATAAGGATTCTCCAGAAAGTAACTATGTTTGAGACATAAGGGTGGGGAATGGTGTATTCTATTTTTGAATTGTTAATTGTGCCTTTTTAAAATTGTTAAAGTTATTCAGAAGACCATTTGGGGATAAAGAGAATATTTTGAAACATTAGAAGGCTTTATTCTCCTAACATCTTATTATGCAAGGAACATTTATTACACATATATTTTGTCTCTTTTTGGTGGTAAGCACAGTACTACCTATATGGCCTTTGACATACCTTGCGTCTCAGAGATGAAAGCATTCTATTGACTACTCACTAAGCCTATATTCACATGCCTTGAGGGACATGTTAAGAAAATTTAATAAGTTAATCTATAAAGGTCAAATATAAACTGTAATAAAAAAACACACTTAAAATATTAAGCAAATATAATTATTGTAATCAAAAGAATAAGTTATAAAGTAGACATTTAATTTTCTTCTTTAAGAAATAGTTTTCCCTTTTCCTGGAAGTAGGAGAAAGAAAAATTTTATCAATCACTATACTGATTTCTTTCCTAGACTTAAACCAAAGGATAATGGGTAAGCGTCTCCAGGAAGTCACATTCTGCTTACATACAATCACTAAGCAAAGGTAAAATCTATTTACACTTAATGTGAGTAGCGTCGGTCTCTCTTGCGAAAGGAGAAAAAAAAACTAAGGTTATATCTTTAGCAACAATGAACAAGCTTGCTGCCTAGAAAACATAACTTACCTCCTTTGCCAGATTATTAATGCCCAGTCATAGGTAGACGCAAACAGTAAAGATAAAATTAACAATATCGTCAGAATTGTTATATATATGCCTGGGTTCCTACTTGATTCTAAGCAACTAGGTTAGGCAATACTACTTGTACTATTAGAGTTTACTAATTTTCTAAGACTGACACAGCATGCACTTCAACTTTGTTTCCCAATTCTTTCTATTCTGATGAGTGTTAGTGATCAATTGCTGGATCTTCTAAACTATTCATGTGTTTGAAGTAAACTCCTTGATAGGGAATTATAAAGGATCTCGATTTAAGTATTTCTAGAGAGAATATATATCAGCATAAGGCATTAATGTTCAATACTTTTGATTCATTTAATTATAAAGATTATTTTGTTGCTTTAAAAAGTATCTAAGTGCAGTTCTTGTTACTTTTACAGTTTAAAAATGTAGAAATAAAAGTTTCATCTTCTCATGATTTGCATATAAACATTATGTTTTACTCCATGTTAACATTTCACTCCATTTAAAGTGAAGAATACATTTTAACCACATACATGTGCACACACACACACACACACACACACAGATTTACTCAACCAAATGTACTTAATTGGTTTTCCATTCTAACAAGCTTGTAAAGCTCTCATGAGTGATAAAAAGATGAAATAAAAATTAAAAAAACATATTTTAAAGGCAAAGGAGGACATTAGAGATTTAATTTCTGTCTAAAATGTGCTTAGCAAGGCTAACTTTCAGAAGCATTTATATACACTCTGGCTAACATACCCTCCAACACTTACAAAAAGCATGGGAATGGGTAACTGGTCTCTGGATCAAGATAGCATTACTATTCGTTTCTACTGAAATACTTCTTCAAAGTGCACTTTGGAAGAAAATGAAAATATTGTAATTTTCACAAAAAGATTGTAGACTATTTTGAGAAAATTATCAAATGAATATTCTTAAAGTAGTCAGAGATTTCAGTTACTCTGTTAAAATAATACTTTTCTTCGATGAAAACAATGCTATAGCAGTCCAGATTTAAAAACTGAAAGAAGGGTTAGTTTTTAAGAACAGGAGACCAAAGACGTGTATTTTACACTTGAAGGTCAATAGATTCAGTTTCTATCAGATTAGGATAGATGAGTTTAGAAAACCTCATGAAAACTCTTACTTCAATTTCTACTCAGTTTGTCTTTTTGTTAACTGATGATATCAGTTACAAAAGGGCAAGGTGAGAAAAACAGTCTGTAGGTAATCTGTACATAAAGAACATAAGGTGTCTGCTAAAAATAAACACTGGTATTGTGCTAAGATCTAACAGGAAGCAGGGTGCTTGTCAGGGAATTGGTATGGGACACAGCACAGCCAGAACTGTGAGAGGTAATACAAAGCAAGTGTGGGCAGTAATTTGGGCCAGGATGGGTACCAGGAGTCAGCAGATATCATTGCAAAAGTTCACTGTTGGTATCAGGAATACTTGAAATCAGAAAGCCGAGGTGTGATCCAGCCATGAAGCCTAATCTATGAGATACAGTGCTCTCATTCAAGGGATGAGGGATAAATTCATTTGATGCAGCCTTGCCCTTAAAGGATGGCTTGTTCTGGTCAACATGGTGAAACCCCGTCTCTACTAAAAATACAAAAATTAGCCAGGCGTGGTGGCAAGAGCCTGTAATCCCAGATACTCAGGAGGCTAAGGCAGGAGAATCACTTGAACCTGGGAGGCGGAGGTTGCAGTGAGCTGAGATCGCACCACTGCACCCCAGCCTGGGCGACAGAGCGAGACTCCATCTCAAAAAAAAAAAAAAAAAAAGATGGCTTGTTAATGAAAGAAGATATTCTGAAAGCAGATATTCTGATAGCATCTTGGGTAAGATTGAAAGTAGCTTCAAACATACTCAAGTGATTCAGTTTTCTGGTTGACAAAAGATCCTTCTTTCTTCTTCTAATGTTATTATTTGGGGATGGTAGCAGAGTAATCAGGCTAGTGCATGTGGAGTTAAGCCAAACCTTCAGCTGTGGAAGTGCCTGGCTGTTCAGGCCTAGGGATGCAACTCAGAAACAGTGTTCCCAATATTCCTCCTTAGTTAGGTTAGTGGTATTTCTAGAAATCTCTAGGAAATAAATATCATGATTTCCTTGTACTGCCTTTGGTTGCTTTGATCAATCATTGAAAATGCAGAATGTATTAGGATAGTTATAATGTAGGTATTCAATTTGGCTAATTATGAGAATAGAAGGCTTGAATGGGTAGAATGAAACAATGTATATTTTTCTATCAAATTTGATAGTTCAGGTAATGGTGATTTCTGAAAACTAATTTCCAAGGTGATTTGGTAAGTTATTGTTTTAATACAAAATCTGAATGCCAATTTGAACTTTAAAAAAAATAAGAGCAATTATAGACCTAAAGAAGTATCTGATTTGATTGGTCAGTATATAGAAATAACATCATCATTTTAATTAGTATTCAGTTGAATTCTAACTCATAAATATTACATATAAGGTGCATAATTGATATGGAAGAACACATTAGAGGGTAAAAGTTAATACGAAGTAACTTCTAGGTAACAAAAACCTCAAGGTAGGAGAAGAAGAAGATAAACTGCAGCCTGAATGTTAAAGTGGGCATGGAATAGGGGCCTTGATTCAGGGCTTTGTCTGAAAACAAATAAATGACTGCATGATTACCTATATCTAATATTGCCAGTGGTATAAAGAGTATGCAATGTAAGCATGAAAGTAATCATTAGAAACACATTTTTACTTTCAGCACTGTTGTATTTCATTGATTCATTGAGCTAATAGCTGTAGAACACCTACATCATTAAATGTTTCCACATATTTTGCAAGTCAGTAATTAACCCAAATACTTTCTAGCTCATTGTTTTCTATCCTACATCTACTCTAATAAGTTATAAAGCAGAAGAAGCAGGGATATGCCAACATTTATCCTGTTTTTAACTTTTTCTCCAAGGCAAGATTTACATTTTAAACATTCTTTATCTTCACTGTTTAAACCTCACCACCACAAAATAGATACTTCAAAAAATATTTTCCCACAATAACTAAAGAATCATTTAATTGAAAAGAATTGTTGAGAATATATGATATTCTTCTCTCCAGGTATGAGCAAATAGTCTCTTTGCCTTTGTGATATTAACAATTAATTCATTAATGAAATATGCAAATATAGTTTTATAAGTAGAATGTGACAGCATATGTGACTCTTCATAGAGATCATCTTAATTAAGAAAAACTAAAGTGGTTATGTAGGCTGTGTACAACATGCTTGGGAACTCACAAGTTTAAGATATATTAATTTCTATATTCAAATGTATTTCTCCTCATTTATGAGCATGTAGGGCCAAATAATTGTCCTTTGGTATATGCCAAATTGATGTGGGGGTACATATACTATTCCAAGTTCAAGCATGCAATTAATTACCAAACGTCCTAGTATGCTTAGAATGTCTCTGAAAATCATTTTTCTATTCTTTTTATGACTTTTTTTCATTTGGGTATAATACGATACAATTTTGGTTGTTTCTTGTACCTCAAAGGCAGAATCTACCTCTGAGTTTTTGGTATCTGTAATAGTGCTCTTCAGGTTAAGTTTCTATAAATATTGGTAAAATAAATATAGAATAATAATTTTTTAAGAATTTATTTTTTAAAGCAGTTTTAATTTCACAGCAAAATTCAGAGGAAGGTGCAGGGATTTCCCATATGTCCTTCAGCTCCACCCCTGGATAGTCTCATTGACAAATCATCAACCAAATCAGTACCATTTTCTGAAAAGACTTTTCTTCAATGTATTGCCTTTGTTGTTTGTCAAAGATCAGTTGATGATATTTACGTAGGTCTATTTCTGGGCTCTCTATTCTGTTCCATTGACCTGTTTATCTACTCTTTTTCCAATATCACATCATCCAAAGTCCATAGTTTGCATTAGGTTTCACTCTTGGTGTAGTATATTGTATGAGTTTGGACAAGTGTATAACAAAATGTATCCATTATTATAGTATCATACAGAGTATTTTCACTGCTCTAACAATCCCCTATGTCACACCTATTCATCACATCCTTTCCCCATTTCCTGGAAACTGCTCATCATTTTACTGTGTCTGTAGTTTTACATTTTCCAGAATGCCACATGGTTGGAATCATATGGTATGTAGTCTTTCAGACTGGATTTTTCACTTAGAAACACATTTAAATTAATTGTATATCTTTTCATGTATTAATTAATAGTTCACTTATTTTTAGCACCAAATAGTAATCCATTGTTTGGAGGTACCACAGTTTATTTATTCATTCACCTATTGAAGAGCTCTTGGTTGCTTCTAAGTTATTGACAATTACAAATAAAGCTGCTGTAAATAGCCATGTGCAGAATTTTGTGAGGACATAAGTTTTCAAATCATTAGGATAAATGCCAAGCAGTATAGTTGCTGAATCATATGCTAAGATTATGTTTAGTTTTGTTAAGAAACCACCAAACTGTCTTCTAAAGTAGCTGTAGCATTTTGCATTGCCACCAACAATAAATGAGAGGTCCTGTTGCTCCGCATCCTCACCAGCATTTGGAGGTGTCAGTGTTCTGAATTATGGCCATTCTAATAGACTTGTAGTGGTGTATTATTGCTGTTTTACTTTGCATTTCCCTAATGAAATATGATAAATATTACGTACAGTATCTTTTCACATGCTTTTTTTGCCATCTGTGTATCTTCTTTGGTGAGGTGACAGTTAAGGTCTTTAGTCCATTCTTAATTGGGTTGTTTGTTTCTTTTTAATTTTTTAATGATATTTTAAGTTCTGGGATACATGTGCAGAATGTGCAGGTTTGTTACATAGGTATAAACGTGACACGGTGGTTGGCTGCATCCAGCAACCCAACATCTACATTAGGTATTTCTCCTAAAGCTACCCCTCCCCTAGGACCCCACCCCCTGACAGGCCCCACTGTGTGATGTTCCCCTCCCTGTACCCACGTGTCCAAGTGTTCTCATTGTTCAACTCTCACTTATGAGTGAGGACATGCGGTGTTTGGTTTTCTGTTCTTGTGTTAATTTGCTGAGAATGATGGTTTCCAGCTTCATCCATGTCCTGCAAAGGACATGAACTCATCCTTTTTTATGGCTGCATAGTATTCCACGGTGTATATGTACCACATTTTCTTTATCCACTCGATCATTGATGGGCATTTGGGTTGGTTCCAAGTCCTTCCTATTGTGAACAGTGTCACAATAAACATACGTGGGCATGTGTCTTTGTAGTAGAATGATTTATAATCCTTTGGGTATATACCCAGTTATGGGATTGCTGGGTCAAATGGTACTTCTGGTTCTGGATCCTTGAGGAATCGCCACAGTGTCTTCCACAATGGTTGAAGTAATTTACACTCCCACCAACAATGTAAAAGCATTCCTATTTCTCCACATCCTCACCAGCATCTGCTGTTTCCTGACTTTTTAATGATCGCCATTCTAACAGCATGAGATGGTATCACATTGTGGTTTTGATTGGCATTTCTCCAATGACTAGTGATGTTGAGCTTTTTTTCATATGTTTTTTGGCTGCATAAATGTCTTCTTGTCTGTTCGTATCCTTTGCCCACTTTTTGGTGGGGTTGTTTGTTTCTTGTAAATTTGTTTAGTTTTTGTACATTCCTGAAAATAGTCCTTTGTCAGATGGATAGATTGCAAAAATTTTCTCCCATTGTGTAGGTTGCCTGTTCACTCTGATGATAGCGTCTTTTGCAGTGCAGAGGCTCTTTAGTTTAATTTGATCCCATTTGTCAATTTTGGCTTTTGTTGCCATTGCTTTTGTTGTTTTAGTTATGAAGTCTTTGCCCATGCCAATGTCCTGAACGGTATTGACTAGGTTTTCTTCTAGGATTTTTTTATGGTTTTAGGTCTTACATTTAAGACCTAAACATAATTTATCTTGAGTTAATTTTTGTATAAGGTGTAAGGAAGGGGTCCAAATTCAGTTTTCTGCATACAGCTAGCCAGTTTTCCCAACACCACTTATTAAATAGGGAATCCTTTTCCCATTGCTTGTTTTTGTCAGGTTTGTCAAATATCAGATGGTTGTAGATGTGTGGTGTTATTTCTGAGGCCTCTGTTCTGTTCCATTGGTCTATATATCTGTTTTGGTACCAGTACCAAGCTGTTTTGGTTACTGTAGCCTCGTAATATAGTTTGAAGTCACACAGTGTGATGCCTCCAGCTTTGTTCTTTTTGCTTAGAATTGTCTTGGCTATATGTATGGGCTCTTTTTGTGTTCCATATGAAATTTAAGGTAGTTTTTTCTAATTCTGTGAAGAAAGTCAATATAGCTTGATGGGGATAGCATTGAATCTATAAATTACTTTGAGCAGTACGGCCATTTTCACGATATTGATTCTTCCTATCCATGAGCATGGAATGTTTTTCCATTTGTTTGTGTCCTCTCATTTCTTTGAACAGTGGTTTGTAGTTCTCCTTGAAAATGTCCTTCACATTCCTTGTAAGTTGTATTCCTAGGTGTTTTATTCTCTTTGTAGTAATTGTGAATGGGAGTTCACTTGTGATTTGCCTCTCTGTTTGTCTATTTTTGGTGTATAGGAATGCTTGTGATTTTTGCACATTGATTTTGTATCCTGAGATTTTGTTGAAGTTGCTTATCAGCTTAAGGAGATTTGGGGCTGAGATGATTGGGTTTTCTAAATATACAATCATGTCATCTGTAAAAAGAGATAATTTGATTTCCTCTCTTCCAATTTTAATGTGCTTTATTTCTTTCTCTTGCCTGATTGCCATGGCCAGAACTTGCAATAGTATGTTGAATAGGAATGGTGAGAGAGGGCATCCTTATTTTGTGCCAGTTTTCAAAGGGAATGCTTTCAGTTTTTGCCCATTCAGTATGATATTGGCTGTGGGTTTGTCATAAATAGCTCTTATTTTTTTTTGAGATACGTTCCATTAATACCTCGTTTATTGAGAGTTTTTAGCATGAAGGGCTGTTGAATTTTATCAAAGGCCTTTTCTTCATCTATTGAGATAATGATGTGGTTTTTGTCATTTACTCTGTTAATGTGATAGATTACCTTTATTGATTTGCCTATGTTGAACCAGCCTTGCATCCCAGGGATGAAGCTGACTTGATCGTGGTGGGTAAGCTTTTTGATGTGCTGCTGGATTTGGTTTGCCAGTATTATATTGAGGATTTTCACATCGATGTTCATCAGAGATACTGGCCTGAAATTTTCTTTTTTGTGTCTGTCTCTGTCAGGTTTTGGTATCAGGATGATTCTGGCCTCATAAAATGAGTTAGAGAGAATTCCCTCTTTTTCTATTGTTTGGAATAGTTTCAGAAGGAATGGTACTAGCACCTCTTTGTACCTCTGGTAGAATTTGGCTCTGAATCTGTCTGGTCCTGGATTTTTTTGGTTGGTAGGCTATTAATTACTGCCTCAATCTGATAACTTGTTATTGGTCTATTCAGGGATTTGACTTCTTCCTGGTTTAGACTTGGGATGGTGTATGTGTCCAGGAATGTATCCATTTCTTGTAGATTTTCTGGTTTATTTGCATAGAGTTGTTCATAATATTCTCTGATGGCAATTTGGATTTCAGTAGTGATATCTTCTTTATCATTTTTTAGTGGGTCTATTTGATTCTTCTCTCTTTTCTATTTTATTAGTCTGGCTAGAGGTCTATCTATTTTGTTGACCTTTTCAAAAAACCAGCTCCTGGATTCATTGATTTTTTTTGAAGGTTTTTTTGTGTCTCTATCTCTTTCAGTTCTGCTCTGATCATAGTTATTTCTTGTCTTCTGCTAGCTTTTGAATTTGTTGGCTCTTGCTTCTCTAGTTCTTTTAATTTTGATGTTAGGGTGTTGATTTTATATCTTTCCTGCTTTCTCTTGTGGTCATTTAGTGCTATAAATTTCCCTCTAAACACTGCTTTAGCTGTGTTCCAGAGATTCTGGTACATTGTGTCTTTGTTCTCATTGGTTTCAAATAACTTATTTATATCTGCCTTTATTTCGTTATTTACCCAGTAGTCAGTCAGGAGCAGGTTTTTCAGTTTTCATGTAGTTGTGTGGTTTTGAGTGAGTTTCTTAATCCTGAGTTCTAATTTGATTGTACTGTGGTCTGAGAGACTGTTTGTTATAATTTCTGTTTTTTTTGCATTTGCCGAGGAGTGTTTTGCTTCCAATTATGTGGTCAATTTTAGAATAAGTGCGATGAGTGCTGAGAAGAATGTACATTCTGTTGATTTGGGGTGGAGAGTTCTGTAGATGTCTATTAGGTCCACTTGGTCCAGAGCTGAGTTCAAGTCCTGAATATCCTTGTTAATTTTCTGTCTCGTTGATCTGTCCAATATTGACAGTGAGGTGTTAAAATCTCCCACTATTATTGTGTGGGAGTCTAAGTCTCTTTGTAGGTCTCTAAGAACTTGCTTTATGAATCTGGGTGCTCCTATATTGGGTGCATATATATTTAGGATAGTTAGCTCTTCTTGTTGCATTGATCCCTTTACCATTATGTAATACCCTTCTTTATCTCTTTTGATCTTTGTTGGTTTAAAGTCTGTTTTATTAGAGACCAGGATTGCAACTCCCCCTTTTTTTTTTTTTCTTTCCACTGGCTTGGTAAATATTTCTCCATCCCTTTATTTTGAGCCTACATGTGTCTTTGCACGTGAGATGGGTCTCCTGAATACAGCACACCAATGGATCTTGACTCTTTATCTAATTTTCAGTCTGTGTGTCTTTTAATTGGGGCATTTAGCCCATTTACATTTTAGGTTAATATTGTTATGTGTGAATTTGATCCTGTCATTATGATTCTAGCTGATTATTTTGCCTGTTTGTTGATTCAGTTTCTTCATAGTGTCAATGGCCTTTACAATTTGGTTTGTTGTTGCTGGTACTGATTTTTCCTTTCCATGTTTAGTGCTTCCTTCAGGAGCTCTTGTAAGGCAGGCCTGGTGGTGACAAAAATCTCTCAGCATTTCCTTGTCTGTAAAGGATTTTATTTCTCCTTCACTTATGAAGCTTAGTTTGGCTGGATATGAAATTCTGGGTTGAAAATTCTTCTCTTTAAGAATGTTGAATATTGGCCCCATCTCCCTTCTGGCTTGTAGGTTTCTGCCAAGAGATCTGCTGTTAGTCTTATGGGCTTCCCTTTGTGGGTAACCCAACCTTTCTTAGTATTTTTTTCCTTCATTTCAACCTTGGTGAATCTGATGATTATGTGTCTTGGGGTTGCTCTTCTTGAGGAGTATCTTTGTGATGTTCTGTGTATTTTCCGAATTTGAATGTTGATCTTGCTAGGTTGGGGAAGTTCTCCTGGATAATATCCTGAAGAGTGTTTTCCAACTTGGTTCCATTCTGCCCATCACTGTCAGGTACACTAATCAAATGTAGGTTTGGTCTTTTCACATAGTCCCATATTTCTTGGAGGCTTTGTTTATTCCTTTTCATTCTTTTTTCTCTAATCTTGTTTTCTCACTTTATTTAATTAAGATCTTCAATCTCTGATATCCTTTCTTTCACTTGATTGATTTGGCTATTGGCTATTGATACTTGTGTATGCTTCACAAAGTTCTCATGCTGTGTTTTTCAGCTCCATCAGGTCATTTATGTTCTTCTCTAAACTGGTAATTCTAGTTAGCAATTCATCTAACCTTTTTTCAAGGTTATTATCTTCCTTGCATTGTGTTAGAACATGCTCCTTTAGCTTGGAGTTTGTTATTACCCACCTTCTGAAGCCTACTTCTGTCCATTTGTCAAACTCATTCTCTGTCTAGTTTTGTTCTCTTGCTGATGAGGATGTGTTCCTTTGGAGGAGAAGAGGTGTTCTGGTTTCTGCAATTTTCAGCCTTTTTGCGCTGGTTTCTCCCTATCTTCATGGATTTATCTACCTTTGGTCTTTGATGTTGGTGATCTTCGGATTGGGTCTCTGAGTGGATGTCCTTTTTGTTGCTGTTGACACTATTCCTTTCTGTTTGTTAGTTTTCCTTCTAATAGTCAGGCCCCTCTGCTGCCGGTCTGCTGGAGTTTTATGGAGGTCCACTCCAGACACTGTTTGCCTGGGTGTCACCATTGGAGGCTGCAGAACAGCAAAGATTGCTGCCTGTTCCTTTTTCTGGAGGCTTCCTCCCAGAGGGGCACCCACCAGATGCCAACCGGAGCTCTCTTGTATGAGGTGTCTGTGGACCCCTGCTGGGAGGTGTCTCCCAATCAAGAGGCATGAAGGTCAGGGACCCACTTAAGGAGGCAGTCCGTCCCTTAGCAAAGCTCAAGCGCTGTGCTGGGAGATCTGCAGCTCTTTTCAGAGTTGGCAGGCAGGAACATTCAAGTCTGCTGAAGCTTTGCCCACTGCCGCCCCTTTCAACAGGTGCTCTGTCCCAGGGAGATGGGAGTTTTATCTATAAGCCCCTGACTGGGCCTGTTGTGTTTCTTTCAGAAATGCCCTGCCCAGAGAGGAGGAATCTAGAGAAGCAGTCTCGCTACCAGGTTGTTTGTTTTCACATTGTTGAGTTGTAAGTGTTCTTGGTATATTTTAGATAATAGTTATTTATCAGATATGTATTTTGCAAATATTTTCTTCCAGTTTATGAATTTTTTTAATTCTCTTGACAGTGTCTTTTTAAGAGGAAGATTTTTTAATTTTAATAAAGTTCGTGATATTAATTCTTTGTTTCATGTATTGTCCCTTCAAGATTGTGTCTAAAAAGTCTTCACCAAATCTTAGGCATCTAGATTTTCTCCTATGGTTATGAGTCTTAAAGTTTTGTTTTTTTACATTTAAGTCTGTGATCCATCTTGAGGTTTTATTTGTGACTATTATAAGGCCTGTGTCTATATTTGTGTATTTACTAATTTTTTTGCACATAGATATCCAGTTGATCAGTACCATTTTATGAAAAGACTATATTTTCTTCATTGTATTCCCTTTGTTGTTTGTCAAAGATAAGTTGATGATATTTACATAGGTCTATACCTGGGCTCTCTATTCTGCTCCATTGACCTGTTTATCTATTCTTATTCCAATATTACATTGCCCTATTACTGCAGCTTTATAGGAAGGCTGGAAGTTGGGCAACATCAGTTCTTCAACTTTGTTCTTCTACAATACTTAGTTGGCTATCCTGAGGTTTTTGCCCCTCCATGTAAATTTTTGAATCAATTTTTTTGATATCTACAAAATATGTTATTGGGATTTTGATTGAGATTGCATTCATCCACAGATAAGTTAAAATAGAATGATAATTTAAAGCCTGTAAAATTGTTTCATAAGACCATGGACAACCTCTAATTAAGTATTTTGTGGTATGAAAACTTATTTTCTTATTTATAAAATATATAGCTACATCAAAAGCAATAGCTATGTCAATGTATATATCTTGTTAGTATGTAAATGAAGAGAAACTGCACCATTAATTTGAACTTCCCACAGTAGAGCATTTCTCAATTCTAGACCCCAAATTAGTGAAAAAGTATTGTCACCAATTAGTAAACAATGTTTTTGTCTTCGGTTCTAAAAAATATACCATTTATGTCACATTTAAAGGCTGTTCATACAATTGCTTTATTTGAAATCTGATAAGGGAAAAAATAAACAAGTGTCTTCTTTCCATTGGTGACAATATTCTAGGATAACCTAATATTTTACTTGATGAGGATGATTTACAGTGTATAGAAGTAGGCTAATCTACATGAAAGAAATGACACAATTAAACAAATACAACAATTCCTTTTACAATCCTGATAAGGCATTTATTTAGGCAAGCATATTTAATGGTTTTAAAACATTAGATGAGAGTGGTTGATAAGAAACCGAATGGTCATTTAATGCCAAAATATCATTACACATTATACTTTCTACTTGCAAATAACTTTAAAGTAGAAGAAGCAAAATATAATCATGCCAATTCAATGGCCAATCTTAGCACCTAGAATATGAGTCTATTAGTTATTATGTCTTCTAATGTGGTGCATCATAAAGTGCATATCACCTATGTTGGATTCTAGCCAAAATTGTTTAAATGGAATCCATCAGCCCTTTAGAAATATAATAACTTCCAGGTGACAAGGAAAAGGGAGTAGCAAAGTACAACAACCTAAATTAAACCACCAATAATCACCAGAAGATTTGAAAGATGATCATTCTGCATAAGTGCATGTAAGCCTTACAATCATCAGTATGATTTAGGTTGGGGGGTGGGAGGGAGGGGAGAACATGGGAGGGGAGGGAAAGGGAGAATGGAAACAGATTGGAAGACTAAAACGAGACAAGAGATTTTAAAGAAGAGTTACACATTTTTTAAATTTGCTGGTTTGTATTTTCTAATTGACACAATTGCATATAATGCTTCTGTCATATGAAGTTTAGTTTTTCCTATTAAATACAAGTTTTACAATTTCTTTTTACAGTTTACTGAACATCCACAAATATTTCCACTTATGTAAATACTCAAAGTTAAGTGGTTTAATGTACTGTTCATTAGCCTTTTTGTTACACTTTTCTTCCCACTGCTATAACACAAACCAAGTTTAGAGTATCATTTTATTAGATTATCATCATACACTTAAATTTCCCCATCTGGAAGTATCAACATTACCACAGGGTCCATCCATTATATTTATTAGCATTTGCCTTTTTAAAGGATTTTTTCAGTTATTCATATATTTCCTATGTATTAAAACGAATGTTTTCAGGTTAAATTTAACTATATGTTTTTTCTTTTAAATATATTTCAGAAATCATCAAAAAAGGAAAACAAGTTTAAGGCAAGGTAGTGAGCATTGCCTAGAGGTTTTTATCTAATAGGGTACATGAGTTGTACTATCCTTTATCCTCACAAAGTAGAACAAAGCTAATTAAATACCAGTTTTCACTGTGTAGAAAATACATTTGAAGCTTCTTAAGTCACAGCTGTTTTTTCCCTCTCTGAGAAAGACAAATAAATAAACAAGCGTGTGTGTGTGTGTGTGTGTGTATGTGTGTATGGATGTGTGTGGAGAGAGAGAGACTAGCTGCTTCTGAACATGTCTGCAACATAACTATCAGATTGCCTTGTCTGTTACTGTTATTCCAAGAATAGAGATTAAACAAGCATTGGGACCAAGCAAATCAGATTCTCTACCCAGTCTTTGAGACAGGTGGAAAAAAGTAATCGGTAATATTGAGCTCACTGGAAATGAGTCACTTCACATGTCAGAGATCCATAAAAGGGCTCCAGGGCCCTTACTGCTGAGCTACCAGAGAGTTGATCCTTATTAGCTACCTCCTAAATTTTAATGTACATCCCCTTCCTCTTGTGTGATTTGTTCCAGTAATGTTTCAAATATCCCAATCTAAAAAAAAAAAAAATGTTAGATGTGTTTTTTATTGCTTATAGCCAAAAACACTTAACTAATACAAACTGTGTACACCAGTTTTGGTGTTTGCATTAGTTGCATACTTTCTCCTCTCAAAAAGAAGAAGGAATGTAATTATTGGGACGTTATTCGTCACTCTGTATTGATTCAGCTCACCACAATTTTAGACACTGAAAATCTAATCCAAATGTCATGGAAATCAATGGCATTTATGTCATTTGTTGTAGTAATTTAACTGTGAAAAATTTTATTGCTTAAAAAAGTATTTTTTTGCTATTTTTACAAAGACTGTAATTTCTTAAAATACTCTCTCCCTTATATTTTAAGAGTCTTGTCCTGAATCTCTGAAGGATGAATTACACGGTGACACATTTCAGTGGTATGAGTCAGGGAGAGGGAATATTTCTGAAATTTTACCAGTTGACTTGCAGATCACAAAGAATTCCAGTATGTCTTAAAGGAGTTAAGAGTACATTATAAAGTTATTTTTTACAGCCTTATTAAATACTATTCTATCCTAAATTATTGCTTAGGTTTTTATAGTTGCTTCTGAGAAGATGGTGTGACAGGCTGAAAACAATGGACAACATTCTGGTATTTCAAGAGTGTGGTTTAATTTAATATTTTTTTATAAAATAAATTATAAATGTTTTTAATGATAATAGGCTTCTGAGTAATACATATTTCTAAACATATTATATAAAGATCATAGGCACCTAAATAAAGAAATATTAGATTCAAATTTATCAATTTCATTTTTCAAATCAAGTTTGTTTGAAAGTTAACTTTATATTGAATAAATTCAGTAAACATAAAATATTAAACATATTTTTCTGTGTGCATGTGTATAACATATATGATCTATCATACATGTATTATATATTAAATGTATTACACTATATATACATATGTATTTATGTATGTGTATATATGATGCACATACTTGATAGATAAAATGCAATCAAAATCTCCCATGATTTAAGAAATAATAGACCCTAAGAGTTGATGTGTAATTAGGTTCTTTTTTTGTTCAGCTATTAGTCAACTATAATTAGTTAGAAAAATAATTGAAACAGCTTAATATATCATATTTATAAATGTCCAGGAAATAATTCTTAAGAAAGATGAACTTTAAATTTAAAAACAATCCTTTGAGGATATAGTCCAATATAATATTTTCATTTTTGTCAAATAAATATTGAATACACCTCATATTATAGTGAAACTTATTCTTGATTACATCTTGTGGCACCAGGATAAACACCAACACTTAAACCCATTAATTGATTTCAGTGAAAATTGCAGATTCTGTGTTTAATTGTCTATGGTGTTGCCTTTGAACAATATATATTGTATGGTTTTTGAATTGGTATTACTATACCAATACTATACTCAAAGGCAAATCCACCACTGATACTTTCATTAAGTGATAAATAGAAGGGATATATGAGTGTGTAAAATATATATATATGGATATATACACACACATACATATCCATATGGTATATCTACATACATATACATATGTAATTTAATATTACAAAAGTTGAAAAAGATTTTTATTAGAAACAAAATAAATGATCTATTTTATTTTGAATTAGGCTAAGTTTTATTTATGGCTCCTTTTGCCTAAAAGGAAATTAACCTATTTTCAAAGCAAAAATTGCACTGGGCAAAGTTTAACAGGCAAGCAAGTCTTTATCCATGGCTATTTTAACATGAGAGAAAGATCGGAACTAAGTCTGAGCTCAACTTCATTGAAACAAAGGGAGAAGAGTTTTTAAATGCTGGGGTCAGCTGTGGCAAAGTACTGGAGGATGTTTGTGAAGAGTCTGATCAATGGCATGTATCTAGCACACCGAGTAATCACTGAGTTTGCATTTTTTTCTCTATAATTAGGCCACCTGTATTTGCTAATTGGCACCCACAGAAATTAGGCTCCTACCCTCCTACAAAGACCTGGAGATAGGGGCACTGTTTTTTTGGATGATTACATTTCAAAGGGATGTCCCTCCAGTCACTGAAAAAGCATTCCTGGGTCTGCTGGTTAGCAATCTTATCACTGAGTATATACCCAAAGAAATATAAACGGTTCTATTATAAAGAAATATGTACACATATGTTTATTGCAACACTATTCACAGTAGCAAGGATGTGAAATCTACCCAAATTCCCATCAATAATAAACTAGATAAAGACAATGTGGTACATGTACACCAAGGAATACTATGCAGCCATAAAAAGAATGGGAGTCCTATGCAGGGACATGGATGGATCTGGAGATCATTATCCTTAGCAAAAGCAAAAACAGAAAACCAAGAAACCAGAAAGTGCAGAAACAGAAAACCAACTACCACATGTTCTCACTTATAAGAGGGAGCTAAATGATGAGAACACATGGACACATAGATGAGAGCAACACTCATTGGGGCCTGTTGTGGGGTGGAGGGCGAGAGGAGAGAGAGAAGCAGGAAAAATAACTAATGGATACTAGGCTCAATACCTAGGTGATGAAATAATCTGTACAACAAACCCCCATGACACACATTTACCTGTGTAACAAACCTGTATATTCTAAACATGTACCCTTGAATTTAAAATAAAAGAAAAAAAGAAAGCACTCCTGGTTTTTAAAACTGGTAATATAAAGATTTACATTTTCTAGGGGCAGTGAAAGAATTTACAGTTACAAATTTTCTAAAGAAAATGCTTTATGAAAAGAGAGATCAGGAGCCTAGCGTCAGCAAAAATTATGTCTGAAGTTTAATCAAGCTGAAGAGAACTTTATAAGTCCATCTTGGTCAATCTCTTAGGGAATCCCAGAATGAAGTTTGAATTCCATAAGCCTTTTATTTTACATCAGAGACTCAGTTTGATCCAAAATTTTAATATGCAAACAGTTATTATCCAGGCATAGAGTCTTACTTAATGCAAAATTTTATTAGGCTTAACCATAAAGTACAGAATAATGAACATATTTTCTGATTCAATGAGTGTGTTTATTGAGTATCTAGCATGAGATTAACAATGATGGTTCTCCCTTGCTCCAAATGGGTGCCCAATATAGCTAAAACATGAGGAGCATACACATAATTTGGGTTGTGTTTGGGAAAAAAATGATCTTCTGAGATTAAAAAAAATCTATTATTTCTAAACTTTTCTATTAGAAATGAAGTCTCTTGACTATAGACAGAAAGGTGTAGATACTGTATATATAACTAGCACTGAGTCCTTTTTTTACATTAGCATTTAGCACAAGGTTTAGGGGACTCTGATAGTCTGTGTCACAATGTGTCCATGATGAAGAGTAGCATATATCCAACATACTAGTAATTATCAAGAGCTGGTCAATATCCTTGCCTAATTCCATATAACACTCACCAAATGTGAAATTAAGGTTGTCATTGTCATTTAACAATTGAGGAAATTAAAGTTCTGAATGCTGTAGTTTCTTCTATTTCCAAGGTCACACAGCTTATAACAGAGCTAAGATGCAAGACTTGTTTAAACCCTAAATCTGTACTTTTTGCACCACATAAAAATTTCTCCAATGATCAGTTCATTCATGAAAAGTAATGTTTATTCACTTTGTTGCTTTACCATTGAAATCAACTCAGATGAATGGCTGCACATAGCTGACAAGAATATACAGAGCTTTAGATGTTATTCTTTCTAACCTGTCAAGTAGATACTATATTTCTTTACCCTGAGGTAGCTTAAGAAGTAGTGCCTTAAACAGAACTGCTTAGAAAACCAAGGCCTGATACACAGTTATTGTGCTCAAATTCCTAAATAACTTACAAGTCCTTTGTATCCGGAGCACCATACCATCATGTGTATCACAATCACTGAAATTCCTTTCTTTGGTTCAATAACTTACTCTCTTATTTGCTCTGTTATTGAACCAAACACACAAAAGGAATTGAACAAGATTATTTATCAAATTTAAAACCATAATATAGAGAAACTCATCTCAACTGTGCCCAGTCATTGTGCATTTAGCGTTTGATAAACTGTGATAGTGTTCTAGCATCTAACCCACGAATCACAGAATGCTTTGCTACGAATATTAGATCTGTGAGTATATAAATAGAAGTTACACGCTATTCTCATCTGAGAATGCTATCAGATATGAGACTCTCTTAAATATGGTACAATGATACAAAATTTAAGTTCAAGTTTTACTTTTACAAAGGACAAAGTTTAACTATACTAATCATGTAAAGTTCTCTGCCATTTAATACTTCAGCCAATAATTAGTGTTTAACAAATTAGATATTATAACCATTTATGTCAATAAAAATATCAATTATGATATTATAGATTCTGGAACACATTTCAAAAGTTGCTAGATATACCTAATTAAAGTTTGTATTTTTAAACAAAATTGTCATGTGCAGTTCAAGATAATGCGAAAGCAAATCTTTACAAGTCAATTTTAGACAAATATTTTAGTAAGCCTGAGAGTTGAAGTTATGTGACAATTTGTGCAATGGAGTGACTGCAGGCATGAAGTAATTTGTGAAAGTATGCAGTACATTGATTATGAAAAACTATATATAGACCATATTGTGGTCATTACACAGAAACTCCACTTAGAATCTCTCAACAATTTTGAAGTAAAATTGATACAGGCTGAGAGTTAAACTTAAATCAGAGTATAGATCAGAGATTAAATCCACATTCATTTTAATATGACCAGTTAATTTTCAAACACCCATTGGCAATCCACTATGCAAAGAAAGAAGGTGAAGAGTAGGTTGTTCAATTTCTAGTAAACCATTTATGTTAATAGGAGGCAATTTTAAAATCCTGCAGAAAATAGTAAATTAATAGATACTCTTTTAAAAACATTAACAGGTAATCAAAACAGTATTAAAAACTATTTATTTTTTCCCCAAAAGTTCTAAATTATTTGTTTTGCAAAGAAAGAAATTATTAGGACTTCAGAAATGAAGAAATGTAAACAGGACAAAAGTATCTTAATCAAATCTAGTACCAAGATTTACATGTGTGTTGAGTAGTGATTATCTGAACATAAAGGAGCTTTGTTTCTGTTCTAATTGACATAATTGATAAACCTACTCAAATGTTCGCTGGTGATAAGAGCTGTGGATTATCTAATCTCCAAAAATAAACAGCAACCATAAGATGTGAAGCTTTTCTATTTACATCCACAATTTTCTAATCTAAATATTGACTTTTAACCTTATGATACCTGCTTTATAAATCTACATTTGCCTTTCTAATATTGCAATCTCTCTCTCTTTTATTATTGTTATAAATAAGTAAAACCTAATCAATAACAGTGATATCACAACAAAACAAAATGAGATCTGTCCTCATCTCTGCCCTCTTTGCTCTTCAAATTTTAAAACTCCCAATACATATGTTCAGGTACTGTCTATTCTGAGATGAAAGACTGCCTCTGTTAGTCTCTACAAGTGACCATTTTGCTTCAATTACAATTTTTAAAACTGTCAGTACAAAAGCCTTATGATATCTAAAATAAGCTACTTTTAAACTTCAAATATATGTAAGTTTGAAATGGTCAGTTTTAAAAATACTAAAATTAACATCAAAAAGCTTTTGATAATGACAATACATTTGTCTAAAATTCATAATGTTATTTGCATCTTCTAGGCTTATTTCTTCTTGTATATGCTATTTTCTATATTTAATTCAAATGCTTTTATTAAGAAAGCACTGTTACAAAATCTGAATTGCTAATTGGATCTCTTTATAGAAAAAAACTCTTAATCTTTCCCCAATAGAATAAAACAATTATATTAAAATTTATATTTGTATTTATTAAATTTATGTTAAATAAATATAGATGAACAAATATATATTTTTATTTTAAAAAGAGATATGGTTGATGTCCTTATATAGATTATTGGAATAAAAACTTATTATTTCCTGAGATGTTAAAACAATTATATCAACTCAAAATCTTTTTTGCATAGTTTTATCTTAGTAATACTTCAATATTTAATATTTTAATGTAGATTTTCCTTGTTGATTAAAAGATTATTTCCTTTAAACTTACCCAACACAGAAATTCAAACAAAATATCCTTTTAAAGACTCCACATACTTCAATAATTTATTCATTAATTATGATCAAATTTAGTAAATACTTTACAATCTCTTACACAGTAGATCTTGGGATTTGGTAATAGAGTCATAATAAATAAGAAATGGACAGAACCTACAGGAAACTCATACTCTAGTATTTGCATTAAAGTGTGAATACATTATTTGTTTTCCAACAGTATAAAAATGGAACAGTAAAGAAAATGAATAGTATCGTGTTGCACATAAAAATAGTGATTGACTTTCTCAGGGATAAAACAGATTACAAGAAACAAGGACCTCTCCTGGATTTTGAAATGGGCTCAATAATACAGGAGCCAGACTGGGCAATATAGCGAGACCTCATCTCTACTAAAAATTTAAAAACAAAATTAAAAAAATTAGCCAGGTGTGGTGGTGCCAGGTGGTAGTCCCAGCTGCTCAGGAGGCTGAGGTGAGAGGATAATTAAAGACTAGGAGATAGAAGCTGCAGTAAACTACAATTGCCATTGCACTTTAGACTGGACAACAGAACAAGGCCGTATTAAAAAAACAAACAAACAAAAAACAACAACAACCAAAAAATAAAACAAGAGGAAGGACAATATGAGGTAAGACAACAGTGTGTGAGAAAAACAAGGCATAAACTAAACAAACATGCTGTATTTACTGAGTTCATATACAGAAATGGCTGAATTATAGGTAGTATTATAAAATGTGGTGAATGATGAAATTGAACAGGTATTAGGGAAATAATCTTGCAACCAATATAGAACCATTGAAGATTTTAAGTTGGAAATAGACTTGGTAGAATTCACATTTTAGTAAAATAGCATTTATAAGGTTATAGAGAATAGATTATTGGGGAAAAATAGAGCCCATGGAATAGAGATTGTAAGTGCTCATTAAACATGGTTCATCCTTTCTTTCTTGGGCATTTGGAAGCAATGTCAACCTGCGTCGGATTTTCTTAGGGTTCATGTGGCCAATTATAGCTAATAGGATATGAAGGAGGTTAAGCCACATGTGATTTTTTCATATTGTCCTCTGGTGAATAACACTCTAAATCCACATACCTTTATGTAGAGAGAATAGGTGCAAACATCCTAAAATGGATTTTAAATATACAGTGGTGAGACACTGTATTAAGACTAATATGTTTGGTCTTAATATGATTGTGGAGAATAAAGGAGAGCTGTGTAGGAAATAAGGTCAGAGAATAAGCCAAGTTCCATGGGCCTTGGGGAGGATTTTGTGTGGTAGGTGAAGGTAGAGTAGAAGTTCTTGCTACAGATGACAGGGGTTTAAATCATCTAAGTATCTGCATCAGGTTTGTCCTTGGTGTTCCTACCGAAGTCTTTCTTTTCCCTAACCCCACAAAATGGTTTATTTCCAATGTTTGAAATGTCTTTCTCCACCTCGCCATTGAATCAATCTTCAAAACTGTGTAAAAGTTAAGTCTTCAAAACTGTGAAATTATTTCTTCTTCTTCTTCTTTGTTTTTTTGAGACGGAGTTTCACTCTTGTTGCTCAGGCTGGAGTGCAATGGTGCAATCTAGGCTCACTGTAACCTCCGCCTCCTGGGTTCAAGCGATTCTCAAGTCTCAACCTCCTGAATAGCTGGGATTACAGGTATGCACCACCATGCCCGGCTGATTTTGTATTTTTAGTAGAGATGGGGTTTCACCATATTAGCCAGGCTGATCTCGAACTCCTGACTTCAGATGATCTGCCTGCCTCAGCCTCCCAAAGCGCTGGGATTACAGGTGTGAGCTACCATGTCCAGCCTGAAATTATTTCTTTCAAGTTAATCAAAGTTTTACAGCTGCAAAATTCTGCAAACTTCTCTTGTTCTCAACCTCTCCACATTACTGGAAAAATCATAATGTGCTCCTTCAAAGTATTTTTTCCAGGTTATTGTAATAATTATCTATTATGATTTTTCCATGCCTAGGGTCATAATATAATATTATTCTGCTTGTTCATTTCATTCCTAGAACTCCTATGTATTTTCTTCTTTATTTTTGTTTCATTTTCTCAAACTTTCCTGATCTGAACATATAAATAGCCAGCATCATATAGGTAAGAATTTCAGATTTGTAAGTAAATTTGCTTTTTGAGATCCAATGAATATTTTCATGTGACTAATGAACACTCGCCCTATCTCATAATGCAATACATTTTAAACAAAATCACTTTTCCGCCACTCCCCAATCTTTATTCCAAACTCCCAAACTTTTACACTTCGTTTCATATGTTTTAAAATAATGTATAATTAAATAATGTTGAAATTTTAAAAATCTTTTCTATGGGATATTTTGTCTCATAAAAATATAAACATCATTAAGGGCTAATTGATAGCTGACTTCCAAATTTTATAGAACTCATAAAAAATATTAATAATTATAACTACATTATCTCAAAATAATTGTAGAAAATGTACACGTTTCCTTTTGATGTTGCAACTATTTATTACATCTTAGTGTTTCAAAAACCATAAATTTATTGTGTTACAATTCTGGATGTCAGATATCTGAAATGTGTCGTAGTAAGCTAATTCTGAGGTGCTGAGAGATCTACATTTATTTACGGAGGCTCTAGTGAGACATGGTTATCTTGTCTTTTCCAGCTTCTGAAATTCACTTGTGTACCTTTGGTTGAGTCCCATTCTTCTAACCCCAAAGCTAGCAAATAAAAACAAATACTTCTCATATTGCCATCTCTTTGTCTCTCTCCCTTTATCCTTCTTTCACCTATTTATGAGAATCCTTGGACCATCCAGATAATCCAAGATAATATCTGCATCTCTAGGTCATGTTATTAACAACCTTAATTCCATCTACAACTTTAATTTCCTTTGCCATATAACCTACCATAATCACAGATCCAGGGATTAGGAGGTGGGCATCTTTAGTGTGGGCTCATTATTCTGCTTACCACAGGTAAATATATTATTTTAAATATTAAGAAACATTTGGAAATAAAACATTTTTAAAACTTCACTAATAATACATGGTATAGAAAATAACCCAAGTGTTTACAAGGTAAGGGTTATACAAAATATGATACTTACACATTTAATTTAAAACTGGAGAGGTAGATAGTGTTCTAACACAGGTTTGGGTGTTCTTTCTGGAAGCCAAATTATCTAATAGAAAAGTTTGAACATTCTTATCCCTTCTACTATTATTCATATTTCAAAATTACTTTCACCATTTTTAGTTTTTTAAATATTTGGCTTTTTTTCTACTTTTTAATGCACTGAAAAGAAAATATGATCTGCCTAGAATTAGGATCTAGAAATTACTTTCCCAGGAGAATGGCTAGATATCTGTATTCCACAGCTCAGTATGTAAAAATGGGTAATGAAGCTATTTCTAAGAAATGTAAAGAATATATTAAATACTAGTTTTCTTAAAAATTGATAATATATTTAAAAGACAAAAAAGTAAAATCAATTGATAATGCATGAATGTATGCAGTATTTTTGTCAGGTGTATTTAGAAACACCTTACATAGAGTAGAATCCATGCTTTTAAAGTATGCAGTTCTATACATTTTTATGTGCATACACAGTTGTGTCACCATAATTGAGACATACAATAGTGTTATTTCTCAAAAAATAGCCTTGTTCTCTTTTGTAGCCAATCCTCCAACTCTACGACAGACTCCAGGAAACTACTGATCTGTTGACTGAAGATTAAATTTTGCTTTTTCCTGAATGTTATATAAATGGAGCCATATTGTGTAATGACTTTGTTCACTTAGCATATTACTTTTATTTTTCTTCAACTTTGAAGTTCAGGAGTACATGTGCGGGATGTGCAGATTTGTTACATAGGTAAATGTGTGCCATGGTGGTTTGCTGCACAGATCATCCCATCATCCAGGCATCAAGCCCAGTGCCCATTAGCTATTCTTCCTGATGTTCTCCCTCTCCCCAAGTCCCCCTCCGACAGGACCCAGTGTATGTTATTCCCCGGATGTGTTCATGTGTTCTCATCGTTCAGTTCCCACTTATAAGTGAGAACATGCAGTGTTTGTTTTCCTGTTCCTGTGTTAGTTTGCTGAGGATAATGGCTTCCAACTCCATCCATGTCCCTGCAAAAGACACAATCTCATTCCTTTTTATGGCTGTATAGTTATCCACGGTGTCCATGTACTACCTCTTGTACATTCAAATATTAGTCCTTTGTTGGCTGCATAGTTTGAAAATGATTCCTTCCATTCTGCAGTTGTATTTTCACTCTGTTAATTAATATTATTAATTTTTGCTGTACAGAAATTTTTCATTTAAGTACCATTTGTCTATTTTTATTTTTGTTGCCTTTGCTTTTGAAGTCTTAGTCATGAGTAATTTGTCTTGGCCATGTCCAGAAGAGTTTTTTCTAGGTTTACTTGTAGGATTTTTATAGTTTCAGATCTTGCATTTTAGCCTTCAATCCACTGTGAGTTAATTTTTGGAGATTTCTCAAAGAAATAAAACTGAAACAACTATTTGACCCAGCAATCCCACTAGGCGGTATCTACCCAAAGGAAAAGAGTCCATTATATCCAAAAGTCACCAGCACCCATATGTTAATTGCACTACTATTCACAACTGGAAAGTCATGGAATCAACCTAAGTGTCCATCAACACATGATTGGATAAAGAAAATGTATATACACACTGTGAAATACTCCTCAGCCATACAAAAGAATTGAAATCATGTATTTTGTAGCAATGTGGATGGCCATTATCCTAACTTAAATAACTCCAAAACATAAGGTCAAATATTGTATGTGCTCACTTATAAGTGGAGGTAAACAATGGGTACACATGGACATACAGAGTGGAATAACAGACACTGGAGACTCCAAAAGGTAGGAGGAGGGGAGGGCACTGAGGGTTGGAAAATTACTTATTAGGTACAATGTTCTCTATTTAGATGATTGTGCACTAAAAGTCCAGGCTTCTTCACTATGCAATATATGCATGTAAGAGATCTGCACTTGTACCCCTGAATTAAAAACAATGATGTCTACCCAGAACTTCAGAATGTGATCTTATTAGGAAAAGGTCTTTGCAGCTGTTATTAGTTTACATACGGTCATACTGGATTAGGGTGGGTCCTAAGTCAAGTAACCTGTAGGACAAACATACAGAATACACACAGGGAAGAAGGTCATGCGACATGGGTCAGAAATTGGAATGATTATGCTGCAACAAGAAATATCAAGTATGGCTGAGATATTCCAGAAACTGGAAGGGCAAGAAATAACACTTCCCTATAAGTTTCAGAGGGATCATGGCATTTCTTAAATCTTTATTTCAGACTTCCAACTTTCATAGAAATGTGAAAAAATACATTTATGTAGCTTGGAGACACCTAGTTTGTGGCATCTTGTTATGGCAACTCCAGAAAACTAATACAAGGTATTATGTGAAATTTCTTTGATTATAAGAAATACGAGATCAATTTTTAAAATTGGGCTTTCCTTCTATTCTTCTATAATACCAACAAAAATCAGAATAAATTATCTTGGGGCAGAAGGACAAAATTTGCATAGGCTAATTGCAAGCATTTTTGAATTTAGAAACAAACATATTTCTTCTCCAAGCGTGTATTTATAGGCAGATGAGTCTGCAAATGGAAATGTATAACAAGTACTATGTATAAGTTCCTAAAAAAACACAATTGATAGTATACTTGTATATTAGTCATGAATAACAATTAAAGGTAACATAATTCAAACCTATCACTTTATGGTTGAAACAATTGAAGTTTAGAAAAATATGTAATTGTCTTCTCCAACAACAACAGTAAATAGTAGACTCAATTTTTTTATATGTTGCTTTCACATCACCCTTAGATTTTGAAATAAAAACTTACCCCTTGCCCCTCCTGTTTCCTCTTCCCCTTGAAACATATTTATTGGAGGGGCAGTGTGCTTGAGAACAAGATTGTGTGAACAAGGAGGGGGCCAAGCAGGGCATCAACTGTCTTGAGGTGAAGGGACAAGTGAAAAAGTAGCCCTGTGAGTCAGCCACTGGAACGAAGTCAGAGCCAAACAGGGAGGTAATAGAGAAAATCAGCATCTGGTATGGAGTTAGGGTCAGTCAAGAGGTAACAAGTGAAGCAACAGACTACATCGGGTCAGGGCCAAGGAGGCACTGGTGTGACTATAGAAGGATAGTCAAGAAAATACACCATTGCTGGCTTTCAGTGGAGGAAGAAGCTACTGACTCAGGAATTTAGTCTCTAGAAGTTGGAAAAGGCAACAGAGCAAACAAAACACACAACAACAAACACACACACACACAATTCTTTCCTAGAGTTTCCAGAGAACACAGCCCTGCTGACATTTTGATTTTAGCACAGTGAAACCTGTCAGACTTGTAAATTCTAGAACAGTAAGATAATAAATTTGTCTTCTTTTAACCCCTTCAGTTTAGGGTAATCTGTTTTAACAACAACAAAAAACTAATAGAAAAATCAAGTTTCTCACTATCAGGAAAGCATGTAACAAATATACAAAGGGAGTTGACTACAATAAACCCTGTAATGTTGGATTAGACTTGAAAGTAATGGGGCAAATTTTCATTATTTCACAATATAGATATAAATATAAATATGGCTACCATTGTGGATTGATAGAGATATGAATTGTATTGTACGTTTGCATGTATGTATACAAACACACATGTATGCATGTATACATAGGGCCTGAGAGTAGCTATAGTACATTAGCAATAATCATACTTGATGCACAGATCTTGGCTTCTGAATATCACCTTTTACTTAAAAGAATCAGGCCTTCTATGAAAAATTGCTGATTCCAGGACTGGGGAAAAGAAGCTGGGAAAATGTGCCAAAAAGTAACAGAATGTCAAGAAAAAATGGAGTCTTGTCCAAGGAAAACAAAAGTCAGCTTAAAACGGCTCCCAGTGGCCAAACCCAGGACAATTTAAGCAACAAAATAAATAGAGTAGCAAATTATAATTTAATGAATAATACATGCATTCATAATAATTTAAATAAGGAAACAAATGGAAAGAAAAGTTAGCTCTTACTTATAGTACTATTGCAAATAGTAGATGTGGAAAAAATAAAATTAGAAAATAATTATTGGGATAATATAACAGCACTGATTGTTTAGCAAAGATTTATAAATAGATGCTAAAACTTAAATAGTTTGATGAGAAAAGCCTATTTTCATAACCCTAAATTATCTCCATAAAATTCTTTATTAATTACACTAGAAAATATGGAAACTTTACATGGATAAAATAGAAGGCAGCCCTACAAAAAGGTGATCATATTAATGTTGTCAGTAATAAAACAAATCAATATCGTATGTCATGTGCTATAGAAAGAAGAAGAACACAGAAGTGCATTTGTGATAGTTATACTATAACATAATACATTATGTAAAATTAGATTTACATAATGTATAATAAAGTTATAATAAAGGTATACATTATGTAAAACTAATCATGACATAGCATTATACAAACCCAAACTGAAGAACATTTTACAAAATAACTAGCCTATAAGGAAAATTTAAGATTCTAAACGACAAGAAAAGACTGTGGAATAGTTTTACATTGATTGTTTCAAGAGATGTGAAAAGATAATCCTCCTGAATCTAGATTGCATCCATTTGCTATAAAGACAGCAGCAAATATTAATATAAATTTTCTTATTTTAAATGGTTATACTATAGAAGAGGACTTTCTTTTTTGGGAAATAAACATTTAACTATTTAGCTTTAAATGGGTAATTATATATCTGCATATACACACATATGAGAGTAAGAGAATGATAGAGTACTAATAAAATATTAATAAATAGATGAAGAATATATAAATGAAATGTACTCGACAGTATCTTCATACTAATTTTGTTACTTTTTAGTCATTGTGATTTTTTAAAATAAAAAGTAAAGGAAGAAAATGACTTTACCAAATAGCCACTACGTTACGTTTATTCTCAGGGTCATAAAGTTGGTAAAATGATTTGTAATAACAGGGATACAAATTTTAATTAGGTATTTTTGCCTTCCCTAAAAACATACCACATTAGTAATTATATTATCTTATTCTTCTGTGCTTATAAGTAGTCTTCTGGGCAATGATTTTATGTATACCATAAAAACCTTATATTTCCATGCAATTAATTATTTTCATGCAACTAATTAATCTTTGAAAATTCTAAGTATTTAACAATTTTTAAGATTTATACTGTATCTATATCATCTATTATTCTTAAACCACCACCCATTTTTCCTGGATCAACTCCACTGCTGTCACATAGACCAAATAAAATTCCAGAAAAAATAAAGAACTAGTCATGAAAAAGGCTAATTCATATAGAAAACACGTACAATCTAGGCAAAACACTGCCAAGGTGAGAGAACAATAGCATTAAGTTATGATGATACCTAAACACTAGTTATGATGAGTTATGATGATACGTAAAGACTAGGACTCATACTGCATTTTTCATTTGATCAATTATCATTTTAATCAGAAACATCATTGGCAACCACTTGAGCTATGGAAGTTGCCTGACAATCATGAAAAAGTTTTAAAAAATGTCCTCATTCAATAATGCAGGAGATCCAACACATGCCTATGAGACAAGAAAACACATTATGTTTTGCAAAACATTTTTTTGTCAGCTCCTGTGCACTAAAGATTAACAATGAATAGACAGATCATAGATAGATGATAGATACAGAGGATGGATGATAGATATAGATAGAGGATAGATGATAGATAAATGTATAGGTAAATAGATGATAGATGGATGAATAGGTAGATAGATGATAAATAGATGGCAAAAAATCTTTGGCTATTCAATATTTCATGAATTTAAATTTTTTATATTTTTATGTCACAGATAACACAAACATCCTAACTTAAAAAATATAAGTTGTTTTCACTGCAATCTTTACAGTTTATTCATGAATAAATTTCTTTTTTGAATAAACTTTTATTTTTATTTATTTCTGTTTTAGATTGACAGATAAAATTATATATATTTATTGTGTACAACATGATATTTTGAAGTGTATACATTTTGTAATGACTAAATACAGCTAATTAAGATATGCAGATGTTGCTTAGTTTCACATTTATGGTGAAAATACTTTACATCTACTCTCAGCATTTTTCAAGAATATAGCATATGATTAACTATAGTCACCATGTTGCACAATAGGTTTCTTGAACTTATTCTTTTTTCTTTCATCTAATTAAAAGTTTGTATCTTTTGACCAATATTTACCATTCCCACTACCACCACACTATCCCCTATTAACTACCATTTTATTTTCTACTTTTATGTGAAACTTCTTAGATTTCATGTATGAGTGAGATCATGCAGTATTTGTCATTCTGTGCCCGGCATATTTTACTTAACATAATGTCCTACAGGTTAATTCATGTTACTGAAAAACAGAATTTCATTCTTTTTATATAACTGAATATTATTCAATTATTTATATATATTCCATTTCTCAACCCATTCGTCTGTTGATGGACACCTAGATTGATCCCATTTCCTGGCTACTGTGAATATTATTACAACTATAATGTAGAAGTGTAGCTCTCTCTTTGACATACTGATTTCATTTCTTTTGGATGTGTACCCAGTAGTAGTAGGATTGGTGGCTCATATGGTTGTTCTATGTTTAATTTTTTTATGAACCTCCATGTAATTTTTCATAAAGGCTATACTAATTTACATTCTATTTTAATTCTATTTTTAATTTTTAATAAAAATTAAGAAATTAATTTGTGTTTCTATTTTTAATTTTTTAATGAATCTCCATATGGTTTTCCATAAAGGCTGTACTAATTTACATTCTCACTGATAGGGTTCACTTTTCTCCATATCCTAACTAACATTCATTATCTTTTGTCTTTTAATAACAGTCACTCCAACAGGTGTGAAGTGTTGTTTTATTGTGGTTTTGATACGTATTTCCCTGATCATTAGTGATGGTGAGGATTTTTTTTTTTCATAACCAATTGCCATTTGTATGTCTTATTTTGAGAAATGTCTATTTAGGTATGTTGCCTATTTTCAAATTCAGTTATTTGTTTTCTTACTATAGAATTGAGTTCCTTATATATTTTGGATATTAACCCATTATATGATGCATAACTTACAAATTTTCTCCCATTTTGTAGGTTGTTTCTTCACTGTTTCTTTTGCTGTGCAGAAGCTTTATAGTTTGATGTAATCCCATTTGTCTATTTTTCCCTTTGTCACCTGTGATTTTGGAGTCATATCCAAAAAATCGTGCCCACAGCAATGTAATGGAATGTTCCAATATATTTTCTTCTAGTAGTTTCACTGTTTTGAGTCTTACATTTAAGTCTTTTGCCCATTTTCAGTTAATGTTTATACATGGTGTAAGGTAGGTCTAATTTTATTCTTCTACAAGTGGATATCTAGTTTCTGAATATCATTTGTTGAAGAGAGTTTTATTTTAAAAAATAATTTTTGCCAACTGTTAAAATTTTTCTACATTGTGTGTTCTTGGCACTTTTGTCAAAAACCAACTGGCCATAAATGCATGGATTTATTTCTGAGCTCTTTATTCTGTTACATTGGTCAGTATTTCTGTTTTTATGCCAGTATCATGCTATTTTGGTTACTATATCTTTGTAGTATATTTTGAAGTCAGGTAGTGTGATTCCTCTAGCTTTGTTCTTTTTGCCCAAGACTGTTTTAGCTATTAAGGCTCCTTTGTGGTTTTTTACAACTTTAAAATCATTTTTTTTGTTTTTGTTTTTGTTTTTCTATTTCTATGATAAAGGTAACTAACTGGCCTTTTGATAGAGATTACATTGAATCTGTAGATTAGGTACTATGAATGTTTTAACAATATTAATTTTTCAATCCATAAATATGGGATATCTTTTCTTTATTTGTGTATTTTTTTACTTCCTTTTATGAATCATTTACAGTTTTTAGTGTAGAGATTTTTCTTTCACCTTCTTGGTGAATGATGTCACATACATACATGTACACACATACATCTAGTGCACACCTGTTGGTTCAGAAATCTAACTGTACAATATTTCGAGTTTTGCATAAATGTTATTGTAAAAGGAAATTAGGAGATTGGTAATAATTTTGGGGGGCCATTAATAGGTTTGCCACAATTTGGGTTCATTATTCTTTGGCTACATTTAGGGTTGTTATTTTTTTTTCCCGCTGCAGCTGTAGGGGTTCCAAAAATTTGTCGTGTAATATTTCTTAATAATTGTCTATGCTTCCCTTCTGTTTATCTAAAGAAAATATCTTCTTAACACCATTTCTAACTTCAATTTTCTTCTCTTTCTCCACATCTGAAATGATGCTTCAATTACATGTTCTTCATTTCTGTTTTATACCTTCTCATTTTACTGTTTATATTTCTTTTTCTAAAAGCACTAGTACCTTTCTTTTTTTTTCTTTTTACATTTTATCAATTAAACGTTGATGACACCATTGTGCTGTTTCAATTGGTAACTCTACAATGTCAAGTTCTAAAGGGTAGAATTTGGTTTTCTAGTTCTACATAGCAATCCTCTTACTTGTAGATTTTCAACTACTTCTTCTATTACCCATAGTGATTTATCTATTATTAAAGTGATTATTCTCACTTGAATAAATAACTCTTCCACTAAGCAATTGACCTAATACTTATTCTTTTTCCTGTGTAAAATGAATGTTCAGCCTCTCCTCCTTCCTTGTCAGTCTGTAAGTATATTCTTTTTTATGTTTTTGTTAAAACCACACCAAACCATAGAACTACAATGAAACACCCACAAATACATATATACCCGACTCAGTCCACTATTTATTAAACTTGTTCTCTCTCCTCTTTTCATCCAGACTTCTTGAAGAGGTAATTATTTTCCTGATTTTTATATCTTTACTTCTCATGTAATTTATAATAGATTTATCTAATATATAGTTTGCTGAATTCTTAAAGATTCACTGACCATTGTGTAAGAGGATTATACATTCCTGTTAATTTTCAAGTTACTGCTGTGTTCATTTGTGAGAAGTAACACTCTGCAACTCATTTCCCAGCTTAGAAATATTACTTGGTTTAGTTAATACAAATGAACAAAAATAATCAGTTGTATGCCCTAGCAGAAAAGTTAAGCACTGCAGCACCACTGTCTGCTTCCATCCTTTACCTTTTCTCTCTGCTACAAGAACTTTAAGTCAGGATATAGAGTAATGTTTCATCAGGAAGACAAATGAACAGAGCCACAGCTCACTGTAGCCAACATGTAACAAAAACAAGAGATAAAAGTTTGATCTTGTTACTAATTGTGTTTGTTTGTTGTTTTACCACAGTGCAATCTGTAAAAAAAATAATAATAGTATATAAAATGTACTGGAAGACACAGTTTTGGAGGCCAGACAAATGGAAAAACATGTTACACAATGGAGAATCTTTAAATAGTAGTGCCAAAAGCAATCATGTGGTAGCAATTCATACATCAAATGAACTTGCGTATTTAGTATGTATTGGTGAGGTAAGCTGCATTTAACATGAAAGAGATGAGCTACAAGAAAGGCATGAGCTGAGAAAATTATTGGCCAGATGGCAAAGAGAATAAAAGTAAAACGTGAGAAATTCTGGGACTTTCGCGGTTGAGAGATGCAATTTTTACTCAGCCAATGAATCAAAGATAAAAATCTAGTGTCAAAGGTTGCTAAACATTCAGCTTCAGGAAATACACAAAATCTAAAGTTTCACCAAGAAATGCTTTGTTAAATATCTAAATTAATTTAGTTGGTTCTTAGCAGGTTATTTACTCAGGACAAGAGATTTGGAGAAATGATACTAAATACATTTCTCTTCCAAAGAAGCATGATAATAAGTTCAAGTTACCTGCAAATAAGTGGGCAAAAAGCATGTTCAGAAGAAAATTCTGTTGACTATTGGCATATGTAGCAAAACTGAGGTGTTATATGTTGACTTGTGTCTCCCAGAAAGATACCTTGAATCCGAATTCTTAGTGCCTCAAAATGTGCACTTATTTGGGAATTGGTTATTTGCAGATGTAATTAGTTAAGAGGAAGTCCTACTGGAGTAGGGTGGTCCCTTAATAAAACATTATTAGTGTCCTAATAGGGAAAATCAAATTTTTACCAGTTATAGATACCTTGGCTACACAACCATGTGAAATGTGAAGACCAGGCAGAGAATGGAATTAATTACACTGCCAGAAGTCAAGGAATCTCAGGGGTTAAAAGAACCTAGAAAATGCAAAGAAGAATACTTCCCTACAGGCTTCAGAAGGAGAATGGCCCTGTCCACACTTCGATTTTGGACTTCAAACCTTTAAAACTGTGAAAAATATTTTTTGGTTTCTTTTTAAACCACCCAAGTTGTGGTCATTGTTATAGCAACCCTAGGAAATTAATACACTAGCAAAAGCTGTTTAATACACTGGTCCTTTACAGTATCCAGCACAGATTTCTGTCTCAAATTTCAGTAATAAATATCCAAAATCTTGCTTTTTAGTTACTTGACCCTTCAAATGAAATATATAACTTAAGAAAAACTCATCCATTTCCCCTAAAAAGAAAGCACAATCACCTATACAATCTTTTGCTTATTGTGGTAATACCATCCAGTTATCATGCAAACCAAAAATCTGGGATTAATTCTCAACCCCTCTTTCTACTTTTCTCTCAGATATCACAAACTGTTTATATTACCCTTTAAAATTGTCTTAAATCTATCACTTCAAATTCTACTAGAGTTTCTGAGCTTATTCTCTCATACATGGGCAGTTAACTTCATATATTAGATAATTCTACTCTTTTCTCAGAGCCATTATTACCACATTCTATTCCTCAGAGGGTTTATTCTCATTTTCTTTTAAAGTCTCCTTCTCTGTTGCTTGTCACATTAAATTCAGTAATCTCTAGATTTTTTTTCCTCAGCCCTAGTATTTTATTACTATGCACTTGATTACTGGGTGGTTTTACTTACTTCTATAGTAACCACCATATTTCATACTCTTTCTACCTTCTATTTGATACTCAGGAACCAAATAGATACTGATAACAAAGGATCTTTCACTATCTAGACTTGCTGTACAAAGTCTCACTATTTAATCTATTTAAAGAGAAACTCAGAAACTGTGATTCAGATAGCTATAGTATCTTAAAAATGTTTAGGTGCAAACTCACTTTTAGCTATTTATGCAGTTTTAGCTTGAATGGCTGCAGGCAACTTTAATCTGTTATATTCCAAAATTGGTTCATCTCACTTAATTTTCTATCTGCTTATCTTTTATCCTCCTCATTCCAACTAATCTTGTAAATTAATGCACTTTTAGCCATCCTGTTAATAACGTTAAAAGATTTACAATTATTATCTGTTCCTTCTCAACCTCAATATTCAGCTTTTTTATTGAATCGTTCTTATTGAACCTTTTTAATCATTCTGAATTTGTCTGTGTTCATTATGCCTATTATCAGTTTCAGTAAGGTTCCTAAATGTTCCTTTATCTATATTTCGTGAGACTGAGGTCCTTAATGTGTTTTAGGAAAACCCTAGTTCCTTAACTTAGACTGAAAGAATCTCAATTCATAACCTGGCCCCACTTTACTTCCTTTCTTTCTTCCTTTTTTTTTTTTTTTTGACCGGAGTCTTGCTCTGTCGCCCAGACTGGAGGGCAGTGGCACGATCTCTGCTTACTGCAAGCTCCGCCTTCCGGGTACATTCCATTCTTCTGCCTCAGCCTTCCGAGTAACTGGGACTATAGGTGTGTGCCACCAAGCCAGGCTAATTTCCCACCTTACTTTCTAACATCTTCAATCACTTCACACCATAACCAATCAAAATTTTGTTCTTTGCTGACACTGGTTCCTTATGCTATCTCATAAAAAAATAGTTTTCTTGACATGGTTAACTAATTCATTTTTCTTGTCATGCATCAAATGTTGGCTTGGCTGAATCACTTTAGTTACGATGTTTTCCTTGCATTCACTTCTTTTTATTTGCTTTGGGTTATTTGCTGCTTTTCTATTACATCTTAAAAGATTCATAATTAATGGCATTTTATCCTTTATTTTTCTCTAATACAATAATTTATGGCTGTAATTTTGCCTCTAAGCATGGCACTAGTTGTGAGACACATTTTTATATCTATTAATTTTATTATCCTACAATACAATATATTGTCTAATTTGTATTATATTTTTCTCATTTGTCTATCGTGTAGTATATTTGGCCCATTTATCCTTTTAAAATAATAATTCTGTGTTAAATAATGCTATGTTGATGAAAATACTATGTATCTTTTTAACATTTTTATATTTTTGAGGCTTTTTGGCATATATCAATTTTGTAATTGTTTAATGTGTGCTTGAAAAGAGACCATGTTTTACAACTTAAGTATTCTGTATATTTTAATAAGATCAAATAGTTAATTGTATTGCCTAAGTCTTTTACATTTTTGACTTAATTTTATTTTTGCTCTGCATGATCCAACATTTACTAAGAAAAGTGTTAAAAATCTCCTACAATTATGGTATAGTTGTCATTCTGCCCTTGAAGAGGCTTCAATTGGGGTGCCATATACATATATATATATATTTGAAGTTATATTATTATATATGCAGCAATTTTGGACTGTCATATTTCTAATAAATTGCAACTGTATTATTATATATCTGTCATTTTTCTCTAAGCATTTTTTATTTTAGAATCTATGTTTTTCTGAGATGAAAGCTATAAACAGCTTTATTTTGTTACATTTTGCAAAATATGCATTTATATTTTTATATTTTAGACATGGTACTTATGAACAACATACAATTATTTTTTTCTTGTTTTATAATTGGAAACTTTTACATTTAATAGTTTTCTAATATAATTGGTCTTAAATCTACCATACTACTTTTTTTCCTTATTGTCTTTGTTTGTTCTATGTTACTTTTTCTCTCCCTTTGTGGAGAGAATTCTAAAATAACCCAAAAGACTCCCATTCCTTAATGTACTTGCCTTATATAATCCCCTTCCCTCGAGTATAGGGCAAGCCAGTGAATATGATGAGATAGATATCCCTCCTATGATAAGATTATGGTTTAGTCAATTTTTAGTTAGTCAAAAGAGATTATTCTGGGTTGGCTTGACATAATCAGATGAACCTTTTAAAAAACAGATGAAACATGAAGAAAATGTCTTCTACTGGCCTTGATGGAGGAAACTCACCACATTATGAAGACAGTTCCATGGTAGGGGCCCAAGAATGGCTTCTAGAGGTAAGAGTAATCCCTGGCCAACATATAGAAAGAAAATAGACACTTTATTCATATAGCCATCATGAAATTAATCTTGCAATAATCTGAGGGATCGTGGAAGAAGACCTCTCCCTGGGTGAGTTTCTGTAGACTGTTCTTTGCTGATACTGGTTATGTATCTGTTTAAATGTGCATCTGATCAATGCCTTGATTTCAGTCTTAGGAGACGAACAGAGAATCCATCCAGAACATGTTAGATTTCTGAACCACAGAAACTTGAGATAATACATTTTATGTTTTAAATTTCTAAGTTCGTGTTCTGTGACAACAGAAAACTTACAGACTTCTATTGACTGCTATTGAATTGACTGGTGCTATTTTCATTTTAATTATTCATTTGTGTACACTACCAACTTCATAATTATGTCATATTTTAAACATATTTTTACTGCCTACCATTAAGATTACTTCATACATGTGTGGCTTATCAATAATATTATTTCAAACTTTTAGAATCCTCGTGTTCCATTTAGGACCTTATAACACATAATATGAATGCTCCCTCATGGAATATTTTTCAAGTATATCAACTCAATATTATTTGAACTGTAGAAAATATTATTTTGATGCTGTAAATATTTACCTAGATTTTCCCACTTAATTTTACTTTCATTCTTCTCGTTCCTTCCTACCTATAAACCTCCATCTGAAATCAGTATCTTCTGTAATAAGAGCATGATTTACTATTCTCTTTAGTTGACTCCTGCATGTGACAATCTTTCAGCTTTAGTCTTTCTAAAAATGTATTTATTTCAACCTCATCACTTAGGATATATTTGATGGATGTAAAATTCCAGTGTGGCCAAATTTGCAGGCCTCCATTTTCTGTCTTGCCTCATTAGTCTGGCAAAAGATCTCCTCAGGTTCACAATCTTTCAGCTGCCTATGGATGCATGGCCAAATCCATCAGGAAAAGATGGCCTCAAATAATGACTTCAATTGTCTGAATTTTATTCTTTTTTGGAACTCTTCTTAAAACATTGATTTTTAGCTTTGTCACCAATGAAATTATTTTGAATACTTTGTTCTGATTTTCTGAATGTTCTTTGGAAAAAAGAATTGTTCAAAATTACCTAAACCATCCTAATATTTAAAAAAAGACTCCTTACAAATATTAAGACAATTACTTAAACAGACAGTTCCAATAATCTGAAATCAAAGTCCTGGTATTCGGATTGATTAGATCAAGTGAAAGAGGATTGTGTAAAACATCTTTTATGAGTTAGATCTAACTCATTTGTTATTTTATCCATTGTTCTTCACCTACTAGATGTATCAAAAATATTAATATAATAGTATTTGGATATTTTGAATATTGTTTTGTACTTAGTTAATTCATGTATCTAACCCTTGCACCAAAAATTATTCTACATTTCTTTTATCTACAATTATCTATATTGTATGATTGATTGCAATATTGGAATTTCTGCAACCTCTCTAGAATAGATAGAGTCAATCTACTATAAAAACCAAAAGCATCACATGAAAGTTATTCAGAATACAGTTATTTTCACAAAGCTCTGTAAGATATACTTCCTACCAGGATATTGATAGAATCTGATTTTGAGAATATTTACTTTTATTTACCTCATTTCATATATGTAAATATATTACTAGATTTGTTTTTCTTTACCAGCTCATCCAGCTGTAGTCAATACTCCTTTCTACACCCAAGTTCAGCCTCATGTAATTTTAAAACCATCTTATAAAGACTGCCTCAATCTACTACTTGGTTTGTTTTGAAATAAGTATAGTGACCATAAAATGTGTGTCTACTGTGGTGTCGGTGCTGTGATGTCCACTCATTCTCTGTGCCTCTATATACCTTACCACACACAGATGCTTTCCCTCACTCATCACATCAGATGCCAGAATGACTGCTTTAACTCTTAGATATTATTCTAACTCCACATGAGGTATGAGTAAAAATTTCTTAGTGGGCACCTTGCCACTTTCTTTTGTTTTAGGTTATCCTTAATCTTGTCAATATAGTTTACTTCTTTCAACTTAGCCATTGGCTGAACTATTGTTAAAAATGTACTTAGTAAACAGAGCCATGTGACCTCTAATCCTTTTGCTTGGTATATTACTGCAAACTGTATTGCCAGACCCCCAACTAAACAGTACAATTAATTAGAGAAAATTATTTAACTATTCCTCTCTAAAACTGGGAGAACAAGAGAACTTCGCAGTATTGTTGGAAATTCTAAATAATATGCGTCATGAAAGAGCTTACAACAGTGCTGTGACCTAATGATTATTCATGCAATTATCATTTTTATATTATTATATTTCAGCAGCATTATCATGATTATATTCTTATGTTGGTAAATACACATTTGCTCGTTTGTTTTTTCTAATTTTGCATATGGTGTTCATATCTAGAAAGAAATCATTGGAGAATTATCATATTGTAAAAATGTTAGCTACAAAATATATTTATTGCACACATGAATGAGGGAAATATTCCAGAAGTCACTCACAACATGGCAATATTTTTTGCTTTGCAAAATATATTTTTAAATACTTTGGGTAAAGCTGTTATTTTGGGGTTGTGTTAGTTTGCTTGTATCTTAGGCCAAATGGCCAAAGAATAAAAAGAAAAGAAAAGAAAAAAAAAACAGTAAACAAGTGGCAGCACATGTTCATAAAATTTTTAAGTAAATAATGTATGATTTTGTTCATGCTTTAAAAATTCAAATTTCTGGTTGGGTGCAGTGGCTCACACCTGTAATCCCAGCACTTTGGGAGGCCGAAGCAGGTGGATCACCTGAGGTCAGGAGTTCAAGACCAGCCTGGCCAACATGGTGAGACCCTGTCTCTACTAAAAATACAAAAAACACTATCTGGGTTTGGTGGCGTGTGCCTGTAATCTCAGTTACTTGGGAGGCTGAGACAAGAGAATCACTTGAACTTGGGAGGTGGAGGTTGCAGTGAGCTGAGATTGTGCCACTGCACTTCAGCCTGGGCAACAGAGCAAGACTCTGTCTCAAAAAAAAAAAAATCCAGTTTCTATGAAGTTGTCTAATAATATCCAATCTCTATATTGTAACACAATAATCTGAGCTCTAAGTAACCGTGAGTAGAATTATTGAATGTTAATTTGAGAGATCATTTAAAAAAATTTTTGGATATCTGTCTAAAAATATGAATTCATACCTCAATAAGAATACATAGCTCAGTATTACTTATCTTACTCTTTTCTAGTGTGTGTCTTCTCATGCCAAGATTGGATAAAGGTAGTATACATAGAGAAAAACAAATCAACAAGTAACAACTTTCCTTTACAATGGTTCACCTCTACTATATTTTTGTCAAAATTGATATTAATTTTACTTTAATAAAAGAAGCTAAGTATATAGTGTATTTGAATGTATGCATGTTTATGTGTAGTGAGTGCAGAATAGTGAAGGTGTATGAAATCCCTAGGAAAAGAAGATTAAAAGGCATATTTATACACTATTATACTCTGTACCTTAGAACATGCTTCTTTACTTTTTGCTTTTTGACCCAAGTAATAATACAAACTATCTATCGTCCAGAACTTTTACAGAAAATTTGCTAGGAAGCCTGAACATCTGAATATATTAATTACAATTAATATAGCAGTATTTTATATATTATGTTTTCCACTGTACAGATAAAAGTTTAAGTTTGAAAAATGCTATACAAATTATCAAAGGAGGCAGTGATTATAAGTGATATAGCAAGGGTTTAAACTTACATCTACAGTATATAATTCTGCAGTGAATTATAATTTTTATTAAAAGGTGCTATTAGAGATTTATTTATAATTTAGTAAACAAACAACAAATTAATGGGCTCAAAATATATTACATAATCTCTAGTGAGCCATTTTATCAAATGATCTGTTGAAAACTCTTGAAAGCCTCCATATGTGGAAATAAAGCTGAGTTTATGACAATTAATTTTCAACATATCATTCATTATTGCATATTATTTTTGCCATAAATCTAATTACATATTTTTATTTAACTCTACAAGGATGGATGCATATACTAAAATATGTAGTTTTTGAGAACCGCTCATTTTGGTATATGCATCCTTGTGTAGTGAACTCACATATCAGCTCATCTTGGTCATGTGATTTGTTTAATCAAGGTGGCATTAGCAAGAATGATACAAACAGAGGCTTTATAACTGCCTGCACATTGTAGTTTGTACTCTGAGTGCTCTTTTGGATCTCCAAATTACCATGTGTAGATTTCCAACAACCCTGTTGGAGAATCCACATGTAGAAAATAGATCCTCAGTTAGACCCCAAATCTTCCAGCCATCTCATGTGAGGCTCCAAACATATGAAGGAAAACACCATCTTGAACATTCTGGTACTGTTAGACACTACAGAGAACAGAAGAACATCTATGTATGGCCCCAATTAAAGAATCATGTAAGTACAAAAGAAGTCTACGTTTTACAGTGACTTCATGCAGCAATAGACAACTAAGTCAATAATATAATTATTGTTTTATAATCAAATTGTTCCTTATGCTTTTCAACATTTATTTGCTTGCCTCTTAAAAATTATATTATAGTCCTTTCTAATAGAATATTGTTCTTCTTCACTAAATAAATCAGCTTGAAGATCTTTTAGTTAAGGTCTCAGATTTTGTTCATATAAAACTGTCTTTATTTCCTTCTCTTTTAGGATGATAGCTTATATTGACCATTATTTGCCCGCAGCTATTTGAAGATTATATTGACTCTTGGTGATTTCATTATTACTATTATCTGCTATTTAAAGTCAAATTGTCATCCTTTGTGGATCATCTTCCCTTTCTCATTAGTTATTTTTAAGATCTCACTTTTTTATTATTTTTCCTATAGTTTTGCTGCAATGTAACTGGGTATATTTTTGTTTATTTTGGCTTGGTATTTGTTTTCCTTTCTTTTGAATTTCAGTAATCATGTGATACATCAATTATAGGTAAATTACTGCAATAATATGTTCAAATTTTCTCACAGTTCTGGAGCTAATTTCTAGTAAGGGCTCTCTTCCTGCCCTAGAGATGACGGTTCTCTCAGAGTGTTCTCTTATGGACTTTTCTCAATGTGTACACAAAGAGCAGGTGCACATACAGGCGCAAGAGAGAGAAAGAGAGACAGGGAAATTTTCTGGTGTTTTTTTGTAAAAAGGTTATTATCTCTATCATGAGAGCACCTCCCTACTGAAACATTGAAATCTAATTATCTCCCAAAATCCCCATTTCCAAATACCATCACATTAAGGTTCAGGTCTTTAACATATGAATTTGTGACGTAGGGAGAAGAAATAAACACAAAAACATTTCATAGATACTATTCTAAAACTAAGACCTCATGGACTATTTCAGGGAACATACTACATGCATGCTAACTATAAGCTTATGGAGTTTTAGAAAGTTACATAAATTTAAATAAATCTAAAAGAAAAGTATGAAACATCAACATAAGTAGGTTAAAGTGATCAAAGGGACAAAATAAGGAAAGAAAGCCAATAAGGAATAAAATAAAATAACTATTAAATACCAAGACACAGTTGTGAGAAAAAAAAATCTTATAAATTTGAAAATACAGTTTTCAAAATTATTGTCCCTTGAAGCCTCAAACATCAGATTTCACGTAGCTGGAGAGAAAATTAATGAACTTGAATATAGGCATGATAAAAGTACCAAAAACACAGCAAAGAGATAACAGGAGATTGTGATTATGATTCAAACCATTAAATCTTATTCAAACGTATGGTATCTTACGCAAAATATTTCCTGTGAGTAGACTGACAGTGTTGGTGGTTAGGAAATGTTTATCTGTTCCACATTTATCCAGTGAATATTTAATTAATACTTTTAATATTCTGGCTCTATAAGGACTATTTTGGTTTGCGGGCATGATGTCATTATATCAGGATATGAAAACAGAAATTGTACTTTTAGTTACAAATGCTTACTCTTTGTTTAAATAGCAAACAAATATAAATTACTTAGGTGTAATTTTTAATACAGAAAGTTTTATTAGGCCAGGCGCGGTGGCTGATGCCTGTAATCCCAGCACTTTGGGAGGCTGAGGCAGGAGGATCACGAGGTCAGGAGATAGAGACCATCTTGGCTAACACGGTGAGTCCCTGTCTCTGTTAAAAATACAAAATTAACCGGGCGTGGCAGCTGGCACCTGTAGTCCTAGCTACTGGGGAGGCTGAGGCTGAAGAATGGTGTCAACCCGGGAGGCGGAGCTTGCAGTGAGCCAAGACCGTGCCATTGCACTCCAGCCTAGGCGACATAGCGAGACTCTGTCTCAAAAAAAAAAAAATTACATATATATATATATATATATATATATATATATGAAAGGCTAGGATGAATTCCATGGTACTGGCTTGTAATTGGAAATGCCAGTATAAAATCATGGCTTTTCATATCTATAGTTACAGAGTTAGATCTAAATCCAGATACATAAAACAGAGGTATTGAAATAGATTATACATAATTATGCACAGACACAAACACATGTGTGTGCACACTCATACACACACACATCTGATAATGTGGACCACCGAGAGTTCCTAGAAGCAATAAAACCCCAGTTGCATTGAGCACAACGAGGAAGCAAATAATTACTTTAATACACCAATCCGTATTCACAGGAACCCATGTTCCTTGGAGAAATAGTTTATCCCAGGCCTGAGGGAGGAAAATGAAAGATTATTGTGTAGCATCTTACTGAGCCAGAAAGTAAGATAGTGGTCAAAAATGAGGAGAAAATTTCAAAGAGACACAAAAGTCAACATGATGAGGTTTCTGCTGACCAAATTTGGAACAATTTGAACATGGAATAAATAATGATACTATGACCCACTGAAATAAATAAGAGTAGATGAATACGTATTTCATATAAATAAGTAAAAGAGAAGGACATGTCCTTCATTGCATTATCAAACCACCATATAAATTTAGAATGTGTGGTGAGTTATAAAATGACTAGTGGTAACAATCATGATAATTGATTCAACCAAGAACCCAGATGGATGATAAAACAGGTGGGTAATAATTTGATGAGTAATATATAGATGACTTCAATGAACCTACCTACATATATTACAATAGAAAGACATTAATATAATATGCCTGCTGATAGAATTCACTGACAACATAACATTGCTGCTGTGATAGTCCTGTTACAAATGCATAATGTAAATCTAATCATGAGGGAACATCAGACCAACATACACTGAGAAACAAACAAAACAACGGGTGTGCTTTCTTCAAAAATATTAAAGCCACAAAAGCAAAGATAGACTGACAAATTATTTCATTAAAGGAGACTGAAGAAGTGCAGCGTGATCCAGGGTTTTCTTTTACTGTAGCATTGCTGAGAAAATGGAAACCTGAATAAGGACTATAGATTATGTAATAGGATTTTGATAATTATTCTATGGCTATACAAGAAAATATTTGTGTTTTAGGAAACATACAGTGAAGTATTTAAGAGTAAAGTGAGGTGATGCTTTCAAATTACTCTGTGTTAATTAATTTAATCATACCACATTGTGTGTATGTGTGTATATCTATACATCACATTGTACCCCATATACAACCATCATTTGTCAATTAAAAATGTAATTAGTTTGCAAGTCTTTTTATTTCTTTTCCTTGAAATGCCTTTTGTTTTATATATATTCTTGACTGCATAACTTGCTCCTTAAGAAAACTGTAGTCTTTCCCTTTCACTTTTTGCTTTTTTAAACAACTTAAAAAATATATAGAATGAGAGAATGATAAGCAGGCCTGGTAAAAGTTTGACATTTGGGGGAGCTGAGTGAAGTTGAGGTCAAAATTCCTTCTACTATTTTTTCTACCTTTCTGTGCCTAGTATTATGTCAAAATAAAAATTGTAAAGACAAATAAGGAAGTTGTTTTTATATACTTTAAAATAATCTTTCTCTTACTTTAAATTTCACCTCTACACAGGGCAAGCATCATTTACAAAAGTTTTAAAACCTGTCTATAAAACTTCTGTATTTAGACAATGAAAAGTACTGTGCGGTAACCGGCCTCGTAGGCTACCGAACTACGAGAAAATGTCTGGCTAGTGAGAAGAAAATGTGGATTACATGCCTATCCCTACAACATACCTTTTATGATCTGATTGTTATCATTTTAGAAACACTTGGTAAGGGGGAAGTTACAGGAAACAAATCTCTTCAGTGGTTATACTTTCAGAAGCTTGGTAAGAGAGTTAGTTGACACCATATGCTAAAATTGAGTTTAGGGATTGTCCATGGATAATCTCTTCTCAATTTTTTCTGTTGCTATCTATGAAACCACTGTTTATCTGTCATCCAAGATGAGGTTATTTTTCTCTCAGCCTTCTCCTCTATCAAATATATTTAATTAAATCTCAAAAATCAATTCCTCCTGTCTATCTCAAACTTTGTACCTTTTGATTAGCAACTCCTCATTATCTCACTCCCCACCCCAAATCCCAGCCTCTGGTAGTCATCATTCTACTCTCTACTTCTATGAGTTCAACTCTATTTCTCAATTATGTGTGAAATCATGTGGTATTTTTCTTCTTGTGCAAACAAGGTGATGGATGTGTTAATTAGGTTAATTTAATCATACCATATTGCGTGCATGTGTGTATATCACATTGTACCCCACATACAACCACTATTTGTCAATTAAAAATGTAATTACTTTGCAAGTCTTTTTATTTCTTTTCCTTGAAATGCCTTTTGTTTTATATATATTCTTGACTGCATAACTTGCTCCTTATGGAAACTACAATCTTTCCCCTTTGCTTTTTGCTTAAATCCAATTTCAAACCCTTCTGTTCATGTAATCACACCAAGACTGAATTGATACATTATTTACACTCTATATTTTGCCTTTTTAATAATAATTATTGTTTTCTTTTTCTTTTTGTAAAAATTAAATATGGAAAGCACATGACTCCATAACAGTTAAAGCACATTCATGTGTTATTTTTAAAGGCTTTGATTTCCATTATTAGTAATACTACAGGTTTTTATAATTTTAACTTTTATTTTAGATGATACGTGTGGAGGTTTGTTATATAGATATAGTCCATGGTGCCGAGGATCCCATCATCCAGGTAATGAGCATAGTACCCAATAGGTGGTTTTTCAATCCACACCCCCTTCACTCCCCAACAGTAGTCCCCAGTGTCTGTTGTTCTTTTATTTTATTATTTAATTAATTAATTTATTTATTATTTATTCTATTTTATTATTATTATTATTTGAGATGAAGTCTCACTCTGTCACCAGCTGGAATGCAGTGGCATGATCTCAGCCTACTGTAACCTCTGCCTCCCAGGTCCAAGTGATTCTCCTGCCTCAGCCTCCTGAGGAGCTGGGACTACAGGCATGTGCCACCACGCCAGGCTAATTTTTGTATTTTTAGTAAAGACAGGGCTTCACCATGTTGGCCAGGATGGTCTCCATCTCTTGCCCTCGTGATCCGCCTACCTCAGCCTCCCAAAGTGCTGGGATTATAGGCGTGAGTCACTGCACCCAGCCTATTGTTCCCATTTTTATGTCTATATGTACTTAATGTTTAGCTCCACATATAGGTGAGAACATACAGTATTTGGTTTTCTTTTGCTATGTTAATTCCCTTGGTATAATAGCCTCTAGCTGTATCCATGTTGCTGGAAAGGACATGACTTTGTTCCTGTTAATGGCTGCATAGTATTCCATGGTGTACATGAACCACATTTTCTTTATCCAATCCAACATTGATGGGCACCCAGGTTGATTCCATGTCTTTGCTATTGTGAATAGCTATGCAATGAACATCGAAATGCGTGTGTCTTTTTGGTAGAACAATTTATTTTTCTTTGGGTGTATATACTCTATATTATATAATGGCTTCCATTTTTTCCTTCGCCTTAGTGTTATTTCATCAAGTTAATTTTAATAACATTTTTAATAAGGCCCAAGTCTTTTATCTCTATAGCTTCTTATACTCAACATTATATAAATATATAGTAAGTACTCACTAAATATCAATTCATTAAAAAAATATTGAGTCTCTTTTGCATACCAGCCAATGTTTCTTTATTTGGAATATGTGACACTGATCTTTTGAGCCTGGTTTTGCAGAAGAAATAGATGGATACTAATCAATTAAATAGATACACAAACAAGACAATTTCAAACTGTGAAACATGATATGAAGGAAATTAAGCAGTGTGACTAATTAAATTGTTTGATTGATGTATGTGACAAGTCCGGGAAGATTGACTTAGATTGGCTGGTCTTAAAAGGCTTCAAACTGAGAAAATAACATTTGAACTGAGGCAGTCGTGGCTAAAAGCAGTCAGCTGTGAAAATATCTAGTCACCTAGGTTTAGGCATAGTCAAGAACATGCGCACCTGGGCAAAGTGAGAGCAATTTTTGTGTACTAAAGAAAGAAAGGAAGGAAATGTGTCTACAACTTAGTGAATGAGTGATAGAGATAAGTTGAGAGACACAGGGAATAAAGTATTCTGAAAGCAATGGGAAGACAATGGATGTTTTAATGTTGAAAACATCATAGACTAATTTTTTTTAACCACTCCAATTCGTGGATGAAAATAATATCGGGAAAAATTTGTATGAGGAAAATATGTAGGCAATTACAATGATTCTGAGAATGATAGTGGCTTGGTTTAGGCTGATAGTAGTGGAGACTCAGAGAGGTTAATAACTTTGGAATATTAAGAAGACTAATGGCTTTGATTTGGACACTGTAGAAAAGGACCATCAATGGCTCCTGTTTTCAACTTAGGCAAGAAGGAAAGACAAGATGGAGGGAGCTACACTAGATATATGAATGTGAGTATATTTGGAAGGTCAAGGCTACTGCCAAGGTCATGTTAAATTTGAACTATCTGTGGGTATTCCACATTGTGACACTAAATAGGCAGTTTGATATGTGGTTTGATGCACAATAAACCACATAAATTCAGGAGTCACAGATAAATAAATGTTATTTTTAATAATCTTTCCTCAGCACAAAAAAGTGGACATCAAAACTACATTATTAATTCATTGTAAACATAGTATGATTCTAACATATGTTTGCACTTACACTGATTACTTCAGAAAGAAAAATTTACTTGAATTTTTTTTTTTTTGAGATGGAGTTTCACTCTTGTTACCAAGGTTGGGGTGCAATGGTGCGATCTCAGCTCACTGCAACCTCCGCCTCCTGGGTTCAAGTGATTCTCCTGCCTCAGCCTCCCGAGTAGCTGGAATTACTGGCATGCACCATCACGCCCGGCTAATTTTGTATTTATAGTAGAGACAGGGTTTCTCCATGTTGGTCAGGCTGGTCTCGAACTCCCGACCTCAGGTAATCCACCTGCCTCAGCCTCTCAAAATGCTGGGATTACAGGCAGGAGTCACTGTGCCTGACCGAAAGCTTTTATCTCAAAATTAAACTACTTTTACTTCTAAGAGCAATAATTATTCTTTTCAAACTATTGTTTTTATTTTGGAAGTTAATTTCTTAATCATGTTCACAAAAACTTCTATTTTAAGTTTATTTTAATGAAGAAAATGTAGTCCTTCTTCATTTCTTTAAAAATGAATTTTTTTTTCCAAAGTAATGGTTTTACTTATTTGGAATTTTTTTTTAAAATTAAAAATCCATTATAAAGAAGGATGAATCACATATAAGGAAGTAATATTTATCTGGTAACTTTTTGTTCAGATCTTTTACAATGTTGACACAAATCAAAGCTAGAATTCAGAGACTGTTCTATAAGTATTTTATCTTAAGTCCCATTGGCTGAATGTGGCTGGTAATGGTCTGTAAAAGAAAAGCCAATTTGCCTCTTGATGGAGATTACTGTACCAAATGTAGCAAAGAGTTTCAGAAAATGTGACACGCTTTCTGTTCAACAGTGGAAGAGACAATTAGTTTCCTAGTTTTTCTTCTTGTGCAATGGAAATAGGTATTGCTTGTTAATTCTCTTTAATCTCTTACATCAGTTTCTTGGTAATGTTGCTTATTCTAAATCTACAGAGTTGCATTTAAGGCAAAGTATATAGTTTCCCATGTTTTAAAATTCTAATTCAGTGGTAAACAATTATTATTATTTTAAAACTTGATTTCGTGAGGTCAAAATACTTTGACACTAAACTGATTATAATTATAAACGAATGTTTTTGAGAGGAGAATGCATTATTTCTTCAGCATTTCTAAACTTCTCAGTATTAACAAACAGGACCTTATTCCTTAGACTGACATTTCTTAAAACTTAGCTGGTCATGTTATAGCCATCCATTTAGTTAATATCTATGGAAATCCATCCTTTATTTTTAACGTACTATGCGATAGAAAAATATAAAATACGTTGATATATATTATCATCATGTATATTTATAAACCCAAATCAATAGATAAATTTTCTTATTAAACTTGTCCTTTCCATCTTTCTGCATATCTTAGTACATCCATTTCATAGCTATATCTGAAACAGTTTTCTAGTTATGAGTAAACAAAAGAATTATCATGTTAGTGATGTCATGTAATCAAATAAACAATTCATCTAATTAAAATAAATATATGGAAATTATAATACAAAATGTGTCTTACATTTTCACATTGGGAAAAATTAATTTGATAAATATCAACTTACAATATCTGTAAAAATGTCAGTGTAAAAATGTATTTAAACAAATGGCACCTTGTGAGGTGTCATATTGTGTTTGCTTAAGATAGCTTCAATTGCAATAAAATATTTAAATCAGTAATGTGTAAAATATTTGTATTAATTAATATGAATAGCTTACATGTAGAAAATTTAATATAGGAGAAAGCAAAATAGTGTTATTTAATTATATTGAAATATATATATATAAAACATTATTATTACATTTTAGTATAATCTGGAATGCATAGAGTTCTTAAGTTCGGAATAGACTTAAAAACATATTAAGTTCAAACTACCTATTATTTCAGGACTCCCGACTCAGAAGATAGACATTAATGCTCCTTGAACATTTGCAAATCCACAAAATGTATTATTTCACAGAGCATTTATTTTATTATTTCACCAGATACCTGCTGAGTTTCTCCTTCAGGTAGATACTAATCTACCCACTGGGGAAATAAGAACTAATCTTGTATAATTCCTGTGCAAAAGACTGACCCATGTGAATAAATACTATACTTTATAGCAAACTGTGCATGAGGGGGTTGGGGCATGAAATACAAGTGGAAATATCACTCACAGAGAGAGAAAATGATTCGGTGGTAATACGTGAGCCACTAATGAAGAGAAGTATTTGCTAGTCCAAGAGTGGCAGGAAAGAAACAGCAAGAGCAAATACATAGGGATATGTAAAGGTCTACCCTTCTAAGAAAATGCAAACATTTGCCATGCTGGCATATAGAATATCAGGTACAGTGGTATACAATGATACTGAAAATGTAGTCAAAGATAAAGTCTTCAAGACCTTATGCTTTTGTTCTCAGTTTCTACCTGTGAGACCATTTTTTAAAATTACTCCTTATTTCTTTCATTGCTATATTATTCTTATGTATCTATCAAGATACCATTATGCCTAGAGTAGTATATTCCCTTCTATGTGTTAAAATTTTAGCCTGGGCAACATAGCAAGACCCCATCTCTACAAAAAATTTAAAAATGTATTAACCAGGTGTGGTAGTGTGCATTTGTAATCTCAGCTTCTAGGAGGGCTGAGATGGGAAGATCCTTGAGCCCAGAAGTTTGAGGTTGTAGTGAGCTATGATAATACCACTGCCTCCAGGCTAGGTGACAGATATCCATATTCTGATAATTAATACATAACAATCACAGAAAATCAAAATATTTTCAACCTTTTGATTCTAGTTTTCTTTGAAAATTAATGGATTTAGTCTTCTCTAGTAGAATTTTTTTTCATGAAAATGTGCTGTCACTGAATGCAAATACATATTTTAATCAGAGTCCTATTTTTCCATCACTTTTTCAAATTTAGGTAAAATCTCTGCAAGTCAAATTGGTAAGCCTTGTGATGTATACATTTATCCTAGTTCTTATAAGGTACCTCTCTTCCTCACTCCTTCCTTTCATGGGAACATCATTCTGATAGCATGTGCTGTGATCTAGGAAAATGAGGCCTTCCAATTTGATTTTACCTACATAATCTACACTTCTCTTTTCAAGTCCATATATTTCTTATATTGAGACACTTCAAAAATGAGAAAAACTACAGATGTTACTTTCTTAGATTTTCAGTTTGTATAAATATAATCTAGCAAAATTTTTTAGGTTTTATGTCTTATCAAAACTAACTCATGGCCAGGCATGATGGCTCACACCTGTAATCCCAGCACTTTGAGAGGCCAAGGGGGGTGGATCACCTGAGGTCAGGAGTTTGAGACCAGCCTGGCCAACATGGCGAAACCCCGTCTCTGCTAAAAATACAAAAATTAGCTGAGTGTGGTGGCAGACACATATAATCCCAGCTACTCGGGAGGCTGAGGCAGGAGAATCACTTGAACCCGGGAGGCGGAGGTTGCAATGAGCCAAGATAGCACCACTGCACTCCAGCCTGGGCGACAGAGTGAGACTCTGTCTCAAAACAAACAAACAAACAAACAAACAGCTAACTTATTGGCAAACTTGTGGGGAAGCATAAGAGATATCAAAGGAGAACACCCATTATTATAAAATGCCTATATTACAAACAAAAAATTAATCTCTGTTACTTACTGCATTCTGTATTCTCACAAATTCATATGTTGAAGTCTTAACCCCTAGAGCCCTCGGCGGTGGGGAGGCTCGGGCATGGTGGGCTGCACGTCCGGAGCCCTGCCCACGGGGAGGCAGCTGAGGCCCAGCGAGAATTCGAGCGCAGTGCCGACACTGCTGGGGAAGCTGGCGCACCCTCCACAGCTGCTGGCCCGGGTGCTAAGCCCCTCACTGCCTGGGGCCGGCGGCGCCAGCTGGCCGCTCTGAGTGAGGGGCCGCGGAGCCCACGCCCACCCGGAACTCCGCTGCGCGCAGCCCCGGTTCCCGCCCGCGCCTCTGCCTCCACACCTTCCCGCAAGCAGAGGGAGCTGGCTCCGGCCTCGGCCAGCCCGGGGAGGCGCCCCCATAGTGCAGTGGCGGGCTGAAGGGCTCCTCAAGCATGGCCAGAGCGGGCGCCAACGCTGAGGAGGCGCAGAGAGCGAGCGAGGGCTGCCAGAACGGTGTCACCTCTCAGTCACAAATAACTACAAAGCACATGGAGTCTTTGAACGGCAGCTGAGGAAATCTGCCACTTTTATAGAAAGCAATAAGCAAGGCCGCCCTTTTTGTGAAGACAAACGTGCACGAACACAAAAGGTCCAAAAAGGAGCGTCCTTCTAACATATCAATGTAAGTAGGTGTGTGCACATGCATGCGTGCATGTTTGTGTGTGTATTAATCTACTTGGAGTTTGGTTGAAGAGTTACTCTGTGTACTTCCCAACATTTAGTATTTTTGTTTGCATTTTTAACCATTCTGGTATGTATGTAGGCATTTATGACATTTTAATAAACTATGTAGAAATTAATCAGCTAGAATGAAAACATTAGAGCATTGATTAAATCAAGCATAACATTCTTAAGTTGCATACACGAGTCCAACACCAAATTTGCTTTTACAATTTCTAATGTGCTTATTAGAAAGTGGTGTAAGAAACAAAGTAAAAGCATTTGTGAAATATGAGGTAGAATTATTTTCTCCAGCCAGTTGAATGAGCTCTCAGGGTTCAATACCTAAGTTTTTCCAAATTCTAAACATTTTTAACTTCCTCAATCAAAATTCATAGAGTTCTAAAACTTCAAGTTTTCATTTTGTTTTGTTTCTCTTATTTTGTTTCATTTTGTCTCAGTCTCTTAATTGCTCCCATAGAGGCAACACTTGGAGTTTTGGTATGGAGAGAGAATGCTAGGCCAGAGTGTTGGGGTGGCTTGGGGAGAGGAAAGGATTGCAATGATTTGTAATTCATGTATTTGTAAATCAAGTCTTTCCTGTATTCATGAACGGAAACTTTTTTTATATATATAAATAGTAGTAGTTTCTACTGCTTACAAAGGGATGAAGCTCAGAGTATATTTTCAGTTGCTGAGTCTTTTTTCCTGTTAATGTGATCTTGCAAAAGCTAGGAAGCTGAATGAAAAAGATAAAACATTCAACAACAATGTATATGCCTACTACTCTATCTATACTCCTGCTCCAAAAAGTCCTTTGTCTTTTTTTAATTAAAATACCATTTATTCTCTATAAATTCAATGTACAGTGTTTGTTTAAGAAGGCAAGCCTTATGTCATACAATAGTGTTTGTAACACCTGTGCAGTGCTACTCAGCTAACCAGAAGGGGTTTGGTTTATAACGAAATACCTTAACATCTGGTCCAGGAACCCTGAAGAAATGAGATATTGTTATGCAGACTAATTATGCCAAGATGTTTGAAGAAATACTCAAAACCTAAACTACTACAAAAGTATCTATGATAACAGCTGCATCAATAAATTATTTTGTGGCATAGCCAATGAAATGAGAAATCAATAACAAATTTGTAAAAAGCTTGCACAAAAGCTAAATACTATTCTCACTAGAAAACAAGTTTATAAACCATGTAGTTTCCCCACAGCCATTTATTAACTTCGATATGTATATACACACAAACAGAGATCAGTCAGGAGAAGATGTTTAGTTGCTTTTTGGAATTTAAAAGAGTTGACTCAACAAGAATAACAATTGGAACGCTACAAGTGGTATTTTCAGGTAAGCCAATTAATTGCGTTCATAAATTTATCAAGAAAAAAAATGTCTAAATGACTGATTCATAACGTGAAAATAATAAAATACATCAACTTTCATTCTGATTTTGACCACATTGCATTCTTGCTATTCATATAAGCCAAGTAGAACAGTGTATAAATATCAAGATAGCACACCTACATCCATTACGCTTACTCAGAAAGATTTTCTCTAGGGTGAGCCAGGCATTCTAAGTGAAGCTGCTTTCAAAAATGGTAAGACAAATCATTTCCGTAAGTGCAGAGAAAATTGTAGCGTCTATATGATACCCAGCCACGTGTTGAATATATTAGACACTGCTTGTGAGTAATTTTTTCCAAAGGTAAATAAAACAATTTGAAAGGCAGAAAATCATTTTCAAGACATTCATGCACTTAATAAATGAAGAAATAATATTTGTAAAATAAACACATTCATTTCAATGCAATAGAAAATAAGTAGCAAGCTGTGTGTCTATGTGATTAGGCATGAAAATAAGTGTACATTTTCATGAAGAAGGCACATAGCAACCAAAGACAAAACTAGGAAAAAGTTTAGATTCCTTAAGGTTACGTTATAGAACTCTGTTTTCCAATGGATACAAAATCTAATCTAGTTTCAGTTGAAACTTTGTAATCTCAAAAAATAAATGTTCATAAAACCTGAAAATATTTTCCTAAAAAGAGGAATGCCTGTATCACCTAACATATTAGAAGATCAGTTTTGAGGGAAAAGGTGATTAGAACATTCTTTTTAAATGCAGCTTGATTAGTAGGCCGAAGTGGTAAGTAATATGTACAGAAAAAGAAAAAGGGATTAAGAACACTTAAAGTGGATCAGTGATATCTTAGAGTTATAAATCAAAGTCACACAGATCTTAAAGTAAACTTTATAAAATGGTGAGAGAGGAATTATAACCTTAATTAAAAATACAGTTTAATGACAATGGAAGAAACAGATGCTGAGATCTTTTTGGCTTTTTCTTTTTCTTTTTTTTTTTTTTGAGACAGAGTCTCGCTCTGTTGCCCAGGCTGGAGTGCAGTGGTACAATCTCGGCTCACTGCAACCTCCGCCTCCCAGGTTCAAGCAGTTCCCTGCCTCAGCCCGCTGAGTAGCTGGGATTACAGGTGCCCGCCACCACGCCTGGCTAATTTTTGCATTTTTAGTAGAGACGCAGTTTCACCATCTTGGCCAGGCTGGTGTCGAACTCCTGACCTCGTGATCCACCTGCCTCAGCCTCCCAAAGTGCTGGGATTACAGGCTTGAGCCACTGTGCCAGGCCTCTTTTTGATTTTTAATCAAATTGAAATGACAGGCTACGTGAGACACAGATGAGTTTCAGTTTCGTATTTGGGACTATTGACCAAACAGCAGGTAGAAAATGTAGAAAGGATGAAAATTCTATACCTCCACTATGACATCAGATCGTATCAGTCTGTCAGGGTGACGAAGTAAGCCTAGGTGTCCCAAGGTGACAGCCATTGCAGGTGACTTTGAATTATATCTGTTACTTACACCCATTTGCTTGTTCATTCATCCAGCCAGTCCTTTTTCCATCCTTTTATTTATCCATTCATCAAGCCAGGCAGTCCTACATATTTGCACATTGTTTTACTACTAATAAATATTATCTACACTTTTTATTTCTTTTGGCAAACCCATCAAAGGAATAAAGCAATATTATAACAATTCCTTATGTAAACCAAAAGTACCTATGACGATCTCAATCAACAGAAAGTTTATTTTGCCAAGGCTAAGGATGCACCCCTGACACAGCCCCAGAAGGTGCTGACCACATGTGCCCCAGGTGGTCAGGGTGCAGCTGGTTATATACATTTTAGGGAGACATGAGACACAAATCAATAAGATGCACATTGGATCCTTCTGGGAAGGCGGGACAAGTTGGAGCGGGGGACTTCCAGGTCACAAGTAGAGCTAAACATTTTCTGTTTGGCAATTGGTTAAATGAATTATCTAAATATCTGGAATCAATAGAAAGGAAATGTCTGGGTTACAATAAAGGGTTGTGGAGATCAAGGCTTTATTATGCAGATGACTCTTCCAGGTAGCAGGCTTCAGAGAAAATACATTGTAAATATTTTATATCAGACTTACAGAGTCTGTCCTATCACTCCTAAGGTCTTCGTGTTGATGTTTGTGAGGCATGTTTGACTCCCCACTTGAGCTTGGCTGAGGGGAGGATCCATTAGTCAGCTGGGGGACTTAGAATTTTATTTTGGTTTACACTTACAAGTGAGAACAATGACTTTGAAATGCTCAATGATTTACCATATTTCACATAGGAAATAACCTGCATATCTAAGATCTAAGACTTTAAAACTTCAATGTTAAGAGCTCTTTATAATCTAACAGACAAATATAAAGAAGTGAAACCTTGCCTCAAAGAGTTAAATAATCCAATGACTAAATTATTGGGCTTACAAGGTAGCAGATAAAAATGAAACAACTTGCTGAAAAGCTGAAACTGAAACTGCTTCAAAGTGTAGGAAACCAGTAACTAAGAAAAACTTTTGAGGTTGCAGGATACCAGATAAGAAAATAAACAACTGCATTTTGGGAGGCCGAGGTGGACGGATCACGAAGTCAGGAGATCAAGACCATCCTGGCTAACACGGTGAAACTCCGTCTCTACTAAAAATACAAAAACGAAATTAGCCGGGAGTGGTGGCCGGCGCCTGTAGTCCCAGCGAGAGGCTGAGACAGGAAAATGGCGTGAACCCGGCAGGCGGAGCTTGCAGTGAGCCGAGATGGCGCCACAGCACTCCAGCCTGGGCAACAGAGTGAGACTCCGTCTCATAAAAAAAAAAAAAAAAAAAAAAAAAAGGAAAATAAGCAAATTACTGAAACTCCCTCTTCCTTGTGTGTGAGATCAAGAAAAAACTGGCTGAAATCTACTGAAACTAAGATGGGCAATTGGAGTTTGTGAAGAATGAGCTTGCTGATGGCACAGCCTGAATTTCCACCATATGTTTTATACTTACTACTCTCAAAATTGTACGTGTGACTGATCAGGTAGCATGAAGAGATAATTGTGCATGCCCAAGGACTTTCCAGACCTCCCCTTTCCTTCCACCACTTAACCTGCTAATCTCAGATTCTACTACCTGAAACTTTTGTAATTAAAACACCGCTTTGAAGCCAGCACAGGAAGACAGATTTGAGCTTGACCTTTGTCTCTTTGTGAATTGACTTTCAATATAAAGCTTTCCCTTTCTCAGAAACATGGTGTCATAGTACCGGCTTCAAGCGCATCAGGCAATGAATCCATTTGCTTTAATAATAAAAGCAGTGAGCTTGTGGTCAAGAATTGCATCAGTAAGTCAAGACACTTATAAAAATGTGTGGGAGAAAAAAGCAATCATCCTAAAAAGAAACAAAAATAAAATACATAAAACCCCCAAACAACAAAAATAGCAGTTTACTATTGTATTCTAGAAAAATTGAAAAGAAAAAAACTGTTTGCTTTTGCTATACTGCCTTTTCAAGTGGTAAAATGTTAATAACCAGGGCAGTATTTGTTTCTGTTCTCTTCTGTTACTGTTAAAGTTTGATGAATTTGCTGCTCATTTCACTCTTTATTTATATAATGACTATGGGTGAAACAGAATGAAAAAAGCAAATTTGTTAATTTAATTTTCAGTTTTTGTGGCTGAGATAAAGATTTTCAGGGCCCAGTGACTAAGTACGTATAGTAAAAATTTAGGATTATCACCAGATTTAAATCTATGTGCAAATTTGAGAATATTAGTACTGTCAATAATTTCAGTTATCAAAAATGGAAAGAGAGTAGAGATATGGGGAAAATTTAACCTTTACAAGTAATATACGCTATGTGTTTTATTTTAGGATTGCTTACACATCTGTACTCCTGTCAATGTAGCATAGAGAGTGTACTACAAATTTAAAATCATCATTCAATAGCTTTATTGGGAGTCAGAAATTGGACTTATTTTTTAAAAAATTATCTGAATTCTACATTCAATACTAAAAATTATAAACTAGAACAATTCATTTATAAATGTATTACAAAGTGAATTGTCTACTCACACTACTTTAATAATATCGTGACTGGCTAGGCCCAGTGGCTCACGCCTGTAATCTCAACACTTTAGAAGGCCAAGAAAAGTGGATTGCTTGAGTCCAGGAGTTGCAAACCAGGCTGGGTAACATGGTGAAACCTGTGTCTGCTAAAACCACAACAAATTAGCCAGCCATGTTGGCATGGACTTGTAGTTCCAGCTACCCAGGAGGCTTGAGCCCTGGAGGTTGAGGCTGCAGTGAGCCCTGATTATTGCAACTGCACTCCAGCCTGGGCAACAGAGTGAGAACTTGTCTCGAAGTAAATAAATAAATAAATAAATAAATAAATAAATAAAATCATCATCAAAAGAGAAAATATAAAATGATTTAAATGGCTAAACATGTCACTATCATGTAGACCGTGAGGTGATGCAATGAGCAGGGCAGTTTTCCTATGTGGTATTATTTCAAAAATCTATATTATTGGTTTAGTCATGATAAAAAGACCTGCCAAATACAAATCAAGGGATGTTCTATTAAATACTTGACCAGTACTTGTTTAAACTTTCAAGATGATGAAAAACAAGTAGAAAGTGAGAAACTGCCACAGATTGGAGGAATTTAAAGATACTTGATGGTCAAATGCAAGTTGGTTTCCTAGATTGGGTATTTGAAGAAAAGGCAGTGAAAATCTGCGAAATCAGAAAAAAATCTGTAGTTTGTTTAATAGTGTTTTTCTAATGGTAATTTCTTAGTTTTTTTCCAAATGTACTACAGTTATGTAAGATGCTTGCATTAATATAGAGAAAAAGGTATTGGAAAACGATCTGTACTATTTATCTTTGTAAAATTTTATAAATCTATAATTATTTCAAAATTAAAAGTTAAATAATTTTAATAAATAACCTTTATCTTCAGTGAAAAAATAGATTGAAAATATCTACTAAGTAATATACAAATGATAGGCTCTATCATCATTATAAAAGATATTCAACTTAAAGATAATTGCACATTCCTAAAGAAAAACTAAATAACATATCTGTATATTTAACAATTTTCACGTGATATCTAAGAAACTTCTTTCAGGTACAAAGTCTCCTGTATTTTAGGTTTCTCTCTCTCTCCATCTTTCTCTTTCTCTCTTCTTTCCCCCTCTCTTAACTAAAACTCGGTAATAAGATGTACTGTAGACATGATATAGTTAGGAATTCAAGCTTCTCAATTGTAATAGTTTCCTTGTTAATAATATAGTAACTAAGTGTTGTCTACAGTGTGGGCTATATAACCTTACCATGATTTTTTAAAATTATAATCACAGAAGCATTTTTCCACTTTGCAATTATACATACTTGGCTTTGCAACAAATACTGAATTTTTTAATAAGTTGTTTACTGTTAAAAATATATCTTTCCCAATGTATCTTTTATTTAATGACTCACCTCAATCATATTTTTTTCATGTACTTTGTTATTGATACACAAATTTTTAAATACTACGCTCTGACTGGCTGGAAAGAGTACTTCTATCCAACACTGTGAAGAATCTCTCATCATGTGTGACATTTTAAAAAAACTTGATTCTTCTAAACATTAGAGATATTTTTATGTATCTTCAGAAAATTTATTTGCTGAAAAATAAATTATTTCCCATGGCATACTAGTTTCTAAGTATGATTTGAGCCATTTGTTTTAAAATAAGTCAGAATATAAGTTATCTTTCTTTTAATTGTAAGTAAGTAATCCCAAAAGTGCTTTCCAACATATGAATGTATTTAGTATAAAACTTAGTAAACTGTCCTGTGGTCATTAAGTATAAAACATAGAAAGAACATTCTAACCATTACATTATATATATATTTTAAGTTTTGGATTGAGTTTTACATGGCTTTAAATTATTGCAGAAAAAAGTGTTTCAGTTTCCTTCCTATTTTGAATGTTTAAAAATTTTTATTAACTACACACTTCCTTTAACATGATTACTCATTGTCTGAACACACAGTAAGTGTTAGGCAAAGTTTATTACTGGTGACTATTGATTCAATTCTGTGTTTTACATAATTTCATGGTCTTTTGCAACTTTTAACAAAATATTAGGTAAATTTGTTACTATTCTACTTTTACTGAGGCTAAGATATCTACTTGGAATAGAAATTTTGGCTCTGTCATTCTCGTGATCACTTTTGTCATATTCTTGTTGTATTCAGATAGTGATTCATTTTTAGAAATTCTTTAAAAATATTTTGTTTAGTTGTGAAAGGTGAGTTTAATTGAAATAAAATAATATCATCCAAAAATCCCCCTTGCAATATGCAGAAATCTAGTAAGAGCAGTCCTATTAACTTCACTGAATATCACATTTTCTCCTTAAACCCAGGTCATTTCCAATAAAACACATAACCCATGGTGGTCTGGCAAGTACTGATTGAGAACACCTATCTTATTCCTTATAACAAATATAATTAAAATTGCATATCACTCAGTATATTTTCTAAAAAAAAAAATCTGGATAGATATCACTACTGGAGCCTCACAAACCAAGGGATCTTTTTAAAAACTGTGTTTCCTTCTTCTAGGAATGCGGGGAGGTCAGATATTGCAATTTGGAGGATATTCATCACAAAAAACTCCTAGAAAAACATTTGAGATGTGACATTTATGTTGTTGAAGGTCTCATGGATACCCTCTTGTAGAAAGTATAATGATACCACAAACTTGGAGCAAACACTCTAAGATATGCTCTGCAGTTTAGCTTCCTCGTCCTAGAGAGAGAAATGTAATTCCCTAAAAAGCATTTGAAACACAATAATTTCAATGAAAATACATTAAACTTCCTTTTTAAACAAATAGCTCATCCCACCTTTCTTCTGGTTCTCACTTTTTTTTTTTTTTTTTTTTGAGACAGAGCCTTGCTCTGTCACCCAGGCTGGAGTGCAGTGGCGCGATCTCAGCACACTCCAGCCTTCGCCTCCTGAGTTCAAGTGATTCTCCTGCCTCAGCCTCCGAGTAGCTGGGACTACAGGCGTCTTCCACCATGCCCAGCTAATTTTTCTATTTTTAGTAGAGATGGGGTTTCACCATATTGGCCAGGCTGGTCTCAAACTCCTGACCTTGTGATCCACCCTCCTCGGCCTCCCGAAGTGCTGGGATTACAGGCGTGAACCACCTCAAATGGCCTGGTTCTCACATTTTAAAAACATTATATGACTCATATATTAGAAATAGAATATTTAGTAAGCCATTAGTCTAGTGATGTAAACTCAGATGAAGTTTAGAAAAAAAAAAACTTTGTTAATAGCACTAAACTAACCAAATTAATAATTTGGTTTTTTTATGCTATGCAAAACTTAACTGAAGACTTCAATGTTAACATAGTCTAAGTCATTATGTAACCAGTGTATTCCATGTGTTCAAAAGTTCTCTTAGCAGAAATTCATAAGGTCAGAACATTCTTAGCGTGATGTAAACAAATATAGGCATAAAATTGTGCTTTTATAAAGGAATCTTTTTTTTTTGGTCTTATCCATCTACCCTTTATTTTTTAAAAAAGAATTCTAGCAATGTGAGACCCAAACATTCAAAAATAACAATGTGCACTTGAAGCTGTAGAATGAGGAATTAATATTTTATCCATAAAAGAAAATGTTAAATTTTAATCTGACTCAGTTTATATTGTTTTTTCTAGACATGTTTTAAGGTGGCGATTATTTCTATGTCTACCTATTTCACTTTTTTAATAGGTTAACATTAACAATCTTTTTGTCAAAAATAGCTAAAGATAAAATCCTGGGCTAAGATTAAATTTTAAAATAGTATTTGTTTGCAATATTCAACATGAATGGCTACTACTGTGCATAAAACAGATCATGAGTGAGATTAGATCTTGTTCTGTAGCTTTCGGCAAGAAAGCCTGAAAAACTGGGAAATACTGGAAGAGTACAGATAAAGTAATCTTCTGTAAAAATACTTTCTGTCCATCAAAGTATAAGCTTCTGGCCACACTCTATGCTAATAATAAAAATACTAAAGCTCTTTTCTTTTGCCCCTAAATTCTCCCAATCAATTTTTCTTTGTTTGTCCTTTAAAATAACACTTGGCACTTAAAATTACATTATCAGAAGATTCTGCAAATGCTAACCACTGAAATCACCACCTTTCCAAAACCTCAGCAAGTAACAGAACTTAGAATGGACTCAGCAGATAAAAGACGAGGGACTGGCAAATTATGTCTTTATGGTATGATCTCAATTGATTGCCTTAGGGTTTAGAACCATAAAACTTCATTCCTGTGTTTTTTTGTTAAATCACCATGGATCAAGTTAATAGCGGACACATCATTTTAACATTTCCTCATTAATCCACGTTACAGTAATTGGCATTTAATCTTTATGAAATAGGGCATTTTACCTTTGACTAGATTGATTTATTACATTTTCTTGAAAATGATAAAACAGAATGTTTTAGGAGAAAAACAGATCTAAAAATATAGTTATAACTAAAATAACTTAAAACTATAAAAATATTTTTTATAACATCTTAAAGTTTAAAAAAATCACTTTAAAAATAACTCTCTTCTCACTTTCCACATAAGCAGTAATTTAAACAAAAATTTCGTCTGCAATGCTATGAGAAACTAACAATAAAGGGAAAGGCTGTTTGTTCTCCTAATTTCACATCTGATGTATTTATAAAACTCCAAGTATGTCTCCATAACGTATTTGTGTATGTTGTGCTGAGGTAGAAGATAGGATGAGAGAAAAGCAAGATGAAGGAGAAAACTGTGACTCAGAGAAGATACTTTGATTAAGACCCCCTTATAATTATAATCCCTCTGGGTTGTACCAAACCTATGTCTACCACCTTACTCTGCTTCCATCCCTGTGACAGAGAAAACACACATTTATCTGAGGGGTATCATTGAACATAAACTTCTTTTGTTTCCATATATTTCTACCAGAATTAAACAAATGAAGTCGTATTATTTATATACCAAATATGTCCTATCCTCTAGTTGTGAAGATTTGATTGTTTCATTTAAGCTTAGTTTCTGATTTTTTTTCTCTGTATAGTTAGGCATTCTTCAGATGATTTTTTTTCTTTTTTATTCTACAGTGAAAAATTCTGTTTATTCCTGAAGATATTTAGTCCTGAGTGATTATAATAATTCTTCATTTCAGATCCCATCAAGCATAGAAAATTTCAAAACAATGAGTTATGTTGTCCTTTCATTTTGTTTTGTTTTCATTTGTTTTTAAGATCTTCTCCTACATTATAGAGGTAGTATGGAATGACTTTTACTTTGAAGGTTTATTTGTGTCTTTACCCTGAGGTGTCTAAAATACCCACTCAGATTCAAAATTATGAGGTATTGGCAAAGTTTTATAGGATTTTGTTCAATAAACTTTTTGCCACACATTTCATCTCAGTAGGGATGTGCTGGGTGTGGGTAGAGGTAGCTGTGGAGGCACGTTGGTACTGATGCAGGAGTTTTTGCTCCTTAGCTCAGCTACAATCCAGGTTCTCGTCTCATGACCTGGAAAAATTAGGCACGCAGATACATTGAAAGGTGAGGAGAGTGGAATTTATTAAAAGAAAGCTCTCAGCAAATAGAAGGAGGTTCTGCCAACAGGCTCCCATCTCACAGATTGGATACCAGGCTAGCACATACGAGCTGAAGAGGCCCGTCTCCCCCACTGCATAAGGCACAAATTCCCCATGGCTCCACTCCATTCTTCCAGTGCACATGCGGGCCCTTAGTGTGAGCCACTCCGTGTTGATTATTTCCCTTTACTGAACATGAGTTAAGGGACGGAATTTTTCATCATGGGCATGTTTAAGCAAGACCCCTATACACAATGACCTGGGTGGCACTTGGCTGTCTCCTGTCTCTATCAGTAGTTTTCTCAAACTATCATACACTCTCATTGCCAACAGCCATTTTTAAAGATCAAGACATAAAGTTATACTTCCTATCTTCCTTAACTGGTAATTCTATATGCTAAAAATTTTGGTTTCAAATTTCAATTTGCCATCAGATTCTGAGAGTTTCTGATACAATCGAGCTTAAAAGTCTATCTAAATAATATGCCTCAAGGAACATGAGTAGGGGCACTCGAATTGTTTAATACCTTTTTTCCATTGCAGATGATTATGTATTAAGCAAAGTTTTGGATATAATCATTTTTCTTTCTTAAAAAATAAATCAAGGTTTTGGCTTAATAATTAGGCACATCGCTCAACATAATTCTTCATTCTTATTTTTGGATACCTAACTGTCTAAAAATATGAATTATTATATTCATAGTCTTATTTGCCTTCCTTTAGCTCTTTATGAAAACATAAATGCAACCTACTGTATTGTGTTTCAGTTTTACTCAATTAAATAATATTTAATTTATACCGTTTTTAGCTTTTTCTGTTGTACTTAATTTTCTCTTAGAGAAGTTGCCAAACTACTGTTTCCTCAAGTTTATTAAAATATAATTGACAAAAATATATATATTCAAAGTGTACAACATGATGTTTTGATATATGTATACATTGTAAAATGATTAAATGAAGCTAATTAACATATCTATCTCCACATATACTTATTTTCTGTGTGTGCTGTTAGCACATTTAAAATTGAATTTCTTGGCAATTTTCAAGTATAGTATCCAGTGTTAATAACTGTAGTCACCATGCTGTACATTCAATAATTTATTCATCCTATCTAACTGAAACATCGTACCTTCTAAACAATTTATCTTCCCATATCACAGCCCTAGTAACCACCATTCTACTCTGCACTCCTGAGTTTTACTCTTTTAAGTTCCACATAGAAGTGAGGTCATGCAATATTTGTCTTTCTGTGCCTGGGTTATTTCACTTAGCATAATGACCTCCAGGTTCATCCATGTTGTCTCAAATGACGAATGTTCCTTTTTAAGGCTGAATATTACCCCCACTTTGCCTCACAGCTGTGGGACCAAAAAATGCAGCCCACATGGGGTTATATACGTCAGAGGTCATGAGACACACTGGGAAAAGTATTGAAGGAAATCCTGTTTTTAGGGGAGAAAGAAACAAACCCCAGGATTTTTTTGATTATTGCTCCTTAATTCAAGAGGCTACATTCCCTAGGAGGAACAGAAACAAGACCTGAGCTTTTACAGACAGTTCTTCCCTAATGGAGGATATTGCATTCTCTGCGTATTCTACAATTATTCTTGGGAATTACAAGTAAGAATGGGAGAAGAACTGGGCTGGACCAAGGTCACCTGGAGAACGGTTCTTGCAGAAATTAAAAAATATCTTGAGACAAATAAAAATGGAAACACAAAACATAGTGAGACCTCACCTTTAAAAGAAAAAAACGAAATGGAAGCACAAAATACGAAAACTTATGGGATGCAGCAAAAGCAGTTCTAAGAGGAAAGCTTAAAGCAAAAAAATGTCTATATTGAGAAAAGAAAAACAGCTCGTATAAACAACCTAATGCTGGCTCAAGGAACTAGAAAAAGAAGACCAAAATAAGCCCAAAGTTAGCTGAAGGAAGGAAATTATCAGAGCAGAGATAAATGAAATGGAGACTAGAAAAATAATAGAAAAAGTAAATAAAACTAAGCATTTGTTTTTCAAACGATAAACAAAATTGACAAATCTTTAGCTAAATTAAAAGAAAGAAGACTCAAAGTCATAAAATAAAAAATGAGAAAGGGTATATTACAGCTAATACCACATAAATACAAAAGATCATAAGAGATGGGTATTAACAATTTATGCCATAATTCAGTCTGAGTATTTTTTACATTTCTAAGATTTTATCCATTTGGATAACCTAGAAGAAATGGATAAAATCTTAGAAATATAAAATATACTCAGACTGAATTATGAAGAAATAGAAAATCTCAACAGATCAATAGCATGTGCAGAGATTAAATCAGTAATAAAAAAATCTCAGAAAGAAAAAAGACCCCTCAGAACCTTATGACTTCTACTAACATTTAAAGAAGAATTGGCGTCAGTCTTTCTCAAAGTCTTCCAAAAAACTGAGAGGTGGGTAAACTTCTGAACTCATTTTATGAGGCCAACATTAACTTAATATCAAAAACAGGACACTAAAAAAAATTGTACAATATCCTTAATGAATATAGGTGCAAATAATTCCCAACAAAGTACCAGCAAACTGAATTCAACAGCGTATTCAAATATCATATACCATGATCATGTGGGATTTATCCTCGGGATTCAAGCGTGGTCCAAGATATGCAAATCGGTGAATATGACATACCGGAATAAAAGAGTGAAGAATAAAAACCACATGATCATCTCAATAGATGCTGAAAAAACATCTGACAATATTCATCATTCTTTCACAATAAAAATGCTCAAAAAAGTAGGTATAGAAAGAATGTTTCTCAATTTATACATATAGAGTATACTAAACACTTCTATATTCAAAGTAACTTACAGCATAAAAGTTCTAAGAGTGATGTGGTTTCAGTGCTCTCAGCATTCTTTTTTTTTTGATACTGGATTAGAGAAAAATGTGTATTTGGATAGACTAGTTATGATGCTTTTACAGTCATTTGCCACATAATAAAGTTTCAGTCAATGATAATTCACATTTACTATGGTTGCCCCAAAGATTTTAATGGAGGTAAAAAATTCCTATTGCATCGTGATGTCTTGATGATCCTGACCTTCTGTAGGCCTAAGCTAATGTGTATGTTTATGTCTTACTTTTTTTTTTTGAGACAGTCTCGCTCTTTCGCCCAGGCTGGAGTGCAGTGGTGCGATCAGCTCACTGCAAGCTCCGCCTCCTGGATTCACACCATTCTCCTGCCTCAGCCTCCAGAGTAGATCGGGACTACAGGCGCCCGCCACCACGGCCTGCTAATTTTTTTGTATTTTTAGTAGAGACGGGGTTTCACCGTGTTAGCCAGGATGGTCTGGATCTCCTGACCTAGTGATCCGCCTGCCTCGGCCTCCCAAAGTGCTATCTCTTACTTTTTAACAAAAAAAGTTTTAAAAGTTAATTAAAAAAAAAAAAAAAAAATAGAGGCCGGGAGCGGTGGCTCACGCCTGTAATCCCAGCACTTTGGGAGGCCCAGGCGGGCAGATCATGAGGTCAGGAGATCCAGACCATCCTGGCTAACACGGTGAAAACCCGTCTCTACTAAAAATACAAAAACAAAATCAGCTGGGCGTGGTGGAGGGTGAACCTAGGAGGCGGAGCTTGCAGTGAGCCGAGATCGCGCCCCTGAACTCCAGCCTGGGCGACAGAGCAAGACTCCATCTCAAAAAAAAAAAAAAAAAAAAAAGAAAAACCTTATAGAATAAAGATAATGAAGATAGAAAATATGTTGTGTATAACTGTACAATGTGTTTCTGTTTTAAGCTAAGTGTTATTTAAAAATAGAAAAAAGCTTATAAAGCAAAAAGTTACAGTAAGTTGTGATTAATTTCTTAATAAAATATTTTTAATAAACTTAGTGCAGTCTACATATACAGTATCTGCAGTAGTGTACCATAATATCCTAGGCCTTGACATTTACTCACCACTCACTCACTCAACCAGAGCAATTTCCAGCATGGCAAACTCCATTCGTGGTAAGTGACCCATACAGGTGTCCCATTTTTCATCTTTTATACCATATTCTTATTGTGCCTTTTCTACATTTAGGTATGTTTATATACACAAATATTTGCCATTGTGTTACAATTGCTGACAACATTAAGTACAGTAACAAGCTGTACAGGTTTTTAGCCTAGGAGCAATAGGTTATACCATATAGCCGAGGTGTGAAGTAAGCTATACCATCTATGTTTGTGTAAATACACAGTATGATATTTACACGAGAAGAAATTGCCTAATGACACATTTCTCAGAATGTATCCCTGTTCTTAAGTAATACGTAACTATGCAAGAATCCAGAGAAAGATTATGTTAAATTGAACTGGATAAAAATAGTTTAAATTAGATTTTTTTAAAAATCTGACTAGATTGAAATAGTTTAAAGTAGGTAAAAAATCTGTATGTTCTTAACTTTTTCTGTGAAGTGCCTCATAGTAAATATTTTAGACTAGACTATCTCTGTTACCTCTGATGTTATAGCATGGAAGCCTCATAGATAATCTATAAACAAATGAGTATTGTTCTTCGAACAAAACTGTATTTACAAAAGCAGGCAGTGGACCACATTTGGCCCATAAGGTATAGATTGTCAATACCTGTTCTAATAAACAAACAAAACATATTTCAGGCTTTTTTAAAGGATATTAATGTAAAGTTTTAAAGCTGGCTTAACCCGTTTATTTTTACATTTCTTTTATGAGGAGGGGACATATTTTAAAAATCTAATTCTAATGTAAATAATTATTTAAAAATGATTATAATTATTTATTCATAGTGTGAAATACATGTGACAACTTTAAAACTTTCTTCAAATGTCTTAATGCGTATAAATATGTTATATAAAAACATGGAGCAAAATACAAAAAGTACAAATTTAAGCTTATAGAAAATTCTTTAAACGCTTGCACAGTGCAAAGCTAGCCTGTCATCATTTCTGCACATTCTTTAACTTTTATTACTAGACTTTATTATATCCATTCTCATGGAATTGTAGAAGTGGAAACTGGTATGGATGCTAAATTCAATGAGCCATTAAATAGGTGACAATAATCATGATATTTTCTCTTAATATTAATTAGAATAAAGTCACTCATTTTGAAATTATCACCTATGTTGCCCAAAGAGAATACTTTCATAAAATCTAAATTACAACCAGGAAGAAAAAAGACATTTTTATTAATTAACAACCACATTGAGTAATTGAATAGCTGAATGAAATTTTGGGATAGCATTAAATATTTCTCTTAATTATTTGCTTTTTAGATATAAGACATAAAGACAGAAATTTCGTTATTGTCGATTCCTTTTCTTTTTAGGGTAAATAATGTGTCATGATTTCAGTGAAACTTTTGAAAAATTTTAAACACCCCAAGTTTCCATTTAATCAGACAATAATTTTAAAATAATAGCTAATATTTTAAAGGCACTTATTTTCTTCCAATTAAATTGTAAGCAACAATTTAAGATGGGTACTATCAATACATCTCTTTTACTAGTGACAGAACTGAGGCCCAGGGACTTTAGATGACTTAATCATAGTCCAGCGATGAGAAAGCTGGAGAGTCCCAGACAGTTTGTGCTTAGTCAGTGCTTCTTATAAATGGGCAATTGGAAAATGAGATCTATACACGTAAAACCATTTATTCATGACATTTATTTGTTTCTGTGTCTCACACACATATGCACATATGCATGAACACTCATGCACACTCGTGTGCATCACTGGCATGGATGTACACACAGAGATGGGCAAACACACTGCAGTGTCCACAGAGCTTTGATGAACTGGTTCTAGACTTTGTTCTATCATTAGCTGAAATAATTTTGGAAACTGACAATCTCATTTGCATCATCTGTGAAACGGGGGTGGGAGATTAAGTAGTATAAATGATCTTTAAGAACTTTGTTTTTGTAGTTGATTTTGTTTTAACTTTCTAAATTATGGTTTATCAGGGTAGAGTACATTGGTGATTCATAATAATAACCAATTTCAATCCAAATCATAGGGTCAGATATTGTTACATTTTACCATTTTTTTCTTTCTTTTATATGTAAATGTGCAAACTTAATGGCCCCAGCTGTGTCATTTTCTCTCATCTGAACACTTTGTGCCTTTTACAGGTTTAGTGTCAGAGCTAAGCACCTATTTTATGACTAAGGATAAGTATTTTAGACAACCTAAATGGGGGAAAAAAAGAACTTACCCTAAAATGATAAATAAGAGGTTTCTATGGTCTGAAAATTCCGTGTCTTGATTATATGATCTTTCTCTTTCTGATTTCTAATGGGTGCATTTGGGAAGGGAGCCACTTCCACTGCTCCATTTAAAAAAATATTCCTAGACATTGTAAGTTGACAGTTTTATTGCTCTATCTGCTCTATCAGTTTCTCTATCTACCTACCAGGAGGTCCCAAATGAAAATACATTCTGCAGATATTCATGGACCAGCCACTAAACAAGTTCAGGTGTAAAAATCAATATGGGTTCAACTATGGAAAAATAATTGGCTTTTGCTGCCTCACGGACCTTTCTACTGAATACATCAGACTTAAACAGAGCTCCGCCATTCTGGGGCTTATTACAAGTGAATATAAGTTTTTCTTGTGCTCTGACAATTATCAGGCTTGAGTTATAACAAATATACTTTACTACTTTTTTTGTGGACTTTGATCAGTGGTAGTATTCTAGCTGCCTCATTATAGAAAATAATATAATGTTGTTGCCAGAAGCAAACACAATTTGTCAATTACTTTTGTTATTATTTCCTATGGAAAATAACTTCTGGTAACTGTGGACTGATGTAAAAACCACACACCATGTCCAAGTTGCTTGGGAAATAAAACATGTCAGTACACTATATTCGATGACTGTTTAAAAAATAATAAATAAGCCGAATTGTTCTGCAGTGACATGATATATGGGAATGGTTTCAAAAAAGCATAACGTATTACTTCATATCATTCACATTGATACAATAAATTAAGGATCATATATTAAAGCTTTTAAAAAATATCTCTTGCTCTGGTAGTAGCTGACATTTAGCTAATTTACAAAGATAAATCATAGTTAAGATATCTGCTCTTTTATGGTTTAAGTCTTGAAGCTAATAGACAAAAATTAAAACTGTAAAATAAATAACAATTTGTTTCTGACTTTCAGTTATACATTTCGAAGTTGAAACTTTTTTTATATTCAGAATGACCAGAAATGTTTTAAAGTATTATTTTATAGGATGTTTAAAAACATATAAAATATAAATTAATTCATTAAGAGAAACGTAAAAATGACAGCAGACAAACTGTGATTACTTTTCTGAATATATTTCTTTCAGCAGTGTTCTGTCTTTCTCAGATTTTAATGTATGTATCTTTCTTTTTACAATTGGAAACAAGCAGAACATGTAGCTTAAAGTTTTAAGAGTTGGGAAGTAATAGTTTCTCATCTGAATACTTGCCTTGTGACATGATTCTAATTCTTAACTCCATGTTTTCAACTTCAAATCTTTAAAATAGAATTACTTTCAATTTTTCAAGAAAATGTAAAAAAATAATTTGTAAAGATAGACTCATTTATCTGCTTATTTGCTAAAAATTAAATTAGAAAAATGCTACGTTAAATCTATAAAATTCCTTTCTTTAGAAATTAATTTTCCTATTTCTTGAACAGTTTATTGTCTCTACTTTTTGTTATTCCTTAATAAACTAAAACAATATTTAAAAATCAAAATAAATGTAATCTAAATGGGCATACCTATTTAAGAACTATGATTTCTTGCAAACTTAATAGATTTTAAGTAGCTCATCATCAAATATAACTAAAAATGAGTGATTTGTTAAAATGGAAATCATTGTCAAATGTAATTAGAATGTATTATATATGCTAGTATTGCATGTAAATAGTTGATTAGAAAACAATGGAATCTCTAGGGCATGGTCATGTAATCAAACACCAGAAAATGTTTTCAGTACATTGTTGGGCCTGAAATGTCTCACTGTATCAGTAAAGAGACTATTTTCATTAGACTCAAAGAGTAGCATCAAAAATAAATACTACTTTTGTATAATAGATAAAGCAATAAGACCATAGAGACTTAAAATATAAGTACATTATTTTGACATTTAGTTGGCATTTATTACCTGTAAGAGTGATGGTATCAAAAACCTAAATATTTTGTGAATAAATCATATTTATCTATCTAGTGATTCTGGCATAAATGAAGATGATACTTTGTCTTTGCTAAATATTATTAAATATAATTTTTTAAATAAAATTTTCAGTTTCCCCATTGATTGTAACAATGGGCATATTTTTCTTCCAAAACTAATGAAATTCTCATATGTTCTTACACACTTTGAGGCTTCTTAGCTATTTTAGATTTCTCTGCATTGTGGATAAGTGTAGCATTATCATAAGTATCAGGGGAGAAAAAGTATTGGTTTTTTAGTGAAAATTCTGATGCATAGGTAACAATGGGTCACACCAATTATATGACTATCAATGTGCTCATTTCTTGACATCACCAAATTATTACATATATGCCTAATTATTTATATGAGTTTATGTACATTAATGCATAGTTACAGGTTTCTTGTTCTCTAGTACTCTATTCTGAACAAATTTATCCCCATAATCACTAAGTACTTCAAGTTATCAATCTCTTTGTCATTCATATGTCATATAATCCTAACAACAATCTTGTAAGTGATATTTTTCTCATGCAGAAACTGAGACCCAGTGAAGTTCAGCTAGTAGACAAAGGTCACAGTTAAGAAAGTGTGGAGATTGAACTAAAACTTAGGCCTTCTGGCTTCTAATTTAGTTCTATCTTTATAGTTACATTACTTCTACCTGTAGAGTTTTTTTCGCCTCTTTAACAACAGTACCAGTGCCCTTTCTAACTCTCACTTGCATTAAGTAACAGAGACTCTCTCCACAACTCATTATCGTCATCCTCACATACTTATTTCCAATAGGTTTTATTCACTTTATGAACCAGGTCAGCATCTCTCTATTTATAAAATCTCTAGGGACTTGTTAATGCTTACCTCACATCTATTTATTTTGTACTCCATCCACCTCATCCAGCATCCAGTAGCGCTTGTCTTCTTGGTAGTGTCAAAAAACCTTCTAGCCTACAGCATCCTCTATTAAAAAAAGCACTCTTCTACCTCTGTAACTCATCAGTGACCTAATATGTTGTGCACCTCTACAACTACATTGAAGTTTCTTGTTAATGATATATGTATACATAGATAAATATAGATGTGTATATATATGTATATATATAATATACACATATGACATGTATACACTATTTTGGAGGAGTTTATTTTATTGTTGTGAAACAAAATTATAGTATTTTGAAACAATTTATTATGTTGTAATTGTGGTATAAAGAAAGATGCTGTAAAAAATGTGAGCTGCAAAATATGTAACTCCACACAACTAGATGTTATATTTTAAAATGGAATAAGTTATGTAGACCCCTTTTTCATTTTTTAAATAAGGCCCTTATGTTTGCATGATCACCTATATTTGTTGCTCTGAGTTTCAGCCCAACAGGACCTTACATGGTTTAATGAATTCTGTACTAAAAAATAGAGTCTGCTATCCAGTGTTGACTAATATGAAATCTTCATGAAATTGTATCTGCTGAAAAAGAACAGATAAGACAGGTTGTCTGAAATTATACCTGGAACAGGTACATGATAGGTTTTTTAATGTGATAAGGAGGGCAATATCATTTCAGACCAATGACACTAAGTCTGGGAAGCTGTAAAGCAATGAATCCAATCTCTTGCTATCAAAATAAGATCTATGAAAGAAAATTAATAAGTAAATGTCTTCCTTTCATCATGACGGCATTTGGGAGTTTTAGCGCTCTGTAGCCCATTAGTCAGTTTAGTTAATGACTCTGCTTATCCTCTTAATCATGTGTAGCACATTGACTGAGCTTCATTTAGTTCAAAGTGCCTTTCAGAAGCTCTGAACTGAATCCTAGTTGTGGAAAATCTTACCTTTCCAGAGTACAAAACATATTTAGTTCACATCTCTTACATTTTAGGATGTCTTCAGAAAAATTGAAGTGCTTCTAAGTATAGAAAATGAAAATCAAGATAAGGCCCAAAGAGATCATGGTTTCAATTCTTCACTGTTTACACATCCATGGCTTATTTAAGGCTTGAAACATACATTAAATTCACAGCAAATTCTAATAATAAAGAAAGCAAAGGCACTAACAGCAATTTTAATAGAATATTTTCCCTATTATAATAATTTATATGTCTGCCTGTTTAAGGAAAATACTTTTAACTTCAATAAGATACAGTGCTGATTGAGACATTATAATCACATTAATGTTATCATTTAGAAGCTATTAAAATATTGTCCTCCCCTATTAATATGGCAGTGGATTTCTCTTATGTGAAATCAGAAAATTTCAAGACATTGTAACTAACAAACCTAATATAAGAATAAGAAACCTTATTCATTCATTGTAAAACCCATAAGAGAAATAACAATATAATTTAGTCTTTTCTTCTTAGGTGAAAATAATTAATGTTGATCAAGGATTTTGAGTACGTAAATTTGGTACCAATAAAGTTTAGGGAAAAAAATCAAGTTGAATTGTACAGAATTGTTTGATTCGTTAATTTTCTCCTTTCTTCCAACCATCATTGTGTTTTTCCTACCCCCAAACTCATGTAATTGCAACATGTTTAATGTGTATTACCTTGTAGAATGTATATTGCTGTATATGTTCATTTTAATATATATAAATATTAAGTTATATATATCATTTGGTTTTGTTTTTTACTTAGCATTATAGTTATAAAATTCACCTACATGTCTAGACCTGATTTATCATTCCCACCTGGAGGATAGAACTTGGAGGATAGAATTTGACGATAGAAAAATATCCTCTACATTTTTCCTATTTAATCTAACAGTGATAGATGCCTTTCAACAACCTTACCTCACATCAGTGCTGTGATAAATGTGCTTCTTGTTGTTGTTGTGTGTTCTAAGCAAGACATTTTTTTAGTTGTATTCAGTAACAACATTGGTAAGCAATAGGATACATGCAGCCAAATTTATTATGTACCAAAGACTCTTCTCCCTGGAGCTGTTGTGCCAGTTTACATGCACATTAGCAGAATATAAGGGATCTCATGTCCCAACATCCTTGGAACACTTGACGTTATCACGCTTTCTGATTTATGCTGATCTAATGGGTAAAAAGTGATATCTTACTGCTTTTTTAAGTGATATTTTCTGCATACCACATTTTGAGCTTTTCTGCAAATTGTTAGCTTTCTTGGTTTATAATTTCTATAAACATTTTCCGGTATTGTTATTAATCCTTTATTAATTAGAATTCCTGTCTGTTCTTGTTGATTTACAAGAATTCTTTGAGATCATAGTTTGGCAAACTTTGTTCTGCACAGGACCAGATAACAAATATTTTAAGCTTCGTGGGCTATATAACCTTTGTCATAAATACTTAACTCTGCCATAGTAGCATGAAAGCAGTCTTAGGCAATAAATAAACAAATAAGTGTGACTGTGTTCCAATAAAACTTTATTTACAAAAACAGACCATTGGCCAGATTTGACCCATAGGCCACAGCTTGCTGATACTTAATGCTCATAAATGATAAAGTCACCAAGAAAAATATCAGGAATGGTGATGAAAAAAAGATAGTTTGATAGGCACAAATGTCATTAGAAAATGACAGAAGAATTAGAAGTTTAATAGTGGAGTTATGAAAGGTAAAATTATAAATTTGATAGAAGTAAGTTTAAGAGAACATTTTTGCTATCCAACCCACAAGTCAATACGCAAACAAAGAAACCAGCCAACAAGTAAAAAAAGCTATTTAAATTTTCTGTTCAAAGAACACGATAGAGAAATTAAAACATCAAACATTAAATGGCAAAAGAGAATTATAATAAACAACAAATGAGACTGATATCTAAAACTACAGCTATTTGATATTCTCTTAAGTGTAATTGCTCAAGAACAAAGAAGGACCAAAAAAACGAAAAGAAGAGGAAGAGATAATTCATGTCTCTGAAAAATTTAAGGCATTTGCTTCTAGAAAGCGAAGATTTGCACAATTATAAGGGGTAAGCCTCTGATGAATTTCTAAGTAAAGAATAGAAATTTAACTGTGTTTAATTCTAACAAGTTGAGTTTATGAAAGGCCATGATTTAACATGCCTGAAAGCATAGAATTTCACTATGATATGATCAAAATGAAGCTGAAATAACATAGAAAAGTGGAGATAACATACATTTAATTTTATGTTTTATTTATTTAGACATTTACTCTTTATTTTAATAAATGTCTACTTATAAATATATTTTATTTTGTTTCTTACACAAGTACATTAGTGTGTATATGTGTGTGTGTGTAAAATATACACATTTTTATATGTTAAGAAAAAAGACAATTATTAAGAAATCAGAGTTCTAGATAAGCAGGAACTGCAACAGGTGTGTTCCAAAATAATATATTAGTTACAAATCCCAAAGACAAAGGCTAACAGTGCTGTCATAATCCCTTGAAATAAAATTCCTAGGCCACTGGGCTATTTTTACAGAGATATTCTTAAGATATACATAAGTTTTCATGATAACAATATGCTAAGTGAATATATTACAATGACAGAACCTTAAGTTAGGTAATTCTGGCCTCACAAAACTCAAATAATATGTCTTTTCTGGGAACTCTACCACAAATAAAAAACTTAAAATCTATATGAAATTCAAATACTTAAAATTTTCATGATAAAACAAATGCAATGTTTTTATTAAAGAAAACTAAAGTCATGTTTAATTAATCCTCCATTGCAAAAGTACCATAAGCAGACTAAGAATCATAAAAAACAACATCCTCAGCCAATATGAGGCTATTCTTTCTCTCTTTTTATTTTCCTTTCTTCCTCTTCCTCTCCCTCCTCCTCTCCTTCCTCCTCTCCCACCATCTCCCTCTGCTCTTGCTTTCCCTTTTCCTCTCTTCTCCTCCCTTCCTCCCTGCCGTCCTTTCTCCATTTTGCTTTTAGGTTTGGTTTAAATATTGAAAACTTAGCAAAATACAAATGTTTTATCTGGTAAATTTCCTTAAAACATAGAAGGTAACCATGACAAATATAAAAATAAACTTTAAGAAGAAAAACTGATGAAGAAAGATATTTAAATCTATATAATAAGACTTTGACTGTATTTGTACTTTTTAAAAATTATGCAGATTTTGTACATTTCTTATGCACATAAAAATCATATATATAATTTGTGATTTTTATATTTTATAAGCAGTTAAGTAAGTTTTCCATCCTCTTTAAATGCTTGTGGGAATCTGGTTAAGTTCATAAGATTTCATATGCTCTTTGGGTAGTTACTGTGGCTATTTGGGGAAGCGTTAATATCTGAATTAATGTTAAAGAAGTAACTTGTGAGGGCCGGGTGCGGTGGCTCACGCCTGTAATCCCAGCACTTTGGGAGGCTGAGGTGGGCGGATCACGAGGTCAGGAGTTCGAGACCATCCTGGCCGACATGGTGAAACCTCATCTCTACTAAAAACACAAATGTTAGCTGGGCATGGTGGCGGGCACCTGTAATCCCAGCTACTTGGGAGGCTGAGGCAGGAGAATCGGTTGAACCCGGGAGGCAGAGGTTGTGGTGAGCCGCGATCACGCCATTGTACTCCAGCCTGGGCGACAGGGGAAGACTCTGTCCCAAAACAACAACAACAACAAAACTAACTTGTGAAATGAATTAAGTTGGCATTTAAACATGAACAGTATCAAGTATCTGTCTCTGAATTAGGAAAATGTTACTAAATTTTTAAAAAGTATAAAATGCTCCAAAATTTTAATTTCAGGCGTCCTAGTCTTTGTCCATCTCTGCTCTTTTTAGCTAACGTATTCTAGTAATTCCATTGCAATAATTGTTTACCCCCTTTGGGAGTCCTAGCCAGTTCTTACTACCAGTTTTTCTTTATCTGTAACCCTCATGTCCTCTAGCTCTTTCTTCTCGTGCTTTGACCGTTAAACTTCATTCCACCTGTGTAGTCACAGGAGCAGCCGAACATGACTAGAGCAGAATGCATTCTGCACTGAGTTAGTGCAGTTTAAATATATGACACATTTCATGTTTCCTAAGCTGATTACACTTCAATATGTTTCCCGAGTCAATTTAATCTCTCAATTTCAAAAATAGAAATTCTGTATTATTTTGTCATGGTAAATATTTCTATACCTGTTCTGCCTCCTCATGCTACTGAGATTCTTGAATCTGTGCTTTAGAGAAGCATTTGAGGTCTGTGGAGAAAATTCAGGTTTTCATAAACTTGAATGGGAAAATAAAATGAAATATTTTGACTAATATATAAGTGAAATTTAACCTTTTCTTCAACTAAGAATGTAGCAATAACCCTTGATGCCTTAACTGTGTCTTTGAACTTTATAGAAAATGCATATATTTAATAGCACATTAGAATTGTTGCCAAAGTTGAAATATGTCGTATCTTCATCACTGCTTCAAAGTGATAATAGATTTAAAATCTGCCATTGAATCCTGTAATTGAATATATTAATAAAAATGCACATTTATTGTTATGTCAAAACTAGTTTCTATTAAAACTTTGGACACTAATAATTTTTAGTATAATTATAATTTTTCTTATCCTTTATAATATTGTGTATTTCATGCATTTCTAAGAAGTCTACCAGAGAACTAAAAGATCCCTGACTTACACACACATGAAATAAAGATATACTGACAATAATCTGACTTCTTACTTCATAGAAGATGAAGAAGAGAGTTACTTCATCTTCACCCTGCAAAATCCATTCATCTTTGATCCATCTATTTTATCTAGCATTCTTATTTTCTGGTTTATTTCCAGTTTAAATGAAATCTGTAAACCAGCTACTAAGGCCAGACATTCCACTTATGCATAGGAATTATTTTCTCTTTATCTACTCAATAAATTTGTTCTTGTGTGGCTATCTTCTCTCTCCTGCATCATCAATTTTTCCTTTCTTACTTGCTGACTGAAATACATTAACAGTAAAAGGATCTCTAATGTCTATTATATTTGAATTGCATAAATTTTTCAGTGGCCCCTATAATGTTCTTATTCCCTTTATTTTTTTACAAGGCTCTTGCTTACAGATGTTATATAGTTTTTTGCTTATAACCTGTGTTCTTCACTGGAATAGGATCCTTAAAAGCACTTCCTTTGTCTGTTTCTGCCCCCTCACCCCCAACTGCAATCACTTAGCCTAGAATATGGTGGTAACTCAATAAATATGCACTGGATGGAAAATTGTCTGTAAAAGTGAACCTCAAATAGGAAACAACTAAGTCTAATTTTCCATGAATAAGATATATATAGTAATTGTATAGTTGGAACAATGGTAGCATCAGAAAATTACTTATTAAAAATCTCTAAGTTTCAGAACACACGTGCAAAAGAGTATCCTATTGTAATGAAAATAGGCCATTTGTTAAATGATAAGATATTACTCTCTAAAAGGACAGAAATGGAAGAATTGATCATTAATATTGATATTGGAAAACTATGTAGGAATTGGTGAAAAGGAGCAGCTTCATGATCATGAGCATGTGGCTTGTGAAGTCCACAGTCCCTCCCACATTAAAGGGCCCCAGCATTGGTTTAATGCTCTGCTGCTGTAATCTTGAAATTCTTAATACTTTTTGATCAAGGGTTTCTACGTTCTATTTTTACCCTCAAATTGTGTAGCAAATCCTGCCTGGAAACAGAAACTTAAACATTTGACGTATGCATTCCTTTGTTAGCTAGATAAATTTAATACAATAATTGTTCTTACTCCAAATTTCTCTTACACGTGTGCTAGGTGTTAGAGCCCTCTCTCATTTCCAGATTTTACTTTTGTGGTAAGCTTTGGCAGGATTTTATTTAATGGAACATATTGGCAAATTCGTCAAGCAATAAAAATATTACTTAAAATAGATTAACTGTTTCCTCAGATCTTTTGTATGTTTAGTCAGAATATTAGTTAGTAATAAAATTAAAATTAGTTTCCGTAAAAATATTTAAAAGTCCAACATTTTAAGCTAGGACTAAACTATTCAAAATGTGAACTTACTGAACATAAAATTTCCAAGTGAAAATGTTTGTAACAGAGGTAATGTGCCTGCTCATTGAATAGGTTCATTTTATTATACTTATTTTGTGATTTTTGCTTTTATTGTGCCTAAAGCTTTTTCAGTCAACCACAAAATTATTGTACTGAAAAAATTATCATAATTTCTAACATGTTTAATATCCATTTTACTTTTAGATGTTACTATTTTCATGAACTGTGATATAAAAAGCCTGAGCTGCCTTAGTACCACCATATGTTGCAGGATCAAAAGAACAAAAACAAAAATGTTTAGTAGTCCTTGCCTTTGAAGAGCTATAAAACTTAAAATACAGCATTATAAAGAGTAGTATGCATACAGACAAAGACTTGCATACAAATAAATTAACCAAGAAAAAAACATTACATGGTACAGAGGACTTACACATTTTGTGGAAGAGATATTGAGGGTGTGCCTCTCCTTGGTTTTGATCTTAGTATAAGTCAAAAAAAAAAAAAAGAAATTTTAAAGAAACACTTTTCAGTATTACAGTTTTATGTCCTGGAAATTTGAACTAGTCTGAGTAGTTAGTCAGCTTTTAGTCTTCAGTCTGTCCCTAGGTAGTTTTATGATTTGAAAGATTTGAACTTCTTTGATGATTTGAACTTTTTTGAGCATTGGGCTTTTTATTTGCAAAATGTGAGTTTTTCATCTTATCTTCTGTTCATTGAGTCTAAATGTAAGTATCTAAATCCTTATAGATTAAGTAGGATGAAAAAGAAGCCATTTGCAACTGAAGCAATGCAATTTGTGCTCCCATGAAAAGTGTCTTCTCTGTTAAATTTTAATCATTTTACTAATTCCTGTATTATGAAACTATGTCTTTCCTGTTAGATTTTAATCATTTTACTAATTCCTGAATTAGTTATATATCTAAATGTAACAGTTTTAAATACAGAATTCTTGCACACCAGTGGTTGTCTCATATTTATCATTTTATCCTTAGGTCAAAGCCTATTGCTTTACAGTAGAAGGTTTTGAATATATTTATTCCTCATAGATAAATACACTATTAATTGTTTCTTCTGAAATATATTAATCTCCACTATTGGGGCAATAAAGTATCTTGGAGAGTTTCTATTCTGGTTAGAAATCCTAATGTCTTATCTTCTGTCCACATACAGATTTATTAAACACAAAATGAATTATTTGGCTTCAGCTTCATTGTAGTTGATCCATTATTTCCTTTCAAACAGATTAAGCATAAGAATTAGTATTATGATAACACAGAGGCAGAACTGTATCAGCCAGGTCATCCACCATTTAAATATTAAACTTTTCATGGTGACAACTCAACTTTGGTATTGTCTAAAATTATAAAGATTAGAATTCCCCCTTTAAACTCTATTGTCAGTAGAAACATATTAAAAATATGTGCTTACACATACATGTAAAAAAGCGTTTGTAGAATCGACCCTTTTTATTTAAAAAAGTATTTGTGTGTGCTTACTGTATGTCATGAATTCCTCGGTTTGTGAAGATAAGAGCAATATGACTGCGTGTTACTGGATGTCAAAGGATGAATTATGGCCTTCAAAGATTCTTCTACACCATAATTCCTGGAACCTGTGAATATGTGGTAAAAGAGTGAATATTAGCTTATGTTTCAAAGGAGATATTTAAGTTAAAGATTTTGAAAGAAGGAGTTTGTCCTGGTTTATACAGGTGGATCCTAAACGCAATGAGTGAGGCAGATGGAGGCTTGACTGACAGAACAGGAAAAGTTTGTATAGAGATGGGAGCAGAGAATGAAGTGATGAAGCCACAAACCAAGGAATGCTAACAGCCACCAGAATCTGGAAGAAGTAAGAAATGGAACTCTCTCAAAGATTTTAGAGGGTGTGCTTCCCTGCTGACAACTAGATTTCAGACTTCCGGCTTTGAGAACTGGGAGAGAAAATCTAAAATCTGTTGTTTTAAGCTACCAAGTTTGCAGTAATTTCTTGCTGTAGGCATAGGAAACTAATACACCAGGTAAGCAAAAGGTCTTACAAGAGTATACAGAAATAACCCTGAATTCAGTACTGGGGTTCATTTTAGGCTTCATGATGGAGGTGACATTTAAGCTACTGTGAGATTTCTATATTATTCTGATCTGTGTCTCTTTCTTGATAACAATGTATTAGCTTTATTGGAGCTAAAAAATAAGTATTCAGAAATATGTCAGTATCATTGTAATATTATAATTCCCGAGCTTCAGAAAACCAAAGAATTACCAGAAAATTTCCAAAAAATAAAGAATTCTAGAATCTACCCTGTGATGGTTAATACCCTCTGGAGAATCATGACTAATACATACCCAGACCTACATTTGAAACTCACTGAAACTGAGGTTCTGTGATTTACATTTTTTAAGAGACAGTCTTGCTCTGTCACCCAGGCTGGAGTGCAGTGGCATAATCAAGACTCACTTTAACCTTGAATTCCTGGACTCAAGTGATCCTCCTGCCTCAGCCTCCCAAGTAGCAAGGACTACAGTTGCATGTTACCACTCCTGGTTAATTTTTTAAAATTTTTGTAAAGGTGAGTTCTTGCTATGTTACTCAGGTTAGACTTGAACTGCTGGTCTCAAGTCATCCTCCTGCCTCAGCCTCACAGAGCACTGAGATTATAGAAAGGAACCACCATGCCCAGCCTTGTGATTTATTTCTGATAAGGAAATATCAGAGATATATCTTAAGAAGGCACATAGTCTCAGGTCTTTGTACAATTGCTTGGTACAGTGCTCCTTAGCTTGAACTAGCATGGACTGTAACTCAGATCCTGAGCTCTGGAGTACCTTCTTTGACATTGTTTAAGCACCTCTGGTGGACTGGGACTGATTGGGCTTTTAGTGCCATCTTGGTTGGCTTCACTCAGCCCAGAGTGGGACCTGAGTGTGCTCTTTAAGGTGCTCTCTGAGGTGTTTCTTCTCTTTTAGGTGCTCTTCTATTCTCTATTGGCCCAATATGATGATACAGGTTATACTTAGTACACTGTCAGCACTCTGGGTCACCAAAGTCCAATCACTAATCTTTAGCTTGAGCCACATTTGTGACTCCCCATATGGGCTCTAACATACCCATGTTCTAACCCTGGTGCCACTTCTGGTACAGCTCCCTAGAATTACAGTGGTTGCAACAGGTACCCCTTAACTTATGCACCTGCTGCTTCTGATCCCCAAAGGCAATCTCTTCACCATCTTCACAGGCTTTAGCCACATGTCAGATGGTCCTTTTGGGTTGCTGTGATTCTGTATATCAAGGAATATTTATCTGTCCTCCGGCACAGGCTTAAGACATACAAAGAAGAGCAAATCCATTAGAGTTAAGAGAGGTCATCCCCATTGCTATACAGTTGCTCTTTTTATTGTTCCCAATGCCATACCTCTGCAGTCTCCTTTGGGGGCCACGTTTTAGGAATGCAGAGTACACATCCTGAAAATTTTAGGAGAAGACTTGATTGGAAGATGTAGTGTTCTGCCTTTATGCTATAAAATTCTCATAGGCAAATTTAACAAAAAGAATGAATTTTATATTATTTAACATACCCTGGGTAAGACTTGCATTATTGATCATCATCAAAGAAGCACACTCAAAAACTTGTGAGAAAGTTATCGGAAACAAATAATCACTGCACAGTGGACTGCACTCCGTGTCGTTAAAAGCATTTAAAAATGCCATTACAGGTTGCATTGGTTATTTTTAAGACCTGTATTGGTTTAATTCACACAGATTTCAAAAAAATGGGGATGTGATCAATAATTTATTAATTTTGTCTTCTGGGAAATATGAAATTAACCAGGATTAGTCCATTTATCAATAAAAGACAGAATGAAATATTTCCTGGATCTAAACAGAAAGATATGGGGCCCAGACCCTGCAGAAAATCTTCACATGCACTAATTAGACATTAAGATAAAAGGTATGTAAATACTTGTGTTAATTTTATGTGTCAACGTAACTAGTTTAAGGGATACCCAGATAGCTGATAAAACTTACTTTCTAGGTGAGTCTGTCAAAGTGTTTCCAGAAGAGATTAGCATTTGAAACAGTACACTGTGTAAAAATCCTGTCCTTATTAATATGGGTGGGCATTATCCATTCTACTGAGGGCCTGCATAGAACAAAAAGGTGGAAGAAGGATGAATTATCTCTCTCTTTTGGAGCTGGGACATTCATCTTTTCCTGCCTTTAGATATCAGGTTCTCAAGCCTTTGGACTCAGACTGAATTAAACCACCAGCATTCCTATGTCTCCAGCTGGTGTATAATTTATCATGAGACTTCTTGGTCTCTATAAGTGGTTAAGTCAATCCCTATAATAAATACTTTCTTATCTGTCTGTCTGTCTGTCTATCTATCTCTTATTGCATTATTGCAATTATATCAAATATTTAGAATAAAGTGTTATTGTATTACTCAGAACAAAAAAGATATATATATAAATATTTGTTCTGACTAATGCAGTACCTCTCTATATAGATACTTGTTCTGACTAATACGGTAAAACTTTATTCTAAATCTGTGATAAATCCCTATATCTACCATAGATCCATTGGTTTTCTAATATATATGTTCATCAACTATTTTTATATAGAAAGAATCCTAGTTTACTGAGAGTTTTTAGCATGAAGGGGTGTTGAATTTTATCGAAGGCGTTTTCTGCATCTATTGAGATAATCATGTGATTTTTTTCATTGGTTCTGTTTATGTGATGGATTATGTTTATTGATTTGCATATGTTGTACCAGACTTGCATCCCAGGGAGGAAGCCAACTTGATCGTGGTGGATAAGCTTTTTGATGTGCTGCTGGATTTGGTGTGTCAGTATTTTATTGAGGATTTTCGCATCAATGTTCATCAGGGATATTGGCTTGAAATTTTCTTTTTTTTGTTGTGTCTCTGCCAGGTTTTGGTATCAGGATGATGCTGGTCTCATAAAATGAGTTAGGGAGCTCTCCCTCTTTTTCTATTATTTGGAATAGTTTCAGAAGGAATGGTACCAGCTCCTCTTTGTACCTTTGGTGGAATTTGGCTGTGAATCCGTCTGATCCTGGGCTTTTGTTTTGTTTTGTTTTGTTTTGTTTTGGTTGGTAGGCTATTAATTATTGCCTCAATTTCAGAACTTGTTATTGATCTATTCAGGGATTCGACTTCTTCCTGGTTTAGTTTTGGGGGGATGAATGTGTCCAGGAATTTATCCATTTCTTCTAGATTTTCTAGTTTATTTACATAGAGATGTTTATAGTATTTTCTGATGGTAGTTTGTATTTCTGTGGGATCAGTGGTGGTCTCCCCTTTATCACTTTTTATTGTGTCTATTTGATTCTTCTCTGTTTTCTTCATTGTTAGCCTATTTTGTTAATCTTTTCAAAATATGAGCTCCTGGGCTCGATTTTTTGAAGGGTTTTTTGTGTCTCTATCTCCTTCAGTTCTGCTCTGATCATAGTTATTTCTTATCTTCTGCTAGCTTTTGAATTTGTTGGCTCTTGTTTCTCTAGTTCTTTTAATTGTGATGTTAGAGGGTCAATTTTAGATCTTTCCCGCTTTATCCTGTGAGTATTCAGTGTGATGAATTTCCCTCTAAACACTGCTTTAGCTGTGTCCCAGAGATTCTGGTAAATAGTGTTTTTGTTCTCATTGGTTTCAAAGAACTTATTTATTTCTGCCTTAATTTTGTTATTTACCCAGTAGTCATTCAGGAGCAGGTGGTTCAGTTTCCACGTAGTTGTGTGGTTTTGAGTGAGTTTCTTAATCCTGAGTTCTAATTTGATTGCACCGTGGTCTGAGAGACTGTTATGATTTCCGTTCTTTTGTATTTGCTGAAGAGTGTTTTACTTCCACTTATGTGGTCAATTTTAGAATACGTGCCACATGATACTGAGAAAAATGTATATTCTGTTGATTTCGGGTGGAGGGTTTTGTAGATGCCTATTGGGTCTTCTTGGTCCAAAGCTGAGTTCAAGTCCTGAATATCCTTGTTAATTTTCTTTCTCATTGATCTGTCTAATATTGACAGTGTGGTGTTAAAGTCTCCCATTATTATTGTATGGGAGTCTAAGTCTCTTGTAGGTCTCTAAAAACTTGTTTTATGAATCTGTGTGCCCCTGTATTGGGTGCATATATATTTAGGGTAGTTAGCTCTTCTTGTTGCATTGATCCCTTTATCATTATGTAATACACTTCATCGTCTTTTTTGATCTTTGTTGGTTTAAAGTCTGTTTTATCAGAGACTAGGATTGCAACCCTTGCTTCTTTTTTGCTTTCCATTTGCTTGGTAAATATTCCTCCATCCCTTTATTTTGAGCCTATGTGTGTCTTTGCATGTGAGATGGGTTGCCTAAATACAGCAGACCGATGGGTCTTGACTCTTTATCCAATATGCCAGTCTGTGTCTTTTAACTGGGACATTCTGCTAGTTTACATTTAATGTTAATATTGCTATGTATGAATTTGATCCTGTCATTATGATGCTAGCTGGTTATTTTGCCATTAGTTGATGAAGTTTCTTCATAACGTTGATGGTTTTTACAATTTGGTATGTTTTTGCAGTGGCTGGTCCCAGTTTTTCTTTTCCATATTTAGTGCTTTCTTCAGGAGCTCTTGTAAGGCAGGCCAAGTGGTGACAGAATCTCTCAGCATTTACTTGTCAGTAAATGGAACATATCTCAAAATAATAAGAGCCATTTATGACAAACCCACAGCCAATATCACACTGAATGGGCAAAAGCTGGAAACATTCCCTTTGAAAACCAGCACAAGACAAGAATGCCCTCTCACCACTCCTATTCAACATAGTATTGGAAGTTCTGGCCAGGGCAATCAGGCAAGAAAAGAAATAAAGCGTATTCAAATAGGAAGAGAGGAAGTCAAATTTTCTGTTTGCAAATGACATGATTGTATATTTAGAAAACCCCATCGTCTCAGCCCAAAATCTCCTTAAGCTGATAAGCAACTTCAGCAAAGTCTCAAGATAGTAAATTAATGTGCAACAATCACAAGCATTCCTATACACCAAAAATAGACAAACAGCCAAATTATGAGTGAACTCCCATTCACAGTTGCTACAAAGAGAATAAAATACCTAGGAATACAACTTCCAAGGGATGTGAAGGACCTCTTCAAGGAGAACTACAAACCACTGCTCAAGGAAATAAGAGAGGACACAAACAAGTAGGAAAACATTCCAGGCTCAGGGATAGGAAGAATCAGTATCATAAAAATGGCCGTACTGCCCAAAGTAATTTACAGATTCAGTGCTATCCCCATCAAGCTACCATTGACTTTCTTCACAGAATTAGAAAAAACTGTTTCAAATTTCATATGAAACCAAAAAAGAGCCTTGTATAGCTAAGAGAATTCTAAGCAAAAAGAACAAAGCTGGAGACATCACACTACTTAAATTCAAACTATTCTACAAGGCTACAGTAAAACAAACAAACAAACAAACAACAGCAAAAAAAAAAAACAGCATGGTACCAGTACCAAAACAGATATATAGACCAATGGAACAGAACAGAGGCCTCAGAAGTAGCACCACACATCTACAACAATCTAGTCTTTGACAAACCTGACAAAAACAAGCAATGGAGAAAGGATTCCCTATTTAATAAATGGTATTCAGAAAACTGGCTAGCCATATGCAGAAAACTGAAACTAAACCTCTTCCTTACACCTTATACAGAAATTAATTCAAAATGGATTAAAGACTTAAACGTAATACCTAAAACCATAAATACCCTAGAAGAAAGTGGAGGCAGTACCATTCAGGACATAGGCATGGGCAAAGACGTAATGACTAAAGTACCAAAAGCAATGGCAACAAAAGCCTAAATGGATAAATGGGATCTAACTAAACTAAACAGCTTCTGCACAGCAAAAGAAACTATCATCGGAGTGAACAGGCAACATACAGAATGGGAGAAAACTTTTGCCATCTGTCCATCTGACAAAGGGCTAATATCCAGAATCTACAAGGAACTTAAGCAAATTTACAAGAAAAAAACAAAGAACCCCATCAAAAAGTGGGCAAAAGACATGAACAGACACTTCTGAAAAGAAGACATTAATGCACCAAACAAATATACAAAAAAAAAAAGCTCATCATCACTGGTCATTAGAGAAATGCAAATCAAAACCACAATGAGATATCATCTCACGCCAGTTAGAATGGCAATCATTAACAAGTCAGAAAACAACAGATGCTGGAGAGGATGTGGAGAAATAGGAATGCTTTTTCATTGTTGGCTGGAGTGTAAATTAGTTCAACCATTGTGGAAGACAGTATGGTGATTCCTCAAGGATCTAGAACAAGAAATACCATTTGACCCACCAGTCCCATTACTGGGTATATACCCTAAGGATTATAAATCATTGTGCTATAAAGACACATGCATATGTATGTTTGTTGCAGCACTATTCACAATAGCAAAGACTTGGAATCAACCCAAATGCCCGCCAATGATAGACTGGATAAAGAAAATGAGGCATATATACACCATGGAATACTATGCAGCCATAAAAATGAATGAGTTCATGCCCTTTGCAGGGACATGGATGAAGCTGGAAAACATCATTCTCAGCGAACCAGCACAGGAACAGAAAACCAAACACCGCATGTTCTCACTCATAAGTGGGAGTTGAACAATGAGAACACATGGACACAGGGAGGGGAACATCACACACTGGGGCCTGTTGGGAGTTGGGGGCCTAGGAGAGGGATAGCTTTAGGAGAAATACCTAATATAGATGACAGGTTGGTGGATGCAGTAAACCACCATGACCTGTGTATACCTATGTAACAAACCTACACTTTCTGCACATGTATCCCAGAACTTAAAGTATAATTTTAAAAAAAAGAAAGAATCCTATACAAAATATTTGCTTTGAGCCCTTTCTGAGGCCAAAATGAGCAGCCTAAGTTTGGGAAAATTTGCCCTAATTCTATGACCAGCTGCAAAATTAGCTGGGCCCAATATGAAAATGCAGTGTTCTGTGTTAAATTATTATTAAGGATTTCAGGTTGGCAAAGGAGCAGAGCATTAATCCATATACTGGGCTTTTCTGAAGGCATAGGCCTCTGCAATTTCCCTCCAAAAGGCAGGAAGCTGACTGTGGATATCACAATCATATAGAAATTTCTAACTCTCTCTCTCTCTCTCTCTCTCTCTCTATATATATATATATACACACACACACACACACACACACATATACATACATATATTGCTTTTTGCTCTTAGAATATTTCAGTTGTTAAATTTGAATCCCAAAATCTATCTTTACTTAAATGTAATTTGTTAAAAGAATATATTGAAATATAATATATATATATATGGGGAGAGAGTGAGAGAGAGATAGAGTAAGAGAGAGAATTTTCTCACCCAACCAGCCACATGCTTGAAAATGACTAAAATGGTGACTTCCGGAAGTTGATTTGGCCATGTTCTTACCTGTAGACATTCTATCTAAATTTCAAGGTTCATTTAAAATGTTGCTAATGCCAGGATATCTTCACTGATTGACAGAATTGTGCAAAAGTTTCTGTGTTCTTTATACTTATATGATTATCTTATGCCATGGAGCAGATTCTGTTTGTGAGATTTAATTGAATAAGACATGGCACCTACCCTCAAATTTTTATTAACTTGGGGAGATAAGCACAGGTAAAAATATGTCAAATATATTAGAGAACAGTTAAATAGTTTTTTACAAGCTTACAATGCAGGAAGAGTTTAAAGGGGGAAATGATCAAAGTAACCAGGACTAATAAAAATAACATTGAGCTGAATACTGAAGGTTAAAAAAGTAATTACTCAGAGACAGATCATCAAGAGAAGGTGAGAATCTTGAGAAAGAGAATAGAGGATTTAAGTAGACATGCTAGAAAATAAACAGATATTGGAAAATTATTAGACTGTTAAGCAAGGGAATAACCTGACAATAATGTGATAAGAAGAATCATGTGACAGCAGAATTCAGTTGGAAGAAAGTGATTGGAGTAAGATGGAGGGTATGTAAAGGGGCAGATACAAAATTCTAGATGGGGAAGTGGTAAAGCTATGAATTTGATGGTTGGGAAAAATGACAGAAATGCATAGGTAAAGACAAAATCATCTGAATTTCCAGTAGCAAACATGGCAAGGCTTGGTAAAATTAAATATAAGGAAATGTTAAGATGATTCAAAGATGAGACTGAGAGAACGATTGATGTAGTAAATCCATGAAGCAGTAAATGCTTAGCTTCAGCGTAGCTCCACAGGTTCTCAAATTTTTCCAAACATAAAGAATGCTCGGTATTCCCTCAAATGCTCTTAAATGCAGGAGAATACTTTCCCAGTTATGCCATTCAGGGGATTAAATATTATTGACCATCTTAAAATTATGCATTTTAATATTGGTTTCATGAACTTGATTTTTAAGTCTAAATACCCGTAATTTTCAATTAAAACTAAAGTTTGTTACCCCAAAAGAGTACATTGTTTTAAAGTGCCCAAGAAAGCATATTATGCATATTTTAAAGTTAAATATAAAGCAATAGGAATTGTAGTAATGTAACCTAATTGCACATAGGCTGAATTATAAATATAAAAGAAAAGAAGATCAATGCAAACTAAGAGTAGTTTATGATTACGTGATTATTGCTTTTTTGCTCTTAGAATATTTCAGTTGTTAAATTTGAATCCCAAAATCTGTCTTTACTTAAATGTAATATTGATTGTTAAAAGAATATATTGAAATATAATACATAAGTGTGACAAAAAACTGTGTTTTATTACATTAGTTTCTTTTGAACAATTATATTCTAGTTAAAGTATATTGTTCACAGAAGGGCAAAAAAATATGTGTATGCTGTTCCTTGGCACATATCAAAAGATTCCACAATTTATTCAGGCCTCAGTGATATGTTTTGATGACTCTCTTTACGGTTCAGTCATAACATTTTTGTCAATCACAACTGCAATTACCCCATAAAAGGCCTAAAATATTTTTACATGTGCTAAATCCTGCCATTATGCTGATTTTAGAAAGTTTTAAGGATGAGAAATTTAAATACTATATTTAAATTGTATTCTTTATAAAAGTGTTAAAAATTGAAACATAGAAGATGAAAATGCAAAACGAAATTAAAATATTAAATATTCAGGAAAGTGTTTTGAAAACTATTAGAGAATAGCATTGTTACATGTAACTGTTTTAAGTAAAGGTCATTAGAAAGAGGTGTCCAGAAGGTTAACATAATGAGACTGATTTAGGCTATTGCAGCACTGGATTCCTAGGAAAGCCATGACCAATGTGGAATGCTCTTACCATTTTAAATAAAGCTTCATGTGCCTTAAATGTGGGAACTCTCTTCAGGAGCATACTGCCTGGCTTCAGTTGTCATTGTATGGCAGAGGGAGAGAAGGGATTTCTGAGGGAGCCGGAGCCTAAACTATTTAGAGCTTTATAGAGTAAAGTCAACATCTTGGAATTGCAATTTTAAGCAAATGGGTAGGCAGTGCAGACTGTGGAAAATTGGTATTATGCACTCCCTGTGGCTTGTATCATTTAGTTGCTGAGCCGCAGAATTTAGCCTAGGTAGAAGCTTCTGGGTGGTACTGAAGGCTGGGACTACGCTAAGGGAAATAAAACCGATGTTCATCCAAGCATACATTCAACCCAAACTTTCCAATCATTTGTATGAATGCAATGTAAATGTTAACTCTAAAGGAAAAGCTCAACAATTATCATCAGAAAATGGAGAAGATGTTGGAAGTTAAAGGCCTCACCCTCAGTTTAATTCTGCTTTCACTAAATAATTCTTGTATAAGCAGATGTTAAGAATACAAATGCCAACATGTACATTTTGCTGCCAGTCAAGTATTGATTCTTCCTTGTGAAATAATCATAATTCTCATAGAGGTAGATAAGATGAAACTATTTGTAAACCACTTAGTTCATGTTTTCCACTTGGCATGTACATATTTCATCACTGGAAAAATCACATTCATTTATATAGTAATAGATACACAAAAAGCCCTAGGTAAAATAATACAATATTTGACATATTTTTAGCTATATGCTACTATTGGCTCATTTTTCAATCTTAACATTGTCTATATTTTCTAAAAATTCTATACTCAAAGTATTCTTTCCAAACCAATGCATTCTATTAAACATACACACTTTCTTCCACATAGGGAATTACATGCAAGATATTAAATAAAAGCATTGTATTTTCCAAGGTTATTGATACTTTGAATACTTATAATTGGTTAGCGTTTTATTGATCAAGGAAAAGAGATTTCAGGGATCCAGCTATGTGATAATTTTATGACCATCCTTTGTGAAGAAACTGAATAGAATATTTAGTCAATTCTGCTTGTGTAACCCAATTATTGGTGACCATTCTGATTCCTCCTTCCCACACATTGGAAAAAGGTTTCCAAATAATTTACTTTTGTACTTAGTGGACAATTAGAATAAAAATGGCATAAACATTTGATGTGGTCAGGCCAAACTGGAAAGCGATGGTAACAAGGATTCAGATAAAGTTATTTTCCTTCCACATGATTACTAAAAGAAAAAACAGTGCAAAGATAATACATAAGATCCAGTGTCAGTTCCCCACCTTAGTGGGTAGCTTTCTACTATGGCCCTTCTTCCTAATAGAAGAGCTCGGCTGGGTGTGGTGGCTTAGACCTGTAATCCCAGCTGAGGTGGACAGATCACGAGGTCAAGAGATCGAGACCATCCTGGCCAACATGGTAAAACCCTGTCTCTACTAAAAATACAAAAATTAGCTGGATGTGGTGGCGCACGCCTGTAGTCCCAGCTACTCAGAAGGCTGAGGCAGGAGAATTGCTTGAACCCAGGAGGCAGGGGTTGCAGTGAGCTGAGATCATGCCACTACACTCCAACCTGGGTGACAGGGTGAGACTCTGTCTCAAAAAAAAAGAAAAAAAAGAAAAAAGAAAAAAGAAAAAGAAAAGCTCCCAATCTTCTGTTGTTTTTGTATAGTGTACAGAGGCATATCAGGTTAGAGAAATCTAGAAACATGGGATTATTGCTAAGGAGGAGGAAGTGATCTTGCACATCCATCCAACATATGCAGAGAAATAGGTCCAATGCCACTTAAATACTCCTTTTTGTATTTCATTTTCTGTCATCAAGTCTACTTATGATTTCGTGCAGTAAGAGCATCGCCTACCAAACCACAGGAAGAGGAAACTATAAAAAGTGCCACTATTTGTTCCTTTCTCTTGGAGGTCAATATCCCATCGTGGCAGAAATGTAGTAGTTAGTTTTATGAGTTTTTACTGTCGATATTTAATTCATTTTTTGTTTCATTCACTTGACTAACACTTTTATGGACACTGTTAAATACAAACTTAAGCTACTACTTTAATTAGTACTACTACTACAGTTACCAATGTAACTGCCATTATTTAATAATACTATCTCTAAGGCATTATTCTAAAGGCTTTACATTTATTACTTTATTTGATTCTAATAACAATGGTATGAATAAGGGTTATTAATGTACCCATTTTACAGATGAATAGTTAATATTTAAGAGGCATGTAATATACCTGAAGACGCAAATGTTTAAAGTGGTAAAAATGAGATGTGACTTTGTATATCTATGTGATTCCTAAGTGAATAAGTTTTAATTCTACATGGTTCTATTCTTATTCATGAACAAATTACTCTTTGCTCTCAAAAAAATAAATTTTTATTATACTTTAAGTTCTGGGGTACATGTGCAGAATGTGTAGATTTGTTACATAGGTATACGCGTGACATGGTGGTTTGCTGTACCCATCAACCCATCACTTACATTACGTATTTCTCCTAATGCTACCCCTTCTCTAGCCCCCCATCCCCTGACAGGCCCCGGTGCGTGATGTTCCCCTCCCTGTGTCCATGTGTTCTCATTGTTCAACTCCCACTTATGAGGGAGAACATGGGGTGTTTGGTTTTGTGTTCCTGTGTTAGTTTTCTGACAATGATGGTTTCCAGCTTCATCCATGTCCCTGAAGAGGACATGAACTCATCCTTTTTTATGGCTGCATAGTATTCCATGGTGTATATGTGCCACATTTTCTTTATCCAGTCTATCATTGATGGGCATTTGGGTTGGTTCCAAGTCTTTGCTATTCTGAACAGTGCCACAATAAACATACCTGTGCATGTGTCTCTTTATAGTAGAATTATTTATAATCCTTTGGGTATATACCCAGTAATGGGATCGCTGGGTCAAATGGTATTTCTGTTTCTAGATCCTTGAGGAATTGCCACACTGTCTTCCATAATGGTTGAACTAATTTACACTCCCACCAACAATGAAAAAGCGTTGCTATTTCTTCACATCCTCTCCAGCATCTGTTGTTTCCTGACTTTTTAATGCTTGCCGTTCTAACTGACGTGAGATGGTATCTCATTGTGGTTTTAATTTGCATTTCTCTAATGACCAGTGATGATGAGCTTTTTTTCCATATGTTTGTTGGCAACATAAATGTCTTCTTTTGAGAAGTGTCAGTTCATATCCTTTGCCCACTTTTTGATGGAGTTTATTTTCTTGTAAATTTGTTTAAGTTATTTATAGATTCTGGATATTAGCCCTTTGTCAGATGGATAGATTGCAAAAATATTCTCCCATTCTGTAGGTCGCCTGTTCACCCTACTTGGAACCAACCCAAATGCCCATCAGTGATAGAATGGATAAAGAAAATGCGGCACATATACACCATGGAATACTATGCAGCCATAAAAAGTATGAGTTCATGTCCTCTGTAAGGACATGGATGAAGCCGGAAACCATCATTTTCAGCAAACTAACACAGAAACAGAAAACCAAACACAGCATGTTCTACCTCGTAAGTGGGAACTGAACAATGAGAACGCACAGACACAGGAAGGGGAACATCACACACCAGGGACTGTCAGTAGGTGGGGGATTAGGGGAGGGATAGCATTAGGAAAATGCCTAATGTAGATATGGGCTGATGGGTGCAGCAAACCACCATGGCACCTGTATACCTATGTCACAAACCCACACATTCTGCACATGTATCCCACAAATTAAAGTATAAAAAAAAAATTTAAAAACAGACAATAGAGGATGACTCAGAAACAGGAGCCAAGACAAACAGTATGAGGGCATAATCTGTAGCGATACCTCACCTCCTGAGCTGTGGAACTTTTCTGCGTGCTCTTCACTGGATTTAATATTGTTAGGGGTCAGTGATGAGTATAGTTTTCTACACCCCCTTCCCCTTTGGAATGCAAGTGCCTATCTTGGTTCTAGTGTTGCCTGTGTCATCTCACCATTGTATATCAGATGTGTATGTGTGTTTGAAAGCAGATAACTTGTGTCTTTATATAACAGATGTGTAAATAAAAAGCATGACACTTAGAGGATCCTCATCTGCAACTGGCCTGATTCAGATGATGAGATTTTAAGCCTGCTGGCCTAAACAAATAAAACTTTGGGAATGAGATACTTGGCATAAATGAGGGTGTGAATTGTTAGGGCTCAAAGGGAAGACTATGGTGACTAGTTTTCAAACATGGCCTCTCAATAAACCATATCTCCTGTATTAATGTCCTTAGGTAGTTCTCTTCAATATGAAACCTGTGCTGGTATATGACTTGTGTGAACTAGCAGTATGTGGCAGAAATGATGCTCTGCAAATTTTGAGCTAGAACTTTAAGAAACCTGACATCTTTTTCTTATACGCTTTTGAAATGCTACGTAAAAAGTTCAACTATCTAATTGGAGAGGCCATGTGAAAAAGGAGAGTAGTGTAACTGCATTGAGAGAAGACTAACTCTCTAGTTTTCCAGCTGATTCCATGCATCCCAGTGTCCCAGCTGAGCCATATTCCTGCTGTACTTCCCAAGCTTCCAGATGACTCCAGTGCCATCCAAGAAATGCTGAGCAAAAAACTGTGCAGCTGAATGTACTCAATCCACAGAATCAAGAGAAATGATGAATAGTGTGCTGCTTTAAGGCGCTATGTTTTGGAGGTTTATTTTTTGTTTCATAGCAATCAAAATCGAAAGTGGATTTTCTTCTTTGGAAGTTATTTCACTTCCTTTACCGAAAGAACATATCTTGTTCAACAACTGCTTTTTGAGTTCCATTGTCTTTGAGTTAATCTGAATTTAACTTACATAAGCACATAATTTAAAATTTATGGAATTAAAAATATTTTTTTCCTAATTTGGTTTTCTAAAATCAATAACTTATAGAGTGAGTGGTCCACATTAGCTTTTTCTAAACTAACTCTGTTGGCCAAACTGCTTTGCTCACACAAGAATTCTTAAAGGAATCACTCTTTTGACAAAGACTGATCAGCCAGAGATCATCAGGATAAAGCCTGTAGTCTAACTAAATGATATTTGCTGACTTGCTGCATGCCACATATTTCCAGAGGAAAAGCAGAATGCCTCTCTAAGAGAGGAAAAGAAAGCTTCTTCTTAAGGTTTGGTTTTATGTTGAAGTATTCTGAGGAAGGTCTGAGTGAAGCAGCCTAATTCTGAAGAGAGTTTAGGAGAAATTGAGATTAACTAGGAATTGGGTGCTGCCAGAAGGCAAGGAGAGTTTAACCATTGAGTATTCTCATAAATGCAGTTGTCCCTTGGTATCCACAAGGGATTGATTCCAAGACCCCCTGCACATACCAAAATCTACAAGTGCTCAAGTCCCTTATAGAAAATGGCACTGTATTTGCATATAACCTATATACATCCTTTTGTATATTTTAAATCACCTCTAGATTACTTATAATACCTAATACAATGCAAATGGTAGGTAAATTGTTGTTATACTATATCTTTTAGGGAATAATGATAACAAAAAAGTATGTACATGTTTAATACAGAAACAACTGCCCTTATTTTTCTCTGAATATCTTCTATCCATGGTTGCTTGGTTGAATCCAAGGATGCAGAACCCATGGATATACAGGATTTCTTCTACCCATGGGTACAAGAAAATGGCCAAGTGAGGAGTCATCACTGATGATAAAGCAGAAATCACTCAAAAGGGGAGATATTAAGGCATTTTGCAACTACTGCATAGCTTTGGAAAAAGTAAGGTTTTCTCTTAATTTCGCACTGGTTTTATCTGTATTTGTGCCCCCAGCCTGATCAATGGCAGGTCTGCTTTGCTCTTTCAGGCCATGCTGATTTTCACTCTTTCCATCTCAGATAGGCCTGTACCACTTCACTCTTTATATATTGAAATTTTATATTTCAAAAAATGCTGACAATTATTTTTAACGTGAAACATAATTTTAAAACTCTACTTCTTGGTTGGATGTGGTGGCTCAAGCCTGTAATCCCAGCACTTTGGGAGGCCAAGGCAGAGGGATCACTTGAGTCCAGGAGTTGAGACCAGCCTGGACAACACAGTGAAACCCTGTCTCTACAAAGGAGAAAGAAAAAAAAAATTAGCTGGATGTGATCACATGCACCTGTGGTCCCAGCTACTCAGGAGGCTGAGGTGGGAGGATCACCTGAGCCCAGGAGGTCGAGGCTGCAGTGAGCCGTTATCAGGCCACTGCAGTCCAGCCTAGGTGACAGTGAGACCTTGTCTCAAAAAATATCTACTTCTTATTTATCCTCACAGAAACTTCACCGTTATATATAACTGTTGTAAGATGAACCACATAAATTATTTCTTAATTAAGTTAATTTTAAGTTAATAGTCCCTGCTGCAATAACACAATGCCATAGATTGGGTGTCTTAAATAACAAACATATATTTCTCACAGTTCTAGAGGCTGGAGGTCTGAGTTCAGGGTGTCAACATGGACCAGTTTTTTGAGAGACCCCTTTTCCTCATTTAAAGGTGCCTACCATCTTGTATGACACATAGTGGAGATAGCGAGCTCTGGTATCTTCATCCCCTCTAAGGACACTAATCCCATCATGGGGCTCCATCCTTATGAACTCATTCAAACCCAATTACCTCCCAAAGCTTCCACCTTAAAAGGTGAAGCTTAATGGGTTTAAAATCATAATGGGCGTTAGGGATTAAACAATTAAACGTGAACTAAGGGGTGGGAAGCACAAAACATTCAGACCACAGCAATAAATAAATTCACAAATAGATTTTGAGCATCTACTAGGTTATGTTTGGAGGTTTTCAAGTAACAGATAATGTTGATGACAGAAGCTAAACTAATATCTCTTTATTTTAGTTCAATTCTTTTTTCAATTAGCTAAGCTACTTATCCTAACCATATGATTGCTTAAAGTACAGTAGGTCAAATTGTGTGTAGCAATTTAGAGAATCCTAAAACACAAAGAATTTGGGAGAATTACTTCTAAGCATGCCTAGGAGATGCAATGTAAATATGGATGTAATCATTTTCAAGCACTAGTACCTTTTTCACAGCGTTTGACTACAAAGTAGAAAATTATCACATCCCATCTGGTCTGTGTTATATATATTAGGTAGTTCTTCTAAAGTAAATTGTTCAAGGTCAGTCTTTCTGTAAGCTCCCTAATGAGCAAATCTAATAAAGGCTTAACATTACCATATAAAGAGAATTAGCATTGTTTATATCAGATAACTGCAAAACAAATTAGTAAATTTCAAGTGTGGTTTCCATAATGCTTTTATCATTAATGTAAAAATGAGTATTTTACTAAAACATCAACATTTTGAAGAAGAATAGAATTTTATTTAATCAAGAATAGTTTCTGCACAACAGTAGACTGATATTTTATTTTCTTCTACCCCTATATTTAATATTTGAAACAAATTTATCATTTCCCCTTTCTGTCCAGCATTTTAATGCCAGCATAAAATTCTGGTTAAGCAATTATCTTGGGTGTTTTAGAGACAGACTATATATGAAAGAAGGTTTTATACACCCACAAGTACTTCTTTACCAGATGTGTTTCATTTCTCATTTATGACCTAACTATATATTTTTATGGGAATGCTTTTAATGCAATGTTACTGGAAATTTTAAATTTAACTTTTCTAATTTCCCCGTAACTGTTGGTTGCCTCATTTATATTAAATCTATGTCTACAGTACAGTAAAACAACTGATAAATTCTAAGAACTGACAATATAGGAGTTAACCCTAAATAAACAGACAAATAAACATTCTGGTTAATGAAGACAAAACAATAGGTTTTATTAAGTATTCATTTTCCAGGAATAGATTTTTTTGTTAAAAATTCTAAATACTACATTATTAAAATCAAAGTATCAAAGCAAAGAAAGTTGCCTTAAATGTTCTTTGTAGTTAAAACACTAATAGCAATGAAATGAGAATCAGACTGGCATCAAACTTCTCATCAGCAACAGTGTTTGTTGAGAAGATAATAAAATCATGCTTTAAATTTCTTATGGAAAAGTCTTTCAAACTAATATTCAACTATTTATCAACTTTGGACATTCAAGTGCTCACAAACTTCACCCTTTACAATTATCTTAGGAAGTTCTATAGAATGCATTTTTCAAAATGAGATACTAAACCAAAGTAAAAGATATGAATCCAGAATGTATAATATACTTCCCAGTGAGTAGACAGAAGCTTATAGAATAACAGATTTGCAGTAAGGCAGGAGATAATTTATTTCAGATTAAATGTGAAAGAGAACTCCAATAGACAAATAGCCTATTTTCAACCAATAACTTCATAAAGTGGCAAAGTAAAAACAATAGCAATCAAATTTAAAGAATACAGATATTTGAGTCAAAATTATTGAATGTGATGAAATCAAATTAGCCAAGAAATAAATCAAATTAGAGAATATTCATTTAAAAGTCATACATAGTAAACAGTGTTATTAAAGCTGTTGCAAGAACTAGATTTGGAAGGAAGGGCTTAACAACTTGTTTCTCTAGCCTTAGGATGCCCGAAGACTTAATTCTTATTCTAGTCCTTCTTTAACTCTAACTCAAGGTATTTATACCTATATCTTTGGAAATACTTAGATTACTATGTATTGACCTAGTAGCTGTACCTCACTGTCAACATTGGTGTTTTTCTTTTTTGGTGTAATTTGTAATCAGTTAGTAACTTGTAATTGATTAGTTATAGCAGCACAAGAGGATTGGACCACATACTCATTAGGATCCTACTTCACTAGATAATTCAAAAGCTGAAGAGACCTCATAGTTGATGATATCACTGTGTTGAGGTAACCATCACTCATCTAGCCTTGATCCTATGACTACATGTATCTGAAATGCTGTGCAATTCAATAACCTCAGCTGCTGTGCTTGGGATCCCTGAGGCTTTTGCTCTACTCTTCCTGCATAGGCTATTCACCTCCCTGTTATCCTTCCTAACAGTGAAGTAAACTTTTTAGGGAGAAACTTAATGTGTTAGTTCTCTTTGTCCAAGAAGGAAATGCCTACACACAATTACACATGCAAGAGATTTATTAGTTAAAGAAAAGTGAAGGGCATCTAGAATAGGCAAGGAGCACCTTCCACCTGTAATACATGCCAAACTCCTGTGAAAGAGCCAGAAATTAGGTAAAAATGGAATTAGATGAGAAGTTTCTCAGACTGCAACAGTGCTTTTTAAGAAGGTTTCAGGAAGGCAAATGAATCCTTGAGCCAAAATTGCCTGTTAGAAGAATTCTTTGTCTTCTAAAATTGGTCCTGCTTAGTACCACGGCTTTGGTCAGGCATTGGGAAGTTGAGCAACCTTCGGGAAACATGGATTTAGCACAAAAGCAGGGATGAATCCAGACTAGTAGTTCCTTGGCCATTAATCAAGAGGTTCCCTATGTAGAATTTCTGAGAGTCTTATTTCAATGGGTATTACAATCCACCACTTGTGACTGACTCATGGTTGTACTGATATATGTCACACAATTTCCAGAAACAGCCCTTCCATGGCTCTTTTGGGCATCTCTTCCTACGAGGAAACTTGGAAGGGGCAGATCTGTGCAATACATATAGCCCCTTTTGCTGCAGTTAGTATCAAGGCCACCAATGGTACTTATTGCCTTCCTTTACTATTCATTCTAAATTCTGTTCATATTCATCTTATCTCCTTGCATGTCTTGGTAGGTTACTTGATGGTGTAATCCAAACCTACATCTTTGCGGAAAATTAGCTTTTGAAAATATGTTTTTAGATTGGGTTACTGCTAATGAAAATTAGCTTTTGAAAATATGTTTTTAGATTGGGTTTTTAGATTGGGTCCATTCAGAAATAGTGGGACAAGGGAGTGCTAGGAGGCATCTTAGTTGATTGCCTGGATTCCATATATATATATTAACCTGACCTCATTATGTAAAGCAGCCCTACCTCTTCCTGCTTATTTTAGTCAATTATGCCTACCATAATGATGTCTTTTCCACTAGTTGATGGTCCTTGAACACAAGAGGTTCACAGTGCTCAGGTGGAAGCTGTCATTCAATCAAACATTGTCTGTGTCCCATGGCAAAAGAAAAAAAAAAAAGCCCTATTTGGGGTATTTGGGGAAAGAACATCCATCCCTGAGGAATGGAAAGCAGAAAAAGCCCACGTGCATCGTGGGGAATGATGTTGGGAACACTCTTACTTCTACCACATTGTTTCCAGAGCAATTTATTCTTCCTATTGTGCATACAGAGCTATATAGAAGCTTCTGATTCGAAGCTTATATTCTGTATTGTAAAAGATAGAAAGCCTTTTTGCCTTTGAGCTTGTGGTTGATCTATGCTTTTAGAAGGCAGCTCCATGACATTGTCTGCTTCTGAATAGTACACTGATGGTACAACAAGTGGATCCTGTGGTTACAGGATAACCACACTCATACTCACTTTGCTATGAAGTGAGTCTCCAGGTTTCATACAATGTAGTCTGGTACCCAGTTGTAGGCAGAATTTGAAGATGATCCCCAAGACTCGTACTACTTCATATGCACACCTACATAATAGAGAACAAAGCATTCTAATTTTATGACTTTCTATGTGCCTTTTTGGAAATATCTCATGGTATATTAATCTCTGTTGCAGATGTTATGTCCTTGATGGGGGATGACATGGTTTTATAGTTTCTTTTGGCCTCCCACACCATGATAGCTCTTACTTCACAGGCCAGTTGAAACTGGCAATATCCTCCACTTGAGTGTGGGTAGGCCTTAACTAATCAGATGTATCTTTTAAAAATGGGTATAGAGAACAGAGAGAATATAAGTCAGAGATACTTGAAGATGCATCAGATGCTCTCCTGTTGGTCTTAAGAAAGGAAACTGCTATGTCATTAAAAATCATGTGGCAGAAAATAAGAGGCAGGCTCTAGAAGGCAAGAGTAGCCCCCAGCTGACAACCAGCAGCGTCCTCTATCCTACAATGACAAGGAAACAAATTTCTGTCCATGATTGCATGAGCGTGGAGAAGACTCTGAGCTCCAGGAAGGAGCACAGGAAACACTTCAAGCTCAGCCTTTGTAAGACTCTAAGAAGGGATTCCAGCTAGGCTATGCCTGGACATCTTATTTACAGAAACTGTAAATAAATAAACGGATGTCATTTTAAACTACTAAATTTGTGAAATTTTGTAATGTTGAAATAGAAAACTGATGCAGCTTCCATGCCTGTGGAAAAGGCATGTGAAAGCTCGCATGCAGTAACATTGGTTATAGCTCTGTAAGCAGGAAAGCCAAATTCATACTTGGAATATCTATTCATGCTTATGAAGACAAACTTAGCTCTTCTATAAAAGTGAAGGCCCAATGTAGTCTGTTTGCTACTAAGTAGCTTGCTGGTATACTTGAGGAATAGCATTATTTCAGTGCTTCAGAACAGGTCTCTGTTTATGAAAAATTGGACATTCCAAAGAGATAGTAGCTAGATTGGTCTTGGTTAGTGAATGTCCATGTTGCTGAGTAAATTATTTGTGTTTATTACTGCCACTGCACTGTGAAGTCGGATTCTATTGCTAAATAAGATGCACAGGACATAAATGAAAATACTTAAAAATATATAGTTTACTCTAGGAAAAGGGTACAGTATATTAGTGACAGTATTAAAGAAAACATACGCATTATAGCCAAATGCTAGCTCATGGCGAGGGGTCTGGAGACATCAGGTGTGAGCTCCTATTTTAATCCATCTCAAAAGGCCATGAATGGATGCATTTTTTTCTTGGATCAGAAACCACCAATATGTGCAGGGAACACCTTGAAATTTGGGAGCTCAAAATGGTATCTTGGCTGGAGACTTTTTATTTGGCTGGCTATGCAACATATTTCTGCTACATAACCAGTTTTATCAGCAGAATCCTCCAGAGTGTCACTGAAACCAGGTGCAAATCATCAATCTCATTGTTATCAATAAACAATCCCAACTAACTGGAATGAATGGTCCAGAAACTCTTCAGACCCATGGTTGCAAAGCAATACTATTAATCAGTATGTTTTGTGCCTCGAGTAAGGGTCATTGTCATAAACGAACGTTAGCAAAGCAGCCCAAGATAATGACAAACCTGCTGTAATTAACCTTGAAAACACAAACATGGCCATTCTATTGATGCATGCCAGTTCAAAATGGCATATGATGAAGTCTGGCCAACATCAACTGGCCATGTCATTCTGTTTGTTTAGTAATCCAGTGACACTTCCATGGTGGTGTTTTATAATGGGCATCCACACTTGGTGCTAATTTCCATATGCCACCCATCCATGTGACTCTATCCAGAGAAATTTGTCTCTGATTTGTCTCTCCTTTTCTTCTAGGCCTCTGGCCAGATGAGTTGTAGAAGACTAGCACTTTCATTAGCTCTGACTGCTGGGAAATAAATTTCTTTCAACTGTAATTCCTGGCCAACTGAATGTGGCTGTAATGCTGATGTCATCCATGTACAGTTAGCACCCACATACTGAGTGAACCCATTCATAAGTGAACCTAGGACTTATGCCTTCTTCTTCAATATAACACACAGGGACATCCATACAAAGAGAGATGTGAAGGAAGAAAGTTTTTGTTTGTTTGTTTGTTTGTTTTGTAACTAGAGTGGTAAAAATAAGAGTCTTGGCTATCCAGCCATGAAAGTGTATCTGTGTCTTCTATTGCTCAAGCTTAGTCCAGGATATATAATTCCCGCATTATGATTACTGATTAGTCTCTCCAACCTCATAACTTGTTAAGTCTGGCAGAAAGCAGCTTGTAATATCAGTTCCATATGCACAATCACTTGCTGCTTAAGTGTTCTGTCTCTACTAGTGATATGATTAGGCTGTGTCCCTACGCAAATCTCATCTTGAATTGTAACTCCCACAATTCCCATGTGTCATGGGAGGAATCTGGTGGGAGGTGATTGACTTATGGGGTGGGTCTTGCCCATGCTGTTCTCATGATAGTTAATAAGTCTCATGAAATCTGATGGTTTTGAAAATGGGAGATTCCCTACACAAGCTCTCTCTTTGCCTGCTGCCATCCATGTAAGATGTGACTTGTTCCTCCTTGCCTTCTGCCATGATTGTGAAGCCTCCCCAGCTATGTGGAACAGTAAGTCCATTAAACCTCTTTTTCTTGTAAATTGCCCAGTCTTGGGTATGTCTTTATCAGCAGTGTGAAAATAGACTAATACAGTAAATAGGTGCCAGTAGAGTGGGATGCTGTGAAAAGGTACCCAAAAATGTAAAAGCAACCTTAGAACTGGGTAACAGGCAGAGGTTGGAACAGTTTGGAGGGCTCAGAAGAAGAAAGGAAAATATGGAAGTTTGGAACTTCCTAGAGACTTGTTCAATGTCTTTGACCAAAATGTTGATAATTATATGGACAATGAGATCTGCTGAGGTGGTCTCAGATGGAGATGAGGAACTTGTTGGGAACTGGAGCAAAGGTGACTCTTGTTATGTTTTAGCAAAGAGACTGGCAGCATTTTGCCCCTGCCCTAGAGATATGTGGAGCTTTGAACTTCAGAGACATGATTTAGGGTGTCTGGTGGAAGAATTTTCTAAGCAGCAAAGCATTCAAGACGTGACTTAGGTGCTGTTAAAGGCATTCAGTTTTAAAAGGGAAACAGAGCATAAAAGTTCAGAAAATTCAGTCTGACAATGCTTTAGAAAATAAAATCCCATTTTCTGAGAAGAAACTCAAGCCTGCTGCAGATATTTGCATAAGTAACAAGGAGCTGAATGTTAATCACCAAGACAATGGGGAAAATGTCTCCAGGGCATGTGAGAGAATTTGAGGCAGCCCCTCCCATCACAAGGTTGGAGATCTAGGAGGAAAAAATGTTTTGTGGGTGGGGCTAAGGGTCCTTCTGCTGTGTGCTGTCTAGGGACTTGGTGCCCTACATCCCAATTGCTCCAGCTGTGACTAAAATGGGTCAAGATACAGCTAGGGCCTTGGCTTCAGAGGCTGCAAGCCCCAAGCCTTGGCAGCTTCCACATGGTGTTGAGCCTGTGGGTGCACAGAAGTCAAGAATTGAGGTTTGGGAACCTCCACCTAGATTTCAGAAAATGTATGGAAACACCTGGATGCCCAGGGAGATGTTTGCTGAAGGGATGAGGCCTTTGTGGAGAACCTCTACTAGGCAGTGCAGAAGGAAAATGTGGGGTCAGAGATAGCACACAAAGTCCCTACTGGGGCACCACCTAGTGGAACTGTGAGAAAAGGGCCACTGTCCTCCAAGCCCCAGAATAGTAGATCCACCGACAGCTTGCACAACATGCCCTGCTGGATTTCGGACTTGCATGAGGCCTGTAGCCCCTTTGTTTTGGCCAGTTTCTCCCATTTGAAATAGTTGTATTTATGCAATGCCTGTACCCCCATTGTATCTAGGAAGTATGTAACTTGTTTTTGATTTTACAGGCTCATAGGCAGAAGGAACTTGCCTTGTTTCAGATGAGATATTGGACTGTGACCTTTTGAGTTAAGAATTTGGGGGACCGTTGGGTAGTCATGATTGATTTTGAAATATGAGGACATGAAGTTTGGGAGGGGCTGTGGGGAATGATATGGTTTGGCTCTGTCCCTACCAAAATCTCATCTTGAATTGTAATTCCTACAATTCCCATGTGTCATGGGAGGAACCCTGTGGGAGGTGATTGAGTTATGGGGGCAGGTCTTGCCCATGCTGTTCTCATGATAGTTAATAAGTCTCATGAAATCTGATGGTTTTGAAAATGGGAGATTCCCTGCACAAGCTCTCTCTTTGCCTGCTGCCATCCATGTAAGATGTGACTTGCTCCTCCTTGCCTTCCACCATGATTTTGAGGCCTCCCCAGCCACGTGGAACTGTAAATCCACTAAACCTCTCTCTTTTGTAAATTGCCCAGTCTCAAGTATATCTTTATCAGCAGTGTGAAAACAGATTAATACAACTAGGCTTCAGTGATATGCCACAAACTCTTCTGTAAAAGATATGTAAGCCTATCCTGCAGAGATTATGTTCTCACACAGGAAGAGACTAGTTTCAGGGTTATATTTGGCCTTGTCCAATATTGTAGTTTTACTCCACAGGCTAAGGAATCAATGTAGGAATTATTCCTACTGGCAAAACTCACAGTACTAATTACACCCTTGCGGATTAAGGGATTGACTACTAGGTAAGTCTGCAGACCTAGTTGGCTCACTGTTAACTACTTTAGCTGGGACTTCATTTTTATTTATCCTTATAAGACCCCCTTCTAATAAAGGAGCTACAAAAAATTTGTGTCTCTGAGGGTCAGTGTCAATCAGACCTTTTGTCTGATAATCCTCACAGTAACTGGAGTTGCCTTTTCCCCAGTGTAGGACCCCCTGAGCATATGGCTGTAGTCTTTGGTGAAAGACTAGGGGAACCATTGCAGTAAATAACAGCTGTGATATTAAAATAGATGTTCTTTGTGTATGAAGAAATATTCAGGTTTTGGTGGCCAGAAGGAAAAACTGCCTCACAATATTTGTGCTGCTTTTCCGTAGAATGCAGTGATTGCCCTGAAATTCCTTGTGAGCTAGGTAAATCATCTCCAAGCCTAGAGAGAAAGAGTGTTTGTGCTTCTCTGCATTCTCCTGCCACTTTCCCTAGCAGAATGCAGAGAAAGCCAATGCCCTGGGACTGGGATTTTTCAAAGTGTGCAACAACATTAGAAGGATCTAGAAATATGCTAGAAGCAAATTATCTGACCTGCCTCTAACTTTGTGAATAAAATACTACTGGGTGGGAGGACATGAGGGGTGGAAGCAATCTTTGTGTCAATATGTCTTCCAGTTACTTTGGGGTCACAGCAAAATTTGAAAATGCCATCATAAGGGACTGTAGAGACAAAGGTTGGCAGGAGACTAGAGCCCTGAGTCACCATGCGTAACAAAGCCCCTGCTATCCAAGAGCAGTGCTATGAACTTTGAGTGTCAAATAGATTCTCTTTTTAGAACTGTTGTACAGTTTAAGTCTATTTTTTACAGTAGTTTTGGATTACCATAGCTAATACAAAGACAAAATAAGAAAATAGAGATGAAGTATAGTTTGAAAAAGACAACTGGTTAAGAATAGATGAGGTCAGATCATAACCAAGGTTGGCAGAGATGTAGCAAATGGACTGTTTGAGTTAGGAAAAATTTTACAATTTGTGTAACCTGATGGTGTATTTGCAGTTTGAAAATAATCTTTAAAAATAAAAATGGTTTTAAAGCAACCTGCTTTCATTACATATATAGAATTGTGTTATAGATTTAAGTTAGTCCATTACTTTATTTATGTATTTGTCTATATATGTATATATGTATGTATGTATGTATTTATTTATTTATTTTTACAATGTGTTACAGTCATTCCTGTCTCTATGCAAGCAACTAATGTGTTGCTTCCAACTAATGTGTAGTATTTTGTGCTGTGCATGCATCCTATTTTATTTGTCTCCTTTCCCAGGAAAGGAAAGCCAGATGGGGGGTACGGCATCCAAACATGGAAAGTAAAGCAGGAATCAGAGAAAATGTGCAAGATATGGGAAAGTCATAGGAAAGGGTGTATACAAGTTTTAATTCTTTTAATTAAAAAATTATCCAACTTTAATTCATATTGCACTTGATCTGCACAATTGATTAAACTACATAGTTTTGCAAAACTAATGTGTAGTAGGTAACATACAAACCATAAGCATCATTACTGTACTTGGTTACTATAGACTACACGAATGTTTTGTAGATAAATGTAATTACCAATGTTTGTATCAATCTGAGTCAAAAGCCAGAAATGTTTTATCTTAAATGACAGTTGTCCAGTTCACAATCCATTGGCTATGGAGGTGTAGAGGTTTGTATTATTTGCTTATGGGTTTTTTTTTCCTTTTCTTCTAAACAATTAATACTTTAAAATTGAAACATTTCCTAAAGAAATTCATGGCAACATTTATTTTTCACAGAAAATATTTTAAGACATTTTTGTAGCAAACACTTACATTATATAGCAAAACGTAACATTCCACAAAAAAAAAATGAAGTAAAAGAGTAAATTCTGATGAAAGTTTTTTGCGTGTGGAAGGTCCCTTCAGGCTACAAATCAGCAGTGAAAGTTTACTTTTCTCCAGCATTAAGGACACTGTCTTGATACATTTTGAGATGCATTGCCTTAGGGAGGCCAGTCATTTCATCAAGAAAAGAGCTAAATGGAGCCTAACTCTTTGGGCAACAAATGGCAAGGTGGTTTTTAGTATAGCATTTATTTTTACAAAAAATGTCATTTCTAAATATTGTGAATGAGACAATAAAGCAAAATATATTCTACATGGTGTTTTTAATGATTTCTTTAGGTCAGGTGCTGATTTTTAAAAACTTTACTCTTAGCACTTTGGGAGGCCGAGGCAGGCCGATCATGAGGTCAGGAGTTCGAGACCAGACTGGCCAACATGGTGAAACCCTGTCTCTACTAAAAAATACAAAAATTAGCCGTGCGTGATGGTGGACACCTGTAATCCCAGCTACTCAGGAGACTGAGGCAGGAGAATTGCTTAAAACCAGAAGGCGGAGGTTGCAGTGAACTGACATCGTACCACTGCGCTCCAGCCTGGGTGAAAGAGCGAAAATCTGTCTCAAACAAACAAAAAACAAACAGACAAAAACAAAACTTTACAACGGTGTTTAAAAACATATCACAAGAAACATAGCTGATAAAACTATTCTTCAAGGCATACACTAATTGAAAATTATCCCTGCCTTTCTTCTTCACTTAATAATTAATATTTATTTTTATTTTAGAGTTTTCTGTATATCAAACTTGAAGCGTAGAGGTTTCAAAAAAGTTGCAGCTTTTAATGTAGGCTCAATCCTCCATTAGAAAATTATTGGACTAGGCACGTGGAATCACACCTGTAATCCCAGAACTTTGGGAGGCCGAGGCAGACGGATCACTTGAGGTCAGGAGTTTGAGACCAGCCTGGCTAACATGGCAAAAACCTGTCTCTACGAAAAATACAAAAATTAGCTGCGTGTGGTGGTGCATGCCTGTTATCCCAGCTATTTGGGAGGCTGAGTCAGGAGAATCGCTTGAACCTGGGAGGTGGAGGTTGCAGTGAGCCGAGATCGTGCCACTGCACTCCAGCCTGGGTGATGGAGTGAGACTGTCAAAAAGAACAAAAAAACAAACAAACAAAAAAACCACTATATTTTTTTGATTGATATTTCACTAAAATAACACTTTGGTTTACATAGTGTTGGCATTCACATTCCATTGATTAATTCCTCTAATTTCATGGAAAATCTCTCATTTGTTTTCATTTTTTTGAAATTGGTAGGCATCATGTTTTATTTTTCATTTTAGAGTATAAACATGTATAATTATTTCCAAATTTATGTTCAGTACTTCACTTGAAGAAAATATTTCTTTACTACATATTTTGTATTTAAATTTTTTGGTGTTTAGAGCATTCATATGAAACAGTGGCCCTGCCTACATATTTTAGAGAATAATAAATAACTCCTATGTGCAAATGCAGTTTATCAAAATAATTTTTCTTTTTTTTTTTTAGACAGAGTCTTACTCTGTCTCCCACGCTGGAGTTCAGTGGCACAATCTAGGCTCACTGCAACCTCCACGTCCTGGGTTCAAGCAATTCTCCTGCCTCAGCCTCCCGAGTAGCTGGGATTACAGGTGCATGCCACTACGCCCGGCTAATTTTTGCATTTTTAGTAGAGACATGATTTCACCATGTTGGCCAGGCTGGTCTTGAACTCCTTACCTCAGGTGATTTGTCCACCTCGGCCTCCCAAAGTGCTGGGATTACAGACGTGAGCCATTGTGCCTGGCCAAAATAATATTTTTAATCATCTTATTTTCTTCTATCTCTGTAACCATTTAAATAAATGCCTTTCCAACAATATCAAATAGTTATCATTTTAGTTATATCACATTAGGTTAGGTTTTTCTGAGCATTCCATCTGCTATAGTGCTAATATATTTTCAAGCATGATTACTGCAGAGAAGCATTTTTAAATTTAATTGTGTTAAATCTGTATCTTAATGAAGTGTCTTATCTCTACTGGTTTTTCAGTTGATTATCTTCTATAGTTGAGGTGGAAAATTCTTTATATTCGCAAATAATCATCATTATGTAACTAAATTTATAATATTTATTCAAGTCTATTATTTTCACTGTTTTAGCTTTCTAAGTGATGTTAAACTTTTGATGACAGTAATCATTTTACTGCCTCTCAATATTATAAATAATGTCAAAAGAGAGTGCAAGAGATGAAAGAGAAAGAACTATTTGTGAAAACAAATTTTTTTCTTCAAATGATTTTTCAGCAGATATCAATATGCTTTTCTTGTTTAATACAATAAAATGTATGAGTAGAGTATCCAAATATTAAATATTCCACAACCCATGAAGGAACCCTTTCTTTTCATTTTATTTTATTTTATTTATTTTTTTTTTGAGACGGAGTCTTGCTCTGTCTCCCAGGCTGGAATGCAGTGGCACGATCTCAGCTCACTGCAAGCTCCACCTCCCAGAGAACCCATTTCTTGATGGCACATTTATTATTCTTTTTGCACACTGTAAGCTACTAGGAGGTAATATAATGCTTAGAACTTTTGCATCAATATGTGTAAGTGAAATTAATCTGTGTAATACCATTATGTATTTTTGCCATTATATTTTTATTTCAGATAAAGTTAACTTTGTAAGTAAACACCATTGGCAACTTTCTTTCTTCCCTGCTATTTCAGACAAGTTAAAAAGGTATAGGTTCTACCTATCCCTAAAAGTTTTGTGAGGGAGTGATATGGTTTGGCTAAGTGTCCGCACCCAAATTTCATCTCAAATTGCCAACCTTAGTTGGAGGAGGGGCCTGGTGGGAGGTGACCGGATGAAAGGGGCAGACTTCTTCATTGCTGTTCTTTTGATAAGTGAGTTCTGATGAGATCTGGTGGTTTAAAAGTGTATGGCACTTCTTTCATTTTTTCTCTCTCCTGCCACCATGTGAAGTTGAGTTTGCTTCCCCTTCACCTTCTACCATGAGTGTAAGTTTCCTGAGGCCTCCCCATCCATGCCTCCTGTACAGCCTGTGGAACTGTGAGTCAATTTAACGTCTTTTCTTTGTAAATTGCCCAGTTTCAGATAGTTCTTTAAAGCAATGTGAGAACAAACTAATACAGGGAGTTTTCTTAATATTTATAGTTATAAATGTACTTAGATATTTAAAGTTTTTCTTGAATTATTTTTTCATTTACCTTCTCAGGTAATTAATTAAAACAAAATAGTCAAATTTACTTAGTTGCATTTGTAGAAAAGTATCACTCTCAAGTATTTAATTTACTTGATAAATGTGATCATATGTCTTGTCTTTCTCTCATAAACTTTGATTATTTCTGGACTTTTCTTCATTAATTTTTATCTATTCATTTTATACCAGTAGTCTTTTTTTTTTTTTTTTTTTTTTTTTGTGATGGAGTCTTGCTCTGTCGCCCAGGCTGGAGTTCAGTGGCGCTATCTCGGCTCACTGCAAGCTCCGCCTCCCGGGTTCATGCCATCCTCATGCCTCAGCCTCCTGAGTAGCTGGGACTACAGGTGCCCGCCACCACGCCCAGCTAAGTTTTTAATATTTTTTTAGTAGAGACAGGGTTTCACCGTGTTAGCCATGATGGTCTTGATCTCCTGACCTAGTGATCTGCCTGCCTAGGGCCCCCAAAGTGCTGGGATTACAGGCGTGAGCCACCGCGCCTGGCCCCAGTAGTTCTTAAATCAATTTGTCATAACAGCTTTCTAGTTGCATTAGTCCATTATCTCACTGCTGTAAAAAAATACATGAGACTGGGTAATTTATTAACTCATGGTTCCACAGGCTGTATGGGTAGCATGGCTGAGGAGGCCTCAGGAAACTTTCAATCATGGTGGAAGGCAAAGGGGAAGTAGGCTGGTCTTAAGTGGCTGGAGCAGGAGGAAGAAAGAGAAGGGGGACATGCTATACACTTTTAAACCACCAGATATCATAATCTCACTCACTCTCACAAGATCGGCAAGGGGGAAATCGCCCTTATGATCCAATCACCTTCAGCCAGGCCCCTCCTCCAACCCGGGGGATTACAATTCGACATGAGATTTGGGCAGGGACACATATCCAAACCATATCACTAATTAATTGTTTCTTGTTTATATTTAAAAATTCCTTCCTTTTGTGATTTCTGTTTCCATAAAAGTTATTTTTTAACAACTAAAAGTTAATATTTAAGTAATTTTTATTATATTTTCTGTTATTATTGAAAAGATTATTAGGCCTATAGCTTTTACTGAAAGTAAGTCTAAATTTATACAGATGCCTATAATAAGCATTTCTTTCATTCCATTATTTTGTAATATAGAGTAATCAAATTTTTGCTTACCTATCACAACTTATGCAGGCAAATTTGATTTATTATATGCTATTTATGGTGAAATTCTTTATTAAATCTCTTATAATCAGCTATTATGAGACTAAATAATAAGTGCTACTTGTTTAACTGAGTTGTGAATAATGTTTATCATTTTAATGAGTCAAACCTTCCTGGGATATTGTGAGGGGTTTCATTTTGCAAAGATGGACATAACATTGCCCATCCCACATGCTCTTTTGCTGTGTCACCTTGTCATTCTACAAGCAAGAAGAGAAATGAATAAAAAAAATGTGGTGGAAGACGTTATATATAAATTCTTAACCTATGTCAGAAAGGCCATGCCTTTCAAGTAGAAAACTTGTTCTTTGATTGCTGTGTCTTTTGATACTGCCTCTCACAACTGCCATGTTGTGAGAAGCCCAAAGAAAATATAAAATCTGCAATTAGAATTCATTTGAGGGTGCTGTTTGATCCCAGGCTTGAAGTCATCTCAACCCAGGTACCATACACATGAGTGAAGATGTATCTAGATAATCCCACCCCTTAGCTTCTTATACTACCTGCATTTATTCAAGTCATAGCTGAAGCCCTTTCATCATAGAGCAAAGACAAAACATCCCCAATGGGACTTAGAATTCTTCATATGTAGGATCTAAGAGCATAATGAAATGTTTATTTACATTGCTAATTATAAGTAATTGGTTATGAGTAATATTTATATTCATTATTTGTATTTTAATAGAAAATAATTCTTCGGGAAAGTTAGTTTTACCTCTGACTAGGTAAGAATAATACAATTGTGAAACTTTTAAAATATAAAGCCACCTAATTTCTCCTCTGCACTGCATTTTTTGTTTGTTTGTTTGTTTTTCTTTTTCTTTGAGACAGGGTCTCACTCTGATGCACAGGCTGGAATGCAGTGGCCCAATCTTGGCTCACTGCAGCCTCTGCCTCCTGGGCTCAAGCAATCCTTTCATATCTGCCTCCCAAGTAGCTAAGACTACCAGCATGCACACCCATACCTGGCTAACTTTTTTGTATTTGTGGTGGAGACGGGGTTTTGCCATGCTACCCAAGCTGGTTTCAAACTCCTGGGCTCAAGCAATCTGCTGACCTCAGCCTCCCAAAGTGTTGGAATTACAGGCATGAGCCACTGCGCCCAGTTTGCACCATTTAAATTAGTGGTTATGGAGTGATTCTGTATTTTAAAAATCTACACAAGAAAACTTCCTGAATGACTAAGAATAAGACCCCGGTGTTAATCTCAAATGATGAATATCAGTATCAGCAACACAGAAGCATAGGAGATATTTTGAGGACACTTTGCTGCCAAAAACATATTTTCTGCTTTTACATCAGACTACTAGGGAATGGTAATTACAGTGCAATTAATAGGTTTATGTCTCTTAGTACATTTTATGTTGCCGACACTATTGAGTCCATCGAAATACATGTTTATAATGATAAGACACTAGATAGAGTAGGAGTTCAGAACATAAATATGTCACCTTGGAATAAAGATTATTTTGAGCTAAAGGTACTTAAAAAAAGAAAAGTAGATGCAAAAAGACCTCTCTGACCCTTCCTTTTTCCTTCCTGAATGCAGGAAATAAAACTCTCCTCTGGAAGATGTCCTCTCTAGAACAAAAGCAAAGTAACATTCTTATCATCAAAGGCAGGAAGTTGAAGCTGGGAGAAATCTTTACAATAAAATTTTTAAAACTATCCCTTATCCTCCTACTTACTTCTTCACCCAATTAAGTACCCTAGTCCAAACCCATTTGCCTTGACACATTTCCACAATGTACTACTCTGTGTCCAACCCATACATAAGTGTTTGATTCTGTTTCTTTGGATTTTCCTTTTCCCTTAAGGACTACCATGTCATGTAAAACTCTAATTAAATACATTTTTATGCTTTTCTTCTGTTAATTTGTCTTACATCAGTTTAACTCTCGGGCCCAACGGAAAACCCTAAGAGAGCGGAGGGACAATTTCGCCTCCCCTACGATAGAAATTGGAAATAGATGTTGTTTATGTTTACTACTTAATTGGCTTATTTTATGTGATTCTTCTAGTTTATGTAAAACCCTACTTTTGTTTCACAAAGAGTAGATATATTTTTCCACCTCTTAGAGAGTCAATCACTTAATATTGCTTGTACTGCAATTTACAACCACCAACAACAAAAAATTTAGATCAGTTTGCAATCTGTATATTTTTAACACCCACTTATTGAGGGATCTTATAATTGCATAGAAAGGAAGGAAAAAGTACTGCACACTTACAGCTTCCTTTAGTTTTTTACCTAGTCCTTTATTGTTGAGGATAAACCTACAGGAAAATCAAAAGTAATAAATAGAATGATAAAAATAAACTCATAGAAAGTGAACACAAGATAAATGAAGCAATAAGGGAGGAGAATAGCATTTATAAACAATATGTGAATATAGTTAGTAAAATTTGAGGAATCATACCACCCTTTACCCATTAACTCACACAAGAACCAAACGCTATGAAACAACATACCATTAGATAAAAATAAACCATTATTTAATAATGCTTTAATAAGGCATTATTTATAACTGAAACTTTGGTTGCTAAGATATAAACAGAATATAAGTAGGAGGAATAAAAAAAGAAACTCAGGCAACAGCCACCAGAAAGAAAGAAAAAAAAGAGAGAGAAAGAAAGAGGGAAAGAAAAAGAAGAAAGAAGTAGAAGGAATGAAATAAAAGAAAGAATGTAGAAAGAAAAGGAAAGAAAGCAAAAGAAAGGCAGGAAAAAAGGAAGGAGGGAGGGAAGGAGGAAAAGAAGGAAAAAAACAGAGATAAAAAGAGAAGGAGAAAGGAAAGGATGGAAAGAGGGAGGAAGGCAAATGGTACAATTACTGAACAATTGACTTTTTCTTAAGTTAATGTGTATGTAATACAGTTATTTACTCAAGAGAAAAAAAACTTATGTCAATACAAAAATCTATGCACGAATATTCAGAGAAGTTTTGTTATCATTAAAACTGTAAACACTTTAAATAAGCTAAGACAGCTATATATCTAAATAATTTGTTGACTGTCCAGAGTGATGATATTTAGCAAAAAAGAAAAGAATGACTAATAAACATAACAACATAAAGCTCAAAATAATTATGCTTTGGAAAGAAGCCAGACCAAAAAAAAAAAACATACAAAATTATTTCAATTATATAAAAATATAGAAAATATGAATTAATTTATGTAGAAAATACAAAGTAATTTACAGTGATGAAAAGCAGAACTTTTGTCCGGTGTAGATATGTTTGTTATTTTGATGGTGAATAGTTCATTCACACACAAACATTCCTATTAAATGTTGCAACTTATTATGTGCATTTTATCATGTCAACTATACCTCAAAAATATTGTAAAACTTAATGTTATGGAGGTTTACTTTAATATCAGTTTCAGAAAAAAATCTGACAGAAAAGTAAGGAAGGCAATTTTGAATTGATAAAAATATATGGTATTCTTGCTTTGAAGTTTGGCCTAAGTGTTCAAAGAAAAATATCTCATTGAATGTCAGGTTATGCGTAGTAAAAGTCTGACACACAAGCATATACTCCTTGAAAATTCAGAATTATAATAAAAAATACTGAATGGTTTAAGAAAGAAATTAGGTAACCACCAACAAGTAAAAATTAAAATCAGATTGTCTACACAGTTTTCTATAACAAAATGGATAAATATCCTCAACTTTTTAAAAGAAAATGGCTTGGGATTTTTCATTAAATAATAACCAAAATAGGAATCACATGTGAAGGCAAACAAGAAAAAGTTAAAAAATAAGAAAATTAAGTATTGTGATTCACATAAAAATTAAGTATTAGACCACATTAAAAGTGTAATGAACTAAATTCTCTGGATTTGGACACACTTTAGTTCTAGAAAGCAGCTGGGGCAGGATGAAGCAGGAAGATAAAGGGTCTGGAAATTACAGCTTTAATTAGTAGATGGACAGTTCAAATAGAGTGAAGACATTTGTTCACTGTATAAGCAAAAGAGTATTAGTAATCTTAAGTGAGAATATTTAAAAAGAAGGTATGGCCAATTTATGAAGCAAATAGAACTGGTGTTTGATTAATAGATAGACAATTCAAAAATATTTTAAATTAACATTTTAGGTGTTTTCTCTTGAACTATGTAAGAAAGGAGGCAATGAAGCCATTATACAGACAATGCCAGTTTATTCATCAATTGGAATTATGTATTCAACGACCTTTGCTTAGTCATAATGCAGGAAGCATCATATTTTCAAAGATTTTTAATTTTGAAAGTCAATTCATCTACAAAGCATGACAAGTCTAATTACATCCATAGAAATAAATATTAAATTATTGTATCTTAATAATTCAGAAAGTCATTGTGTGCCTGAATTTAATTGGAAGTCACCTTGTCTGGGACAGAGAGTAACAGGAGAAGCCAAGGAGGTCACCATGACCTGATGCTCGGCTGTCTAAAGTAGATATAACCAAAAACAGGAATGCAATTATTGTAGAGGTATTAGTATATTTCTATAGGATTACTGGTAATCCTGATTATAGTGTTAGATAACTATATTAAGTATTTATAAAGTGCCAGACATGGTTCTAATTAAATCATATGCATTCTCTCACATAATCCACATAACTGCCTTGAACATAGGTAGTTGACTTGACATTACAGAATAGAAAACCAAGGCAGAGAAAAATTATTTAACTTGCTCAAATTCAATACATTGTAAATACACACCCATATATCTATCTATATCTATATCTATATATCTATATCTATATATCACTTGTCTGTTTATCTAGACAGAGCAAAGTAAATAAAAGAGAGAGTGAAACAGAGAGAGAGTTTCAGTCAGGATCTGAATCCAGATAGTCTATAAAATATGCTAATTTAAATTAACTAACTGAGTTGAATTAGCTGCTAACTAGATAAGTAATGTTAATAACATGAATATAGGAAATGAATGATAGTAGAGTGACTATTAGTGAAATAAGCAGTAATGTTCCAAAGATGGGAAGTCAATAGATAGTTTATATATATGTAGTTTACAACTATATATGTAATATGTGTATGAAGAAAGAGATACAAATACTTTTATATAACCATTTAAATAATTATTTTTAAATTTTTTATTTATACACATTATTTTGTTAATATATAAAAATTTCATGTACTCTTATTATCCCCAAGCACTGAATAAAGTTTCCTTGCAAATTTGTTTTTAATAACAGGCATCCATGTACATATTTAATAGACAAAATATGCACAAACACTCACAGGGTATCTAACTACAATGCAAACAAATTTTGTTGGTTCACATGCCCAAAAATATATAGCATTCTGTTAATTTTATAGTATAGTCAAATAATTATTCTAGTCAGGGTATTTTCAAGTTGCTGGAATACTACAGAAAAGGTAGATTTAGTACAATTGCCATGCTCACTAGCCTATTTGCAGAAAGAGTACCTCCTAAAATTTACATTTTCATAGTTCTTGTGGTACTTATGCATTCATCAGACTATCTACAGAAATAGAGATTGAGTTGTGAAGAATGAAAAGAGTAAATAACTAAATATATTTAAATATACTAAGCTTGGGAATAGAGGGGTAAAAAGAAAAAAATAAGCAGGGAACAGATAAAACTGTCTTTAGGTTGAAATTTTAAAAATGGCTCCACAAATTTACTGGCATGGAGTCATTTAAGATATGGAAATTTATTAACAGTGTGGCTTTTACTACAAATTACTTAAAGCTGCTTATACATGTACACAAAGCAGTTAATAGTTTGCAGAGTTTCTGCCATAAATGCAAGTCACTTTTACACAAGATTTAGATTCCGACACTATGTGAAGTTGCTAAGTGACAGAGGTATGCCTTTCCTTTCCTTCATAGAAGCTATGGCAATATGTCATTGTATTTTCTGTAAATACTAAACACTCTTAAAAACATATTTATAATGACTTCTCGCTTTTGCAAAGAAAATATTTTTTAAAAAACACAAAAATTAGTCTTTGCAAGGAATGTCAGACTTCAAAGATGTTTACTTTATTGTCTCAAACATAATAGTGTCATAAAAGAGCTCTACCCTTCCATGTTTTAGAAACAAAAGATGAAATACATAAGAGTTTTTTTACATTGATTAAACTAATTACCTAGATTATGTCTGTATAACTGAAACATGAATATGGCGAACACTTCACTTTTCTCCAGATTTCATGGTCCATAGGAAGGTTCTCTAAAGTTATCACTCTTCAAATGTCTTGTATTTGTGACCAAAAAAGAAGTCTCTCCAGCATTCTCTTATTATTTGATCTCCCTCTGTTCTACACCTCAGTCACTACCGTCTAACATGAATTTTTATTTATTCACAAAATTAGAAGGAAGGGGCAGATATTTAAAAATATTTAAGTCTTTTGAATTTAAAGTAAATATAATGAAATATTGCTATAGCTTTGGTGGAAGTATAGGGATGAAGATATAACTATCTCTTACACTTAAATTCTTATGCTGTTGTTAAAAACTGGTCATTTCTGTTCACGTCCTCATTGTCAGGAACTTATCGTATTGACACTTCTGGCTTCAATGGAAGAAAGTATGTCTGGCCTATTTATACCCTCTCACCTAAATTTTTATTCACAAAATTAGAAGGAGGGTGAAAATATTTAAGAATATATTTAAGTGTTATGAATTTAAAGTAAATATAAAGAAGTATTGTTATAGCTTTGGTGAAAGGATAGGGATGAAAATATAATTGTATCTCTGCCACTTAAATTCTTATACTATTGTTAAAAACTGGTCATTTCTGTTCACATCCTCATTGTCAGGAACTTATCATATTGACACTTCTGGCTTCAGTGGGAGAAAGTATGTCTGGCCTAGCTTGGTCACCATATGCCTACTTAAAATTCAGGAGCATTTACTAAATAGAAAAAAGAAGACATTGCATGTGGAATAGTAATAAGCTCTGCTTCTGCTACCCAAAGATCCATGAATACTTTTGTAATTGCACAAACTTAACCCTCCATGAAATGAAGAAACTAAAGTTTGGTAATGATCACATCTTCATCTAAGTTTAAGATTTCTAAGTGTTGTGCAGACCTTTTCATGAGTTTAGATGAAGCTATTTGTAGTCTAATGACTTATAATAGAATGGAAATTATAGCTAATATCCAACTATGCTGTATGAACAAGGTAGGCTCAACAAAAATTTTCATTAAGAGAACAAAAGAATAAGAAACACCCAACACTCTCTTGTTCATAGGAGTTATAAAATACCGGTGGGCAGGAATTTTGAAAAGTCCCTGCTTTGGCAGTAGACCACGATATTTGTGGACAAACTGGTTTTGCTCTCTGGGTTGACTTTGTTTTCTGCTGTGTTCCGTAGCCCCTGGCTTTGCTTACTGGAAGAATTATTCTCGCTCAGTCTCATATGCAGGCACGTCAGAAATATGAGGCTGCACAGCTTTCCCAACAGGCTTCCATCTGGTGCAGGTTTAGAGCCCAGGGTTTGCTTTAAAATTTGAACAACTATTATATTTTGCAGGCCAGACTTGTGGTGTCTTTGGCAACATAAGACCCTAGAAACTGACTTGGCTTTGGACCTATTTTCTTTCATTCAGTTCTTCGGGCAAATGAACGTAGCCAAAGGGCTTGTCTAGACAAAACACTGAATGCTTCTTGTCTACCATCAATGCCTTTGTGCTGATCCCTTTCCTTCATCTTTCTTAAATTAATGGTGGCAAACTTCAGGGTATCTAAAATTACTGACTTCGGTGGGAAGGTAACATCTTATACCTGGTATTTGGCTTTGGACTGCCTCCAATTGTCTGTGACAAATATTCAGGCCTTAAAACCCCTTGCTGTATTATCTCTTACTAAGGCTACCTCTCCATAGCCACCTATTACAATAAGCCTCACTTAATTTTCTTCTTAATTTGTTCAAGTCAAAAGCAGGAGCCGGCACACAGTTACATTTTGAGACTTACAAACTAGTCCTACTAATGCTCAACCTCTCAGTAACATGGACAGCTACTGAGAATAACACAAATTTCAGTTTCACCAAATATTTTGCAGTAGACTAACAAATAACTCAGGTTCTTTGCCTTATGCCACCAATAACTAGCCAATACCTTATATTTTAACCCATTTTTGGTATCACCTACCATATCAGCCTGGATTCAGGACAATAAATAAAAGGAATTTTAGGTGTTTTAAATTACAAAACATTTAGCTGGAAAGTATTATATATTTACCATATTGTTGAAAGGGATAAAGGACCAGGCTTTAGACAGGGACACCATGAATGAATCCTATAAAATATTATAATATTATTACCCATCAAATAAGGTTCCACTTGTCAAGCCAACACAAGAACTCTGAATTTAAGACCCCTTTAACTATAGCTGATATAAAAGGATAAAAAATAAGCCAAAACCACTGCTTCAGAATGAAGTTGAAGATGGACAATGGTGATTGCAATAATGGCAAAGGGTAACCTGATGTCTCCAAAACCTTGCATAACAGCAGAAAACTTGCAGAATGAAGTAGGAAAATAATCTCTATGTTAATTGTGCCTTCCATGTCTTGTATAAATGCATCTAAATCTGTAAAAGCCTTATTTATATTCATAACTCTAGCCACGAAGTTCATGGAAATGCATGAACTTGGGAAGTGCAGTTTTCAAACTTTAAAACCTCTGTGGTATATGAAGGCATCCTGGAAGGAGTGTAGTGTGGCATATCACAAATATCTGCACATTTTATATTTTTGCCTGTTCAAAATCCATGAAAATATTTCTACTGAAACTTCAAAACAGAACCAGTAATAATAAAGCATACTTTTCCCTAGCATACATAATTGCATAATTATGAAAGCACACTCAATCTGGTATCCATAGGAGAGATCCAAAATCATATTTGACATTTTATCCATAACTAGGTACTCATTAAATACTCTTCTAGATATTCTAAATTATTATTTTATAGAATGCAGAGCCACTAAAATAACCTAGATTATACAGGAGAAAAAGGTAAGAGAAAAAATGATATAGTTAATATTTATAATTGTCTTGTAAACATAGGAGAGAAAAATAATACATATAAGTACTACGTTTATATACACCATGTAAAGTTATTTAGTGTTATACTGTACCATCTTATGTGATATCATTAATATCACATGTATCACATATATATTATGGAAATCATTTTATTGGTTGTAGGAAACTGTTATGAAGAAGGAAGCACTTCTTTCTAATTTGGAGAAACACATACTCATTATTGGTTTTATTTTTATCTTATCTCCTTATTGACTAGAGTATGGGTAACCTGTACTTAATCCTTCTTAATCTTATTTGGTGTTGCCCATAACTTCAAAATTGTCAATGTTTATTCTGACAGTATTGGATCAGGCTGGGTGCATGTATGAATAAAAGAAAGGGCTCAAAGTCAGCAATAGAAATGTAACCTTTACCTAATTGAATACCCTTTATTTCTTTTTCCTGCCTGATTGCCTTGGCCAGAACTTCCAACACTATGGTGATTAGGAGTAGTGAGAGAGGACATCCCTATCTTGTGCCAGTTTTCAAAGGCAATGCTTCCAGTTTTTGCCCATTCAGTATGATATTGGCTGTGGTTTTGTCATAAATAGCTCTTATTATTTTGAGATACGTCCCATCAATACCTAATTTATTGAGAGTTTTTAGCATAAAGGGCTGTTGAATTTTGTCAAAGGCCTTTTCTGTATCTATTGAGATAATCATGTGTTTTTTGTCTTTGGTTCTGTTTATATGCTGGATTATGTTTATTGATTTGCGTATGTTGAACCAGCCTTGCATCCCAGGGATGAAGCCCACTTGATCATGGTGGATAAGCTTTTTGATGTGCTGCTGGATTCAGTTTGCCAGTATTTTATTAAGGATTTTTGTATCGATGTTCATCAGGGATATTGGTCTAAAATTGTCCTTTTTTGTTGTGTCTCTGCCAGGCTTTGGTATCAGGATGATGCTGGTGTCATAAAATGTGTTAGGGAGGATTCCCTCTTTTTCTATTGATTGGAATAGTTTCAGAAGGAATGGTACCAGCTCCTCCTTGTACCTCTGGTAGAATTCGGCTGTGAATCCATCTGGTCTTCTTTTGGTTGGTAGGCTATTAATTATTGCCTCAATTTCAGAGCCTGTTATTGGTCTATTCAGGGATTCAACTTCTTCCTGGTTTAGTCTTGGGAGGGTGTAAGTGTCCAGGAATTTATCCATTTCTTCTAGATTATCTAGTTTATTTGCATAGAGGTGTTTATAGTATTCTCTGATGGTAGATGGTATTTCTGTGGGATTGGTGTTGATATCCCCTTTTATCATTTTTTATTGCATCTATTTGATTCTTCTCTCTTCTTCTCTATTAGTCTTGCTAGTGGGCTATCAATTTTATTGATCTTTTAAAAAACCAGCTCCTGGATTCATTGATTTTTTGAAGGGCTTTTTGTGTCTCTATCTCCTTCAGTTGTACTCTGATCTTATTCAGTTAGGAAAAGAGGAAGTCAAATTGTCCCTGTTTGCAGATGACATGATCATATATTTAGAAAACCCCATTGTCTCAGCCCAAAATCTCCTTAAGCTGATAAGCAACTTCAGCAAAGTCTCAGGATACAAAATCAATGTGCAAAAATCACAAGCATTTTATACATCAATAACAGACAAACAGAGAACCAAATCATGAGTGAACTCCCATTCACAATTACCTCAAAGAGAATAAAATACCTAGGAATTCCACTTACAAGGGATGCAAAGGACCTCTTCAAGGAGAACTACAAACCACTGCTCAACGAAATAAAAGAGGACACAAACAAATGGAAGAAGCTTCCATGCTCATGGATAGGAAGAATCAATATCCTGAAAATGGCCATACTGCCCAAGGTAATTTATAGATTCAATGCCATCCCCATCAAGCTACCAATGACTTTCTTCACAGAATTGGAAAAAAATACTTTAAAGTTCATATGGAACCAAAAAAGAGCCTGCATTGCCAAGTGAATTCTAAGCCAAAAGAACAAAGCTGGAGGCATCATGCTACCTGACTTCAAACTATACTACAAGACTACAGTAAACAAAACGGCATGGTACTGGTACCAAAACAGAGATATAGACCAATGGAACAGAACAGAGCCCTCAGAAATAATACCAACCATCTGATCTTTGACAAACCTGACAAAAACAAGAAATGGGGAAAGGATTCCCTATTTAATAAATGGTGCTGGGAAAACTGGCTAGCCGTATGTAGAAAGCTGAAACTGGATCCCTTCCTTACACTTTATACAAAAATTAATTCAAGATGGATTAAAGACTTAAATGTTAGACCTAAAACCTTAAAAACCCTAGAAGAAAACCTAGGCAATACCATTCAGGACATAGGCATGGGCAAGGACTTCATGACTAAAACACCAAAAGCAATGGCAACAAAAGCCAAAATTGACAAATGGGATCTAATTAAACTAAAGAACTTCTGTACAGCAAAAAAAAACTACCATCAAAGTGAACAGGCAACCTACAGAATGGGAGAAAATTTTTGCAATCTACTCATCTGACAAAGGGCTAATATCCAGAATCTACAAGGAACTCTACAGTGAATCTACAATGAATCTACAATGAATCTACAATGAACAAATTCACAAGAAAAAAAGAAACAACCCCATCAAAAAGTGAGCAAAGGATACGAACAGACACTTCTCAAAAGAAGACATTTATGCAGCCAAGAGACACATGAAAAAATGGTCATCATCACTGGCCTTCAGAGAAATACAAATCAAAACCACAATGAGATACCATCTCACACCAGTTAGAATGGCAATCATTAAAAAGTCAGAAAACAACAGCTGCTGGGGAGGATGTGGAGAAATAAGAACACTTTTACACTGTTGGTGGGACTATAAACTAGTTCAACCATTGTGGAAGTCAGTGTGGCAATTCCTCAGGGATCTAGAACTAGAAATACCATTTGACCCAGCCATCCCATTACTGGGTATATACCCAAAGGATAATAAATCCTACTATAAAGACGCATGCACACATATGTTTATTGTGGGACTATGCACAATAGCAAAGACTTGGAACAAACCCAAATGTCGATCAATGACAGACTGGATTAAGAAAATGTGGCACATATACACCATGGAATACTATGCAGCCATAAAAAAGGATGAGATCATGTCCTTTGTAGGGACATGGATGAATCTGGAAACCATCATTCTCAGCAAGCTATCACAAGGACAAAAAACCAAACACCGCATGTTCTCACTCATAGGTGGGAATTGAACAATGAGAACACTTGGACACAGGAAGGGGAACATCACACACGAGGGCCTATTTTGGGGTGGGGGGAGGGGGAAGGGATAGCATTAGGAGATATATTTAATGTAAATGACAAGTTAATGGGTGCAGCACACCAGCATGGCACATGTATACATATGTAACAAACCTGCACGTTGTGCACATGTACCCTAGAACTTAAAGTATAATAATAATAATAATAAATAAATGTTACCTTTACCTTGTTGGTAATATCTATAATGACTTGTCCTTCTGTCTTAATAGTCTGTACTTTACTTTTCCGAGGACATTCACATAAACAATTAACTTTTTCTGTATCTTTTTCCAAAGAGGAAATTAATATCACAGTGTTACACTAATGGTTTCATGATGAAGATGTACAATTGCAGTATAGCTTAGAGTTTAGTATATTTGTGGATGCTGCTTTACCTAATTTACTGAACCACTGCTGTGGACTGAATGTTTGAAGCCTAATCCCCAATGTGATAGTATTTGGAAGCCTACCTCCCCAGTGAGGTAGGGCCTTTGGGAAATAATTATGCCATGAGAGTGATTCCCTCCTAAAGGAAATTAGTGCCTTTATAAGGAAGCATGAGAGAGATTATCTCTCTCCAGGCCATGCAAGCATAGATGCAGAAGGTGAAGTCTGCAAGCCAGAAAGCAGGCTATCACTAGGCACTATATATTTTGGAGCTTTGATCTTGGACGTCCAGAACTGTGACAAATAACATGTTTGTTGATTAAGACACCCAATCTGTATTACTTTTGTTATAGGAACTAGAACACACTAAGACAGCTACCAATAATGCCAACTTGGGGGAAGTGAGGATAATGGAAAGCTCTGTATTTGGTGTTGGCTACACTTAAAAGAGTAATCCCTCCCCTCTCCCCAGGCTATTGTGGCTGGAAAAAATGGAAAATTGTAATAAAGAGCCTTGGGAAAGAGATAGATTGACAGTTCATGGACTAGTAAGCCTGAGTCCAGGATCTTAGTATGTATTTGTGATCCATACAGTGATAGAAAAAGGGAGATAAATTTTTCATAATAAACATAATGAATTTGAGTATTTATTCAATGTGCCAACTAATGAAATTGTGAATAAGAAGTTATGGTTATAGAAAGGAGAAAATTCTTTTGCTGAATAATATAGCTGCTTAAAATATCATCTGATAATGCCATTGATGAATATATTCTCATTTGTGGGAGAATCGTCCACCTCATCCCCACTCCACAATAACATATTTATTGACACAACATTTAAATTGTTACATATTCTCAGAAGTTATCAATCTCATATGTCATCAAATATATGAATAATAGAAAAGGTTATGAACTAATGTAGACATGGAAATAACAGTTCTCTATTGTAGTGGCCTAAATTAATCAGACACAATTTTTGAATTTTTTTTCAGCATTAATACTTACTTTGCTTTCAGAGAAACAGTCCAGCACGAATGCAATAATGTAAGGTAGGTGTCAATTCAGAGGATGCTGTTTAAGTTTGGGAATTCCTTAGTTTTTATGCTCTATGAATCACATAGGCAAAAGGGTTTCCATGACTAACTTCTACTCTACAGCCAGATTTATTTCAGAAGAGCAGTCTAGATAGATCAGGTACATCCTGCTAAAAATATTTTTAGATAATTTCCTTGGCTACCTTCCTGCTCATAAAATAACCTTAGCATGTTTACAAGGAAATGTATTAGTTCCACATTTACTTAGGTGTCCCCAAGGAAGAAAGGAATAAGTTACATGCCTGCTGTGGTTTCCTTTTTTTCTTTGCAGGTACCTTGGGAGAAGAACAGATAGAAACTAATTAATTACACTGGACACTTTCCAAAATAGTGAGAGATTATACATATTATGCATATTAGTAGAATTAGACATATTCTTCATTAGACATATTATCCCATCCATCCTGTTTCATTATTAGTTTCATTCATATGTTTCTGAATCTGTTAAACCTTATTAAACCATATAATGTTGCTTCTGAATAAAAAAAAACCTCTTTTTTCAGTGAAAGAAATAAAAAAAAACTTGAGCTCTTGTGATTTACCACTCTTATATGCTAAATCAGCCAGAAAATATGGCCCTGTATTTTATTGAAATGTTAGAAGTTTCTAGCTTCCAAGACTACAAGGTTCTATTTCTCAGGATACTGCACATTTTCTGACAATAAACAAAGTAGAGTTCTGTTCTTCCCATTTTGAGATTTCATAGATTTGAGACCTGCTTTGAACTGAATGTTTGTGTTCCCTGGGAATTCAGATGTTGAAATTCTAACCCTTAAGATGACAGCGTTAGGAAATAGGGCCTTTGGGAGGTGGTTACCTTGTGATGGTGGCTCCCTCATGAATGACTTTCCTTTTATAGAGGAGACCCACTAGAGCTACCTCACCTTTTCACCACGTGAGAACACAGTGAGGGGGCATCATGCATGAACCAGGAAACAGGCCCTTACCAGACACCCAAATTGCTGGTACCCAAACCTTGAACTTTGAGAAATAAACTGTTAATTGTTTATAAATCACCACTCAGTTTATAATATTTTGATATAGCAGCCCAAACAGAGTAAGATGAAGTCCAAATTTTGGAACTGGGGATGACTTTTGTAACAATTTTATTTTCTTAGTCACTAATATTATTTTTATTATTCTTCCCTGTGGTTCTAGAATCTGCTTATATTTCCATTATGGATCACAATAATTGTTTCACCATTGTTGGAAATTGAGCCTTCTGCTGAGCTATTTTGAGATCTTCATGACACAGCTAATATAAAACATGTGCAATTATATCTACAATCCTGAAGATCAAAGAGGAAGGAAGATTTCTTTTATATGGTGAAATTGTAGAGATGGGTGAATAGAATATATATAAACTCAGGGATTCCTGAGTTTCAATATTATATCATATCAGCTGTGCTATGGACTAAGTGTTTGTGCCCCCACCACCCCCTGCTCTAAATTCATATATTGAAGCCTTAATCTCCAATGTGATGGTATTTGCCCTTGGGAGGTGATTAGATTTAGATGAGGTCAAGAATGCACAGTCCCCATGATTAGATTAATGCTCTTGTAAAAGGAGGAAAGGATATGAGATCCCTTTTTCTTCATGCTCACACCAAGCAAAGGCCATATGAAGACGTAATCAGGAAGAGAACCCTCGTTGAGAACTTAACCATGCTGGCACTCGGCTCTTAAACTTGCAGCCTCCAGAGCAGCAAGAAATAAATGTTTGTTGCTTAAGCCACCTAGCCTATGGAAATCTTTGGTAGCAACCTGAATTAAGTTAAAGTGATAAAAGTTAGGGCAACTGTTTATATTTGGTAGTAGTTTTCCATGTTCCATAATCTAGTGTGATGCTCTGTTGTACCTCACCCGTCAGATCATAATGGGACAGATTTTCCTCCTTATCAGCAACAAATAGTTAAAGTGCAGGCATCGGAAGTCACATCAGTTAATTGCATTGCTCTTTCTAGGGCATTGATGCTGAAGTGAGAAAAGGAGAGAGAGGTATTGAGGGAGGTGGAGCTGCCTGTTCACAGCTGTAAGTGGTAAGGGCAGTACCTAGCAATGATAGTGACAGTTTTCTGGCCAAATTATCTCTATAGTCAGTGTAATATCTTTTTTCCAGTTTCTAAACCTACTAATCTATATTGACATTAGTTATATGATCCACTTATAGTACACCCATAAAACCCTTATTGATTTAAGAAAACCAGTGTTAACCTTTATTGTAGGTAAAAGATAACTCTGATTGAAAATCTTTTTGTGTCCAGTGTGGCTTTTGAAAATATTGTTGCCGGGTACAGTTGCTCATGCCTGTAATCCCAGCACTTCGGGAGGCCGAGGTGGGTGGATCAAGAGGTCAGGAGTTCAAGACCAGCCTGACCAATATGGTGAAACCCCATCTCCACTAAAAATACAAAAATTCACCAGGCGCAGTAGCAGGGGTCTGTAATCCCAGCTACTTAGGAGGCTGAGGCAGGAGAAATGCTTGAACCTGGGCGGCAGAGGTTGTAGTGAGCGGAGATCGCGCCGCTGTACTCCAGCCTGGGCGACAGAGTGAGACTCTGTCCCCAAAAAATAAAAAAATAAATAAAAAAAAGAAAAAAGAAAATATTTTTGCTGAAAATATTTTTTTTCCTTTGTACATAACTATTTTCTTCTTTCTGGAAGCATTTTTATAAGCATGTGTTGCTGCTTTCGTTTGATTTAATGTATTCTGCTTTATAATTTTTTTATAATTTAATATTATCTTAATTACTTCATTCTTCCCCCATGTAACTTCATTAGAAAGATAAGATAAATATTGAATTATTTGGGATCTTACTGTCTTTATTCAGATTTTTCATATTTTGCTTATATCACCTGCGTTTTGGAAGAATACTTAATTTCTTTTCTCAAACTTAGATTTTCTTCATCATCTACGTTCATAGTGCTATTCAGACAATTAACTAATTTTTCCCCATATTTAGAAAAATATGATAAAGTGTCAAAAATTACCTTATTTCTACTATGTAGCAACTTATTTTAACTATTTTATAGATATGAATTACAACATTATTAGAACACTTAAAATTTTTAATTTCTCACTTGAGACTTTTTTTTAGAGTTAAACTTTCTATTCTTTAATTTTGGTACTCATTAATTTGATTTTCTCAGTTTATAATTTTCGGAGTTTTTTGGGTAATTGAAAATCACTGTTGCCTTGTTTGTAAATGTAGGACTTAATTATAGTAGTATATTTAGTAATATATTTATATGCCAGTTATAATGTATAAATAAATAGTAGTATATAGAAATACATTTAGGATTCCAATTACAAAACTTTTTATGTCCTGGACTTCCAAATTAAGTAATACTATATATTGAGATTTTCTCTCTCTGGTCACAATATTAGCTGAAACTTATGGATGATAAATTAAAAACAGGTTAGTGCAACTTATTTATAATGTGGTATAATTTAAGGTATAAATGCTGTGTTTGCAACATATGAGTGTGTATTTGGTTTAATTTATTTTGAATGGCTTGCTAGATTGTTTTACAGTGTGTTCCTTGCTCCTAACTTCATAGATGTTCTAGACCAGTGTGGTTCATATTTTAATCTATATGGAAACTATCTGGGATGTTATTAAATTGAGGATATTGATTCAGTGTTTCTGTTGTGGGTCCAAGATCATTATTTCTAAAACATGCTCACATGATGGTGATGCTGGGAACATAGATCACACTTTGCATGGTAGGGATGTACTAGGAATTATGATGATAACAATTATTTAGGCCTTTAAGAATATCATCATATGTATTTATTTCCAATGGAGTTTCAGTTGACATAAAGGATTTCTTGTCAGTGATATTTTTTTTAAACCTGTTAGAACTTCATTGTAAAGTTGTGATGCTTACCTGACTAGAAAAAAATTAACTCCCTTCCCCTGTGACTTGCAGAATCCACAGCTAATCTCAATGATCTGTGCCACCTTCTGCTCAGTTTTTACTGGAGTGTTGAAATAATAACTTTTTATGTTTTCTAAACCTAGTGGTCCTCCAGTCCCTCCTTTTGTGGGTCAAAGGGTAGCCGGAAAGCATTGTTAATTTTTGGTATTGTTACTTCGTATATTGATAATTTGTTTAAATTCCCTGAAAAATGAACCTTCTCTTAAATTCACCTTTGGAGTAATTGATCTTTGTAAGACTAAGAGACGTAGCTTCTCTCTATTGTCCATGGGAAGGTGAATGGATGTGTGGCAGCTGTGCAGTATAGGTATCCTAGTTTCTCGATTTTGAGACCTTCAGATTTCACGTCCCTTTTAGAAATTCTCATTTAACTAGTTGCATTGTCATGAATCTGGCCCCAGGTACATTAGTATTCATGTGTCTCAGCTCTAATTTCTATGATCTGTGCTTAGGAATTTATCCTAGGACTTCCACTGGAGTTATTGTTTTCCATTTATATTTTTATGTTCCTATGTTCTCCTACAAATAGCTGGAGATACTTCAAGATCCATTCTGTAATACCGGGATCCTATATCAGAGCATTAGCCAAACTGATAGTTTATGTATAAAGCAGCTCAACACTTTTTAAAACTTTTTGGAAAATATCTTTGCTACAGTCTCTCAAGATAGAGAGTTGAAGGGAGAGCTAACTGTATTGCGTTGATAGATTTTCTTTTTGTCTTGCTCCCAATTTTATCATTGCTCTTTTTTATTAGTTGACTATAAACTTAAGGTTCCTGGCATTGATCTTAATTTGTCTTCTCCAGAGCTCATTTTGAACTGGGACTCTCTGTTCTTCTCTTTCTGCCAATCTGTTTCCATGTCGTTCTTTTAGCTGTATATCTGTTTACGTGTAATTTATTTGTTTACGGTGTAATATTACAAATATGCAATATAAAAATAGAAAGAAAGTTATAATAAACCTGTAAAGGCTCATCACCCAGAATAATTAACTATCAGTAATGTGGAGCTCTAGCTTTTTCCACCCTTTTTATGTGTTTGTTAGGTTTTTGTGGCTGAAATATTTTAGAGCAAATCCCTTTCATCCTGCCATTAACCCTTCTCAATCAGTTTACATTTTTGAAAAAAACAACTGTTTTATCACATAGCAGCAATACTATCATCACCCATAACAAAATTCAAAATATTTTATTGGTGTCACTTAATATCCATTTCATTTTATTTCCAAATTGTTGGAAAATATTCTTTCACATGTTCATTTGTTTGCACCAGCATTTACATTGTTCACTCCTTTGTGATGTTAATTTAAAATTCTACTCATAATATTCCTATGAATAGGAATTAAATGTTACTTCTGGTGGTTGATTTTAGTTAAAATGTTTTGGTTACAAACACTTTAGGAGTGGTGCTATGAACTTCATATTTTGTCACATCACAGATAATTGCCTCATTCTTAGTGATGTTAAGCCCAATTATTGGATGTATAAAGTTTTCTGTAAGCACTTTGTAAAACAGTTGCACATTAAGAAGCTTTGTTTAAATTAGTTTTTTGTTAGGGCTTTCAAAATTATTATTTTCTAATTCTTTCCACAATTAGTAACTGGACTTCTGTAGAGAAGAATTTCTCTTATCAAACAGAGCTTATATTGTTATCCCAAAATACAGTTATTTCAGAAAAGACAAGATAAACTTTTAATTATTTTTTTTGATTGCCAATTTTAAGATTACAGCATTTGGTGACCTAGTTAACTGTTCATGGAGGAATTGGATTTTTTATATATTCAACATATTGAACAGATGCTAGTCATTCTTTTCAATGTCCACACTACCCTATCATTGGCTAATGAGAACCCCTTTAATCTATCTGTGATAAGTCACTTGCTTTGTGGCATAAGATATTCCAGGTTAATTTCATACATCCTGATGAAAACCCAGAGTTTGTAATTTCCTTAAGGATCTTTGGCTCTTTTAAGGGGGGGAGTTTTTCTGGGAACCATAACTGAAGTATTATTCTTATTGCTACTGAGCTATAATTTCATCTTGATGTTTATATATGCAGAGCTAGCCATTTATTTTTGAAAACAATATGAGATTCTATAATATTTAAAATTTAGAGTTTACTTAAATTATTTTTTATATTATACTTTCTGATCTCATGTCATGCTCATATGCTGGTTCTGAACAGCTTTAATAAAATTAGGTATTTGCTTCATTAATCTCTCTCTACATATATTGTATATATATATATATACAAAATATATGAAACATATTTTTCTAAATAAGTGTGTAACTGCTAACAATAAGACTGTGGCTTGAGATTAAGAATTTTCTTGCAACAATATTTTTCTCAGAGTACACAGTGTTTAATACATGACTTAAAATGATTCTTTAGGTGTTTGTGCCAGACATTAATTCCAGAGATTAGGAGATGCTTTTGTCTTTTTTTTTTTTTTTTGAGACAGAGTCTCACTCTGTCACCCAGGCTGGAGTGCAGTGGCGCAATCTCGGCTCACTGCAAGCTCCACCTCCCAGGTTCACACCATTCTCCCGCCTCAGCCTCCGGAGTAGCTGAGACTACAGGTGTCCGCCACCAAGCCCTGCTAATTTTTTGTATTTTTAGTAGAGACGGGGTTTCACCATTCACAGGATGGTCTCGATCTCCTGACTTTGTGATCCGCCAGCCTCGGCCTCCCAAAGTGTTGTCTTTTTTAATCAACTGACTTTTTGAATATATAAATTACTTACAGGATACAAATTTAAATTTTTTTATTGAATTATATTTCTAAAAATCTTTTTCTATGTCTTTCCCATTTTATTACCAGTCTGTACTCATAAATTATCATTATTTTTAAAATTATCCTTCCATTGATTTTTTCAAGTATATTCTAAAAATGCTTTCTACAATATATCCTAAACATTCTAGTTTCATTTTATCAATTTTAGAAAATTTCACATTTCAGATGCATCATAGTGTATTCAACCAATTCCAATTGATTGACATTTAAATATTTCCAATCTTTTACTATTAAAAATGCTAAAATAAATAATGATGCAAAAATATCTGCATTTTTTCTACTATATCTTTGGGTTATATTTATACATTTAGGATTGCTTAGTCAAAATGTAAAACAGTACATAATTTTTTAAACTGACTTTACTTTTTTAGAGCAGTTTTAGGTGCACAGAAAAATTAAGTGAGATGTACAGAGTTCCCATCTCCCCTTGACTTTTATTTTTTATTTTTTTATTTTTTTGTTTTGTTTGTTTGTTTGTCTTTGAGACGGAGTCTCGCTCTGTCGCCCAGGCTGGAGTGAAGTGGCTCGATCTCGGCTCACTGCAAGCTCCGCCTCCCAGGTTGACGCCATTCTCCTGCCTCAGCCTCCCAAGTAGCTGGGACTACAGGCAACCGCCACCAAGCCCTGCTAATTTTTTGTATTTTTAGTAGAGACGGGGTTTCACCGTGTTAGCCAGGATGGTCTCGATCTCCTGACCTCGTGACCTGCCGGCCTCAGCCTCCCAAAGTGCTAGGATTACAGGCATGACCCACCGCCCCCGGCTGGCTTTTAATTTTACTATCTTGACAGTGTCTCTTGTAAGACATGCATTTTTAATTTTAGTAAAGTCTAGCTTATCAATTTTTCATTTCATAGAAAATGCCTTTGATGTTTTACCTAGATATTCTACTATAGTATTTTATAGATATTTTAAATTTAGATTGTTATCTTTAGGTGTGTGATCAATTTTAATTAACTTTTACAAATTGTATAAAGTCTGTGTCTAGATTCTTCCTTTTTTTTGTTTGTTTGTTTGCATGTCCAGTTGGTCCAGCACCATTTTGTAGAAAAGACTAGCTTTTCTCCACTGTATTGCTTTTGCTCCTTTGACATGATATTGCAAGATCAGTTGACTATATATACATAGGTCTATTTCTAGACTGTATCATCTGTTCCATTAATCTCTATTGATCTATTATTTCACCAATACCATATTGTCTTGATTATCATAGCTCTATGTGAAATCTTGCAGTTACAGAGTGTCAGTCCTTTGTTCTCCTTCAATATTGCATTGACTACCCTGGGTCTTTTGTCTCTCTATATAAACTTTAGAATAATTTGTTGATATACAAAAAATTTGAGATTTTGAATAGGATTGCAATGAAGTACGTTAAGTTATCCATCATAGAGATTAGAATTTTTTTTTTTTTTGAGACAAAGTTTTCATTCTTGGCACAATAATAGCACACTGCAACTTCGAACTCCTGAGCTCAAGTGATACACCCTTCTCAGCCTCCTAAGTAGCTGGGGCTATAGTCATGAGCCACCAAGCCTGGCTAGTTTTTTCTTTTTAGTAAAGACAGGGTCTCACTATGTTGACCGGGCTGGTCTTGAACTCCTAGCCAGAAGCAATCCTCCAGCCTTGATCTGCCAAAATTACAAGTGTGAGCCACTGTACCTTGCTTTTAGAAAATTTTCACCCCAGAAGTTGCAATTACCTGTTTTCTATAATCTTGGCCACGATGTCTAATGAAAAACTTTTAAATATTTGTGAAATTCTATATTTTAAAAATGTTACTTTACCAAAGTTTTGAATATTTATTTGTTGTTTCTGTGACTACATTTAAGAAACTTTTCTATTTTTCTTACTGTAAACTTATCTAATTATATAAATTTTTCTGATTTTCAAAATAATTTTATTGGTCTTATTTTATGTTTAAGATTTATGTATGTGATATAGATATTATATTTTATTTGTAATATTAGTTGGAAATATTTTTCCAGGTTTGTTTCTATTGATTAAAGGGTCTTTTTTTGACTTACAAATATTTTCATTTTTCTTTTTTTAAGTTGACAGATAAAATTGCATATATTTGTTGCATACAACATAATATCTTGCAGTATGTTTACATTGTGGAAAGACTAAATCTAGCTAATTAACCTATGCATTACTTCACATAGTTAGCATTTTGTGTTAAGAACATGTTATATCCACTCTCCTTGAAATTTTCAAGGATGTAATGTATTATTAACTGTAGTCATCACATTGCACAATAAATCTCTTGACCTTATTTCTACTGCCTAACTGAAATTTTGTATCTTGTTATCAGCATCTCCCTAAATCTCTGTCCCTGCTAAACATCATGCTTTCTGACAATCACTATTCTACTCTCTACTTTAATGATATTAGCTTTTTAAAATTCCACTTCAGAGTGAGATCTTCCAGTATTTGTCTTTCTGTACCTGGCTTGTTTTATTTAACATAATGTTCTCCAAGTTTATCTATGCAGTCCTAAGTGTCAATATTTCTTTCCTTTTTGAAACTGTATAGTATTCCATTTCGTATGTACATATATCACATTTTATTTCCCCATTCACCTGTCAATGGACACAGTTTGCTTCCCTATCTTGGCTATTGTGAGTAATGAGGTAATAAACATAGGAGTGCAAATATCTCTTTGATATACTGATTTTATTTCCTTTGGTTACATACCCAGTAGTTGGATTGCCAGTTCATATGGTAGTTATATTTTTAATTTTTTTGAGGGATTTCCTCACTGTTTTTCATAATGGCTAAGCTAATTTACATTCCCACCCAAAGGATGCAAGAGCCTTTTGTTCTCCACATCCTCACCAACAGGTATCTTTTGTCCTTTTGATAATAGTCCTTCTAACAGGTGCAAAGTGATATCATGTTGTGGTTTTAATTTGTATTTCCCTGATGACTACTGATGTGAAACATTTTTTCATGAATCTGATGGTCATCTATATGTCTTCCTTGAGAAATATATGTTAACTTCCATTGTCCACTTTTAAATTGAATTATTTGTTCGCTTGCTTTTGAGTTGCTTGAGTTCCTTTAATATTTTCAATATTATTATTATTATTTTTTGAGAAAGGGTCTTGCTCTGTCACCTGGGCTTGTGTGCAGTGGTGCAATCATAGCAAACTGCAGCCTTGACTTTCTTGCCTCAAGCCATTCTCCCACTTAAACCTCCTGAGTAGCAGGGACCACAGGCCAGCGCAAGAACACCTGGCTAATTTATTATTAGTATTATTATTATTTTTTAGAAAAAGTGTTTCCCTATGTGACCCAGGCTGGTCTCGAACTCCTAGACTCAAGTGATTCCCCCTCCTGGGCCTACCAAAGTGCTAGGATTACAGGTGTGAGCCACCGAAGCCTGCCAATATTAACCTGTTATCATACATACAATTTTCAAATATTTTCTCCATTGTGTATACTGTTTCATCATTCTGTTGAGTATTTCCTTTGCTGTGCAGAAGCTGTTTAGTGTATTTAGACAAATAATCCCATTTGTCTGTTTTTACTTTTGTTGCCCATGCTTTGAGGATTGCATCAAAAATGTCTGCCCAGACCAAGATCACAGAGTTTTCCCTCTTGTTTTCTTCTAGTAATTTTATAGTTTCAATTCTTACATGTCAGTCTTTCATCAATTTTGAGTTAATAATTCTTTTAGCCATTTCGAGTAAGATAAGAGCCTAATATTATTTTTCTGCATGCTGACATCATTTTCCCCAGCACCATTTATTAAAGAGACTGTCCTTTCCACAATGTGTGTATTTGATGCCTTTGTCAAAAATAAGTTTTCTGTAAGTACATGGTGTAATTTCTGGATTCTCAATTCTATTCCATTGTGCTATGTGTCTTTTTTTATGCCATTACCGTGCTGTTTTGGTTACTATAACCCTGTAGTACATTTTGATGTCACATACGGTAATGCCTCCAGCTTTGTCCTTTTCAATCAAGATTGCTTTGGCTATTCAGGGTTTTTTGTGGTTCCACACAAATTTTAGGATTGTTTATCTGATTCTGTGAAGAATGTCATTGGTATTTTGATGAGATTGTGTTGAATCTGTAGATCATTTCGAAAAGTATGGAAATTTTAACAGTATTTATTCTCCCAATTAATAAACACAGAATAAGTTGCAATTTACTTGTGCCTTTTTTTTTTTAACATTTCAATAGTTTTGGGGGAACAGGTGGTGCTTGGTTACATGGATAAGTTCTTTAGTGGTGATTTGAGAGAATTTGGTGCAACTATCACCCAAGCAGTGTACACTGTACCCAATGTGTAGTCTTTTATCCTTCACCTCCTTCCACCCTTCCCCCAAATCCCCAAAGACTATTGTATCATTTTTACCTTTGCATCCTCATAGCTTAGCTCCCACTTATAAGTGAGAACATATGACGTTTTGTTTTCCATTTCCGAGTTACTTCATTAGAATAATGGTCTGCAACTCCATCCGGGTTGCTGGGAATGCCATTATTTTGTTCCCTTTTATAGCTGAATAGTTTTCCATTATATATATATATATATATATATATATATATATATATATATATATATATATGAAATAATGATATATATATGGCATATATATATATATGCCATTTTTTTATCCACTCATTGATTGATGGGCATGTGGGCTGGTTTCATATTTTTGCAATTGTGAATTGTGCAACATGTGAAAATGTGTGTGCAAGTGTCTTTTTCATATAATGACTTCTTTTCCTCTGGGTAGATAACCAGTAGTGGAATTGCTGGATCAAATGGTAGATCTACTTTTAGTTCTTTTAGGAATCTCCATACTGTTTTCCATAATGGTTGTACTAATTTACATTCCTACCAGCAGTGTAAAAATGCTCCCATTTCACCATATCCATGCCAACATCTGTTATTATTATTATTTTTTAATTATGGCCACTCTTGCAGGAGTAAGGTTTTGTGGTTTTGATTTGCATTTGATTTTGATTTGCATTTCCCTAATCATTAGTGATGTTGAGCATTTTTTCATATATTTCTTGGTCATTTGTGTATCTTCTTTTGAGAACTGTCTATTCAGGTCCTTAGCCCACTTTTTGATGGGATTATTTGGATTTTTCTTGCTGATTTGTTTTGAGTTTCTTGTAGATTCTGGATATTAGTCCTTTGTTGGATGCATAGTTTGCAAAAATGTTCTCCTACTCTGTGGGTTGTCTGTTGACTCTGCTCATTATTTCTTTTGCTGTGCAGAAGCTTTTTAGTTTAATTAAGTCCCTTTGTTTTTGTTGCATTTGCTTTGGGTTCTTGGTCATGAACTCTTTGTGTCTTTAACTTTTCCTCAATGTTTTACAGTTTTCAGCATAGAGAACTTTCCACTTCCTTCATTAAATTTATGCCTATGTATTTTATTTTTTGTAGATTTTGTAAATGGCATTTTTTTTCTTTTTCAGGTAGTTTACTACTAGTGTATTAAAATGCTACTGATTTTTGTACGATAATTTGTATCCTGAAAATTTACCAAATGTGTTTACTAGTTCTACCAGCTTTTTAGTGGAATCCTTTAAGTGTTTCTGTATATAAAAGACCATGTTGTCTACAAACTGTTGTGGGAAGTCAGGGACCCCAAACGGAGGGACCAACTGAAGCCACAGTAGAAGAACATAAATTGTGAAGATTTCATGGACATTTATTAAGTCCCCAAATTAATACTTTTATAATTTCTTACTCCTGTCTTTATTGCAATCTCTGAATATAAATTGTGAAGATTTCATGGACATTTATCACTTCCCCAGTACTCTTATAATTTCCTATGCCTGTCTTTACTTTAATCTCTTAATCCTGTCATCTTCGTAAGCTAAGGATGTATGTCACCTCAGGACCCTGTGATGATTGTGTTATATGTGCAAATTGTTTGTAAAACATGTGTCTTTGAACAATATGCAATCTGGGCATCCTAAAAGAATAGGATAACAGCGATTTTCAGGGAACAAGGGAGATAGCCATAAGGTCTGACTGCCTGTGGGGCTGGGCAGAACAGAGGCATATTTCTCTTCTTGCAAAAGCAAATAGGAGAAATATCACTGAATTCTTTTTTTCAGCAAGGAGCAGCCCTGGGAAAAGAATGCATTCCCAGGAGGAGGTCTCTAAAATGGCCGCTCTGGGAGTAGCTGTCTTATGCAGTTGTAAATAAGGGATGAAATATGCCCTGGTCTCCTGCAGTGCCCGCAGGCTTGCTAGGATTGGGAAATTCCAGCCTGGCAAAATTCTAGTCAGATCGGTTGTCTGCCCTTGAACCCTGTTTCCTGTTAAGATATTTATCAATGACAATGCATGCACAGCAGGACATGGAACCTCATTAGTAATTTTAATTTCGCCCTGGCCTTGTGATCTCGCTCTGCCCCTATTTGCCTTGTGATATTTTATTGCCTTTGAAGCATGTGATCTCTGTGACCCACACACTATTTGTACACTCCTTCCCCTTTGAAAATTGCTAATAAAAACTTGCTGCTTTTTTGGCTCAGGTGGGCATCACGGAACCTGCCAATATGTGATGTCACCCCTGCAGACACAGCTGTAAAATTTATCTCTTTTGTACTCTTTCTCTTTATTTCTCAGACCGGCTGACATTTATGGAAAATAGAAAAGAACCTATGTTGAAATACTGGGGGCTGGTTCCCCTGATAACAAACAAATTCAATTTAACTTCTTTATTTCTAATTTGCTTGCCTTTTATTTCTTTCCTTTGCCTGGTTTCTCTATGACATAAGAGTACTATACTAAATAAAAATGGCAAGACTGGCTGGGTGCAGTGGCTCACGCTTGTAATCCCAGCACTTTGGGAGGCCGAGGTGGGGGGATCACCTGAGGTTGGGAGTGTCCGACCTCACTCCTGGAGGAGAAACCCCATCTCTACTAAAATTTCAAAATTAGCCAGGTGTCCTGACGCCTGCCTGTAATCCCAGCTTTTAGGGAGACTGAGGCAAGAGAATTGCTTGAACCTGAGAGGCAGAGGTTGCTGTGAGTGGAGATTGCACCATTGCACTCCAGCCTGGGCAACAAAAGCAAAGCTTCATCTCAAAAAAAAAGGAAGAAAAAAAAATTGGCAAGAGTGAGCATGCATGTCCCTTTCCTGATCTTAGAGGAAAAGCTTTAACTTTCTCACCCCTTGAGTATGATGTTACATTTCATTTTTCCATATATGACTTTTATTGTGTTAAGGTACATTCTTTTTGTACCTAATTTGTGGAAGACTTTTCTCATGCAAGGATATTAAATTTTGTCAAATTATTTATTTGCATCTATTGAAGTAATCCTATGTCCTTTAATTTGTTAAATGTATTTACATTTATGTATTTACACATGGTGAATGATGCTTGTGTCTCTGGAATGAATCCTACTGGATTGTGGCAAATGATCTTTTTAATGTGGTGTTGAATTTGCTTTGCTAGTATTTTGTTTATGATTTTTGCATCTATGTTCATCATGGATATAGGCCTGTAATTAATTTATTTCCTAAATTGTGTCTTTAAGTGGCTTTGGTATCCGGGTAATGCTGGCCTCATAAAATTAGTTCAGAAGGGCTCTTCTTTGATTTTTTGCAACAGTTTGAGAAGACTTGATATTAGTTCCTTTTTAAATAGTAGAATTCGGTGGCTCGCACCTCTAATCCCAGCACTTTGGGAGGCCAAGGCAGGCAGATCACTTGATGTCAGGAGTTCAAGACCAGCCTGGCCAACTTGTCAAAACCCATCTCTACTACAAATACAAAAATTAACCAGGTGTGGGGATGCATGCCTGTAATCCCAGCTATTTGTGAGGCTGAGGCCAGAGAATTGCTTGAACCTAGGAGGTGTAGGTTGCAGTGGGCAGAGATTGTGCCACTGCACTCCAGCCTGGGCAAAAGAGCAAGACTCCATCTGAAAAAGAAAAAAAAAATGTTTGGTAGAGCTCAGCAATGAAGCCATCTGGTGCTGGATTTTTCTTTTTTAAAAATTATGTGTTTAGTCTTCTTACTTGATATTGGTCTGTTCAGATTTTTTATTTCATTTTAAATCAGTTTTGGTAGAGAGTATATTTCTAGGAATTTATTCACCTCTATATGATCCAATTTTTGGCACATAATAGCTTACAATAGCTTCTTCTGAACCTTTGTATTACTGTGATATCAGTTGTAATATCTTCTTTTTCATTTCATTTATTATAGTCTGCTTTTTTTCCTTAGTCTTACTAGAGATTCGTCAATTTTATTTATTTTTCTATGATTTTTCTAGTCTCTACATCATTTATTTCTACCTTGATCTTTAGTATTTCCCTCCTTTGGGTTTTATTTTCTTGTTTTTCTAGTTTCTCGAAGTGCACAATGAAGCAGTTTGAGATATTTAATTATTTAACGTAGGCAGTTATTGCCTACAGATTCTCAGATTGCTTTTGCTATATCCCACGGCTTTTGGTATGCTGTGTTTTCATTTTTCTTTGAAAAATATTTTAATTTATTAATTGATCCATTGGTTTTTCAAAAGCATATTGTTTAATTTCCATGTATTATAAATTTTCTGAAATTTCTCCTGTTAATAATTTCTTCTTTTATTCCATTGTGGTCAGAAAGGACATTTGATATAATTTCAAACTTCTTAAATTTCCTAAGTCCTGTTTTGCAGCCAAACATTTCATCTATCCCAGAGAATGTTTAATGTGTACTTGGAAAATATGTATATTTTGCAGCTGTGGATAAAGTGGAGTGTAATTTAAGTACTATGTTTCTTTATAGGATTTGTCTGAATGATCAGCCCACTGTTGAAAGTGGGCTGAAAGTCTCTGCTATTATTGTATTGCAGTTGTCTCTACCTTTAGATCCATTAATAATTGATTTAAATATATTTAGGTGCTCCAATATTGGCTGCATATATACTTAACAATTGTTATATCCTCTTGCTGAATTGAGTTACTTATAATTATATAATGGCCTTCTTTGTCTCTTTTTAAAGTTTTTAAAACTTAAAATCTATTTTAGTTTATGTAAGTATAGCTATTTCTGCTGTCTTTTGCTTCTTATTTCTGTGCAATTTTTTTCTGGCCTTTTGCTTTCAGTCTATGTGTATCCTTACAAGTGAAGTGAGTACCTTGTAAGACGTATATAATGGGGTCTTAGTTTTTAGTCCTTTCAAACAGCCTGTCTTTTGATTGAAGAATTTAATCCATTTAGATTCAAGGTAATCATTGATAGGTAACAACTCACTACTACCGTTTTGTTAATTGTTGTCTAGCTGTTCTGTACATTCTTTTCTTCCTTTTTTGCTGACTTCCCTTGTGGTTAAGTGATTTCCTCTAGTAGTAAGTTTTGACTATTTGCTTTTGTGTGTGTGTGTATCTACCATAGGCTTTTGTTTTTGTTGTTGCCTTCAGTCTTACGAGAAACATCTTTTAATAGGTTATTTTTGACTGACAACTTAACTTTGATTGCAAAATCAAACAAAACAAAAGAAATTTACACTTTTATCTTACTTCCACCCCCATATTTTGAATTTTTGTGTCACAATTTACATCTTTTTATATTGCATCTTCATTAACAGGTTATTGTGGCAAACATTATTTTACTGGCTTTGTCTTTTAACCTTTGTACTAAAAAGACAAGCTATTTACACACTCTCATTACACTATTATAGTATTTTTAATTTGACTGTGTACTTATTTTTACTAGTGAGTTTTACACTTTTTTTTTTCAATCTATTTACTAAGTTTTTTTGCCAAGGTTAAGGAGTGCCTGGGAGGCAGGTCTATTCCTTCCTTCAAAGATAATTTGCAGGGCTTCAATATTTAAGGGGAAAAGGGCAGATATTGGGAAAGTGGGATAAATTTTTAAAAGGTGTGGGGAGATAAGAGACAAACATTGCGTTCTTCTGAGTCTTTGATCAGCCTTTCACTGAAATACCATGTGTTTGTGTTACTCATCATTGTTCTTTCATTTCAGCTTGAAGAATTCCCTTTAGCATTTCTTGTGTGATAGGTTTAGTGGTGATGAACAGAAAAGTATTTGTCTATTCTTCATATCTCTAGGAAAGCTTTGCTAATTATAGGTTCTTTTTTTCTTTCTTTTTCTTTCCTTCAACACTTTGAATACCTCACCCAGTCTTTCCCGCCCTATAAGGTTTCTGTTGAAGAGTCAGCTGTTAGTTGTATTGTAATTCTTCTGTGTATTATTTCCTTATTTTCTCTTGATACCTTCAGCATCCTCTTTGTCTGATGTCTGACTGAATATCCTATGTCTTAAGCTAGTCTTATTTGGATTGATTCTATTTGGAGATCTTTGACATTCATGTTCCTGGATATTTACACCTTTTTGGAGGTTTGAAGAATTATATGCTACTATTTATTTAAATAAGCTTTTATTTCTTTATCTTTCCCTTCTACTTTTTCTACTCTAATGACTTGAATATTTGCTTTCTCAATGCTGTTCCATAAATCCTGTAAGCTTTCTTTCTTCAAGGTCTTTTCACTTTTTTTCTCATCTGTCAATATATTTTCAAATAACGTGTCTTCAGTTTTATATAGTCTTTCTGCTTGATAAGTTCTGCTTTTGATGCTGTCTGTTGCATTTTTCATTTATCACATTGCATTTTTTATATTTGGGATTTCTGTTTTTTAATTAATTATATATATTTTTTTCATTTTGTTGAATTGTTTTTCTGTATGTTATTAAAATATGCTGAGCTTCCTTAAAACAGTTATTTTGAATTATTTGTCAGGCATTCCTATGTCTCCATTTGGAGATTTTTTGTTTGGTCATAACATGTTTTCCTGAATATTTTTGACCCTTGTGATTATGAGTTAATGTCTGCATATTTGAAGATGTAGGTACTTATTCAAGTATTCAGCAATGCTTGTCTGGAAAATCCTCGTAGTAGTCACTGTACTGGGGTCACCAGAATCCCAAGATGGGTGCAGCACATCACAGGCATATGCCTGAAACCAGGGGTTGCTGAAGCCTACTGCTGCTAAAAGAGTCTGGGGCCACTGACATTGTCTCAGTAGTGGTGTGGGCCAGAGATCAAGTTTGCCATTGTAAGCCTGAAGCCTAAGCCCGTGCGGTCCTACCTGCTGCTAGAGGCGGTCTATAGGTTCCATCTATGGAACTTACTTGGAATATGAGGCCATGGGAGTTGCTCAGTGCAGGGTTTTACTGCAGTGGTCCAAGGAAAAGTTATGTGCTCACTTCCCTGTCTTCTCCTCAAGCAAAGTGTATTTCTCTCCACTCTGTGTTGCCTAGAGTTGAGGAAGGGATGTTTGGGTACTGTAAAACTGAATGTAAACTGAATGTAAAACTGTCCTTTCTGTTTTCTCAAATGTATATTTTTGTTATTACTGTGCTACAATCAGGTACTATAATCTTTTATCTGATTTCCTTGGCTTTTATGAAGGTATTTTTTGTACATGAATAGTTTTCAAATTGATGTTTTAGCAGCAGGGACAATTGCTTTAGACTCCTATTCCATCATTTTGCTCCATTTCTCTCATAAAGTTACTTTTTTTTGAGAATTTAAAAAAATATAGTTGAACTTGTCTTTCCTTTTTAAGTAGATTTTTGAAAACTGTTGAGGATTTTTAAACTTGCCTCATGCAAATATTGTAACAAATGCGTCCATGTTTTCTTAAAAAATTTGTTAGCTTTATTATTTACATATCTAATTATTGGGAATTTATGCAAGTGTACAGAATAAGGTATAGACCCACTTCTATCTTTTATCTAAATTTTCAGTTTGTGATAATCTTAATTTTTAAACTTAATATTTCCCAATTAATATGAGATATAATATGTATAATATTCAGTACTTTTCAAATTTTTGCTATAATTCTATTTGTTTTCTTCCATAGCCATCAACGAATTCCACAAAGTTTGAATCTTGGGGACTTAAAGTAATTTTTAATATTTGAGTTTACCCCCACTACTACCCCTCATTACTTTTTCTTTTCAATATATAACTAAATTCCTTTACTTGTTTAGTATTCTTATGCATTTTAAAATAATCTTTTCTAGCTCTGTATAATGTTTGTCTATGTTTATGTTTGAATATAAAATTTTTATTGACCCTAAGGTTAATTAACATCTTTAGAACGGTGAGTGTTTATGAAAGACCACTTATGAAAGTTTACTTTTGGTCTAACTATGAAGTGGTTAGGTTTTCCTTAGTTTGTGCACATTTCCTGCTAAGTTAGACCAAAAGTTCATCTTCACTTTTTTATTTTTAAAAGTAGGGTGTTATTATCTGTGTGTCATTAATTCATACATTTAATTTTAAGTCTTCCTATTTATCTCAATTATATTGTTGTTTTCAGTCATTTATTCACGTATTTTGGGGCCCCCTTCCTGGAAAATTCAATTTGATTATTGTCACAGAGTTTCATAACTTTTCATCCAATCATTATCTCTTTAAATACCTTCATCTAGTTGCACTGGCTAAAATTCCCGATGCCACTTCAAATAGTAGTTGCACAAAAAAAGCATTTACTATAGTGCTGCAGCTGTTGAAGACTTTCAACATCCATTTTGAGAAGTATTAGCACCATCTGAACTATTTTATTATTCGTTTTATTTTTTACAAATTATTCAGCCTCATCTCCTATCTTTATTTCTTCTAGCATTTCCAACGTTTGTACACAATTCCTTATCTTTCTGATATTCACTCTGTGTCTTCAAAGTGTGATTTTTTTTGTCTTTTAGTATGCCTTGCATTTTGTTTTGTTATTGTTTTTCAAAGCTAGACATAATATAGTGGCATAAATAAACCGAGGCACATAGGCTTTTACTTTGTGGTTTGGTTTACCTGGCTAGATGTTACGCTGTGTCTACTGTTTTCTCCAGTTATTATGTAAGAGGCTAACATTTCCTGTGGTGTTTTTGTTTTGTTTCTTTTGGCTTTGGGTGTTTCTAGTGAATTCTTACATAAGGTCAGAGATGTGCAGTTCTTTCTATAGTGTCATCTTGTTACCATACAGGAGCTTCTAAGATGTGAGGGGAGAAGGAAGTATTCTGTAATCCTATGATTTGTTCTCAGTCTTTTAGTGAGTTAGTGCTTTGGGTTTTAACTTTCGCACATGTTTCTCAGTTTATCTGTTTGTTTTTCACCTTAGGTGAGTTAGCAAAGCTAGAAGAGACTGGGATTGGGTATTTCCCTTACACCAGGTCAGTTGGGGTCTAGTGAAATAGTTTTTCTTGAGGGCAAGCCTTGTTCAGAAGAATAGAATACCCTGGGTGTATTTCAAAATGGCTACCTTTTCCATCCTCCTGCTAGAAGCAAACGGTATTTTTCTCCACACTGTGAGATTCTGGTAGAGCTACTGAAGGTCAAACTCACAATATGGTGGAGACAACTTTAAGGCTGAGATTATTCTGGGGATTTTTAACTGTCAATCTTGTTCACTCGGGGCCACCAGCAATTCATCAATTCAGTTTAGATGTTTTTACCCTGGTATTAGTTTCTGTGGAGTTTTTTGCTCTAGCGAGTTTTTTTTTTTTTTATTTATTTCCCTGTCTCTCTCTTCAATTTTCAGAGTCCATTTTGCCTATGACCTCAATTCTGTGATGAATTTACAAAGAATTGTTGATTTTCAGTTTGTTTAGCATTTTTCTTTATTTTCCTTTTTTTATTCAGATGGGGTCTCACTCTGTCACCCAGACTGGAGTGCAGTGGCACCATCATGGCTCACTGCAGCCTCGACCTCCCAGAGTCAGGCGACCCTCCCACCTCAGCCTCCTGGGTAAGTGTGACTGCAGGTGCATGCCACCATGCCTGGCTAATTTTTTGTATTTTGTGTAGAGATGGCATTAGGCCATATGCCCAAGCTCATCTTGAACACTGGGCTCAAGCTATCCACCAGCTTCAGCCTCCCAAAGTTGGGATTATAAGTGTGAGCCACCACGCCTGGCCTAGTATTTTTCTAATGTGGATGAGAGGAACAACTTGTAACTTCCTTCTATGCCATGCTAGAAACTAAAAGTGCCCCTGTAATTCTATGTGTGTAATTTGCTTTATTTGAAATATCTAGAGTGATCTCTTTTCCATAAACTAAACTACACATTATAAAAATTAATAGAGGATCATCATATTATCTAAAATTACGGTAATATCAACCTGAAAAAAATATAAATTACAAATATTTAAAAGTGATTCTTTCAGAGAAGGGGCTTTAAGAGGAGGGACGTTTAATAGTTTTCTAGTGTATTTTATTTTATTTGTATTGTGTTCAATGTTATGCTTCACAGTTCTAAAGAAAATCATTCAAGAAGTCATGAAATGGAGGGGGAAAAGAAGACGATAAATTACAGGAAGGAAAAAAATCAAGAAAAGAGAGAGAATATAAGGGGTAAAACTGGATAGAAACTATCGGTGCTGTTAATTAACAGGTCAATGGTACTTTTCATTAGAAAAAATTCAAAATGAAGTTAGGGGACCATTCTAATACAGTACGATATCAAGAAGTAAGGGAAGGATAGACATATATGCTGTATATTTAAACCACATATTCATTTTATTTGAAAGGCCAGAGGGAAATAATACAATATATAAAGGCGTACTGGATCAAAAGGAAGTTTTAGTAGTGATTTTGTTTAAAATAAATCATTGTTTTGTTTAAAATGGAATCAAAGGCTGAGCGTTAGACGAGTGATTGATAGCAGGAGAGAGAGATTAGACATTTGATAATGCATTCTCCTGTAGGATATGAAGAAAGTTGGATTTGAAAGCACCAGTATTTTAAAAAATGATGCTATTAAACTGTTTTCCCTCCTGGGAAAAGTTTAGGTGTCTGTTATAAAGGACACCTTTTCCTTTGGGCAAAGTAACTAAAGCAAAGAGATAGGATTGCAAACCAGGCAACTGAAAATATGGGGGATGGTGCCTCCTCCATTTTTATACATATAACCTTGGAAAGTCCTTTAGTGCTCTCTGTGTTACTTACCTCATCAGTAATATAAATATAATAGGGATTTGGGGAAGCTTAGTGAGATAATGTCTCCAATGTGGATTTAGAAATAAATTAGAGAAATTAGTTTCTTGTGTGTACAGCCACTGGCAAGAGTGATAAAGTGAACATTTGCAGCAGGTGCTGTGTCAGAGGACCTTTCAACCAGGAAAACACATTCACACCTTTGAGCCTGTGAATAAGCCGACATGAAACATTCGTTTATGGCGTTTAAATGAAGTCTAAATTTGCTATTTAGACATTGTTAGCAAACTCAGAATTCTTACATGAAAATAGTACTCTGGGATTAATTTATATTTATTAATACAAATCTCAAGTTCTACCCTGTAAACCAGGACAAATAATGAGCACATTTTCAGTTTCTACAGCTATCATCCGGAAATCTCATTTAACTTCAAAATAAGCAGTCAAAAGGGAATTTTTGGGCATAATGTTTTAAAGCAGAAATTTTATCAAAAGCAACATTTTAACATAAGATAACTTGTGTTTTACTGTTCAGATTTTTTTATTTATTTATTTATTTTTGAGACAGAGTCTTGCTCTGTGGCCCAGGCTGGAGTGCAATGGTGAGATCTCAGCTCACTGCAACTTCTGCCTCCTTGGTTCAAGTGATTCTCCTGCCTCAGCCTCCTAAGAAGCTGGGATTATAGGCGCCCAACACCACGCCTGGCTATTTTTTGTATTTTTAGTAGAGACAAGCTTTCACCATGTTGGCCAGGCTGGTCTCGAAATACTGACCTCAGGTGATACACCTGCCGCGTCCTCCCAAAGTGCTGGGATTACAGGTGTTAGCCACCATGCCCGGACCACCCGAAAATTTTTGTCTGAAGAATATATTTCTTAAAACTTTGTTTTGCAATCATGTTCTATTTGAAATGTCTCTTAATTTGAACTGTATTTGTTCAAGGCAATTTTATTTTGTTTTAATCAGAATACTCTCCCTCCTGTGACAATCAACATTCAAGAGGGATTTGTTTGTGCTTCCATTTCTCTCAGCTTCCCATTCTGTCATTGCCTCACCACTTCCTAATCCCTGGGCAAAGCAGAGAAGCATCTCCTATTTAGAAAGGAGAATCATAATGGAATAAAGTCAGCAAGTATAATTTTTGACAGGTAGTGAAATAAAACAGACAAAAACCACATAATAGCAGTTTATTAGTAGAAAAGACAACATTGTCTTTAGTAAACTATCATTTTCTTTCTGTGCTCAAAGGAAGACTACATTTCTCTGGTACTTTGTGTCCATGTGGGGTCATGGGCTTACTCCTGGCCAAAGGAAATTAAGTGACAGTGTTGTAATCGCTTCCAGGCCAGGCAAATAAAACATGTTCAGTGTATGATTCTTCTCCTTCTTCGTCTTCCATAGCAACACCGATGGCCTTCTATTGAGAATAATGAGTCCAGGAGAGAGAGACTCAGGTCTGAGAAATTAAGTACAGTACAATAGATTTTAAATATAGCCCTTCTTAGCTCACTAATTTGGACTCTGATGTTAGCAGTGAATTTTCATTATGTTCAACTACAAAAAATTCACATACTGGTTACTGTAGGATAGCCTAGTTACAAAAAGGTTTTTGAAGATATCATTTTGCAAAGAGTGCAGTGTACCTAGCCTTTTGACTGTAAACCACACAGATAAATATAATTTTTTCAAAAATTTTTCTTTAGTCACTTTAAAAAGAAAATCATTTAATTTATTTAAATATAGTATTTTATAAATGATAATATAGCTAGATTTTTTTTTACTAAATTTACTGAAAACTTAGGATCATATATAATAAAACAAAATATCTATATATGAGATAATCTATAAATTATACCAAGTTAATAATATATTGCAATGGAGTCCCATTAGCCATTTAACCATATGAGCATTTTCTCTAAAACTATAAGGAATCTGAGGAGTGTATTTAAACCAAAATATTTGTATTTCTTTACATGTGTAACTTTTAATTGAATGCTGAGACAACCGTATTATATTATGAAAAATTATTATTTTTATATTTTAGAAAAATTTGTATTCCTATAAGAAGCAAAAATATCTCTCCTGAGTTATTATTATTATTATTTTTGCTAAGAGTCAATATCCTAGGGAACTATTAAGTAGGAAACCAAAATATTCACAAGGGAGGACTAAGGCTGACAAGAGAGAAAATGTTAGTTCTCTCTTAACCTCTCTTTCTCTCTTCCTCCCTTCCTTCTTTCTGTTACTCTCTCTCTCTTTCTTGTTCTACCTCTCTGTCTTCCTCTCTTTCTCTCTCTCTCTGCCAATCGTCTGTGCTGTGAAATTTTAGAAATTAAAAAATACTTGAAGGTGAGAAAGATGGCCTCTGTAATACAGTTGCCAAGTGAGAATAAGGTAGAAATTCATCCAGGTGGGCCAAATAAACTCTTGAATTTGAATATGCAATTTCTCATGTTCTTGACACCCTAAGGGAATTTTTATCCCTAGTCTATTTCCTCTTTTTGATAACAGCTGAGGAATCCTCAAATGCATACCACAGGAAAGGAACTCCTTAGAAGAGAAGAGTGATTATTACTATGTAAAGAGGTCTCCAAAGCTATTTATGCAGAGTATCCAATAAATAGACACTTAAATATCAAAGACATGAGTAGACACTTGTGAGGGTAAAATAATACAAAAAAAAATTCCATATTTCAGGTGAATTTTAACTATTTTAGCTTATCTTAGCAATATTATTGAGAAGACACTTTTTCTTTTGGATCTGTACATGAGAGAGAAAGTAAAGGAGGAAAAGTGCTCCTTGAGTCCACGATGTTTGCAGCATGAGGAATGAGCCAGAATCACAAGACATGAGTAATTTATAGAGACAAGAGTCAGGACAATCAAGTCTCAGGTCCAGCTACCAGATTATTTTCCTACCTTGGAAAAGTAGTGCTTTTTTTTTGTATTGAGAAATAATAATAATTGGTTTTTTTGGTACAGTGATTAATAGGGGGATTGAGTTTCTTGGTCAGCTTTATAAATAGTATTTTTTGGAGAATAGAAAACAATCATAACACTAATGGAATCAATTCTGGGTAGCCTCTGTTCAAGACTACAAATGTGTAAGCATGGCTTTTGCGGGAGTTTTTGCCATAGAAGTGAAAACTCAGCTAGTAAGATGTTTGAAAATAAAGAAACAAACAAAATTGACTGTGGAACAGCAAACACAAAGGGATTTTGGAGACTTAGAAACAGGCAGTCTCTAGCTAGTCCTAGGGAGATACAGATAGTAAACTAGCCAAATGAAGCAGGAGAATTAAAGTTAGAAGCTTCATGAGAGTTCAGCCACTAGAAAGATTTTGTGGAAATCCAGGAGAAACATTAAATACCAGTGTGAATATCGGGAACGTGAGTAAAGGAAATGAAAAATATAATGGAGGAATTCCCTTCATGTAACAAATTCAGTACCTTAAAAAGAAATAAAAAAGAAGTCTCCATAAAGTTAAGTCCCTCAGACGGTATACATATAAGTAAAGCATTTGCAGAAATCACTAATCTGGTAGAAGATTGACAGAGAGGAAAAGTGTTTTCTCTTTTGTCTTACAGAAGAAAGGAGAATGTCTACTTTGGCTACATTGGATATGTGCTGGCTTTACATCAGTCTACTTATAATTATGACACTCAAGTATAAGAAAGAGTGGGTAAAAAGTCACAGGAAAAGATAGTCGTATTAGGATTTGCAGACTATCTTTAAGTTTTACAACATTAAAGAATATACATATGACTTACAGTTTCAACAGGTTTACAAACCACAAAGAGTCTTCATGGTCATGTAAAATTCAATTCCATTTATTCATTAGGGAGTTGCAGTTAAAAATTGTTATATTTTTGGTGCCTATACTCCAAATCATAATTAATTTATTTCATCAGAGGACACTTCTGTTTTTCATTTTCTTTATCTCTTACTTCACTTGATTTACTTGAAGAAAAAATATCTCACTAGATTAGATCCCAGTGACTTGGGATGTTCTCATCTATATCATCTTAGATTTGGGCATAGCTATATCTCTGTAAACTTTTTGGTCCTTTAGGAATGGAACTGAGTTATTTCCAAGACTTAAGATCTCGGTCAAGATGAATTCTGGAAGTCAAGATATGACTTTCAGAACAATTGAAATGTAGTGAGATCTAAAAATGTGACATTGTCGTATTAAATAGAGTCTTTAGGAGCAAGTCTTTTCTAATTTGATAGGGAGATGACTGTCATATATATAATCATAATTATGGCTAAATTTCTCCTATCTTAAGTTTTCCTTTTTTATTATTTTAATTTTTATTAGCATGATTTTTTTATACTTTAAGTTCTAGGGTACATGTGCACAACGTGCAGGTTTGTTACATAGGTATACATGTACCATGTTGGTTTGCTGCACCCATCAACTTGTCATTTACATTAGGTAAGTTTTCCTTTTTAAAACATTATTTGGAAGGTAAGACAATCATGTAAAATAATCCTAATAATGTGTGTCCTTGGATGAAATTTTGGATAAACATTTCATATTATGCTGTGATCATCATTTGATTCAGGCTTTTTGTGAGTAAAAGCAGAGTCAACACAAAAGGGAAAAGCATTCCCATTTTCAATTATCTTGAGAAGAGATTACTTTCTATCAGGAACAAAGACTTGGAAAGGACCCTGGAAGGTGGTAGAGGGAATTCCTTACTAGTATCTTTCTAAGAGAAAGAAATCTTACACCATGTGACCTGGACTTTAAGCTGAAACAGAGTTTTCCAACCTTGATACTATTGCCATTTGGGATCAGATAATTCTTTGTTTTGGGGGCTTTCTTGTGCATTTAAGGATGATTAGCAACATCTTTGGCCGCTATCTATTGAAGCCAGTAGTACATCCCTCCCACTTTCTACCCCTCACCATTGTGACAACAAAAAATGTTTTCAATCATTGCTGAACATCCTCTGGGGGACTTTACCCCAAGTTCAGAACCACACTATTAGAATTTCAGCTTGGTCTGAGTTGATTCCTTGTGGATGACAGGAGTTTCCTAGCCAGGTGACCATCTAGGGGCCACAGATCAATGACCCTTGAATTGTTTCACAACCTGAAGATGATTAAATTATACTGTGTAACTACTCTTCAATTAAATGGCATTCTCTCTCTTTTTAATTTTTACTATGATCTTACACTTTTTGTTAAAATGTCCCATATTTATCTGACATTTAATTTCAGAAAACAAAGGGGTACAACATTAAACCTGAGTGAGGGGTTTAAGGAAGGATTCTCTAAATCTAGATTATGATGGCAGTGGCATTTATCATTGGATTTTTAAGAGGATAAACCTCTCAAGATACAGAGCCCAGTCAGTTCTACTAAAAAAATACTATACAACCTCCAGTCTCAGTCTTAGAAAAGCAGAGCTTGATTGATATATTTTATTAATATGATACATATTTTCCACTGTTATTTAATAGAACTTGTTTAAATATAATCTAGCACTTTGAAGACCAGAGGCGAGAGTGTCTAGATCCCAGGTAAGAGAATATCTGGCACTCTTCTTATTTGTGTCCTGAAGGAGAGTGGATACTAATTTTATCCTAATTTTCTAGTAATTATTATGGCTAGAAAAATAAAACAGTCTGTTGTTTTTCTACTAGCAATTAGTTAAGGGTGAAACTCCTTGAGTGGGTGGGTGAGTGGCAGGTAGGTGTTTATGAAGTAATTTACCATATAGAGAACATATATTTAGTAAAACACTTCAATATATACCCATTCAGTGGAACTTAGTCAAATTAAATAGCATAAGCGTGACTTCAACACACAAATTTTAACATGCAAAAAGATTAAGTATTGAGCTGAATGAGTAAAATAAAATACAATGTTATGTAGTTGATGTGGTGTCCGTGAAAAGTGAAAGAAACAGCAAAAAAAATGTTTCAAGGGTGTGAAATTGAAAGTATTTTGGAAAGAAATTAATATCATTATTTAAGATGGTAAATTCACTGTTCTTCAGAATTATTCTTGATGTTATTAACTAATTAATTGGAAAATGTTTTCTTAAAACATTCCAATGAACTGCGAAATGAGAAACAAATGCCTACAAAGTTAACATTCTCAGACCAAACACCACTTGTTCTCACTCATAAGTGGGAGTTGAACAGTGAGAACACATGGACACAAGGAGGGGAACAACACACACCCCTGGGGCCTCTCGGTGGGTTGAGGGGCAAGAGCAGGGAGAGCACTAGGAGAAATACCTAATGCATGTGGGGCTTAAACCTAGATGATGGGTTGATAGGGGCGGCAAACCACCATCGCACTTGTGTACCTCTGTAACAAACCTGCACATTCTGCACATGTATCCTAGAACTTGAAGTAAAAAAAGAAAGAAAGAGAAAAAGAGAAAAGAAAGAAAGAAGGAAGGAAGGAAAGAAAGAAAAGAAAGAAAGGAAGAAAGAAAGAAAAGAAAGGGAGGGAGTGAGAGAGACAAAGAAGGGAGGGAAGGAGGGAAGGAAGGAAAATCTAAGCCACAAAAAAAACCAAAATTATAATTATTTGTAAAAAGAGTAATTATTCTTTCTTTATATACATGTATTCTTTCTTTATATATGCATATAAAGAAAGAATGATAATTTCGTGTGTATATATGTGTAAAGTGTGAGAAAATGTGCATAAATATAGGAAAAGATAGGCATATTAGGAATTGAACACTATCTTTAAATTTAAAAAAATTAAGGTATGTATATGTGACTTACATTTTCAACAGGTTTACATACCACAAAAAGTTTTCATGTCCATGTACTAAAATTCAACTTTATATATTTATTAGTGGGTTACAGTTACAAATTGTTATATCCTTGGTGTCTACACTCCAAATCATAATTAAATTTTTCATTAGAAGAAAGCTGATTTTCATTTTCATATATATATATATATATATATACATATACGTATATATATACACATATATATATACATATATATATATGTGTATATATATGTTTTTAAATGGTGAATAGCATCCTGCAAAAGTATTTGAATTTCTATTCAATACATTTCAGAGAGATATAAAATTTAAAAATAGTCCAGAGGAAAAAAATGAAGTATTTAAAAGGATTTATTTTTGTTTCATTTTTTAACTTTTATTTTAAGTTCAAGGGTACACGTGCAGGTTTGTTATACAGGTAAACTTGTGTTATGGGGTTTGTTGTACAGATTATTTCATCCCCCAGGTACTAAGCAGAGTACCTGTTAGTTATTTTTACTGATCCTCTCCCTCCTCCCACCATCCACTCTCTGATAGGCCACAATGTGTGTTGTTTCCTTCTTTGTGTTCATTAAGTTCTCATCATTTAGCTCCCACTTATAAATGAGAACATGTGGTATTTGGTTTTCTGTTCCTGCATTAGTTTGCTAAGGATAATGGCTTCCAGCTCCATCTATGTTCCTGCAAATAACATGATCTCATTGTTTTTTTATGACTGCATCATATTCCATGGTGTCTATGTACCATATTTTCTTTATCCAGTCTACCACTGATGGACATTTAGGTTGATTCTACATCTTTGCAATTGTGAGTAGTGCTGCAATGAACATACGTGTGCAAGTGTTTTTATGATAGAATTATTTATATTCCTTTGGGTGTATACCCATTAATGGGATTGCTGGGTTGAATAGTAGTTCTGTTTTTAGATCTTTGAGGAATTGCCACACTGCTTTTCACAATGGTTGAACTAATTTACATTCCCACTAACAGTGTTTAAGCGTTCCTTTTTATCCACAACCTTGTCAGCACTTGCTTTTTTTTTTTTTTTGGCTTTATAATAATAGCGATTCTGACTGGTACAAGATGGTATCTTATTGTGGTTTTGATTTGCATTTCTCTAATGATTAATGATGTTGAGGGTTTTTTTTCCATATACTTATTGACCACATGTATGTCTTCTTTTGAAAAGTGTCGTGTCCTTTGCCCACTTTTTAATGGGATTGTTTGTTTTGTTTGGTAAATTTGTTTAAGTTCCTTACAGATGCTTGATATTAGATATTTATCAGGTGCATAGTTTGCAAAATTCTTTCTCATTCTGTAGGTTCTGTTTACTCTGTTGATAGTTTATTTTGCTGTGCAGAAGCTCTTTAGTTTAATTAGATCCCAATTTCGCAATTTTTGCTTTTGTTGCAATTGCTTTTGGCGTCTTTGTCATGAAATATTTGCCTGTGCCTATGTCCTAAATGGTAGTATCTAGGTTGTCTTCCAGGGTTTTTATAGTTTTGGTTTTTGGATTTTACGTTTAAATCTTGAGTTGATTTGTGTATATGATGTAAGGAAGATGTCCAGTTTCAATCTGTATATATCTCACCAGTTACCCCAGAATCATTTATTGAATAGGGAGTCTTTTTCCCATTGCTTGTTTTTGTCAGCTTTGTTGAAGATGACTATATGAGCACAGTTAGTCAACTAAAACTTTGGTTAGGAGAGATGAAGTTTTACAGAATATGTAATATTAGGAAACTACATATTCTTGTAAATATTTAAGAAATCATAAAAGCTATAAATGTGAAACATATATTTCAACACATGCATTTCTCTTTTTACTCACTAGTGTCCAGAGTCATATTACTGATATTCTTAGAGTTGTAGCATGCCTTCCAACACATCATCTCTTTTTATCTAATCTACAGTTACTTATATTATTCCAGTCCCTCAGATGATTAATGATTTTAAAGTTAAAATGGAAGGAAATTAGTGTGATAATGAAGTGGCAATATAATCACTTCTCATTCACCTTCTAAAAAGTATCACCTTCTAAAAACAGTTTTTTGGTTATGTCATACACTTGCTTCGGGTAACTTAGTGTTACGACTTTAAGGTTCATACAGTTTTATAGTGATCACTTCTAAATGATTTTCTGATGTCTATTTCTGGTTGGAGATTCACAGTCTCTCCAATTACACATTCAATTAAAACATAATATTTCTTCACAAGTTGCAATGAGAAAATATTTCTTGGGATTTAAATAGTAAAGGGTATGATTGCACTAGTTTCTACACATAATCATAAGTTCAGGGAAACATGAGTCATTTTTCATCATACAACATGCCTCAAGTCAAATAAAATATGTCTTATTTTAACATTTGTAAACTTATTCAGCATACTTGTAATTTGTTTATCTGCATCTCTATGACATTTCCGAAACTGTTATAACAACTTTAATAGTCTTAAATCAATAATTAGATGATAAAATGTTATTTTATTTAATTCATTCAAAATGTTAGTGTATTTATTCAATTCGTTAATTCATTTATTTAATTCTAAATTACTTAATTTAGAATTAAAACATTGGAAAATTACTATTGTCGTTGCAGCACCTCTTGGAGTTGCAAAGAGGAATTTAATAATAGGTGGAAACAAAGAAACAGGTCATAATAGTCTGATAAATACAATAATAATCTTACATTGTTTTCAAACATTGAATAGGAAGATTCTTGTTATAATGACGCAATTCCAATTGATACAATAAAATGCCCATATTGTGAGATGTATAGAAGAGAGGGGTGATCTCACGCTAAATCTCTTTAATTCTTTAATAATTAAAGTTTAAAATTATTGAGAAACAAAAATATGAACCAAAAGTGTGCCTGATGCAACTAGATATTTTCAAATGTTTGTTTATTATTAATCATACTATATAGCTAAAATGGATTCCAGATTATTTTAATGATGAGTGAAAAAATTAAGAAACAAGAATAAAATAAAGATAAACATTTATTGAATTCAAGAGTGGACAGCATTTTTAATTAATTCATACACACACACAAACATGCACACACACACAAAGTCTCTTCAGGAGTGAAAGAAATGCACAGGATCAACTCGATTAAAAATTTTAACTTTCATATAGATTATAATTTTAAACTATCAATTTTACAGTTACAAAAGTAAAATGTTATCTAATATTGGTACGGTTGAAATCAAACAGAATTCTAAAGTAGTTCTAGTGGGAAATTTAAACAATGTTTAGATACATTTTCAGCAATTTTGTTAGATGCTGTTAGGAGGCAGTTCTCTGTGAGTGTCTCATGCTCTTGTCTTGTGATCAGGCACCAGCTAACTTTGTTCTGGACTATCTTTTATAAATGGTTGTATCATAAACAGCCTTGGAAGTTAGAGCTATAGTAGTGTCTTCCTTTGAGCAAAGGGCAGGTTCCGTTGCTTCTGCTATGATAAAGATAAAGGCAAAGATCCTGTAGATTTACTGCCCATTATAAAATGCTGGGGTTTTCTAAGCCCAGGTTTCCTCTCCCTTGCATACTCTGCTGTGTGCAGGAATTATTGTGCCCTCTTCATGTCACCTGGGAATTGGTTCTCAGGACACCAGTACAAATGCTGAAACTCTGTCTACTGCTATTACTGTGGATAATAAACTATCCTTAACTATCTCTAACACAGAAGTCTTGTGTCTTTGCCAGCATCTAGCAAATGTGGCTGGCTAACTTGTTAGCTTGCAAGTATAGTAAAATCTCAAACCTTTAATAGTTCCTGACAGATATTGTGGTTAAGTCTTTTCTCTGCATTAAAAAAGAGAGTGAAGTTTGTTTGCTTGTTTATGCTAAAACTAATCTATCTGGCAAACAGTCTTCAATTTTTATTTTTATTTTGTAAGAAGCAGAAACAATCACTTACCATGGAATAAAATAAATTATCTACAATGAATATATTGCAGAAAGATACAATAAAGTATCTTCAAGTATTTTATTGAATAATGCACACTGAAATAGAAATAAATCATGTAATGTTTTATGTATTTTTACCCAAAGCATTGTGTCTATGTATGTGTATGTGTGTGTTTGTGTGTGTGTATAGTACCAATTTAAATATGTCAAATATATTTAAAACCAGTCAGTATCTTTAATCAATATTGATTTGGTTGCCAGAAGCTGTCTTATAATAGCTGAAAATTATTCCTTCTGTTTAACCATATGAAAAATAAAAGACATTTGGGGGTTCTATATTTCACTGATGTGTATTTGCTTTGTTGTCCTGAGACATTTCCTTATGAGTGTGGTACTTTTTGCAATATTCAGGAAACATAAGAATCTAAGTAAATATATTGCTGTGGAGACATCTCTGCTTACATGAATTTCTCTCATCTTTAAGTGACTGAATCAGCTTGCCTTGCTGCCCAAAGGAGGCTTTGTATTTAAATTTGCATATCTATTATTCATCAGTAAAGTCTCAATGTGGACAGCTCTAGGTCAGTTTTCTCTAGAATACGGTTTATTATATCATTAAATTATCTTGAACTTTCTGTTTTTTCATATAATTATCATATTTTTCAAAACATTTCTGGAGTATTGTTTGGTTATCTTTTCAAGTGTCCTTAAATAGTGTGTGCATGTGTGTGTGTGCGTGTGTGTGCATGTGTGTGTGTGCGTGTGTGTGCATGTGTGTGGTGTCACTTACTTTCTATGGCTTGGACTCCCTCTCCAATCGATACATTATTTTTATCACATTTTTATCTGTTTCTTTATTATCACTGTATATATGATGAATATAATATATAAACTTATACAAATATAATTTCAGTATACACACACACATACATATATGTGTGTGTATATGTACATACATATATTTAAAAACAGGGAATGTTTTGTATATATGTATGTGTGTATAAATGTGTACATATATATAAATATAGACATATATGTATATTCTGTGTCCTTAATGTTTTTTCTTTACTGCTTACAGTAGTTCCCACTCATGGTGAGGTCTTTGCCTTCTGGGAATAAATACTTCGTGCTAATTTCTTACGTCTTACATCCTCGTCCCTGATTTTAGTATGTAAACAGCCTAGACTATAATGGATTGTCATACCAATTCTGCTTGTCTTGGCTGTTTTTTCTCATATTCATACAAGATTTGGAGTAAGCCATATTTAATTTCTCATTTGGTATTTTCATTTCAGAGGTATTTAATTCACTTTTGATATTCATTTTCTTCTGTTGGATTTTTCAGAGGAAGACTAAGTTTCCACCATACATCTACTAAATTTTGCAGGAAGGATTTCTGATTGAATACATTTAGGGACTAGTACATGAGGAAGACAAGGATCTGAAAAATTACTTGGAGATATCCTTTCCAAGTCATATCCACCATAATGGATTTGAATATTCCCAAGGTATCTGAACACTTGTTTAAAGATACATTTTTTTTAAATAGGGGTGTACGTGATGAGTCCCTGAAAGTAGGAGGAAGTCATGAGAAAGTAGAATGAAGGAAAATAGGGGAACTACTAAGGTAGAAAACTGAGTTATGATTACAATGGAATGGCTAAAAACTAACAATAATTAATAAATATCACATTTAAGCTTGCTTTAGTTTGGTAGATGTAACTTTTACTTTTAATGGATGAGAATAATGAGTTTATTAAGCTAAAAATTAATAGAGTTTGATTCAAACATGTTATATTCAGGAGCTCAATCTTCTAGTTGTATGTGAGAATATGACATGTCACACTGGAGCCCCTTGCTTAGGAATAAGTGGTCAGACGTAGACCACCAAAGCGACTGTGGTGAGAGTCATCAAAGTCTGATATCTCACAAACAACTTTCCAATAAGTGTGGTTGTGTTTCTGAAGCCCTTCTTGTTCTTTATGCTCCACATATCTCCTAAAAATAAGAATTCATTAATGTAATTAATTTGAGTAGGGTTCTATTTTATTTAACTTGAGAATCTATCAAAAATGATGTTGAAGTAGCCTAAATATAACATCTCAAAATGGTTATCTTTCACAAAGTACATATTCTTTATGATAAAGTCCACTGCTTATCATTTGCTAAGAGTAGTTATTCTTTTGTTTTTTTCTTCACTCTGGCAGTCGCACTTATGTCTAATTTAAAACACCAGTTAAGTGAACTAAATCTTCACTTGTGTGCAACTATTTTAAATAATTCCATTAATACTTGATGCTTTTACTTTATTTCACTTTTAATTTTTCATCCTTCTTAGTTTTTAAGTTTTGGGGCCATTGTCTTTTAGTTTTTACGTATTTTTATATTCTCTCATCTCTGTATATTTATAAACATGTTCTCTCCTGAAGAATCTACCTTTATTTATAGGTATAAGCATTAAAATCTGGGAAAATGAATATTTTCATCATAGTACATGAACATACACTATGATGAGAATTTCAGATCATTTTTCTCTCTCTAGTCAATTGTTTTATCTCAAATATGTACTAAAACTCAAATTTCACTCACTCTGTTTTGTTGTGTATTGTGAATTAGTGTGATATAAATGTTTATTGGGAGTAGAATGTAAAAGGTCTGTTCAATCAATCATGCAATATATCTATCTGTAACATAGATAACCACATCTAACTTATATCTAAGTACCATCATAAACTCCATTCCTGCATAAAGAGATAAGTGCCCCAAAACATTTCTCAGTTTCTGGAACTGAATTAATCGAGAAGAGAGCACAGTTATAGAAAACTTATCCCTCTTACTATATAATGATTCCAAATAAATGTTCTAGAGATAATATGTCTATCATGTAGCTCTTTTATGAGAATTTTAGTACACTGCATGACTCATATTTATTATACATTCAGTGTGTATCTTTTAACACTGCTGAAATTTTGTTACTCATTACAAAAACACTGAAAATAATCTTTCAGAAATGCATACAGATATAAAAATCAGAGTTTAAATTTAAAATTAGAAATGAAAAATAATCTAGACTTTTTTGGTTCATCCTTTGTTCATATCTAGCTGAGGGATCTAGGTATCAGTTTCCTGTCATCTTACCATCACCCTCAGATAGTCTGCATAAAATACTTAAATATTATCTGGAAAAAAAGTTGACATAACTGGCACCCTTCTGGCATCTAAACTGAGGCAGCAGGGATTTAAATATCTTGTTCCCTATAGGTGGTTCCTCAAGTTCAGGCCTGAGGCATTGTTTTAGAGTAGAGTTGAGAATGCTATAGTTATTATATATAAAAATAGAAGAGTTGTCAACTTAGCTTGTCATCTTGACATTTTTCTTGAATGTTGAATTCACTTGCAATTCACTAGATTGGATTGCTCTAGAAGATTATTTTGTATGTGTTCATAATAAGGCTTGGAAATTGTGTTTTTTAACATGTTCCACGTTTAATTATATTAAATGACTACTCACTCTCCAGATTAAGTTTGTGCTCAATCTTTTGTGTAGCTCCAAAAAATACAGAATGCAAGAGAGATCTGAGTTTACTGTAAGTAACAAGATACAGGAGAGTTATAAAATAATGTGATCTGTTTGGAATTCCTAGCATCGGAGGTGTTCTAAGGCTAGAAGACAACTACAGGACAATTTTGGAGGGTTGGAACAGAGAAGCCCCTTAAGGACCCTGACTATTGAGGAATTTTTTAGTCCAAGTTCTTTGATTCTGTTAAAAACTTGTTGAAATCCAATGCTCTACGAACTTTGCATCTCCAAAGTACCATATATATTGTTTGGCAAATTGGAGTTTGCCAAGAACCCCAATTGAAAATGATATCTTAATTAAGCACAATTAGGAGTTACAAAATACCCACAAAATTGAAAACCAGCTGCTCCGACTGCATTCTGATCCTCATTAACTGTGAGGATCATAGCCTTTTGAGCAACAAGCTCAGAATCACTGACAAACTCTTGTTAGATTCTACTTTAGACTTTGCTTTTACTTAGCACCCTTGTGCCAGATGGGAAGTTTACAGGTGTATTTTTATAGCTGTACTTAAAATTCTGCATACAAGCCAATTTTCTAATTTGCTGTTTTAAACTGAAATGTTTATAGGGTATATAAAATAATTATAAGTAATTATTTCAACATTCATTGGAACAAATATGTCAATATTAAGTGATAATCAATTAAAAAAGCACACATTTTATTATTTTTTTAAAATAAGGGTGGCACATTATTCAAACTGAGGATACCAGTAACTAATGACAGAAACACTCATTCACTTCATAAACCTAGAGTATTTATCATTTCTATCAAAATGTGAAGCAGAAAGTATTTATAGTATAGAGGCTAGGTCCAAACGGAACCCATGCTCAGTTTGTAGGTGAAAAACAATCCTAACAGAATGAGTACTAAAAGTGAAACTAAGAATTTTTAAGCACTAATTGAAAACTTCATCACCGTTTTGTATAGATTCTTCATAAAATAAAATCACTTTATTCTAATCTCTGAAATCATAAAAGGCACACTATATGCTCGGGTCATTGAGTACATTTTATTTTTTTATGAAATGTGACCCATGGACAAAAGTATCCAACATCTTAAGTGATTAACATATTAAGCCTGTTTATCTTGAATATTTCCACTGTCTCAGCAACTCTGACTTTGCACTTTGATGCAGTAACTTCCTGTTTTATTTCTCTTTACATGGCATTTACAGATGAAAATGAACTATTAATCACTCTGAGCACTTTCTTACATAGTCTTTGCAACGAACTCACTTTGAATTTATACAACATCACTTTTTAAATGCAAATAAAGCTTTCCAGTTTCCTAAAATGTCTTTCCCTCAATGGAAGGGATTAAAAGTTGGTATTCTCAGAGCTGCACACTCATGACAAGCTGATTACCAGTCTGTCCTTGCAGCAGTCACAGCCTGTAACAAGTAAGAGTTTGTAAATTCTAGCCACTCATTTTCCCATTTCACTGTCCATAGGAGCTAGTGAAAAATGGAACTCTTCAATTCTACCCTTTTATGTCACTTCAAATAATAGCCAAATTCATTTCCCCCCACAGAATATAATTGAGATACAGGCAATGATTCCAAGAAACACTGAACATTTTGTACAAGAGTCAAATCAGTTTCTCATTCTGTACTCCCACCAAATAAAAGCCTTTATGATTTTGTTACTTGCATGGGAAATGTTCACAGAGCACTGCCAAGTACAAGTGTACTCTCTTGTGTCCCGGTGGTTCTCTGTCACGATCTTTCCATTTACTGTGGTGTTACCATGACATTTTGATTCATTATACTTTGTTCAAGGACGCATAAACTGAAAGGCAAAATAAATCAAAAACATATACTTTTTTTCTCAAAGATGGTTATAATATGTACACAAAGGTAAAATACATGTAAAATCAGAGCTTCTAAAAACAAATAAAAAATAAAATCAGTGCCCTCATTATTGGTATTTTAATTATTGAAGATGTTTGATTTGTTCTCCATCTAAATAGAATATACCCCTTTCACCTAACACTTGAGGGCCTTAGTAGAGTTTTGGAGTTGAGTATGGCATTTCAATTAAAATATATCTGAAAGACAGATATTTATAAAAAGTACAGATACCAAGAGATGATTTTGCCAAACATGTTCCTTCATTTTTAATTTTAGTATTGCCTTTAAAGTTTTACATTGGCATAAAGAATATTATTCCTACTCCTTGGAGAAAAACAATTAAGAAGAAGGAGTTCTGGAGACATGGAAAATGTACTGGTTGTGTATCATTTAGGATCCTGAAATAGCATATAAGCAGAAAGCTACCCACAAGTCAGATTTCACTAAAGAAAACACTCGGGATATATTACTATATTCTCTTGGGTCTATAAAGAGACTCCTACAATTAACACTTAACAAAACTAATTTATTGAGAGAACTGAATCTCTCCAGGAAACATTTGGCCATTAACAGATTACACTGACTCTGATATGTTTTAGGAAAGATGAATATAGTCCAGGAATAGCAACATGAGCATTGGCTAAACCTACTGGGAGCAGGTCTTGAGATTTTTCACAGAAATAGGTGTTATAATTCACAGTTAAGTATCTGAAGATTAAAAGGATACATAAATTCTTAGAATATCTGACACACACAAAAATTACTTAATTAGAAATTACATTAATTTGTATCATAGTTGCATAAATTCTTAAAAACTAAAATGGAGAGAAATTAACTATCTTTAAAAGAAAAATTATCCAATACATATCCTATTTAGTTCTTACAGTCATGATTCATTTTTTTAATTTAGGATTTAAAATCTCATGAAATAACTTTAGATAAACTTAAGGGGAATTTGACCTAATTATATCTGATTAAGAATCTCTTCTACCAATGTTACTTAAAGTAACTCATATAATCAGGTACTTTAAACTCTGGTAAAAGAAAGCCAGATTGTTTTAGAAGTTGTTACTTCTTTTTGTTAATATGAATCTGTGTCACTGACTTAAAGCTAATTAGCTTCTCTGGACTTATATATCCACTCAATTTTCTGCTAAAAAATTTATAGCTTTAAATAATTGGTATAAGCTTATAAGGTGATCCCCAAATCTTCTTTTCTCACTCTAAATATCAATGATCCTTCCCACCGCACACTGATTTGTTGTTTAATAATTCTATTCAACTTTCCTTATATTTCTCTAGATTGTAAATTTTACTTGTAAAGTGTTCTGCTAAAAACGAACAAAGCAAAATGCAGTGTCAGTGTTACTACTGTTCTTTTCTAAAACTCATAGTTGTTTCTCAAAGTAGTGTTTTACAAGATTATGTTCCACAAGTGACATTGGATGTGTTTGTGGGAAAACAGTTTTATGGTTATATATATATATGGAAAATACTGTGCTAACAGATTTAAATAAAACAGAACTTGCAGAAAACTGTTAACTATCTATGAGGTATCTAAAGCAGTCAAATTTACAGACACAGAAAGTGGAATGGTGGACATCAGGGTCTGGGAGAAGGGAGAAAAGGAGTTACTTTATGGGTAGGGCTTTAGATTTGCAAGATGCAAACGTTCTAGGGCTATTTTGTAACATTTTAATACTTGATACTACAAAATGTTTAACGAGATTTTTAAGGTAAATTTTATGTTATAAGTTTTTACCACAAAAAGTAACTTAATATTCAGTTTCACAATGTGATTTGCAATCCCCGTATATGTTTGGAAGCATTGCTCAAACCAATTTGATTATCCAACCTTTTTGTGTTGTTTTGCTTTGTTTTGAGGAACACATTTTAACATCACAGAGTAATGTTACATGCAGCATATTTTGATTAAATATTTCCAGAGCTTCATTGCTAAAAATGATGAATGTAACAGTTCAAATTTACCCTGTAAGAGCCAAATTTATTTTCTGCTAACCTTTCATTCCCTCGTGGAGATAATTTAACCTAATTCTTACTTCAGAACCCACTTTAGCTTGTACTATCTGGAAGGCATAAGAATGTGCCTATTAAATATCCATCCAAATATTTAATCATATCAGAGCACTTGCTTGGTTGGTCCAGTAGCCTGAGTTACCCCACCCCTCCTGTGCAGAGATCTTGGATCAGGGGAGCCCTCCTTGCTTCATGCCCAGGCAGATCGCCAGGCATTCAGAGCACCTGCTCATTTGGTTCTGCGCCCTGAGCTGCCCCACCCTTCCTAGACATAGATTATGGTGCAATGAGGCCCACTTCACTTCATGCTGAAGCAGATTTCCAGGTATTTGGAGCACCAGCTCACCTGGATCAGCAGCCTAAGCCACCTCACCCTTCCTGTGCAGAGATCCTCATGCAGGGTAGTGGCAGGGAGGGCCTCTCTGCTGCATGCCCAGGCTGATCTCCAGAGCACCTGCTCACCTGGTTCAGCAGTCTGAGTCACCCTATCCTTCCTGTGCAGAGATATTAGAGCAGAGGCCCCCTTTCTGCTCCATGCCCAGGGAGATTTCTAGGCATCTGGAGCACCCACTCTCCTGGATTAGGAGTTTACACTGACCTCACCCCTCTGCAGACAACTTGGAGCTGAGGTGGTTTCCCAGCTCCATGTCTCGGCACACATCTGGGCACTTGGTGGCTACCCACTAAATTCTTCCTTCGTGCTGGTGCCAGTGCTGATCATCAGGGTTGTATAGGCAGACCTGCCCAATTTAACCCTGCCCTTCATGGCCCCTCAACCCATGGGCTGAGCAGGGAGCTCAGAGCACTATACATTCCACAAATGAGCCCATTGCCTGTGGTATCAGAGAGCTTCTGCCATTAAACAAGGATCAACTCTATACCCAGCCACATTGGCCACAGAGGCTCTTACCTATAAGCACCATCTACTGGCTTGTAGGTCAGACTCCACAGTCCCAAATGAACCCTGCCAAAAGAAGTACATAAGGTTACAGAAGCAAAGCCAAAAGACCCTACACAGTATTCTCTATAGTCACGCTCCCCTAGGGAGGAGGGAAAGGAACAAAAAAGTAATTATAACAGTATAGGGAAAGAAAGAAGAAAACATCCTACGCATATGAAAATAATTACAAAAATTAGAAGTACCAGCATCTCCAGATGAGAAGAAACCAACGAGCTCAAGAAAGCTGGCTCCATGAAAAATCTGAATGCAGGGACACCACTATAGGAATACACGAGCGCTCCAGCAAGAGTCCCTAACCAAAATGGAAACTCAGAAATGATAGACAAAGCACTCAAAGCATGGATTGCAAGAAAGCTCAATGAGATCCAACACAAGGTTGAAAATCAATGTAAAGAAGAGTCTAAAGCAACCCAGGAAGTGAAGGAGGAGATAAACATCTTAAAAAATCACTCAGAGCTTCTAGAATTGAAAATCTCACTTAAGGAATTTCAAAATACAAGGAAAAAAGAATTTTAGAGCTTAAACATAAGTCTTTTGAACAAACCCAGACAAAAAGAAAAAAGAAAGAAATGAAAGACATCTTCAAGAAGTATGAAAGCATGTAAAGCGATCAAAGAAAATGAATCATTCTATCAAAAAGACACATACACTTGGATGTTCATCACAGTGCTATTCACAATAGCAAAGACAGGGAATCAACCTAGGTACCCATTAACAGTGAACTGGATAAGGGAAATGTGGTACATATTCACCATGGACTACTATGCAGCCATAAAAAAGAATGAAATCATGTCCTTTGCAGCAACGTGGTGGCACTGGAGGCCATTATTCTAACCAAATTATTTCAGTAACAGAAAAACCACATACCATATGTTTTCACCTATAAGTGGGAGCTAAACACTGCTTACTCATGGACCTAAGATGGGAGCAATAGACACAGGGACTAATAGTGGTGGGAGGGAGGAAGGGGGACAAAGGTTGAAAACCTAACTGCTGGGGACTCTGCTCACTATTTGGGTAATGAGAACCTTTGTATCCCAAACTCAGCATCATACAATATACCCAGGTAACAAACCTGCACATGTACTCTCTCAATCCAAAAGTTGGAAAAAAGTAAAAAAATAAAAATTAGCTGGGCCTGGTGGCATGAACCTGTAGTCCCAGCTGCTCGAGAGGCTTAGGTAGGAGCTCAATCCCAGGAGTTTGAGGCTGCACTGAGCTATGATTATACATACCAATGCACTCAAGCCTGCAGGACAGAACACAACCCTGTCTCTAAAAATAAATAAATGAATAAATATATAAATAAATAAATAAAAACATATTAAAAAATGAATATTTAATTATAAATACAATGTATAATAAGATCTAGATTAAAAACAAAATTCTGTGTATCTTGCTTCAGACTTCTTCCTCAATTGCTTTTATTTTATAAAATAACATTACATTGTTTCCTTTATTCTCTTTCAGAGTATATTATTCCATATATGCTATAGATGATAAGAAAGTTTCAAATACAATGTCGAAAGCACATCATACCATATGAGGCCATCTCTTGCTCTGTCTATTGGCCAGATATAAAATAAATATTATTCACTTTGTTGGTCTTTACTTAATAACTCAATTAAAACTAATTATTGTCTAATTACATGTAAATTATTTAAAAACTAATAAAGAATTCTCTAATTTTTATTATAATGTCACTAAATAACATAACAATTCAATCTCCTAGGGAGAAAAATTATGTAAATATCTTAAAAGAATGGATACATAAATATGTCCAATTGAATATCACAAAATAAGACTGACTTTGTCAACAAATTCAGTTATTTACAAAGCAATTACACCAGGAAAGAGTGTGGCACACTTTCTTTTACATTATCAATGTATGCTGGCAGTCCACAATTGACCCTGATATGGAAAGATATTTATATTTATAATGTTATTACAAACTTTTGTTTGTTTGATGGATCACCTGTACCATAATGCAACTTAAATAACATACCAACGTGTAAAACTTAAAATATTCCACAAAGCCACTGTTTTCTAGAAAATCATATTTTGAAGTTTTTATTTCGAATGTAAATTCTCTACCATTTGTTTTACCTGCATAAATCATGAATTCACGTTGTCTTTTTAGTCATACATTTGTAAAACCCACAATGTATTTAAACAGACTGATGAATATTAGAAAATATATTAGTCATGATCTTTCAAAAAAGTTGTTAGAATCTGTAATGTGTTTCATTTGTGCATAAAATTCTATCTTTTCTCTGGCTTTTTGTGTGTTTGGATAAAAATTAAATTTCATATTTTCTTTTTAATAAAGAGAGTTAAAAAATTCAATTATAATTCATTACTACAGAGCATATTTTTCTATTCAGAGTTTTCCCTCTATAGTTCCTACTTGCAATATTTGTAGCTTCTGCAATTGTGATTTGGTTATTTCTAGTTGTAATAAAATGGTATAATTCTCTATCCATATGAAAGATTGTATTTCTATCCAGCTTACAATTAAATTAAAAATGTTCTTTACTTTATTATATTAGCCTCCAATATGAATAAGAAAAATTGTAAACCTATGTAGGCTGATTTCTTATTTCAAGTTTTATTTTATTTTTATTGACATAAGTTATTAGTGTACTACAATGTGATGTATGTGTGTATATGTTGTTTAATGATTAAATTAGAGTAAGTAGCAAATTCACCACCTCAAGCATTTATCATGTTATTGAGGTGAGAACATTCAAAATCCCCTTTACTAGCTATTTTGAAATATGCAATATATTATTGTTAACTGTAGTCACCCTACTGTACAGTAGAATACTAGAACTTGTTCCTACTCATTTTAACTTTGTACCCATTGACCAGCCTGTTCCCATATGTCCCTCCCCGCTGTGCCTTCCAGTCTTTAGTAACCACTATTTTATTTTTTACTTCTATGAGATCATTTTTAGCTCCCACATATGAGTGAGATCATGCAATATTTATCTTTCTGTGCTTGGCTTATTTTACGTAAGATAGTATATCCCAAGATTATCCATGTTGTGACAAATGACAACATTTTATTTTTTAATAGCTGAAAAATATTTCATTGTGTATATATATCACATTTTTTAATCCATTAACCCACTGATAAACATTTATGTTGATTCCATACATTGGCTATTGTAAATAGTGCTGTAATAAACATGGGTGCACAGATACCACTGTGACATACTGATTTCATTTTCTTTGTATATATAGCCAGTAGTGGAACTGCTGGATCAGAAGATAGTTCTATTTTTAGTTTGTTCAGGAACCTCTGTACTGTTGTTCATAACAGCTGTACTAATTTACATATTTCCACCAAAAGTGTGAAAGGGTTCTCTTCTCCACATCCTTGCCAAAAATTACCTTTTGTTTGCTGCATAAAAGCCATTTCAGTATTTCATTGTGGTTTTCATTTCTCTGATGATTGGTGATGTTGAGCATTTTTTTTCATATACTTGTTGGCCATTTGTGTGTCTTCTTTTGAGAAATATATATTCATTTCTTATTCCCATTTTTTAAATAAGATTATTTGTTTTTGTTTTTGATTTTTGGTATTGAATTGCAGTTCCTTATAAATTCTGCATGTTAAGCCTTTGTCAGATGTATGGTTTGCAAATATTTTCTTCTATTCTTTAGATTGTCTCTTCACTCTGTTTATTATTTTCTTTGCTGTTCAGAAGCTTTTGTGTGCTGATTTCTGATTGTGGCTTTTTCAGTTAAGTGTTGTATTTATTCTTGCCAACCTCAACAAACAGAGAAGAAGCACAATGAAAAATAAGACTGCATCTGCCTTCTTTCAGGCCATTCAATTTATGAGGCATTGAAACATAGATATTTGAAAAGTATGGAACACTCATTTTACAAATGTCCATCTACAATTATGCTCAGCTTGTTCAGGCAGGTGAATGTGGAAATTCTGTTATAAAACACCAGATCAATCTCCCTCTTTCCCTGATGAAATTTGAAATGGAATATTATAAGTAGTTCAACTTTATTATATCTTTTGCAAATATTAATTATATGTTCAGTGTCATATAATGTGGCAGGAGGTAATGAAGTTGTAACATAATTATTAATCATCTTGAAGTATAAGAGGCATATTTTTCAGCTGTTACACTCATTGATAGAGATGATGGAAATAATTTCCCTCTTTATGTTCACCTGTATTGCAGCAACTTAAATAGACTGAAGTCCCCCACCTTCACCCAGAGATGCTTAATATTTTCCAGTTTTTCTTAGTATCTTTATTAGGCAAGGCTGGATTTCTTTTCAATTTTGCTCCATGTGTTGAAGCATTGCTGACCTTCACTTTATAGGTTGTAAGCAGCAACTGCAAAAGGTACCTGTAAAATTAATCAATCTGTCAATCAATACTCACCAAATAATTGTTTTTAGAACTCTGCGAAAATACTGTTAAAAACACCCTGTTATATCAATCATCATTAAGAATAATCATTATGCAAAAGATACAGCTAGGCCCTTTTTGTTACCAATGAGCCTGTCCTAAAACACAAAAGAGAAAAATCATTGCTATTTGCATTTTTTGAGATCCCTATGAAAAAGCACCTAATTATCCTTCACCTAACAACTAAATTCAAATACATAATTGTAGCAAGAATTGAACTGATTAAATGTTTAATTAAATAAGGTGAAATTAGAGTGTAAATGCAGGGTAGGTTCTATCATATATACAGTATTAATAATTGAGCATAGAACATGGCCACTTTTGGCTTATGGTATAATTATCTACTGCTGTGAAACAAATCAACTAAACCCTTGTTGGCTTAAAAATATATTAATTTTGCACACAAATCTGCAATTTGGACAAGGTCCACCTGGGTAGCTCTTCATTTCTCCACATAGTGTCCGCTGGAGCAGCTCAAAAGGAGCTAGAGAATTCACTCCCAAGATGGCTCACACACATGGATGGCAAATCATTGGTGGTAGCTTCTTTTCCCCATATGGACTTCTTCATGGGGCCAATTGGTCTTCCTTGTACCTGGGTTTTAAGTGCAAACATCTAAAGGGACATAACATGAAAGATGCCAGCTTCTTAAGGTCTGAACTTGTAAAGTATCTAGTGTCACTCTTGATTTTACAAAGCATTACAAAGTCCAGATTTGAGAATTCAAGTCAAGGCATCATAGATTCTACTCTTGATGAGTTGGGAATAAAGAAAAGGGGAGCCATCTTTTTAAATTGCCACTTAAATTTTTCATTAACATACTTCTCTTAACAACTGCATTAAGTTCCAGAATACTAACTGTGATCTTTTGTTAACAAATGTATTATCAAAGATATTGCTGAGACTTTCTCCAATTTATAGGTATAGAGTCCTAATGCTTAGGTTGGTGATGTGATTTTACTTGTTTGATCAGTTACTTTGCCAGTGGACAAGTACTGACCTAGAATAAATTAATCAGAGCCTGTCTTCTAAGAATTTGGAATAGGGTCTGAGAAACCATTAATCATCTCTGAAAGTGGATTGATTTTGAATTATATAAACTCAGGAATTTTGAGTTTATATCAGTTTATGTTTTAGCCTACATCAAATATGTGCATACAATAAAAGGAGAATCAGCTTAAAGAAAAAGAAAGAAGTGAATCAAACACTGCCTATGGTAGAAAAAATAAATGAGAAAGAGATAAGCTTCCCAGAGACTTGAGTGCTGATCATATTTAGGTTCCATTTTCTCAGTCATTTATGCATCACTTTATACCTACTTAATCTTCCTCCAGGCCAGACCCTGGAGATACCATAGTGAACAAAAAAGACAATGTTCCCACTTCCAGGGACTCTACTAAAAACAACAGAAATAATAAACAAAATAGCAAGATTAATATATAAAGAAATATGATACTTTCATATAAGGATAAGTCTTAGGTTTGGAGATAAGTTTTTCAGCTAGACTATTTAGGGATGGCCATTAATTTCATGGTTAGCAGCATATTCTACATGAACGTCATGCTCACTAAATAATCATAATTTTTATTATAGCTTCTTGATAAAATCTGTCATCAACTCTGCAATGCAGATCAGCAGTAATTATACTGATTCAATGATAAATTTTCAAGCTAAGGACTGAAATGATTAAAAAGAGCTTTAGTTTCAAAGTTCTGCTAATGTGTATGACATGATAATATAATTTTTCATTTTTCTCTGCTTTTTTTTGATTAAAAAGATACTGTGCAAGCAAAAAGTATGTTTAAGAGATGGGATAGGAGGATCATAGAACACCTATATTTGCTAATTGGCCTTATCCAAAGGAAAGCAAATATTAATAAGTTCCTGACAGGAGATAGTTTCACAATTTGAAGAAAGGTGCCTGAAATCAGGCTTCTACCCTCCCATAGAAATTAGGAGACAGAGGTACTGTATTAGTCAGTTTTCATGCTACTAATAAAGACATACCCGAGAGTGGGTGATTTATAAAGAAAAGAGGTTTAAAGGACTTGCAGTTCCACATGTCTGGGGAGGCCTAACAATCATGGCAGAAGACAAAGGAAGAAAAAAGGGACGTCTAACATGGCGGCAGGCAAGAGAGCTTGGGCAGAGGAAATCCCCATTATAAAACCACCAGATCTCATGAGACTTATTCACTATCATGAGAACAGCATGGGAAAGACCTGCTCCCATGATTCAATTACCTCCCACCAGGTCCCTTCCGCAATGCATGGGAATTATGGGAATGACAATTCAAGATGAGATTTGGGTGTGAACATAGCAAAACCATATCAGGCACTATCCTATTTGATGGTTACATTTCAAAGGGATTACTCTCAGGTCCTTGAGAAAGACATTCCTGAATTGTAAAATTGTCAAGAACTTTTTAAAAAGACTTGCCTCTGAAAGGAGCAGAGAAAGAATTTCTAAAGTAAATGCTCTACGGAAACAGAGGTCAGTAGCCTGTTTAAGTCATCTCCATTCTGTAAGGTTGGAGGTGATAGTAAAGTCAGGGGCCTAGAGTCAGGAAGAAACCTGTCTGAAGTTAGGCCAAACTGAGGGAAATGTCCAGGCCACCATTGTCGATAGGTTATCATAAAATAAGAATAGTTAGGGTTTCATGAATGGGATAGTTAGACTGATTGACAATTACAGCATTATAAATATTTATTATAAATACACATATTTGACATAAATGCATATATAATATAGTATTATATGTATAGTACAGAGTATAATGTAGTGTTATCCATATAATCTAATATACATATATGAGCATCATTAAGTGTACATAGTTGTATTAGTCCTTTGTGTTGCTATAAAGCTGGGTAATTGATAAAGAAATTAGGTTTATTTGGCTCTCAATTCTGCTGTACAAGATGTATGGCACCAGCATTTGCATCTTATGAGGACCTCCAACTGCTGCCTTTCATGGTGGAAGGCAAAGGGGAGCTGGTAATTCCAGAGGTCAGGTGGTGAGAAAGCCAGCAGGAGAGAGTGGGAGGCAGTCAGTCTTTTTTAAAATGAGCTCTCACAGGAACTAATATAGCAAAAACTCACTCCCCTACTCTCAGGAAGGGCATTAACCTGTTCATAAGGGGTCAACCCCCATGGGATTAGGTCAACCCCCTAATCCCATTAGGTCCTAACTTCACTATTGGGGAATCACATTTCAACATGAGATTTGGAGGGGAATTCAAACAATAGCAACAATGTATTTTTATGCTACAAATAAATATATATATATGTATATAATATTAAAGAAAGTTTCACTAATAAAATTTTTCCTTCATTTTCCAGTTCTTGTCTTACATATTTTACAGAGTTTAATTCCTGTCATACTTAACATCACCTTATAAAGAGCAATCATCCATCAGTATCCATGGGGAATTAGTTCCAGGACTCTGCATGGATACCAAAATTCATGGATGCTCAAGTTCCTTATATAAAATAGTGTAGTATTTGCATATAACCTATGCACATCCTCTTGCATATTTCTAATCATCTTTAGATTACTTATAATACCTAATGCAATGTCAATGCTATGAAAAGAGTTGTTTTGCCATATTGTTTAAGGAATAATTAGAAGAAATGAAGAAGCCTGTACATGTTCAGTACAGTCCTAACCATCCACTTTTAAAAATAATGTTTTTGTCTATGGCTGAGTCCATGGAAGCAGAACCCATGAATACATAGGGCTACCTTGTAAATATTATTACACTTACTTTAAAGAGAGAAAACTGTGGATTAGAATAGTTAATGTAATACCCATGGACAAATAGCATATAAATGATAGAAACAGGTAATCATAATAGAAGTATCTTACTCTTAACAAAAACAACTATAACAAAGGTAAATTTTACTTATATTAAATATAGAAGCAAAACAATAAATTTAGATATTTGAGAATAAAAATCTAAAAATTTTATTTATTTAAAAATATTAAAAAATTTACAGGGCTTTTTTGTAATACATACACAGTTTATAATGTGGATTTGGTTTGCTGATCAAATCCCAGATTCAAGTGTCACAATGATGAGGGGTCCAGGCTACCTGACCCATTTTTTTTCTTTTACACAGTAACAACTTGGTTAGCAGTTAAGGTTTGTTGTGGGAAGTCAGGGACCCCAAACGGAGGGACTGGCTGGAGCCGTGGCAGAGGAACATAAATTGTGAAGATTTCATGGACATTTATCAGTTCCCAAATAATACTTTTATAATTTCTTATGCCTGTCTTTAGTTTAATCTCTTAATCCTGTTATCTTTGTAAGCTGAGGATGTACGTCACCTCAGGACCACTGTGATAATTGTGTTAACTGTACAAATTGATTGTAAAACTTGTGTTTGAACAATGTGAAATCCGTGCACCTTGAAAAAGAACAGAATAACAGCAATTTTTAGGGAACAAGGAAAGACAACCATAAGGTCTGACTGCCTGTGGGGTTGCGCAAAAAGAGCCATATTTTTCTTCTTGCAGAGAGTCTATAAATGGACATGCAAGTACAGAAGATAGCGCTAAATTCTTTTCCTAGCAAGGAATATTAATATTAATACCCTGGGGAAGTAATGCATTCATCGGGGGAGGTCTATAAATGGCCACTCTGGGAGTGTCTGTCTTATGCAGTTGAGATAAGGACTGAGATACGCCCTGGTCTCCTGCAGTACCCTCAGCCTTACTAGGGTGGGGAAAAACTCTGCCCTGGTAAATTTGTGGTCAGACCAATTCTCTGCTCTCGAACCCTGTTTTCTGTTATTTAAGATGTTTATCAAGACAATATGTGCACTGCTGAGCATAGACCCTTATCAGTAGTTCTGCTTTTGCCCTTTGCCTTGTGAACTTTGTTGGGCCCTTATTGGTAGTTCTGCTTTTGCCCTTTGTACTGTTTCCTCAGAAGCATGTGATCTTTGTTAAACTCTTACTAGTAGTTCTGCTTTTTGCCCTTTGAAGCATGTGATCTTTGTACCTACGCCCTGTTCTTACACCCCCTCCCCTTTTGAAACCCTTAATAAAAACTTGCTGGTCTGAGACTCAGGCGGGCATCACAGTCCTACTGATATGTGAAGTCACCCCCAGCAGCCCAGCTGTAAAATTCCTCTCTTTGTACTGTCTCTCTTTATTTCTCAGCCGGCTGACACTTACGGAAAATAGAAAGAACTTACATTGAAATATTGGGGGTGGGTTCCCCCAGTAAAGGTTCTCCTTAAATGTCTCATCCTCAGAAAAATATCCACACACTCTACTCTCTGTTCAGAACATCAAAGACTATTGAGACACAGGAAGACACTTGAAGACATTTCAACCCAAAGTCACTTCTATTCTCTTCTCTGGTCTTCTTCAGGAAGCAGTTTTCTCTTTCTACTTAAAGGACTTGCATCTTTCTCTCACTGTATGTGCCTTTACACCTTCTTTTTCCCCTATACCCATCACCATTTTGTCTAGTTTCTAAGTAGGGGAACAAGTGGCCCTGAAAGTATGAAAAGCCTGAAAGCCTTTAATCCTTTATGTTTATACATACGCTGAATATGTTAAACAAAATTATAGGAGTCTGTTGTTGTGAACTTTATCATTAGGCCCCAAGAGACCAAACTAAACCAAACTGGAGTCATTCATGCTAAATGCCATATAATCAAACAGAAATATTGAGGAAGGAGATCAATCCCAAACATATCAGTGTTTTTTTATTTTATTTATTTATTTATTTATTTACTGAAAACAGAAGATTCCAGTTGCTAACATTTAAAAACACAAATGCAATATTTTACAAATTTGGAAAGGAGGAAAGGAGACCTTATTTCTTCTAAAGGGTTACAGCCTGCAAGGCGGTCATCCCCCAGGCTGAGAAGCATACCTCCAGCCAAGTCAATAGACATCTACTTCAAAGGAGGAGGGGTCAGAGTAGGAGCTTTATGTTGAACAGTTTAATTAAACATATTCAACAGGTTACAGGAGGAGCTACGATTACTCATCAGGGTGGTTCCAATTCTTGCATATTAAACAAAAACGCATGCATTCTATGACCCATATTCACTTCTGGATGGAGACTTAACATTTAAATGTATTACAATTAAGCATTAACATCAAAGTATCTTTTCCAGATACTAAGGCACACAAGTGCACAATCTCTGTAAACCAGCCAGAAGTAGTCCATGGTTCATGGTCTTCTTATCTTGAGAAAGTTATTGAAATCAGTCTCTTGCCCAAAGAAAGCTGTCTTTTTGGCTGGTGGAACAGGAGCTGGGGTTAAGTAAGTTAGTCAGCAACTGGTGGAGCTACAAATTGTTTTAATATTATCTCAAGGCCAGTGCTTGTTTAACACTAAGGAAAAAACAAAAACAAAAAAAATAAACCTTGTGGCAGTTAGAACATGGTTTATTCTTTAAGTGTAGGGGTGCGTAAATTAACCCTTGCCTGGCATAGACGTAGGTCCTGTTTATAACGTGGAGTCTTATTGCCACAAAGAGTCTGCTCTGTTAGTCTTGTGATTTCTATTTTAACATTCATTCTGGTCAGTTGTTGTGTGTAAACCACAAAAGGGAGGAGGTTTTAACAAGGCATGTCCAACCTCCCATCCCATCATGACCAGGAACTCAGTATTAAGGTTTTCCTGGGGTCCCTTTGGCCAAAGGGGAGTCCATCCAGTCACGGGGTTTTAGGATTTTATTTTTAGTTTATGCATTCTACCTGAGTCAGCATAATAGGAAACTCCCCTCTGCTTTACCACCTACAAAAAAGTAACCTGAAGTAACCCGATGTTGACTAATCTTTTTTTTCCTAGTTTTTCTATTGTTTCCTTTCCTTGAGTCCATCTTACAAAACCCACTGTTCTGCTATTGCAGAGTGGGAGCTGAGACCAAAGAAGTCCATTTACAATGGTGACAAAGAATAACTTCAATGCTCAAACGTTTGGTCAGTCTCTGAAAATTGAGAGGCTAACCAAAAGGGGAGGAGGTGTTAATTTTAGAAATCTCCATAGGAAACCTACATAGCAAACTGCAACCTAACTTAGTATGTAAACAAACTCAAAACCTAACTTAGGAATTTGTCATTGTAACAAAGAGCTCAGCCAATCACAGCAGTTGAGCTTCAGTCAATAGTGGCGGGAGGCCAACTGTTCAAACCAGGTTAAAGGCAAAATTAAGCATTAACCAACTCAGCTCTCTCTGTACCTCACTTCTGTTTTCTGTATGTTATTTCCTTTTTCTGGCTATGAATATAATCTACGAATGTGTTGGGATAGAGCATTCTGAACCATTTTTGGTCTAGACTACTGTCTGATTTTAGGATGGCCAATAAAAGCCAGTTAAGTCTGCAAAACTAGATTTGCCATAATTTGTCTTTTAAAAAATATTTCTCATGCAGAATGGACAGTAGAAATAAAAAATTTAGTTTTTTTTTGTACAAATGGGTTAGAAATAAGGGAAGGAAACTTATTTTAAAAATCAGCTATTGTTCTGATATGTAACTTAGCCACAAAGGTATGCTTTTGTTGGATTTTGTTTGCTTGTTTGTTTGTTTCTGTTTGAAGCAGAAACTTTTTTGGCTTGCATGGAGTAAATCCTAATTTTCCCATTGTAAATGGTATGCTCTGTTGGCAAGCTATGTGTCCAAAAAGACACATTAACTGTTTCAAGGCACTTGGTTACCATTCATTATATGGAAGCTCTAATGACTTAAGTAAATGACCTGTTTGTTAAGCAACCTTAATGGATCTTATTATATTTAGTTAATGGCTGAAAATATAGTATAATGGTCAAAATATATGAGTGTCATGCTCACACTCTGTAGACTACAGTATGACTTTACTACAGAAAAAAATAATTTCTTTTGCATTCTGGCCTTTAAGAACTATACCAGAAGTTAAGAAATAAGATTACTTTATGGATGAGTTACAGATATCATAAAGAAAATCGTCTATTTGACAGAACAAATAATATATGTATAATTTAATTAAAGTCTTGTGTCTTTGAAAATAATGGGAAATATTATAGATGATTTATTTAATGCAATAAAATATCAGTTTTATTCAGAACCATTAATAAATGACTCATTAAACTAAAGAACCACCATTTCTTTTGTTCCATGAAAACATTATTAAAACATAATGGATTCAATCAAGAATACAGTGTTTTTTTATCTTTAGAATACATGTCCTGAGAATATGCATCATTTTACTATTGTTATAGCTAATAATACCTACCATTTATCAAATATATTATTTGTAGTCACACTACTGAGTGCTTCAAATACATACTTTTAAACATTCTTACAACTATCAGTGATTTTCATATATGAAACTAGTTGTCTAAAAATGGTTAAATAACTGCCCCTAAGTAATAAGAATAGTAACTGGTAAAGCTGGAATCTACAAGTAGGTTTAATTTTAAAACACATGATATGGAATGATGATTGTTGTTTAATATAAATTAACATTGCTCAAACTGCATATTTAAATATATAGAGCTAAACTGGGTAAGTAGCATTGAATTCCAAATTTATTATATGAGTTTGTTGAATATTCGATTGTTACCATTACCTTTTGATGTTATAGCCCCTTCAATTCTGTTGTGTATGTTTTGAACAAAAATGTTGCTACCTGTATAAAAGTATTATTCCCCTACTATTGCTGTCAACCAATTACCCAGAAATTTAGTGTCTTAAAACAATAATTTTATTGTTTTATTGCCCTAGGTTTCAGAATAACTCAGTAGGCAGTTCTGGCTTGGAGTCTCTAACTTAATTGCCATAGATGGTGATTTAGTCTGCAGACATCCCAAATGCTCACTTACCTGGCTGGGCATTGATACTGTCTGCTGAGTGGTCATATGGGGCTGTCAATCTGAGTGTCAAAATGTGTGTGGCCTTTCCAGCATGACAGTCTCAAAGTGGGCAGACTTCTGGCCCTAGAATAAACAGCTCAAGAGTGTGCTCAGAAGTCAGAGTATAACTTCTGCTGAAAACTAGTTACTAAAACTGAAAGGGGATATAAGCCCCCTCCCCTAATTAATGTTGTGTCGAGAAATTTGCAGACATATTTTGCAACCACCACACTGCAGATATACATATAACAGAAAGTTATTATCAGTCAAGATATAATGGAAACATCAATAGCTTCAATATGTAACTCATTTCAAACATATACAGAGTTATTTTCAAAGTTTATTTTACCCTTTTCTACATTAAAGTGTTATGTATTTATTTCTCAACATTTGAAAAATACTGAAAATAATAATAAAACTTTTGAAAGCACCCAACCTCAATCCAAAAATAACTACTATATTATTTTATGATTTTATAGTCTTACTAAGATCTGAAAGATGTCTTACTAAGTTGAATTATATAAAATCATTATTAACTATGTTTCTCAATTTATGCACTAGACTATCTACTATATCAGTTTAATAATATTTATCTAGTCCAGAATGACTTTTTTGTAACCATTGATCATTAAATGACAAAAATAGTTTTATAGAGAATATAAAACTCTCTGTGTGGATTGAGAACTAAATGTATTTTATTATATAACATAATTATGTAGAAGTAAATTTAATGAATAAATAGTAGGCTTCTGATGAATACGTTCAGCTTTTCTTCATTATAATGTGTAGAAATGTTTACTGGCGAGCCCAAGAGAATAGTTTCTATGCCGGTAGATTCTTCTGATCCAATTTTCCCCCACAAATCCTTTGTGCTTCATGCTATTTAATTTTCTAATTTTAGGGCCCTTATCCCTATTGTTTGCAAGTTATTCTCAATCTCTTGTAAGTCAATTGCTCCCAGTACGCATTAAGTAGAGTATTTATCAACTAATTTCTATGGAGACTTTTTACCTTCCTAAATATTTTTCAAAACAGTGACATTCTGATTTACTAAAATAAGTCTTGATAAACAGCATCTTATTGTAACTTAACCTTTCAATGTAAGGATTATCAGTAGAGTTTTCCAGAAATATCAGAATTCTATGATCTTTCATTGCAAATATATTAAAATGGTTACACTCTGCTTCTTTTAGTGACTTCCTAAATCTTGTGTATTTGATGAAATCATGGACATCATGACAATCCATTTGCTATCTCATCAAACACTATTTTGTGCAAGTAAATGTTCAAATGTTATACTTTTTTAAAGGTGAATGCAGAAGCATATTATAAAAAGATATCTACATTTTGTTTCATTTGGAATATCTTCAGTCAGCCTCCTATCTTCCTAAAAAATGCAGTTGCAACATATTTGTAATAGACATTTTTTTCTGTCTCTCTAACCACTTGTATTCACTGTTTAGATTCTAACACTGTAGATATTTCATAGATGTCTTTTTATGTCTCTGGCATTTATGCATTAAGCTGGGTTCTATCCAGGGACTTTTGGCCCAAATTTTCAGCCTGGCTTCAAGACTCAGAAGGCCAATATACCAAGGAAGAAGAGATAAGATATTTAGACCCATTATCTTGATGCTTATTTATTAAAGTTTTTCTTGAATTCTGTAATACATTCTAGTATAGTTTATATTTAAACTAATTTTTGTTGTTGTTGTTGTTGTTTTATTTGAGATGGAGTCTCACTCTGTCGCCCAGGTTGAAGTGCACTGTCACAATCTCAGTTCACTGCAACCTGTGCCTCTCAGGTTCAAGCGGTTCTCTTGCTTTACCCTCCCAGCTGATATTATAGGCCCATACCACCATACCCAGCTAATTTTTTTTTTTTGTATTTTCAGTAGAGATGGGATTTTTGTCATGTTGGCCAGGCTGATCTCCATCTCATGACCTCTTGATCTGCCCAGCTCGGCCTCCCAAAGTGCTGGAATTACAGGCATGAGCCACCGCGCCAGGCCTTAAACTAATGTTTTACTTAAACTTTGGGTTCTTTCATATATTTTCAACTCTAGTGTTCTTAATTAATGTTGCCAACTTTTATATACTCAGCCTAGCACTAGCATTACTCACTCACTCACTCACTCCATTTATCTGAGAAGAGTTTGCCCAATCACCACCCATTTCCCCAACCAATTCACTTTTTGGGAGTATAAGCTTTGCTACTACAGCAACTCTGTGAGTGTGTGTGTGTGTGTGTGTGTGTGTGTGTGTTTGTGTGTGTGGGTCTATAAAATTCAACTGTTTTCCGTCAAGCTGAGCCAGTTAACAGGGCTATTAGAGATAAATTCATATAGGATAATGAGGTTTGATATTCAATTATTAATTTTTCTAGATTGGTGACTAATATACAGCTTCATATAATACACAGGCAAAATTTTGTATCATGGTTTAATCAATTGTTATGCCTCTTTTTGATGATTTTCTGTTACATCTTTGCTTGCTCTATAAGTGAAAACATAATATTGTAGTACACTGATTTATCTGAATTCTTTACACATTAAAGTTATTGCTAATTTGTCCTATATATCTGTCCTAATTTTGTATCAGTTTGCTTGTTTTAACTTCTCATTTCATTATAATTGTGGCATTTTAACATTTAAGGGTAGTCAAATATGTTATTATTGTTCTTTAGAATTTTTCTAAGTCTTTGAGGTTTAAACATGTATTGCCCTTCAATATTTCTGTAAAGTAGCAAAAATATATAACATGAGAGCTACCCTCTTAAATATTCTTATGGACAGTTCAGTGTTGTTAACTATAAACACAATGTTGCACAGCAAATCATTAGGATTTTTTTATCTTGCATGATGTAAACTTTATATCTATTGGACAATACCCGTTTCCCTTTCTGCTAGCACGTGGTAACTACCATTTTCTGTTTTGATGATTTTGATTATTTTAGATAAGTCATATATGTGGAATCATGCAGTGTTTGTCCTACTGTGGCTGGCCTATTTCACATAGCAAAATGTTCACAAGGTGCTTCCGTGTAATAACATTACAGTTTTGTGGCTGAATAGTATTCAATTGTATGTATGAACCACAGTTTCATCATCCTTTCATTCATCCACAAGCATTTAAGTGGTTTCAACCTCTTGACTATTGTGAATAATGGTGTGATTGCTGTGAATGCAATATATCCTCAAAACCTTGATTTTAATTCTTTTGCATACTTAGAAATCAAATTTTTTTAATAATATGATATTTCTATTTTTTTATAAAGAATATCCATACCATTTCACATTTTCACCAACAGTGCACAGGGTTGCATTTTCTCCACGTTCTTGTCAATACTTGTTTTTTCTTTTGTTTTTGTTTTGTGTTTTTTAATGTTGGCCATCCTAACAGGTATGAAGTGACATTTTATTGCAGTTTTAATTTACATTTACCTGAAGAATAGTGATGTTGAGAGGATCTGTTCATATCCCCATTGGCCATTCATAACTTTTCTTTGAATAAATGTCTATGGAAGTTCTTTGCCCATTTTTAATCAGTTTTTTTGTTATAAAATTATAGGATTTCTTTATACATTTTGAATAGTAACTCCTTATCAGATATATTATTTGCAAATACATTCTCTCATGTTGCGGGTTGCCTTTTGACTTATGATTGTTACCTTTGCTCTGCAGAAGCTTTTTAGTTTAATATAGTCCCAATTTGCCTATGTTTACATTTTTTGCCTGTGCTTTTGGGGTTCTATCTAAGAAATCACTGGCAAAACCAATGTTATTAAAAAAAAACCTGTTTTCTTCTAGGAATTTTACAGCTTTGTGTCATAATTTTAAGCCCCCAAGATATATATTATATATATATTTATATAATTTTGGGGCCCTCTATTCCATTCAGCAGGTTTATGTCTGTCTTTACGCCAGTACCATACTCTCTTGATTGCTGTAGCGTTATACAGCTTGAATATCTTATTCAAAATGCTTGAGACCAGAAGTGTTTTGCATTTTTTTTTAATTTGGGAACATTCGCATGCATATAATGAGATATGATGGAGATGGGAACCAAGTTTAAACACAAAACTAATTATATCTCATGTATACCTTATACAAATAGTCTGAAATTAATTTAATATAACATTTTAAATAATTTTGTACATTAAGCAACATTTGGATTCATTTTGACTGTGACCCATCACATGAGGCCGGGTGTAAAATTCTCTACTTGTGGGGTCAACATGGCACTCAAAGAGTTTTGGATTTTGGAGCATGTTGGATTTTGGATTTTCAGGTTAGAGATGCTCAGATTGCATTATAACATGTTTTGAAATACCAAAAAGTGATGCTTCTAGTTTTATTCTTTTTTCTCATTATCAACTTGGTTATTCAAGGTCCTCTGTGGTTCCCTGTGAGTTCAAAATTTTTTTTTTATGTTCCTGTAAAAGCATGTCATTGAGATTTTTATTTATATTGCATTGACTCTCTAGATTGCTTTGTGTAGTATAGACATTTTAATAATATTGTCTTCTAATACATTAATATAGAATTTTCTTTCATTTATGTCTTAATTACTTTCATTTTTTTAAAAAATACAGTGTATAGTATTTCACCTCCTTGGTTAAGTTTATTCCTAAGTATGTTATTCTTTTTGATTATATTCTTAAATTCTTTTTCAGAGTTTGATATTAGTGCATAGTCATGTAACTCATCCTATTATATTGATATTGTATCCTGAAACTTACTGAACTTATTAATTCTAACTGGTTTTTGTGTGTTTTGGTAAAAAAGATCTTTAGCGTTTTCTACGTGTAAGATTATGTCTTCTGTGAACAGAGATAATCCCACTTCTTCCTTTTCAATATGGTTAATTTTCATTTACTTTTCTTACCTAATTGCTCTAATACAGCCTCAGGTATTATGTTGTCCAGAAATGGTGAGAGTGGGCCAGGTGCCATGGCTTATGCCTATAATCCCAGCACTTTGGGAGGCCAAGGCCATATCAAAGGAATGAAATGAATCTCAAGATATCCACTCTAATGAAACATTACTATATTAGTTTCCCAACAAATAATTCAGAATAACTACCATAAAGATATTCAATAAGCCCAGGAAAACAATGCATAAACAAATCAGAATGTCAGCAAAGAGAATGAAAATATATATTAATAAATAAACACAAACATTTTAAAACTGACAACTGAAATAAAATATTTGCTCCAAGAGTTAAATAGCAGAAGTTATCAAGTAGGAGAATCAGCCAACTTCAAAATATAACATTTCATATTATCCAATCAAAAGGTTGGGGTGGGGGGCAGAAATAATAAAAAAGAATCAAGAATAACTAGGGGACTTATGGGAGACAATCAAATGGACAAATACACATAAAATGGGAGTCTTAGGGGAAAAAGAGATAGATAGGGCCAAACAATTTATTTAAAGTGACAGTGGCCAAAATTGCTCAAATTTGGGAGAGAAATGAACATCTAGATTCAAAAGATCTAATAAATTGCCAAACAGGATAAACCCAAAGAAGTCCACCAAGACACATTATAATCAAATTGTCAAAGTCAAAGACAAAGGGAATTTTGAAAGTAGCAAGACAAAAACAACGTTTCATATACAAGAGAATACTCCAAGAGTAACATTTCATATTATCCAATCAGAAGAGTGGGGGGGGGGGCAGAAGTAATAAATAGCAACACAGAAGTATATGAAAGTATAAAACTCATTGATGAAAATAAATATATGTAAAAATACAAAATATTGTAACATTGTAATGATATTGTATAAATAACTTCCAATTCTGTTTTAAAAGTTTAATTAAAACATATAAAAATAACCAAAATATAAAAAATAAAAAATATTTCCATAGATAAATGATATAAAAAGATGTAACTTGTGATATTGATACCATGAAGTGTAGGAGGGATATGAAAGTGGAGAGTTACTGTATGTGATTAAAGTTAAATAGTTATCAACTTAATTTTAAATTGTAACTATAAAATGTTTTAAGTAAGCTCCATAGTAACCTCAAAAATACCTATAAGATGCTAGAAGAAAATGAGAGAGAAATCCGAACATATCACTAAATAAACTCAATAAAACAAAGAGGATGAAGGCAAGAAAGAAAAAGAGGAACAAAATAATAATAAGACAAGGGAAACGTGAATAGTAAATCTTTCCCTGTGAATAATTTCTACAAATGTGAGTGGTTTCAACTCCTCAAAGACATAGAGTGGCTGAATGGACACCCCCCCAAAAAAACAACAACAACAACAACAACAACAACAACAACAACAAAAAAAAAAACACAAGATTCAAATATGTGCTGTCTACAAGAGACTTATTTTAGGTTTAAGGCAACACAGAGTGAAAGTGGAAGGATTAAAATATATATTCCATGAAACTGGTACCTCAATGAGAACAGAAGTCATCATACTTAATATCAGACAAATAGACTTTAAGTCAAAAAGTGTCATAAAAGTCAAAGAGGGACATTATGTTATGATAAAAGGGTCAATTCACCAGGAAGATACTACAATGATATGTATATACCCAACATTAGAGTATATAAATATATGAAGCAAACATTGTCAGTACTTAATGGAGAAATTGATAGAAACAACATAGTAGTAGAATATTTTAAAACCCCATTTCAATAACTGCCACACAAACTAGACAGAGAGTCAATAAGGAAATAAAAGACTTGAACAATATTATAGACCAAAAGAACTTAACAGACAGGTACACAACATTCCACTCAACAGCTACAGAACACACACACTTCTCAAGTGCTCAGGGAATATTCTCAAGGTTAGATCACATGTTAAATCACAAAACAAGATTTTTTTTTTATTTTTGAAATAATATGCTTAGGTTTTGTATTTTATTTTAATTGACACATTGACAATTGACAAATATCTATACGGCAGAATAGGAAGACCCAGACCATTCTTCCTGCCACAGAGACTCTGATCCAACAACAACACACTTACCAAATTCTTCGGTAAGAAATCCAGAAACCAGTTAAAAGTACTCTACACCTGAGGAAAGCATGATACCAGCTTCATAAAAGCCAATAGGACAATTTGTTGTACATTCTTGCCATAGTGTTTCCCACCAGCATGGTGCTACATGATCAGGAGAAAAATTCCAGCTCCTGGCTTTTTCCTGAGAAGGAAAAGAGAAGACTAGACTATACATCTGATATTTGGACCTTTTTTGGGGGGAATGGGGAAGCTGCCTAAAGGAATGGTTTCTTTCTTGCGTGTCTTGAAATGCCTATGGGACATAGAATACTCTAGATGTCTGGGGCCACAGAAAACAACAACAAGAACAGAAAGCTGGGTGGCATGCTGTTGATCCAGAGCAGGCAAAGGGGGATTCAGATTAGTGGCCTCTTTCTCAGAGGCAAAGAAAAGAGTGGAGCATGTGTGCTACATTGTGGATTTTAGGGGCCTGTCCAAGAGACTGATTTCCATTTTGCCTCTCAGGGTGTTGATGGCCCCAGCATATTCTAGATTCCTGGGAGGCACTAAAAATAAACTAAAAAAAAAAGAGTTGGGTGGTGTACTATGCTTCTACAGGAACCGTTATATAGCAAACAGACACTAGAGAGACTATGAGATTACAAATTACTGAATAAGAAACTGGTGACTCTAATTAGGGATATACATGCACAAAGAAAAGACATATACACATAAAATGTTTGAAAGGTCCGCAGAAACTCTAGAAGGGCTAATTGGTGAAGGTACTTTCATATTTGAAGCATGTTCATAAAACATGAAAGACAGGTAGCTGTTTTTCAAATATGTGAATGTCAATGTAAAGTTACATTGTTGTGGTAGTCTGGGACAGAACCCACGATATCGCCAAGGCATGCCTGTATACAAATTTTATATAAATGGCTAGTCTTAAATAATAATGCTGGTATTTTGGAATAAATCATTTCTACCTCTAACCCAGTAGTGTGGACCACTATGAAAACCTACAAAATATGAAGCCAGGATAGCTGACTAGTAAGAAAGAATGTTTAGAAGTCCTACGATGATGTGACAATTGCTAAGAATTTCCATAAATAGAGTGGCACTTGAATATAGTGGCGTGAATGCACATAAGTGCAATCTATATTAAAAGTAGTTTGTTAGTGACATAAAAAACATTTTCACAAAGAATGAAGTTTAGAAAAAAAACTGAAAAATATAAAAATTACTGTATTTTGTGACAGGTTGTAAATAAAAGCCTTTTGAACTTATTTTTACTTTAAAAATGTCTTTTAGTATTATAAATATATATCTGAAAGATAATTTAAGTTGTATTTTTTGTGACTTAATTGATGTTGCTTTAAACATATTCTGGTAATTACAACATAATAATTTTGTTAAAACAAAATAAATTAGCTAAGACTCAGGTAGCAATCTCAAAGTACATTGATTATGAGAACATTTTTCTGACAATGGAAAATCAAAATATTATATTTAGGGAATACAAACAAATAACATAGTTTTATTTTGAGTATAATGTGAAACCAGCTTGCCTAAAAATTGTTTTAATATTGCCTACAATTAAATTGAGTGAAATATAAATACAATTAAATAAAAATTACTGTATTTGTGTGGTATTTAACACTTTGTACACAGTTGTCATGGGTAATTAATACAAAGAGGTGAATGTTATTATCACACATGCTTTGGGAGCATATAAGTATATACTACTGTAGTAGTAAATAGTGTAGTTTTAAGGTTACAATACAAAGGTTTAACAGATAGCCTACGGTAATGTACACTTAGTGACCTAGTTTCCTAACATGTAAAATGAACAAATGGGCATCTAATATATCTACTTGTTTGGAGCATTAAACTTTATAAATAAAATATTTATTAATGTTAACTACAATTAATGTTAAGATTGGACTATCTCCTTGTTCTCAGGCTTTTAATTGCTTAATCCTTTTATATTTTTATTTTAGTTTGCTTTAAGAGGCATGAGCATCATCTAAATGGAGGCCAGAGTTCATAGACTGTAAAACAATTAAGGGGCCATCTATTCTGAAGCACTCCAAAATCAACATTTAGTTTACAATTTCAAAGACAAAGTCAACAGATTATTTCATATACACACACGGGTGTGTATGTGTATGTCCAACTTTAAAATATACTGATTTCTATCATAAATATAAAGAGAGATTAATACTTGTAAGATGTTTTCAGGACAACTATGATGCTGGATAAAATTTTATTTTATTTTATTTTTTTAAATTGATGTTTGACATGTACATATTTACAGGATACAGTATGATGTTTCCATACATGCATACATTGTGTAATGATCAAAGCAATGTAACTAGCATATCCATCACCTTAAACATTTATTATTTCTTTGTGATGAATACATCACAGTTTCTTCTAGCTGTTTTGAAATACGTGAAACATTATTGTTAACTCTAGTCATACTATTATGCAATAGAACACCAGAACTTACTTGTCCTATCTAATTGCAACTTTATACCCATTGACCAATCTTTCTCCATCCTCTCTCTCCTTTACTCTTCCCATCCCCTGGTAACCACCATTCTACTCTACATCTATGAGAATACTTTAATAGATTTCAAATATGATTGAACTAATGCAGTATTTGTCTTTCCCTGCCTGGCTTATTTCACCTAACATAATGTCCTCCAGGTTCATTAATGTCATCACAAATAAAAGGATTTCATGTTTTATGACTGAACAGTATTCCACTGTGTGTATATATATACACATACACATATATATGTTATATATATATATATGTTATATATATGTTATATATATAACACATATATGTGTTATATATATGTTATATATATAACACATATATATGTTATATATATAACACATATATGTGTTATATATATGTTATATATATGTAACATTTTCTTTTATATGTTAATCTTTAATAGACACTTAGGTTGATTCCATATTTTGGCTATTGTGAATAGTGCTGCAATAAATGTGGGTGTCCAGATATCTCTTTGGCATACTAATTTCATTGTCTTTGGATATATATATATATATCCGGTAGTGGAATTGCTGGATCATATGATAGCTCTATTTTTAATTTTTTGAGGAAACTCCATATTGTTTTTTTATAATGACTGTACTAATTTCCATTCCCACAAGCAGTGTGTAGGGTTTCCTTTTCTTCACATCGTCACAAACACTTGGTATATTTTGATTTTTTGATAGTAGTCATTGTAACTAGAGTGAGGTGATGTCTTATTGTAGTTTTGATTTTCATATCCCTGATGATTAGTGATGTTGAACATTTTTTAATACATCTGTTGGTCATGTGTATGTCTTCTTTTGAGAAATATCTATTGGACACAAACTATTGTACATTATATATGGGCAAACTATAGTGGAAAACCTTTTTAACAATAAATAATGCAAGCTCCAAACTCATGTAGATTGCATAAAAATAAGAAGTTTATCTTTTTTATGCTAGCAATACATACTCTTCCTCATAGAAAAACATCAGATAATCTATTGCATCTTCACATTAAAAATAACCATTTAGGTCTTTAAACCAATGTTCTCACCATAGAGCTAAAACAAACAAAGAACAAAAACTGATTGATAAAAGCCCATTAATTAAGGGTGTCATATATCTCCGGATATAAAAATTTTGAAATTACACTCCTAAATACATTTAAGACTGAGAACTTTGTAAAATTCATTAAATTATACTCTTCATCACATGCATTGTTTGATATATTAATTATTCATTTCAATATGACCATTACTTAAATAGTAGTTCCCATATTAAACATATTACATATTTAAAAATTCAAACAAGCTTTTCTTACTGGTGTTCAATTTATTTTCACATATTTTGATTAGTACTTTGGTAGAATGCTTAAAATAATGTTTTGTCCATTTTTTCCTAAATTGATTTTTTAATTGGCAAAAATTATATATCATTTTTATGTATAAAATAGTATTGTGAAACATGTATATACACATAGTGGAGTGGCTTAAGCTAATTAACATATGCATTGAAAGTAATGGCAAAAAATGCGATTAATTTTTTACCAATCTAATAATTTCTTAGTAATTTTCAAAAATGAATACATTGTTATTAACTACAGTTACCAAGTTGTTGAATAGATCTCCTGTATTTATTCTTCTAAGCTAACTAAAATTGTGTGTGTGTGTGTGTGTGTGTGTGTGTGTGTGTGTATGTGTGTTTGTTTTAGACAGAGTCTCTTTCTGTGTCCAGGCTGAAGTGCAGTGGCATGATCTCATAGCTCACTGCAGCCTTGAATCCATGGGCTCAAACAGTCCTCCTACGTCAAACTCCCAAGTAGCTAGGACTACAGGCACATGCCACAGAAGCCACCAGGCCTGATTAATTTTCTTATGTTTTGTAAAGATGGGGTGTTGCTCAGGCTGGTCTTGAACTCCTGGCCTCAAGCAGTCTGCCCATTTCAGCTTCGCAAAATGCTAGGATTATAGGCATGAGCCCCCACACCTGGCCTCAAAAAATTTTTTTAATGAAAACATAAAATAGCAAAATTTAACCAAGAGGTATTATACCTTAATTAAAGTATATAGTTTAAAAAAATTACTAAATATAAGGCAAAAGATCAGTGGTTTACAGAACATTCTACTTCCGAGTAATAAAATAAATGTCTCACATCCTTTCATAAAAATGGCAGAACAAAACAGGGTACAGAAAATGTCTGCAGCCAACAGAGTAGCAGAATCATTGTTGATCTTAAGGTCAGTGCATTGTACATCAAGTACTGAAATTTATGAAACGTTGTTGAAAAAAATTGTGCCTCTACTTTCCCTTGCTTTATCTGTTTTATTTTCCTGCTTGCTTCCTACAGCGTCTGCACTGCATGAATGATTGTAATGTCACTAACCACCCATTCTTGATTTTCTTTAGGCCGTCATTTTATTGAAATGTTTCCCCAAAGAGAAGAATGACCTCCTCAATGATAATTTATGTGAATAAGTTGCTGTTCATTCTGCAAACTATAGTACAGTAACTGGTGAACAATGGGTGCTCAATTAGTACTTGTATTACTTAAATGGGTGAGAAGTAACATCATTTACATTCATATGGTAGTAATGATATACACAACACTTATACTCATGTGTATTATAGACTCTGATGTACTGCATTTTATTCCTTTTAAGATGCATATTTTTTCACATTTTAGCAACCTTTAAATAATTTTAAATCTCACAATTAATGTTATTAAGAGATATTGGATAACGTTCTAATTAAAATAATTTTCACTGGAGTCTCCTTAATATAGTATGAATAATGGCGCATTTTACAATTTATGTCATCTTTCTTTTTCTGGCAGTTTCTTTTTTATTAGAAAATAACCTGTTTATATTTTCACATGTGTGTTTACTTTATGCTGGTAAATAATGAACAAAATATAGGTGATTTATGTGAGCAAACTTTGTACACTGGACCTGCCTGAGGGCAGTGTCAAGGAGTGACAAGTGGTTGCCTGGGACACTTTGTGCCTACAAGGTCCATGTAGGTGTCAATCATGGAATATTTCCTAGAAGAGTGGAAGAAGGAACTCCGGCCCCTGTTGACTATTTTTTTGGCATTCTTCTGTAGTAGATAAAATTCTGTTCTTTTTCACAGTCATCTGTAAGTGAAAGATCAAAGTGAGCATAGATCTCAGTTAATCGGGTAATAATTAAAAAGTAGTAATTAGATGGGATGATGGTTATCTATCTATCTATCTATCTGTCTGTCTATCTGTGACGTGGGAAATGAAGAGGCTAATGCATCTTTTCTTATGAGGGGTCTTGGTTTATCTGGAAAGAAAATCTTTCCTCATAAGGAGAAACACTGGGAAGGGGACTTTCAGTCATCTCCTTACTGTCTTACCCTTGCCTCCACAAGGGAGTGGATAGTGCAGAGTCTGACACCCATTGGGCCATGACTTATTAGAGTAAAAGAGGGTTTTTTAATTATTATTTTCAAAGACAGGCTCTGGATTTGTCACCCAGGCTGAAGTGCAGTGGCACAAACTCATCTCACTGCAACCTCGGCCTCCCAGCATCAAGCAATCCTCCCAGCTCAGCCTCTCAAGTAGCTGGGACTACGGTCATGCACTAACATGCCCAGCTAATTTTTGTATTTTCTGTAGATAGCGTTTCACCTTGTTGCCCAGACTAGTCTCAAACTCCTGAGCCCAAACAATTCGCCACAACACTTTATTTCTCTCCCTCATTCTACTAACTCTTCTTCCTTAATATACTGATAAGAATCAGGACCCAAGCTGGGGTCATGTGATACCTGTTTTTTCTCCCACAGGCACAGACTACTGCCCAAGTCATAAATTAGGCAATTTTTTTAGGTAGGAGTTAAGCATAAGGACAGAACATTCATCTCCGCCTCTTGGGTCAATGCCCGAGTGAGAGTTCAACCCACTGCCTTATCCTAGGGTCATGTGAACAAACTCAGGATTTGTTCTGGGGACCAATTATCTCACTCTTTTCCCCTGTAGTTGCAGTTAAAGGTACAGATCTTAAGCCTAATATTTTCATGGAATTTTGAAAGTATAGTTCGGGCTGGGCGTGGCTCAGGCCTGTAATCCCAGCACCTTGGGAGGCCAAGGCGGGCAGATCACGAAGTCAGGAGCTGCAGACCATCCTGGCTAACACGGTGAAACCTCGTCTGTACTAAAAATACAAAAAAATTAGCCAGGCATGGTGGCGGGCGCCTGTATTCCCAGCTACTCGGGAGGCTAAGGTAGGAGAATGGCATGAACCCGGGAGGCAGAGCTTGCAGTGAGAGCAAAACTTCAAAAAAAAAAAAAAGAAAAAAAAAAGGAAGGAAGGAAGAATAGTTCCGCATTTCCCCATTTCCCCTAAATCCCATTGTCCAATATATTTGGCTCCTTATTTTTTTCTGTATACTCAGATGTGGAAAAAAAGAGAAGGATTGAAGGGGTGAGCATAACACAAAATATTAGCATATATTATTACAAATAGTTATAATTTCATTTCTGCACTATGATAGCCCTTTAAATACATAATCACATTTAATCCACTCAACATCTGTATATATGATGCTGTACCTTTACCCTCATTTATTGCATGAGATAAAGGAGCCTCAATAATTTACTAAGATCTGAAAGGCGGTAAATGGCAAAGTCAGGTTTCAAATCATGGTCAGTCTGACTCTACAACTTGAGTTCTTACCCTATATGGAACAAAGGCCAGTGATTTTGACTGAGAGACTCCAAGAAAACAGCTGCTAAGTGAAGATCATAGAAGTTTCACACTGTGATTCAAAAAAGACAACTACTGCTCCTGCTGTTGTTTCCATGCCTGCATGTGGGGCCGCAGACACCACCACAGATCTGAAAAAGTTTTCTTTTCATTGTAACCATCATCTCCATGGGTGGAGTGTGGGAATGGGTGGTGATGCAGTAGATAACAGAAATGCTAGGGGCACAGGTATGTTTCCAGATTGGTCAGGAGGCATCACAGGCACAAAGAATCCCTGACTGAAAGAGATAGATAGCAGATTGCTTCCTTACATCCCAGACAGCAGGGCTCCTCCTGTCTTATCTTTAGGTCCTGGCAACCCGGACTGGTTTCCCTGGATACAAGAGCTTCCCTGCTTGGAGGGACTGAGTCATCAAATGTGTTTGAATTTGTTCAGCCTCAAAAAGGATGAATGTTCCCTGAAAAATATGAGAGGTTCTATTTTTAGAAAAATGAGCATACATATGTTGGTTTATAAAACATATATGATCAGATTTTATCCAGTTTTAGTTATTTTACAGTGATCATTAGGAATTTGTAGTAACACCTCTTTCAGCTATAAAAAAGTATCTGAAACAGATCTTGTTTAATAAATTGTTTTAAGATATTGCTTACTATCTATAAGAAGTCATCCAAGAATATCAACACATTCTATTTATCTGTCTTTGTAATAAGTGAATATAAGTCTGGACCTAAAGGAGTGTTATAATTGCTATGTTCAGGGTATCACAATGGGAATCATGTCTTTTCATTCTTTCTATCACTCATAGCACATATAACGGTTTCTTACAAATAATTTTTGTGTTCTTTCAGGTGAAGCTCCTTTCTCCAGATCCTAAATTAAGCAAAGTAAAAAGCGAACTGAATATAATCTTTACCATAGCAACTTATGTACCTACTCACTAATTCTACATCTTGAGATATTTTAATATTGACTGGCGTATATCAAAAGTATTTTCAAGTTTGCAAATGTAAAGATACTTCACTAAGAGTATATTAACCTGGAAGTTCCCAGGTAGGACCAGCTAAAAATTGAGAAAGAATAGAGAAAATGTCAGAGGCAGAGAAATTGGTTGTGGTCAAAAATCTGGCTTCTGAGCGAAGTGACCGACATCCTAAATCAGTGTGTAAAATATCATAGAAAAAATAAGCTTGACCTGATTTGCTGTGATGTCTTCCTAGGGAATCTGAACTTTAGGGGCTGAGTGGATGTGATATCAACAGAGACTTCTAAGAAAAGACAACACTTAGGTGGTTAACAATACTGTTGACACTTAAGGTGGTGGTGTCAACCACCTTCTTAGCAGTTCTTTGTTAAGAACTGTGAATCAGACCACACTTGCTGGGGAGAGTGTCCAGGAACTAATGTTCACGTCTTGAGGAAAGACGATAAATAGAGCAGATAATGTTATTTCAAAGCAAGCACTAGTTTGACTTAGAAATGGTCTGAGCTTCAGTGAGGGAAATGAAAGACAATTTGAAAATTGTAGTGATTGCAGTTAGGATAGTGTGGCTTGGTTGACACTACAGGACACCAAGTCCCTACTCAAGCACACAGAATACAGGGTGTTTATAATCATCTTGCTGTGGGTGAAACCTGGAAATGTCACATAAGCTAAGTGCTTTACTTCATCTGAAATATACCATGAAAGTATTTCAAAACCTTGATGTATAGAAAAACACATCAATCTCACACAGAGACTACATCTCTTACCTGAGAGAGATGAGACAGCATGTGTCTGTGAAAAAAAAATGGACCTAGGGAACCATGTTGTTTATCGCAACATCTCCTGCTTTGCCTATCAGCTTTGGTTGTAAGTATCTTTGTAATTATAAGTAAAGCTTGATATTCTGGAAAGATGCCTGATTTCTGAGATTCTAACTTGACAATTTGATGCATTATGTTAGTTCAAGATAACATACTGGCTACCAGCTGAAATAAAAGCTTGTAAGTCACACAACGAAGCATACATAGCTTTTTAATTTCCTTATAATCATTCTGTGGCTTATTTTTACTTTTATCTCCAATTTCATTACTGGGGAAGTTAGATTTCCCATGTCCTACTTCTCTTATAATAGCAAATAAGTATTATATCATATTTTTATATTATATTACCAAGTGAGGTTTTTAATCAATTATGTAATGTAAAAATTGCAGTCATTTGGCTTTATAGAATGGAAAGAAATATTACGTATATCTAAGTTATAAATAGGAGCATAAAACATATTTAACATTATCTATGAAATCCAAGATGGACTGTCCCCTACCTACCTCTTCATCATTCTTCCTCATGCTTGGTGCTATGTTCTTGGAGTGCACTGGTCTCATTGCACTTCTCATGCTCATGTTCCTTCCATCCACAAATTCTTTGCAAATGAAATACTCTATATCTGTAATGTCCCCTTTTCTTATACTGTTTAATTTTTCAGACTAGTTCAAGCATTATTACATATGCAAAACCTTGGACCACCCAAATTAATTTTGAGCATAAACTATTACTGTTATGCACTCTCATGGGACTATGCAACATGATTTCATAGCCCATATTGCAGTTTTGCTTACTAACTAATTTATTCAGTACATATTATTGAAAACTTTCTATGTATCATATACTGTTCTAAGCTTTGGGGATACACTAGTAGGCAAATTAAACACAATAATTTTATGTATATATTTATTATTATTTGATCCATGCTTGTCTTTCTCATTAGATTGTTTCCTAAGAGTCATTGGATCTTTATTTAAAAGGAAAGATTGCATCAGCTTTTGGTCACCCTTGTTACCAGCCTAAATTAACATGTGTTTAACAAATTAATATATTAATTTAATTATATATAAATATATATAATAGAAATGGCCTCATAATCAACTTAATTATCTTGTTTAGTGTTACTCAGGCCTGCCAGAGCAAATTTTTTCTCTTGACAAATTAAATGTGACCATGTATCTTAGTGTTTTCAAGTTTATTTGAACAATCCAGTTGGCTAGAGCAAGAGATCACAAGATATTCTACTCTTTCACTTTTCAGATAGCAAAATTGTGAATTGAAAGAAGACAAAATAAAAGCCAAAGTAAGCAGAACAAAATAAATAATAATAATTAGAGAAGAAATCAAGAAACTAAAAACTACAATATTAGTGAAGGCAAAAATTTGCTCATTTAAAATATCTTTCAAGGCTGGGTGTGGTGGCACATGCCTGTAATCCCAGCACTTTGGGAGGCTGAGGCAGGTAGGTCACTTGAGGTCGGGAGTTTGAGACCAGCCTGACCAACATGGTGAAACCCCATCTCTACTAAAAATATAAAAATTAGCCAGGTGTAGTGGTGCACGCCTGTAATCTCAGCTACTTAGGATGCTGAGGCAGGAGAATCACTTGAACCTTGGAGGCAGAGGTTGCAGTGAGCCAAGATTGCGCCACGGTACTCCAGGGTGACACAGTGAGACTCCATCTCAAAAATAAATAAATTTTATATACATACATATATATATACCAGCAATGAAAAATTAACCTGGAAATTTAAAACACAACACCATTTATATTAGCTACCCATAAAAATACTTAGGTATAAATCTAACAAAATATGTACAAGATTTATAGCAGAAAACTACAAAACTCTGATGAAAGAAATCAAATAAAACTAAATAAATAGAGAGATATTTCATGTTCCTGAACAAGAAGACTAAACATTTTTAAGATATCAAGTCTACAGGACTTGATCTATGCATTCATTGAGAACCCAATCAAAATCTCAGAAGATTATTTTGTGGATATTAATAAACTGATTCAAACATGTATAAAGAGAGGAAAAAGACTCAGAATAGTCAACACAATATTAAAGAAGCATAAAGTCAGAGCACTGACATTACTGGACTTCAAGACCCACTGTAAAGCTACAATAATCAAGAGAGTAGAAATAGTGAAAGAATAGAAGAAATAGATCAGTGGAACAGAATAGAGAATCTAGAAACAGATCCATACAAATATAGTCAACTGATCATTGGCAAAATATCAAAGGAAATTCAGTGGAGAAAAGATACTTTTTTCAACAAGTATTTCTGAGCATTCACAGGCAAAAAAATGATTTCCGACATAAACCTTACATCCTTCACAAACATTACGACAACGGTGATCAAAATTTATTTTTGATAAAGGACTATTCTTTAAAATAGCAGTCCCAAAACTTTTTGGCATCAGGGATCAGTTTGGAGGAAGACAATTTTTCCGTGTATGGAGAGGAGAGATGGTTTGGGGATGAAATTGTTCCATCTCAGATCATCAGGCATTAGTTAGATTCTCATAAGGAGCATGCAACCTAGGTCCCTCGCATGTGCAGTTCACAACAGGTTGGCACTCCTGTGAGAATCTAATGCTACTGCTCATCTGGCAGGAAGTGGAGCTCAAGTGGTAATGCTCACTGGCCCACTGCTCACCTATTGTGCTCCCACCCAGTTCCTAACACGTCTTAGACAGGTGCCTGTCCATGTGCAGTTCACAACAGGTTGGCACTCCTGTGAGAATCTAATGCTACTGCTCATCTGGCAGGAGGTGGAGCTCAAGTGGTAATGCTCACTGGCCCACTGCTCACCTATTGTGCTCCCACCCAGTTCCTAACACGTCTTAGACAGGTGCCTGTCCATGGCCCAGGGGTTGAAGACCCCTGCTTTAAAATATAAAGAAGTCTTGAAACGACCATAAAGAAGCAAACAATGCAGTTACAAATTGAGCCAAATTGGTGGACTTTAACAGACACCTCACCAAAGATGATACACAAATGACAAGCATATGCAAAGATGCTTCAGATCAAAAGGATATAAAATCCCAGTTTTACAGGAGGAATAAGTTCAAGAGATCTATTGTGCAACATGGTAACTATAGTTTTAAAAAGATACATTGTATACCTGAAAATTGCTATGAGAGTAGATTTTAAGTTTCCTCCACAAATAAATGAAAAGTATTTCCAGTAATGCATATGTTCATTAGCTTAATTTATCTATTACACAATGTTTACATATTTTAAAACATCATTTTGTATACCATAAGCTAGATCTAATTATTGTCAATTAAAAATAAATTTAAAAGGAAAATATGCTGTACACCATATCTTATAAGGAAAATGCAAATTAAAACAACATTGAGATACTACTGCATACTTATTAAAATGGCCAATATCCAGACCACTGATAATACGAAATACTGGTGAGGCTGTGGAGCAAGAGTAACTTTCATTCATTGCTGATGGGAATGCAAAATGATACAACCACTTTGGAAGATGGCTTGACAGTTTCCTGCAAAACTAAACATAATCTTACCGTATGATCCAAAAACTGTACTTCTTGGTATTTACACAAGTATGTTGAAAACGTGCACGCTAAAACCTGTACATAGATGATTATTGCAGCCGTGTTCAAAATTGTCAAAACTTGGAAACAACTAAGATGTCCTTCAGTAAGTGAGTGGAAAAATAAATTGTGGTACATTCATACAACAGAATATCATTCATTGTTAAAAAGAAATGAACTATTAAGACATAAAAAGACATGGAGGAAACTTAAATGCATATTACAAAGAAACCAAATCTAAAACTTTTATATACTGTATGATTCCAGCTATATGACTTTCTAGAAAAGGCAAAATTATGGAGACTGTAAAAATATCAGTGGTTGCTAGGGGATAAGGAAGAGGAAGAGATGAACAGGTGGAGCATAAGGGATTTTTGGAGCAGTGAACCTGTCTATAGGGTATTATAACAATGGGTACATGTTATGGTACATTAGTCAAAACTAATGTACAACATCTAGGTGAACTCTAATGTAAACTATAGCCTTAGGGATACTGGTATGCCAATGTTGGTTCATCTACTATAGCAAACGTACCATCTTGGTATAGAACGTTAATGTTGGGGAGACTGTGGGGAGAGGGAGCATATTTGAACTTAGTTTTGCCATGAACCTAAACAGGCCAAAAAATCATCTTTTAAAAATATAAACTGATATATTTTAACTGCCATGATACAAAATTTAATGAAATCAAGTTTAGAAATAAGTAGTATGTATTACTCTCATATTTAAGCTACAATAAACACATGCCTTAATATTAACATATTAGATAATTTTAGAGACTAAATATCACTGATGCAACCATGTATTACCATACTTGATAATTTTTGCTATAAAGCCCTCAACAATGTAAACGTATAGTGATAAGACAAAATCCATAATATTTCTATGTTACTTGGTGTATTAGCGTGTTAAAGATCCAAATTCATTAAAACAAGAAATTGCATTGTAGTAGTATTTTGAACTTAAATGGAACCACCTTTTCTCTCTTTATAAGTTCCAAAGTTTAGTTCTTGCTTCTTCCATACGGTTGTAATGCCTCAGAGATTTCCAGAAATGTAAACAGAAACATCAGAAGGAAGTTTATGGAGCATCCTTCCCTTATCCAATTGAACAGCACTACATGAAAGCTTCTCCTGGTGTGTTTGCACAAAGAAATCCATCGTTTTCAAAACCCTGTCCCTGATGCACACAGTTACGTAACTTAACTTCACTCTTCTTACCCAATTCTTCTTAACTCCACTCTTCTTACCTATTTCCAAAATAACTTACTTGTGTTGTTTTCAGTTTTACTTTTTAAATGTTTGTTACAATCCCATATGTTTAATTTACTAGTTTTTTTTTTTACTTTTATCCCTTACACTGAATTCATTAAAAATATACATATATTCACACAGAAATGAATTAGAACCTCAGCACCAACCTCCAGCAAGTCATTCAAATTATCAAAGCCTTAGTTTTTTCATCTGAAAATGGATCTAATGGGGATTATTGTATGGATTAAATGAGGTTTTATATAATAAACATTTATCACCATATCAAACACTTACTTGTTCTGCTAGGGCTGTCTATTGCTGGGAATGTTCACAATTTGTTATTTAAATATTGCAGCAAACATATAGCTCGTAGACAGATGTGCAACTCCAAACAATGCTGGGAATTTTCTAAAAAAAATGTGTGTGTCCAGGATCTCCATAAGAATTATGTATACAGTACTTCCAGTATATGAAATAAGCATAAGGATTTCGGAAAAATAAAACAAAACCTGATATTCTGAAATGCATGCCTTTTTTTCCTTAAACTTTTATTTTACATTCCGGGGTACATGTTCAGGATGTGCGGGTTTGTTACATAGGCAAATGTGTGCCATGGTGGTTTGCTGCACAGATCAGCCCATCACCTAGGTAGTAAGCCCAGCATCCACTAGCTATTCTTCCTTAATGCATGCCTTTTTAATAGTCATGAAATAAAAATGACAACTCTAAATGAATACATAAATTAAAACATTGACTTTATACAAAGAAATATCAAAACATTTGATATTATGCAAAATATTAGATCTTCCTTAATGCATGCCTTTCTAATAGTCATGAAATAAAAATGACAACTCTAAATGGATACATAAATTAAAACATTGACTTTATACAAAGAAATATCAAAACATTTGATATTATGCAATATATTAGATGTATGGTTTTTTGTTCACATAGAAGTATTATTAAAATTCCACTTTTCATCTCCCCTCAAAAATATATAATATTTTAAAATCACAAAATATATAATTGATAGATAAGAAAGTATGATTTCGGTAACCTTGACGGTGAGTCAGATCTTCACCAATTAACATATGAACATGGATTCAACAGTTTTTAAAATAAGCTGAAGAATGTGAGATTAACAAAATTTAAATTCCATTATATTAACATTTTACAAATATGATTTTGTGTCTGACTAAAATTGATATTGCAGGAGTAAATAATGACCTTTTACCTTTTCAGTACTTAACAGTAAACAATGTGACTATATGTTATTTTACATTAAATCAATTTCAGAACCAGTTTACATCTGCCTCATATTTAAAGAAACAGGTTGAAGGATTTTACTGCTTGCTCATAAGGAAGTGGCTGAGACAGTGGTTAACACCAAGTCTTAGAATTATATTACCAAAGATTCTTCTACTGCATCAGACAGATTGTAAAATCCAACAGTGGACTTTAAATTATCTTTAATTTTCCCTCCTCCAAACTCAGGAAGTATCTAACTAATTGAACCTTAAAATCAAAATTTTAAAGAATTGGCTAACAGAGATATTCAAATATATATGCTGAATATAATTTAATAATTATTTTAAGTGCTAGTCCTAAATCTTAAAAAGATTTTTTCTAAATAAAATCCATCTATTAGTTTAATAAATTCCTTTCATATAGGACTTGTGTGTCACTTATATCTTCATAATATTTAAAAATATTGTGTATTTTATCCTTTAATTTGAAAAGTAAACATAAAAATCTATCTGTAATATAGTATAGAATAAAATATAAACCTAAGTTCTATTGTTTTTTCGTGTTTTATTTTCATATTATTTAATAATTGGCAAAATTTGATGAAGTCATTTTATAAAATGTTCATTTATCTAAAACCATGCTAAAACCATTACATATACTTATTGATAATATTTATATATAAATATTATAATTATTTATATGTACACACATGTATGACATTTGAACACTTTTGACCTATGAAAATTCAATCTGTGTGTTTTATAGGTGTTTGTATGTGTATTTATATTGCCAACCAAAAAAGCAAAAATGAGAGAAAAACCCTCCAAATATGCTGAATGTATTTGGGAATTAGAAAAGAGGATTATGGCCTAACATGCACAGCTACGGCAAGACGCGTATGCAATGAAACAGGGGAGGATAAAGGGAAACTTACTGGCAAAAGAGGAAATTCATGTAAGCTGCTTGGAAACAGAGTTTGTTGGTTCCAGAGACCCAAGTCGAAGTTGGCATCCGTTCATTGGTGGAGCTACGTTACTGGGCACATGCCCCTTTGAGAATATCTTATATGAATTGCTGCAGCCCTAAAGAAAAAAATGTTTTGTAAGGTTATTTTAGAAAGTCCTGGAGACAGTCTTTATCTCAGAATTGCAAGAATGAGCCTTCCCACTTTAGGCTCTCCCAGCAATAGCTTCTTTGGATCTGACAAAAAAATGATTTCATATTGGTATCCACAACTTTCACAATATATCACATAAACTTTTTAAATGGACACAGTCTTACAAAAATGGAAACAGAAATTATATAAACAATTTTATTAGTGTCCATTTCCAAATGTAGCACTCTATCTATTGTACATTTTAGTAAATAAAAATTGAGAATTTTGAAAAATGTTATGCAACATGAATATCAAATTATATTATAAGCTCTATTGTAGATATCATCATATGTTTCAAAAATGCTCATCAAAATCTGATGATCACTTCATAGTTTATATTTCTGAGAAGGCAGCTTCTCTTTGAATTCTTGCAACCCTTAGGAAATGTAAAAATAATGATAAAACATGAAGTTATGTTTAAGTTTTCTTCCAAATGACAACAGCTGCTTTTAAAGTGTACCCTTGTTAGGATGAAAACTCCCAGTTACTTTGTTTGGGATGCATAATTCTAAATTGAAGCTATGTTGAGAAGAAAAATTAAATTTCAATTATTTATGAGTAAATCTGCATAGATAGCCTTGACAAACAATAGCATGCTCTGAAAATGTTCAGAATAAGCTCCTTAAATTTCCATGCCAAGCTCTTGGCAGATATTTCTATGAAACTCTTTTCTCTATGGTAAATTTTATTTTGTTTATTATCTGACACAGTTGCACAACTTTCTCATAAAACTTATAAGGAATTTAGAATTTAAATGTGTTCATTTAAATATTTTATATTATATATATATATATATATATCTCCTGTGAAGTCTTCAAGTGCCGTAAACCTAAAATTCATAACTCTGATGGAACATATTGAACAAATTGTAACAACGGAGTATGATTTTTTGATGAAATAAACTGCAAAGGATAAATCATAATCAGTCACATTGCAGAAAAATATGCAAGCCGACTTAATTGTAATTCTTGCTATTAATTTATTCTTTCTTATTGTTGTCATCTGCGAATATAAATAGCTTACTTAATTTTTAAATTCAACATGTGGATGTAAATAATAGTTCCCATCTTGATGATGATTGTGAACATGCTGAAGATTATGATGATTGTTGTGCAAATAATTTATAAATTTTGTGTGAAATGATTCATTTTAAATTGAAAAAGAGTAAAGGAATAATGTAAATTCATATTACCACCTATAGTCACAACATGCTAAAATCAGAAATTTAAAATTTATCTAAGATCAAACTTGTCACATCTTAGTGAAATTAAAAAAAAAAAGCCTAGAGTGATTACGTGACATGCTTATGTTCTTACAGGTATTTATTATTGTTTACATATCACTTAGGATAACATTCAGTGAAGACATAGATTTACTGGGTTCATAAGCATAGGAAGTTAAGTCCTCGTATTTCAAACTCGTTGTGGACATTAAATACTTTTATAGCACTCTATTCTTTCTATCTACTGCCTACTGACAACTTAATAAGACTGAAAAAGAACACATTCAGCTGGCCAATAGGGGTCTAGTGTTGAATAAAATATATGTGGTTCATTAAGAATGTGGGCTCTGGAATCAGACCACTTGCCTTCAAATCTCAGCTCTCCTACCTTCTAGCATAAGATTGTATACATGTGGTTAAAAGCAGTTGTCAGAGCCAGACTGCCGCCATGTGAATATCAACTTCACAATGTATTGGCTATGTGTCCTTAAGCAAGTTACAAAATTTTCTGGACATCAGTTTTCTTCTTTGACAAAATCGAAAATATAGTAATACCAACTCTAATATGGTTAGCTGTTCAGCTAAAATGAGTTAGTGATCCAAAGCCCTTACAGCATTATCTATTTCTGTCTCGCTTTGTCTTGCTTTGTGTGTGCATATGTATGTGTGTGTGTGTGTGTGTGTGAGAGAGAGAGAGAGAGAGAGAGAGACAGGCAGACAGAGACACAGTGAGTCAGAGAGACAGAGAGAGACACAATACTATCTACAAGACCTGCAAGGTACTTAGTACTGCACTGTGTCTAATAAATATTAAGTGCTCAGTAAACATTACATCTTATTATTTCATTTAGTTTAAAAAAATAAGTGCCTACTCTATATCAGGAAATATTGTAGGCCCTTGGGATATATTAGTAAACCAAATATCCTTGCTTCTTTGATAACATGTATTAGGGAATACAAAAATTACAGAAGTAACTTACAATGTAAAAACAAATAATAAGTAAGTTAGAAGATAAGGGCCATGGGAAAAAAAACCTATGTAGAACTGGACAGAAAAGGTTCAGAGGTTCAGGAATGGCACAGGTAGGTTGTAATTTTAAACATGTAATTTTAAAACACTAAGGGAGGCTTAGTGACATAGTGACATTTGTGCAGTGCTCAGATGTGAGCCATTTGAGACAGAGGGACCCATCTGCAGAAAAGCTTTATGGCAGAGACACCTGATACTTTCATGGCCTGGAAAGAAGGCTGTTGTGTTTGGTGTAGAGTGAATGGAATGGAAACGATCAGGAAATTGATTAAAGACGTAACTGGGGGAAATTAAGTAGGCTCTCAAAGGGCATAGTCGAGCTTTACGATTTAGCTTTTGTGAAATGGTAAACACTGCATAGTTTTCAGTAGAGTAGTGATATGATCTGAATTCTATTTTAAATTAACCCCTCTAACTGCTATATGAAGAACAGATTCTAGAGAGTTCAGAGTGGAAGTAGAGAAACCTGTTAGAAGGCTGTTGCTAAAATCCAGGCTAAAGACATTGTTGGTTCAGCCACTGTTTGTGATAGGAGATTTGGAGGTTATGGGTCAGATTCTTTATATATTTTGAAGGTAAACACCACAGAATTTTAAACAAGTATAGGGATATAAGAAAAGTGGGTTGTCTAGAATAATTTCACGTTTTTTTTATTTAGGGCAACTATATTGGTGTAGATGCAACTGGTTGAGAAAGAAAAAGTTGTGAAGACAGTAGGTTTGAGGGGGGAGACCAGAAATTCAATTTTAGACTTGTAGAGCTTCAAATCTCTGTTAGACATTCAAATAGAAATGTCAAGCAGGCAGTGTGATATACATGAGTCTGGAGGTCAGAAATTAATTCTGAGCAACAAACTATAACAGATAAAAAGACAGAAAAATAGACAAGATCAGATGGAAAATATTATAGCTACTGAAAAGAAGGAAATCAAAGCCTGAGCCCTGGAACTCTTCAAATTGAAACAAAAAAGGGGAAAAATGAACTATGAGAAAAGATGGAGAATGAGTGGTTAGTAAAACAGGAAGGAAACTGAGTTCTTGGTTTCATGAAAGCCAAAGGAGGAATGTGTTCTGAGGGGTTAGAGGGATTGATTGTATCATATCCTGCTGATAAAAGTTGCATACTGATTATATTGAACACAGAAAATTGAAAATATATTTAGAAATATGTTGCATGTAAGTTGAATTTAACAAAAGCAATTTCAGTGGAGTGGTTTTAAATAGAATATAGACAGTGAGTACAGACAACACTTTTGAGATGCTTGCTATGAAGAGGAGTAGAGGTAGAGTAGCATCTGTGAAGACAAGTGTCAAAGACGGGATTTCAAGATGGAATAAATAATTGGTTGTTTATACTGAGGGGAATGGTAGAGAAGGGAGAATTCATGATATAGGAAAGAGAGGGAAAAATTGCTAACAAATGACATGAAATAGGTGGGAGGAGATAGTATCTGCTGTGTAAATGGAAGGATTGTCTTTAAAGAGGAGCAGGTGGGAAGATAGAGCTTATGAATAAAGATATTTGTAGGTGGATGAATGTAGTTTACTAGATTTGTTTTCAAATTACTGAAAATTTCCCAGTTAATTAGAAAATAAGATCATCCTCTGAACACGCAGATCAGCTAAGGAGGTATTGGAGGTTTCGGGGAAAAGAAAAACATATACAACAGTTATCTGAGGGAATAAGGAAATAAACAGAGTTTCGAGTATGATTATCTAACAGGAGTAAAGCCTCATTTGTTTCTCATATTCATCTGAATGAGTACCTGAACAGGAGATAGACAGTTACATCTAACCATCTCTGCAATTTCACCAAACTCAAGAGTGAGATACGGGCAAGGGAAGCCAATTGCTACAGGACAGAGTGATCATGATCATTGAAAAGAAGATATAAAATAGGTAAGAAGGAAATCTAGACTTGAGAGTTTTAGAGGATGAAAACATCAGTGGTCCAGATGAAGTTAAAGAATTGTAGGAGCCTGTGATCCGAACTACTTGGGAGGCTGAGGCAGGAGAATCGCATGAACCTGGGAGACAGAGGTTGCAGTGAGCTGAGATTGCGCCATTGCGCTCCAGCCTGGGCAACAGAGCAAGACTCCATCTCAAGAATAGAAAAACAATTGCTAGATTCAAGTCACCTGAAGATTAGAGCTAAAAGGACAATAACTTGTCAGAGAATGTAACGAATGATAATATAGTGTATGTATAAAATTCTTGATAACATCAAGACCTTTGTAATGACCATAAGACCTAGATACTAAAATATAGTGGAAAAGAGTATTATTGGAGAAAACTAATTTTAATAAACTGAAAGAACCAGAAGTTGGAAGGTTAATCTACGTTTACTTTAGAAACTTCAGAACTTAAAAAAAAAAGTCACATTGAAGAGAGCCAGAAACTAAAATCTTCTTAGCAGTACTGTGTTACTCTTTACTATCTCAACAGTTTTCTCTGAAATTTGCATATAAAAGTGATTATAATTTGTGATTTATTATTATTTTATCCAACAATAGTAATCAGATTAGAATAAAGTAAAAGCATTAAGAATGGGCACACTGAACACACATCACAAATACTTTGTTGGTTAATGGAAATGCTAAGGAAATTGTGACCAGAAAGAAAAATCTATTAAAGTCAATGTGTGCTGAAAAAAATAGAAACATATTTTATTTTAATTTGAAAGTATGATTATTAAGAATGTTTTTTCTTTGAAGTTTCAAAAACAAACAGTAACATATGTGGTAGCTAGCTGAGCACTAACAAACAGTAACAAATGTGGTAGCTAGCTGAGCACTTTTGTGTCATATCATTTATTGTCGTGCTTTTGCGTGATTATTGTAGACTTTGCAAATTTTTACTTGACAATCATTTGTATTTATTTTCGATACCCTTTATTCTAGGCCTGGGGTGGCTAGAGCCTGTCCTGGCATCTCATGGATAAGGTGGAAACCAGCCTTCCAGCCCTAGACAGGACATTATCCCATCACAGGGTACACAGATACACACACACGCACTCACTCCTACTGGGACCGTGTAGGCACACCAGTTGCCCTAATGTGTACATCTTTGGGATATAGGAGGAAACCAGAGTACCTGGAGAAAACAAAGGCAGACACAGGGAGAATGTACAAACTTCACTCACCAGACAGTGGGCCTCTGGGAATCAACTTTTTTATCTCATTAACATTATAATAAACAATGTCAAATGAAATCATATTATTTGAGGATCTACTCTACAGAATTAACTAAACCTTCCTTGGATATTGCACATCAGCTAATCACGATACTCTGAGGCGTAAATTTCACAAGCCCAGTTTGCTCGGCATTTGTGCTTTGCATTTTAGAGATGAAAACATTTGTGGTATGGCAAGTTAATCAAGGGCCATGACAGCAATGTCTGGAACATGTATTTTACTTTTGGTAAATCTTTTGAACTCTGTAATGCTATTGCAACCTTTTGACCAAAAGCAGCTTAAAAGTCACTGTCCTTAATTGAGTATTTATAAAATGTCACATATAAATTCCATTTTATTGTTTTTTGGGCATTATAAACAGCAGGAACTTTTAGCAACACAATTAACTCTTTGTTGACACATGGGTTGTAATAAAATGTCATTCCCTGCTGTCCGGTTTCTACTGCTTTCTTGTGAGTGAGCACAGGGTTGAACTTGTTGCTGAACATTGGAGAAAGAAGGACTCTTCTCAGTCCATTTTTTTCTGATAGGCTTTCCTCAAGATTTAAATTGTTACCATAAACCTCTTAATGGCCTGTAAGGACTTTCAAAGATCTGGTCCTCCTTACTTCTCAATACCATCACCTACATGATAATGTCTCTTTCTCTCTGATTTATGGACACTAATCTCTTAAATTTACCATGACATTCCTAATATTTGTTCTCATATCACCTCATGAAAGGGATTCTTTGGCCACATGCTATTTCAAAATCTCCAGCATTTCTTGGTATCTTTTTATACTTTGTTTTTGTACTTAGTGTCTTTTATTAGCAACTTACTATAAATTTTACTTATTCCTGTTGCCTGCATTAGAATGTATGTTCCATGAGATAAAAAGTGTTTGTCTTTTATGATCAGTAATTGCAGATTTTAGATCCATGTCTATCACATAATATGAAATGTTGAATTATTAAAATATTAAAATTCTCAGAAGCTAAGTTTTCAGAATCACATTCTCTTGAGAAATCTCAGAAGCTTCTTAATCTTATCTTTAAATTTTTTAAAATGAAGTACCCTAAGTTCAGGGAATTGAAGAAATTGTCCATGGTCAACCAAAAAGTTGAAGACAGAGAAAGTACTAAATACCAATTCCATTCTCCTTGGATGAAACTGATTTTATACCCCTTTCCTGCTTTTACTGGTAAACATTGGTAGGCTTTGGCCATTTAACAAAATTCATTTTGGGTACGGCTGTTGTTTCAGGTGAGGGTGGGAGCCAAAAAGAATTTTAGAATGCCTGCTGGGGAAGTATAGACAAATGTATTCTCTCCCACTGTATATAAGGCAGTATATAGACTTGACTGCTACTGGCTGCTGTCTGATAACTCAGAGTAATTGCTCTGACACCTCAGATGGTACAGCACAGAGATAAAGATACTGAGTTCCTTGAGATATCAATGAGCCAGTGGATCACCAGATCTTGAATTGTGTCCTATACCTGTGCTTCTACTTATATTAACTAATTTTTTTATTAAGAGAAAAGAAATGTTTTTCATATACTCTTGGCACATTTTTGTCCTACCTCAGATTTTTGAAGTGTCAGAAACAATGGAGATTGCTGGTGGCTAATACACAGTAGAATAAACTGGGGAAGAACATTTATTTCTAACTAAATCTGTGTGTGTGCATGCATGTGTGTGTACATGCATGTGTATATGTGTTGATTTATATCATTGATGTAGACTTATTAATTATTGATGTGAGATTCTTATATTACTTAACAGTAATTACATAACTCATAAGACCTTTTTAGATTTCCAGCCAAGGGCATGAGCAGGGATTGAAATAACAAAACCCAAGGTCTATTAGTCTGCTTTCTCACTGCTGATAAAGGCATACCTGAGACTGGGCAATTTACAAAAGAAAGAAGTTTAATGGACTTACAGTTCCACATGGCTGGGGAGGCCTCACAATCATGGTGGAAGGCAAGAAGGAGCAAATCACATCTTACATGGATGGCAGCAGGCAAAAAGCTTGTGCAGGGAAACTCCCGTTTTTAAAACCATCCTATCTAGTAAGGTTTATTCACTAACACTAGAACAGCATGGGAAAGACCCTCCCCCATGATTCAATTACCTCCCACCAGGCCCCTCCCACAACAAATGGGAATTCAAGATGAGATTTGGGTGCAGACACAGCCAAACCATATCACAAGGCTATAGAAGCAATACATTTTATTCATTTATTAACTGTTTACACATGATTTATTGTTTTCATTTTAGTGTGTGATTACAGGCTTCATTTTCTGAACTCAGGTCCTTGTTTTGTGTGTGTGTGTGTGTGTGTGTTTGTGTGTGAATTATGATTCTTTTTTCTGACTGGTGCCTATGGACTCAATAGGGAAACCTATTTACTAATTAGTTTTGTCTTTTTCCATAGAGAAAGCTTGGACTATATTTCTGGAAGGTACCCACTGTGGGGTGCTGCTTGTTATCTGGTGTTGCCATGCAGCGACTTGGAGGAGTGGAGGGCTGCAGGAGACCCTCTAAGATTCTGCTTTGTGCACATGCTCTGCCTTCAGGGCATGGGGTTCTCCAGCCCATAAAGCAAGACTCCTCAGGCCCTGTGACTAGCATCCCCCCACACATATCAGCCACTAGCATTTTAAAGATGGTTTTAGGTGGGCACATAAAGGCCCAGAAAAAAAGTTTTACAATTATTTTAGGATCCTCAACCTTCATGTCATAGCTAGTCAGTGAATGAAGTTACCTTTTAATCAAAGAGCCTCATCCTTGTTTTCTTGGTACTAAAAACTTTTACCAGTCTGAATCCTAGTATCATACTCTATACACTAACCCCACCTATTCCTCTGTCGCCAGATGGAGATTTTAAGCTTGCAGGCTTCCAGCAAGGATTCTCCTGATAAGCGTGTGTAGCAGTGCAGCTGGACACACTTGGGAACAGCAGGCTGGCCTTCAACACCTGGCTTCAGAGGCAGGGTGGGACTCCAGGCGCTTGTGCAGGTGGTTGGCAAAATCCACCTGGGTCTGGGACAGGACCTGGTTGATGATGCTCTTGGGAAGCCACCCCTTGAGGTCGATGCTGAGCAGTCATGTAAGTTTGGTCTTGGAGGGACTTCCAGTCACCAGGTGAAGCACCATGCAAGTGGGACCATGCTCCCCCTGATGACACCCTTCTGCTCGGGCATGTTCCCGAAGTCTGTGGCCATGCCAGCCAGCACACAGGTGGAGCCTTGACGCTTGGCACAGCACATGCTCACAGAGTCACAAGGCCCCACTAGGTTTCCTGCTGCCTCTGCAGCCAGCTCATGGGCAATGAATGTATCTTTTCTGATCATCTTCTGCAAGACCTTGATCGCCTTGATATTGGAGTTGCACTCCCCCATTGCCTCCATGCACTCCACGAGCTCTTTGTAGAGCCTCTCCATGGGCTGGTCCACCACGACTTCCAGCCGGAACACCTTGCCCCATCTGGAACCACTTTACTCATCACTTTATCCCCATTGTCCTGCTGGCTCTCCTTCTTCCAGCCCTCGTAGTTGCCGAGGGCTAAGGATGCCCAAGGCCTTCTGCATGGCCTCCTCCCCACTGCTGGAGATAGGTCAGCTCCTGGTCACTGTAGAGAGTCTTCCCCGCCCGCCCCCCCGTCCCCGAGTTCAAGCGATTCTCCTGCCTCAGCCTCCTGAGTAGTTGGGATTACAGGCCCGCACCACCACTCCCAGCTAATTTTTGTATTTTTAGTAGAGATGGGGTTTCACCATGTGGGTCGGGCTGCTCTCGAACTCCTAACCTCATGATCTGCCCGCCTCGGCCCCCCAACGTGCTAGTATTACAGGCGTGAGCCACCGCACCCGGGTAGAGAGTCTCTTCCAGCAGAGAACGAAGCAGAGAGCTCCGCCGCGGAACCTGGTTAATCCAAGCGCTTGGGGTGGGGCCCCCAGGGCCCTCCGGTTAAGCTCCTGCCCGATGCCCCCTCACAGCCTGTTGCCTCAGCCCCTTCATGTTGCGCATGTGTCTGTAGGAGCTCCTGGAGCACAGTTTGAATGTCGCTAGCAGCATTCTTTCCTGGCAGATGTGGCAGTGGTGGGGCCGCCAACGCCGGTGAGGCTGCCTCTTCTTTCAAGGGTGGTTCTTCGTCCTTCCTGAGCCACTCAAGCTTTGCCTCTGAGTCCCGCAGCTGCAGCCTGGACCCGGTGTTCCACGTATTAAATGTCCCCCACTGAAGGCTGTGCATCATCATCAGGAGATATAAACGCCATCACTCACTGGATTCTTCCTGGCAGTGCTCAGCTCCCCGTGCAGCGCCTGCTGCCATCCATCCAGTGCATACCTTCGCCACTCCAGGGATGCTTGCAGTGCGGCCTCCCCTTGGAGGCTGTCCTCTGTGCCCCTCCTCACTCTACTCTTTAATTAGAATCCAATATTTTGGCCAGGCTCGATGGCTCAGGTCCTTCTTATAGACTCACTGAATATTGAAATCGGTAGGACACACCTTTTTGCTTATTTATTGTTCTCATTGAGTGCTTATCTCTGGTCTTTCCTGTCCTTTTGGAGTCACCAAAATTTGATAACAGAAACTTTGACTTCCATTTCTGATCCCATGTGATCTTCCCAGTAAGTCTAACCCTAGGATGTGATTTGTATATCTGTTACCCTCTCACCCACATACTCCCTACTAAGATAACCTGAAGCATAACTGAGTTGTCCATTCTATGACTTAGCAAAATATATTGTTTTATTCCTCTAAATAAATTTCTCAAGGAGTTAATTATAATGCAAAGCCAGTTACTCATTCTGGCAATGTGCAAATTCAGAAATATACAGAAAATGTACAACAACCCAGATTAATCTTAATATACACATTATGTCATTAAAATCAAGGTAGATATGAATTTCTATAATCTTTATATGTAAAGCTTAATATCTTTAAGAAATATTTAGGTAATGTTGCAGTTTTAATTTGTGTCTATGTAGTTTGGTCCCCTTTGTTCCATTTTAATTTATTTCCACTCTTTGTATTACTCCCTTGTTTTCATTTGTTTTGCTACTATTTCCTCTTTATTATTATTATTTTGATATTTACAGAATAGTTGCAAAATTTTATAGTGAGTTCTTACCATTTACTCATGTTTCTCTAAGGTTTACATTGTAGGCAACCATGAAACACTTATCACAACTTAGAAATTCACATTCGTATGATGCTGTGAATCAAATTGCAGACTTTATTCTGATTTTATCAGCTTTTCCATTAATATCCTTTTTTTCTGTTTCAGTATTTAATCTATGATACCATGTTGCATTTTTTTCTAGTGTTCTCCAGTTATGAGTTCTCACTCTTTATTTTTTTGTAAGCTTGACACTTTTGAATTATACTGATCAAACATTTTGTAGAATATCCTTCAGTTTGGGTTTTTCTGCTGTTTTCTCATGATTAACTGGAGTGAATAAATTTTCAGAAAACAATACCACAGAAGTAAAATGCGCTTCTCATCACATCATGCCTACCCGTCTTTAAATCATAACTTTCCTTCTGTTTCACTCTCACAGCTCTGATTTCTGAGCTTTCTCTTATTAGAAGAATATCATCATTTTCCACCTCACTTGAGTTTGTTTTCTATAAAAAAGATCTGTACCTGGAATTAAAATATTCTGCTATTCAGCATCATGATGCTTAATTGACCAGCATACTTTGAGATAATTTATAACAAACCAGTGATTTCCTACTGTATTTTTTAAGGATGCATGCTAATCACCAATATAATGTATCTAAGATCTAGTTTCTTTTTCCCCCATGACAGAAAACTGCAGATTTTATACGAAAATCTCAAAAAGAGAATCAAACTTAATTATGAAGCCGAATGATTGACACCAATTGGTAAATTCCCTTGACAACCTAGACAATTCTTAGTTAATATGAAAGTTTTATAATAAAAACAGACTTAATGCCACATATTTTAATAATTACTTCTCAAAAATGTAGTGCTAAAGAAGAAATTCTATTATCAAGGGGATAAATTGCAAAAGGGCTATTATTCTAGTTTTAAAAGACTCCTCTAAAAGTTATTTTTAATATTATGAAATATTGAAGTTGGTTGAAAGTTAAGAATATTTCTCATTAAGTTAAATTAGATATAATGGGGAACCACTTATTCATTTATTACTTACACCTTTTTTTCCCTCTTTTTTTAAGCTCTTACACATTTTTTTTTTGAGTTATAGGAAGGGCATTCTGAAAAATGTTAGGATTAATAAAGATGGCTGACTAGAAACAGCTGGGATACTCCTTTTCAACAAGAGGAACCAAAATATTGAGTAAATCTTGACACATCCAACAGATCTTTTGAGAGAGAATACTGAAATTTAATAGAGAGGCAACAGAAGATGCTTTGATTGAAGAGGGAGGTAGGAGACTTCCTGCTTGGCATCACTGGGTGCCAAGACTGCCCAGACCTAGATCAAACCCAAGGAAGGGGTGAGTAAAGGAACCCCATGGCACCACATTCCTACTCTGGGCCACTGAGATCCTAGCTAAAAGAGTTCCCACAACACCTACAAACCTTTGGACTGTCTGGGAGCTACCTGGAGAACACATAGAGGCACTGCCTAATCTCACTGGGAGCCCAAAAGATTTCAGTGTGTTGGGCAGCTGCAGTAAAACATGACTCAGTGCCCACTTCTCAAGTTTCTGTGTCCTGCCCTAAACAACTGTAGCTCATGTTGTCTGCTGGACCAGGAGAGAGTGGGGCCTGTGCACATTCAGGTACCCAAGACAGGCCACAGCACCATTGCTCTGGGACTGAGGTGCATTCTGAACCACAAACTCCCATGGCTGCTGGTACCTCCCATTACTGCCTACCTGGATTTTCTTGCAGGGGCAGCCCACAGTATAGGCTTCATTGCCCTACCTGAGTGGTTTGTTGGGCAGCCTGGGAGCAGTTCACTTCCCCACCAAAGGTAGTGCTTGACCCCAAAAGGCCAAAGGACAAGTCTGCTGGCCTAGTCCCAGTTCCCCAGTAGTCAAGCACACTACCTAGGGGTATAGAGATGAGAACTGTGGTCTGATCTCATGCTGGAGAGGGCCCCCCTGTGTTAGAACACAGAGAAGAGCATGACACACGCTCACATGATGGTGCAGGAGCTGTGTGCCCCTTCTTTTATGAAACCAGACTGCCAAGAGTGAGGCCTAATATTCTCAGTTTCTTCTACAGGGAGTCTCGCCATCTGTAACACCTGGGACAGCATGGTGATCTGGGTGTGAATGCTTGAGATGAGCTTAGCTGGTCGGGTCTGTTGTTCAGGTTAGACATTGGAGGGAGCCCCCTGAGGGTTCAGGGGAGTAGTAAATGGGTAGCCTCCATGGCCTTTTGCTAGGCTGAAAGCCCCAGACTATCCCCTCTTTCCCTGATTAGGCACTGTGGTAAGAGGATGTGCCTCCCCCATTCCCTAGAGGATTGCCCGAGTGGCCTGAGAGCTGCCTCTACAACCCCATCAAGGTCAGGACTTGCACCCAACCCAACCCTATCTATTCCTGCCATCTTGGTGGGAGAACACCAGGCAATAATATTGAACCCCATTCCCCATCCATTGCCAGGGACACTCTGATACTTCCCCCCATCAACTAAAGTCACATAGAATTCCACTGCCATCAGCACATATGCTTGTCACTTGCAAGTGCCAACTACTGATCAAGAGGTCAAACTGCATGGCCCATGACAACTTCTGCTGACATCAGTGTACAAGGCTCAGCCAGCTCTTACCCACAAGCACCACCAACTAGCATATGGTGTGGGATGTACAACCAAATATAATTACTGCTGACAAAAGTATACAGTACTGGGGAACAAAATAAGCCTCTCAAGCCTCCACCTCCCCATATCTGTTGAAGACAGTGAGCCTCACCACATACAGAGCTTATTGTAGACTTCTACCACAATCTACAAAAACAGACAGAGAAACAAAAAAACTAGCATTTGAGAAATCCATTACATTAAGGCTATCTATTAGCACAAAATTTTTATACAGAGAGTTGACCCTATAAAAACACATGGGAGCAAAGCCAAAGGACCATGCCCAACGTACACAATAGTCACACCCTCAAATGAGGAAAAAAATCCCACCCAAACAAAAGCAAATAGAAAAATAAGAGGTAATAGCTTCTACAGATAAAAAACAGTCAGCACAAGAACTCAGGTACTATGATTAAACAATGTAATAACACATCCAAAGGTCACACTAGCTTTCTAGAAAGGGATTTTAACCAAAATGAAAACTTTGAAATGATAAAAGATTTAAGATACATATTGTAAGGAAGTTCAATGAGATCCAAGAGAAAGTTGAAAGCCAACAAAAAGAAACCAGAAAAACAATTTAGGAGATGAAAGAAGAGATAGATATATTTTTTAGAAAAACAAACACAACCTCTGGAAATAAAAAAAAAATCACTGAAGAAATTTCAATAATGCTGTTGAAAGCTTTAACAATAAACTAGACCAGGCAGAAGAAAGACTTTCAGAGCCTGAAGACCAGTCTTTTGAATTAATCAAGTCAAATAGAAACAAAGAAAAAAATAACTTAAAAAAACGAGCAGAGCTTTCAAATATATGGGATTATGGAAAACAACCAAACGTACAACTTGTAGGCATTCCTAAGGGGAAAAAAGAAAAAGTAAGAAGTGTGGAACATATATTTGAGGAAATAATTTTTTTTAATTTCTCAACTTTGCTAGAGACATAGATGCCCATATACGAGAAATTTGGAGAACACCTGGAAGACACTATGTAAGGTAAACATCACCAAGGAACATAGTCATTAGACTATTTAAGGTCAATGTGAAACTCTATGTCTTAACGGCAGCTAGAGAGAAGTGTCAAATCACCTATAAATAATATCCCACTAGACTAACAACTGACTTCTCAGTTGAAACTTTCCAAGCCAGAAGAGATTGGGACCTATTTTTAGCTTTCTTTAAAAAAAATGCCAGCCAAAATAATTTTATATTCTGCCCAACTAAGTTTCATAAATGAATAAGAAATTAAATATTTCCTTAGATAAGCAAACACTAAGGACATTTGTCACCATTAGACTAGTACTACACAAATTGCTCAAAAGAGATCTAAACATGGATATGAAAGTAAAATACTCACCATCATAACATCACACATAAGTAGAAACCTTACAAATCCTGTAAAGCAGTTACACAACTGAGACTCCAAAGAACCTAGCTAGCAAGCTATGACAGGAACAAAACCTTATATATAAATATAACTTTGAACATAAATGGCATATATGCTCCACTTAAAATATATAGACTGGCAAATTAGATTTAAAAAAAAGAAGACGCAACCTTCGGCTGCCTACAAGAGACCTCTCTAATGGCTAAAGACATCTGCAGGCTCGAAGTAAAGAGATTGTAAACAATATGTCACAGTCACACAAATGAAAAGCAAAAGTGAGCAAGAGTAGCCATTCTTATATCAGATAAAACAGACATTAAACCAACAACAGTAAAAAAGGACAAAGAAGGGCATTATATCATTCAAAAGGAGTTCAATAAAACCAGAAGATTTAGCTATCCTAAATATAAATGCACCCAACACAATAGCACCCATGTTCATAAAACAAGTACTATCTGACATAAGAAAAGAGACTGATGGCAATACAATAATAGAGGAGACGTCAACATCTCATTGACAACACTAAACACGTCATTAAGGCAGAAAGTCAACATAGAAACCCTGTACTTAAACTGAACTGTAGACCAAATGGACCTATTGGACACTTACGGAACATTCTACCCAACAGCCACAATATTCCTGTTGAACGTAGGTGCAAAAATCCTCAAGAAAGTACCAGGAAACTGAATCCAACAGCATTTTAAAAAGGCAAATCATTCAAGTGGATTTTATTCCAGAGATGCAAGGATGATTCAACATTTGCAAATTGATAAATATGATTTGCCACATAGACAATTAAAGACAAAAAATTATATGATTACCTCAATATATGCAGGAAAGGCTTTTGATAAAATCCAACATCCCTTAATGATAAAAGCCCTTAACAAACTAGGCATTGAAGAAACATACTTCAAAATATTAAGAGTCATACATGACAAACACACAGCGAACATCACACCACTTGGGAAAAAGTTGAAAGCACTACCCATAAGAACTGGAACTGGACAAAGAGAAATTTCACACTTTATAAAGCAAGTAACAATGTTAACAGTATACTTGTTAACCATTTTAAATTTTACAAAGAAAGGTTATTTTTTTGTTTGTTTTGTTGCAATGTTTGTTGCTAATATTTATATTATCTTTTTTTTACTTTTTTCATCTTTCGTTATTTATTGTACTCTAAGTTTCGGTGTCATTATCAAATACAAATTATTAGTTATCTTATCAGCATGGTCAATGAAAACCCATAATTTGGGTTAATGGAAATATCTTAGTATTGCATACTGAATGGTTGCCTAATGTTCCTAAATCCTTACAATTTAATACAACACTTTTCTTCATTTCCTCAGTGGAATACTAATAGAAGGATAGTGAAAAATAGTGCTAATTAATCCAAGATCTTCTTATGTCACACAACATGAAAATGAAAATGAAATGAAAGTATGAATGGCTTATTTGAATAAATTATTAAAAATATGACTACACATGATTTTAGCAAGCATATAATTATTTAGGCAGTCTATTCAGGAAGTCTTTCACAGTTCATTGAAGAGTTAAAATGAAAACAAAACAAAACTTTGGGAAATATATCTGTTTCTGCACAGAGCCACTTTATTCCAGGCATATACCTAATAAAAGCAAATATTATATATATATGTATAAATATATACATGTATAAATATGTTTATATGTGCATATATTTATACATATATACATATACATATTTATATACATATATTTATTTATTTATAAATATGTTTATAAATTTATATTTATTTATAAATATATTTATATTTATACATACATATATTTCTCCCACATCAAATAGTATATTCTAAATACCATAAAAATTATAATTGACCAACTTAATTTTAAAGAAATGTGTTCTTTCTTTTGAAAATAAAATAGTAAGTAACTATCACTGAAATAATAATACTTTTATCAATCTGAATGTTATTCGCAGTTTTGCTTCAGTCCATAGGATCAATTTTTTTGACTCTTTACAACATTTACTAAATTAACATTTACAACATTTACTAATTTTACTAAATTTATCTTGGAATCCTTAGAAGACTCAATAATGAAAGTAAACACAATTATCTAACAAAACTATTCAATGTTCTTAAATGCTTATTATATTTCTCCATCTCTGTATAAAGTTTATTGACTAATTGCTGAAATTGTGTTTTGCTTTCTCTTACAGATAGAACATAACCATTGTCAGAAAGTTCTTATATTGCTTAGTTTTATATCTTAGCTGAACATAGAATTCTGTTTCATCAAATATTTAATACTGTACAATAGGCTTTATAATTGATTGATACTGTAACAGAAATAAATACTGGCTTACTAATAAAAAAAGAACAGTAAATCAGTAGAACTAAATAAAACTAAATGATGACACATTAGTGAAATTACAGTGACAAGTTCCTTTCTGTAACCAAGTACTTACAATACAGAATATATAAAATCTAAGTGTTAGGCCCTTGATATTGCCGTCGTTATTTTTGTCTGAGCATGAGACACAAGAGATACCTTTGACAAACGTAATCAATATGTCTCATGGTTGTTTCAATTCTATTTCCTTATCGGTCTTTGAGAAAACAGTAATTTTTGTGTGTATAATCACTAAGTCTTTAAATAATTTAGCACAGTAAAGTATAATGTATATGATTTAGATTAAACTAAATGAAGACACTCTTTTGCAGTTATATATTAGAAAAGATTAAATGCTTTTTTTCAGTCGTCACTCAGACACTTCTTAAACTAGAAAGCCTGGGCTCATTATAGTTGAAGATAATGATTCTCTGTTTGATATGGAAAATAAAAGTTTTCTCCTTAAATATATAGGACATAGAAAAACTCTTAGGAGCATAGTAAAAACAGAAGAATCTTAAACATTTTAGGAGATTTGGACCCTGAAAAAAAAGTCCTTAAAATCCTTCCTTCCTGTATTTGTTTCTACAATTTATTATTTCTCAATTGCAGCCCTTGCTAATTCTACTGCACTGCTTATAATACATGTTTTCAGACAAATGACTCTTTCTTTTGGCCAATATTACAGTGAATAACATTCACAAGTGCCTTTCATTTTTAAATGCTTTACTATTATAAATCAATCTTCTCAGCAACCAGGAGAGGATAATTAACATTATCTCCATTTTACAGACAGGAAAACTACTGGAAAAAAAAAAAAAAGGTGGGAGCTGATGCCGAGGCACAAGGTACAGAAATATATTAGAAAGGCAGAGTTTTTCCAGGATATTTAAAGAACATTCAATTTCCTAAAGCATCAGAATGTTCTGAGTGGCAAGGAACTGGTTCTGGCAGGGTCATATAGGTGTCTCTATTGTATCCGTACAACAATATATATCATATATTAACATACAGCAATCATAAACTACATGCCCTTATATGCACCCTTCATGTATGCCTCCAGAAAATCTTCCTTAATTAGGCTCTGAATATTTATTTAACCTATGTTTGGGCACACAAATATTTTATGACAAATTAATGCATACCAGTACACATTGTGTGCTACATGATGGGCATATTTTCTGTTTTTCATATTTTTCTATGTAGTTATGTATCTTCTTTTATACTCCATGACTTTTTTAGGGAAAAAAGCTGTCTTCCATTATATTATTCTAGTGCAGTCTACATAGGAGAATAGGCCTTAACAATGGGCACTTATAATAGATAAAGGTTGGAGATGACCACTATAATTTAATAACTTGGTATTGAATGGAATGAAAAGCAAGGTGTCAATTCAGGATAAAGAATCTTTGCATATGTTACATAGCTTTGCTCTTCCTTGTGTTTTTCATGTATGAATCCAAAGAAAACAGAATAGAGTCTGGTGACACAATGTGTGAGACAATAAAATGTTATTAGCTTATGAGGAATGTGGCATAAAAAACATGAAACATTTGGTGTGTCTCCTAGCTCAACACAAATACTACCTGACCAGAAAGACATTTATCCTTCTCATTCTATTCAATTCTAGAAATTCCTTAAAGCATTGCCTAGTAAAACAAGTTAGGATGTTGTTCCAAAAACATCTCCCTTACACTTTATTCTCCCTAGAGATAGATTCTGTTTCAAGTGAAGAAACTTGTGTATGAACTGTTTCGAAGATGGTGCTTTTATTTCTCTTTTACACTAATTTATCTCCAATTAACAGATATTCTGTGGGTTCCATCCAATTATAAGAGTGTAGAATATCCTGAAATTCTCTAGAGCAAGAGTCAGCCATCAACTAACCAAGGGTTAAATCTAACCCACAGAATGTTTTTGTATGGATCAAGAACTAATTTTTATGTATATTTTAGGGTATAATAACAAAAAATATATGACAGAGACTATATATTGCTTTCAAAGCTTAGAATGTTACCATTATATCTTTGAGAATGAAGCCTACCTAGCCCCTTATAAAAAATTTTGTCAGTCTGCCAATTAAAACATCTCATCAAGTACAGTGTACATAAAAATCATATTCTAAGATGTGACTTTCATGGAGACCATAATTCTGCCTGCCAAGTTTCCTGCAGAAGACTTAAAATTCACTGGGCTGTGGGTCTGGGGATGTGAGCCAGCCATTACCCAAGAACATAGATTCATGCAATATTGAAACTATTAATGGCATCTTGCTTAAACTCTATCTTTTCTAGTTAAACAGCTGAAACTGGATCAGGTGAAGTGGCTTTGCCCCAAATCAAATAACAGCTTTCAGCAGAGTCAGATCATGCTGGTTCTCTTGATGCCTAGTTCAGCAATATTTTGTTGTGTTTTGGGCCACTAGGATGTAAGCAACCAAGGACAGAGACTTAAATTGTCCTTTTCACTATAATACAGACCTCAAAAAATTGTCATTTCCCTGTAAGTATCATATAATATTTGTTAAATTAATGAATGAGAGAATGAAATACTTTGATACTCAAGGAAACTGACAGCAAGCCGCAGATGAAAGTAAAGTAATATGCCAATGTTTTACTGGGCTCCATAGGACCAAATATGGTGATAATTCTTGCCATTCTTATTCACAAGGACATCTAGAGTTAAGCTGAGGGTATTAGGCAGAAATCTCAATAAGGTAGTTTGTATATTTCTGGATATGAGATGAGATGTGAATCTGTTATTTTAATGTAGCACATGCCAATCCACATATTTATTTAGTCCTATTTATACTTTAGTCTAATTCAGAGGTTTGCAAACTGGCCCACAAGCTAAATGGAGCCCATACCCTTTTTTCAGAAATAAAGTATTAGAGTCAATGATGTCTATTCAATTACTTATTGTCTACAGCTACTTTAGCATTGCAGTGGCAGACTGTGTACTTATAACAGATATTATAATAAATTACCTGAAAAGCATAAAATATTTGTTACCTGGCCTTTACACACAAAAAAGAAAATCAGTAAGAATAAATCAAAAATCAATTGACCTGGTTAACTGCAAGTGCTAGAGAATGGGGTGAAAGAGATATGAAGGAAATGAGGGCCAGGTGCAGTGGCTCACGCCTGTAATCTCAGCACTTTGGGCGGCCAAGGCAGGCTAATCACCTGAGGTCAGCAGTTTGAGGACAGCCTGGCCAACACTGTGAAACTCTGTCTCTACTAAAAATACAAAAATTAGCTGGGTGAGCACCTGTAATCCCAGCTACTCAGAAGGCTGAGGCAGGAGAAATGCTTGAACACAGGAGGCAGAGGTTGAAGTGAGCTGAGATCCTGCCACTGCACTCCAGCCTGAGTGACACAGCAAGACTCCGTCTCAAAAAAAAAAAAAAAAAGAAATGACACTTCTCTGAGAATATCATTTTGTATTTTGTTTTATATTTAAAACAAATTTAATTAATTTTAAATAATTATAGGGGAGACCAAAAATGTAAAAATAAAAATAAATTGAAACAAATGGGCCTAACTTTTACAAATGAACACTAAGAGGCCACTGATGAAAGAAGAAAAGAGAGAAAGAAACAACAATAATTAAGATATTTATGAATATGACAGTCAACCACATTCCTTTAATTTGGGGCAGGATGAAATACTTGACTACTGCAAATAAGTCCTGAATTCTTTTTCAGTAGTTTTGTGTATAGTTTTATAGATTAAGTTATATTGGATTTATTTTGTATATATTACAAGATTGAGAAAATAAGTAAACGTGCTAATCTTCTTGGGAGTCAGGGCTCTCAGTTTGGAAAAACAGAGTTACAGATACAGATAGGGAAAGGCCAAGAAAAGCTCGGATTAGAATTGGAATCCTTGATATTAACTTGAGATTTCTAAAGTATGTATTTGTGAAAGTATATATACCTATACACACACATAGTCAATACTCATTATTCACAGAAGGTATGTTACATAAAGTTGGCATACTGAATTTCCAATTTCCTAGATGGAAAGCATGGTTAGGTTTCTCCAAGTCTGTAGTCTCAATAGTTCTATCAATAGATCAGTACATAAACTAGTTTTATATGTGTTTCTATTTAAATATATGTTATTAAGCATATAATGTTGATTGATTAACACTGAACTTGTGGTCAATAGCACTCTAAGCTTATTTTGCATAGAGAAACACTAGACATCACTTGCTTCAGCACTACCATGGTGTGCTGTTTCAAACAGTGAAATCAACAACAGAAGGCACAAAAATGCAAAAAAAAAATACATGTGACACTACATAGACCCTCAGACACTTGTTTACAGTATGAGCTCTGAAACAAGAAGGCAGGGTCAAACCTTGTTTGACCTCACTTGGGAACCTGTGTGTCAGTAACTCAAAATGCTTGTCTCTCTGCTGCTCTGTGAATTTCTGCAAATAACCGCAATAGTACCTTAAGTATTGACTTTGGGGTTACAGATACAGTTTGGTGAGTAGACAAACTCGCAAACATGAAATCCATAAATAATGAGAATTGACTGTTTATGTGCATGTGTATATATATGTATGCATGTCTCTATATGTATGTTTGTATATATGTATGTATGCATATGTACGGATGACTAGACATATATATATTTTTGAGTTGTGTGGACTAAAAAGGCCTAGGAGAAAGAACTCTCTAATAGTAAAGAATATATCTAACACTCGATTTTTTTTTTTTTTTTTTTTTTTTTTTTTTTTTTTTTTTTTTGAGACGGAGTCTCGTTCTGTCCCCCGGGCTGGAGTGCAGTGACCAATCTCGGCTCACTGCAAGCTCCACCTCCCAGGTTCACGCCATTCTGGTGCCTCAGTCTCCCGAGTAGCTGGGACTACAGCCGCCCGCAACCATGCCCGGCTAATTTTTTGTATTTGTAGTAGAGATGGGGTTTCACCGTGTTAGCCAGGGTGGTCTCCATCTCCTGATCTCGTGATCCGCCCACCTCGGCCTCCCAGAGTGTTGGGATTACAGACATGAGCCACTGCGCCCAGCCCCAAATTTGTGTTTCTAATAACCATTCCTCATTAAAGAAGCCAAAGCTCCTGTGAGAAGTGACTGAGTTCAGGGTGAGACCTAAAGAGAAGCCTGGAACAGTTCGTTATACCAGGATATAAAGAGGTGCTCAATAAAATAATGCAGCATGTCACAAGCACAGCTGTATTATTTTACAGGGCCAGCTAGAGCAACTTGCTCTGGCCACTTCTGGGACAATCTGAGCATTAAAACGATGTTTTTTATCAAGGCAATTACTAAAAATGTTTGCAGAAATGAAAATATAACTCTTCTCACTACATGTTTATTTTAGTGAGTTTAGCTTTTTAACAAAAACTATGAAAAATTTATTTATTTGGACATGTAGTAAGTTTATCGTTGATACTTTAAAATAAATAAATATATATATTATCAATTTCTGAATAATTATATTTCCGGAAAAAATTGATAGACCTTATTCACATAAACAAAAATTCTTTGAAGTCCATAGTGTTTTTTAAAGTGGAAGATGTCCTGCGTTTTTTAAAAAAATGAGAGCTGCTAGTTTTGGTAAATTCTATTGCTATTATTATTATAGTTGCAAGATATGAAGGGAGTTACCAATTATTAGAGTGAAGAGATAAGTTGTTCTTTCAGAGAAGAGTTTATCCTTCATCTCAGCTGTTCTTAAAAGATGATCAAGTAGCAAAAAGATAGGAAGGATTTTCTTGAAGGAAGAGCAAAAAAGGATGTATGTTTGATATATTTGAAATAATGTGGCATTTATCTATTAAATTTAAGTACTATAGCTTTTTACTGCTTAGGTGGGTTTTTTTTTGCTTTAATAAGGACTATAAGAAGTGAAGTAAGTATTCCTTTTAATATTTTTAATAAGAAAAATTACTTCTTTAAAATACGAGATCCTAATAGAAAAATATGAAGCCTGAATTTCCACTTAGAAATTTCCAGCGCACATTAGCTTCTCAAGCTGGGAAATAATCCAGTAAAGAAATGTGTTCTACTTTGTTTACTCAGCATTAATCACTCATTTAACCCATAAAGGAGTATTTTGACACCAACCTCTTTTAATGTTTTGGGAATACAAATGCATGGTATTATAGCATGCATGTTCTTATTGTATAGTAAGTGGGAAGTAATTTTTAAAATTTTAGCCATGGAATAATATGATTAATTTTGTGTTTACAAGTATCTGTGTACTACCAATAAATGCACTGGATTTGAAACATCATATCTAGAGGTGTGTCTCCCAAGCTAAAACAATGAGAGTTTAGATAAAGAAAGAAACAGCACGATAAAGAAGCTGGAACATATCTAAGGGTTTTTAAGGCAGTAGATATATTGAGTTCCTGACCTCAGCTGGATGGAAGGATGTGAATGAAGAGGAGATGAGAATGATTAGATTTATAATGGGAATAAGACAAATTGTGTAATTCACCAAAATAGGGAACCCAAAGTAGAGTGAGGAAAAAAAGTTTAGACATATTCATTTGAGATACAAATAAACAAAAAAGTTTAAAGTTTAACTTTTAACTTTGAAAGTTAAACTAATCTCAGAAACACCAAACTGAGGAAAAAAAGTAACTTGTAGAAAATGCATGCAGTATGAAAACATATATGTAAATGTTTACAACAAAACATTAATATACATTGTTTAAAGATACATGTGGAGTAGAGTAGAGAGATAGGAATGGCAATAAGTAATCAAATAGAGGTTATGATTGGTGGGAAGAAAGATATGATTGGAAAGAATACAGGAAGGTTCAAATACATTTATAACATTTTACGTCTTAGGTTGATAGAGACTAGGTGCTTAATACATATATGCACACATGCACACACATACGCATCCACATATATGAGCATATATTTATTTTTTGGTAACTGAAATAAAACAACAAAATCAGAAACTAAAACAAAAAATAAGTGGGAACTCTAGAATCAGGCTGCTTATGTGGGATCTTCGTGCTATATTTAGTAGTTTTGCAACCTTGAGAAATGTACATGCCCTCTAGGCATTGGGTTTCTTACTTTTAACATGGAGAAAACAGTAGAAAATACTTAATTGGCTTGCAGTGAGTGTTCGTAGAGTCACTGTGTGTCAGATACTGAGATCAGTATCTGGCCTATAGTAAAGTGAACTCTTTGTTTAATGAAAAAAGAAATCCAATAGGAAGTAAGATGTTTGATGATGAATGTGGTTTACTTACTTGGGGAAAAGAGAGCTCAGACTCTAAGTAAAGGGATATGAAATGTATTAAAAATTACCTTCCCACACCAAATATATATTCAGTGATTAAGATGAGCACCAAATGTGAAATGATCAATCAAATAGTCTATTGTCAATAAACTAATATCTTTTTAGCAGAGTGTTCAGCCCTTGATTGAGATTCAGGGATTTTTGGTGCCATATTCTTTATAGAAATAAAATGCATTATGTGTCTTAGGAAAATGTTCAGAATCTAAATCAGTGATCCAAAAAAACTTTATATACTCAAATTATTTTCATCTAAGTATTTGCTTAGGTGTATCACCACTCTACATTATTTTTAGTATAGCATCTATCATATTCTAACACAATTATGATAGATGCTATACTAAAAATAATACAAAGTGGTAATACAGAGAAGGATGACCATCTGGTTCCTGTGAGTCTGAAGAGGACTCCACAATGGAAATCATATTAGCATTGAGATCTGCAGTTCTCCCATACAACACTACTTAAGAAAAAACACTCAAGAGGAAAGAAATAAGATCTGCAAATTTTATTTAAAGAAATTCGATTAGTTTGTTAGAGTTGGAGTATAATGTACAGGTCAGGCATTGGAAGGAGTCTGGAATGTAGATTGGGGTCTGGTTATGATGTTCCACGCACTAGTTACTATCAATTCTCTGTCTAGATCTCTTTAAATCTCTTTTACCTTGGAAGGAAGATGCTAAACCAATTGGTCTATGATTCACTCACTCTGGGCTATCCTGAGGTAAAGGAACAAAAGCAGGTGACCTAATCTACTTTCATGTCAACTAGCCTTCCAGGTAAATAAGCTAAAGGTATTTCCTAGGATAAAGAGAGCTTATCTATTGAATGACCTCAGATAAAATGCCATTCATGGTAAATTAACCCATAATCAATAGGGCATAGCTTCCTGATGGATATCACATAAGGTACTAGCCTTTCTGAGGTATAACATTAGTTTTTCTTGTCATTTAAATATTTATTTTACTATGTGAGGTAACTCCAGAAACCTCACTTAAATACCTATTATTCTAGACCAGAGGTGAATGCCTTATAGGTATCAAGGGGAGCTGTTGACAATATCCCAGACTTCTTTCTGCTTGGTTGAGGCCTCTTGATGTTCTGTATCATTAACATTACTACTAAAGCTTTAAACTGGGTAAGATCTCTCATTAGTGTGCATCTAATTGACAACTGATCCTGTGTGTTATTCACAGTGATTCTCAGCACCCACCCCACAAGTCCAGCACGCTTGCCTACAGGGAGGACAAACACCGAGGTATACTTTATGTTACAGAGTTTCATGTGATCAAGCTGTGATAAAGGTTTTTGATTGAAATTGCATCCTCCTCGGCTGGGAGCAGTGGCTCACACCTGTAATCCCAAAACGTTGGGAGGCTGAGGCAGGCGGATCACGAGGTCAAGAGATCAAGACCATCCTGGCCAACATGGTGAAACCCTGTCTCTACTAAAAGTACAAAAATTAGTGGGCGTGGTGGCGGGCACCTGTAGTCCCATCTACTGGGGAGGCTGAGGCAGAAGAATCGCTTAAACCCGGGAAGTGGAGTTTGCAGTGAGCCGAGATCACGCCACTGCACTCCAGTCTGGTGACAGAGCCAGACTCCGTCTCAAAAAAAAAAAAAAAAAAAAAAAGAAATTGCATCTTCACTTGACTTCTCTTTCTCTCCTTTGCTTCCTCCATTTCCCTATCAATTTCTTTTGATATTACTTTCTCACCAAGTTACTTGCACATGAATCTTTGTCTCAGCATCTGTTTCTCAAATACTTGACTATATATATAGTGAGATACTTGGACTTTAATATAACTTTAATATGTACAAATGTTGAAACCACTGAAGGGTGTGGAATAGAAAAATAATGACTGAGAATAAAAGGAGCAGAACTGAGCTGCGATACTCTTCATCAAAGAAAAAAATTCAGCTTTCCATCTTATTACTGACTTGTTTTCTGTTTTTTCAGTTCTTCACTTTACTCATTGCAATTTTTCTGAAGTTCAATGATATAAATACTGAATTTGAAGGACAATTCAGTTCTCATAAAAAGCAGCACTTTAAGTCTGTTGGAGCTAAACAAGTAAACTATGTTATAATCAGTAAACATTTTTCTAGGTAGCATTGTGCAAATGCCAATATATAAATGAAAATTTAAATCTTTTAAGGAACCAATTGGAAAAGCAATTTTGCTTAGGAAAGTGTGAAGAGTATAGAACCAATAAAGTGCAATAAGGATTGTTAGGACATTGGTTCATTGCTCTGAACACTCGAGAGACATTTCAGGCTGAATCCATTCAGAATAGCTTCCCAGTTCAAATTGACCCAATATCTCTTCATTATTTCTGATTAAATGACAACAGTAGACATAAAGAAGGAAAGAAAGAAGAGAAATAGGCATGAACAAAAAAGTTTTAGAATTAATTCTGTATTAAGAAATTTTAAAATCTGATGTTTATTTATAACGAGTAAAATCAGACTATAAAATTCATTTCAATCCAAGTTATAAAAACTGATTAACTCTCCCCTATAAAGTAGATCAATAATAGCACTTTAAATCTTAGATAATAAATGTTTCACTAGAGTCTTCTGGGAAAAAATAAATTTTTATGTAATAACAGTTTTTTAATGTCATAAGTTAATACAATTAACTCTTGTATTTATATGATTAGAACTGACAAAAGATATTTAGTTACATTTCTTTAAAGACTGAATTTTAAAGCATAAGAAAACATGTGCCCATCTGAAATAATAAAGAGGGAATTAAGTAAAACCCTTTGAATGAAATAAGATTTTCTTACATAAGCAAAAGCAATGTGGCTTATTGTTTAAGGGCATGGAAGCTAAATTCGTTCTGCTCAGGTTTAAATCTCAGCTCTGATATTTATTAGAAGCATAATTTGGGGCAGACACTTTAAAATTCTGTCATTTTCCCATTCTCTAAATTAAAGATAATAATAGTACTTATAACACAGTGTTGTTGGGAATAATATTTATAAAGCATTTAGAATATTGTGAGGATTATATGTAAAGCACTTAAAATGAGGCTGTTATAAGCATCATATAAATGCTATATTCTGTTATTATTATTAATGTTTATGCCTTAATAATAACTGAGGAATAAAACAAGTGCAAAACAGTACTTGTTGAATGTTACATTAAAAAAATGTTTAAATAACAAATAGACAGAATAGGCGAATACTTAATTTAAGAAACTAAAAGTGTCAGACCTTAAATGCTGGCTTCCCATTAAGCAAATAAATGCACTTGTAAATATCTGAATTTTCTTCCTTGGTTATGTTTTCTTTTTTATCACTGGCATTTCCAAATGTTTATGCAGAAATATTGCTTCAAATTTTTCATGGGATAATATGTCCACTTAGCAAATGAATTCTTTAATATGTATGAGAAATACAAAAATTAAAGCATTTAATGTCTATTAATACATTAATTAAACACTAATAATTGAAATTCTATTATGTATTAGACATTAGAATGTTCAGAGGTATTAGGAAAATGAATGTAATAAACTCCCTGCTATAATGCAAGCTCACAGTCTATTAGAGGAAAGAGATACTTCATAGTTTCTATACATTCTGTGAAGTTTATGATAATGATTTCTGCAAATTGCAAGGAAACAGAGTTGAGGCTCTCTACCTGGTCTGTGGAACCAAGTAGGGCTTTCCAGACTGAACATTGTTACACTGAATGTGAATTAAGGTATTCGTATTGTTATTTTTCTACTATAATATTAGACTATACAATATTTAAGATCCTCATAAACTACACCCATCATGCATGTTGTAGGTGTCCTTATTTAGGAGCAGCAAGATAAGTTTAGTTCAATATAAAATATCTGACAGCAAATTGGCCTTGATTTAACACTAGGATTCATTCTACCCTACTTACTAAAATTAAAAGTTAAATACTCTGACCGTGTTATGAAACATAAACTTGTGAAAGGTATCTAACTTGTTTGAGTTTTCACATTTCTAAGAGAAGTTACATAAACTTAACTCCTAAGACTGTAGCACAAGCTACAATGCTTGACACATGGTAGAGATTCAATACATGGTAGCTAATATCTTTATTGTCATATTTTTATTATCATTAAGAGTGGATTAAATTTAAGTTAGTGGCAACGCCCATGAGAAAACATAACTTTCTCTGTTTATTTTTATATTCTTTTTTAGAATTAAGGTCAACTCAGCACAGATAAATGCCCATAGAAATGACCAATAAATCCGAATTGTTTGTGTCTGGTCAGAAATTTTTAAAATATGATTCTTATCATTAGCATTTGAATGTGCAAATGAATTCTCTGGAGAACATTAAGAATGTTATGTAAAATATTCTCAAATAAATAAATGCACATACATACAATCTTTAGAATAAGGTTAAGAAACCTTACACTAAAGCATAAGGTTTATATTGTGGTATACAAAGTATACTAAGGTATAACCTTAATGTAAGGTTAAGAAACACATACTACATGTATACATATATGTTTGTGTATGTGTGTGTATGTATATATATGTGTGTGATCTTTTATATACAAATAGATATATATGTAATGCTTATGCTTGGATCATATGAGTTGATACAGATAGACATATAAACTTAACTTTTATATACAATTATATATGAAACGGGAAAAGTTCTCTTGTCCCCCTCGCAGGGCGTGTGATGGGGGTAGGACTCGCTTCTTCAGTGGCCCGCTGCTCGGAGTTCTAGGGGAGCATGCAGACAGGCAGGCCGTGGGACTCCGACCCCACAGCCGTAACTAGCGGTGAATGTTTACAGCTCCTGAAGCCCCAGTGGCGTGTGTTACAGGGTGCTGTTTTCGTTTTGCCATCTATAGGCGGCTTGTGTTAACCAGCACAATTAGACCTTCTCCCTTATCGCAAGGACAGAGGGCTTTCTGTATCCCGGGTTCTCGCCTTGGTGTACCGGGAGAATCAGATCACACTTGGGCTTGGAGAATGAGTGCAAGGTTTTATTGAGTAGAAGTAGCTCTCAGTAGATGGGGGAGCAAGAAGCGAGATGGTCCTCCGCTGGTGTCAGGCCACTCAGCGCCCCGGGTTCTCCTCCGATCGCCCTGGCCAAACTCTGCGCTGTTCCTCCAGCCATGGCCAGTGTACTCCTATGGCAGTGCGTTCCTCATACGTCCAGTCGCACGTGTGTTCCTCCGCTGATGTGCTCCTCTCCACATCCGGGCACCTGTGTGCTTGCCTGTTACGGTCTTGGGGGTTTGTATAGGCAGAGGATGGGGGCATGGCAGGCCAGGGTGGTCTTGGGAAATGCAACATTTGTGCAGGAAATGCCTGACCTCACCTAGGTCCCTGGGGCTGGAGACCTAGCCAGGGACCAGGCCCTCCTCTACCCAGCACTTCCCTTCCCCGCTTCCGATCATTTAAAGGGACCACACCCTTCCCTTTCCAGCAATTCCCTTCCATATCATATATATGATATATAACACACATAATATAATATGTAAATGATTTTATACACATAAATGTACGTATAAAATCAACTCCTATGAACCAAAGGGAAACATTACATATTATGTCAAAATTGTTAATTTGCTGAACTCTATCTGCTTTATTTCAACACTTAAAAGTTGCTTTATCTTTGTGTGGGTTATAACAGTTTTATGTTTACAGTATAGCAGATATTTTAGATTAAAAAAGGTAGAAGTTGATAAAGGAGGAACAGGTTTTACCATTGAATCTCTATTCTAAAATGTGTATGGTAATAAGAGAAAATCTATTTTTAGAGGGCTCCTTAGCTGTGGGAAACATCCAAGCACCTTTGCACTTTATGAATGGCATGCTTTCTGGTAAATCTGCAAAAAACTGTAGAACATAAATATCTCTCTTATGAGGATATTTGGAACTGAATTTTTTAATGTTAAGTCATGTGGAGCATATCATTGGAAAGCTATGATTTTACCATCTAGCATCATAACATAATTAAAATACTGCTGTTATCATTTTAATGCCACAGATATTAAACAAGAATAATATTCATAATTTAAAAAACGATATGTCTTTCAATGTTCATGCTGGTCTTTGAGCAATGTTAACATAGTCATATCTCCCCTAGTGTGGAGAGTGGATATTTCAGAGCAATTGAAAAGTCAATCTGACTCAGACTCACTAGAGTGTGAATTGGTATAGCAAACTAAGATAACCAAAAATCAGTAGCAAAGTCGAATCCTTGAACTTAGAATTTTACTTTCTTGATTTCAACCCTCTCTGATGCTTAATATTTATCAATCTCTTTTCTTTAATTAGCTTTCATAGTAGCTCTCATTTTCTAGTTAAGAGTAAATTGTCTCAGATTTTGACTCATTTAATTGAGCAGTAACTGTCTTTCTTTTCATCCTGGTACTTCCATGATGGAGAGAGGTGTTCAGGGCCATGCTGAAAACTATCTAAGTTAATATTTTAGTATCATAATAGCATATCGCTTTTGTATACCAGGCAAGACAATTTGAGCTAATTCATATATTTAGGTGCTAATAACTCAAAAAACCTCTCGCTTTTATTTACCAAAAGTACATTTTATCAATGATCAAAGTTGTATTTATGGTAAAGAAAAACTATGTGATATGTAGAGTGAGGGATGGTCTAAAATATATTTTTTAATCTATATTTCTACCCACCCGATTTATGAGGATTTCTCACTAAGAAAAATGTAAAAGACAAAAACAAAAACCTAAAACATTAATTCTCTCTCTCTCTCTCTCTATCACAATCACACACACACACACACACACAGACACACACATACACAAATACACCAAAAAAAGAAAACCTTTCAAGCACACTAGTAACAAAAATGCAAATTAAATGAAGCACAGGCTGGGCACGGTAGCTCATGCCTGTAATCCCAGCACTTTTGGAGGCAGAGACAGGCAGATTGCTTGAGCCTAGGAGTTCAAGATCAGCCTGTGTAACCTGACAAAACACTGTCTCTACAAAAAAATATAAAAATTTGCTGGATGTGGTGGCATGCACTTGTAGTCCTAGCTACTTGGGAAGCTGAGGTTGGAGGATAACCTGATCCCAGGAATTTGAGGCTGCAGTGAGCCATGATCATTCCACTGTACTCCATCCTGGGTAACATGGTGAGATGTTGTCTCAAAAAAATAAAAATAAATAAATAAGGTACAATATTTTTCTATAAAAGTTTATTAAAAATGCACAAAACATAAAGAGACAGTGGTTCATTTATTTCTCAATATGTATTCAGCACATGCTATCTAACATTACTTTGAAATGTTTGAGCTATATATATTATATAACCATAACAAAATACATGCATTCATAGAGTCTGTCTTCTAGTGAAAGGCTACAGAAAACAAGCACCTAAATAAATGAGGAATAAAATAAATTCAGGAATAAATAAATTCGATGAAGAAAATTAAACAGAGTGATATGCTTGAGAATGACTACATTGGAAGGAAGTATTTTGATTGAGTACTTGGTGATAGCTTCTCTGACGAAAGCTTTTAGCTTTTTGTTAATGACAAAAAGCCAGCCTTGCAAATAACTGAGGAAAGTAGGGTTTTTGTTTGTTTCTTTTGGTTGTTCTTTTGTTTTGGTTGTGTATTTTTATTTTTTATTTTTCCTAAGCACAGGAAATAACTAGAACTACAACACAGAATCTAAGCAAGGGTCAATTTAAGCATCCCCAGAAATGAGGCCAGTGTGAAACCAGCATGAAAGAGGGTTATAGAAAAATGGGAATTTTGTAGGTCCTGTTAGCTTTTACTTAAATGTGATGAAGAGTTTTGAAAATGAAAGGGATATGACCTAACTATATTTAAGGTTAGAAGGAAGGAAACCAGTAATACTGGCTTACGTAGGATGGGAACAATAAAGATAGAGTGAAGTAAACAGATTTGGGTGAAGGCAGAGCCAACAGGTGCTGTTGAAATCCAGTGTAAGGGGAGAGGAAACCAGTGCAAGGAATCTTAGAGACATTAAGTTCTAGCATAAGCCAATGTGACATATAATACTGAGTATCACATGCTGAGATCCAGAAGACTCAGAAAGAACAGATTCAATAGGGACCTCTTGGATTCGTTTTCTATGAGTTGCCTAGAACTAGATTGCCAGTAAGAAGTCAAAAGGGGAGGAATAGCAGATAAAAGCGACTGCCAGATACTGGGTAAGTGGTAGCTGAGAGTTGTGTAGGGTCATATAAAACAAGGTAAGAAAGAATCTCAAAAAAGGTAGTAATCAGATAGGTCAAATGCTGCAGAGAAATCAAAGAAGAATACAAAAGTCATCTTTGTATTTAGCAACCTGAACACCCATATTGACCTGAATAAGAAATCTCTGGATGCACTGTAGAAGCAGAACCACAGTTCGATAAGATTTTTTTCAGAAATATGAGGTGTAGCCAATATTTTATTATTCTATCTTTATGAGAGAGCAAAATAAAGAAAAAGAAAGAAGGAAAGAGCAGATAAATGAGTCAGTAGACAAAAGTTTATTTAAGGTGAAGAAATTATTTTTAAGATAAAGATGCTAGAGGATATCTGTATTCAGAAATAATTATTCTAAAAATAGGGATGGAAAAAGAGATAAAAGGAGTAGAACAATTATGATGGTAAGATAAATTTGTATAATTTTTGCCAAATGCAGTTAGTTTAAGTTTTTAAAATGTTTATTCACTTTGAAAAGTTAACCTTGTTTCTGGGAATATAATTTAAATAGTTAAGTAATAAAATGTTATTGATGGTATGATTTTAAATACCCAAATGTGTTTAATATGGAAATGTTCTACAAAGTAGTCCATCTCTACAATAGCATATTATACAGTTATTTAAAAATTATGTTAAGAAATATATTCAAGAAAATTAAACATGAAATAATAATGTTATGTGATAAGGATTTAAATTAATATTGAAAATGACTCTAATTATATATATGCATGTTTAAGTTTGAATATATTTGTATCTATAGATACATGAGGTATGAGTATGTCTTCTACCTATGTGAATTTTTAAATATGTTTTCAGTTTATATTTCTGGTTGCTGAAGTAATTTTTACTTTTTCTAAAGTATCCATATATTCCAAAATGTTTTTCCAGAAATAGGTGTGCAAATTTGTATAATTAAAAATGATGCATTAAAAATATATAAATATATTATTTTGAGAGAACAGTGAAAGTCAGAAACAGGTGCAGTAATTGGAAGGGATTTAAACATAGAAGTTTGGAAACAGTTGTGAGGAATAGTCCATGAACAATGGACTCCTCAATAGCACTAAACATGGAAACCATTTTTTTCTCCACTTAAAGCTAGAAGTTCTATAAATAACTTCAAAGTTAATCTAAAATAGACCTTTCCTAGTGGGAAAATATATATATATGTGTGTGTGTGTGTGTGTGTGTGTATGTGTGTGTGTACTGATATAGATATATGTGTGTATATATGTATAGATATAGGTGTAAATATGTATATATGTGTGTGTGTGTATATATACATAGAGAGACAGAAAGAGAGAGAGAGCATTTTGCAAGAGTAGGAGTGGGACAAATTGAATCTTCAGCAGTTACAGTATCTATATAGTTTCAGCAATCAAAAATTACTACAGAGTAAATTTTAATAAAAATATAATTTTCTTAAAATGGTATTCAAGTAAGAAACTATGTAATTTAGAAATAAAAAAATTAGAAGTGTTGAAAGATTATTAAAGAAAGCCTTAAATACAAAGAAGTTTCTAATTTGTATTAATACAAGTAGACTGTAAATACAGAAGAGAAAAAATAAGTTAGAAACTAGCATAGATATGTGATTTTAAAATTGAGATATTTCTTAAATCCATAATCCTAGCCTAATCATGAGAAAAGCATCATGCAAATCATCACTGAGGGTCATTCTACAAAACACCTCATCAGCACTCCTCAAAAGGGTCAAGCTCATCAAAAGCAAGGAATTCTGAGAAACTGGCCTAAGGATTGTTTGGTTAATGTAGTGTGGTATCATGGATGTTATTCTGGAACACAAAAAGAGATTGGTTAAAAACTAACAAAACTGAATAAGTTATGGAATTTCATTAATAATAATATACCAATATTGGTTCATTAAATATAGCAAATGTATCATACCAATGTAAGATGTTAGAAATAGGATAAGCTAGGTATGGAAATTTTGTGCTATCTTCACATTCTTTTCTGTAAATCTGAAACTGTTCTCAAAAGGAAGTTAAGGAATAAAAACAAAACAAAACAACACAAAAAAACTGGGATATGGGCAAGATGGCCAACTAGATGCAGCCCGAAATGCTGCTCCCATAGGGAGAGACCATGATTTCAACTACATCAACATAATTTGAGCAGATCTCCAGAGAGAAAACACCAAATATGTCTGGAGAAAAGACTCAGATTCTGAGGCTGAAGAGGGGGGAAGCTGGGAAGCCGGATTGGGGAAGCTGTGAGGCCGGATTGGGGTGGCTGAATGCTATAGACCTTTGAGATCCTAGCTGCAGGGGAACACACACCCTCACAGATGTATGAGCTGCCAGGGGGATCTCCTTGGAGATTAAAGACGGAACTGCAGTGGGCACAGAGCCAGGAACTTTTCAGGGGTTGGGGAGGGCGGTGCCAGCTGTGTCAGCTCCCACAGAGCCTGGTCATAAGACCCCAACGCTCAGGGCTGCCTATTTCTCTCTGACAGGCTGAGGTCCCAGCTAAATACTGGGGAGATAGCAGGGTCCACTTCCCCACAAGACTGGGACACATTTGTCCTACAGGTTCCCTTGCCCGCCAGTCCTTCCTCGGGACCCTGCCAGGCCACCCCATAGGAGCATGTACACAGTGCAATCTTCACTGCCCAGCTGTGTAGTCTGCTCCATCTGAGTGCAGTCCTACAATCTGAGAGCCCTTTGGATCCCCCACCACACCCAGAACACAATCGTAACATCTGGAGGATGAACCACTGGCAGGTCCTGGCACCCCGGGGCTGCATCCAGAGGCTCAGGAGTGTTGAGTGGAGATCAATGCTTGACACTCCAATAGGAGAGCAGCCTACACCCTCAGAAAACTGAGAGTTTTATGGGCTGGCGTGGGGTCTAGGGATGCCTCTCTGAAAAGGGCTGATCTGGTGAGGGTATGGCTTTTCTTCTTACCAGACCTCCCCCCAAGAGAGGCCTGAGGCTGGAAAGACCTAATAACAACAACAACAAAGATAAAAATCATGGGCACAGTACCAGTGATTGGAGATAGCTCCCCTAAGGCCCATGAGCTGACCTGGTGAGGGAGTCACCCCTTTCCCATCACATCACACAACATAACTGCAAACACAAGGATATACAAATGAACTGCATGGCTGAGTAAGAGCCTATGTACTGCTCACTGCTCTGAAATACTATCTACTGGATTGCAGCCCAAACCGCAACACCAATAATCATGTTGCTAATTTTCCCTGCTGTGAAACCAAGGGCAAGAATCCAACAACAAACAAAAACCCTGTACAGAGTATTAGCCCTCTGAAAACTTCCAGAAACAAAGCCAAATCACTATCAATTTTCACCACAGTTAAAGAAATACCAGCCCTCCCAGGTGAAAGAGAATCCATGCAAGAACCCTGTTAATTCAAAAAGCCAGAGTGTTCCCTTACCTCCAAATGAGCCCTCTAGCTCCCCAGCAATGGTGCTTACTAGTCTGAGCTTCCTGGGATGACAGACACAGAATTCAGAATCTGGATGGCAAGAAAGTTCATTGAGATAGAGAGCAAGTTGAAACTCAATCCAAGGAAGCCAAACAATCAGGTTAAATGATTCAAGAGCTGACAGATGAAATAGCCATATTAAGAAAGACCCAAACTGAATCTGCTCAGCTGAAAAATTCACTACAAGATTTCAAAATACATTCCGAAGTTTTAACAGAAGAATAGACAAAGCTGAAGAAATCTCAGAGATCAAATATGGGCTCTTTGAATCAACATAGTCAGACAAAAATAAAGAAAAATAATTAAGAAAAATGAACAAAACCTCCAATAAATGTGAAATTATGTAAAGAGACCGAATCTATGACTCATTTGCATTCCTGTGAGAGAATGAGAGAGAACATGCAACTTGAAAAATATATTTGAGGATATAGTCCATGAAAATTTTTCTAATATCACTAGAGAGGTCAACATGGCAATCTAAGAAATACAGACAACTCTAGCCAGATTTATTATACAAGGTGACCTTCCTAAGGCAAATAGTCATCAAATTCTCCAAGGTCAATCCAAAAGAAAAAACATCTTAAAGTCAGCTAAAGGAGAAGAGCAGGTCAGATGGAACCCCATCAGGATAACAGCAGGCCTCTCAGCAGAAACTTTACAAACCAGAATAGATTGGGGGCATTTTTTCAGTGTCCTTAAAGCAAAGACATTTTAACACAAAATTTTATATCCTGCCAAAATAGCTTTGGTACTTTCAATGAAAGAGAAATAACATCATCCTCATATAAGCAACTGCTGAAGGAAAAATCATTTCAACTAGACCAGCATTACAAGAGGAACTTAAGGGAGTGCTAAACATGGATTCAAAGATTGATACCTACTACAGCAAAAGGACTTAAGCACATAACCCAAAGGCACTATTAAGCAACTAAACAATCAAGTCTATGTAGTCACCAGTTGACAACATAATGATCCACATGTATCAATACTATTCTTGAATGTAAATGGGCTAAACACCCCACTTAAAAGACACACAGTGGCAGATTAAATAAAAGATAAGACTCAACCATCTGTTGTCTTCAAGAGACCCATTCGCGTGTAAGGACACCCACAGGCTCTAAGTGAAAAGGATAAAGAAACAAATACCTACCATGCAAATGGAAAACAAAAAAGACCAGAAGTGTCTATTCTTATATCAGATAAAATAGCCTTTAAACCAATAAAAATTAAGAAAAATGAAGAGCATTACATAATGATAAAGAGTACTATGAAACAAGAAGCCTTAACTATTCTCACTATATATATATGTGTGTGTGTGTGTGTATACATATATATACATATATATACATATATATACACATATATACATATATATACACATATATACATATATATACACATATATACATATATATACATATATATACATATATATACACATATATATACATATATATACATATATACATGTATATATACATATATATAAAGAATTACATAATGGAAATAAAGATAAGGATTATGAAATGCAGTGGGTCTTTAAGGGAGCAAGAGGAGTTTTTAAATAACTATTATCTAAAACCCAAAAGCAAATATTAAAATCTCTGAGAATAATAAAAAATACTGGGATTATTATAATCCCAAAGAAACATATCAAAGTACCAGGAATAAGTATATGCACAGAATAACATAATAACATAATATTCCCTTTCAGATTTTCCAAAATATTTATAAGAGGAAAATATCTATTTTGAATATGTGCTGCCTTAAAAATGGGGACATCTGTTTGAAGATGGTGAGATGAGCATACATGGTTTATTTCCCCTCCAATAAGCCATTGAAATGAAAGTACAGAATTAGAAAGGCAAATTTATTTGCAAAAATACTGTTGATGGAGAACAGGAGTCTCTATGAACTAACTATTTTAATGAAACTCTCAGTAAAGGCAGCTGGAATCATACTGATATTCCAGGCAGATACCACCGATATGAAAGAGTCATAGCTAAGAAACACACAGACACATTTTTCATAGTGAGTCGTGGCTTATTGCAGAGCCCTTGTTGCTTAGTTACTGAGAATTTCAGAGAAAGTAGGGTCAGAAAATAAAGTAATTGAAAAAAACAAGTCTTCAAAGTATCTGCGTTATTTGGCCATTCTTATACTGCTTTCTTCATCACTACTTGTTCAGTGACATATATCCCTATCTGAAAACAAAAAAGAATATTTCATGTAATCTTTCTTGGAGGGATTAGTGCTGCCACGCGGAAAAGTGGCACCACCAAAGATGCTCTATGTTTGGCTGTAGCTGACTTGGGATTGGGATGTGAGAGAGGAGCCTGTCTCCTTACTTCTCATCTATTCAACATAAAGTTAAAAATTTCAGCCCAAAATACAGAAACTTCATATTAAAAACTGCAATAAATTATCACTCGAAAGTGACGTTAGTGAAAGCAGAGAAGACCTGTCACTAAAAACCAACCTCTGATTTTTTTCATAAATAATCATGAGTAGAGGCAAGAATAAATAGCTATAGGATGTAAAGAAAATTTTCAGTAAATATCAATTACGGAAAAAATAAATAGCAAAAAAAACTTTGTAAAATTTATAATACATTGTTGAAATAAAACAACAAAAAATAAAAACTAAAGGAAATTGTGGCATTTTTAATTTTCCTGTGATAAATTTTTTTAAAAGAGGAAGTAACTGGAAATACAAGAGGAAGGTTATTATGTCCAAGTAGATAATCTTAAGAATATTGACATACAGCAAATAGGCATTTAAGAAAGAAAAATAAGAGACAAAAAGCATAGAAAGAAGAAAATAATTAAAATATTAAGAAAATTTTATAATTTAAGAAAGTCAGAGCCATTCACATTTTAGAGAATACAAGTGTCATATAACATGTTGGAGTCTCAAAAAAAATAAATAAACATGTTGGAGAATATGGGTGTTATGTTCTAACTAGACACGTTTACCTGAAATTTTTGAGTATGAGGGCTAAAGAGAAATCCATGAAAATTATTCTGAGAGTGTGTTTTGTTCATTAAAAAGGAACATACACCACATTAACATCAGATTGTCATCACAATCTCTGAAAGTAAATCAAGCAATGTCTTCAATGATCTAAGAGAAAAGAGTTTTGAACATAGAATTTCTTGTTCTAGAAACATACCAATCAAGCATAGTCAGAAGATAGAGTCACATTTAGGCAGGCAAGGACTCAAATATTTTTCTCACACATATATTTTTATGAATTAGTTGATGATAGACCTTAAAAACCTAAAAAAGTCCTTGTCCCCCAAAAAACGAGACTAAACAGAGACAAAGACTAATGGATCAATCTAAAAAAAGTAATGTAAAGGAATAAATTGTTCTGTGGGACTAGATGACAAAGTTCAAATCAGTATAAAAAGTTCGTAAGCTGAAAGAAAAATATAACAAAAGAGGAAATATATTTTTCATAAGTAAGTTAAAAGTTGGATAATGTGAGTGAGCAAAGTGTATCAAAACAAGAAAACATATTGTAGTCTACTTATCCTTCCTTACATCCTGCTAAATTATTTCTCTATATCCTATGTAACATCCTGTTTTTAGTGGCATAGACTGTAGCACATTTCTTTTTACATATATCCTAATATATATTTTGATTATTCTGGGATTAATATTTATATAATCAAGTAGTTATAAAATCAGTCCATTAATTTGCAATTTTCAAAATATAATTTTCATTTATTATTAAGTATTGGCATCAAAATATTGAAATAATATAAAATTACAGGTGTAAAAACTCACTTATAGGTCTTGACTTGTATTCAAATTTAATAACACATCGAATAGTATTTTAAGATGAGAGGTGAAGGACAGGATATAAACAAAATTAAGGGGGTACTAACTTCTTAATGTGTAAAGGAAACGAAGGGTAAATTGATATTGCTTAAAATCAGAAGGAACACTGACTGTAATATTTAGCAGCAGTTATTTCTGAATGCAGCTTGGATTCGGAAAAGTGACAACTTTCTCAGTTATTAACCACGAGAACAAAAGGTAAAAGAATCCCCAGTGGCTGTTAATGATTAAAATGAATACTTTACGTCAGAACAAACAGACATTTTATGACTAAATTTTACATTTTTATTGATGTCAAATATAAAACATTTGAATTCCAAGCAACTTTACTGCTTTGGGAGATGACCCTAGATCCAAATTTATGATGTTTTCCAGAAAACCACTGATCTATCTGCTTCTGGTCAAATGATTGAAATACCACAGTGAAGGATCATTATTAAAGTAGTCCATAGTAGTGTTACAGCAGCCCCTCAGTGTACTTGTGTAATCATTTGCCCATATACTGTCTTCCCTAGGTATCTGTGGGGGATTTGTTCCAAGGCCTCATGCGGATATGAAAATTTGCAGGTACTCAGATCTGTAATATAAAATTGTTTAGTATTTGCATATAACCTATGCACAGCCTCTCCTATACTTTAAGTCATCTCTAGATTACTTGCAATACCTAATACGGTGTAAATGCTATGTAAATAATGGTTATAATGTACTGTTTAGAGAATAATGATGAAAAAGGTCTGTACGTGTTCACCATAGTACAATTTTTTTGTGAATATTCTCAATCTCTGGTTGGTTGAATCTACAAATGCAAAACCCATGGATACTGAGGGTTGACTATATATTAATATATACAAGTATTAAGACACTTAACAAAAATAGAGAATATATATAGAAAATATGGTATAATATATAATATGAAATATACCATAGTATATGCAAATGAAAAGTTGTTTCCTCCACAGTGAATGCTTTATAACTTAATTAAGTTTATCCAGTTTTCTAATAATAAACTCTTGCATAATATAGAATCTGTTTATAAAAGAAACCACACATTTGGCTTTAGTGTTTGGGAGCACAATTACACTATGACCATAACACCTACAGCCATAGCTCTGAGTCAGCTTACAGTAACAAGGCATAATTTTGTTGTAACAGTCTTTGAATAATTTAAATATATATGAAAAGTTCTTTTTCTAGTTATTCAGCACAAATTTTAAAAATACATACACAAGCATATAAAAGGTAGGTTTATACTCTTATCTTTCTGTATTCTAATTTTAAAACACCAAACTAAAACTGTGTGTAAAACTGATTTCATAATTACCACTTTGAAATATCAAATGAACTTATATCTTAGCTCTCTAAAACCTAAAAGTGATTTTGTTTTCATTTTTTTTCCATTGACTCTAATCTATTTGTGCATCTAGACCTCAATTATAAAGCTGTTTCCTTGTAAGGTTAGGCTGAGGAAATACTTTTTTTCTGGATTCAGTCACATTTTCACAGTAGCAAGTAAACTGAAAACCAGTCTAGCACTTCCCTTAATTATGTCTGCAAACACTTTACTTCAATAAACACTCATTTTTATATGTAAAATGAAGATAGGTTTCTAAAAATGATTTGAAAAATTATTTTCAAGAGATATGTGTTTTTAAGAACTGTTTTGTTTTTGTGTTTCTTTATGTTCTCTGTTATCAACTCTGGTATACATATTTTGAATACATAGATATTCAAAATATCTATGGAGCAAAAAAATGTTTATTTTGATCTAATTAGTGCCATCCTTTGGAAACTCTTGCTAAGATAAGCTTAGCAAAACTTGTCTTGGTTGTTGAGACTGATGATGCCTCATACACACCAAAAGGATATGAAGAAATGTATTACACAACCAGGTTCTCTGGAGAGAATGTGGAAGCTCCCAAGCAGATCTGAAACTTCTTAAGAAAGCAGAGAAAGGAGTCTGTCTTGACTTGTGTGAGGGTCCCACATGCATTGAGGGTGGCATGGGGTAAGGGGTTGCAAGTTTTGAGCTTCCCAAACACCAGCAAAGGAAAAACTCAAACTTTCTGCTCAGCTTGCCCTGATCTGAAGCAGAAGAGGAACAGTAAGAGTTGAGGCTTAAAAGTTATTAGCCCTCAAACATCCAAAATGTAAATAGAACTGAAGGTCATTATGTTAAATGAAATAAGACAAGAATAGAAAGACAAATATCACATGTTCCCACTCAAATGTGTGAGCTAAGAAAGTGAATCTCATGAAAATAGATAGTATTAGTGTTGCCACAGTCCAGAAGCATAGCGGGAAGAGAGGGATGAAGAGGTTGATTAATGTATACAAAAATATAGTTAGATAAAAGAAGTAAGACTTAATGTTTGATAAATCAGTAGAGTGAAAATAATAAAGAACAATCTGTTTTATATTTCAAAATAGCTGGTAGAGCTATTTTGGAATCTTAGGAACATAATGAAAAAATCAATGTTTAATGTGAAGGGTATTTCAATTACTCTGATTTGATTTTTACACAGTATACAAATGCATCAAAAAATCACATATACTCCCAAAATATGTACATTTATTATGTATCAATAAAAATGTAAATAGACTCTATTACTCTAGGAGATAAAAAATGTGCATACTTCCTAAAATTTGGACATGATGACTCTCTCTTATGATACTGATATAATTTGTATTATTCTGAATACCCAGTGAAATATAGTGAAAAGTAGGAATTCACCTTACTACTCAAGAAAGCCAGATATTATGTTTATCTTATTATAGTCCACTGACCACCATCCATTTTAAGTTGCTAACTTTGTTATGGAATGCTTTCCTCATACCAGAAAAGAATTCCTGACATAGATAAGCTCCCAGAATTGCTATTAATAGTTACATTTAGGCAGCATTTTATCCTTTACCTCTGTAAAGAGATAACTTTACCAATCTGGGAGCAGGCTATTGGGGACAAGTACTGAATTATTGTATATCTTATATTACAAAATGAATATACACTCCAGTTAGCAATTACACTCACCAATAGACATTACATATTATTTTGTCATTATTTCAAATTCATATACCGTATGCTTTTATGATTTAGCATGGACCTAGATTTATTATGGGCCTAGATTTATTATGGGTTTAATAAACAGCTAGAAAACATAAGCCTGACCCTTCTTCATTAGTTTTACTGCTGCCTGATGCAACAGGGGGATAATATTAAATTACTTCACCTCAAAGTGAATGTATTAGTGTTTTTTTCTCCTTCAATTTAGTTGGAACCAACCAGCAATGCAGAGTGGTGGAGGCTTGGAAATAAAGAGTAAGGGGAAAAATAGTACATTTTTAAATAAAAATAAATCAAGTTATGTGTACTGCCTAGATTTCTTTGGACTCTAAATCAAAATATCCAAACGCAGGCTGTTCAGTGGAAAGGACAACTTGTCCTCAAACAACATTTTTCTAGCCCCATGTACATTGGGTCTAAAACAAGAAACAAATATTAGATGTGCTTAAGATAAATAATTTAAATATATGTTTGTCTTGATAACTTCTTTACACTTCCTTTTGAGATTTGCTCTTAACACTTGAATATCAGAAATAATTTAACCTATTTGTTTTCTTATATACATTAAATAACTGAGAAACTATATTTCTAAATTTCTAAATATGCCAACGAATGATAAATGACTGTATGCTACAGTATCTCTTAGTGATATATACAGATAATTTCACTTGATCTTCACGACAGTCTTATGTGAATGTTTTCATTACTTCCTCTTAACAATTGTAATCAAGCAAGTTAGGATAGAATTTGGTATCAGAAATTAGTACAATTTATAAAACCTACATGTAGAGCTTACTGTATGTATAATAAAACAATGTTAGTGAATGGATAGCCATCCCCAGCTGAAAGTTGGTATCTCATTTTATGTGGTGGCAAAACATTTCATCAAGCTATTACTGCTATACATTGGATCTCAGAATATAGGCTGAAGAAGCATGTAGTACTAGAATGTATAATAAGAAAAATAAATATAAAACATTGGAGTGTGTAAGTTATAAGTGATCAATCTGAAATCAAGGATTAAGGAAAATAAGATCTTATGAAATAGTCAATCTCTGCCTATAGCCTTGCAGGGTTGAAAAATCCACATTTTATAAAGCAAGCTGAACATAGTAAATGCCTCAGCAGAAAATAATCCTAAGCAAAAAGAACAAAGCTGGAGACATCGCCCAACTTCAAACTATACTGTAAGACTACAGTAGCCAAAACAGTATGGTACTGATACAAAAACAGACATATAGACCAATGGAACAGGTTACAGAACCCAGAAATAAAGCTGCATACTTACATACTTACATATCTAATCTTTGACAAAGTTGACAAAAATAAGCGATTGAGAAAGTTCTCCCTATTCAATAAAAGGTGCTAGGATAGCTGGCTAGCCATATGGAGTAGAATAAAACTGAATCCCTACCTTTCACCATACATAAAAAATGACTCAAGCTTGACTAAAGATTTAAATGTAAGACCACAAACTGTAAGAATCCTAGAAAAAAACCTAGGAAACACCATTCTGGACATCGATAATGGGAATTAATTTATAACTAAGTCCTCAAAAGCAATGGCAACTAAAACAAAAATTGATAAGTGGGATTCAATTAAACTAAAGAGTTTTAGCACAACAAAATAATCAACAGAGAAAGCAGATAACCTGCAGAATAAGAGAAACTATTTTAAACCATGCATCCAACAAAGGACTAATATCCAGAATCTGTAAGGAACTTAAACAATACAACAAGTAAAAAACAAACAACCACATTTAAAAGTGAGCAAAAGACAGGAACATTCAAGACATACAAGCAGCAAACACGCATATGAAAAAAATGCTCAACATCACTAATCATCAGAGAAATGCAAATGAGATACCATCAGAATGGCTTTCAGAATGGCTATCATTAACAATTAAAAAAAAACAACAGATGTTGGAGAGGATGTGGAGAAAAGGGAGTACCTATACATTGTTGATTGGAATGTAAATTAGTTCAGCCACTATGGGAAGCAGATTGGAGATTTCCAAAGGACTTAAAACAGAATTACCATATATATATACCAAGTGATGAGATTGCTGGGTCAATATATATCTACCAAAAAGAAACATGCGCTCATATGTTTATCACAGATCTAGTCACAATATCAAAGACGTGAAATCAACCTAGTTGTCTAACAGTGATGGAGTGGATAAAGAAAATGTAGTACATATACACCATGGAATACTATGCAGCCATAGAAAGAAAGAAAATCATGTCCTTTGCGGCAACATGGATGCAGCTGGAGGTCCTTATCCTAAGCAAATTAATCCAGGATCAGAAAACCAAATGCCACATATTGTCACTTATAAGTAGGAGTTAATGTTAGGTATTCAGGGACATAAAGATGGCAACAATACACACTTGGACTGCTAGAAGCGGGAGAGAAGAGAGCGAGGGTTGAAAAACTATTAGGTGCTATGCTCACTATATGGGTGATGAAATAAACCATACTCTAAACCTCAGCATCATGCAAAATACCCATGTAACAAACCTGCACGTGTACCCCTGAATCTAAAATAGAAGCTGAAATTATGATAAAGAAACAAAATAAATATAAAATAAAATTAGGTTAAGTACCTAACATTAAAAGATTTTTGTTCAGCATATGTCAAGTTAACTGTATTGCCTTCTGTCAAAAGGTTATTGTTTTGAAATACTTGAAGACAGTGTCCATTAAGCTAAGCTAAGACTAATGGAAAGGCAGAATGCAAAGGATGATAGATAAAATAACCAAACTGAACCAGCAACAAAACAAAAACTAACACCTCAGCATCAAAACTATGTCTACAAACTCATTGGCTATGGTTATAAAGTATTGGAAGGAATTTGATGGAAAAAATATAAAAACATTAATAAAGCACAACACAAAGAACAAAAACAAGACTGGTTAGACACATCTCTTAACTCTTCAACACTTAAAAGCATTTTCTGGATCCATGAATTTTCACCAGCATAAAATGGACTCTGAATGTTATATATTCCCTAAAATAACTCCATCTCAGCTGTAGCCATGAAGAATAATAAACAGGAAAGATAATTTCAGAGGACAGAATCAAGAAAATAAGACCACTGACATAGCTCTGGGTTTTTGTAATTCTTTTCTATCAGGCTATTTGAAATGTACTTCTAGATGTTTTTTAAATTCCCCATTCTGAACAGGGGAGTTTACTGCAGTTACCATGTTCCATCTCTATAATTATATAGTAGAGATGTTTAGGGGAGATAGAATGCTTTTATGGCTATAGTGTGCCACACATGGAGCCACTTATAGACTTTGATGGTATCAATTATCTCTAAAATTACTGGAACTCAAGCAAAAACTGAATAAGACTGTTTATTGAGGAGGTGAATTGAAATCAATGCATTTCCCATACACTGTACATGTGGAATATAACACGTGTATGCATCTTGAGTAGACAAAAGGATGGAGCCAAGCAGACACTATTAATTATCTATCCAATAAATGTTCACATCCTTTTTACAGATAAAACTACAAGTTTGCTCAGGGTGACACTAGCCCAACTTGAGGAAATAGGTCACAAATTGGTATAACCCAATCATGTCACTCCTATTAGCAAATCTCCTACTGATGCTCTGTGTTACGTGTGGCAATATATCCAGCAATAGACAATTAGACCTAAGTAGAAAGCTGGTGAGTTGAAATGGGGGCAATAGTGTTTCTCAGAAAATGTTAACATTTCTGACGAAGAACAGGGCCCTTTATCGATTTTTTTCTGCCTTCACTGAGTGTTGTGTTAATGTGAAAATCTTCCCTAAATGAGTGTTAACTTGTAGGATATACTAAAAGTTAAACAGATACAAGTATATTTGGGATATGAATACAGGTAAAATGACTCTAGAGCCTATTCTCTTACCACTGTATTCAACAGCTGCCTGGCATATGCATTTACCAACAAGAATATATATGACACAAAGCATATATTTCACCAAATAAATAATGTTTGAGTGAATTTGTTAAACCATACCCCAATATGGCATTAAAAATATATGATTAATCTTTTGCCTAAATATTTGTAAAAAATGTTTTACTTAACAACCTGCCCATTTAAATCATAAAGAAACTCCAAAGATTATCCTTAATTACCCAAAAGAGCTGATCTTGTCATGTTTTGGCCTGATCATTTACATAGATGTATCAAGAAATGTTAACCAAAGAAACTCCTTCAACCATGTCATATTGAACAACTCCTGAGGTCAGAGAATTAATGTCTGTCTAGAAATTGTGTATAATTACATGAATGGACTTTTTACATTCTGTATTAATTATTCTTTTATCTTGACATTAGGAATAATTCCCCCCCAACCAAAGAAAACAAAACAAAGACATTTCTTCACCATGTTACACCTGTTATATTTATAAAGTCTGGTAAATTTTGTTTTCTTTAAGGTTACCAGAATTGGTTAGGTGTGCTGACTTGCCAGAAAGTAATCTTTCTTGTCTTCACTGAAACTGTGATGCTGTGATTCTAGTAGATAACTGGTAACCTGACCCTTGTCAGTGGTGAGCTTAGCTGGGTTATAATGCAGGATTCTCAGTATTTCTTTAAGTACTCTTTAAACGTGACTGCATTGAGATTCTCTCCCCTTAGCCATCTCAAAGGAGTCAGACTTTATATATAGTGGCTAGTTTTCCCCAAAATGTGTAAGTCTAAATGGTCAGGCTTTCTTAAGGTTTAGGTCACAATCAAACATAGTGCACCTCTGCTATTGATTAAATCAACTAACAGTTAAACCCATACTCAACAAGAGAAGACTAAACAAGGTATGAATACCGGATGGTATGCTTCATGGCAAGCCACCAAAGTAACACTGTACCACTATTTTTGTATCATATAAAATCTGAAGCCAAATAACTGACAAACATCTATTCAAATAATAATTAAATAAATGACAATAGAATGAATACTTAAACTCCAAGTTTATAAAACCTACTGATATGGTTCCTATTTAAGTGTAGTCATGTATTAAAGATGACCATCCAAAATAAATATGATTGAGATGTTAAAATGCATTTCAGAAAGGTTATTAATTTTAACAACAGAAGGTTTGTAATATATATGATAAATATCTGGAATTAAAAACTATAAATAACATGTATTTTCATAATAGAAAGCATAATTATGATATCAAGCACTCACTATAGTATATCAGCTCTTATCCTACAGCTTTATGATAATAGGCTAAAAAGTCTAATCAATAGTTGCAAAAATAGATAAATGAATTTTTGAATAAATGATATATTATGTGAATGACTTATGATAGGTAAAAATATAAGGTTATACAAGATTTAGAAGTTATAAATGATTCCCTGAATACATAATAATCAATGGTAAATAATCTTCATGGTATAAACTGATCAGTACTTTATAAGTGTGGGCCATATTATTAGCTCCATGAATTCTGGAACCAGGTTGTTTCATCATTAAATACCCAGTGCCAGGCACATAGGAGGTTCTTAAAAGTAATGTAAATGCTTGTTGGGTAAATTAATAAATAACTAATGAAAAAATTCAGCTGAACTGAATATTTTGAAATGCAAATGATTTGTGGATGTTTCTTACTTCTTACTGTCACTCTATATCAGGCAGTAATGATAGAGATTAAAAGGAAACCACAATGTAATACACCCTAATATGAAATACTAAGGATATGTGCTTAATGTGAAAAGAAATATGCTCAAATTATTTTTTATATTTTTAAAACTAATAAATACCAAGAAGTGTACTTACAGGCATGTATAAGATTTTAACTTTATCAAAATTTGGAATGATGAAATAAAGTAAAATATTTCAAAAAGCTAGCTTAACATGAATTTTTTATATATAATTCCCATAAAACCTAAAAATAATTAATTTAGACATATTTGTATTAACATAAAATTAGTTAAATCAGTCAGGTTCTAAAATACATCTTCACCCTAATTAAAAATATTTGTTTCTACATTCTGACATACTTTAATTTTGATGTATTGTTCCCACACATTTTCAAGGAAATTATTAACATATCTTATACCACAGCTTGGAAAACATTTACTTATTTTACTTTCAAAACATTGATATATATATATATGTGTGTGTGTGTGTGTGTGTGTGTGTATGTAGACATAGAGATATATATATGTCTTTCAAAAGCAACCTCAAAACCCCCGATTAAATAAATTATAATTTTGAAATTATTTTATCAAAGAATAGAAAGTTTAATTTTATATGATAAAGATTCTCAATGGCATATAGAGAGATAAAAGAAAATTTGTGATTCTTTAAATCAATTTCTTCCCCCAGAAAAATATTCAACACATTTTTCACTCTGCTCCTAATAAATTTTACTTTAAATAGCAAAATTACATAAAGCTATCCTATCAAATTCAATGCACACTAGAATCAAGAACAAACAACAAATATCTCTTCTTAATAAAGTGTTTAAAATATAACATCAATTTTCTCCGAAACATTAAGAATCCTCATCATCTATTGTTCATTTACTTACGTGAGGAAGGGAAAAGGCCACCACTCTATCTTTAGTTAGTGTTTAATTTAGTAAACATAATACACTCTTTTTGAAATTCTACACAAAGCATCTCTTCTGTTGCTCATTTTCAACTGAAGGAAAGCTGTAAGTTCTTTGCTTTGGGAAGGTACAACTGAGGGATTGTATTTTATTACTAAAAAGTCCTGTTCTTACTGCAGGCATCAACATGCTTTGTCCTTTTTTGGAAAAATAGAAACCATCATTGATTTCCACCTGTATAGAAAAGTTATTTAAAGTTTTTTAATATCTGTAGTGAAATGTTCCATTAGCACACTAAGTAATAGTGTGTACAGGACAGACATCAGTAATATGAAGGAATAGGCTTCCCAGCACTCGTCTCCCTACAGAAACATCGATTTGAACAACGCTACACAGACAAAAGTATTCACAAGAGCAAAAAAGGTGAGAGTGTTACCAGAATGCGGTCCCAATCCAGACCCTATGAGAGGATTCTTGGATCTCGTGCAAGAAAAAAAAATCAAGGTGAGTTTGTAGAGTAAACTAAAAGTGAGTTTATTAAGAAAGCAAAGGAATACAAGAATGGCTACTCCATAGGTAGAGCAGCCCTGAGGGCTGCTGGTTGCCCATTTTTATGGTTATTTCTTGATGATATGCTAAACAAAAGGTGGATTATTCATGCCTCCTCTTTTTTTTAATTTAATTTTATTATTATTATACTTTAAGTTTTAGGGTACATGTGCACAATGTGCAGGTTAGTTACATATGTATACATGTGCCATGCTGGTGTGCTGCACCCATTAACTCGTCATTTAGCATTAGGTATATCTCCTAAAGCTATCCCTCCCCCGTCCCCCCACCCCACAACAGTCCCCAGAGTGTGACGTTCACCTTCCTGTGTCCATGTGTTCTCATTGTTCAGTTCCCACCTATGAGTGAGAATATGCGGTGTTTGGTTTTTTGTTCTTGTGATAGTTTACTGAGAATGATGATTTCCAATTTCATCCATGTCCCTACAAAGGACATGAACTCATCGTTTTTTATGGCTGCATAGTATTCCATGGTGTATATGTGCCACATTTTCTTAATCCAGTCTATCATTGTTGGACATTTGGATTGGTTCCAAGTCTTTGCTATTGTGAATAGTGCCGCAATAAACATACGTGTGCATGTGTCTTTATAGCAGCATGATTTATAGTCCTTTGGGTATATACCCAGTAATGGGATGGCTGGGTCAAATGGTATTTCTAGTTCTAGATCCCTGAGGAATCGCCACACTGACTTCCACAATGGTTGAACTAGTTTACAGTCCCACCAACAGTGTAAAAGTGTTCCTATTTCTCCACATCCTCTCTCCAGCACCTGTTGTTTCCTGACTTTTTAATGATTGCCATTCTAACTGGTGTGAGATGGCATGCCTCCTCTTTTTAGACCATATAGGGTAACTTCCTGACATTGTCATGGCATTTGTAAACTGTTATGGCGCTGGTGGGAGTGTAGCAGTGAGGATGACCAGAGGTCACTCTCTTCACCATCTTGGTTTTGGTGGGATTTGGCTGGCTTCTTTACTGCAACCTGTTTTGTTAGCAAGTTCTTTATGACCTGCATCTTGTGCCGTCCTCCTATCTCATCCTGTGACTTAGAATGCCTTAACCATATGGGAATGCAGCCCAGTAGGTCTCAGCCTCATTTTACCCAGCTCCTCTTCAAGATGGAGTTGCTCTGGTTCAAACACTTCTGACAAGAGAAGCTGCAAACAACACAGAAATAAGAAAAAAAACTCAGAGAACAGTAGGAAGGACAGTTTTATGTGACGCATATCATCCCTCCCCCAATCCCAGGCAGTGCAATGTGGAGAGAGATAACTTCTGTATGAAAGAGGGAAGTGAGCACTGAACTTTGTCTCAGACCCCAACACTGGGCTTGCTCCAGGAAAACCCAGTGTCTGGCACGCCCTACTTTCCAAGACTCCTGGACTGTACCTATGGATTGAGTCTCTAAGCCCACCTTTGTGCCAGGCTAACCATAGAGGCCCCAGGCTCTGGACTGGTCCCCAGATTCCCTAGGCTTTTGGCCTGCCCTGGCAACCAGTCATCCCCAACAGACTCAGGTTCCAGGTTGGCCCCAGCAGCCAAGGACTCCACATTGACTCCCGCACTGGGCTGGCCCTTATGGCCTCAGATTTTAGACCCTGTCAGCACCAGGTCAGCTCCTTCAGCCATAGTCATCAAGCCAGCACCCACAAACCCAGCCTCCAGGCCAGCGTCTGCAACTCCAGGCCCCAGGTCCACTCCAGGTTTCAGACCAGCCCAGAGTCAGGCTTGCCCACAGTCATCAAGCCAGCACCCACAAACCCAGCCTCCAGGCCAGCGTCTGCAACTCCAGGCCCCAGGTCCACTCCAGGTTTCAGACCAACCCAGAGTCAGGCTGGCCCACAGTCATCAAGCCAGCACCCACAAACCCAGCCTCCAGGCCAGCGTCTGCAACTCCAGGCCCCAGGTCCACTCCAGGTTTCAGACCAGCCCAGAGTCAGGCTGGCCCACACAGCCCCAAGTTTTAGGCCCACCCCAGTGCCAGGTAGGTACACTTGACCTCAGACACTAGAATAACACTGGTGAACAGAGGCTCAAGGCCTGCCTAATGTCGGGCCATTCCTGGCTGTTCTATTCTTTAGACCAGGCTCTGTTGTCCCAAGCTCCAGCAGATGCAGAGTTTAGGCCTCCCCCAACAAACCTAGGCTCCAGGCACATTCCAGTAGACCCAAAACTGGACCTGCCCCCACAAACGCGCCAGGATCACTCCTGTGGACCTACTTTCGAAGCCAGCCCTCAAATATATTGCCTCCAAGACATCACCTGCACACCCAGCCTCCAGCCCAATCCCTACAGCCACAGGCACCAAGCAAGTACCCATAATCCCAGGATAAAGAACTCTCATAGTCCCAAGATTCACATCTGTCTAAGCATCAGACCAGTCCCAGGCTCCAACCACTCCCCATGGCTCCAGGCTACAGAGAACCTAGATTCCAGGTCTGCCCCTGCAGACTCAGGTTCCCAGCCTACTCCAGTAGACACTGGGAGCAGGCTGGCTCCCATGGACTAAGGGTCGAGAACCACTCCCTGAAGACCCAGGATCCAGGCCAGCCCCGCAGAACCCAGGCCTCAGCCTCAACCCCATGGACTGAAACTCTAGGCCCATCCAAGGGCTAAGGCACCACATGAATGCAGGCTCCAGGCCAGTCCCAGTGGATCCAGGCACCAGGCTCACCCCAGCACCTGGGTGGTCCCTGCAGGCTGAAGTTCAGGACCCACCCCAGGATCAGATTAGGCTCTGTGTAACCAAGGTCTAAGCCCACCCCTCTGCATGCAAACTCCAAGCACACCCCCACAGACCCATTCAACAGGTCCAACACAGAGAATCCAGGCTGTAGGCTTAACAATGCCTGGATTTTGCCTGGATAGGCACCAGGCCAGCCTGCCTGAGAGGACTCAAGTGGTAAGCTCACCCTCAGATCACATTAAACATCCTGCCCAGATTATCTAGACGAGCCAACTGGTGAAAGTCACTCCTAGACAGTAAGTTTGGAAAGACTAGAATAATTTCCTACTTCTTCAAATGTACAGACATCAGGCTGAGCATGGTGGCTCACACCTGTAATTCCGCACTTTGAGAGGCTGAGGCAGGTAGATCACTTGAGGTCAGGAGTTTGAAACCAACTGAGCCAACATGGTGAAACTCCATCTCTACAAAAAATACAAAAATTACCTGGGCATGGTGGCACATGCTTGAATCCCCAGAAACTCCAAAGGCTGAGGCAGGAGAATCTCTTAAACCCAGGAGGCAGAGGTTGTAGTGAGCCAAGATTGTACCACTGAACTCCAGACTGAGCAACAGAGTGAGATTCTGTCTCAAAACAAACAAACTAAAACACAGACACCATCTAGGGTAACAAGAAACATGAAAAAATGAAAAAGATATAACAACATCAAAAGAACACAATAATTTCTCAGTACCTGATCCTAAGGAAATGAAGATGGATATACAAGCTGTCTGAGGAAGGAATCAAAATAAATGTTTTCAGGAAGCTCGGTGAACTTCAAGAAAATAGAGAAAAAATTCAATGAAATTAGGAAACCAATGAATGACCAAAATGAAAATTTTAACAGAGGGATTGAAATTACATATATATATATATACACACACATATATATATAATATATTATATATATATAATATATGTTTATATTTAAAACTCAACAGAAAGCCTGGATCTAAAAATGCAATGAATAATGCAAATAATAAAATAAATATTTCAATATACAGTATCAATTTTGATTGGTCAACCAGAAGAAACAATCTGTAAACTCAAAGACAGGTTACTTGCAAATATTTTTAAAAGAAAAAAGTAAAAAGTGAAAAAGAATAAAAGAAGCTTACGAGATTTATGGGATAGCCTAGAAAGAGTGATGCTTTGAGTGATAGGACTTCATAAAGAAGAGGAAGACAAAAGGATAGAAAGTTTATTTAAACAGATAGTAAAACAAAACTTTCTAAATCTGGGGAAAGATACAAATATTCAGGTACAGGAAGGCCAAAGGTCCTCAAACAAATTCAATCCAAATAATATTACACCATAATATATTATAATCACATTTTCAAGTATCAAAGACAAAGAAAGAATCCTGAAATTTTTTAAAAAAGGAAGGAGAAAAGAGTAAAAATGAACGAGTTTCCATATGTCTAGCAGTGAACCTTTCAGCAGAAACCTTATAGTCCAGGAGGGAGTAAGATAATACATTTAAAATGTTGAAGGAAAAAACCTGCCAACCAAAAACACTCTACCAGGAAAAGCTGTACTTCAGAAATGAAGGAGAGAAAAAGACTTTCCCACAGAAATAAAAGCTGAGGGAGTTCATCAACATTAGTCCTGTCTTACAAGAAATGAATTCTTGTGAATTCTAAAATGAATTCTTCAAGTCAAAAGAATAGGACACTAATTAGTGACACAAAAATATATGAAGGTACAGTCATCCCTCAGTATCCATGTGGGATTTGTTCTACAACCTGCCTTAGACACCAAAATCTGCAGATGCTCTGCTCTTTGATATAAAATGGTGTATTATTTGCATGTAACTTATGCACATATTCCCACATATTTTAACCCTTTCTCCATTAAAAAAGGGCAGATTGCTGCCAGTACTCATTTAATTTTACAGAAACACACTCTTTGAGGCTGAACCAAATCTGACTGATTTTCAATGTGAAAATAAAATATAAATCTGTTTTTGGAGTTATATCTAAAGAGGACTAACATCAGAATCATCTGAATCATCAAAATCTTCTATTTCAAAAAAATAGAATTTATCAAGTGAATTTTCGGCCAGTGACTGTTCGAGAATAATATTAACATCATATGTAAGAATGCTACATTTTCTAGAGGACTTGACATTTTCAGCAATTAAGAATTACCATATTTTGTAAATGGAAACACCATTACTAAAACAGAATGCTATAAATAGAATGATGTCTTTTGTTTCCAAATTTGATACACCAGAGTGATTTGAAAATAATAATAAAAGTGAGATATTTCATGGCAAAGTTATGTTGGGTTAAACACTGCAGGTACAAGCACTGCCTGTGCGTAATCTCAGGGCAAATGAGAAAAAGGTTAAATCATCTCTAGATTACTTACAATATCTAATATAACATAAATGCTATGTAAATAGCTGTTGTATAGTTTAGGGTATAATGATGAGAAAAAATGATGTACATGTTCAGTACAGATGCAATTATTTTTTTTTAAATTTTTCATCTGAGTTTGTCTGAATTTACAGATACATAACACACAGATACAGAGGGCTGACTAGATAAAGCATATTGAATGAAGTAAGTACACAATAACATTTGGGATACTCTACTACTATAATGAGTTATTTAAATAACATATCTTTAATATAAATGTTAAGAACCCAAATTATTAAAAACAATAAACGCTACAATAATTTGATGAAGGACACAATATAAAATGATGTGAACTCACACAAAAAATTTAAAACATTGGAGAGGTGTGGTGTAAAAGTGTAGGTTTTTTAATGTGATCAAAGTTAAATTGATGCCAGCATGAAATCACTTATTTTAACTATAAACTATTTTAGGTAAGCCTCATGTTTACCACAATGCAAAAGCATATTGTGGATACACAAAGATAATAAATATATAAGGAATCAAAACATATCACTAGAGAAAAAACAGCTCACCAAAAAGGAAAACAGCAAGAGAGAAGAAAAGAACAAAGATTTTATAAAATAAACAGAAATATATTTACAAAATGATGATAGTAAGTTCTTGCCTATTCATAATTACCTTGACTAGAAATGCATTAAATTATCAAATAAAAAGACATAGTGTAGATAAAGGAATTTAAAAAGTAAGATCCTACAATATGCTGCCTGCAAGAGACTTACTTCACTCATAAGGACACACAGATGTTAAATGAAAGAATGGAAAAAGATGTTCTTTGCAAATGGAAACCAAAAGAGAGCAGGGGTAGTTACATTTATGTCAGAAAAAAAAAAAAAGGACTTTAAGTCAAAACTGTCACAGGAGACAAAAAAGGTCATTACATAATGATGAATGTGTCAATTCATCAAGAGAATACAACAATTATAAACATATATGCACCCAACATTGGAGCACCTAAATATATAAATCACATATTTAGAGATCTGAAGGAAAGGTAAATGATAATACAATAATAGTAGGGCACTTCAATACTCCATTTTCAGCAATGGACAGATAATCTAGGCAGAAAATCAATAAAGAAACAGCAGATTTAAACTAAGCTTCAGACCAAATGTACCTAATAGTAATATACAGAACATTTTTGTCTGTTTGTTTTTGTTTTTGAGACGGAGTCTCACTCTTGTCCAGGCTGGAGTGCAGTGGCATGATCTCGGCTCACTGCAAGCTCTGCCTCCTGGGTTCACACCATTCTCCTGCCTCAGCCTCCCGAGTAGCTGGGACTACAGGCACCCGTCACCATGCCTGACTTATTTTTTTTTTTTTGTATTTTTTTTATTAGAGACGGGATTTCACCATGTTAGCCAGGATGATCTTGATCTCCTGACCTCATGATTGGCCCACCTCAGCCTCCCAAAGTGCTGGGATTACAGGTGTGAGCCATCGCGCCCAGCCAATATACAGAACATTTAACAGCAACAGAATACACAAACTTCTCAAAATCACATGGAACATTTTTCAGGATATATTATATTAGACTATGAGATGAGTTTTAACAAATTTGCAAGAAGATTGAAATTATATAAAGTATCTTTTCTGTCTACAATGGTATGAAACTTGAAATCAATAAAAGGAAAAATTTTGGAAAATTCACAAATACATGGAAAAAAGAAATGTGCCCCTAAACAACCAATGGGTCAAAATAAAATTAGAAAAGAAATTTTAAAATATCTTGAAGCAAATCAAAATTGAAATACAACATATACCAAATGTATGAGATGCATTAAATGCAGTTCTAAAAGGAACATTTATAGCAGTAAAGGCCTACACCATAAAAGAAGAAAGATCTCAAATAACCTAACATTGGACATCAATAAACTAGAAAAAGAACAAACTAAAACTCAGATTTGCAGAAGCAAGAAAATAAAGATCAGAGCAGAAACAAATGAAGTAGAAACAAGAAAATTAATAGGGCAGATCAATAAAAGTAAGAGTCAAGTTTGAAAAAGATAAACAAAATCAACTTTTATCTAGACTAAAAAGAGAGCAGAGTAAAAAAAATAAAATCAGAAATGAAGAAGGAGATAGTACAAATGACACAACAGAAATATAAAGCACCATAACAGGCTGTTATGAATAATTATATGAAAGATAATTGGATAGCCTGAAGAAATGAATAATTTTTTTTTTTTGAGATGGAGTTTCACTCTTGTTGCCCAGGCTGGAATGCAATGGCATGATCTTGGCTCACTGCAACCTCCGCCTCCCAGGTTCAAGCGATTTTGCTGCCTCAGCCTTCTGAGTAGCTGGGATTACAGGCACCTGCTACCACGCCCAGCTAATTTTTATATTTTTAGCAGAGATGGCATTTCACCATGTGAGCCATCAGGTCCTGAACTTTTCTTGATGGGATATTTGCTATTAACAATTCAAATGCATTAGTCTTCTTTGGTCTGTTCAGATCTTCTGATTTTCATAATTCACCCTTTGTATGTTGTAACTTGAAGAGTAATGTGTTTGAGTTGGTAATAGCAAATACCCCATCAAAGAAAAGCTCAGAACATGATAGCCTTACTGCTGAATTTTACCAAGAATTGAAAGAAGAATTAATGCTAATTCACCTAAAACTATTCCAAAGAAGTGAAGAAGGAACACTTCCAAACTGATTTTATGTGTTCAACCTCCCCCTAATACCAAAGCAAACCAAAAACACTGCAAGAAAATAAAATTGCAGGCCAATATCCCTGACAAACATAGATGTAAAATTCCTCAATAAAATATTAGCAGCCCAAATTCAACAGCATATTAAAGGAATCATTCACCATGATCAATTGGGATTCATCCATGGATATTAGGATGGTTTAACATACATAAATCTATAAATATGATATACCACCTTAATAAAATGAGGGACAAAAATTGTATGATCATCTTAAAGGATCCAGAAAAATCATTTGGTAAAATTAAACAGAATTCTATAATAAAAACATTCAATACATTAAGCTTAAGAGGAATGTATCTCAACACAACATAGGGAATATATGGCAAACCCACAGCTAACATAATACTCAATGGGGAAAAGTTGACAGCTTTTTCTCTGAAAACAAGAACAAGATAAAGATGCCTGCTCTCACCACTTCTATTTAACAGAGTACTGGAAATCCTAGCAATTAGGATCCAGAGCAATTAGGCAAGAGAAAAAAATAAAGGGCATCCAAATTGAAAGGGAAAAAGTTAAATTATCCTTGTTTGCAGAAGACATAATTTTATATATGGAAAACACAAAATATTCCACCAAAAAACCGTTATAAACAATAAGTAAACTCAAAAAATATGCCAGATTTAAAATAAATATACAAAAATCATTAGCATTTCTATATACTACAAAGAACTATCCAAAAAAGAAATCAAGGAAATGATTCCACTTACAATACTTACAAAAAATGATAAAGTACATAGAAATAAATTTAACCAAGTAGTTGAAAAACCTGACCACTGAAAACTAAAAACTTTGGTGAAGAAATTGAAGACAACACAAATAAATGAAAAGGTATTCCATGTTCATTGATTTGAAAAATTGATATTGTTCAAATGTGCATACTAACGAAACCAATCTAAAGTTTCAATGCAATCTCTATCAAAATTTCAATGACATTTTTTCACAAATAGAAAAGCAATCCTAAAATTTATATAAAAATAGAAAAGACTCTGAATGGCCAAGTGTTCTCGAGCTAAAGAAACAAAGCTAGAGGCATCACACTTCCTGGCTTCAAAATATATTACAAAACTGGTCATCAAAACTGTATGGTACTGCCATTAAAAATAGGTATGTAGATCAATGGAACAGAATAGAGAGCACATTCTCAGTCAATTGATTTTGTCAACAAAGGTGCCAGAAACCACAATAGAGAAAAGACAGTCTCATCAATGTGATGTTTTAATAACTGGATATCTACCTGCAGAAAAATGAAATTACACCCTTATCTCACATCAAATCAACTCAAAATTGATTAAGACTTACATGTAAGATCTAAACTATAAATATATTAAAAGAAATAATAAGGGAAAGTTTCATGCAATTGGTCTGATCAATTACTTTTTGGGTATGAATCCGAAAGTACAGACAACAAAAGCAAAAAGAAATAAATTGAATTCTATAAAACTAAAAAGATTAAGCACAACAAAAACAGAGTGAAGAGACAACTTATGGAATGGTATAATAAAAAAAATTTGCAAATCATACATCTGATAAGTCTTTAATACCTAAAATATATAAGGAAATAAAACAACTCAATAGCAAGGAAATAAACATTACAAAATGGGCATAGGATCTGATAGGGATTTCTAAAAAGAAGGCAAAAAAGACCAATAATTTTATATGTATGTATATGTCTATATATATATATTTTAAAGTTCAACATCACTAAGCATCTGATAAATGCAAATGAAAACCACAATTAGGTTCTCACATCTGTTAAAATGGTTATTATCAAAAAGAGGAAATGTAAGTGTTGGCAAAAATTGTGGAGAAAAGAGAAGCCATGAACACTATTGGTAGGAATATAAATTAGTATAATCATTATGAAAAACAGTATGACACTCCCTTGAAAGATTAAAAGTAGAACTGCCATATAATCCAGTCATCTCACTACTTGGTATATATACTAAGTAAATGAAAGCAGTATGTTGAAGAAATTTCTGCATTCCCAAGTTTATTGCCACATAAATTATTCACAATAGCCAAGATCTGGAATCAACCTATGTGTCCATCAACAGATGAATGGTTAAAAATATATACTGTATATTCACAATGCAATACTCTTCAGCATTAATAAGAAAAATATATTTTTATTTGTAAAAACATGGAAGAATCTGAAGGACATTATGCTACACAAAATAAGCCAGCCAAATGTAGACAGACAAAAACTAGGTAAGTGATTGCCTGAGGTCGGGAGGTGGCAGAGAGAGGCTCAGGGGAGGGTGGAAAAATGGGGAATGACTACTAATGGTTACAGAGTTTCTTTTTCGGTTTATGAAAGTGTTCTAAAATTGAGGATGGTGATGGTTGCACAACTCTGTGAACAAACTAAAAGCAATTGAATTGTACACTTTAAGTGGATGAATTGTATATTTGGATTATATCTCAATAAAACTTTTTAAATGCATTTTAAATAAACAGTATCGAATAAAAGATAAAGTAGCAATCTTTGAAGTTCTCTAGGAGTAGATGTTCTAGTTTGAGTCATCTCAAGAAAGCAGAGTCAAGACAAGGATGTTCACTTCAGCGGTTTATTTTAGTAAGTGATTACAGGGAAAGAGAGTGGAATATTGTGATGAATAAAACAAAGAGAATAAAATCATACCTGGGTGCTTATTGAGCTGGTCACCACTGTGGACAACTGGGACTTAGTCTCAAGAGCTCCTATAAAAGTCATAGGGAATGTGCCCGGACATTTTTCTGGTCAATCAATAGAAGAAGAGTGTGTTTATATAAATTATTTTCTTTTATTGGTCAGAGGTTTGCTAGTTCTTTCTTATGTGCTTCTTGTGTATGTGGAAATTCCATACCATTGCATCAGAGAAGCCCAAGGCTTAAAAGTGAGAAATACTTTGTGTAGCCGAAACAAAATTTGACCTTGTTGCACTAATGGGAAGCATATTTCCATGGTATTGGCTGAAAGGTGAACTAGAATAGATAAAGCTTTTCACAGGCGTGTCCAATATATGGAATATATATTAAATATCCTCACTCATATTTTAATTGATACTCACATTTTACTTTTAAAATAATGTGACTATGCTATTATATATTTTTTTCAAAATTATGCTTATTCAAGAATTGAATCAGTAAGTATGAAAGTAGTTATCTGTCATTTCATTATTTGTATGTGTGTGTTTATTTTCTTTCTTTAAGTATAAAACTTATGGTGCATTTTTTCTTCTATTTTTGAAATACACTAAAATTTATAGAACAAACGCAACCGAATACAAAAATATATCAACTATTTGAGAGTAAGTTACTGACCTGATTTTACCTTATCTCCGTATGTTTTATTGTGCATATCCTACCAACAAAAACACTCTCCTATATAGCCATAACAAGACTATGGATATCAGCAAATTTACATTTGTGTTACTGCTATCTAACCCTCAGATCTCATTCAATTTTTAAAAATTTATTCTAATAATGTCTTGTATAGAAAAATAATACAGTTCTCTATAATATGACCATTACATTCAATCCACAGTTTTGTACTGAATACAATGGTCATGTCATTTTTGTCGCTTTCAGTCTAGGGCAGCTGATTTGCTATACTTGACTTTCATGGCTATAACATCTTTGAAGTTTGTCGATTGTTTCATTCGTATAGAATTTCCCTCAGTTCAGGTTTATCTAATGTATTCTCATGATTAGATCTGGCAGAAATATTACAATGGAATTGTTGTGATCTTCTTATTGTGTCCCAATAGATGGTGCGCAATTTAGATTTACTCCATTAAGAATGATGTTTACTTTAGCTACTTGATTAAGGTGATTTCTGTCAGACTTCTCCAGTGAACATGTACTCTTTTTTTCCTTTTTAGTAAATAAGTACGTTGTGTGGATATGCTTTAACATAATGTAGCTATTACATTTACCAAGAAACTTTAATGTGTTTATTTTTTAAAATCAGAATGAGTTCATTTTCTCCATTTTATTCAGTGGGTTATAGTCTCTTGTAATTATTTTATCTGATACTGAAATTATTTCAGAATCAGTCAGTGGGAGCCTCTTCAATCTGTCTTCCATGTCTCTTGTCCCATTGACATGTCCTCATCATTTCTTGAGCACTTCCTTGTTTTCTAGAATGACAAAATGTTCAGCCTCATCTTACATTTTCCTTGCTTCAGCCCTGTAACCAGCTATATTTCCAAAGAACTCTAGTTTCTTTTACTAAAAAAAAATTATATTTTGAGGCCAAAATCTAAGTGCTAGATGTACTTATTGTTATTTGGCTATCACTGTTCCCCAAATCTCACAACATTCATTCTAGTTTTCTCCATTTCTATAGTTGTAAATTTTGCTCCAACAGAGAGAAAACTAATTCCTATTAACCTTAATATGGTTGCTTTATTTGTCCGGTGTCACCGGAGGTAGTGAAAGGTAATGAATTTCTTTTTTTTTTCTTTTTTTTTTTTTTTTTGAGAGGGAGTCTTGCTCTGTCACCTGTCACCCAGGCTGGAGTGCTGTGGCGCGATCCCGGCTCACTGCCAGCTCCGCCTCCCGGGTTCACGCCATTCTCCTGCCTCAGCCTCCAGAGTAGCTGGGACTACAGGCACCTACCACCACGCCCAGCTAGTTTTTTTGTAGTTTTAGTAGAGACGGGGTTTCACCGTGTTAGCCAGGATGGTCTCAAACTCCTGACCTCATGAACCGCGGTAATGAATTTCTGATGGCTTCAAACTCCTCTTCACATCACATCGATCCCCTCCTCAACCCACTTAGACTTAGACATCCCACTAATGACCACCATTCCACAAGGGCATCCTCCTCATCATGGTAGGGCTCTAACACTCAATGCAAGCCACACTTAGATGTAGATACTTTCCTTACCCTGTTTGGGCTCTAACATCTATATCAGGCCATACCTATGCACAGATGCTCTTTTCAATTCACTTAAGTTCTGACTCCACGTGCCATGCCACCCTTCTAGATGAATACTCTCCTTACTCCACTTTAGTTATGATACCTTGAATTGGGTCACCTCCAAGCCTGGATGCCTAGCTCATCCTCATCCTATTGATCTCTGACTTCCTATGCTTAACCAATTCACACAGACCCTAATTATTGTGTCCTGACTCCATCTCTGCTCTGGTGTTTCATGATCGTCCCTCTCTCTCTCCCATACGGTTTTTACTGCAGATGCTTAACTTATTCTGTCTTACCTATTATCTTTAGGATGAAACATTATCTACATTAAAAAGTAGATAAATAAAAACCATAGTTAGCATTCTTAAATCCAAATATATAGCATATATAATCAGTCACAGTAAACTCCTTTTACTCATTTCTTAGAAAATGAATTGTTTTAAAATAAGAATAGATTTTAAGTGGGACATTTTACACAAACTTTCTTAAAATGAGAAAAAGAAATGGAAGCATTGTAATTACACTTTTTCTCTCTGCCAAATTTGGAATCAATTGAAGATGACAGAAAGAGAAGACAGAGAGATGGGAATCAAAATATTGGCTATATTACAGATAAAGCTGGACTGGTGAATGCCATTTTGATGAGTGGATTTAAGTGGTCTTCTTGATATTTTCTCTGCAAAGATGAGCCTTTGAGAATAAGAATTGAAATATATATATTTTCCAGAATAACTGACTCACATTAATTCCATCTTAATATTGAACAATAATAGAGACAGAGATTCAGAGTTTCAATAAGGCAGGCTTGAGTTCTGACCTTTATGGTGATCTACAGTGCTGTCAATATGATGGAGGAGAGAAAAGTTGAGTGAGCTGAATGTTAAGGACAGTCCACTCAAAGAAAGACACAATAGGTAATGAGCCTTGTATAATTATTGCTTCTTTACATCATCACATAAATCATATAATTTTTCCTTGCTCACTTTTTAAGAACTAAATGAAAGGCAGAAATAAGACAATAAATTCCAATATTTTACCTCTTGAGAAATATAGTAAAAATACTTTCTTCTCTACAGTTTCTTCCCCTTTACACATCCTTTATGTTTGGTTTTCTTTATTTTTTGGGCTTTTCAGTTAAGTGTTTGGTCAACTAGGATTGGTATGAAGGTGCACATTCTATTAGAATAGAATTACTTCCATTTTATGATGCCACTCCACCAGTACCAATAATATTTGTGTACTATCCACATGCATCTTCAATTTGGGTAAACTTTACAGCTTGCCCCAAAAGGCTTTGAAGTGGATATAATGAAGTGGCATGCTCCTCTTATTTGTTTATGTTTCTTCTCTTTCTAGCTTTTCAATATTGTTTTGTTAAATTAGTGATCAAAAGTTCATTATGTGTCCCCAATTTCACGCATTTTCTGTGACATGTTAAGTCACTAACTTGCCTACTTTGCTATATATGATATTGTTCTCTATCACTGAACCTTCCAATCCCTAAACCCCAGAGATAGTTAGGCATTACAACCCTATCTGTACTATTGATACAGATAGGAGACAGTGAAACACTGGGTAGAAGAGGGTGGTTCCCCTGCAAAGCCCCATCCTCAAGCCTGGATTCTTGTGGCCCTAAATCAGGGCAGGCATTCCAGTTTTCATGCCCAAAAAGTTGCCTACATATAAACCCCACACTCCAGTCTTCAGAAGCAGACAAGCAGGCAAGAAGGTGAGGAGATAAGCAGACAGATGGTGGAACAATGCAGGAGAGAAAGAGTGAAGAGGAGGAACATCTGAATGCTGCCAGGAATTCAGCTGGGGGTGGTCAGAGAAGAGTTCCATCACTGGAAGGCCTGACTCCAGGGGAAGATCATCTTCCCACTTCTTCCCCACCCTTCCAGCTCCCCATCCATCCTGCTGAGAGCCACCCCCAACCACTCAACAAAATCTCACATTCATCCTTCAAGCCCACGTGTGATCTGATTCTTCCAGTAGTCAGGGCAAGAGCTCAGGATACAGAAAGCTGTCACACTGGTCCTCTGGCCTTGCAAAAAGCAGAGGGTCCACTGGGCTGGTTAACAAAATGGTTAACACTTAAAGCTGTCTGTGGACAGCAAGGCTAAGAGAGCATTGTAACACTGAGGTTGCAGGCACCCACCCCTAAACAGTACCATGGGGCCAGAGCCCAAAGAACTGACCCTGGCCTCTGCACCTGCCCTTCTATGTGCTCCCCCTCCCACAAAGGGTTTGAGCAATGGCAGCGACCCAACAGAAGAGTCACACCCCTGTTGCACATCCTGCGAGAAGGATCTGGGAGCTCTCCCATTTCACTATTTCAAGACAACTGGCAGGTCCTTTGTGGTTGTGATGAGGCAGAGTGACGCTGGAAGACTCAAGGTTCACATATATGCCGTTAAAATTTGAGGGTGATTCATATAGTATTTTTCTTTTTTTTAGACAGATTCTCACTGTGTCACCCAGGCTGGAGTGGAGTGGTGCCATCTCGGTTCACTGCAACCTCTGCCACCTGGGTTTAAGTAATTCTTGTGACTCAGTCTCCTGAGTAGATGGGACTACAGGCATGTTCCACCATTCCCGGCTAATTTTTGTATTTTTAGTAGAGATGGGGTTTCACCATGTTGGCCAGGCTCATCTCAAACTCCTGACCTCAGGTGATCCACCCACCTCGGCCTCCCAAAGTGCTGGAATTACAGGCATGAGACACTGCACCCGGCCTCTTATACTATTTTGCCATTGAAGTAATAGCTATGAGAAACTAGAATGTCATATTAGGAAACGTTGCCTAATTTGATATGTCTGATTACACATCAGGGTTTTTGCTTGGTGAGCTAAATAAAGGTAATTATATGTTACTAGCAGAGTATCAAAATGAATTTAAATAAGATATGGGCTTTTCAAACCAGAAAAACACATAAGAAAAATATATTCTTTAACCATAGCTAAGCGATTAGGAACTAAGTGTCACCTGAAAGGAGGCAAATGTGTGTGTGTGTGTGCGTGTGTGTGTGTGCATGTGTGTGTGTGTGTATGTGGGTGTGTGTGAAAGAGTGTGTGTGTGTGTTTAAATTCTGGGAGAAAAGCTGTTGCCTGAATGTTTCTCCAGCTCCTTGTCAGATTTCAACTTATTACCAGATAACTAATATTCTCATTTAATAAAAATGCTACACATTTTAATGTGTGTGGAATGCATAAATATACTTTTAGCCTGTCTTCAATAATTGACTTTGGGAACCTAAAGCAAAAATTATAGTTTCTGGTATACATTTGGAGGATAAGAATGACAGAGGTCATTGGATTCTAAGAACTTATAAGGATATCTGTTCTCTTTCAAAACCAGGAATTTGATCAATATATAAAAATGAATTGACAGCGGTATTAGTTTTGATTACTATGTAACAATTTACCACAAGTTAGCATCTTAAAACAACTCAAATTAGATATGTCAATTTCTGTGGATACATGTCTGGATATAGGTTAGTGTGCAGCAGTCTCCAGCCTTTTTGGTACCAGGGACCAGCTTCAGGGAAGACAATTTTTCTAGGGATTGAGGGTAATTGTTTCAGAATGAAATTGTTAACTGTTCTATTCTACATCAGATAATCAGGCATTAGGGTCTCATAAGGATCACACATCCTAGATCCCTCTAATGCTTAGTTCATGCACCTGTGAGAATCTAATGCCACTGCTGATCTGACAGAAGGTGGATCTCAGGCGGTAATGCTCGCTCACCCACTGCTCACATCCTGCTGTGTGGTCTGGTTCCTAACAGGCCATGGACCAGTACTGGTCCATGGCCTATGACTTGGGGACCTCTGCATTAGTGGATCCTTTGCAGAGGGTCTCCTCAGGATGAAATCACGGTGTTGACTGGAACTGCAGTCTCATTTAAGGCTGAGTGCTTTTCCAAGCGCACTGATTGTTGGCAGAGTTCTGTGCTCCATGGTTATAGTACTGAAGTTTCAAGGTCCTAGAGACAACCTACTGTTCCTAGCCATGTGGCATCTCCACATCTTAGCAGTATGTTTCTTCAAAGCCAGTGAGTGATTGTCTTAGCTATATTAGTGTCTCTGACTTCTCATGCATCTGATGTCCAGATCGTTTTATCAAGCACACAATCTGATTAGATTGGAGCTACCCAGGATAATGTTCCTTTAATTAAATTAAATTCAAGTGGTTATGGATCTTAATTACATCTATAAAATCTCTTCACATTTTTTATATAAAGTGACCTAATTGCTGTAGTAATATTGAGGCAGGAGAATAGGGTCTGGGGGCAGGGAACCTAAGGACTTCCTATAACTAAATCAAACAGAAAAATCCCAACCTTCTACACCAAGTAAATAACTTTATAACTTCACTTCAGCCATGGCGGGAAACATTCTCTTCATTTACATAGAGGATACACCAAGTAATCAATGGGAAACCTCTAGAGGATGTTTAAACCCCAGAAAATTCTGTAACTGGCACTCTTGAGCTGCTTGCTGGAGCCCACTCCCACTCTGTGGAATATACTTTCATTTCAATAAATCTGTGCTTTTCTTTAATATCTTTGTGCATTTTGTCTAATTCTTTGTTCAAAATGCCAAAACCTGGACACCCTTCACCAGTAACAATATTACATCATATTCACCGATCGCACCCACATTCAAGGAATAGAGATTACACAAGGCACGTGTACCAGGAAGTGAAAATCTTGGGGAACATATTAGAATTCTACCTATCAGTACCAGGCAAACTCTACCAAACAATCTGAAGCGCCACAGGCTTCATGATAAGAGCTCATGATAAGAGCTCACTTGGGTTGGGAGAGGTTATCACATCAAAATTCCTGTGAGATTACCCTAACCATTGCATAGATATCACCAAACTAACCTGGAACTAATCATGTGTGCACATGCGCACATACACGTACCTGTTGCATTAGCCAAAGGTTTAGGGTATTCTCAATTAATTGTGTATGGAGTGCTACTGGGAATTCTGTGGTGAGATAGATTCTCAAACCAAGGAGATAAACAGAGCCAGAGCTCAGAACCAGCAATTTTCGTTATTGTGATGGTGAACAAAGAATTGCACACTAACACCACAAAGCAAGATCAAAGCAAAGTTTATCGAAGCATAGTAATGCACTCTCAAAGGGCAGCGGGCTGATTTCAAATCAGCACACCTTTACAAAACTCAAGATGCTTATATGGGGTTTGTGGGGAGTTGAGGTTTGGGCTGTATCGGAGTGACAGGATAATGTTATTTGATTGGTAGTTTACGGTTATATAAGTAACGTTACACTGCACATGTTTTAACACATAATTCGTTAAGAAAAGCCCATTTGGGAGGGCAAAACCACATGTAAATTTTATGATAATGATGGTATAATGAACTTAGGGTGATCTCGAGGACACGGTTTCATGTTATTGGGCATTTGCCCCTTTAGGGGATTTTCACCTGTGCCCTGGTTTCTTTTTCTCCAGGATGGGCTGACCACAGACTTTACCACAAACTCCATCCGTTAAGGTGGAGTTAGGGTGGTCTTAGGACTGAACTTAGAGTCTATCTAGGCCTAATAGAAATAATGAAGTAACTGTTGCTAAAAGGAGATGATGTGTTTCCCCAGATGAAGTCTCAGAAATAAGTGGGAGGCAATTGAGAAATGGATTTGTTTGGAAACCCTCTTAGAAATAGAAATATGATCTTGTGTTACATGTGAGCTGTGACTGAAGTGTGTGTACAGACACATGCTCCCATCCACTGGGATTGAGTGGCTCTACTACTGCTGCGCATTGCATGCAATGGATTCTTTTAATAGCAATCTTTGGTAGTGATAACCTTGTAACTGGTGTCAGAAGCAGCATAATAAGCTTTGGGAATAGGCCAAGTATATGTGGAAGTGTCAAGCATCTCGTGGTAAATAAGATCATGGATTCCTACTTGGGATGGTTGTACAACCAATTTGGAGGAAAAGCTGATTTTCTATTCAAATTATAAAGAAAAGATACGGCAACTGAAAAAGGGGCTGGCACTTCCATAAGGGCAAAGTTTCACCATCTAAATTAGTGATACCTAAATTGGGATGTCTTTACAATTACTTCGGAGCTTGCAGAAATACTAATAGCTGGGCCCTCTTCCAAACCAACTTAGAAAAAGAAATATTAGGATGGGACCTACACACTTATGCTGTTTAACATCTATCCAAGTGATGATAATGTGCAAACAGAATTGAGCACTATTTATTCAAATGATTGATTTTTTATTGTTTTATGCGTGCATGGGTCTCTTCCTGGACTCTGTTTCATTCCCTTGTTCTATATGTCTACCTTGATGCCAATAATGAACTGACTTTATTACTTTAGCACTATAATAAATCTGTAAGTCAAGTAATAGACACCTTTCAACATTATTTTTCTTTTTCCACAATTGTTTTATCTAGTGTAGGTCTTACATATTCCCATGTGAATTTTAGGATCAGCTTGTCTATTTCAACAAAAACCTTTCTGGGGTTTTATATGGGATTGCATTGAATTTATATGGGATTGCATTGAATTTAGAGAACTATGGGCAACATTAACATCATTATAATATTGACTCCTCAGATACATGATTAATGTTTATTGGTCTACTTATTTAGGACTTCTAACATTTCTCACAGCAATCATATGTATATGATGTTTGTTATATGACATATTATTAAGTATATGTAAACATATATATATATATATATATATATATATATGATATACTTACCAAATATGTAAGTTGTCAGAGTTAAAGCCTTGCACATCTTTTTGTCAGACAGGCACATAAGGAATTCAATTCATATTTTAAAATATTTGTAAATATTATTTTTACTTCCACTTCTAATTATTCTTTGCTAAAGTATAAACTTTACAAATGATTTTCATATACTGGTCTTTTAAGCAACCTTGCTAAATTCACTTACTAATCTGGTAGCTTTTTCTGTAGAATGTTAATGGATATTCTATATAGACAATCAGGCTGTCTGTGAATAGAAGCAGTTTTATTTCTTTATAAATCTGAATGCATTTCCTTTCTCACTCTTGACTTATTTTATTTGGTAGACTCTCTAGTACAATGTTTAAAAAATAATAAGTGTGCACACACTTTTTTTTTTATCTTAGGGTGAAGGGATTCAGCCTTTCACCACTAGCTGTGTCACACAGATTCCCTTTATAAGTTTGGAGACATTCTATTCTATTTCTAAGGTACTAAGAGTTTATCAGAAATCAAAGTTGGATTTTGACAAATGCTATTTTCACATCCAGTGAGAATGTCATTTTTTTCTCTTTCATTTAATATGATGTATTATATTTATTGAATTACTAAAGTTAAACCAACTTTTTATTTCTTGGTTAAAGCCTACTTGAATCATGATGTATTAACCTTTTCACATATTGCTAGATTCGATTTGCTAAAATTTTCCTTAAAATTTTGCATTTATATTCTTGAGGGATGTTCAACTGTAGTTTTCTTTTCCTGTAGTACCATTATCAGGTTTTAACATTAAATCAGGTCAGGCCACATACAATTATTTGAGAATTATTTTCTTCTCTTTAATTTTATGAAACAGTTGGTATAGAGTTGATTTTATTTACTTTTAAATGGTTGGTAGAGTTTACCATTTGATATATCTGAGGCTCAAATTTTCTTTGTGGATAAGTTTTTAACTAAAAAGTCAATTTCTCTGATACATATATGGATTTTTATGTTACCTAATTCTACTTCAAAGCCCTTTAGTTTTTAGTTTGTGTCCTTTGAGAAATTTGCTCATTTCACATAAGTTTGTGAATAAAATTATCTATTATTTTATTATCTGAAGAGTCTATAGAGGTGTCATATCTCTCATTCCTGATATCAGCGTAATCCCCTCGGAAGAAAGAATTATTGCAAGATATTAAAAAATTAATTTTACTTCCAAAGTTCAGATTCCATGATCGTTTCTCCCCTTTACTTTTTAAACTAAAACCTAAATCTATTAATTATTAATATTTAGAGACATTTCCAGAACTCATAAAACATTTTCAGAAAAAGAAAAAAAATTGATCAATTTTCAAAAGGATATATTTTCTGGTAATTTAAAATTATCTGGCTGGGCACAGTGGCTCACACCTGTAATCCCAGCACTTTGGGTGGCTGAGGCAGGTGGATCACTTGAGGCCAGGAGTTTGAGAGCAGACTAGCCAACATGTTGAAACCGCATCTCTACCAAAAATAGAAAAATTGGCCGGGCATGGTGGCACACGCCTGTAATCCCAGCTGCTCGGGAGGCTGAGGCATGAGAATAGGTTGAACCTGAGAGGTGGAGGTTGCAATGAGCTGATATCGTGCCACTGCACTCCAGCCTGGGTGACAGAGTGAGACTCTGTTTCAAAGAAAAAGAAAGATTAGGGCTGGCACGGTGGCTCATGCCTGTAATCCTAGCACTTTGGGAGGCCAAGGTGGGCAGATCATGAGGTCAGGAGATCGAGACCGTCCTGGCTAACATGGTGAAACCCCATCTCTACTAAAAATACAAAAAAATTAGCTGGGCATGGTGGCGAGCACCTGTAGTCCCAGCTACTTGGGAGGCTGATGCAGGAGAATGGCAGGAACCCAGGAGGTAGAGCTAGCAGTGAGCTGAGATCACGCCCCTGCACTCCAGCCTGGGCGACAGAGCAAGACTCCGTCTCAAAAAAAAAGAGAAAAAAAAAAAAAAGAGAAAAAGGAAGATTTTCTGTGATCTGAGCCTCACATTTAGAACTTGTGTATGAGTGCTTCATTTGTTAGAAATTGTACAGTATGTTTTATGAATTTAGAAAAGATTGAGCTATCAGAACAGTCTGATAACAGAGATCAGAAGAGTCTATTTATACATTAAAAATCTATTGTAATTTTATATCCAGATATCTTCCTCTGGAGTATAATACTGAAACTACTTTGATTTGCAAGAACCTGTAACAATTTATGGTCCAGGTAATATAATGCTTGTCTGAAAATTTTAATAATGTCCTTTTATATCTGTTGACTTTTATTATTTCCTTTCGTATACATCTTCAGAAGTCAAAAATGTGTTTTCCATCTTATAAAACCAAGGATTTAGTTTTAAGATATCAGCATTATTTGAATTTTAGAGTTATTTTACATTTATTTACTGTGATTTATAGGCACTAAACCTAAAATTTAGATCATTGAAAGTGTACCTCCATGTTTTTCCAGAAATTTATTTTTTGGATGTAACTTTACCTAATAACCACTCGTTGGTATACATTTTAATAATAAAAATTCACAATAGGTTGAATTAAAAAGCTAATACTAAATAAGTACCCTTTTTCCATTCTCCATAGACAATAGGCTGAATCAGAGTAGGGTTGGCTTCATGACCAAGAAGTATTAAGATTTCTCACAAGACTCAGAAGGGCACTCATTATGTTAAAGGAAGGTTGCTTCCTAGCTTGGCTGACAACATAATTCACCCCAATGACTCAGCTATCCTGTGTCTCTAGATAAAATTCTTGTGTATAGTCATTATGGGGGTCATGGCTTGGAGTGCAGTGGCACGATCATGGCTCACTGCAACCTCCACCTCCCAGGTTCAATCGATTCTCCTGCCTCAGCCTCCCGAGTAGCTGGAATTACAGGCATGTGCTACCACGCCCAAATAATTTTTGTATTTTTCAGTAGATACGGGGTTTCACCATGTTGGCCAGGATGGTCTCGATCTCTTGACCTTGTGATCTACCCCCTCAGCCTCCAAAAGTGCTGTGATTACAGGCGTTAGCCACTGCACCAGGCTGGTCTTGCCTTTCTAAATGGTGTCCTGTAATATGTTCCTAATACTATGACTGCTAGGAAAATTTTTAGAGCCAGTAGAAGTCAGTCCTAAGGTAACAACTTACAATTTAGACAACATTATAAATATACCATGCAAATGCATGAAGAAACCTCACTTGTTAATCGTTTAGAAATCTTTGCCATTCTGTGGTCCATATTCATAATACAAATGGCTTAAAAATTAGGAGGGTGATAAGTCAACATTATAGAGTGAACTGTTCTTAATGAGGTTTCATTTAAGAAAAAATGAGAAGGTGGATGAAAATTGTGCGAAAGAACTCATTCAGCATAGAGGCTGAACCTGAGTATACACTGACCCTAATTAGGCTGCCAGTTTCTTCCCTAGTGCTCTCACCAGCTCAGACCTGGACTTGGCAACACTCTTTTTATAGGAGCAATCTCAAATAATTTGTTTATATCAATGCTCCAGCTCTTTATTCTTGCTAACAATCAGAACTCTTTTAAGGAAACCTGGAAATGCCAAATGGCCACAGGACTGGCTGCATCTAAGGTGACTGCAGTGTCACAGTCTGATGAGATTACTCTCCATTTTGAGCTGGATCATTAGAAACAGCCCTGAGGAACCAGATAGAGACAAATTGTCTTCATTAGAAATTATCCTTAACTCTCGATGAAAATACTAGTTTATATTAAATTTATCACATTAGCTGGAACCTATTTTTTAACGTCAGTAAAGACATTGTTATTTCCTAAAGCAGAAACTTGCTAAATAGAAAGATAGTTTCAAACTTCCTTTAGTTCTTGATTCTTTTCTAAGAAGGTGTAAGAAACATACAGCTTTGTATTGTTTTCTAAGAAAAATTGGAATCTTTTGTGGCGCCTGCTTGGGTGTAATCAGAAGCCACTTTCAGCTCTCCTTTTTTGGATTATTTTCTAGCCTGAAAATGTCTTTTGTTTTGACTCTGATTTGTTCAGGTTTTTCCAGGCAGGCAAATTGTTACTTGTAAAAACTGTTATAATGAAAGTTTTGTTTTGGGGCAGGTAATTTCCAGATGTTTGTTTGTTATTTCCTGGGAGGGCTCATGAGGGTCACCCATATGTATTGCAACAGGAAGGTGCCATATGTCCAAACTAATTGGAATTGTTTCTAATCTGAGAGTTTAGAAGCCTTGATTGTTTAATCTTAATGAGCAAGAAAGACCCATAACAGGCTTCGAGTAGAGAACCATTTCCTCATTTATATAGAGAAAGAGGAATTGATTGGAACAATACCTAATGGACCCCCAAAGTCATTTTTTGGTAGGACAAATACAACACAAGCTTTCCTGTACTGAGGAGGACAATAGAGTCAGTAAGAATTTGTGTTGCCAATTAAACAGGAGTTTGGGTAGAGTGGTTTAAGAGTTTTCTTTTGTGGAGAGGGGGTTACTTTAGTAGCCATTAAATTAATACAACTTTTCCCTGAAAAGTAAAATAGATACGTGTCAAATATAACTTGTAAGTACTAATTTTTTCACACATTAAACGCATAATTTTATACCTTTTAGAGAATTTAGCCTTTTTATTATTAGAGAATTTAGCTTTTGGTTATATTTTTAACTAGAGGAGACAATAATTATAGAATCTATTGTATCATTTGTAAGGCAAATAAAAGCTTTTAACTTAATGTGATATAATTTAATGTAACTTAATTTTATCACGTTTTGAGTGGAGTATAGGCTTGTATTTGATATATATTTCTTAGCATTAATTTATAAATTGTTCAGTTTACATAATCATCCTAAATTATGTTAAAATACAGTATTATATCATCAGAGTTTTTGGAAAAAGTGAAACTGAATCTCTAATAGAAATTAGAACAAATTAAGAAAAAATTGATGTTTACATGTTAAAACTATTAGAATACTATTATATCAGTTTCTAACTGATTCATTAAACATATTCAAATTCTAATAAGTAAGTGAAACCATTCTATTTTTTGCCAAAAAATATTTGATGACATCCAGATACTGCACACACCAAAATGACTTACCAGGGAAACATAATTATCTACTCTTTGAATTGTAGTTCTTTGACTCGCATTATAAAAAAAAATACCTGGAAATCTGTTAGAAATTCAAAATTTCAGGCCTCGAATTCAGTCCTACTGAATCGAACTGGCATTCTAATGAGATTTCCAAGCAATTAGTAAGAATGTTAATATTTGAGAATTATAGATCAAGTCATTGTCCTAATAAATATAAAAACCAAAAGGTAATAATATTTAACATTTATTTAATGATCACTATTTTCTCTCTCTTTTTTTTTTTTTTTTTTTTTTGAGATGGAGTCTCGCTGTATCGCCGAGGCTGGAGTGCAGTGACGTGATCTCGGCTCACTGCAACCTCTGCCACCCAGGTTCACGCCATTCTCCTGCCTCAGCCTCCCAAGTAGCTGGGACTACAGGTGCCTGCCACCAAACCTGGCTAATTTTTTTTTGTATTTTTAGTAGAGGCGGGGTTTCACCGTGTTAGCCAGGATGGTTTTGATCTCCTGACCTCATGATCCACCCACCTCGGACTCCCAAAGTGCTGGGATTACAGGCGTGAGCCACTGCGCCCGGCTAATGATCACTATTTTCAAAACATTGTTTGAAGACCTGTATATGTAGATTATCTACAATTTAATCCTGGGGAGAAAAAAACCCTATAAAGCTGATATTGTTATTACATTTTTATTTTCTTCTTTTCTTTGATTATCATCAAATAATGACATTTTTAATGATAAATCTAAATCTAACCAGGTGTTTTGAAAAATACACAAAGCATAATTACATAAAGTTTTAAGTGAAGCTCAATCTTTTGTAGATCTCTAGCAAATAATATCAAATATTAGTCAAATTAGATATTTGTTCTTGGGAATTAAGTCTTTCAATACTTCTCAAATATGTTCTAAACCTAATTACATATAGTTGAACCTAACAAAATGATTTATAAAATGTAGCACTTATTGTTTTCATTCAGATATGTCTAATATTTGAAACTACATTCTGATATTCTGGTAGTCTTTTTAATTTCTTGTGGTATAACTTATGATTTATATATCATTTAGTCTTGCCAACTTCTGAATTATTAACAGTGAGGACATAATTATGACTTTAGATTTTTGTCTCCAGTTGCTTATTTGATATTTTAATTCATAATTTTTCAATAGAGTTTATTATTTACAAACAACCCCCAACGACTATAACTAGATGTCTATCTCTACTTTTCCCTGACAGAGAAGTTAGTAAATCACTTAATACTGGAGAGTTGACACACCAGGGTCTGGATTACAAACACAAATGAAAATGTCAACAACCAAGATTTGATATAATTATACAGTTTTTAAATGATTTTAAAATAAAGTTTCAAATACATTTTGAATATTTCAAAAAAAAAGAGTTCTCATGCCTCCCCTATTTTCATGTTAGAGAACCCTATTGAGAAAGAGAGAGAAAAAAGATCTTTTTTTGCCTAAAAACTCAATAAGGACCATCTAGTTAGCAGCATTGAAGTTCAACAGGTCTTTGAGTAGCGAATAACACATATTAAGAGGCACACAGTTCATTAATAGATCCATTTCTTCTTAGTGTCAATTACAAGAATATATAATTTAAAAGGATAAAGAATAATTAAGAGATAATAAACGATATAATGATATTAAGCCTTGACACTTCAAGTGTGGCCTGTGGACTAGTCATATGGGTATCACTTCAAAGCATAATTAGAAATGCAAATTCATAGGCCCCCTCCACACTGACAAAATCAGAATCTGCTTTTAACAAGATCTCCAGGGAACTAGCATAAAAATTGAAGTCTGAGAAGCACTGAAATAAATTAATAAGTTATCAAAAGATATGACAGTAAGAAAAATGTTTCTCACCTCTTTATAAATTGTGTTTATATTTATAAAAAAATTAATTTTGCCCTTAAGAGATATGTATGTGTTAGGAGTAGGAATGGAATGAAGTCTTCCTGAAGTGAGATTAATGTTGCAGAGTACCACAGAAAAATGAAGCTAGGCCCCATAGGAAAGATCATAGTTGTGGAAATATCCCACTGAAGTTAGGAACTGGAACACCAAAGAATTAATGAAGGGTTGTCAATGTTTTTGATATTGGTAGCTTCATACACAAGACTCCAGCTACATAAAATTTGTGAAAGCTTAAAGAATGGTTATCAATTAGGTACTGATAACAGGGATACATTATAGAAAAAAAGATTTTCAGAATGGCAGTTTGAAGTCAGAACTAACTCTACAGACCTGCTCCCTAGTAAAATAAGCATAATTGATAAAAATTATATTTTTAAAACCTACAACAATTTAGAGTCTCTGAAAATTATCTTGAGGGTAAACAGAGAAGAAAGAAACATTGATTCAATACTATGTTAAAACCTGGTAAGAACAGGGAGAATTTATGGCATTTGAAACAAGATTCATTGGTTTTCTCTCTCTCCTTATTATTCAGCATGATGGAAAGTTCAGATAGGTATATCCTAGAACACCTGGCTTTAACCCAGCTTCTGGTGAAGATCCATGGTGTCTTTCTTGTAATGGAAAGGCTACCAGCCTTTTTTTATCTCCCCAGATAGAGCTGCAGGGACTAAACTCCAGGTGAGTGACAAGCTCTGGGGTTTTCTTCTTCTACACAATCCCAATTGTAATGCAGATCGCCTACCTCAGGCACACAGTGCTGAGAACATTGGGATCCCAATTACCCTTCCTCAACTTTGTTTAAAGTAAAAATGTTTAACATTGGAAACTACAAGTGAAGAAATGGGAGATATTATTAATCTCTCTAACATTTTTTAAGCTCTCTAACATTTAATGGGGGCATCAGAAGGAGAGGAGAGAGAAAGATGAGGAGAAAGAAGTATTAGAAAAAACTAATGGCTGAAAACATCCCAAATTGATTAAAAACCTTAACTACACGTTATAAAAATTAATTAACTCCAAATAGGATAAACATGAAGAGACTCCACATCCGGATATAATATACTAAAAATGCTGAAAAACAAAAATAAAGAGAAAATCTTGAAAGCAATAAGAAATACTTGTCACTTATAAGAAACATTCTATAAGATTAACTGCTGACATCTCAACAGCCATCATGAAAGCAAGAAAGCAGTGGTATGACATACGCAAACTGCTGAGAGAGAAAAAAGTCAGCCAAACAAGAATTCTATATCTACCAAAATCTTAAAATGTGAAGGCAAAATACAGAGAGTCCTATATAAAAAAATAACTGAGGAATGTGTTCCTAGAAAATCTGCCTTAAAAGAAATGTTAAAATGAAATTCTTATGATAAAACAAAGACATATATAGTAATTTGAATCTACATAAAGAAGCAAAAATTACCAGTAAAGGTAATTATGCCATTATAAACAAGATAAGTAATATCTAAATCCATATTTTCTCCTTTCTTCTGTTAAGTAAAGAGCAATTGTGTAAAAAAAGCATATAATTGTTTTGTTGAGCCTATAACATACAGAAATGAAATACATTTGGTAATAACAGCACAAAGGAGGTGAGTGGAAGAATAGTTTTGTTGGAATGAGAAAAAGACACTAGATGGTAACTTGAATCCACAAGGACAGATAAAGAAAACAAAGAGCAAATAAACAATATTAATATTGCAAACATCATAAATCTATACTTAGTCTTCTTCTTTAAGTTTCTTCCTTTTTTTTTTAAATTGAGATGGAGCTTTTGCTCTGTTGCCCAGGCTGGAGTGCAATGGCGAGATCTCTGCTCACTGCAACCTCTGCTTCCTGGACTCAAGCAATTCTTCTGCCTCAGCCTCCTGAGTAGCTGGGATTACAGGCACCCACTATCAGGCCCAGCTAATTTCTGTATTTTTAGTAAAGATGAGGTTTCACCATGTTGACCAAGCTGGTCTTGAACTCTTGACCTCAGGTGATCAACCAGCCTTGGCTTCCTAAAGTGCTAGGATTACAGGCATGAGCCACTGTGCCTGGCTCAGTTTCTTTAAAAGACATAGAATTATATATGTTAATAAATTTAATAAGGTAGTCTTGGGTTTGTAATATTAATATATGTAATATTTGTTTTAAAAATAGCACAAAAAGGCAGAAATATAATACCACTAGGTAGAAAAAAAAATCTTTATATATGTAGTCACCTCTCAATATTCATGGAGGATTAGCTTAGGAACTCTCACAGTTACCAAAATCCACAGATGCTCAAGTCTCTGATATAAAGTGATTTAGGATTTGCATATAACCTATATACATCTTCCCGTATATTTTAAATTATCTCTAGACCACTTATAAACCCAGTATAATGCAAATGGTATGTAAATAGTTATTATAATGTATTTATTTAGGAAATAATGACAAGTGAAAGAATTCTGTACATGTTCAGTACAGACACAATTTTTAGAAAATATTTTTCATCCACAGGTGGTTGAATACATGGATATGAAAGCCACAAATATAAAGTCAAGTATACATCTATCTATATCTATATATTTATATTCATATTATGCCATCTATACTTACATCTATACCTATATTACTGGGATTATATCAGTGTAAATTAAAAGTAGATTCTGACAACTTTAGAAGTACATGGTAATGCCTAAGCAGGTGCTAAGCTGGTAATTTAAAAGTATAGTGAAAATATAGGGAATTAAAATGTTGCTCTAAAAAGTATTTAATACAAAAAATTAGTAAGGCAGAAATAGAGGAACAGAAAAAGCATGAGAATATAAAATGTAAAGTGTAAAATCCCAGACATAAGTAAATTCAAATATATAAATAATAGCATTAAATGACAATGAAATAAACATCTAATCAAAAGGCACAAATTATCAGACTGGATTTGAAACGTCATCCAATTAAAGGCAGTCTACAGGATACACACTTTAGTTTCAAAGATACCAAAGCATTAAAATTTTAAAAATAAAAAGTAATATACAAAATATTTTATAAACATTGAAGTTGCCATACTGATTTCAGATGAAGTAGATGTTTCTTTTTGTTTCTTTCCCTCTCTTTCTTTTTAAATTAACATCTTTAAAAACTGTATAATTGTATTTTCTTTTTAAACTTTAATTTTGGATGCAAAGGGTACATGTGCAGATTTGTTACCTGGCTATATTGTGTGACACTGAGGTTAGGGGTACAGATGATCCTGTCACCCAGGTAGTGTGCATGGTAACCCAATAGGTAGTTTTTTATCCGCAACTCCTTCTGACTCTCCCCACTTAGTAGTCCCCAGTGTCTACCATTTACATTTTGTGTCCTTGTGTATTCAATGTTTAGCTTCCACTGGTAAGTGAGAACATGTAATATTTGGTTTTCTATTCCTGCATTAATGCATTTAATATAATGGCCTCCAGCTGCATCCATGTTATTCTAGGGTAAAATATCTTAAACATGCACCTGGATTAAGCATTGAAAATTGTATTACTGTAACCCATGTCAAATCTTATAAAATTAAATTTCTGAAAAATAGGAACAAGTCTTCTGCATTTTTACAAATTCTTCAAATAATTCAAATACATACATACAAGAAAAGATAATAATTATTGTACTGTAGTGGAGGACATTAAAATTAAAAGAAGTATTGATATTTGTTGAATTGTAGCTGTTGCTCCTACTTGAAATACTTTCTCAATATTAGATCGTATTTTTCACCCAAACAAATTGATTATTATATAATGGGTTATGTTTCTCCTTTCAGAATCTTAGACTAACCCCCACCCCACCAATCACTTCTCAGCCTTCTGACTAATATCAAGTCAAGAATCTTAGATCCCAAAAATCATATTAAATTGTCACAAGCAATGGCTTTATTCACTTAAAATGGTTCATTTTCTTTACCAGAACTAAACCGCAATGCTTCAAGCTGATATTAAAAATTGTTGGACCCATGCTGTATACATGTGGACTGCTGACAGACATGTAACTAAAATAATTTTCCCAATTATCCAAATATGTGTTTATCAAATTATTTAAAGTAAATTGTGAAATATTACATAAAATTTCTGAACAGTTAATAAATATTTATATGTTTTATATTTACCTTTTTAATGATTACATTTGTAATTTTTAATTGTTAGAACATCCATATTTTTATTTACTTCTTTTTAAACTTTTATTTTAGGGTTACATGTGTAGGTTTGTCATATAGGTAAATTATGTGTTGTGAGAGTTTGGTGTACAAATTATTTTATCACCCAGCTAATAGGTATAGTACCCATGGGGTATTTTTTTGATCCTAATTCTCCTCCCATGTTCCACTCTCAAGTAGGCCCCAGTGTCTTTTGTTCCCTTCTTTGTGTCCATGCGTACTCATTAAGCTCCCATTTATAAGTGAGAACATGCAGTATTTGGTTTTCTGTTCCTGTGTTAGTTCACTTAGTATAATACCCTCCAGCTCCCTCCATGTTGCTGCAAATGACATTATTTCACTCTTTTTTTGGTTGCATAGTATTCCATAGTGTATGTGTACCACATTTTCTATATCCAGTCTACTGAGGATGAACAGTTAGGTTGATTCCATGTCTTTGCTATTGAAAATAATGGTGTGATGAACACATGTGTGCATGTGTCTTCATGGTAGAATGATTTTTATTCATTTGGGTATATACTCAATAATGGGATTGCTGGGTAAAATGATACTTCAAAGTTCTTTGAGAAATCTGCAAACTGATTTCCACAGGGGATGAGTTAGTTTACAACCCCACCATCAGTTTATCAGCATTTGCTTTTCTCCACAGCCTTTCCAGTATCTGTTATCTTTTTACTTTTTAATAATAGACGTTCTGACTAATGGGAGAGAGTGTTGGATGGATTTCCCTAGCATTTTGCTAATGATTAGTGATGTGGAGCACTTTTTCATTTGCTTATTGGTGGCATGTATATCTTCTTTTGAAAAGTATCTGTTCATATCCTTTGCCCACTTTTTAATGTGGTTGTTTCTTTGTTTGTTTGGCTTGTTAATTAGTTTAAGCTTCTTACGTATTCTTTACAATTATGTAATGCTCTTCCTTGTATTTTTTGATCATTGATGGCTTACAGGTTTTTTTTCCCCTGAAATTAGAATAGCAACCCCTGCTTTTTTGTTGTTGTTTTTCATTTGTTTGGTTGATTTTTCTCCATCCCTTTACTTTGAGCCTACCAGTATCATTGCAAGTGAGATGGATCTCTTGAAGACAGCATTCAGTTGGGTCTTGCTTCTTTGTACAACTTACCACTTTGTGCATTTTAAGTGGAGCATTTAGCTCATTTACTCTCAAGCATATTATTGATATGTGTGGATTTATTCCTGTCATTTTGTTGTTAGCTGGTTAATATGCAGACTGGATTGTGTAATTGCTTTATAGTGTCATTGGCCTACATACTTAAATGTGTTTTTGTGGTGGCCAGTAGTGGTCTTTCTTTTCCATATTTAGCACTCCCTTAAGGACCTCTTGTAAGAAGGTCTGGTGGTAATGAAATCCCTCAGGATTTGCTTGTCTTAAAAGGATCTTATTTATCCCTTGCTTATGAAGCTGGATTGAAATTCTTGATTGGAATATTTTTTTAACAATGCTGAATATATGCCTCCAATCTCTTCCTGTTTGTAGGGGTTATGTTGAAATATCCTCTGTTAGTTTGATGAGGTTCTGTTTATAGGTGACCTACCCTTTCTCTCTAGCTGCCTTTAATATTTTTTCTTTCATGTTGACCTTAGAGATTCTGATGACTATATTTCTTAGAGATGGTCATCTTGTATGTCTCACAGGAGTTTACTGCATTTTCTGAATTCGAATATCAGGATTCCTAGTGAGGTTCAGGAAAATTTCATGGAGTATATTCTGAAATATATTTTCCAAGTTGCTTGCTTTCTCTCCCTATCTTTCAGAGATGCCAATGAGTCATATATTTGGTCTCTTTACATAGCCTCATATTTCTTGCTGGTTTTGTTCATTCTTTCTTATTCCTCTTTCTTTGTTTTTGCTGGACTGAGTTGATTTGAAGTACCAGTCTTTGAGCTCTGAGATTTTTTTCCTCAGAAAAAATCTGCTGTTTATTCTGCTGTTAATAGATTCTCTTGAATCTCAGTGATATTCCTTCCTATCCAGATTCTGAATTCTATATATTTCATTTTAGTCAGTTCAGGCTCATTAAGAACCACTTCTGGGAAACCTGTGCAGTTGCCTAAAGGTAAGAAGATACTCCGGCTTTTTGAGTTGCGAGAGTTCATGCACTGGCTCTTTCTCATTTACGTGTGCTAATGTTCATTTAATTTTTGAAGTTGCTGTCCTTTGGACAGGGTTTTTGCATTTATACTTTTTGATGCCCTTGAGAGTTTGAGTGTGGTATAAGGTGGGTTCAGTTGGACTGGCTTCATATCCCTTCCCCAGGAGCCACTGGTTTTCAAGAACAAGTTCCAGTGTTTGATAATGTTGGGGAGTATTCCCAGATTCCTCCTCCTTTAGCCCAGTGTCAGCATCCTCCCTCAATCCATTCTCAGTGCCTTCCCACTGAAGATTTGCTCAAAGTTACCGGTCTTCCCAGTGGTGTGGTCTCTTACTAGGTGATATAGTTCCTGGCTGCATCTAGGCAATCATCTTGGCTTGAATTTCTAGAACATTTTTAGAACATTTCATTTTAATTTAAAAATTTTACTTCATCCTACTGGAAGAAAGCATTCTATTAATGTTTCATTAATTCAGTGTGTTTCTCAACACAATATTTAATTTGTGTTGGTAATTGTGTATTGATTATAATATAAAAATTATTAAGATTTTTTATTTTGTATTTTTTTTTTAATTTCTTTCAAATTTTTATTTTAGATTAAAGGAGTATATGTGCAGGTTTGTAACATAAATAAATTGCATGTTGCAGGGGTTTGGTGCACGAATAATTTTGTCACCAATATTATCAGCATAATATCCAATAGATAGATTTTCAATCATCACACGTGTCCCACTCTCCACCTTCAAGTTGGCCCCAGTGTCTATCGTTTACTTCTTTGTGTCCATGTGTACTTAATGTTTAGCTTCCACTTATAATTGAGGGCATGCAGCATTTGGCTTTCTTTTCCTGCATTAATTCACTCAGGATAATGGTCTTCTAACACAGTACAGATTACTAGACTAATCATGTCGAAGACTGTATTAATGTCCTCACATTTTTGACATCCTCTTCTTCATATAGCCTTATGAGCTCTGAAAAACATTAGTACTTTTATTTACTTCATTGGGGTATTTATTATGTACTATAAGATTGGCATACGTTAGTATGCATTTTTGTCAAAACTAAGATAAGCATTGTGTAGGAAATTGTGTTTCTTCCAGGAAAGGCTAATAACTTGACCTATATGCTCTGTACCTGCCTTAGTTCTTATTGCTGTGTAATAAATTACTTCCAACAAATCAACTAAAAACAACAAATATTTGCTATCCTCTGCATTTTCTCAGGGTCAGAACTCTGGAATGGTTTTGCTGAGTGGTCTATGTCAGAGTCTCTCCTGAGTTTGCTATAGAGATTTCAGCAGGAATTACTTGTGAAGCCTTGACTATATGAGAGGATTCTCTTCCAAACTCACTTGCATGGCTTTTGGCAGTAGGCTTCAGTTCCTCACCACATAGGCTTTTCTTGCAGGCAGCTTAAGATTTTGATTCTCTGAGAAAAAGAGAGACAGGCAGGGAGGGAGGAAGAGAGAGAGAGAGACAGAAAGAGAAAGAGAGAAAGAGAAACTCAAACAGAAATTTTTACCTTTTAAAGCCTAATAGCTAATTTAGAAGAGATATATCATCTCTTCTCCATATTCTATTTGTTTTTCAGACTATGCCTGGTAAAATATATGAGTGTGACTATCAGAAGGCAGTTATCCTTGGAAACCGTCTTGGAAGCTGCCTACCACAATCTCTTGTATTGCTACTTTGGTTGTTCCTTCTCTTTTCTGCAAAATCTCTGTGTTTCTTTGTTATTTATAATTTCCATGAACATGCACAAAAATGCTTTTTTATATTGTTAATTTGAGGATCAAACAAATTTTAGCATCAAATGTCACTCAATAGTAAACATTGTTTCTCTACTACTTGTCATAGCCAAATTTCTATAATTATTTACCATGACAAATTAGTTGTTATCACATATTTTTGCCAAGTTCACTTGGCTTTCCTTGTTCATACCTCATTCCTTATTCAGTTCACTCTAACCAGACTTCCATTTGCATGACTCTACTAAAGCATGGATTTTGCAAGGATTATTAGAATTTTTATGAGGCCAAATCCAATAGATTAAAAAAAAAAGTTCTCATTTTACTATATGCTTAGCAGCATTTGGGGTGATACATCACTTTTCTCTTCTTTAAACATTCTCTTCTCTTGCCTGTCCTTGTTTTCTTTTCCTAGTCTATAATTACTACTTCTTCTCTCACTTGTGGCCTCTAACTCACATCTGCACACTTAATATTATGGAGTTTTTCATAGTTTGGTTCTTATTCAGGCTTCCTACCCTTTTTCTTTACAGTCTCCTCCTCATTCACTTATATATTTTTAATTATTATGCAGATTCTAGGCATGTAATACAAGAATATACATCTATTACCTTGACCTAATTCTCAGATATGTACTCTAAGTATACAAGTTTCTTCCTGACAATCCTATAAGAATAGGTCAGTAATAGTAAATATTTTGTTATCAATATTATCTCTTATTAACATGTTGTTCTGTCAGACTTCCTCACATCATCAAGTTGTAGTAGTTTTCATCCAGTGGCCCAAGCCAGGCATTTCATTGTTATATAAGGCAATCTGTCACCAAGTCCTCACAACCCTGTAACCAAAATATATCTAAACTACCTGGATTGGGCTTGACTGTGTCCCCACCCAAATCTCATCTTGGGTTACAGCTCCTATAATTGCCACGTGTTGTGGGAGGGACACAGTGGGAGATAACTGAGTCATGGGGGTGTTTTCCCCCATACTGTCCTCATGGTAATGAATAAATCTCACAAGATCTGATGGTTTTATAAGAGGAAACCCCTTTGGCTTGGTTCTCATTTCCCTCTTTGCTTACCACCTATAAGACATACTGTTCACCTTCTGTCATGATTGTGAGGCCCCTCTAGCCATGTGGAACTGTGAGTCCATTAAACCTTTTTCTTTATAGATTACCTAGTCTCAGGTATATTTTTATCAGCAGTGTGAAAACAGACTAATACAGTAAAATGGTACTGGTAGAATGGGGTGCTGCTGTAAACATACCCAAAAATGTGGAAGCCACTTTGGAACTGGGTAACAGGCAGAGTTTGGAACAGTTTGGAGGGCTGGGAAGAAGATGGAAAAATGTCAGAAAGCTTGGAACTTCCTAGAGACCTGGAGGGCTCAGAAGACAGAAAGATGTGAGAAAGTTTGGAATGTCTTAGAGACTCGTTGAATGGTTTTGACCAAAATGCTGTTAATAATATGGACAATGAAATCCAGGGAGAGGTGGTCTCAGATGGAGATGAGGGACTTGTTGATAACTGGAGTAAAAGTGACTCTTGCTGTGTTTTAGCAAAGAGACTGGTAGCATTTTGCCCTGGCGCTAGAGATTTGTGGAACTTTAAACTTGAGGGAGATGATTTAGGGTATCTGGCAGAAGAAATTTCAAAACAGCAAAGCATTCAAGAAGAGACTTGGGTGCCATTAAGAACATTCAGTTTTAAAAGGGTAACAGAGCATAAAAGTTCAAAAAATTTGCAGCCTGACAATGTGATAGAAAACGTAAACCCATTTTCTGAGGAGAAATTCAAGCCGACTGCAGAAATTTGCATAAGTAACGAGGCGCCAAATGTTACTCACCAAGATGGGGAAAATGTCTCCAGGGCATGTCACATACCTTTGTGGCTGCCCCTCCCATCACAGGCCTGGAGGCCTGGGAGGAAAAAATGGTTTCAAGGGCTGGCCCAGGGTCCCCCTGCTGTGTGCAGCCTAAGGACTTGGTGTCCTGTATCCCAGCCACTCTAGCCATGATTAAAAGAGGCCAAAGTACATCTCTGGCTATGGCTTCAGTGGGTGCAAGTTTCAAGTCTTGGTAGCTTCCACACGGTGTTGATCCTGAGGGTGCACAGAAGTCAAGAATTGGGGTTTGGGAACCTCTGCCTATATTTCACAGGATGTATGGAAATGCCTGGATGCCCAGGCAGAAGTTTGCTGCAGGGGCCGGGCCCTCATGGAGAACCCCTACTAGGGCAGTGTGGAAGGGAAATGTTGGGTTGAAGCCCCCACAAGAGTCCCCACTGTGGCACTGCCTAGTGGAGCTGTGAGAAAAGGGCCACCATCCTCCAGACCCCAGAATGCTAGATCTACCACCAGCTTGCACTGTGTGCCTGGAAAAGCTGCAGACACTTAATGCCAGCCCATGAAAGCAGCCAGGAGGGAGGCTGTACACTGCAAAGCCACAGGGGTGGAGCTGCCCAAGACCATGAGAACCCACCTCTTGCCTCAGCATGACCTGGATGTGAGACATGGAGTCAAAGAATATCATTTGGGAGCATTAAGATTTGACTGCCTCACTGGATTTTGGACTTGCATGGGGCCTATAACCACTTTGTTTTGGCTAATGTCTCCCACTTGAAATGGCTGTATATACCCAATGCCTGTACCCCCATTGTATCTAGGAAGTGACTAACTTGTTTTTGATTTTACAGTCTCATAGGCAGCAGGGACTTGCCTCATCTTAGATGAGACTTTGGACTGTGGACTTTTGAGTTAATGCTGAAATGAGTAAGACTTTGGGAGACTGTTGGGAAGACAGGACTAGTTTTGAAATGTGAGGACATGAGATTTTGGAGGGGTCAGGGATGGAATGATATGATTTGGCTGTGTCCCCACTCAAATCTCATCTTGAGTTGTAGCTCCCATAATTCCCATGTATTGTGGTAGGGACCTGGTAGGAGATCATTCAATCATGGGGGCAGTTTCTCTCATACTATTCTCATGGTAGCGAATAAGTCTCACAAGACCTGATGATTTTATAAGGGGAAATCCCTTTTGCTTGGTTCTCATTTCTCTCTTTGTCTGCTGCCATGTAAAATGTGCCTTTTGCCTTCTGCCATAATTGTGAGGTCTCCCCAGACACATGGAACTATGAGTCTATTAAATCTTTTTTTTCTTTATAAATTGCCCAAGATTAGGTATGTTTTTAGCAGCAGCATGAAAACTAGACTAATACATACCTTCACCTATTTTAATTTTCAGTGACAATTCTCAGTTCAGATAACTACCACAACAGTACTACATTTTGTGTTTTCTCATTTTTTTGTGGAGCAACCAAAATAACTTTAATAAAAGAAAAATATATCATGTTGTTCTCAGCTTAAAATCTTCAGTGTCTTCCCTTTGGACATAGACAAAAGTTGCTATGTTATTCTCTACCAAGACTAAAAAGTTCATGCATTATCTGGCCTCTTTCTACTGCTTAGGGTAATCTATTTCTACTCCCCTGTTGGCTCATTATAATTTAATCATAATTCTCTTATCTATCTCAGTTTCTCAAACAAATCAAGCCCTTTTTTTATAGGCTTCAAACAGTTTGTTTAAATCTACATAAAAAGCTCAGTGTTTAGGATAAGAGAAAGATAATCAGTAAAAGCATAAATGGTAAGCAGTAAGATAATTAAAATCATACTATGTGCTTGCTAAATAATCCAATTTTCTATGAAATAAGTGTTAAAATTCCCAGTCTGCTTGGAAGTGGAGGGGTGGGGAGTTTTTCTTGCATGGTTCAAATAATCAAAAATCTCTTGATTGATTGATTTTGTTTTATTTTATTTTATTTTATTTTTGAATTGGAGTTTTGCTCTTGTTGCCCACGTTGTAGTGCAATGGCTCAATTTCAGCTCACCACAACCTCTGCCTCCCAGGATCAAGCAATTCTCCTGCCTCAGCCTCCCGAGTAGCTGGGATTACAGACATGTGCCACCATGCCTGGCTAATTTTTGTAATTCTAGTAAAGATGGGGTTTTACCACATTGGCTAGACTGGTCTTGAACTCCTGAGCTCAGCTGATCCACCTGCCTTGGCCTCCCAAAATGCTGGGATTACAGGCATAAGCCACCACACACAGCCTAAAAATCTCTTGATTTAGTGTGCTCAAAAGAACAGAAATGTATTTTTCAGATATGTGGATATATGGGTAGCTCAAATGCTGGAGGTTAAGAGGAACAGTTGGCATGAATTAAGGACTGGAATAAGAAACTAGTAAGCTGGTAGAGAGCAAAGGATATACATTCTGAGTCTATCTTTCTAGAGCCTTATGTTCTCTTTCTTCATTTGTGTTTATGTCTAGATCATTCTCTTAATCTATTATTTGACTTTATATCTCTTTATTTTCATATATTGAAAGACAGCTGCTTCACATTGTACAAGTCCTCAGAGCCCATCAATCAATGATTTAGTTGATTTCTGATTCCCATTTCCAAATTTGAAGGATGAAGTACTGAGAGTCCCAGTATAGATTAACTTTATACTTCTGCTCCGATCACCAATGGACTGGTAGACAGAATGATATAAAAAGCCAACGCAGAGCCAATTTATCCCTCCCAGGGGATTCTTGTAAAAGGGGTATAATGTGTTGGTCAGAAATACCAAAAAACACTATTACAAACCTCTTCAAATATGGTTCAGATATAAGTTTTAGCATTATATACCACCTATTCTTCCCAATGCTTCAGTCATATAATAAAGTTTCTACTGATAAAGACCACTGATTGGTAAACGATACACTTGGATTTTGTATTTAATATACTCTCAATGTCCAACTACTTGAGAAAGCCTGAACTTTAAATAAAAGTGTATTACAAAAGGCTAATATGCAGAGCATATCCATACTAATAAAAGGCCTACTCTAGCATCTATAAATATTTTTTCTGTATTTGTGTGCTGGTTCCATATTAGGTTCTCAAGATACCCTACCTCAGATTTTCCCTGTGGTTATTGTTCTTGCCAGGGATCTTATACCTGATAAATCCCTACTCTGCTTCTACCTTACGAAATACTTTGGAAGATTTTCTCATGTTCTCTAAATGTATCCCCTGACTTAGGATCTTCTTGTGTCTTTATTGACAGTTCACATACTTGCCTAACTATATGATAAAGATAAGAACCTCAACATACTCTTTACAAGGCAGATATGCATACATTCTACTCTGTGGTTTAATTCGTCCTGATATTTCTGCTTGAACTTTTCTCCCCTTTTTAATGCCTATCAAAATCCTTTTTCAAAACTCAAATTAAAATTTACTACCTCAGAAACATCTTTTGAAAATTTAATAATAAAATATAGTGGCTAGCTTTTTGTAATTTCATAATTTTTGATTGGACTTACATCAAAGGTTTTCTTCACAGATGGTCTGGAGTTTTGGATAAACGTTTACCTGTCTTGTCTCCTCTGCATGACTATTTCCTTGAGAATAGAAAATGTTTTGCTTTTCTGGTAGCGAATGACCTCACATAATACAGAAACTGGCATAAAGCAGGCACTTAGCCAGGATTTGGTGAGTGAATGAGTTGCTTCAGTTCTCTTTTCACTACTTTAATATAAATCATAAAATAAATGAGATGCATTATGAGACTGCACCCATTCAGACTTGAAAATATAGTAACAAAGAAGCTTATTAACATGAGCAGTCCATTTGACACGTTGAAAAATTAGAATATTCTTAAAGAAAACCCTTCATCTTTATTTTCTTTTAAGTAAAGTTCTGCATGCTAAAAATCATAGCTTATTTTATTGACTAGATGCTTTGGAAAAAGCAGCTAAGTAATAAATTTGTAAATACCAAGAAATCATAGCTTACAAAGAGTTAAAAATCATCATGGCTTTGGGAGAAGAAGTTGTGAATAAATTCTAAATTCCATTAATTATAGGTCTTGGGGTATAGGAAGAAGTACTAAATGTAATATATTTAGACTTTAATACAGCTTTCATTTCTGTGTGATATATGTATTCTGAAACTGAAAAATTTGGCTTTATAATTATAATGTTAAGATGGAAGATTTCATTTACATATAGTCATTCTTGATTCAATTATGGATTAAAAGAGTAGTCCCTAGTAACTATCTAATGATCTGCAAGCTAATGACTGAAGTACTAGGTTAATATTGTCTAAGTATTTCTGAATCTCTTCCTAAAAATTCTAAGGGGTGGCAAGGAAAGTGTTAGTGAGAAAAATAATAATAGTAAGAATATGTTTAAAAACTATCATTTTTAAAAACAGAATATGTGGCCAATAAGCTGGCATTTTCTCATTAATCTTTCAGAGTGACTGTGAAAGTCTGGTATTCCTACCTCCATTTTTACAGAAAAAAAAATAGCTGAAATTCTAAAAGTAAAGTGAATTACCAAAGATTATACCCATAGTATATGACAAAGCTGAGATTCAGTTTTGGATTTCTGTCTGATTCAGAAATCAATAATTTTAGTCATTATGCTTCTACTGTCTTTTTAAACACAATAAAATCAAACAAGAAAGTTGTTTTTTATTCTTTGCAACATAAACTGACATTTATTTGTGCATAAATTGCTCATAACTCTGAATACTTGTCAAAGCTATTGTTTTATTTATACTAATTTGTTTGAGGTTTTTTTAGGAATAAAAGAAAAGAAGATGACAGAGCAGCCACTTTTATTTTGCTTGAATCTCTCTCAAATACTTCCCCAAATAAGACCAAATGGGATATTTGTTTTTGTGTTTTTCAAAAAATCATGGAATGGAAGATACTTGTGGTAGTTTTGTATTATATCAATTTAGCTAAGTTTAAATTATACTTCACAAAGTGTCCTTCCCTGCAGAATTAAGAGGAGGTCTAAATCATGTTTTGTTTGAAATTTAAGACAGAGGTGAAGCAGCGGATTTCTTCTTCTACTTACCAGGTTTGAGCCAACCATGAGACGCTGTTGTCTTTCATGCTTCTGTGGCTTATCTGCTATCTTGCTTTGTTGGATGAGGAGGAAGCTGGACTTGCAACAACTCCAACCGTTATATCTCTTAGACAAGGTGTACCTTTAGTTCCCTGGGGAAGGCAGCTGGACTATCAAGTATTACCTAGGCTGAGTGCTTCAAAGTAATGACAGAATGACAAGAATGACATTCATCCTCAAAAAACGATCAATCTGTCCTTCTTTTACTTCATTCATGTACATCATTTCTTCCTAACCACCAGTTCTGCTTCAGGTTGCCACACACACAGAAGTAATGATTATAGATTGTTTAACCAGTTTCCACAATTGTCTAAATCAAATCTGTACACCAAATTTCTTATTATATATAACTTCTTGTGGTTCCACTTGTCTGATAAAATCATAACTGATGCAACATCCTAAACAAAATTTGATGATAAGAAATCTCCACAAATTCTATGAAATTAGTAATAGTAAACCCACAAACTTTTGTGGCACTGGCACAAGATAAGCAGATATATGCCCTCAGTAGGCAATGTAAAATTATTTTTTACAATAGAATTCCAGCTAATACATGTGGAAGAAATAGAATAGGAAAATTAAAGTTTTGCAACTCCTAATGAAATAATTGATTCAGGGAAAGATTATTAATTGGTGAAAACATTAAATGAACTATTAAGGAGGAAGTTGTGATGGTAGAAGTAGGAGCTGGCTGTCATCACCTCAACCTGAAGATTATTCTTATTACCGAGAGAGGAAAAACCAGACATATATTCCTCTGTTATTCCATTCAGGCAGCTATTACAAATACTTTATACTGGGTAATTTATAAATAATAGAAATTTATTGCTCAGTTCTGGAGGCCAGGAAGTCCAAGATATATGTGTATATTATATAAAATACATATTCATAATGTGCATATGTTATGTATACATATAATTTTTCCCTTTAATTTTTTTTTAATTTTTTTAACTTTATTTTAAATTCACGGGTACAACTGCACATTTGTTACATAGGTAAACTTGTGTCATGGGGGTATTAATAATATATATTATATAGCCTACACATATATGCATTTTATGTATGTAAATTACATTTATATAATATTCTATGTAGGTATACATAATACTACCCAATTAAATATACAAATAATGTCCTCATGTCTGCAGTACATTGAGATATTTTAGCGGTAAGCTTTAGCTCCTCTAATGACTGATTGAAGGGTTAAACTTGCAAAGATGCTACCGTTCATTGAAGGAAGGAATATTGTACTTTTTCCTTTCTTTTTGCTATTTTTAGTGTGGTGATATCTGTGACTACTCTTCTATAATATTTTTCTAGATACACAGTTCTACAAGATGTATTGATACAACATAACTACCTATTATTAAAATAAGTTATGAGAAACAGAAACAAGACATGAGTTGTTGTACACATCTATGTGACTGATTCAGTGTTGCAAGCTTGTGTCATGACCATGACATGTGGAGAGATTCTCAGAGAGTGGAAGAGAAATGAATCAAGCCAAGGGTTTTCAAAACATTGTTGAAAATGCTGTTAGAAAAAAAAATCTATATAGCAAATATATAAGTCTATGCCCTATGCTATTTAAAACCTGCCAACAGATATTTTATTACAGATACTTTATTACAGATGTTTTATTGATCTGATAGAATAAATAAAAAATAATGTTTTATATTTTAATCTATAATTGCTTGATGATGATATGTTATATGTCAGATTAATGTATCTGTTTGTGGTAGCTTATAAAATACTCTCCAATGAATGCTGCCTACTGCTATTCACACCTTGATATAGTCCCCTCCTGATGTGATGTGAAGGGAATACACTATTTGCTACACTATCCATTCACTTCTAATGAATAGAATTTTATAAAAGAGATGGAAATCACTTCTGAGATCAGGTTTCTATTGGACTGTGCTTTCTGACTTGGGTGTTCTCTTTTGCTCTCATGCTTGCTTTCTCTGAATGAGCTTCCTGTTCAGTAGGGTATATAACCTACTGCCCCCCTGACTGTATCTGGCCCATGCCACAGGCCTGATCATGCTATCCAACTTATCCAGAAAAATCTGCTTGGACATCAGATACTACCTAAGACTCAGCTTTGACACTAATTGAATTGAAGGGAACAAGTCACCCCTGGGAAAGCTGGTTAACTGGAACAACCTGAAACCCCAGAACCGGATATACGACAAAATTATTGAACATTTTTGGCATATTTGCATATGACAAAACTGGCTGGCTGTTCTCATAATATGTTTCCCTTTTCTTTTGGGAATACACCTCTTGCTAGACTCTTATTTTCTAGCCTTCTCCTTAGTTGGGTATGGTCTTGTTGCTACACGGCTAAATTCTGATTTTTGATTGATTGTTATCCTTTCTTTTTTTCAGAGGATCCAGATGGCCACAGATTTTTGACACTCCTCCTATTGAGAGGTTAGAGAGTTTAGAACTAATTTCCTTTTTTTTTTCTTTTTTTTGTCTGGGCGCTAAGCTGAGTGACATGCTTGACCAATAATATGTGGTAGGAGTTACAATTTGGAACTATAGAGTCTAGATTATAGAAATGTTGCAGATGTTGCAGTTCCTACTATAATTTCCTTACATACTTACTCTGGGAGAGTGGTTTATATAAGGAATTTGACTATCTTGGGATGGCGATTATATGAGCAAACATACATTACCCATATAGCGAGGTCATGTGGGGAGAAATATAGCCAATCAGTATCTATTTTTTTCAGTAATCTCAATCCACATGCATTAATAAAGATGTCTTCATATGATCCCAGCTGTGACTACCAGAAATGTAATGAAAATAATAAATCGTTCTAAGTCACTTCAAGTTAAGGCTATTTGTTTCATAGTGTTAGGAGACTGGAACAATGAAGGGCTAGTTAAGGGGAAGGCAAAGTTACAAGCTGAAATGGGACTAGTCCCTTAAGTGACAACATCAAAAGTTGCCAAACCAAGAACACTGCCATTTCACTGGATGAGTGAGAAAGAAACTTTAGTTGTAAAAAACCAATGAAAATTCAAATATAATATGTTTCTGCAGTCAGCATTTTACCTTAATCAACATATTCCTTAGAATTGAATCTTTAATTTTTGGGCAGATTATTCTGGCAGAAAAATCATATCTAAAAAGTCTCTTTTGGCTTTAAGTAGTTCCAACTTTCATAATTTTCTTCACTATAGTTAATATAAAAACATCTCTCAAGTCTTGGTTTAATTTGTCCAAAGCCAAAAATTTGAACAAAAAGACAAACCACCGTTTACAAGTGATGGCCTTTCAATTATTTAAAATAAATAAATAAACCTCCCTGGGGCATTTACTTCCTGGTGCAATGCCCCTAAATCTGCAGGTTTCTTTATCCTTTGCAATTTTAAATGTAAATTATCTGAATGTATTTCAATGTGACTTTATGATGTCCAGAAATATTTAAAAGAAGAAAAAGCAATGAATACTTACTCCATGGTTTTATACATATACAGTAGAGGAATTACTGCTTCCCCTACCCACACCATTCTAAATAAATTGATATTTCCTATAATTTTACTTAGAGTTTTTGTTGTTTTATCCATGATTCATGTGTGCTTCTTCTACAAAAAAGCATAAACAAAAAATTTGTCTTTCTTAAGTATATTAACATTTTTATTCAATTTTTTTTTTTTTGAGACAGAGTCTTGCTCTGTTGCCCAGGCTGGAGTGCAGTGGCATGATCTTGGCTCACTGCAAGCTCTGCCTCCTGGCTTCACACCATTCTCCTGCCTCAGCCTCCCAAGTAGCTGGGACTACAGGCACCTGCCACCACGCCTGGCTAATTTTTTGTATTTTTAGTAGAGACGGGGTTTCACCATGTTAGCCAGGATGGTCTTGATCTCCTGACCTCATGATCTGCCTGCCTCAGCCTCCCAAAGTGCTGGATTTATAGGCATGAGCCACCGCACCTGGCCAACATTTTTCTTCAATTCTTAATTGTACCAGTTAGATATTTATTTTCAAGTGAAAGTCTTTTCTTTTTTAAAAAAGATATTTTTAGGATGCAATTCATTATCATAAAGCCTTCTTGACTAATAATATTCTTATTCAATCAGTTCAACCCTAATCACTTTCTATTATACCCTAAAACAGGCATTTTCCAAGATCATCATCCAATTTATTATCATACCACTGAATAAGATCAGACTAAGGACATGAGATCTGTCACTTGAGACATCAATTTAGTTTGATAAAGCTAAACATACAGAAACACTACTTGAGTAAAATTCCTCAAAAATTAAGAATGCAAAAACATTACTATTATTAAAATGCAAGTTGAAATATGAATTGACAAAAATAAATACCTGACTTTCAAAATGAACCAGAATTATTACAATTTTTATTAGAAAATTGTTTCCTCTTTGTAACATAATCTTAATTTTCTATCATGGATTCCAGTTTGAAAGACAAAACAATTCCCCTCAAGACTGCAGTACTTAAATTATTTAAATTAACTTTAAATTGTGCTTTACTTTACAAGCCCAGAATCACAGCCACAACCTTACTGGAAAGCTTATAAAATTTTGAAATGCTCCAGTAATTTTAAATCTTGTAGGAGCCTGGTATCTTCCAAATTAAAGTGCTAATAAAAAAATTAGCACTGAAATTTAAATCTCCATGAGCAATACAAAATGATTTAAAATTATTGAAGCCTTTCAATTTTTTATGAGTTTTCTATGTGGAAGTGAATCAAGCAGATTCTTTAGGACCAAACTAGTCACTTAAAAACACTCAAACAATATCGTCAGAACTGAAAATTTTCCTAGAGGAAATACCTGCACTGCTTGTCAAACAGGACATGAAGGAAAACAATCAATAGCACACTTTTAAAAATATCATTTATGTGAGCCTCCTCAGAGTCCAATTGCTCTTATCCACCTGATTATCTGAAATTCCTCTGATGTCAGGCTCTGTACTTCAGATAAGGATCGGGGGCAAGGACAAAGAGTTTCTGGGAAATATACAGACACTGAGGACATGGAAATTGCTAAATCTTCTTTGTCTATCTGCCCTGAGTCTGAGACCCACTCAACATACATTAAGAGCCTTGAACACATCTTACACTGAACGTATTTTCTAATAAGGGAAATGACTCTCTTCTCTCTGTTAAAGGAAATGGGCATCCTACTGTATGAGTGCATTCTTATTTACAAGGCTAGTATATGCTGGTTTCAGCTATAGAAATTGTTACTTTGAGATGGTCTATTTTCCTTCTCTTACTAGATCAGAGGGTACAGCATCTCTTTTCCTGAAGTTATGAAACTTGCCAAAACCATCTCCTACAGATAGGGATGCACGTGCTCTGTTTTCCCATGTAGAGCAAAAAGACAAGCAGAGAGAGAAAATAAAAGTCTTGTGTCCATTATTACTATGCTTAAATATAAATTTACATTCCCCGTAAAAATCCCTTTCCTTTTCTTTAGTTCCTTAATGTCTCATCCTCTAGAAGTAACAAGGGATAGCTTTGAAAACTTCAGCATTGAGACTTCTCATAATTATCCTCCCTACAATTTAAAAAAAAAACACTTTTTAAATATTAGAAATGCCCAGGACATACTAAACCTGTGTTTGATTTGATAGGTTTCCATTGTAAAAGCCTATTGTTTATTTAAAAAGTCTTTGTTTTCTAAATACATAATTTCTTTAAAAAGAAGGAATATATGCTCAAGGTTCTATCCTCTAGGAAAGAATAATTTGTCATGTTTATTGTAGTATGTGAAATTTTAATGTTCAATGTTCAAAAATAAAACTTACTTAAGGAAGAGGTAAAAATACTGTACTTTCCAGAGATTCCCCTTAACTAGCAAACCATTCAAGTCAGAGGTTTGTGGTGTGTGTGTGTGTGTGTGTGTGTGCACTAGAATGGTGTTGGCCAGTGAGCAGATCTTAGATTTCCTATTGTATTTATTCTATTCCTATTTCTGGTGTTTCTTGGTCTGTTAATTATGGCTCAACTGCTGGCCATGGATGGATACAACCACCTTTAAACCATCCATCTATCCACTCTTTCTTTTTCTGGCCTCCAGGAAAAATAAAGTATTATTCTCTTTCTAAAGGATTTCCTACAATAGAATTGCAAAGATAATAGTAGCACAGGTTACTTTATATTACTTTCCTCTCTGTATCTCAGTTAATTAACTGATTTCCAAAATGCAGAGAGTGTGAAAGGTTGCTACACTCAGAAATCCAGAATCTTTTTTAATGTGGCAGGCTCCTTAGTTGTCCTCTCTCAGTGAGTCACTCTTCCTTAACTCCATCTGCTTACTCTCTCCTGTTTAATCTGGTTTAAGAACCAATTAAGCAGAGAATCTACAGTTTTATTTTTTAAATAAAGATATGATTTATGCATAAGAAAATCACAGATACTAAATTTTATTTTGTATTAGTTTTGGCAATTATATATACCTATTTAACCGCTACCTATGTGACAGAGAACATTTCCTTCATCACAGAAATGTTCTTGGTCAATCTGGCACCCACTACCCCCATGCCCAGACAATCACTAAACTTCACATAAATGAAATCATACAATATGTATTCTTTTTTGTGTGTCTTCTTTTGTTCACCATAATAATGGTCTTGATAGTATAAGACTATTAAATGGGATAATATATGTATATCTCACTATCAAGCACATGGTAAATGTTTGAGAAGTATTGTTTATGTAACAGCTTATTAAATCTGGATTTGTTCCATTTCAATTTTAACTGAAACTAAAAGCGAAAAGTGACAATTATTTTGTATTCAAAGAGCAAATAAGTGCAGGATTAGAAAAGAAAGACAAAAACATTTTTTGTGACCCTTGACCTCACATCTTTCCTGAGGAAAATTAAAGAGTTAAAGATGAAAAACTGACAGCATCATTGGAGGCAACACACACATCCAACCCCGCCCCCCTGCCCCCAACCCCGACACACACACATAGAGAGAGAGAGAGAGAAAGAGGAAAGAAAAAAAAAGGAAGGAAGGAAGGAAAGGAGGGAGGGAGGACAAAACAGGAAATAGAAAAAAAACACCTATAGGACAGAATTTTGTTGTGACAGTGGGTAGAAACCTACCTTGGGGAGTTAGCACACTGAGGAGGGATGAAAAGGGCATGTCTATCAGGGACCAGGAAGGAAAGCTTAATGCTGGATGTCCAAGGTGAAGGTAGTAAAATGGGGAAGTGTTAAAGGCTGTGAGGAAACCTCTGTTTTAAATATTTACTATGGCCAAAATAAACCAACACAAGATTGTCTTACAAGAAAGACTTTTTTGTCTCTTTTACCTCTCTCTTTCCTATTTTGACCCCAAAAGCAGTCGAAAACCATAATTCAGAAAAAGGCAGATTTAGGTAGAGGAAGAGAAGTTAATCAGCCAACCAAGACTCACTTCCTGCTCATCAGCATACAGCTTAAGGACTAAGGGAGCAAGGACAAGAGTGAAACTTTCATTTCAAATACTGTTAGTTTCCATCACTACATTGGACTAATTAGTTTTTAAATATTTCTAAAATCAGATATCTGCTCATTATTTGATTATTTTGAACTAGATATGAGAGAATATTTTGTATCTGAAAATGAGAGGATAACTTTTGTACCCTAACTTAGATTTCACCCAGGTAAAGAAGGGGGAAAAGTGAGTTTTATAGAGCATATTTAAACTACCATTGAGAGAGTGGGAAGCATACTTACACTATTATTACTTGAATGTATTTGTTGACTCCAGTTTCAGCTAGCTATCTTCTACATATCACTTAAAACATAAATCAGATGTAAACTTTTTAGCAACTTCTTGCATCCCCAGTTTAGTCTGAAATATGCGACCTTTCAGAGAACCTGCAGCACCCAGAGGCAAATTTTATCTGGACACTATCACTGTAAAGTATGCTTGCTTTTTTTATTGTAGACATTGCAGCAAGCCTAAAGAAAAAATAAATAAACATAGTTTAACTTCTGCATGGCCAGGTCCTTGAACATTTCCCAGTCCTGAAAATATAGTTGATAAGTGTTTATCTTGTAAATAAATAAAATGTGTACATTATGTGTCACTTGATTAAGTTAGATGCATACTTTATATAAAGAACGTATTTACTGTGTACTGGCCCAGGTTTTTATTTCTCTGCTATATGAAATACTAAAACTATATTTCAAAATCGCTTATATTTTCAAAATATAGGTGAAAGTTCTCTATGAAGAATTTTGCTTTAGAATAAAATATTATAATTAAATTATGTATTACATTAATGTGACTTTTTCTATCCAATCTTATTACATTATGAATCACATATTGTGTGTTGTAGTAGTCATGTATGGCTATATTTATTTTTCAAAGAATTGTTCTGCAAAAAATTGTGCTTCATCCAAATGTAATTATCCCTTATTTATTTTTTTTCCAGAGCAAAATACATGAGAGTTAATCTAATATCCTATATAATTCTGAATTCAGTTAGATAACAAGTAAAACCATCATGCATTTTAAGATAAGCACTGAATATGGAAAGGATGTACCTTAAGGACAAACCTTATCTAATTGATCTTAATGAGGTCATGTTAGAACAATACAAGCTTCAACTCAAATCTCAGGCTTTGACTTGATCTTGGCTTTTTTTATAAGTGTGTGTATGTCTGCACATGTGCTCTTCTGTGTGTATGTGTAGGTAACTTTGGTAAAAAGTTCTTCAACTCTAATGTAATTTCTGATATCTTTTACAACTCCCGTATTGCCCCAAACACTTACCTACTGCTTCCAGCCAGAATAAGCTTAGGGTGTAAGTTCAAATACTGTAGAGCTGCTTCTCTGTACAGCCCCATGACCCATCTGAGCGGTTTCTCTTTGAAATCTCCTTATCCTTTGTTTTGGTTTCTTCTCCTTAGTCTTAGTAGTCTCTTATTTCCTTTACTTACCACACTTTTCAAATGACTCTTTTCCTATGAAATAATTATCTATTAATGAAACAAAAAAATCAAGAATTTTATGTTATTTCTAGTACAGATCAAGAATAATAGCCCTCTCCCCAAATGTCCTTTAGGACTAAATTATTTAATAATCCTTAGAGACTAAATTATTTAGAGTGGGGTAGGGGTGGATAATTACTATTTAGAGCAGTTTTATGCATGATTGATTTGATCAGCCAAAGTTAGAAACCAACTCATTAGAACAAGTGTAAACGAGCATGTGTTGAAATGTTCTGCTATCATATTTAAATGCATAACTAAATAGCATTATTGAGTAGTTCTCCATTTCTCTCAGTGTATAGGAGCTCATCTTCCAATGGCAAAATAGATTTCTCTATAGATTAAATATTGTGCTAGGGAAACTCAATGTCAGAAAATAAGCGTGAACAATTCATGAGACATGCAATACCTACTATACTCTAAAGACTTGAATATATCGTAAATCTTAAAGTAAGTGTTTACTAAGACAGAAGATTTTTAATTTATATATTTAAATACAATTTCAAAGAGTTGCTATTACTAGAAATGCCCTGACCTCATATTTCATGTCATAGTTAAGGCTATTCTGAATCCACCTAACAAAGTCTAAGCCTGTTAAAAATATCCATAAAACTTAACAGGAATTGGGTAATGTATTTATACTTAATGAAGCAAAAAAAAGACTTAATTGAGTCTGAAAATTCTTGTATTTCATGAGTGGTTTATGGAAGTTGAGATATGAGCTGAGTATGCATGTTAAAAAAAAGTACAGTAAAATTTTAATTGGCACATCTCTACTGAAGCAAAAATTTGCCAATTAAGTAATATTGTGATTATTGTGCTAGAATTTGATTTTAGACAGTATTCTTTTCAACAGTGGCAACAACGTTTGCTGGGAATAGTAAAAAAATTAAGGTGACAGCTTTGGTGGCAACGGTGCAAAAATATTGGGTAGACCAATCTACCGTTAATACCTCCTTCTCCAAGTACAAGAAACTTTCAGTAACCTTCTAAAGACATTCTTAAGATTAGAAAAGGGTTTCTGACTTGAGGTTATTTTCTAATAATATCTAAATACATCCGAGAAAAGAAATACCTTTAACCATTTATTCATAATTATTTTGTAAGTTTGACATCGAAACTAACAGAGGATGGGACCAGCCATAATTGATGCTGGGTATCAAAAGCTGTATCTTTGAGGAGCAACTGAACAGCAGCTCTAGCAAAGACATCTAATGGGAATAAAACTTGAGTAAATGCATAGAAGATTCAGAAATGCTTAAAATTAAAGAGACATGTGTGTTTTTAAAGACATTCAAAAGAATTCTATTATTTTAATATGGAAGGAACACTTTACATGTGAATTCACTGCTATATTTTTCTGAAGAATTTATAAACATTATGCCACATATCAAAAACAGGCAATTTAAAACTTTAAACAAAGTTCCTTTGGCATAAATCCGTATGAAATATTAGATATTTCAGAATTTCTGAAAATGAAGTTAGTGAGATTTATAAACAGCGAAAATATAAAACATGAGAAAAGGTATGACCCAAAAAAACAATTACAACGTGATTTCTGGGCATATCAGGTCAGTAAACTTCTATTTAATGATATATGAATCCTTTCAGTTATATTTACAAAAATAAATAATGGAAGAAAAGTTGAAGATGAGTCATATTTACAAAAATTTCAACTTACTAAAAGTGATTAATAAATATTTGGTACACTAATGTTTTGGTAAAAATTATTAATTTTTTCAGTAAATTTTCAGAAATTTAATATATGTGAGGCACTGCTAGGCATCTTGACATTAACAGTAAATATATATTGATGATGCATATCTTTATGGAGTCTATGATTTATTAAGAAAGCATTACATATACAGATTATCATATCATGAAGCCTAATAAGATGACTATAACTGAAGTAAAACAAATATAGAATGTAATAAAATTTTGTAGTTGGGAGCAAGACATTTTATCTCTAGAACAGGGGAAATGAAGACACATAGAGTTTAAGCAGCCAGACTGACATAAAACTAGTGGACAGGGCTAACTTACACATGAGGCACAGAAGTGCGGAGTCTGGGGCTCATCATGCCTTTAGATACCTACAAAAATGTTTATTTTCTTACAAAATTAAAAGAAAAAATGAAATTTTAGATTAAGGAAAATGTTTTAATATATACCATTAATATATTCATCTTTATATTATGGCAGTATAAACTATTTTTATGATTTTATTAATAAAATAAGGGGTTCATGAAGACAAAATGCCCAGGGTCCATAAGTGATAATGCGGCCCTGCTGGTGGGATTCTAATCCTGGCTCCATCTTTTAGCAGACGTAGCATGCTGGTCACTCCATACGTCAATTATCCCACAATGAAGCAGTGATAATAATTGTACTACTTTCATAAAGTTGCTATGAATATTGAGTGAATTATTACATGCAAAATTCCTTGAACAGTATCTGGATTATACTACAATTAAAAATCAGCTGTTGTATTGTCATTTTGATCATCCCTGAAGATTGAATAAGGTGGAGAGAAGTGAATGGGATGTTTGGGAGAATATCAATTATGATGGTTGAACAATGGCATTGGTTGTATATAGAGCAGCATTGAGATAAATCTGGTATTTGATCATGGGTGACCTTAAACTCTTGTTGGGAAACTGACTTGCTATAGACCTTACAGAGTAAGGCAATGGAAAGCCACTGGAGCATGCAGTAAGCTAATTAGCCAGAATGTGCATGATGATTTGAAATGTTAAAGACTAGAATAAGGGCAAAAATGGAAGCATTATAAACTCGAAAAAGAATGGAAGAAAAGTTGAAAAAGATTAAATCTGAGAAACTGCTTGAGAGATTGATTTTGATGCTAAAAAGAAGGAAAGAAGTTGCTTTTTTTAAAAAAGTAACTCCTACATTCTGAAGGAAATTTAACTTGCTCTCTAATTAAAGAAAAGTTGGAACTTACCAAGAGACATTTGGAGATTTTTTTTTCTAAGCTTGGAACCTGTATTTGTCAACTTTATAACTTAATTGGGCTGCAGGGCTGACAAATTGATTCTTCTTGCTCCTAATTTATTTAATTCAGTTTTCACAATTAGGCAAGCAATTAATCAATGTTGGAGTCATTAAGATTCATTGCATTGAAATAGTGCCCTGACAATCATCCTAAGTAAGAACTGTGCAATTTATCAGAAGGCAGATGCCCTGAAAGATCTTAAGTGTACAATACTTAAGATAGTAATAGGTGTGATATTCAGTATTTTAACTTCACCTAAAATTGTAGAATGAAATTGAAATAAATACCTTGTTTTACTTTGGTTCATCTCACAATCTTACCTAGAAATAAAATAATATTTACCTATAAGTTGTTAAGATAAAACATGAAGCAGTGTAATCCTGTGTAACAGGATTATAAAAGAATAGTTGTCTGATGCATTAATTATTTATTTTCAATAATATGGAAAACACAGCTTCTAGACAGTTAAGATTTAAGTTTAGAATGGCAAGCTTCTCTATATAATATTATAAATACAATTTTTTCTTTATGGTATTTTATTTAAGGCTGTATTGGACATTGGAAAAATATTAAATTTAGGATCAGTGAATCTGTATTCTAGTGAATTCTAACATACAAAAGCTACGTATTCCTGTAGGCCAGGCATGGTGGCTCACGCCTGTGATCCCAGCACTTTGAGAGGCCGAGGTGAGCGGATCACCTGAGGTCAGGAGTTTGAGACCAGCCTGACCAACATGGTGAAACCCCATCTCTACTAAAAATACAAAAATTAGCCAGGTGTGGTGGTGAGCACCTGTAATTCCATCTACTTGGGAGATGAGGCAGAAGAATTGCTTGAACTCTGGAGGCAGAGGTTGCAATGAGTCGAGACCGTGCCATTGCACCACAGCCTGGGCAACAAAAGTGAAACTCTGTCTCAAAAAAAAAAAAAAACAAAAGCAAAACCCCAAAGCTATATATTCTTGAGGAAAAAACTCATACATACATACATACATAAATGAAATGATGACACTTTTCTATTTATCTTTGGCCTTTGAGCCCTTACCAAAATTGATATCCCAAACATTGAGATAAAGTATTATTATCTTGGGTTTCTAATATATCTAATTCTTCTGTTTCAGTTAACCTACCCCAAGCTTTAAAAAAATGTAATTATCTTTATTCTAAGGGTTGTTCTACCTGGGTGCCTCAAGTCTTTCTTCAAAGATTCACTTCTGTACTGTCATAAAGCCAAATCTTATTCTATTACTCCTTGCATTTTTCCAAAAATGTTCCTTTTTTTATATACTTTGAAGGCACCCCTAAATCTTTTGTACTTTCATTCTGTCAGTCTTCAGACAGTGTATTCATGTCAGTGATCGGAAGATATGCCCTAGGAGTCTCAATTAATTGCTATTAAATCTGAAGCTGCTTTGTCAGAATTGTGTAGGGTTATAAAGAGCTGGTTCATAACAGTGTTTTTTTTTTAATTACAAAGGATAAATACTTCTTAACCCCTTTTCCATTTAGAAAAAAAAAAGTGCAGCTTGCTTTCAGTGCTCACTTAATTTTACATTAGCACACTCTGAGGTTGAAGCAAATCTGACTGACTTTCAATGTGAAAATGAAATATAAAAACCATCCTTGGAGTTATTTGTAAACAAAACTAACATCAGAATCATCAGAATCACCAGAATCATCTATTTCAGAAAAATCAAATTCATCAAATGAAACTTCAGCCAACAACTGTTCGAGAATGATGTTAACATCACGCATAGAAATGCTACGTTTTCTAGGATTTGACATTTTCAGTGATCAAGTATTACTGTATTTTGTAAATTGAAATAACACTACGAGAAACAGAATGCTATAAATAGAATGACATCTTTTGTTCCCAAAGTTGATATACTAGAGGAACGTGAAAATAATAAAAGTGAGATGTTGTGTGGCAAAGTTGTCTCGGGGTAAATGCTGCAGCTGCAAGTGCCACTTGTGAGTATTCTCAGGGCAAACGGAAAAAGGGTTAATTACCAGAAATAGTTTTGCACTTATGACCAAATGGAGGCTGAATCTAAAATGTTTCCTGCTTGTGCTAGCATGAGAGTTAGACACATTCTCATTACCACAGGCCACAATGATTTCTGCATCTTTCATTGCCAGATTAGAATCTTATAATCTCTGCAGAGTTGACGAGGAGTCTGACTACTGTACATGCTGATATTTGTTGACAAAAAATAAAACCAAACTCTATAAAATATTTTAAAAGGTTTATTCTGAGCCAATGAGTGACTAGTCTGAAGAGTTCCTGATAAAGTGTGCCCAAGATGATTAGGTAACAGTTTAGTTTTATACATTTTAGGGAAACAGGAGTTACAAAAGCAAAGACTTAGTCCAGAGGCAGAGCTCAAGTTTAGAGACAATTATTGCCTTCTTAGAATTAAGAAACTCCTGACTATTCTACCAATTTCCCATAAATTATGAGTTTATGGAAGGTGTCCATTTTTTCAGCCTAACGAAGCAGGATTACTTGAAGGGAGAGGTTTACAGTTAATACGTGCATTCAGACATTTTCAGACTGGCAATTGACAGTAAGCCTTAAGCTTTGTCTAAAGACTTAAGAAGTTAGTAGAAATAAATGTTTGGGATAAGATAAGGAGGTTGTGGAAGTCAAGGGCCTTGTTATGTAGATGAAGTCTCATAGGTTGGCAACTGTCAGAGAGCAGGTGATATTATACCAGAGTCCAACTGAAACGTGGTATCTTATTGCCACAAATAGTCTGTTTTGTCAGTCTTATGGTCTCTATTTTAATGTTAATGCTGGTCAGCTGTGCCTAAACTCCAAATTGAGGAGTTATAACAAGGCATGTCTGACCTCTACTTCTATCATGCTCAGGGAATTGAGTTTTTCTGATTTTCCCTTGGCCTGGGGGTTGGGGGTTCCATTCAGTCAGCTGGGGAGGGTGTACGATTTTATATTTGGTTTACATATTGATGTTGTGATTGCCCAGTGGCTTTTCTACCTTTACGGAAAAAAAAAAAACTATCTCAGAGATCCACTTATAATGTTGATATTAAGTACTGTTTGCTACCTTTTAAGGGTCATGAAATACGACTCTCAGAACTTCAGGTTTTCTTTCCATTTTAAATTCACCAGTACCACCTCTGGACTGTTTCTCTTCCATTTTGTTTTCATTATAAAAACACTGTGTCCATTTTTTTTTTATTCAGTTGGTCTAGGGTAAGGCTGTGTTTATAATTTTAAAAAGCTATCATAGTTGATTCTGATGAACTTCAAATGGTGCATCAGAATCAGCTATGATAGCTTTTAAAATGAGCACAAATTAAAGATTAACATGTTTTTAATCTTTGTGTTAATCTTGACTGAATGAGGCCCTTAACTTTTACAGCTCCATTAAATAGTCATGCATTATTGATTTGGGATTCTCATATTGGGGCTTGAGTAGACACACATTGAACAGATAAAAGTGATGCTTTGGCAGATATGTTGTGTTCTGTCTAAATGTCTCTCTTCCTTAATACCTTGAAGGCATGTAGATTTCAACTTTAAAAACTCAATTCTAAGCCTCCCTAAAATCTCCCCTTGTGCCTTCCTAAGAATCTATAAAGAATTTTTCATTTCCAAATAAACTTGACAAATAGGAATTAGATGTTGAGAGACAATTATCCATAAATCTGTTTCTCTCATATGTTTATACATCTAGGAAGTCATAGGCCATGTGCTGCAGGACTATCTTTTCAGGATTGTTTGTATAAGCACGGAATTTTGAAAAGATAGAGACCTGGACTCCCCCCTAAGGCAAATTTATTTAAATTTCCAGATTGTAAAAATGAAGACATTATCCATCAAGACAATAAAAATAGAGACTCGTCACTTCTGTCTCCAGAGAGAGTTGCTTACATTTCAAGTTAATAAAGGCAATGTCTCTCTCAAGTGGGAAGGACGGGCAGGCTTTCCAGCTGTCCCTTTTTAAAGTCCCTCTTAAACTTGGAATTCCTCTCTTACAGCAAATATCCACTGCGTGCTTAGGCAATGCCTGACCCTTACCCATATTACTTGTAATATGTAACTGGGGTTCAGGAAGAGCTGCTACAATATTATTTTTGCTGCTGCTCTTACTGTAATAAATGTTTTTTTTTTATCACTGACCTAGACATTTCATATCTTTCTGCTAGTATCTATGAAACTATCATAGGTGAACTTGTTACTTTTCAAGCAGGATGGAATCTTAGACACGTTTCAGTCCTCACTTGACAGTTTAACATGAAATGTAGTTTCCCTTCTGAAAAAACGAACAGCAAACAGACAAAATATTTTTTAAAAATGAAAAAAAAAAGTGCTTTATTTAGTGGACATGAGCAATAAAGTCCAGTGATCTCTAAAACATGGGGAATAAATAAGGAAGCCCTATGATTGCCTCATCGTATAGTTACATAAGATTCCCCAGGCCACGCAGGGAGTAGTATCCAGTAGAGTATGTATTGGAATCCTTGTGTTGAGTAGATAAAAGTGAGAATTCAAGGATACCAAGGTGGCTAGAGATTTTCGAACAGATTACGGAGGAGAGCATGCTGATGAGTAAACTATCTGAAAGTGTGTGTGTGTGAGTGTGTGTGTGTGTGTGTGTGTGTGTGTGTGTGTTGGGAGGTGAGCAGTGGTGGGGAGAAGGATTATCATTTGAAAGGATTGGAGAAAAGTATCCAGTTATCACACAGATTCAGGATAGTGCCTGTCCCTAACAGTCAGATTAAAGAAACTCATAATTTATGGAAAATTGGTAGAATAGTCAGGAGTTTCTTAATTCTAAGTGCACAATGATTGGCTCTAAACTTGAGCTCTGCCTCTGGATCTCCCTAACAAAATGTAAAAGCAAGACCTGAATAAATTATAGTTTTTCTGAATAACTGTACCCCACAATAAAGATTATGAATATAAATATATCTAGCACCCAATAAGATAAAATCATAATGTCTGGCATCCCATCAAATATTATTAGACATACAAAGTACATCCATGAAAACATAATGAGGAGAATAATTAATCAATCAATCAAAACCAACCCAGCTCTAATAATATTAGAATGAATAGACAAGGATACTAAACATTTTTAATTGTATTCCAGATGTTCAAAATAAAGAGGCAAAAAAGTATAAAAAGGACTCAGTTATATTCTAAAGATGAAAACTGGAACATTTGAGAAAAACATACAAGATGAGACTGAGTGAAAATTAGATATGGGAAAAGAAAAAAAAAAACAGTGAACCTAAAGTCATAGCAATAGAACTATCCAAAATAAAACAGAGAGAGAAAAAATGGAGAATGAAAAAATTGAAAAGATCTGTAGACCAACTTCATGGGGCTTACTATACATGTGATTAGAGTCATCAATGGGGAAAGGGGAACAGAAAAAGTTTGAAGAAATAATAGCAAACCGTATCTAAATTTGATGCCAGCTTAAAACCCACTGGTCAAAGAAGCTCACTGATACTTAAGCATGATAAGTTTTGGGGATATGTTAACACAAGGATCTCTCAGAGTCTTTGTGATGCATAAATATTTGAGACATAGAAACAATCAGGGCTATATTTACTCTAATCGTAACTTAGTCACAAAACTTATTTACCACATACCAGACAATGTAATAAATTCTACAGGCATTATTTCATTTAATTTGGATGGCAGTACTTTTCAGTTGATATAATACTTGTCACTTCACAGGTAAGGAAAATGAAGTTATGAAGCTTAAGCGATTTGCCCAGAATTGTATATCTCTTAACTGTGCTCAAACATTAATTCTGGTTTAAAGAAAATATTATAATACTAATAATTCTACAGATCCATTTCAGATTAATAGGTTTTTAAAGTAAACTTTAAAGACTTATGTCTCATTAGTATATATATGAAGGGAAAGTGCTTTCAATAAGCAGATTAAGTAAATAAAATCACCGTAATGAGGTATTAGGTTGGTGCAAAAGTAAGTGTGGCTTTTTCCATTATAAGTGATGGTAAAAACCGCAATTACTTTTGCACCAAACTAATATATGCAGTATGGAATTGATGATAGTAATATTGTCTTACCTCTGCTAATGTTTTAAAGTTTGATGACATGTTGTGCAACCTTCTTTCCAGTACATTTGATCTCATTTGACATTTGTCACGGTTCCAAACTTGAAGGAACTAAAACTAAGAGGTTAGTGGACTTGCCTAAGGTCCCCCAATCCATTTAGTTTGGGACTTAGTATTAAATCTATACTCTTCTGATTTGAACTGGGATTTATTTTCTTAAAAATATATTTTTAATGGTTCTAATACAGACTTTGAATAAAATGTTTTTAAATAAGGAAGCCAACATTACTAAATAATTAAAGTTAATTAAGGAGAATGCTAAAATGTAAAGATAACTTTCAAAGCAGGCCTCAGGTATTAAAAGATTAGGTGGGTTTGTCTCATTTTATAATTTAAAATAGAAAACAACTTAAAAGTAGGCATTTCTCATAAATAATTTTCATATCTTGCTGTTAGATGTGTACGTAAAAATAACTTAAAATACATTTTATGGCAATATGTTTAATATTAGTCATTACATTAAAACTGAAAAGAAACTTTTCAGTAAATATCATGCTTGACTATGAAATCTGCTAGAATGGACCTTCCAGACATTATAGCTATTATGTGGCTTTGCCAGTCACAACAAAGGAACACTGTGGAATCACAACGTGAGAGAATTACTGATGGCAGAGTCAATAACCATAAGGGGACATGAAATAAACACCATATGGGAGAAAAATTCATGGCAGTACCGCAGCAATATAAAACAAATGTTTACAAATATCAGCTGGTATCTATATGTGGCCAAGTAGCTAATTTCATTTTATTTGAGTAGCTATCACTGGCTGCATTATTATTCCAGGCAAAAGTTTGAGCCATCTAGGTATAGTAAATACAAACATTATTATCAGATCCTCCTCAGAGAACCCATTTTGCTTTGATTTGTTTTATTTTATTTTTCTAACACTGTTCTCCACAAATTAGTATGAAAATTACTAGTTTGATTGGGTTTATTATTATTTTTAGATAAAGGATAGATATTATATATGTGTATACATCCACACATATACACATATGTACACATGTTATGCTATCTATCAATTATATTTAAAGATTTTATCACAGTGCTGTTATTAGTATAATGCCCTCCCTCCTCTATATGTTTTTGTAATCATGGCATAATATGCCACAAAATGCAATGTGCATATATATTCAAAGCAATAAGCCTTAATACAGAAAAATAAAATGTATAGTCACAAAAATCTTTGTACTCAAATTGCCTGAATTCAAACCCTGGCTTTGGAACACACAAGGTAGTTATTCATTTAATAAAATAATGCCGATTAAGTACCTAAACTACAGTGAACACTTGATAAATGTTAGATTTTTACATCATCACTTTTTCAATTCAAGAACTGGATAAAATAAGCGCAAGAATAATTGTCCTTTAATTGATGTAGCAACCTAGTGTATTACCTTGTAACAAATTAGTATCTAGTGCTGGTTGATGAAAAGAAATAAGCATAATAAAGAGGCAGATCAAATAACTTAATCACTTTTTTGTTGTTGTCTATGCTATACTGAAAAATGTTATTACTCTGAGCCTTTTTTTTTTTTTTCCCAAGACAGAGTCTCGTTCTGTCGCCCAGGCTGGAGTGCAGTAGCGCGATCTCAGCTCACTGCAACCTCCGCCTCCGGGGTTCACGCCATTCTCCTGCCTCAGCCTCCCAAGTAGCTGGGACTACAGGCGCCCGCCACCACACCCAGCTAATTTTTTTTTTTCATTTTTAGAAGCATTTATTTACAGACAATTCTGTTATGATAATTACAAATAGTTATCATTCTCTATGCATCAAAATAGGTTCCCTAAGGATTTCTACAGTACAGTTATGTATTAGCCTACTTCCAATTAGTATTAGTGCTTAAAAGTAAGAAAACTGCATACCCTTTCGAATATTTTATATTATAATTGATCTCAGTGGTTCCAGCAAGCCCGTCTCTCCCAACTCCAATGCTGCCATTCCTTTGGCGTCTTACACAGAGTAAGCTCCTTCCTGCCTCCAAACCTTGCACTTGCTCTTCCCTCCACCAGGAACACCCGCCCCTAAACCTTCACAAGGTATGTATCTTGCTGTCACTCAGGAGCTAGGACAGGTTTGTTCCTCGGTGAGCACTTTTCTTTTCTTTTTTTTTTTTATTATTATACTTAAAGTTTTAGGGTACATTTGCACAACGTGCAGGTTTGTTACATATGTATACATGTGCCATGTTGGTGTGCTGCACCCATTAAATCGTCATTTACATTAGGTATATCTCCTAATGCTATTTTTAGTAGAGACGGGGTTTCACCGTGTTAGCCAGGATAGTCTCGATCTCCTGACCTAGTGATTCACCCGCCTTGGCCTCCCAAAGTGCTGGGATTACAGGCATGAGCCGCCACACCCAGCCTACTCTGAGCTTTTCAGGAGAAAAGATTAACCAAATTGTTCTTAAATAGGTGAACTTCCAGATTGCTTTGCTGAGAAGGGTTATAATGGCCTATAGTGAGAATTTCACTGGGCCACAGAGATATATAATTGCCTAGGACATAAATTTGTGGAGATAAATGCCATGACCTTGATAATTTGCCTACTGATTAAAAGGATAATGTTATGTGTAATTATGAAAAGACTTTAGTGATAGGTTGATAGGCTTAGTTCAAATGAGTAAGATCTAATAGTAAGTCTATCAGCTGCAGCAATAATACATCACACCTGACTGTTTGTTTTGGCTTATATATTGTCATGTATGTAAAAATACTAGTGTGAAAAAGAAAAAGAAAATAAGTTCATTGCCTCTGGCCTTTACAGAGATCTAGTGGCAAGGAATATAGAAACACAACAAAAGTGACACATGCAGGATATTAGCTGTGAAGAGGAACAGGCTTCCTTAACTTCCCAAGTGTTCTTAAAGATGTACAAAAGCTTAATAAACAAAACCCTGTCTCATTTCTCACTTTTCCTCTATGTTGAGTAAAAAGAAAGGAGTTGCTAGAATCATCAGGCAGTTTTATGTGACCAATCATTTTGACCCTGAAAAATAAGAAATTTCGAGATTCTGAAATAACAATAAATCTTACAAATAAAAAAAGTTACACAAGTTGTTCATTACTGATAAGTGCAGTGCAGAGCTTGTAAACCTCTTAAATTCTAGGCTTTCCACACCTGTGAAATGGAAGGATCCCAAATTATTACTGATTTGCAGCAGCTGCTACAAATCAGTACTGCCAGGAGACAAATTTGTTGTCAGTAAGGAAAGCTCCTGCCAAACTTCTTGTCTAAAAAAAGAGATTAGGTGATTTTTACAGTTGCCTACATTGCTAAATCAGGACTGAGAAATCTGCTTTGCAATTTTCGCTATTACTATTCAGAATATGTTGAATCTCCAGGACCTCCGTGAGTGAGTTGTCTTTTACAGATTACTTGTTGATTCTAAAGAATAAAAATGTACAGGTATTTTGAGTTGTACAAACTTGTAATACATCACCAAAATAAATCCATAATCAGATTTTTAATTGTTTCCTCTCTTTCCCACAAGTGTATAGGATTTAGAGTTAAATATAACATCAAATTTAATTTTGTTTTGAGCTTTCAGAACACTTTGAATGCTTTAAAATCTAAAATATACATGGACACCTGATAGATGAATGTAGACCTAAAAACTTTGAAAGACTGTCAGATAGGTTCAAGATTTATCTCTGCCAATAGCCCATAGTCAAATCATTTAAACTTCATGCTTCAACTACATTATTAATCATCTGAGAAAATAATACCAGTCTTAGATATATTAAAGAGTTGTAGTCTGTTTATAAACAACAACTGATGTAAAGCAATTCATATTCAAATTGTAAGGAAATCACATTCTGAGCACTTCTCATCCCTTCCAAGGTTACATCTCTGCTAAGTACAATGCAGAGTTTGTAAACCTTTATTTACAAACTAGTCCAAGCCACTGTTATGTATTTCTCATCTATAATACTGCAATGGCCTTCTAAATTAAAACTCTACTTACCCTGCCTGTATGCTGCCTATGATGTATATTAAACAGAGTAATAAGATAGATTTTTAAAAAGCTAATTTAGATTCTGTCACTGGTTTTCTCAAAACCCTGCAATGTTTAACCATTCACTCAAAGCAAAATATCTTTAATTGTCCTCAGGTTACATCCTTGACCTCATTTTCTACTCCTCTCCCCTTTATTCTCTTTATTCTCTCCCCTTTATTCTCCCCAGATCCTCTTTGCTTATTCCTATGATACACAAGACTGAGACTGGATTTCATCAAAGAGTCTTAGCACTTGGTTCCCTTTGCCTGGAGTGTTCACCCTTGAAAATCTATATGGATAACCCCTCACCTCTTCACAAATCTTTTCTCTCATAACACCTTTTTAATTAAATCTATCTCAACAATCTCTTAAAGCCTTTAACTTTTCTGTCCCTTTACCTCTTGCATATCATATATTTCTTCTGTTCTATTTTTATTTTGTTACAGAGGACTTTTCATCTCCTAACGTATTATATAATGTATTTATTTTTGTGTTTGCAGTTTATTGTCCACCATGACCATTAGATGTCAGTCTTCTGAGGGCATAGATCTTAATCTGTTTTGTTCATTGACGTAATCCAAATAATTGCTGATGCATTTAATAAATAAATTAATAAAAAGATAATCTTTTATTCCTAGTATACAATTTTGTTTTATTTGCTTAGTTGTGTGAGGAAGATTTTTCACAGACATTCTTATTTAATCTCTGAAGGGCACATGCAGCATCTCAATAAAGTACAGAATCTGTTCCCAGAATACCTGTCTAGCTTTATGTGCATGTAAAAAGTGAAGATGCCTAGATGCATTCAGTCCTACCTCTCCTCTGGGAGTTAGGAAATCTGCATTTTAACAAATTTTCTGAACAATATATTTTGCGTCAAATTTTGAGACTCGAATTAATGTGATGACTTTCAAAAAAATTTGTCTAGCCGGGCGCAGTGGCTCACGCCTGCAATCCCAGCACTTTGGGAGGCTGAGGCGGATGGATCACTGAAGGTCAGGGGTTCGAGACCAGCTGATCAACATGGTGAAACTCCGTCTCTACTAAAAATACAAAAATTATCCAGGCGTGGTGGTGGGCACCTGTAATCCCAGTTACTTGGGAGGCTGAGGCAGGAGAATCTCTTGAACCCGGTAGTGGGAGGTTGCAGTGAGCTCACATCAGGCCACTGCACTCCAGCCTGAGTGACACAGCAACAATTCGTCTCAAAAAAAAAAAAAATTACTGCACTTAGAGATAAATTTTACCATGCAACCCCCTCCAACACACACACACACACACACACACACACACACACACAGAAAGTTCACTAAGATAGATCATATTCTCAACCATAAAATAATATGCAAAAGTTTACAAAGATTAAAATCTGTAAAAATTACCTGATCACAACAAAATAAAATAAAAAATTAAATGGGGTTCAGGACATCTACCCCAAAATACGAAAACTTAGCATTTAAGAAAACAGCAGAAGCAGGAAGATCTCTCTGAACTTCTGCTCTTCTCCTCTGAAGTATGGCATAAAAGAATTCTGACAGTTCTCTAAAGTAAACTCTCTTAAGAACCAAGGTTTTTTTTTGGCCCCACTCATCTCCTTTAAAAATCATTTACTCTTCCTCTAAAATTGCCTACATTCTCCACTTCCCTCTCCCCTAGGAAGACAATATGTAAGCTTTAATGTTTTGGCCCTTCTTTGAGTTTTGTTATTTTGTGGGACTCCCTTGTACTTGCACATAATAAATTTTTATTCTTTTTTCTCCCCCCAGTTTATGTCTGTTTTGTTTCATAGACTAAAATTATCTAATCATCAGGGGGTGGAAAGAAAGGTTTTATGTGTTTCGGAATTTTCTGGGAATGTTTTTCTTCCTGCCTGTTCCAGTCTTCCCATTAAATTCCTTAAAACTGACAAATGACTTTACTCTTCAAAACTTAATTAGTGACAATTTTGTAGAAATGATTTAAAGATACTTGGCATATGCAATTTTGTAAACAGCATTTTTCCCTGATAGTATTGGCTTGCCACTTTTTTCTGTTTCAGATATTCTCCTACACATATCATCAGAAATATTTATAAAGGTTAATTAGGACACTGGAAATTATAGCAAGTCTTTTAACTTTTAAATTCAGTAAGTATGTGGCAAAGTTTTATCTTAGAAAAATATTACTAAATATAGTTAATCACAATATCAGAGAATCTTTCATTTCTTATTTTTGAGGAATGATATAATGCAAGAGGTTTTTGAACCATAGGGTTCAGTGAATATCCTTCCAGTACATATTCTGTGTTTATAAAATGCAGTTTTAAAAAATCTGTTTTATATATTTTATTTCTTGGTTGTCTTTTATTTAAACAAAGGATTCTTCATATCTTGTTAGGTGTTATACAATCTTTTTTTGGTTTCTGCATGAGGAAAAGGGATAATAACATCACTGGGTTGTTGTGAAAATGAAATATCACTATGCATATAAAATGTTTAACATGGTGACTTAATCAATGTGAGCTACTACTATATTTTAAAAGTTGAAAACCCCTATACACTAGTATATTACATTGGAAAGAATATTTAAATCAAGAATTTAGAAAGCAGATAAAATACGTTTCAATATATGAACTTAAAGATATTTGTGTGATTTAAAATAAAACATACTTCAACTGTTCTTAACTGAAATGTTGACTTACATTAAAAATGTGCATTTTTTAAAAAAAACCACAAGTTTCCCAAAGCTTGAGTAACATTAAAAACATGAATTTATAATACTCTTACATAAAATGGAATCAAACTTAAATATATTAGTTAAGTTTACAGCCCCCAAGCCAGCAAGATAGGTTTTTATTTCTAAGTCTTAGAATCAGTGTTATTACCAAGGAATACAGAGTAGCTAATAAATCACTAGATGTGTAAAATTAATGACTCAAAAAATGGCTTAAATCCTCAACTCACTTAAAAAATCTGTCATTAACATGAAAAATGCAAGAACAGTGGATAACTTGGATGTGAAGAAGACCTTGTTGAATTAGTTATTGACAAACAGAAGATAACGAAGTACTTGGCTCATATTGAAATAAATGTAAACAAGCAGGATGCATAACTTGCATTCCAGAGGAAATTAGAAATTCTGCTTACTCTGTTTAGTCATATTTTAAAAGCCAAGGGAACTAGAATGATTTGTTAAAATGAAACTGGGTAAGGAGACATGAAATAGCTAAAGATTTTTAAAGTTAGTATAATGATGAGGGACTCATATGGTACACATGTTGACCAGCCCAATGGTAGCTTCTACTAATTTTCATCTAAAATAATAAATCAAATTAGAAAAAGACAAACGTCTCGCAATTTCAAAAACTAAGATTAGAGAAAAACACAATAGCAGAATACACAAAGTGTTGAAATTTAGAGGATACTTAAGCTGTATTTTTAAATATTTACCAAGGCTTCACTTCATGTAAACAAGACCATCTGAAAACAGGGAAACCCTTCCACTCCACTCGACCCCCTAATTATCTTTTCTCTGACTCAGACAAACAACATTAATACCTATAATTACTGTCCCCAAATAACAATTACCAAACAACACAAGTAAATGAAACAAACAAACTAACAAAATACTAAATATCAGACAGGAGGCACTCAATTCCATAAACACTGTATTTCAGCTTGTGGAAATGCCATTTTTCTCAACCTCTTCTTTTCTTTCATTGCATAGAATCTGCCAAAGGAATATTATATTCTGAGTGCTCAGCTCTGCACATCAGGTAAGAATAAATCCTAAAATCAGCATATACTTTTTTAAGTTCTCTACCCCAAGAGTCTGAAAACCTAATTGCACAGCACTGTCACCTTTGAGTCAGGTGCCCAGATAATCAGATGCACCACTGAATCAGAATCTTGAGTGATAAATCCTGTAAGTTTTCTTTCTTCCTTTTTCATTTGTTCATTTGTTAGTTCCTTCCTTCCTTTTTCTGTTTTTTGTTTGTTTTGTTTTGTTGTTTGTTTGTTTTGTTTTGTTTGTTTGTTTGTTTGTTTCTACATGCCAGGGATTCTGATGTCCAAGAAAGTTTGGGAGTCCCTCCTCTATCCCTCTAATGTATCCACTTTATATAAGATTCTGCACTCCTGAGACATTCTAAAAGACCTTGGATTCAACAATCTGCTAATCTCTTTCCTACACTTGCTTACTGCATTCATAGAGTCTAATACTAACAAACATGATACTTAGATTTCTGACAAATATATAAACACTACTGGTAAAAAATAATCCAAAAAACCCCAAACTCATTACTTATTTTGTTTCCCATCTTCTGGACAATTTTATCTCCTCTTCCTTTTTTAATTTGGGGAAATTTTACCAAACCTTTTCTATCCTCTTTACTGAGACATAAATGTTAGATAATTCTAGCCTCTAGCCTCTTCTTCAATCTAAAAGAGTTATCGTTATTCTCTCTGATAACATTGTTAAAATTCTGCCACTTCTTTTTTTTAAGACAGGGTCTGGCTCTGTCATGCGGTCTGGACTGCGGTCGTGCAATCACATCTCACTGTATGTAGCCTCTACCTCCTGAGCTAAGTGATCCTCCCACTTCTGTCTCCTGAGTAACTGGGACTACACCTGTGTGACACCATGCCTGGCTTTTTGTTGTTGTTGTTTTCTTTTTTAGTAAAGACAGGGTTTTGCTGTGTTAACCACCCTGTACTCCAACCCCTGGGATCAAGCAATTCTCCTGCTTTGGCCTCCCAGAGTGTTGGGATTACAGTGTAAGCCACTGTGCCTGGTCTCAATTCTTTTTATTTCTAGCATGTTTACTTCTCACCAAATAGGCATAGCCTATTTGCTTTCCTTGTTTTATGTTTCCATACTCCTTCCTGTCTCTAACACCTACAAGAAACCTGAGCCCATCATTCTGCTGTTTAAAATCTTTTAGAACTCATAGTTTTCAGAACAAAGTTCAGCTTCCTTGTTTCTTAAGATGGTAAAGTAAAAAACTATACGATTTTTCCTGTCCTGATCAACACTCTAGAAATTGCAAAGGCAAGAGAGAATTATGGATCAAAAAACTTACTGAAAAGGTATGAGAAATATTTGGGGAACCTGAAAGCTGGGGTAAACTGCCATGGGCCTTTGTATGATTCTGTTGGGAGCTACAGCCTGGGGCCAACCAGTGCTGGAGATTTTAGAGGGAGTAAAGGAGGGAGAGAAGGCTTTAAAATCTTCCATTACCTCTCCCCCTATTGCTGAGGGGAAAGTGGAATGGCCTGTCAGTGCCAGTAAGGTTATATTATGCAACAAAAATAAAGCTACTGAGGATTTAATAAAATTAGTGTGGGCAGATCAGCTGGTTTCCAGGGTTCACTTCTCTACTTCCTCCCTCTTCAACACTCATCACCTCCCCAGTGGCTGGTAGATTACAAACTGAGGAAACTGCCCCTTCCTGAAATTGCCTATTTCCAGAAGTATAAATTCCTGACTTGTATTACCTGGTGGAATGACAGCCAATGAAGTGGTCACAGTGGTAGGAGGCTTGAAAATTTTTTCTCAGTTATTTTTAAGGGACAGCTGGAGAATACAGACACCTTGATCATCCCTGAAACATTACTTCCAGGGAAAAATGGAGTCAGAGGTCAAAAAGATTAGATACTGGAAGAGTAAAACAAATGTAAAAGAAATAGGATACTATGAACAAAATATATCAACTGCAGGAAAATGAATGATATAAATAGAAGTTATATAAATATACTTTTTAAAACAGCAGAAATAGTGACAGTTTAACTTCCTCTTTACCTGTTTGGATACCCTTTATTTCTTTCTCTTGTCTGATTGCTCTGGCTAGGACTTACAGTACTATGTTGAAGAGAAGTGGTGAGAGTGGACATCCTTGTCTTGTTCCAGTTCTCAGAGGGAATGCTGTCAACTTTTCCCCATTCAGTATTATGTTGATTGTGGGTTTGTCATAGATGGCTTTTATTACGTTGAGATATGTCCCTTGTATGCCGACTTTGCTGAGAGTTTTAAGCATAAAGTGATGCTGGATTTTGTGGGATGCTTTTTCTGCATCTATTGAGATGATCATGTGATTTTTTATTTTAATTCTGTTTATGTGGTGTATCGCATATATTGACTTGCGTAAGTCAAACTGTTGCTATTTGCTGATGATATGATTGTATACCTAGAAAACCCTAAAGATTCCTTCAAAAATCTCTGAGAATTGATAAATGAATTCAGCAAAGTTTCAGGATACAAAATTAATGTACACAATGGAGTAACTCACCTATACACCAACAGCAACCAAGCTGAGAATCAAATCAAGAATTCAACCCCTCTACAAAAGGTGCAAAAAATAAATAAATAAATAAATAACCCAACAACTTAGAAATATACCTAACCAAGGAGGTGAAAGACTATACAAGGAAACTCTAAAAACTGCTGAAAGAAATCATAGATGATACAAACAAATGGAAACACATCCCATGCTCATGGATGGGTAGAATCAATATTGTGAAAATGACCATACTGCCAAAAGCAATCTACAAATTCAATGCAATTCATCATCAAACAATTCCCACCATCGTTCTTCACAGAACTAGAAAACACAATCCTAAAATTCATATGGAACTATAAAAAAGCCCGCATAGCCAAAACAAGACTAAGCAAAAAGAACAAATCTGGAGGCATCACATTACCTAATTTCAAACTATACTGTAGGGCCATAGTCACCAAAGCAGCATGGCACTAGTATACAAATAGGCATATAGACCAATGGAACAGAATAGAGAATCCAGAAATAAAGCCACATACTTACAGCCAAATGATCTTTGACAAAGCAAAAACAAACAAACAAACAAACAAACAAAAAAAACCAACAACATAAAGTGGGGGAAAGGACACCCTGTGCAACAAATGGGGCTGGGATAATTGGCAAGCCACATGTGGGAGAATAAAATTGGATCTTCATCTCTCACCTTATACAAAAATCAACTCAAGATGGGTCAAGGGCTTAAAACTAATACATGAAATAATAAAAATTCTAGAAGATAACCACAGAAAAACCTTTCTAGGCATTGTCTTAGGCAAGGATTTAATGACCAAGAACCCAAAAGGAAATGTAATAAAAACAAAGATAAATAGCTGGAACTTCATTAAACTAAAGAGCTTTTGCACGGCAAAAGGAACAGTCAGCAGAGTAAAGAGACAACCCACAGAGTGGGAGAAAATCTTCACAATCTGTACATCTGGGAAAGGACTAACATCCAGAATCTACAGTAAACTCAAACAAATTAGCAAGACAAAAACAAACAATCCCATCAAAAAGTGAGCTAAGAACATGAATAGACAATTCTCAAAAGAAAATACACAAATGGCCAACAAACATATGAAAAAATACTCAACATCACTAATGAGAATACAAATTATTTTTGAAAACATGCAGAAATTTTAAAAATAGGACTTTCATTATACAACAAAAATAGTCTCAATTAATTCTAAAAGATGAATGGTACCAGAGTATTTTTAGCATGATACAATCATATTAGATGTTAAGAAATAAAGGAGAGCTAAACATATTCTCACATGTTTAAAATTAAATAACATATAACTAAATAAACTTTGATTTCTAAAGGAAATTCTAATATAGATCATATAACACTTCAAAATAATAGTCAATAAAAACATTCCAATGATAATTCTGTAGGAAACAATAAAGGCAATTCTTAGAAGAAATAGCATAGCTTTAAATGGATTTATTAGGAAACAATAAAAGTTATAAGCAAACCAATTAAGCAAATCAACTTAGCATTTAACTCAACAATTCAGAGAAAGAACAAAACAAATTAAGGGAATAACAAAATAACATGGGAAATTTAGTAAAATAGAGGATAAAATCAGTGGTGAAGAAACTTTTAAAACAAACAGAACAACTATTTTTTTGAAAAAAAAAAAGCAGCAAACTTTTGGCAACAATGATCAAGGAAAAACACACAATATAAAAATGAACAAAATGTAGAATAAAAAAGGTTGACTAAGTATAGAAACAAGGAAGATGTCAAATATGTTTTAAGAATGACAACATAGATGAAACAAGATATTGTATAATAAAGATGCTCAATTCGTCATATGTAAATTATTAGAGATGCAGGTATAAAAGGAATTCGTATAATTCTAATAACACCCTTGCAGATGTTCCTTATTTTTTTTTTTTTTTTTAATTGAGACAGAGTCTCACTCTGTCACCCAGGCTGGAGTGCAGTGGTGCAGTCTCAGCTCACTGCAACCTCTGCCTACCAGCTTCAAGTGATTATCCTGCCTCCGCCTCCCGACTAGCTGGGATTACAGGTTTGCACCACCACGCCTGACTAATTTTTGCATTTTTAGTAGAGACGAGGTTTGGCCATACTGGCCAGACTGGTCTCGACCTCGTGACCTCAAGTGATCCGACTGCCTTGGCCTCCCAAAGTGCTATGATTACAGGTGTGAGCCACCATACCTGGCCTCCTTGCAGGTTTTTACTGAGTGTGTTCTAGCAATCATTTAGTGAACGGTTAATAGCCACCTTGTATATTTTGTTGCAGAATAAAGAAAAAGTGGCACAAATAATTAATGGTAAGTATTACTTATAATATTAGATGCAAAATCTTAAATACTGAAAAATATTAAATAATATCTCTTTATAAACAGAAAATATTTCTTATTTTTTGGAACAACACGCAGAATTAAACCTTCAAAAGCCTATCAATGTAATGCTACTCACCATATTGATATTCAAAAGAAAGAAATACTGTGATCATCTCAATTATCAGAAAAAGCATTTGGTAAAATTCATTTATGATGAATTTCTTTAAAAAGTCAGAAAAGTAGAGCTAACCCTTAACTTAGTTAAATCTGCACTTTGCAAAACAACTGAGAAGTCTGCATTTAAAGTTGAGCTATGTCTATATTCCTAGAAATAAAAGAAAGATTCTAATAACTACCACTAGTATTAAACCTAGGACTAAAAGTTCTGGCCAACGTTACAATAAAAAGTGATAAAAAATTAAAAAGATAAGATAAAACTGTTCTTAAGATGATATGAATGTATTCTTAGAAATACCTTTGGAAGCGACACATAAACTATTAAAAACGATAAGCAAGTTTCACAAAGTTACTGTGTATAAGAGCTACTTATTAATCTTATTAGCATTTTCCTACATAAACAATAAATAAAGATAGAATATAACAAATATTAAGGTGCCATTCAAATAACAGAAATAATAAGTAAAACATCAAATTTAGTATAAAGTATACAGCAATGAAAACCATAAAGATACAAGACTTACGGACAGAATTTGAAAATTTTAATACAGGTCTTCAAAATGTTTCTTACTCTAGGGTGATAAGAATTAGTTTTATAAATATATCAATTCTTCTGAGTCTAAATTTTAAAGCAATTTTAATCAAAATGTCAAAAAAATTGTAAGAAATTTTTAAAGAAAATATATATTTTAAATCTTATATGAAGAAATAATAAACTATACATAGAATAATAAACTTTGGAGAAAAGAGAAAATAAGATTAACTCGACCTCCTTGACATTAAGACATAATGTAAAGCCATGTTAATAAAAAGAGTACACAAAAATATTTACCATCTGTACGTGGAACTTTTGCCAAGTTGTCTATGCTTTCCGTAGATAACTTGAAAAAAGTTCCATGAACATTTGGTAAAATAATGTAAAGACGATACTACAAATCCATGTTGAAATAATGGATTGTCAGGTAGAGAGTGTTAAAAAAAAATAAAGAAAAATACATAGTTTAGTTACTTGGATTACCAACTAACAGAATTTATAAAAATGATCAACAGGTAAATTAAATAGCTACTTGTAGATGATAAAACATTAAAGTTAATTATAATAAAAGGAAGATATTTTTGAATTAGTGCGTAGAAAAATCTTTTTACCAAAAGCCCCATTGCTCACATCAAAATGAAAACAAAAATAACTAGTTAAAAATTAAATATTTATGTTCAATAAAGAGAAGATACAGAAATAATTAAAATGTAGAAAATACAAGGAAATAAAATATTTTAAGTGTCTCAAAAATGAGACTAAAATGAGTCTAAATGAGACTAAAATTGGAAACTAAAATGAGTCTAAAATGAGACTAATATTAGAACAGTATAAAGAAGTTCTGCAAATCAACAAGTGTAATTCAGTAGGAAATTGGACAAAGAAAATAAACAATTACTGAATCAAAACCTAAAAAGCCTGAACTCATTAGTAATCATATTATTAATGTAAAATAAACTAAAAATAAGATTGCATCTTGCAGCCAGTATAATATCCAGGAAAATATATGAAACCAGTAACTCCAAGCACTGGTGGCATTATGAGAATGGGGAAACATCTATGTACTCATACGCCTATGGTTGACTGTAACTTGATGTAACCATTCAACATAATTGTCTGGCAGTATTTAATTAAACTATTATATATGTATACCCTATAATCTAGAAGACCTGGTTCTCCTTAGCTGTCGTAATCCTTGTTGGCCAAGACTAAACATAGTCTCATATAAGTCTGTTAAGGGACATGGGAATTTATGTTTATCTAAGCATTCCTATGGATGTCAGGAGTTGAAGATGATCATGTTGCCTTACCAGTGGAGAAGGAACTAGGTGAAACTCTCCTGATGCACAGAATAGGGTATTATCCAGTAGTCAGAAAGAGAAATATTTACTCACAGAAATGTGGATAGATCTTAAAAGCAACTTGAAAGTCGAGTAAAAAAATTTAGCCACAGAGTGAGAAAAAAAAATTATTAATATTTAAATATGTTCATGTCTAACAACAGCACAGATTTTTCACTAATATTCACAAAGATTTATCTCAAGTGCATTTAAATGTTTTCCCACTGGGAAGGAAAGAAAAAGGAGTGGGGAATAGGGATGAAACATACAACTGAATGAAAATAAATGAATGAATCAGCAACAAGAAAGGAAAATTGCATGGGCTCATCATTATTTGTTTTATTAATCCAGAACTATAATTAGCTTCAATGTTCTGAACCAGGGATATTTTTAAAACTAAGAAAAAAAAATCAATTCCTTAAGATTCTTTTTCTAATACTTATATCTTACTTATTTCAAGTTTGCTATATATATAAATATTTTCACTTTGTCCATAAACACCAATTAAAGTTCCCAAAGTTGTCCTTTATTTTCCCCTTTTGTGTAAATGAATATGCTCTACCAGTAGCTAGGACATATTATCCCCTCACTCCGTCTCTACCTGGCTATGATTTACAATGTTCTTAAAGGTCTCCTCTTTTTTTCTTTTCTCCCAATTTAAGCTGTATACTATTTCTGTGTATTATTATGTTATTTTCTAAGAAGTGGTTCATATACATTGTTAAATACTAGCTTTCTATTAATTCTGCATTGCTACATAAAAAATTATCACAAACTTGGCAAATTATTACTGATTCAATCACTCACAGTTCTCTAGTTCAGAACTCCAGGAATGATATAGGTGGGTTCTTTACTCAGTGTCTGAAGGGCTGACATCAAGATGTTAAAAAGGTTACAATCGTATCTGTAGGCTCTAGGCATGAATCCGCTTTGGAAGTAATTTTTCTTATTGACAAAATTTAGTCCCTGGTTCTACCTCTGATGTCCCCGTTTCCTTATTGGCTGTCAGCCAAGGGCTGCTCTCAGCATCTACAGGCTTATTGCATTCCTCACCGCATGGCTCCCTAGGTCTTCAATACAGCAACATTTAAGTGAATCCTTCTCATATATGTTGAAACTCTGACATCATCTATCTCTGACTACTACAACCTGATTGAAAGTACTGTGTGATCAGGTTGGACAGGCATACCTGGATAATATCCCTATTTTAAGGTAAATCAAATTTTTATCCTAGTTCATTGGCACAATCTTTTTGCTACATAATGTAACAATCGTAGGAGTAATAGCTGACCAAATTATCAGGTTTAACCCACGTTTAAGAAGAAGAGAGTACCTAGAAGCAAGTGCCATTGGAAGTCCTCTTAAAATTCTGATTCCCATAATCTGCCCTGTGGCCCCAGTGTTCCACATCTGTCCATCATGCAAAATACATTGACTCCATCTCTAGGTCTCCAAAAGGTTCCCAATGACAAGATTAGCTCATCTTAGTTAATTTATAAAAATATATGTGTATATATATATTTATATGTATATATGTATACATTTATATATGTATACATTTATTAGTCACATTTATGAAGGCTGAGAAATCCAAAATCAAGGTGCTAGCAAGTTTGGTGTCCGGTGACAGCACATTCCTCATAGATGGCATTGTCTAGGTATCCTCAAATGGTAGAAGGGACAAAAAAGGCAAAAGAGAGTTTATTTTTTGCTAAAAGATAAACTATGTTTTTGCCTTTTTTAACCCCCTTTGAGAAAGTAATTAATCACTTTCCTAAAGGCCCCACCTCTTAGTATCACCACAATGGAAGTTAAGTTTCAAACATTTTGGAGAGGACACACATTTAGACCATAGTATAGATCAAGTTTAAAATCCATTCCTCTAACTCTAAATCTCATCATCTAGGTCATTTAAATCATGTTTCTATGAGGCTCTTGGGTGTAATTCATTCTGGAGCACAATTCTTTTACATCTGTGAACCTGCAAAATTAAAGACATAAATTTTCTGCCCTCAAAACTCCAACATACAGTAGTGGAATGGATATATGATAACGGTTACAGACATTTGTTAAAAAGTGGGAAAATGGGAGGTAAAAGAGTTGCCAGTTCAAAGCTGTTTTGTAATCCAGTTAAGAAAACTCCATCAGGAATTCCCTTATGAGGTCTGGAGGGCTAGAAAGAATTCTCTGAGGTGAAGCCCAAGGTCTGGGCTTCCTTTTCTCCCTCTGGACCCTTAGCTCCACCCTCTGAATTATCCTTTCTTTTTCATGAATAGTAGCACTTGTTTGAACTGAGCAGTTTTTTTTTTTGTTTGTTTGTTTTTTTGAGATGGAGTCTCACTCTGTCGCCCAGGCTGGAGTGCAGTGGCACAATCTGGACTCACTGCAAGCTCCGCCTCCCGGGTTCATGCCATTCTCCTGCCTCAGCCTCCTGAGTAGCTGGGACTACAGGCACTCACCACCATGTCCGGCTAAATTTTTTTTTGTATTTTTAGTAGAGACGGGGTTTCACCGTGTTAGCCAGGATGATCTCGATCTCCTGACCTCGTGATCTGCCTGCCTTGGCCTCCCAAATGAACTGAGTAGTTTTATCAGCCTGTTTCTTGCCAGTAAATTCTTGGGACTAGATAGCTTCCTTCACTTTTATACTCTATTTACCTTTTATTCCAGACTGGCAGTGTTTCTGCTGACAAAAGTTTTACAAAACTGTTCAGGTTATTTGTAAACTACACCACGCTTCAATCCATTCAACAAAAGCGATACCCATTGAATCATTTGGAGACATGCTTGATCTCCTGGCTGAGATGGCTATGGGGCAATGACCTTAAGCATCTTGAAGGTCGTCTAGTTTGATAGAGAAGTTCTGTAAAGCACCATCGTACTTTATGTGACTGTGTATGCTGACCTTACAATCTTCCCTAGTTTTCAGCAAAATTTTGTATAGTCACACATTTAGCTATCTCTCTATTTATATTAAAAAGCAACCACTTAATTTTAACATTTTGCCATTTGGACTGAGAATTTTCTAAGTCATCACATATTGATTCATTTTTGTTTAACAGTTCTTCCTTCTACTTATCCCTTTTTTAAAAATTATTTTACTATGAACACACTGGAAAAAATCAGGCCACACCTCTAACACTTTAGTTAGAAATCTCCTTAGCTTAATAATCACATGTATCACAAATTTGGCTCTCCACATAACTATAGGAGACAATTTTGCTACACTTTCTATTATTACTTTCTGTCTATATCTTCACTGGTAGCATCTTTAAAATACGTAATCCTATTAAAATTTTGTTCAAGGCAATCAAGACTTTTTTCATATTCCTCAAAATTTTTTGAGTCCCTACCCACTGCCCAATTCCAAAGCCTTAAATATGCCAAAACTCATTTTTCATATAACAGAATTGTGAAAGGGATATCTCTCATCATATTCCCAGGTTATGCCCAGAAATAATACAAGGATGTTGGTCTTTGACAGTTATCTTAGATTACTACCTATTTTTAGCTCCCAAAAGTATTACAGTAGAAACCGTCTTCTATCTCACCCCATCATTTATTCTCCAAGCATTACATTCCAAAATATTTTTTCTTATTATAAGGCAACTATATTGTTTTTTTCTTGATTCATCAATTTTAAAAATTAGAGAGTTGTTTCTTCTTTTACTATATGCAGTTTTAACTCTTTTATACCCTCCCCAACTTATTCTTTCCCATTTAATTTTAAATCTGTAAGTACCACATGCTATAAACTCAAGTATTTTAATATTATTATATTCAAGTATTTTAATTATCCAAGTATTTCATATTAAAATACTTCCCTACACCAGATTTTCTAAGTTCTTTTTGTTTTTTAACCTTAATTTGTTATTTAATCCTAATTTTTTCCTCCTATATTGATGTACTCTATTGAGTAGCCGTCTTTTCCAGGAGTCCCCTGCTCCAATCTGGGCTGATTGATATCTAGTCTTCCTTTGATGCAAAGCTGGATTCCCTAATTCATTATTTTTGTTTTCTGGATCACACATTTTAGTCTCTTTATTTTGATGTTTTCCCTGGCTTGTACTCTTTATTTACCTCTCATTCCAGGCTGGCAGTGTTTTGAATGACAAAAATTTTACCAAAACTTTGAAAGCTACATGTTTTACCTTTCTTATTTTACTGGAGCACTTCTACTATATTTCAACGTGTCACTTCCCAAATGCAGGTGTTGACAATGAGATGATATTAAGAGGTGGAGTCTTTAAAGGTGATTAGTCCGTGAGGGCTCCTTCTATATGAATGGGATGAAAGCCTTTATGTAGAGTTTTCATGTAGCATTTAGCTAGGTAGCACTTCTCTTCTGCCATTTGAAAACACAGCATTTATCCCTTTTGCCTTTACGCCTTCCACCATGTGAGGATGCAGCCAGAAGGCCTTTGCCAGACACCAGGCACCAGCACCTTATTCTTGAACTTCCCAGTCTCTAAACTATGAGAAATAAATTTCTGTTCTTATTAGATTACCCAGTCTCAGGTATTCTGTTATGGAGGCATAAACTGGACCAAGATTGCATCCCACGAAGGGATGGATGATAAATAGTCTTAGTCTTTACATTTATGAAAATGCTTTAATTATATCCTCAAAATTTGCTTACAGTTTTTCTAGGTATAGAAATTTAGGATGAAAATCATTACCCTGTAGAAATGTAGAAGTTTGATTTTGTTGTCTTCTAATATCCAACATTACTGTTGACCAATCTGATGTCACCTGATTATTGTTTTATTTGGCCTATTTGTTTTACTCTGCAAGTTTTTGTGGCAATTCCTTAACTCTGATATGATTATCTTTTAGTGGGTTTTGTTATTTTTTCATTCTACTAAGCACTCAAAGGAACATTAAATCACCCCAACTATAATACAAATGAAGAAAGTTGTAAGCTGGACAAGACCATTAGTAGCAAAGTTCACACTCAAAAAACCTTAATTGAGCACTTAGTACTATACTTCATTCAAGCACTGGATGTTTAGGTGAAGGCAAATGAACAGGCTTATGAAATAAAATTCTAGAAATTAAAAATGCTTAGGGTATTCCAATTTTAGGGAAACCATTTAAAGATTCACTTATAAAAGCAGAAATGAAATTTCTAAAAAGTTACACCTTAATCCATTACATTTAGTAGGGAAAATGTAATAGGTCTTCTTGGCGAATTCATTTAGTTCCTAGGAAAGTTAAATTTGTGCAAATAGATAGATGAAATTCATAAAGATTGGAAAAATAAAATAAAGACTAAGTGGAGTTGATTTACTAGAAAATATTAGGAGATCTGAATATATGTTGTTTGACTGAGAAATTGCTAAGAAGATAAGAGATGTATTAAGTTGCAGCTGAGCTAACATAGGAAAACTAAGAGAAAAAAGCAATTTCTTGGGTCTGTACAAAGAATTACAATTCGTTTTATGGAATTGAGTAAAATATTAATGTGAAGCTCAATATTTGATATAATACATTTTGGGATTTGTAACCATTAAGGAATTTAAAATGATCATTCCTCCATTAATAAAGTGTTGCTATCAATCTGAATTCCTCGAATTCTCTCAAGTAAACATAATTAAAATGACTATCATAAAGCATTTAATTTTTTTTCTTCCAACTTTATCCAATCAAGAATTGATGTGATGTGTGTATGTGTGTGTACTGGGGGCAGAGGGAGGTGGGACAGGGAAGGGCAGAAGAGGAATACAAGGAGGAGCTTAATTTTATCTAATTTACAAAGCATACCAGTTATCTTTGTTCGTTTAGGCAGACCTTACAATCATATTTATGGACTTTCCTCTAACCAAATAGAATGCACTTTCTGGAAATCACTGCAGTGGCATCATAATTTTCTATCTTAAAAAATTAAACTCAGTAGCTCTTAGCGGGACCATAAAGTCAGAAAAATAAACCAATATGATACACAAAAAAATGATGAAATCCAAGAAAACCGTGTCAGGTCCCAAAAGACAAAATAACTTTTACTTTCTTCTGTGAACCACACATTGCACAAAGAGTTCTTTACAAAAATTACTTTTATATCCTTTCCATTTTGTGTAACAAATACATATATTTCAATAAACAGATACTGGTAAAGTATACTTGATGTCCGTCTCTGTTCTCAATCTTGAGAACAATATTGGCTCTCCCTTCAGGACACAGGCGTTTCATTCATTCAGCAAATATGTGTTGAGTGTTCATTCTGTGCATGAAATTTTTTGGGCCCTCTAGCAGGGAAAACAGAAAATGATCCTGTGAACAAATGAAGAAATAATGCTTGCAGATGGCAGTTTAGTGTTCTGAAGGAAAACAGGATGATATTTATATTTATATAAAGTAAATATAGTAGATTGGAAAAGGAGGAAATTTAGACTTTATAAAGTTTAAGTTTTCAAGAAATGCCTCTGAATTCACAAGAAAAGACCTGAATCTTGATGTATTTCTTTTCAGGTAGAGACCTATTATCCATTCTTTTATGAAGAGATACTAATGCTCGAATTTTACAATTATACATGTATTACATATTTTCTGCTAGTATTTAAATTAATTAGTTAAAAATTGTTTATAGCTTTCTATAATATAATAACATTATTCTTAATGCACTTGAAATAGTTTATTGAAGATAGAACCTTGACTACATACTACCAATTATATTACAATAATTTACTCATGAAAATTGAGTCTTGGCTTACATAATTTAGTCACAATCATCTGTCTTTTACTGTATGTGATTCAGCCCTCATTTGACCCCCAGGGCAGTCTGTCTACCATGTCAATGTCTTATCCACAGGAGTTCTATTTTATTTTACTTTTAAGCAGAAAATATAGCATTGGAATTTAGTTTGAACTTGGATATCATTTGTACTGGATTCTGTCTCCCCTGTAAAAAAAATACCAAAAAAAAGTTACAGGTGATATATATGAAACCAGGGTTTGAATTATAATCTGAAAATAAGTTAATAGATAGGAAACTGAATTATGATATTTGCATACATTTCATATTTTAATGTCTATGGAAGAAGAGAATGAGCAGAAGTCAGCTTATACAAGCCTTTATAAAATATCTGGAAAGGAAAATTTGTTGATAGAATTGAGTAGTTAGGCAATATTTGTGCCTTCAGTTGAATCATGGGAAAACAAATCTTTATGAGTTCTGGAGTTTTGTATTGGTCACCTGGAATCCAAGAAAAATTATGAAAGCACTATTTACATGTGAGATAGGAAGTCAGAAAACCCATAGCAAGTGGCTGCCATGAAAATGAGGTGATCATTAGATCAAGGACAACCTTTTATTTATCTAAGGGAATTAGGGCCAAGTGTTTTATTGGCTTTTGAATAAGATTAAATCTATTGGAAACCTACTGTCTAACTATTCAGTTTTGTTTTAAAGACAGACATAGATATACTAGATAGATACATAGATCAATAGAGAGATAACTATACATTTACCGTATGGCATATATAATTGTTTTTTCACTAATTAATTTTACTATATGTGCAACAAATGATTAATAAACACAAATATGAATTTATTGTAAATGAGTAAATAATTACCAGCATTTATGTCAACTGGCATTCAGTGCAGTGATGGTGTCAAGTTTAATATTAGTAGCTTTATAAATAAGGATCTAAAATTTTTGATAATTTAAGATACACTGTCAAAAGCACTCTTTCTCTGACTCTATGAGCTGAATTGATAAGTTATTTCACAAAAACAAAACCCAAAACTCTGGTTCCCTCAGAAATAAAATTCTTGAATTTGAATAAAAATATTTACTTACTTAGTTTATTTTAAAAACACTACAGATCATTTGATACAAAACGTTTTTGAAGAAAATGTTTATGGTAAGGCCGTGGTTGAATCAGTATCAACATATGAGCCTCATATAGTCTCTACTTACATACAAAGGAAACATGGGTTCTTCAGAGCCCATTACACTCTCTCTACTAGACTGGAGTTCTACATAACTGAGAGCTTGTGATGATGATATAAGGAATTTGAGGGGTAGGAAGAGAACATAAATACCTTGGAATTACAAAATAAAAATAAAACTAGTAAAAATAAAGTAAAATATGCAAAATTCTAGGAAATACAATGCAATAATATTTGTGTTAAATTTTCTTTTTTCTATTTATTTATTTGTTTATTCATTCATTTATTTTTTGAGGTGGAGTTTCATTCTTGTTGCCCAGGCTGGAGTGCAATGGAGCAATCTAGGCTCACTGCAACCTCCACCTCCCGGGTTCAAGTGATTCTCCTGCTGGGATTAAAGGCATGCGCCACCACACCCTGCTAATTTGTGTTAAAGTTTCAATGAATTTAAACTAACTTTAAAAACAAAACAAAACTTTTTTATCCTCTCAATTTGTTAACTAATTCAAGAAGCCCTTAACTATCCTGTGGAGGAGGGCAGGTTCCTGAAATTCTAGTCTCTTCATGAATAACCCTGTTAACTTTTTCTTATTCCCAGAAGTTTCTTTGTTTGTTTTCTTAACTCTTTGTACACAAAAATTCTTGTCTGTCTGGAGACTCTTCAGATGAGGACTTTCTCCTGACATCAAGAAAAAGATTGTGAGCTAGGCCATGCTCTGGTTCAGCAACTGATCATTTTCTAAATGCTTTTTTAAAATTACTAAAGCATTATTCTTGCAACCTTTTATTTTAAAACCATCATATCTGAGTGGTTCGTGTTATTACAGGTCATTATTTTTGTCGTTTGCAGTTATCAAATTCTGATTTAATACCTTAATTTAGTCCAGATTTTAGAACTCACTTTAAAGTCATTTTTCTCTCTGTAGCTCTATGTAGCTGATTTATTCAATTATATAGTCTAATAGATCCTTGCTTATTTTAATGCCAATGACCTTAACATCACTATAACTACCAAAATACTATAACTCTTTTGAGTTCATAGAAATGTTAGACTATGAGATCTACCTCTTCGAACACAGCCTTCTCTCCTTTAATTGATCACATTTCTATAATAATCTGTTTTCATCCCCAACCTATCACTTTTTTTCTTGTTTTGCTTCTTTTCTTATACTATGTACACCTTATTATTCATCAGTATAAACATGTAACAAATAAACATTATAAATAATAACAGTAAGATCAGTGAACATTGAATGATGATCTATGACATCTATATTTACTCTCCCTACCTCCATCATTGGCATGGCCATATTCCTTGCTTTGGCCAATGGAAAGTAAAGTAGCAAAAAATGTTATGTCCAAGCAAAAGGCCTTAGAGGCATTGCAAATTTTTACTTAAGTGCTCTCTTTGTGAGTACCACAAGTCTCAGATAGTGGTCATTTCTTTAGCCTGAGTTCTGGACTAAAAATCTAGGTAAAAGGGATCTGAAGCTAACTCCAGACTGAAGTCAAACCCAGCAGAAACTAGCCAAGAGAAGCAGATCCAAGTGGTACAGACTTCTAGCCAACCTACAGGTCCATAATTAATGTTTTTTTTTATTGTAAGCCACTGAGAGTTAGAGTTGTTACCACAGCAAAGTATATTGTATTAATATAATTTATCCACATTTTACAAATGAGAAAACTAACACTTAAAGTGGTTAAATAATTTTTCAATGTTACAAAATTATTAAATGACAAAATTTAAACCCAAAACCTAACTTTCAAATGAGCTGTTCCAAGATGGCCAAATAGGAACAGCTCTGGTCTGCAGCTCCCAGCATGATGGATGCAGAAGACGGGTGATTTCTGCATTCCCAACTGAGGTACCTGGTTCATCTCATTGGGACTGGTTGGAAAGTGAGGGCAGCCCATGGAGGGCAATCCAAAGCAGGGCAGGGCATCACCTCACCCGGGAAGTTCAAGGGGTCAGGGGATTTCCCTTCCCTAGCCAAGGGAAGCCCTGACAGGCTGTACCTGGAAAATCGGGACATTGCCACCCAAATCCTGCGCTTTTCCAACGGTCTTAGCAAATGGCACACCAGGAGATTATATCCTGTGCCTTGCTCAGCGGTTCCCACGCCCATGAAGCCTTGCTCACTGCTAGTGCAAGATCAAACTGCCAGGTGGCAAGCCTAGCTGGGGGAGGGGCGTCCACCTTTGCTGAGGCTCAAGTAGGTAAACAAAGCAGCTAGGAATCTTGAACTGGGTAGAGCTCACCACAGCTCAAGGAGGCCCACCTGCCTCTGTAGACTCCACCTTTTGGGGCAGGGCAGAGCTGAACAAAAGGCAGCAGAAACTTCTACAGACTTAAATGTCCCTGTCTGACAGCTCTGAAGAGAGCCATGGATCTCCCAGCATGGTGTTTGAGCTCTGAGAATGGACAAATCTCCTCCTCAAGTGGGTCCCTGACCCCCGTGTAGCGTAACTTGGAGACACCTCCCAGTAGGGGCCGACTGACACCTCATACAGCCAGGTGCCCCTCTGAGATGAAGCTTCCAGCAATATTTGCTCTTCTGCAGCCTCCGCTGGTGATACCCAGCCAAACAGAATCTGGAGTGGACCTCCAGCAAACTTCAACAGACCTGCAGCTGAGGGACCCGACTGTTAAAAGGAAAACTAACAAACAGAAAGGAATAGCATCAACATCAACAAAAAGGACGTCCACACCAAAACCACATCTATAGGTCACCATCATCAAAGACCAAAGGAAGATAAAACCACAACGATGGGGAGAAACCAGAGCAGAAGAGCTGAAAATTCTAAAAAGCAGAGCCCCACTTCTCCTCCAAAGGATTGCAGCTCCTCGCCAGCAATGGAACAAAGCAGGACGGAGAATGACTTTGACGTGTTGACAGAAGTAGGCTTCAGAAGGTCGGTAATAACAAACTTCTCCAAGCTAAAGGAGGATGTTCAAACCCATCACAAGGACGCTAAAAACCTTGAAAAAAGATACAACGAATGGCTAACTAGAATAAACAGTGTAGAGAAGACCTTAAATGACCTTAAATGATGGAGAAGACCTTAAATGATGGAGCTGAAAACGATGGAACGAGAACTACCTGATGCATGCACAAGCTTCAGTAGCCAATTTGATCAAGTGGAAGAAAGGGTATCCATGATGGAAGATCAAATTAATGAAATGAAGAGAAGTTTAGAGAAAAAAGAGTAAAAAGAAACAAACAAAGCCTCCAAGAAATATGGGACTATGTGAAAAGACCAAATCTACATTTATTTGGTGTACCTGAAAGTGACAGGGAGAATGGAACCAAGCTGGAAAATACTCTTCAGGATATTATCCAGGAGAACTTCCCCAACCTAGCAAGGCAGGCCAACATTCACATTCAGGAAATACAGAGAACACCACGAAGATACTCCTCAAGAAGAACATCAGCAAGACACATAATTGTCAGATTCATCAAGTTTGAAATGAAGGAAAAAGTTCTAAGGACAGCCAGAGAGAAAGGTCAGGTTACCCATAAAGGGAAGCCCATCAGACTAACAGTGGATCTCTCAGCAGAAACCCTACAAGCCAGAAGAGAGTAAGGGCCAATATTCAAAGTTCTTAAAGAAAAGAATTTTCAAACCAGAATTTCATATCCAGCCAAACTAAGCTTCATAAGTGAAGGAGAATTAAAATCCTTTACAGACAAGCAAATGCTGAGAGATTTTGTCACCACCAGACCCGCCTTACAAGAGCTCCTGAAGGAAGCTCTAAACATGGAAAGGAAAAACTGGGAACAGCCACTGCAAAAACATACCAAATTGTAAAGACCATCGATGCTAGGAAGAAACTGCATCAACTAATGGGCAAAATAAACAGCTAACATAATGACAGGATGAAATCCACACATAACAATATTAACCTTAAATGTAAATGGACTAAATGCTCCATTTAAAAGACACAGACTGGCAAATTGGATAAAGAGTCAAGACCCATCAGTGTGCTGTATTCAGGAGTCCAATCTCACATGCAGAGACACACATAGGCTCAAAATAAAAGGATGGAAGAAGATCTACCAAGCAAAAAAAAAAAAGCAGGGGTTGCAATGCTAGTCTCTGGTAAAACAGACTTTAAACCAACAAAGATCAAAAGAGACAAAGAAGGCCATTACATAATGGTAAATGGGTCAATTCAACAAGAAGAGCTAACTATCCTAAATACATATGCACCCAATACAGGAGCACCCAGATTCATAAAGCAAGTCCTGAGAGACCTAAAAAGAGACTTGGACTTCCTCACAATAATAATGGGAGATTTAACACCCCACTGTCAATATTGGACAGATCAATAAGACAGAAGTTTAACAAGGATATCCAGGACTTGAACTCAGCTCTGCACCAAGCAGACCTGATAGACATCTACAGAACTCTCCACCCCAAGTCAACAGAAAATACATTCTTCTCAGCACCTCATTGCACTTATTCCAAAATTGACCATATGTTTGGAAGTAAAGCCTCCTCAGTAAATGTAAAATAACAGAAATCACGACAAACTGTCTCTCAGACCACAGTGCAATCAAATTAGAACTCGGGATTAAGAAACTCACTCAAAACTGCACAACTACATGGAAACTGAACAACCTGCTCTTGAATGACTATTGGGTAAATAATGAAATGAAGGCAGAAATAAAGATATTCTTTGAAACCAATGAGAACAAAGACACAACATACCAGAATCTCTGGGACACATTTAAAGCAGTATGTAGAGGGAAATTTATAGCACTAAATGCCCACAAGAGAAAGCAGGAAAGATCTAAAATTGACACCCTAACATCACAATTAAAAGAGCTAGAGAAGCAAGGGCAAACAAATTCAAAAGCTAGCAGAAGGCAAGAAATAACTAAGATCAGAGCAGAACTGAAGGAGATAGAGGCACAAAAGACCCTTCAAAAAATCAATGAAACCAGGAGCTGGTTTTTTGAAAAGATCAACAAAATAGATAGGCTGCTAGCAAGACCAATAAAGAAGAAAAAAGAGAAGAATCAAATAGACGCAATAAGAAAATGATAAAAGGGATATCACCACTGATCCCACAGAAATACAAACTACCATCAGAGAATACTATAAACACCACTACACAAATAAACTAGAAAATCTAGAAGAAATGGATAAATTCCTGGACACATACACCTCCCAAGACTAACCCAGGAAGAAGTTGAATCTCTGAATAGACCAATAACAGGCTCTGAAATTGAGGCAATAATTAATAGTCTACCAACCGAAAAAAGTCCAGGACCAGACGGATCCACAGCTGAATTCTTCCAGAGGTACAAGGACAAGCTGGTACCATTCCTTCTGAAACTATTCCAACCAATAGAAAAAGAGGGAATCCTCCCTAACTCATTTTATGAGGCCAGCATCACTCTGATAGCAAAGCCTGGCAGAGACACAACAAAAAAAGAGAATTTTAGACCAATATACCTGAATGACATTGATGCAAATATCCTCAATAAAATACTGGCAAACCAAGTGCAGCAGCATATCAAAAACTTATCCTCTGCAATCAAGTTGGCTTCATCCCTGGGATTCAAGGCTGGTTCAACATACACAAATCAATAAACGTAATCCATCACATAAACAGAACCAAAGACAAAAACCACATGATTATCTCAATAGATGCAGAAAAGGCCTTTGACAAAATTCAACAGCCCTTCATGCTAAAAACTCTCAATAAACTAGGTATTGATGGAACATATCTCAAAATAATAAGAGCTATTTTTGACAAACCCACAGCCAATATCATACTGAATGGGCAAAAACTGGAAGCATTCCCTTTGAAAACTGGCACAAGACAGGGATGCCCTCTCTCACCACTCCTATTCAACATAGTGTTGGAAGTTCTGACCAGGGCAGTCAGGCAAGAGTAAGAAATAAAGCATATTCAATTAGGAAAAGAGGAAGTCAAATTGTCCGTATTTGCAGATGACATGATTGTATATTTAGAAAACCCCATCGTCTCAGTCCAAAATCTTCTTAAGTGGATAAGAAACTTCAGGAAAGTCTCAGGATACAAAATCAATGTGCAAAAATCATGAGCATTCTTATACACCAATTACAGACAAATAGGGAGCCAAATCATGAGTGAACTCCCATTCACAATTGCTTCAAAGAGAATAAAATCCTTAAGAATCCAACTTTCAAGGGATGTGAAGGACCTCTTCAAGGAGAACTACAAACCACTGCTCAAAGAAATAAAAGGGGACACAAACAAATGGAAGAACATTCCATGCTCATGGATAGGAAGAATCAATATCATGAAAATGGCCATACTACCTAAGGTAATTTATAGATTCATTGCCATCCCCATCAAGCTGCCAATGACTTTCTTCACAGAATTGGAAAAAACTACTCTAAAGTTCATATGGAACCAAAAAAAGCCCACATTGCCAAGACAATGCTAAGCAAAAAGAACAAAGCTGGAGGCATCATGCTACCTGACTTCAAACTACACTACAAGGCTACAGTAACCAAAACGGTGTGGTACTGGTTCCAAAACAGAGATATAGACCAATGGAACAGAACAGAGGCCGCAGAAATAACACCACACATCTACAACCATCTAATCTTTGACAAACCTGACAAAAACAATAAATGGGCAAAGGATTCCTTGTTTAATAAATGGTGCTGGGAAAACTAGTTAGCCATATGTAGAAAGCTGAAACTGGATCCCTAAAATTAATTCAAGATGGATTAAAGACTTAAATTTCAGACCTAAAACCATAAAAACTCTAGAAGAAAACCTAGGCAAGACTATTCAGGACACAGGCATGGGCAAGGACTTCATGACTAAAACACCAAAAACAATGACAACAAAAGCCAAAATAGAGAAATAGGATCTAGTTAAACTAAAGAGCTTCTGCACAGCAAAAGAAACTACTATCAGAGTGAACAGGAAAGCTACAGAATGGTAGAAAATTTTTGCAATCTACCCATCTGACAAAGGGCTAATATCCAGAATCTACAAAGAACTTAAACAAATTTACAAGAAAAAATCAAACAACCCCATCAAAAAGTGGGCAAAGGATATGAAGAGACACTTTTCAAAAGAAGACATTTATACAGCCAACAGACACATGAAAAATGCTCATCATCACTGATCATCAGAGAAATGCAAATCAAAACCAAAATGAGATACCATCTCACACCAGTTAGAATGGCTATCATTAAAAAGTCAGGAAACAACAGTTGCTGGAGAGGATGTGGAGAAATAGGAATGCTTTTACACTGTTGGTGGGACTGTAAACTAGTTCAACCATTGTGGAAGTCAGTGTGGCGATTCCTCAGGGATCTAGAACTAGAAATACCATTTGACCCAGCCATCCCATTACTGGGTATATACCCAAAGGATTAGATATCATGTTACTATAAAGACACATGCACACGTATGTTTATTGTGGCACTATTCACAATAGCAAAGACTTGGAACAAACCCCAATGTCCATCAATGATAGAATGGATTAAGAAAATGTGGCATATATACACCATGGAATACTATGCAGACATAAAAAAGGATGAGTTCATGTTCTTTTTAGCGACATAGATGAAGCTGGAAATCATTATTCTGAGCAAACTATCGCAAGGACAGAAAACCAAATACTGCATGTTCTCACTTATAGGTGGGAATTGAACAATGAGAACACTTGGACACAGGGCAGGGAACATCACACACCAGGGCCTGTCATGGGGTTAGGGATAGGGGAGGGATAGCATTAGGAGAAATACCTAATGTAAATAATGAGTTAATGGGTGCACCACACCAACACGACATATGTATACATATGTAACAAACCTGCATATTGTGCACATGTACCCTAGAACTTAAAGTATAATGATAATAATAATAATAAAACAAACAAACAAAAAACACCTAAACCTTGGTTTATTCCAGTAGGTACCTGTAGTGGTGCCATACACCAGCAGCGGTGGGACCAGATGGACTCTGAAGCCCTCCCCTGCAATATCCCTGGGACTCTATGGGTTCTGCCTCCAAATCTCATCCAGTTCCACTTCAGCATCTTGACCCAAGGATCAATGAGCCAGGCCAAGTGAAATCTACCAGCCCTCACAGAACACAGACCCCACTTCCTCCATCAACCTTAGGGGCTACACATCCCAGCCTGCCTCCATGTACCTGTATCTGTTTGATTTCATACTGGAGAATTGTTTCAGTGTCAGCAGGGTCTACACTGGCAGGAACTACCTTCTCACTGGAGATTTTGGCCTGAATCACTGCATAGGAAGAGAAAAGAGGGAACGTTTAGCAGCTGGTGAGGGCAACACACCTGAGGTCTGGATGATCCAGGGTCCCTGAAGAAGTCTATAGGGCAATTCTTGGTTTTGGTGTGGTCGGGTCGTGAGCAATGTGATGTGTGAGAAGGGGGACCTGGAAACGCCTCCTCTGCAGTCACTGGAAGTTCCAAACCCCTCAGGCTTATTAGGTCCTATAACCGCTAAACTCTTTCTGCCTTTTGAACCAGTTAGTCTGGAGAGCTCTAGTTCGCCATAGCCATTTGTGCAGTGGGGCACACGGTAGGAGTCAGAGTAGAGAAGGGATGAGGAGCCCCTTCAGGGCAGTTGGTGTGAAGTTTATCTATTGCTGTGGTCAAGGCCTCTCAGCCTGCCTACAGTTGACATTAGTAAATGTTTATTGAATTCATAAATGTTCTGACCCTGCACTGAGGTATTGCATCTCTTGCGATTTGAGCATTAATAACCAAAACTGTTGATGAAGTTCTTCCTCTGTGCCTGGCCTTGCACTAGGCACTAGGCCCATAGATGTGATTAAGACTGGGTCCCCATCCTACAGAGCTCTTGATCTAGTGGAGGGCACACTTGTGAAGCACAGCACAGTAGGAGCACTAATATGGTTAGAGATGCTAAGGCAGCACCAAGGAGCCAGGGAGCCTGCAGAGAAGGGGAGAGATCTAAGTTAGACCTTGAAGGAGGAGTAGGAGTCTGCCAGGAATTTAATGGTGTGAGGGAGGGCCAAAACAAAAAAAAAACAAAAACAACAACAACAAAAAACTCTGTTCTCTGTTGTTTTCTGATACACTCAATCAACTTCTCGATTGAAATGGAAAATTTCTAATAAATTCATCCATACTCTTTGCTTTCAACATAGTAATCCACATGTAGACTGCTGAATATTTTAAGAAAAAAATTACGTAATTTTTCAGGTAGTTTATGTCACACTACTTTTATTGTTTCTAATTTATTTTTTGCCTCTAATTTTGTCAGATAATCTTTCTATGTGTTCCTCAATAACTCACTCTACACTTCCTTAAGAGGGTTTCCCTAATATTTAATAGATTCCTCAATTTTCTAATCTCATCAGTGTTGCAATGTATACTTGGAATATTCCATCTCGTGTAATGTCTCTTCATTATTTGGTACTACTTACCACTACTCTCTTAGTAAAATTCTGCTCTCCTTTGGCTTCTGTAAAGGTATTTTCATGTTTTCCTCAGTTTTCTGGATGTTCAGCTTTTTATCTATTTTTTTCTTTCCATACAAATGTTCTTCATGAAGTCTAAGCTAAGCTGCTATAACATAGAGACCCAAAAATCCACTGGAATCCACTGACTCAAACAAGCTAGAAATTTATTTCTTGCTGATAGGATAGTTCACAGGTTGCTGTGGGCTGGAGTAGATAGGTAGATGTTCCAAAAGGATATTGAGTAGTCAAGTTTCATTTTACCTTCTTGTTTTAACACTTTGATGGGTGTTTCTTCTCTGAATAATTCACCATAAATTTTATATTCCAGGTACTAGTAAAGCAAAAAGAGAGCATAAAAAATGCAAGCAATCAGAACAGAAATAAATCAAGAATACAAAAACTACAGAAAACATAACAATTCCTTTGTTAATCTTGTTAATCTTTTAAAAAACATTTTCAAAAATAGAATTAGAGGAAATGATTCTAGACACATTTCGTGAGACCAGCATCACCTTGATACCAAAGCCAGACAAAGCGACCACAGAAAATAAAGCTTCAGGACAATATCTCTGATGAAAATAGAAAAAAAAATTAATAAAATACTGTCAAATGGAATTCCACAACAGATTATTTCTGGCATTCAAGGCTGATTTAATATACAGCAATCAACCAATGTGATAGATTGTATTAACAGAATGAAAGATAAAACCTACATGAGCATCTCAATTGACACAGAAAATCATTTGAAAAAATTCAACGTACTTCCCTGATAAAAACTAGCCAACAATTTAGGCATCAAAGAAAATCTCCTCAACATAATAAGGGTCATTTATAAAAAGCAGACACAATGGGGATGAGGGCAGTCTTTTCAAGAAATGGAGTGGAGAAAACTGAGTATCTACATGCAAATGAATAAAAATTGATCCTTATTTTACACCATACACAATAATCAAGTCAAAATGGATTAAAGGAGCAAAATGGCAGAATGGGAAGGCCCAGGCTTTACTGCTACCCACAAAAAGTTCAGATAGCAGCTATCCACAGACAATTATGCCTTGGTGAAAATCCTTCATATTAGGAATAAGCCTGAGTAACCTGTGTCATCCACAGAATGGAATAAAAACTGCAAAGAAAACAGCAGAAAAAAATCTTACTTTGATCACATCACCCTCTTCCCACCCTCAAATTAACACAGTGCCACACAAAGAGAGTTTTCCAGTGATCACAGTTCTTACAGAGAAAAAAAAAAAAAAAAAAAGAGTGAACCAGAGGTGAACATTAAGCTTCCCCAGCATTTTGAGATTCTTCCAAAGAAGCCCATTCCATTCTTACCTAAAGGGAAACAGTGAATAATGGCATGGTTAGACCTCCTAGGGTCAAAAAGAAATAAAGCAAGGAATTGTATCCCACAGCAACCAGCACATAGCTTTCAGTAATAGTTCCATGTACCTTTCAGCGATGATGCTCACTCAGTTACCACCTAACAGCATAGCCCATCCGCAAAATTTAGCTGTTCATCCCAGAAGTGGAGAGAGTTTCTAGCTGGCTTGAATCCCCAGACAGCCAGTCTCTAAGACTGGCCTCAGATCCTACCAAGGGACCCTGTTCAAGGAGGGAGACAACCACTGCAGCAAATTTTGGCAAAGAGCAAGGGCTAGATCTGACATCCTCAGCCATTTAAACAGTGGTTGAACCAGCTTCAAAGCCCACCTCAAGGTTGTACATAGGCAGAGAGACAAATCTTAATTAACCATGCATTTCTACTCAACACAGCAGCTAGTCTTGTACATGCTGATTAGAGACTTTGCCTAACTGTGAGGATTCTACTGCAATCCTGTCCAACTTCTGATCTCAAATAGTGGTACCATCTGGCCAGGGAACATGCCCTGTGGCCAGTCTCAGTCAGACGTAATTGTAGTTTCCCACCCAGCAGCTCAGCCTGATTGCAGAGCTCAGCCAGTAGTCTTGCCAGATAGCAGGGCCCAGCCAGATGTTCCACCTAATCCGAAAACAAGGGCACAAGCCCTGCCATCTATAGAACCTCAAAGCAAACACTGACTGAACAGAGTTGTTACCAGTTGGCCCATCCAGAATCATAGTCTAGACTACATAGTGAACGTCAATCCCTGCCAAAAACATGTATAAAAGCTGAAAAAGGTGGATGCCCACTTAAAGGTACAGACATTAACACAAAAACAAAAAGATTACAAAGACTCATGAAATCATGAAACCTCTAAAATAAAATAACAAATTCCTCAAAATAAACACTAAAGAAAGGGAGATATGCCAAATGGTAAATGAGGATTCAGATTAATTCCCATAAAGTTTAGTAACTTATAAGAATATACAGATAAAACCTTAAATGAAAATTGGAAAACACTACATGAACAAAATAGAAAAAGACAAAAAAATAGGAACAAAAAATAGAAATCCTACAGATTGATAATATAATGACTGAAATGAAAAATGCCATAGAAAACTTCAACAGCAGGCTTACTCAAGCTGAAGGGTCAGTGAACTCAATGACAAAACATTTGAAAATATCCAATCAAGTGGGCAAAAAAAAAATTAAAAAGAATAAATAAAGCCTACAGGATTTATGGGACACATTCAAGAGATCTAATCTATGCATAATAGGAGCTTAAAAAGGAGATGAAAGAAAGAGCCAGTAAGTGTACTTTAAAAAATAGTGGCTGAAAACTTCCTTAATCTGGGAGAAAATGTCAACATCCAAGTACATGAAGTACAGAAGTCTCCAATCAAATTCAATCCAAAAAGGAGTTCACAAAAGCACATAATAATTGAACCATCAAAAATTAAAGAAAATAAAAAATTCTGAGAGTAGCAAGAGATAAGAAACATATCACAAAAAAGGGGGTCCCAATACTGCTATCAGTGGATTACTGAGCAGAAATTCTTTTGTTCAGGGGATATTGGGATGATATATTTAAAGTGCTGAAGCAAAAAAACTGTCAATGAATTCCTTTTGTTTGTAGTATAGCTATTTTTTCTGAAATGAAGAAATTAAAAAACTTCCTAGCCAAACAAAAGCTAAGGGAGTTCTTTACCAATAGGCTGTCCTCACAAGAATTGCTAATGGGAGTTCTTTAAGATGGCAAAAAGGCCACTATTTAATAACATAAAAGTTACACAAATATAAAATTCAATCATATAAGTAATACTGAACAAGATTCAGAATACTCCAGGACTGAAATTGTGTTGTGTATTGTAATTTTATACCTAATACAATGGTTAAAAGACAATTATTAAAAACAACTATTGCTATGATAAACAATCAAGGGATACATATCACAAATAATGTAAATTCTAACATCAAAAACATAAAATATGAGTGGAGAAACCAAAGTGTAGAGTTGCTGCATGCGGTCAAAATTATGTTTTTATCAATCTGAAACAGACTGTTATTAGAATAAGATGTTCTATGTAAGCATCATAGTAAAACAGAGCAAAAATATCTAGTAGATACACAAAGCAAAATTAGAGAAGATGCAAAACATATTACTAAAAAAAAAACCCATCAAATCACAAAGGAAGACAGGAAGAGAGGGGTAAAAAAAAAGCAAAGTATCTGTATAACAACCAGGAATCAATTAACACAATCCCAATAGGAAGTCATTACCTTCAATAATTACTTCGGATTTAAATGGATTACATTCTCTAATAAAGAATTTACTTAATAGATAGAAAAATACTCAATTATACGCTGTTTACAAGAGCCTTGCCTCACTTTTATGAACATACATAAGCCTAAATATTAAAAGATGGAAAAAGATATTCCACACAATTAGAAACCAAAAGGGAATAGAGGTAACTCTACTTACATCAGACAAGAAGAGTTAAAGTTCCAAACTAAAAAAAGTGACAAAGAACAACATTATATAATGATAACAGGGTCAATTCATCAAGAGAATATGTATGTACCCAACACTGGGGCACCTAAATATATAAAGAAAATATTAAATGATCTGAAGGAAGACATTGATTGTAATACAATAATAATAGGGTACTTTAATGCTCTACTTTCAATAATGAACAGATCAGTGAGACAAAGATTAATAAGAAAGTATTGGTCCACCTACAGACTGGGGGGAAGATACTTGCAAGTCATATATCTGATATGGGCTTAATATCTAAAATATGTAAGACAACTTTATAGAAAGAAAGTAAATGATTAAAAAATGGGCAAGATACATCAAGGGACACTTTTCTAAAGGGGACATAAAAATGGCCAGCAGGTATATAAAATAACTTAACATTGCTAATCATTAGAGAAATGCAAATTAAAGCCACAATGAAATATTACCTCACACCTGTTAAAATGGCTAGTATCAAAAAGATGAAAGGTAAGTGCTGGCAAGGATATGTTGAAAAGGAAAGCCTTGTATGCTGTTGGGAGGGGTGTACATTAGTACAGACATTATAGAAAACACTATGAGGGTTCCTCAAGAAACTAAAAATAGAATTACCATATGATTCAGCAATTCAGTTTCTGAATACGTACTGAAATGATTTCAAAACAGTATGTCAAAGAAATGTCTGCAGTTTTTGTGTTTGTTGCAGCACTATTCACAATAGCCAAGTTATAGAATCAACCTCTAAGTGCCCAATAACAGATGAATACATAAATAAAATGTGGTATATACACATAAGGAAATACTATTCTGCTTTGTCATAAATTGTCACAGTGACTACATGAATGAAACTGGAGAATATTATGCTAAGTGAAATAAGCCAGGGACAGAAAGACAAATACTGAATGTTCTCACTTATATGTGGAATCTACAACAATGGAACTTAAAGAAGCAGAGAGTAGAATTGTAGTTACAGAGGCTTGGGGGAGGGAGGGAGAAAATAGGAGATGATGATGAAAGAATATAAAGCCTCAATTAGATAGGAGGAATAAGCTTTGCTTTTCTTTGAGATATGTTGCATGGCATGGTGAATATAGTAAATTATAATGTACATTTCAAAATTGCTAAGAGTAAATTTCTAATTTTATCACAAAATGATAAGTATTCAAGGTGATGAATATGTTAATTAGCTTAATTTTCTTATTCCACATTGTAATTATAAATTATAATTATAATTTATTGTAATTATAAATCATGTACATCATTGTAATTATAAATCATGACATCATTTTATATTTAATAAATATATAGAACTATAACTTATCAATTTATATTTATTACAATAAATTTTGTTAAAAGGACAAAAGACCTAAACATAAGACCTGAAACCATAAAACTCTGGGAAGAAAACACAGGAGAAATGTTCTTTGACATTTGACTTGGCAATGATTTTTTAGATATCACACCAAAAGCTTAGGGAACAAAAGCAAAAAATAAATAAATGGAACTATATCCAACTGAAACATTTGTGCACAAAAAAGGAAATAATCAGTAGAGTGAACAGGCAATTTACAAACTAGAAAAAAATATTTATTTGCAAACCACATATCTGATGAGGAGTTAATATCCAAGATACATAAAGAACTGATGCAACTAAATAGCAAATAACCAAATAACCAAATTTTTAAGGCAGAGGACCTGAGTAGACATTTCTTCAAAGAAGACATCAAAATGGCTAACAGGCATATGAAAAGATGCTCAACGTCACTAGTCATCAGAGAAATGTAAATCGAAATCACAAGGTGATATTGCCTCACACCAGTTAGGAGGGCTAGTATCAAAAAACAAGAGATAAGTATTGGTGAACAGACCCCTAATACACTGTTTGTGGAAATGTAAATTGGTGCAGCTGCTGTGGAAAATAGTAAGGAGATTCTGATAGAAACTAAAAATAGAACTACCATATTCACAATGGCCCAAATATGGAAACAACTTAAGTATTCATCAATGGAGGGATGGATGCAGAAATTGTTGTTTACATGTGTGTGTATATATATATATATATAATATTATATAATATATTATAATATCTATAATGGAACAGTATTCCATTATATTATATAATTATATATTATATAATATTATGTATTATATAATTATATATTATATAATATTATGTATTATATAATTATATATTATATAATATTATGTATTATATAATTATATATTATATAATATTATGTATTATATAATTATATATTATATAATATTATGTATTATATAATTATATATTATATAATATTATGTATTATATAATTATATATTATATAATATTATGTATTATATAATTATATATTATATAATATTATGTATTATATAATTATATATTATATAATATTATGTATTATATAATTATATATTATATAATATTATGTATTATATAATTATATATTATATAATATTATGTATTATATAATTATATATTATATAATATTATGTATTATATAATTATATATTATATAATATTATGTATTATATAATTATATATTATATAATATTATGTATTATATAATTATATATTATATAATATTATGTATTATATAATGGAATACTGTTCCATTACGTGTGTGTGTATATATACACGTGTGTGTGTGTGTATATATATATATATATATATATATATATATATATATATATATATGGAGGACATTGTGCTAAGGGAAATAAGGCAGATGCAGAAAAAGAAAATACTGCATGTTGTCACTTATATGTGGAAACTAAAAAAAAGTCAAATACATGGAAATATAGGATAAAATGGTGGTTACCAGGGGAAAGGATGGATGATGGGAAATTAGGAGATGTAGGTCAAGGGATACAAAGTTGCAGATATGTAGGATACACAAATCTAAAGATCTGATGTATAACATGAGAACTATAGTTAATAGTATCATATTGTATTAGTATTATATTGTGTATGTATATAGTATATAATAGTATTATATTGTATTATATGGTATTGTATTATATTGTATTCAGTAGAGAATAGATTATAGGTGGTCTTGCCATGCCCACACAGAGAGGCCCAAAATGGTGCAACTATGTGAGATAATGAATATGTTCTATTGCAACCATTTCACTCTATATGGGTATATCAAAACATCATGCCTACCACCTTAAATATATGCAACTTTAAAAGAGTAGGTAAATTTCTATTTGATAAAGCAACGTGGGATTTGCACATATGTTTTTATATGCTGCATTGCTTAGAATTTAATCACATGTTCGTACCTAACAGCAAGGGAAGCAAAGAAATGCAGTTTTCATCTAGGTAAATAAATGCTCTACTGAAAAGTAACTGTGAGCAATTATGTTGCTGGAAAGACAAGAATGCAGGTTGGTAATTTCTACCAGGACTAGTCTTATTTATCCATTTATCACCTCACTTCATATAGTTTCCTGTGTGGCCCAATTTGCAAATGTAGGTTATATAACTCCTGTAAGCTAACTAATACATAAAATGCTCCATGACTGGCTCTAATTTCTATTATGATTTCCATAAATAAATAGATACGAATTTTTTCCAGTCACCATGTCCAAAAACTGAGTTGTGGATGCTTAATATATGGTATAATTGTTGAATTCTGCTATATGATCTAAAGACACATATGTTTTTGCCAAATCTTATTATTCATGCTCTTCAAGATAATGCCAACTATACCTGTTTGGTTTTTTTTTTTCTTTTTTTTAAAATGAAGTCTCGCTCTGTCGCCCAGGTTGGAGTGCAGTGGCTTAATCTTGGCTTCAACTTCTGCCTCCCGGGTTCAAACAATTCTTCTGTCTCAGCCTCCCGAGTAGCTGGGACTAGAGGTGCACGCCACCACACCTGGCTAATTTTTGTATTTTTAGTAGAGATGGGGTTTCACCACATTGGTCAGGCTGGTCTCAAACTCCTGAGCTCAGGTGATCCACCCCCAATTCGGCCTCCCAGAGTGCTGGGATTACAGACATGAGCCATCACGTCCAGCCGACTATATCTATTTTTAAAAAATCAACAATAAACTATAGATAATCAAGTTCATCCTATAGAAGGAATATATGTGATCAGTTAAATAAATAATTTTTGTTATAGAAACTAGGGTCAGGTCAGGAAAATTACTTTAACAGTTATCATTGTAATTTGGGCAAGAAATAATGAAAGTCTAAATTATCACTGAATCATCTGAGAATGGTAAAAAACTACAAAAGCCAAGGATTAAAATGAGGAAAAATTCAAAGATTTTGGTAAGAGATTTAATCACAGTGTGAGAAAGAATGAGCCAAGATAACTTGCTGGATTCTGAATTAGGAAATTGAGCAATGTAATGGGGAGAAGTTTGGGTAGGAGAAAGGAAATTAAGTTTGTTGGCTTAGCAGGCGTGCCCTTTGATCCTTGATATCCCTGGTTTTTTGCTTGATTTAAAAAGCAAAGATTGGTGGTTTGGCAAAATGTATTATAAATATGAAGCTAATAAGGCCTCAGGAGGCAAATGGTAAAATACTTCACATTTCTATCCAAGAGATATATATTTTTGAGACATAGACTTTGAGAACATTTTACAAATATTTCTATTTTTCTTCATTATTTTCACACTGAAAAAAAAATCCATTTCGTCCCTGGTGTTGGGGAAAATGTGGAGCATGATCATGAGAAAAGATAATATTCTGTTCACTACCACTGAGGCCTGATTTAGAGTATTTATTGTTATGTGTTTTTCCTATCTATTCCAAGTATGTGTCTTGAATCATCTTTGAAGTCCACAGTAAATATTCTAGCCTAAGACTGTTTTTAAAACCACTCTTACAGAGAATTTTAGAGGAAACTTTATGTTACCAAAATTGTGTTGGTGCAACTGGTTTGTGAATGAATTTGTCAAGTAAGTATTTTACAGGAAATGCGATTGAATTGTGTTTCTTATTTTAAGATCCAAGTGAAACTACTTATTTGTTGCATAATGAAAGGGATAGTTGGAACAATAATTTTGGTCAAGGGTAGTATTAAAATTACAACAAGATTTTGGGGAGAATGATCGCTTATCAATTTGTTCACACAAAATTAATGCTATATGCTTTTTAGAGCAAATAATTAGAGACTTGTATTACTTAGGTAATAATAGGGTAATATCCAATCAGCTCTATAAATGTGATACGTTCCTTTTCACATTTTTTGTCAATTATAAAAATATATAGAAAAAACATAATATCTTAAATATGTGATTAGCTGTATTATCTACAGTTTTAATGAAGACTCATTAACCACTGATAAGTACACCTCTCTCTGATGAAAAGTTAACCTGGATTAGGATAATTAAAAGTACCAGAAAAGAAGCAACCGAAAAGTCCGTATATTCAACGTATTTCTTGAGTAGGAGTGTATTTCTTGAGCAGGAGTGCCCTTTGATCCTTGATATCCCTGGGTTTTTGCTTGATTTAAAAAGCAAAGATTGATGGTTTGGTAAAATTTATTATAAATATGAAGCTAACAAGGTCTCAGGAGGCAGATGGTAGAATACTTCACATTTCTATCCAAGATATATATATATATATAGTTATTAAAAAAAGTTTTTATAAAAACTTTTAATTTTATTTTATCTTATTTTTTTTAAAGTTCAACTTTTATTTTAGATTCAGGGGGTATTTGTGCAGGTTTGCTACATTGCTATATTGCATGATGCTGAGGTTTGGGGTATGAATAATCATATAATCAAGGTAGTGAGCACAGTACCCAATAGGTAGTTTTTTAGCTCTTGCTTCCTTCCCTCCCTCCCCTCTTTGTGGAGTCCCCAGTGTTTATTGTTTAGATCTTTGTCCATGTGTATGTACTTGCTATTCTTGAAGACGGAGAGAGTTCATTTAAAAATGATATTGTCTTCTGACCTTATTGACATCAACAAAAACCTCTCCTTATGCCTGCTCTGGAAGATAAGTTAATACTTATTGAAGGTCTTTACAAAGACTTATAGCAAGTATGCTATATAACCTATAATAAATGTTATAGTCTTCAAATTTGTTAGTGATCTGTTTTTCATTTTGTATGACTGGGCAATAGACACCATTTTACACATATTTAATTCTCTGGACTAAAAATAAATATAAGCCTTATTTACAATCAATATAAAAATATGTTGGGTTGTATTTTAGAAAATATTTATAGAAAAGAAGGAGACAAAATGTCAGATTTTTAATCATTGTGCTGGTTAATATTGAGGAGTGGTACTAGAAAAATCAAGTGTCACAGTCTGTAAGTTTTTGTGGAGGGAATTAAAGACACTATTGAATGATTAAATATTCGTTCATTTAGACATCAGTATAATTCATCATTTTGATTTTAAAAAGGGACATAACACATCAATGTAAATATGGGACTCAAATATTTATGATGAAAAATTTTGCTTAATTTGTCACGCTTTTGTACTTTCGCTTTTTCTTTCTACTTCTTTCCTTTAAATACACAAAACATATTGACTCCAGCAAAATAATTTCTTAAATTCATGAATTAAATTGAAAAAATATTTAATTTATTTAATATCACTCACTAAGCCGCTGGAAATGTGCATGGTTATATGTGCCCAATACTTTTATGATTTTGTTGGTATTCCAGCAAATTCGTAAAAGAAAACACTGAGAGAGATAAATGAGAAAGGAGAAAAAAGCATGTATACGTTTCCTTTATTTTTTATAATTACTAAATATTATACTTACTGTCCCACAATATGATACATATATAAATAAATGTGTATATAGATATATGATATATCATGTAAACATATGATGCATATATGTATACATGTGTACACATGTATATATGTGTATGTGTATATGTACATGTGTTTATAAATATAACCGTATAATGGTATACAAATATAACCATATATTTATATAAAGTACTCAGTTTTTATTCACTAGATCTCTCAACTATGAGTCCACTTATAAGATCGAACTGAGTCAAAAATTCCAGGCTAGAACATTATTAGTTTTCACATGCTTTCCAAAGATCAAGAAAATTTTCAAATCTTACCTAAGAATTCAATATTAACCTTTATGCCACATAAAACTGCAGGCCTGTTGAGTGTCTGTGGCTGACAGTCACAGAGGCTAATGATTGATGAACTGACAGTGTGCAAGCACAGTTTCCTAGGAGTCATGACATTCTTAGACTAACATTAAAAAGGTAAAATTGCATTCTGTTACGCCTAAAGAAAAAAAAAAACGTTCTTTGACCATTTTGTGGTTGACCTTGCTTCTATGGGGATTCACAGGTGTTCTGCTCTGCCTTAAAAGAAAAAATAGATATAAGCACATTGATTTTGGCAGACTTTTTTTAGTATGGGACATACTACTTTCTGTTTTGTGACATGAAAGTGTATATTTTTATTTGTTTAAAATATGCTATAATAATTCAATCATTAATTGAAAGTTAATTATTTAATAAGTTCCACAACCATTACATTTGGATATTATTGTATAACATGTAAGGGGTGTGACAAAAGATTTCATAGGTTAAAAGTCTTTCAAAGTGTATGAATATTTCTTTCTTAACTTGACCCTATTTGAAATCCATTTTGAAGTCTCAGCAGGACGGGGCATGTCTGAAAACTGAACTGTTGTGCTCTTTCACTTTGTTATTTTCGTAACTTCACAATTACCTTCACTTCTCGTTGTAGATGTTTTTGAAGGAGAAGCTGGCTTCATCACTATATTGAAATTTTTTGTTTTAAATTATAGAAGACTAAGCGATGGAGAAAAATGTATATAAGAAAAAAGTTTTAGCTAAATTTTATGGAAAAATAGAAAAAAACTATATTTAATTTTTCTCTTGGGCTAAAATTTTCCACATTAAATTTCTCCTTTACATTTGGCAAACAGTCGGATTTTACAACAGGAGAAAAACAATGCATCTGGTGCAATTTGTCCACATACTAATATATACCTGCTAACTATTCAGATTCTTTCCCCAAAAGAGTCCTTCATAGACACAAATTTAAAAATTGCGTGCCAAAAATGGTGCATTAAATGAAACAATGACAAAATGTACACTGAATCCTTCTTTGTTCCTATTACTAAATGTGTCTAATGTGTACTTTGAAGTCAGAGGGCCTTGACTCCAAACTTGTCTTAGCCACTAGGCTGTTAAACAGATTTCTTATAATTTCTGGATTTTAGCATTCTCTTCTCTAAGATGGAGACAATCATTTTCACTTTTTAAGACCACCGATTTTATAAGGTAGGAAGTGATAAACTCTTAGAAAAGTGGTAGGTATTTGGTAAGCACACAGTAAGTGATAATTAAGATTAATAACATTATTGAAACAATTTCAGCAAAAGTGAGTCACAATAAATAATATTTATCATAATGTTCCTAGCAATTATATTAGCACATATAAAATGTATGTTTAAATAGAAAATAAAGGGATTTGAAAATGTATATACTGAAGAAATATCTCTTCACTAAAAAGTAAAGGTTTTCCTCTATTGTCTGTCTGTTTTACCTTAAAGTAAGTAATATAAATATAATAGAAAGTTGCAGCTATTGGTCCCAAAGTTTTCTGATATTGATTCATTGATTTCAATTTTTACTAAATGATATTTACAGAAACTTTTTAAAAAATGGTTATAAACACCTTTTTGTTTTGAATACAAATTTCAGGTCAGGTCTTATTTTCTATGCTTTATAGTAATAAGCATAATTAACTTCATTTTATTAAACTAAACTAACTTTGTTATTTGCATTACTTTTTAATACTCCCAACAGCTTCAAGGAGTGCTATTTCTTTAACAGTTTGATAGATAATAGTGCTAAAGCATATAGAAGCTAAGGAATTTGCACAGAGCCATATAGCCAGAAAGTGGCCAAGCTCATATTTGAACCAAAACATTTTTGTCTCTGAAGCTCTAGAGCTTGCCATTCATATTAATTGGAAGACACAACAATTAAAATGAGAAAATATTATAGTAGTTTTATTTAATAATTTTTAGAAGTTTATTTTAGGATAAATGAAATGAAGTATTTCTAAGTACCACAAAAGGGCTTATAATTGTGATCCTTTTATGTAACATAAATTACAGCTTCCCAGAGTACAACTTAGAAGTGTATTTAAATAATATTTTCTTAAAGAAACATTAAGATAACAGAGCTTACATTATATCTATGTAATTGAATTGTCAATTAGTCAATATCCTCTAAAACATATCTTTGTTAATATAATTTTGAAAGTATGTTGCACTTGCTACTCTTCTATTTATGATGTTAGTGTCGTGAGACCTGGAATGACATTTGGTCAAGATAACATCTAACGCTGAGCAAACTAATTACAACAAACCTGCATTATCTTTGAATACAGTCTTGCATCGCTTCACAATGAAGATGTGTTCTGAGTGATGCTTCATTAGACAATTTTGTTATTGTGCAAATACCACAGATTGTTCTTACACAGAACTAAATGGTATATCCTACTACACTTCTAGACTATATGATACAGTCAATTGCTCCTAGGCTACAAACCTGTGCAGTATATATATTATTGTACTGAATACTGTAGGCAACTGTGACACAATAGTAAATATTTATGAATGTAAACATATCTAAGGATAGAAAAGGCACAGTAAAAATATAGTACAGAAGATAAAAAATAGTTCACCCGTATAGGGCACTTAGCATGAATGGATCTTGTGAGATGGGAAGTTGCTCTGTGTGAGTCAGTGAGTGAGTGGTGAGTGAATGTGAAGCCTAGGACATTACTGTACATAACTGTAGATTTATAAACACTAGGCTACACTAAATTCATAAAAAAATCTTCAATAATAAATTAAACTTAGCTTACTATTGCTTTATAAATTTTTTAAACATTCTGAATTTTTGCAATAACACTGAGCTTAAAACGCTAACACATCTTAAAGCTACACAAAAATATTTTCTTTCTTTATATTGTTATTCTATAAACTTGATTTTATTTCTTAAAACTTTATCTTTTTATTCTCTTACTTTTTAAGCTTTTTGTTAAAAACTAAGGTACAAACACACATCTTAGCCTGGGCCTACACGGGGTCGGGATCATCAATGTCACTGTTTTCCACTTCCATATATTTACCCACTGGAAGGTTTTTAGGGACAACAACCTATGTGAAGCTGTCATCTCCTATGATAATGATGCCTGCTTTTGGAATACCTCCTGAAAGACCTGCCTGAGGCTCTTTCACAGTTAATTTTTTTTTATTTAAGTAGAAGGAGTACACTCTAAAACAATAATAAAACTATAGTATAGTGAATACTTAGGTAACATAGTCATTTATTATTCTTATCAAGTATGCACTGTACATAATTGTATGTGCTATACTTATTTTTTCATTTTTATTTTTATAGATTTAGGGATAAAACTGAAAATTTCCTACATGTATATATTGTGTAGGAGTGAAGTCTGGGTTTTAGTGTACTCATCGCCCAAATAATGAACATTGTAACCAATAGGTAGTATATTCTACCTTACCCTCTTCCCACCCTCGCACCTTTTAGAGTCTCCAGTGTCTACTTTTGCACTCTGTATGTCCATTTGTGTCCATTGTTTAGCTCCCACTTGATCAATAGGGTCTTGCTCTGTTGCCCAGGCTGAAGTGCAGTGATGCATTCATGGCTCACTGCAGCCTTGACCTCCCAGGCTCAAGTGGTCCTCCCACCTCAACCCCTCAAGGAACTGGAACTGCAAGTGCCTGCTACCACACCTGGATAATTTTTGTATTTTTTTGTAGAGATGAGGTCTTGCTATGTTGGCCAAGCTGGTCTCGAACTCCTGGACTCAAGTGATGCACCAACCTTGGCCTCCCAAAGTGCTGGGATTATAGGCATGAGTCATTGTGCCCAGCCTTTTTCACATATTTCATGGCATCTTGCATGTCTTCTTTTGAGAACTATTCATATTCTTTGCCCACCTTTTAATGTTTTGTTTTTCTTTTTGAGTTGTTTGAGTTCTTTATAGATTTTACCTGTGCTATATTTTTATATGACCTCCAGTGCAGTAGGTTTGTTTACACCAGCATAGCTACAAAAATGTGAGTAATACAATGAATGGACCATGACGTTACGATGGCTACAATGTCACTAGGTGATAGAAAATTTTCAGCTCCATTATAATTTTATGGGATCACTGCAGTATACGTGGTCTGTCATTTACTGAAACGTCATTACACAGCACATGTTTATAAATTAGTTGTTAATTTGTCAATATTCTCAATAATGTAATACTTCCATATTTACATTAAATTATATGGTGAGAGTTGGTACATCAGGTTTTGAAGCAGTGTCCTTGTCTGGGGTAATACCCGAGGTTTTTTTTGCCTCATGCCAAGGAAATCAAGGACATGGACACATGTGGAGTGAGGTTAAGAGTGGAGGTTTAACAGGTAAAAGAAAGAGAAAGGAGAACAGCTCTCTCTCCTGAGAGACAGAGGGGTGCACAAGTGGGACTTCTGGCTCGCACCAGAGTGCAGCATATTTTTTTTTTTTTTTTTTTTTTTTTGAGATGGAGTCTCACACTGTTGCCCAGGCTGGAGTGCAGAGGCGCAATCTCAGCTCACTGCAAGCTCCGCCTCCCGGGTTCACGCCGTTCTCCTGCCTCAGCCTCCCGAGTAGCTGGGACTACAGGCGCCCGCCACCACGCCCAGCTAATTTTTTTGTATTTTCAGTAGAGACGGGGTTTCACCGTGTTAGCCAGGATGGTCTCGATCTCCTGACCTCGTGATCCGCCCGCCTTGGCCTCCCAAAGTGCTGGGATTACAGGCATGAACCACTGCGCCCGGCCTAGCACAGCAGATTTTATAGACAGGCTTGAGGAGGCAGTATCTAATTTACATAGGACCCATAGATTAGTTGGACCAGGTATGACGTTTCAAGGAAGCTGGCCACCCCACCCTAATATTCTTATTATGCAAATGCAGTCTTTGCTTGGCTGGTCCCATGTTGCCCGCTCCTTACTGTATGTGTGGCTGGCAAAGAGAAGGGAAGATGGAGCTGCCATATTGGACATGGCTAGCTCCAGGTAGCCTTTCCCTATTGGCACAGCATTTACCTGGGCAAGTTTCTAGCTTGCTTGTCTGTGTTTGCAGCCCGATTTTATAGACCGCTCTTTGTTAGAAAAGAAAGTGATTTGGAGGCTGTTTTTCATTAAAAGGAAAGCCTCACTGAGGACTTCCTTACCCTCATTATCTGCCTAAATAATTTCATTTTAACTCCTATATGAGTTTTATTTCTCTATCACATTACTAGCATTAAGATTGATTTTATTTTGTTTACTTGGCACTTTCTTATAAAACTAGAGGAAGGCATGTGCCTTAGAATGGCATTTGGACAGGGTACTACGAAGGACCCTATGCAAATCAATTGTTTCAAAGCCTGATTTAAGTTCAGGCTTCTACTAAGTCCCTTTTTTATATGCCATGGGCACCACCGTTTTTCTCATTATAATGCTTAACAATACTTATTATAATTGCCTATTTATTATTAATAATCTGAATAGCTACTGACCAGCTTTTATTTTATTTGCACTGCTGGCTAACACTAATCAAATATCCATAATCTATGCTTTTACGTTAAATATAATTTCCCTTAATATTTGTTTCTCTGTTTAATAAATTTTTATAACTAACTGCTCATTAGTTTGTTCCTTAATAAACTTACTGAGAACATAATATGTGTTAGGCACAGTTAAATGCTCTGGAAATGTACAGAAGAAAATTAAACAATAGTTTTTCTTAATGAACTCAGTCATATAAACCAGAAGCAGTAAAGATTAAACTAAGACTAAATGTATGAGAAAAACATATGTAAAAATCAGTCTACTCACCTAAATTAATAAATGACCTCTGCTGGAAGATGGGGTAAATGAGAGAAAAGGGAATTATAAGGGGAATAAGGAAAAGTTTGGGAGTGATATATCCGTTCTCTATCTTGATTGCGATGTAGGTTTTATAGGTGTATACATATGACAACACTTGTTAAATCGTGTCCTTAAAATGCTTATTATACACCTACTATGCAAATAGTTCTTCAGTTTATGTCAACTTACTTAAAGTGACACAGAATATATAGATTAAAAATTATAAATTTATGCAGTTCAAAAAAGAGAGAACTGTTGGGTGAGATTGTCAGAGATAATTCTGTGGGGAACTAGTAACTCAAGTTTCTATTGAAGGATATGTAAGATTCCCAGAGATTAAGAAGAGGTAAGAAGCCCAGTGCATATTAATAGCCCTAAGGTTTTGCATTAAAAACAAAACAAAGCAAAACATCTGGACCATTGATTATACTAATAGAGTTGAACCTTGCTTGGACCACACATTGAGGAAGGAATGTAAACAGAGATGTTTAAGTAATGCTGGGGTTGAACTAAATATGTAATGGTCAGAAATGATTCACTGTAACTTTTAAGTATCTAGATACATAAAACTTTAAGAAAAATGTAGTGATTAAAGGTTAATTTTGAGTTTTAAAATCCATTTTGGCGCTAAACAGTATTTAATCCAATTTTGCTATTTTCAACTGTAATTGTAAAAGAAAGTGTCAAAGTAATTATTTATTTTAGTTGTGTATTGTCATTAGATGTTTGTAAAAGTCTACACTAAATACTTGATGTGTTATTTAAAAAGGTTATTTTTCCCTAGAACAGAAAAAAACTCTTCTCTTTTCTCGTTCAATGAATAAAATGCAAATACTTTGAAAACTTATTTTCTAATCATATTTTTACAAAGAGATATCTTCCACAGCTCAACTTTACTGGGCAGTTCAAAGTCAATTTGTAATGTAATTCCTTCTAAAGGAAACAAAGTAGCAATCACATCTGGTTTAAGAAAGTAAACAAATGAATTTCATTTTGTTTTTGGCTGTTTTTAACACAAAAATACTGATTTATGCAACTGTCAGGTTTGAATGCATATAACACAACTTTCTCAGATTGAATCCAATTGATTTTCTATAACAATGTCAAGCATTCAATACATCACAGGAGCAGTGAGACTGTAATAAATAATTCTTTCAGAAAGAAAGTGATCCTTCTGTCCTTAAACACATAGGTAAATATTGGTTGTTTTTGCTCTATATATAGAAACTAGAGTGTTCTGAGTCTTCAGTTTTAGAATGTCCTTTATTTCTAACCGTTTCTTAAGAAATATAATTTCCCCTGATGACCTTTTTTTCAGCATTGCCTTTGAGACAATGGTTAGAATTAAGTTTGAGTTAAGGCCCATGGAGTCACATTTAAAAAAGGAAACGAAAATATTTCAATTCCAGATGATCGTTAAAGAGTTCATCCTATAGAACTGACTGCCACTTTACTTCACCAAAGGTAGGAAATGTACAGTGTACCATGTAGGCCTGTGAGTCAACTTTGATGTACTTACGAGTATAGCAGAAGAGTAGCATTTCAGAATACCATTTTTCCTGAAAAAAAAAAAAAAAGTGAACAAGTTTCACACCTACACCTCCGAATATAATTATTCTGAATTTCTATGTGTTTTAACTATTACTGTTACTTGGCAGCAAATCTGTACAGGTCTGTAGCAATTGCAACCTCAGCTCTTGCCTCCACAGAGGAAAGACTTGAACTGAGGGGGCTATAAGGTAGAAGCGGAGATCAAGGCAAGTTTTAGAGCGGGGTGAAAGTTTGTTAGAAAGCCTTAGAGCTAGAATGAAAGAAAGTAAAGTACACTGGGGAGAGGCCAAGTGGGTGACTTGAGAGATCAAGTCTGTGGTTTGACCTTTTGACTTGGAGTTTCATATGACGGCATGCTTCCTGGGTCTTACGTTACCTCTCTCTTGATTCTTCCCTTGGGATGGGCTGTCTGTATGTGCAGCGGCCTGCTAGCACTTGGGAGAGGAGCAGGCACAGTGGGTCTACTGGAGTTGTATGCATGCTTACTTGAAGCGTTCTTCCCTTACCAGCCATATGTTCCAAGAAAGTCATATACCAGTTAAACTCCACCATTCTGCCTCTTAATACACATGCTTGAGCCCACTTTCTCAACTGCTGAGATCTTATCAGGAAGCTGCTATTTACTAGTTTCAACTGTTTCTGTTTATTGAGAGACTACCATTCCCTGGCACTGGCTGTGATCAATTATTGTTTTGGAGAGACAGTTAACAACTGCCTAACTATCACCTAATGGTCACCTGACATTCCTGGTGTGTGTGCAGGGGTGACCCCTCTCTTGTCCTGCTTATGTCTGACTAGCTACCTACTGTAACATTATTTCAGTAATACATTTTTATGTTGTATTTTTTTCTTGTAATGTTATTATTATTATTATTTTTAATTATACTTTAAGTTCTGGGATACGTGTGTAGAACGTAGGGGTTTGTTACATAGGTATATATGTGCCATAGTGTTTTGCTGCACCCATCAACCTGTCATCTACATTAGATATTTCTCTTAATGCTATCCCTCCCCTTCTCCCCAACCCCAGACAGGACACAGTGTGTGATGTTCCCCTCTCTGTGTCCATGTGTTCTCGTGGTTCAACTCCCACATATGAGAGAGAACATGCTATGTTTGGTTTTCTGTTCCTGTGTTAGTTCACTGAGAATGATGATTTCCAGCTTCATCCATGTCTCTGCAAAGAACATGAACTCATACTTTTTTAAGGCTGCATATTATTCCATGGCGTATATATGCCACATTTTCTTTATCCAGTCTATCATTGATGGGCATTTGGGTTGGTTCCAAGTCTTTGCTATTGTAAATAGTGCTTCAATAAACATACGTGTGCATATGCCTTTATAGCAGAATGATTTATAATCCCTTGGGTGTATACCCAGTAATGGGATGGCTAGGTCAAATGGTATTTCTTGTTCTAAATCCTTGAGGAATCATGACACTGTCCTCCACAATGGTTGAACTAATTTGCACTCTTAGCAACAGTGTAAAATTGTTCCTATTTCTCTACATCCTCTCCAGCATCTGTCATTTCCTGACCTTTTAATGATTGCCATTCTAACTGGTGTGAGATGGTATCTCATTGTGGTTTTGATTTGCATTTCTCTAATGTCCAGTGATGTGATGAGCTTTTTTTCATATGTTTGTTGGCCGCATAAATGTCTTATTTTGAGAAGTGTCTCTTTATATCCTTTGCCCACTTTTTGATGGGGTTATTTGTTTTTTTCTTGTAAATTTGTTTAAGTTTTTTCTGGATTCTGGATATTAGCCCTTTTTCAGATGGATAGATTGCAAAAATTTTCTCCCATTCTGTAGGTTGCCTGTTCACTCTAAGGAAAGTTTATTTTGCTGTGCCAAAGCTCTTTAGTTACATCCCTTAGATCTCATTTGTCAATTTTAGCTTTTGTTGCAATTGCTTTTGGTATTTTAGTCATGAAGTCCTCACCCATGCCTATGTCCTGAATGATATTGCCTAGGTTTTCTTCCAGGGTTTTTATGGTTTTAGGTCTTATGTTTACGTCTTTAATCCATCTTGAGTTAACTTTTGTATAAGTTGTAAGAAAGGGGTCCAGTTTCAGTTTTCTCCACATGGCTAGCCAGTTTTCCCAAAACCATTTATTAACTAGGGAATCATTTACCCATTGCTTATTTTTGTCAGGTTTGTCAAAGATCAGATGGTTGTAGATGTGTGATGTTATTTCTGAGGCCTCTGTTCTGTTCCATTGGTCTATATATCTCTTTTGGTAACAGTACCATGCTGTTTTGTTTACTGTAGCCTTGTAGTACAGTATGAAATCAGGTAGTGTGATGCCTACAGCATTTTCCTTTTTGCTTAGGATTGTCTTGGCTATTTGGGCTCTTTTTTGGTTCCATATGAAATTTAAATAGTTTTTTCTAATTCTGTGAAGAATGTCAATGGTAGCTTGATAGGAATAGCATTGAATCTATATATTACTTTGGGCAGTATGGCCATTTTCATGATACTGATTCTTCCTATCCATGAGAATAGAATGTTTTCCCATTTGTTTGTGTCCTCTCTTATTTCATTGAGCAATGGTTTGTAGTTCTCCTTGAAGAGTTCCTTCGCATCCCTTGTAAGTTGTATTCCTAGGTATTTTATTCTTTTGATAGTACTTTTGAATGGGAGTTCACTCATGATTTGGCTCACTGTCTATTATTGGTGTATAGGAATGCTTGTGATTTTTGCACATTAATTTTGTATCTAAGACTTTGCTGCAGTTGCTTATCAGCTTAAGGAGATTTTGGACTGAGACGATGGGGTTTTCTAAATATAGAATCATGTCATCTGCAAATAGAGACAATTTGACTTCCTCTCTTCTTATTAGAATACACTTTATTTCTTTCTCTTGCCTGATTGTCCTGGCCAGAACTTCCAATACTATATTGAATAGGAGTGGTGAGAGAGGGCATCCTTGTCTTGTGCCAGTTTTCAAAGGGAATGCTTCCAGCTTTTGCCCATTCAGTATGATATTGGCTGTGGTTTTGTCATGAATAGCTCTTATTTTGAGATGTGTTCCACCAATACTTAGTTTATTGAGAGTTTTTAGCATGAAGCGGTGTTGAATTTTATCAAAGGCCTTTTCTGCATCTATTGAGATAATCATGTGTTTCTTTCATTGGTTCTGTTTATGTGATGTATTACGTTTATTGATTTGCATATGTTGTACCAGCCTTGCATCCCAGGGATGAAGCCGACTTGATCGTGGTGGATAAACTTTTTGATATGCTGCTGGATTCAGTTTGCCAGTATTTTATTGAGGATTTTCACATCGATGTTCATCAGGGATATTGGCCTGAAACCTTCTTTTTTTTTTTTTTTTTTTTGTCTCTGCCAGGTTTTGGTATCAGGATGATGATGGCCTCATAAAATGAGTTAGGGAAGAGTCCCTCTTTTTCTACTGTTTGGAGTAGTTTCAGAAGGAATGGTACCAGCTGCTCTTTGTACCACTGGTAGAATTTGGCTGTGAATCCATCTGGTCCTGGGTTTTTCTTTGGTTGGTAGGCTATTAATTACTGCTTCAATTTCAGAACTTGTTATTGATCTATTCAGGGATTCGACTTCTTCCTGGTTTAGTCTTGAGAGTGTGTATGTGTACCGGAATTTACCCATTTCTTCTAGATTTTCTAGTTTATTTGCACAGACGTGTTTACAGTATTCTCTGCTGGTAGGTTGTATTTCTGTGGGATCAGTGGTGATATACCCTTTATCACGTTTATTGTGTCCATTTGATTCTTCTCTCTTTTCTTCTTTATTAGTCTGGCTAGTAGTCTATTTTGTTAATCTTTTCAAAAAACCAGCTCCTGGATTCATTGATTTTTTGAAGGGTTTTTCGTGTCTCTATCTCCTACAGTTCTGCTCTGATCTTAGTTATTTCTGGCCTTTTGCTAGCTTTTGAATTTGTTTGCTCTTGCTTCTGTAGTTCTTTAATTGTGGTATTAGGGTGTCGATTTTGGATCTTTCGTGTTCTCTCCTGTGGGCATTTAGTGTTATAAATTTCCCTCTAAATACTGCTTTAGCTGTGTCTGAGAGATTCTGGTACGTTGTGTCGTTGTTCTCATTGGTTTCAAATAATTTATTTATGTTTGCCTTAATTTCGTTATTTACCTAGTAGTCATTCAGGAGCAGGTTGTTCAGTTTCCATGTAGTTGTGCAATTTTAAGTGAGTTTCTTAATCCTGAGTTCTAATTTGATTGCACTGTGATCTGAGAGACTGTTAGCTATGATTTCCATTATTTTGCATTTGCTGAGGAGTGTTTTACTTTTAATTATATGGTCAATTTTGAATAAGTATGATGGGCTGCTGAGAAGAATGTATATTTTGTTGATTTGGAGTGGAGAGTTCTGTAAATGTCTATTAGGTCCACTTGGTCCAGAGCTGAATTCAAGACCTGAACATCCTTGTTAATTTTCTGCCACGTTGATTTGTTTAATATTGACAGTGGGGTGTTAAAGTCTCCCACTATTATTTTGTGGGAGTCTGAATCTCTTTGTAGGTCTCTAAGAACTTGCTTTATGAATCTGGGTGCTCCTATATTGGGTACATATATATTTAGGATAGTTAGCTCTTCTTGTTGCATTGATCCCTTTACCATTATGTAATGCCCTTCTTTGTCGTTTTGATCTTTGTTGGTTTAAAGTCTGTTTTATCAGAGACTAGGATTGCAGCCCCTGCTTTTTTTTTTTTTTTTTTTTTTTTTTTTTGCTTTCCATTTGCTTGGTACACAATCCTCCATCCCTTTATTTTGAGCCTGTGTGTCTCATTGCACGTGAGATGGGTCTCCTGAATACAGCACACCAGTGGGTCCCGTAGTCCCATATATCTTGGAGGGTTTGTTCATTCCTTTTCATTCTTTTTTCTCTAATCTTGTCTTCATGCTTTATTTCATTAAGTTTATCTTCAATCTCTCATATCCTTTCTTCCACCAGTTCGATTCAGCTATTGATACTTGTGTATACTTCATGAAGTTCTCATGCTGTGTTTTTCAGCTTCATCAGGGCATTTATTTTCTTCTCTAAACTGGTTATTCTAGTTAGCAATTCCTCTAGCCTTTTTTCAAGGTTCTTAGCTTCCTTGCATTGGGTTAGAACATGCTCCTTTAGCTCGGAGGAGTAGGTTATTACCCACCTTCTGAAGCCTACTTCTGTCAACTCGTCAAACTCATTCTCTGTCCAGTTTTGTTCCCTTGCTGGCGAGGAGTTGTGATCCTTGGAGGAGAAGAGGTGTTCTGGTTTTTGGAATTTTAGACTTTTTGTGCTGGTGTTTCCTCATCTTCGTGGATTTATCTACCTTTGATTTTTGATGCCGAAGACCTTTGGATGGGTCCTTTTTGTTGATGTTGCGTCCTTTTTGTTGATGTTGATGTTATTGCTTTCTCTGTTAGTTTTCCTTCTCACAGTCAGGCCTCTCTTCTGCAGGTCTGCTAGAGTTTGCTAGAGGTTCACTCCGGACTCTGTTTGCCTGAGTATCACCAGCAGAGGCTGCAGAATAGCAAAGCTTTCTCTGGAAGCTTCGTTCCAGAGGGGCACCCACCACATGCCAGCTGGAGTTCTCCTGTATGAGGTGCCTGTCGACCCCTGCTGGGAGGTGTCACCCAGTCAGGAGGCACAGGGGTCAGGGACCCACTTAAGGAGACAGTTTGTCCCTTAGGAGAACTCGAGCACTGTTCTGGGAGATCCACTGCCCTCTTCAGTGCTGGTAGGCGGGAATGTTTAAATCTGCTGAAGCTGTGCCCACCGCCGCCCCTTCCCCCAGGTGCTCTGTCCCAGGGAAATGGGAGTTTTATCTATAAGCCCCTGTCTGGGGCTGCTGCTTTTCTTTCAGAGATGCCCTGCCCAGAGAGGAGGAATCCAGAGAGGTAGTCTGGCTACAGCAGCTTTGCTGTGCTGTGGTGGGCTAGCCCAGTCCAAACTTCCCTGTGGCTTTGTTTACACTGTGATGGGAAAAGCGCCTTCTCAAGCCTCAGTAATGGGGGATGCCCTTGCCCCCACCAAGCTCCAGTCTCTCAGGTCAACTTAAGACTGCTGTGCTGGGGTCTGCCCAAATGGCTGCCCAGTTTTGTGCTTGAAACCAAGGGCCCTAGTGGTGTAGGCACCCGAGGGAATCTCCTGGTCTGCGGATTGCAAAACCTCAGGAAAAGCATAGTATCTGGGTTGGATAGCACTGTCCCTAACGGCACAGTCCCTCACAGATTCCCTTGGCTAGGAGAGGGAGATCCCCGACCCCTTGCACTTCCTGGGTGAGAGAACACTCCGCTCTGCTTCTGCTCGCCCTCTGTGGTCTACACCCACTGTCTAACTAGTCCCAGTGAGATGAACCAGGTACCTCAGCTGGAAATGCAGAAATCACTCATCTTCTGCGTTGGTCTCACTGGGAGCTGCAGACTGGAACTCTTTCTATTCAGCCATCTTGCTCGGAACCCCTATTTTTGTAATAATTTTTAAATCACTTAATATTATGCTTGGATTAAATAGGCAACACAGAATAATTAATTTATACGTTTGTTTTATAAAAAGCGTGTACTCAATGTGTCACTTTTAACATTGATTTCTTATTTCTTTTCCATCTTTTTTAAAATATAGTTTGCCAGAATAAAATTTAAGGTGAGCACACATCATTGTTTGGGTTTAAAAAGAAAATTTTTAAATGTTTAGTGAAAATAGACCTTCATATTAATGATTTAAGAACATTAGAAAAATCACTAAGTTTTAAGTGCAAGAGTCCAATAGCAGAAATGAAACTGATTTAGGTAAATGAAAGTGAAATGCAGTAAGAGGATCAATTCCTATCCATATGCTAAGGATTAATGTGTTGTGATAAACACATTTTTTGTTAATGTAATCAAGTTATAATTATTGTTACTGTTACTGACAATGATGGCTTCCCCAAAGATGGGGTCTTTCCCTATTTGGTGTCATGCCAATGCCAATACTAGAAATTGAAAGTGAGTATCAAGCAGTGAAGGCTTTATTCAGTGGCCATGGAATTGAGAAGCAGTAGTACATGGTTCACAAATCAACCTCTTTACTAGTGAGCAGTGAAGGGTTAAAATACAGGGCTCCTGTAATGAAGGGGTTGTATGTTAAAAGGGAGGAGAGGAATATGTCTTTCCAGAAATGGGCAGTGAACTCCCCAGAATTGAAGAGATGCCTTCTTTTTTGTCCTTTTATGTCTTCTTCTGGTCATTTTCATGGCAATTGTCAAATGTCATGCCACTGGTGGGAGGGTAATTAAGCATAGAAATGAGATTATAATGAAGCCTGAGATCTTTTTGAATTTGTTTGGTCAGCTATCTTGGTTCTAACCAGTCTCAGCTGGTCTGATTACAAAGGGACATTTTTATCATAGGCATATTGTTTCTTAAAGATAAGCAGAGTAGGACAGGGTAGAAATACAGCTTTGTCATGCAGGCATTAGTTACCACAAACCACAGACTTTCTTAATACTTGAAAATATTATCTCATAAGAATCTTATGAAAAATACTATTATTACATGCATTTTACAGCTAAGAAGAGTAAAATATAAAGATGCTAAGTTTCTTGCCCAAGGTCCTTAGGTGGAACTACAATTTAATAGAATCTGACTCTCAGGTCTACAATTTTGACCGCTAAAAGTATCTTAGATGGTTATTCATGTATAACCAATTGGCAATGTCTTTTCTTTTACCTAATTAACATATCCAATACATCGGTTTTTTTTCTTTTTTCTCTGTCACAATCCTATTTTAGAAACTTACATAGCAAGTTTGTCTCCAAATTTTTTCACTTATTTTCTGACTTTTATTTAAATCTATGCTGTCCTCCATGTAGTGTAAATACAATTGTACCTTTAAGTCTCATTTTACTCACAACTTCCTAAGTCTTCTTGATTACAGAACATCATTTGCATCTCTAAGTGGGATATAGAGCCCCCTAAATTCTGGCTAGACTACACCCACTACCCCACTTCTACCATTCCCTCCACCCCATGTCTTTACCTCTCATTTTTTTCTGTATATGACACTAAAAACAAATCCATATTAACAACATATATGGAATTTAAAAGGCAATTTCTTTTATGAGGTGGTCTATCTGTTATTCTTGATTTTGCCTTGCATCCACACTCTTCCTCCCATTTTAAATATTTCGTGTGTTGCATCTAAATATATCTTAACACTATATTTTAGTCAACAATCCCATGATGATGTTAAATATATATATAAAACTGACCATAATTTATCCACTTATTTAGGTCTATCTTTTCAATACAAACTTTCCCTACTCTGAATTCTGATTCACAATTTCTTGCTAACTTGTTTGGAACCTATTTTATGAGGACTACATGTCTTTTTAAAATATTGCCCCTAGATAAAATTTAAGCTTTATAAGGGCTGATATTTTTTGTCTCCTTTCAAAAATACTTTACATGTGAAGATGCAGATAAATAGTTTATATTGGGAAATATTTGCTATCAATCTATTTTCCTAGAATGGATCAAGTAAAGAAATACTAATATAATAATAATATTAATAATAACAGCAGTGCAATTTTGAGATAATTAAGCAGGGCTGCTCTTTTTCTCAGTAAGGTAACAAAAGTCACTGCAAACCAATATACAAGTACTTGCATATGATTTATTTGAAATTAAGAGAGAAAACAGTGATACTGATCCCAATGGTAAAGACAGTGAATCAAGGGATAGCAGATAGGGAATATCTTTTTGAACCTATTTTCATAAGTGTGCTTATACTTATTGTTCTAGACTACACTATTATTCATTTAAGGAAAAAAATGGATTTAATTTCATTCCACTGCCATTATACTTGAAGAAAATATTGTGGTTTTCTATATGATAAAGCATACTTGATAGAGTCCTAATTTCCTCTAGTGACTTTTTACACATGCCACTTCAATGTAACAGAACCCCAGAAATGAAAAGAGTATTTTAAAAATTGCATACATTGACAACACTTTTAATTAAAAAATTATGAATAATAATTGTTAGCTAATATTTATATATACATATAATTACTCAGAAGCTCTGTTTTATTTTTATTTTTTCATCTATATAGGAGGTTTAGGGTATGATATTTATGGAATTGTGAGGGGACAATGGCCTGGCATTCATTTTAGGAGTATATTTCAGATAGATCTTTTATTTTATTGCCTAAGAGAATAATACTTAAAATCCTTAATAACAATATTAATTATATATTGCTAAAATTTATTTGCATATGATCAGAGTGATCTGTATGATATTAAGGTTTTAAAATATTTTAGAGACTCATCTTTTGGCTGAAAAATAAGTTTTTACATGTTTCATAAATACTTGAAAAATGTTCACTGACTGTTAGAGTCAAGATTTAAACATATCCATTAGATTAAGAATGTTAATTATGTGCTTCAAATGTGTCGCATCTTTCTCTGTCCTTTCTTTTATGATCGTTGGGAGAATAATTGCCAAAAGCTTTCACTATGCTACCAAGCATATTTTTCTTATTATGTCACCTTTTCTGAACTCTTAGTTTGGGTTAAGTTTCTTATAAATGCCATAAAATTCTAACTATGTTCTATTAGCTAACCTTCTTTAAGTATAAAGTTTAGTGTACTAATTTCTTGGCTTAAACTCCATATTTATAAATGCTTATGACTCAACAAAACTTTATCTTGAAGTATGCCTTTCCTCAGAATTTTAGGTTTATATATCCAATTGCCTTCCTAATATTACAAATTAGAATTCACATAGGTATCTCAGCATGTACATTTTAGAAGCATACTTTGGATCTTCTCCATCCAAAATTTCAGTAATTTTCAAGTAATGTAAATGGCAGAATGAAACAAAACAAAACAAAACAAAACAAATGTGATTGCCTTATTGAGGTGGTTGAGGTGGTTGAGGTGGTTAGAGAGTAGGTAACAAAGCCTCCATTATCTCAGGCTGGAAAGCTGTCAACTCATAAAGTGGCAACTCTTATTTTAAGATAGCAAAGTAGTAAAATGTTTGTTTAAACTGTTACTAGCTGTTCCTTCGTGGTGCAAACATCATTTGAAGCTGTAGCACCAGGAAAAATTATAGGAAACATTCAGACCATAGCAACCTATTGACTGTTTTTCAAATAATTTTATTAGAAATATACGGATTTATGCCAGAGCAAGCCGGTTGGCAAAGAAGAAGAAAGGAAATTACTATTAATAAAGATTGTGCTCATTGTCTATGTCCAACAGTGTAAGTTACCTGAAAGTTTGGTTAACATGGAACTTTAGCTTTAAATAGAGCCTCATCATCTTTAAGTAGTAGCTTCAAGATGGCAGCTCTAGCAGGAGACAAAATTGTAGGTCCAGACTGTTTTTTTCTAAATAAAACAGTATTGCTCTGATAGACGTATGTAGTCCACCCACCTAAAATGGACAGGTTAATCACAATGTCTTCCTACCCACTGGATTAAAGGAGAGAAAATAGTCAACGGCACAGATGTCTGAAAGTAAAGAGAATGCTTGTTCAAGATTAAGATTTATATCTAGGTAAGATTGTTGTTGAAATGACTTGTCCATGGAATTGAGAGGAGGCAAAAAGATAATTAAACTTCTAATTTTAATTTCCCCTAGAAAGGTCTATTGCTAAAGAAATATTCAAGGTCTGCATTAACTTGTTACGTAAATCAATAAAGTAATTCTTAGCCGTCTCTCAACCATTTACACTCCAGTGTTACCAATAAAGGAAGCTTGATAACTTATTATGACACTAAGACATTATGCATATTACATATGATAATTGCACAATTAAGGGTTATTTTTAAATGAGTATGGTGCACAAGAGGAAAAGGAAGGACCTTCTCATATTTGCAAATAACAATGGAAAAACTCTACTTAGGGTTTAACTTTATAAGGTTGAAATGGCTTTCTTAAAATCAAACTGTAGACAAAAGTTTATTATTAGTTGCCTTGAGCTAGTGGTAGTTGACAGGAAATGGATAACTGCTTAAGGGCATAGGTTAGTCCGAATGAAGGAAGGAAAAAGATCTAAACTTGATAGTGGTTACAGTTGTGCAACTTTGTGAACATACAAAAAGTTGTTGAGCTGTACACTTTAAATGGATGACATGTGTGTGAAATATCTCAATAAAGCTACTAAAAACAAAACAGTAAATTGAAGAGCGACCCATAAATCAGTGTGACATCTCAAATTGACCATGCACTCTCCACTCTATTCTGTTGCCTCTTTCCTTACCACAGATGCATGAGTATATAGTGAGCTGTCTACATGCAGCAAGAGGATCTTGAGAACTTGTTGAATGAGAAGTATACCCAATGTGTAAAGATATGTACTGGGCAGTGATCTGCTGTACAGTGGGGTGAGAACACCTTACCAGGTGAAACTGAAGGGGCAGCAAATGCAACCTTGAACTATCTGAAAATTGTTAAGGATTCACAGCTAAAAAGTGGAATGGAGGTTAGAATTCGATATCTCGATGGGATTAATCTTGTCTAATTCAAATTAATCATAATATATTCCCTCTAGTATATATTATTGATTATCTTTAGAGACAATACATTTCCTGGGAGAGAAGTTTAAAGAAAATCATAAAAGTTCTAGGGTTTATATTAATATTTGACTTCATATCACTAAACAAATAAATAAATAAATGGCATGTATATTATCCAATTCCTAGGGAGGTTTTATAAAGTAAGAGTAATAGAATTAGAATTCACAGAAATGGGGGAACTATGTCAAAAATAAGTTATAAATTGAAGAACCTCAAATTTAAAAATAGTTTTTCTATGATACAATGTATTTAGGGCTTAATGTTATATTAGCTACTTTAAGAAATGTAGAATAAAGCATGCCACAGATGACAATTAGACATCAGCAGGACTCAAGAGCTTTTATGCCATTTTGCATTTTATGTGTTTACAAAGCTGCAACCTATTCGCATTTAATTCCATATTTACTGTCTCTTGTGTCTCATTACACAGCAGGGCATGGAATGAGCAATAAACATGTTACCATAAGTTTTGTACTGAATGATTATTTAATTAAATCACAACTTTTAAAACATTTCCATTCTGTGTCACCCTTGGGTTTGACATCTTATATTCATATATCTATTTTATCAATCTATCTACAATGAATCACAAAACCATGCTGAAAAAATTGATACATATGAAAGTTTCAGGAGAATAAAATATTAGTTCTGAATACATAAGTACATAAGAAAGAGTTATTCTTGCTGACTTGAACAATTATATAAATATAAAAATGGTACGCTAATTGACTGGCCTACTTACGTGAAGTTACATGACAAGAATATGAAAGAAACAGTATAAATATTCCATTTGGGTTTAATTCTATACGTGGATACTTTTATTTTTTATGTGAATATACATGATCAAATTACTTTTTCTAGTGTCTTAAGAAGAAGTTAGTATTTATATTGGTAATCTGTAATATAATTTATATTTTGGCAATGATTGATTTACTTAAGTAACTTATATCTCACCAGAGAATAAAATGAAGGGGGTTATTCACCTGGACTGGCATCAGTGCAATAATATTATAATTAAGTGTATTGTTTCTGTATGGCATTTTTGAACTATGTAGAACTAAAGGAAAAAGAAGAAACTAAAGAAAGTCTGCACAACAAAATAAACTATCAACAGAGTAAACAGACAACCAACAAAATGGGAGAAAATACTGACACACTATGCATCCAACAAAGGTCTAATATCCAGAATCTATAATCAACTTAAGCAATAGAACAAGCAAAAAACATATAACTACATTTTAAAAATGAGCAAAGGACATGAACAAACAGGTCTTTAAAGAAGACATACAAATGGCCAACAAACACAAAAAATTCATCATCACTAATCTTCAGAGAAATGCAAATCAAAGCCACAATGAAATACTATTACACACCAGTCAGCGTGACTATTGTAAAAATGTCAAAAGATGGCAGATGCTGGTGAGGCTGCAGAGTAAAGGGAGCACTTATATACTATTGGTAGAATTTAAATTAGTTTAGCCACTGTGGATAGCAGTTAGGAGATTTCTCAAGATCTTAGAATTACCGTTCACCCCAGTAATCCTATTACTAGGTATATACCCGAAGGAAAATGAATCTACCAAAAAGACACACGCACTCATATATTTATCACAATTCTATTCACAATAGCAAAGACATGGAGTCAACCTAGGTGCCCCATCAATGGGGGATTGGAGAAAGAAAATGTGGTACATATGCACCATGGAATACTATGCAGCCATAAAAAGAATGACATCATGTTCTTTGCAGCAACATGGATGTGGCTGGAAGCCATTATTTTAAGTGAATTAATGCAGGAACAGAAAAAGCAAATACTGGATGCTCTCATTTATTAATGGGAGTCAAATATTGAGTACACATGGACACAAAGATGAGAACAATAAACACTCAGGACTACTAGAAGGGGGAGGAGAATAGGAGAATGTAGGCTGAAAAACTACCTATTAGGTACAATACTCACTACCTTAGCGATGGGATCGTCTGTATTCCCATCCTCAGGATTATGCAATATAGCCATGTAACAAACCTGCACTTGTACTTTCTGAATCTACAATAAAAGTTGAAATTATTTAACAAAAAAAGATGAAGAGAAAATACATGGAATTTGCTCACTTCAAACTATCATATAAGCCTGAAGACCCTGTTGCTCCTTCATTTTAAAGTGAGGAGAAAATTAGAAGAAAAAAAAATAGAAGAAAAAATAGAACACTAGAGAGTACTTAGAATTTCACTTGAAAATAGAAATAATTAAAGAAATAGAATTTACAACAAAACTAAGACAATACATATTTACAATTGATATAGTTGGGAGTAACTTCAGAGGTTCAAATATTGAAGACAGTTATTACAGATTAAACCAAGCTAAGGGTAAGGTTCAAGAAATTCAACTAAGGCAAGAGCAGGCATATTTAGATGAACTAGATCCAAATCCAAGAGATAATAAACTGAGATGAGGAACTCCACTTAGTTCCTGGCCACAATAAGTTGAATTTAGGCAAAGAATTTCGGTAAAAACTGAAAGGAAAAATAACAATAGCTTGATATTAATCTAAGGTCTAAGGCATCATGACATAAATCTTCACAAGTTTAGAATTGATTTTGATTCCAGATAGCACTGAGCTTATAAATGAGTGAATACAATAAAATGTGTAAAAACAATGGAGAAAGACAATTTTAAATAGAAGCAAGGAATTTCCATTTATATTTCAGAGCTTTAATACAAAATCTGTGATTAAGTTTGGGAAACTATAGTTTAAAAATATAGACACATAGACATTAAACAGAGAAACATTTAGTTTAAAATGTATTTTGTGTCCCTGGGATAAGTGTCAAACATCTGAGATACTTAACCTATAAATGGAATTAATGCTTTATTTACAGAATATTTGTAATGATTAAGTGAAATATTAAAATAGTTACCACATGCTGAAGACATAAACATTTTTAAAAGCTCTCCTTTACTTAAGATTTCAATCTGTTTAGACAATGTTATATAAAATGTTGAGAAAATCTACAAATATGAAGAGTGATGATTTTAGATAAAGTTTTCAGAAAATAATGAGGATCTGAAGTATAAAAAGTTCTTTGAAATATGTTTATGCTTATTACCTTAAAGAATGAAATATTTGCTTCTTTTGTATCATGAATTATCATACAAAAATTAAAAAAAATCAGTTGGAAATATGTCCATGGAATTTAAGATGAATGATATATGATCCCACAGGAAAATGAGATCATAATATTCTTTCATAGTGTATTGTATATGTCTAAAATCTTGTTCTTCAGGCATGGTACTGGATTAAGAGACCTAGGTCTTTATTCCTTGAAGTAAGAGGTGATTTTTGAGGATGTGGGTATGATATTACCAACAGGCAAAAGTATCAGATAATATAAAATCTTCTTAATTTCTACAATATTAGAGTCAATTTGTTCTTCTACAATTTATCTTAAGTCAGTAACTTCATGGGTCTCTCTTCTGCACCATTAAATAATTTAAATAAGCTGATTATCCTCAAAGTGCTGTGTTGTCTCATCTTGAAATTTTTTAAGCCTCTCTGAATTTTTTAATTATCTGGATTCTGTGTGAATAAGCATGATGTAGACAGAACTACATATCCATCAATTGAGAATTATGAAATGAAACTCTTAATAGAGCTGAAGCTAACACTTCAACGTTTCTGAATATTTACACAATGAAAGGTTTCCTAATTACACTTCTGCCTCTTTAGTTCATCTTACCATTCTGATTAGCAGTACAAATATAAACAGGGTTACCAAATTAAAAGGTAAGATGAAAAAATTATGATTGTGTAGAAAACTCTTAGACACTTTTCACGTTACTAAGGTGGTAATTTCATCTTTCTTTTAAATAAAATGAAATCAAATGTATTGGAACCTTCTTCAATCAGCTGCTCTTTTAAATTTCCCATACTTATTTGGCATATACAAATCTTACACTTTTGAAGAGGATTATTGTAAAGAAAAAAATGAAATTCATTTTTATGTGTAGCAGTTGATCACTGAAAAATCAAGACTTTTGACATTACTCTTTACTCTGTGTGCTGTGAAAAAAATAAACTATTTAAGCATATAAAAACTTAACCCACTACCAAAAATCTAGTGACTATCCAAGTAATTTGAAATTCTTTACACTCTTACCACTTAAATATGTATAATTTACATGTTATATGTAGCATGATAGATAATAAGCCAAGTAAAAATAAAATGCATTACAAAATTCTAAAATAAAAAGATTTGACACATAAAAAGCAAGGGAACCAATTTTTGACAGCATAATTATTTCCTGTCCATACTTCAATCCTTAGTGAATGCTTGGAGGGCACAACAAATAGAGAGCTGAAATATTACTTATCATGTATTCTAACTTTTAAAAGAAAGTTCTCAAACTAGTGAGTAGGCATGAAAACAAAGTGAGCATTGACCTTCATTAGTTATTACGCATCCTATTTGAGAAGTAAGAATGTCCGTATCTCACTGCTACCTAAATTAAAGTGAATTTGAATACAATTGCTTCATAGGTCAGTTATGCCTATTTAGCAGTATACAACACATGTGACCTCTCAATTTTTAATATTTAAATCTCCTAATATATTTCTGCTTGCTTATTCTCAGCTCTCTTTAATCTGAAGCTAAAATTTATATTTTCTTTTTAGAATTTTCCACTTAAACTACAATATTTTCAATTTTATTTTGTCTGCCATTTTACACAGAAGATGCACAGCTTTCTGATAAACACAAATTCATTAATAAGAGTAGAGCTTTATTATGCTACTTTTCTTATTTTAAAATGCTCAAGGGAAAAAAAATGCTTTTATTAAAACCCAGTGGTGTTTCTCAAACACCAGTACTTAAGAGATACTTAATTATCATGATGAATACAATAAATTTATCTCACCTTTGTCTGAACTAAATTACTTGTCACTCAGTCAACAGTGTAAGCCAATTTTCCACATCAAAATATGTTTTTTTTGAAAGATTGAACATATGTATACAAGTGTGGGCATTAGTATTTTATTGTGGGATTCTTTTATCAATTTATGAATTTAAAAATGTTATATGCACATTGTGTTATATTTCAGAAATGCTAATAAAATGAACTCAACCTAAATTAAGGATAAAAAACTCGAACATTTTTATTGAAGAAAATGTGTTCATTGCTGTTTTAAATGCATTATTCACAAAAATATAGCTCTCATTGGCATAAAATTAACTTTGAGATTTATCCAGGAAAACCTCGTAAATTTCAAATTTTACTTTAGTTAGTATGTTGTCACAGAATTTTAAATATGGGAATCTTCAGCACCTTAAAATAGCAACCATGGCAATAACATTTGCTATTAAGTTATGTATTTGACAAACATTATTTTATTGAACTTCCACAACAAAACTATGAAATAAGTTATATTTTTAGATATATAGCCACAGAGACTTGTAGATTTAGATAATTTGCTTAGGTTCAGAAACTTTACAAGAGGCAAAGCCAAAACTCAAATTTTGCACAGATCTTTGTGAACCTGAAGTGCATGTTTTCAAACATTGTGCATCAGCTTATGTAACATTATATGTTGCTATTGACTGCATGACATCAATTTTTAATTCATAGCCATCAGTACAACTTATGCTTTGCTGGTGTCAGAATCTGATATTGTCTCAGTGTTATATAGTACTTTAAGGACCTAGACCAGCTACTCTGAGATTGGTTCTCTTTTCTCAAAAAAAGAAAAAAAAATACATAAAAGAGGACAAAATATAATATCATACTTAAAAGGTAGTGCAATAATCTCCTTTAAAAGAGTTTCAGATTGCTAATGTGGGATTTTTTACTATAATGTCCATGCTTTTATTTTGAATTTTTACTTTGTTAATTCAAAGACATTATAGTACATTGTAATAACATATTAGCATAAGTTTAAAACTAAGCTAAGTACAATTATGTTCCCAAGAGGCACAGAAATATTAAAAACAAACTCAGTTAAAGAATATTGTTGTTCCTCCAGCTATCCTTTAAAATTTGAGTTTGTTTGTAATACTTTGTTAAATTTTCCCAATTTATTGCACTTTGTACTTCCTATCCTATGTTTTAGGGAATGTCATTCCCTCTTAAAATAATCTCTTACATTGAGTACAATGTGTAATGTTACAATTGCACTACTTTTTAAGGGATCAAAGACTTGATGTGGCATGACATGCAAAAATTAACATATGACAATTGTGCAAATTGTGAAAGAGAACTATTTTCTCAGGAACCCCCAGGAATAGTGTTTTTGCTATACCACCCATGAATTTTCCTTTCAGAAATCCTTTATATCACCAGATTATCCTGATCACCCTATCCTTCACTTGCATTTAGGCAATAAACCTGTACAAATGTTGAATGTAGAGTTGAAAATAATATTTAAAATAAAGTCTGCTGGGGAAGAATTCAGTGGTACACTCAATCTTTCTGGATATTTTATTTCTAATAATATCTCAAATTACGTTGGTTTGTATAGCAGTCCTATCACACTGGTAATTTATATCGACCTTTCAGTCCAATTAAATCATTTGCTAATTTTCATGTAAACTTCTGGTTAAGTCAGAGCTCCACTCTTACTTGGGTTGTCAATTATTCCTAACACATATTTTGCAAAGACTGTTAAATTAATTCCAGTTGTATTAAAGGGTAGAAAGTCATTTTAGAAGGCCCAGAGTTTATTTTTTAATGATCTTCGAACTACACAGGCACATTCAAAAATGTAAGCACACCAGGACTGGCAAAACAAGAAATTTATCATTGACCCCTTCAAATAGGTTGAAAGTTTTCTGCACAATATCTTTCCCAGTATTTGATGTGACACGCCTCTCTGCTTTGGATTATTTTTTACTTTTTTACTGTGATACACAATCATGACTCAGAAGAAAGTTCTCCAGTCAATAAAATCCTGCTTCAGCTGTCTTTTACTGACTTCTGCCTTGTTTAGTAATATTGCACCTATTTCATTCTTTTATACCTTACACAATGCTTATCTACACATTTCTCAGTATTCTCAAATTTTTATTTACACAAACTTTTACTTATAGCTAAAGTGAAATACCACTTTTACCTGAACACTGAATATTCTCGCTCCTGGTATTCCTAAGATGAAAAATAGGGGCATTTTCACGTTCTCAAGAATTTTTTCCTTACACTTTCTCACCAGTTTTTCTTATTCGACTATCTGCCCTCACTCTAAATTTATACCAGTTTTTTATTATTTACAAACTTCTAAGAGACACATCGTCCAGCATTCTTCAAGAGTTTCTATTTTCAATAAAAATTGCTCATGATCCTGATTTCACTATACTCTTTCTTTTATCACTATTTCATAAAATTTAACATATAGGTAAAAACCCTAAAGCAGCCTTGGACATAGTAACTACTTGACTGTTACACTTACGATTTAAGAAAAGTACACCCCAATCCCTAATCAATTCCTAATCCAACTTCCATTCTTTAATCTTTTGCTTTTCATATTTTCTTTATCATTATTCAGACCTCCAATCTGATAACTATTTCCTCTGTCAGTTGTCTCTTTCTAAATGTTCTTCTTAACTAATCTCTGCTCCACAAACATTAAATCATTTTTTCTATTGTTTAAATTTGCTAAGTACAGCATTTTAATAGTTACACTAAACTACTTTTGCCAATTTCAAATATGATATGAACTAAAGAGTGTGTTTTATCTTCTACTTTATATTAGGTTATTAAACATTGAAAGCAAAAGTCACTTGCAAAGATAGACCATATTAAAAACAAACACACAAACAGAAATCCCTCAAATTCACTTTCAATGTTTCCCTAAGGATTATGATTAATAACTTCATTAAAATCAGGTTAATTCTAATATTCTCGTCAGTGAAAGTATACCAAAGCATTTATTATGTTTTAGAGACAGAAGTGGATTTGGATTTCCTGGTAAATAAAGAACATCCCAGTTAATTCTAAATTCAAACAACATTTTTAAAAGTTCAAGTATATCTTATATACTGAATATGGATAATAATAGAAAAATGTATTTAATGTATATTATATTACATAAAATATATATAATGTATATTATACATAATTAATATGTGTGTATGTTATTTATCTGAACTTTGATTTAACTATATGTCCTGTGCTTTTATTTGCTGTATCTGGAATCCCAGGATCAAAAAACTTATTATTTCAGAAAACGAGCTCATCTTTTTCTTTATTATGAAGATCAAGATAGCCCATTTGTATGGATTTATTGTTCTGGAATTTTATTCAAAGGTACTCTGAAAGGCATAGTTTGCTGTTTCTGGCTGGGAGTAATTGGCACTGCCCCCACCCCCCACGTATTTATATATTTTTGAATCTTTGCATGCCATCTGCTATTTAGTCTCTCTCTCTCTATATATATATAGTGTCAATATTATATATATGCAGATATATATGTCTACAAATATGTGTGTGTGTGTAGAAGATAGATAGAGAAAAAAATTCATCTTCCTTATTATGTCACAGTAAAAGTATATGCCTACCTGACTATTAGCCTTATCATCTCATCTTTTAAAAAGAATACTTTTTCCCCACTTGTTTCACTATCAAAATGTACATTCATTCTTTATCATACTGGATTTCTACACCCTATTTTCCCCCTAGATTTATTGAGGTATACTTGACGAATAATACTTGTGCATATTTAAGGTATACGAAGTGACATTTTGATATATGTATACATGGTGAAAAGAGTACCACAATCAAGCTAATCAGCGTATTCATCAACTCACAGAGTTAAGGTTTCCTTTTTGTGTTTGATGGAAACACTTAAGGTCAACTCTCTTAGCATATTTCAAGTTTATAATACAGAATTAAGTATAGTTAGCATGCTGCACGTTAGATCTCCAGAATTATTCGTCCCACAAAACCCCGACTTTGTACTCTTTGACCAACATGTCTCTATTTTTTCTAACCCCAGCCTCTACAAATCACCATTCTACTCTCTTTGATAAATTTGGCTTAAAAAATTCACATGTGAGATCATGTTTGTGTTTGTTGTTTTATAGCCAGTTTTACATGTAAAATCACATTTATTTATGGTGTAAAAATGATGTTTTGATATACATATACATTGCCAAATGTTTGCCACAAACAATTAATTAATATGTTCATTACTTCACATGGTTATTTTTTTTCATGTTGAGAGTATTTAAGATCTACTCTCTTAGCATTTTTCAGTTTAAAATTCATTATTATTAACCATCATTATCATGTTATACAATAGATCTTCAGAACTTATATATCCTCTCTAACTGAAACTTTGTACCAGTTGACCACCTCTTTTCATTCCCCCTCTTCTTCCAGCGCCTAGCAACCACCATTCTACTGTCAGCTTCTATGAAGTTGACTTTATTAGATTTCACATATAAATGAGGTCATGCTGTGTTTGTCTTTCTGTGAGTGGTTTATTTCATTTACCATAATTTCCTTTAGGTTCATCCACTGTATATGTATACCATATGTTCTTTATCCATTCATCCATTGATGGACATTTAAGTCAATTCCATATCTTGACTATTGTGGATAATGCTGCAACGGGCATGGATGTCTCTTCAGAATACTGATTACATTTCCTTCTGAAATATACCCAAAGATGTGATTGCTAGTCATATAGTAGTTCAAATTTTAGTTATTGAGGAAATTTCATACTGTTTTTCACAATGGCTTTACCAATTTACATTACCACCAACAGTATATAAAGGCTCCTTTTTCTCCACATCTTCACTAACACTTATCTCTCCTACTTTTGATAGCCATTCTAACAAGTGTGAAGTGATATCTCATTATCATTTTGATTTGCCTTTCCTGATAATATATTTATTACCTCACATGGTTATTTTACGTTGAGAACATTTAAGATATACTCTTACCATTTTTCCAGTATATAATACGTTATTATTAACTACAGTCACCATACTATAGAGTAGAGCTCCAGAACTTATTTATTCTGTCTAACTAAAACTTTATACCTTCTGACCAACATCTCCCCATTTCCCCTCTAATGATATTAAGCACCTTTTATATGACTTTTGACTATCTGTGTGTCTTCTTTTGAAAACAATGTCTGTTAAAGCTTTTAGCCCATTTATTAATCAAGTTATTTGGTTTGAATTTTTTTGGCTTTAGGTTGTTTGAATTCATTATAGATTTTGAAGATTAACCCCTTATCAGATATATGGTATGCCAATACATTCTCCCATTTAATTGTAAGCTGCCTTTTGAGGCTGTTGATTCTTTCATTTGTGCAAAAGCTTTTTTTTTTTTTTTTTTTTTTTTTTTTTTTTTTTTTTTAGTGCTATCCCACTTGTCTATTTTTGCATTTGTTGCCTAGGTTTTTGGTGTTATATCCAAAAATATCATTACCCAGATCAATGATAAGAAATTTTTTCTCTAGGTTTTCTTCCCTTAATTTTACAGTTTCAAGTCTTATATTTAGTTTTTAATTGAGTTGATTTTTGTATATTGTGTGATATAGTGTAAAATTTCATTCATTTTTATGTAAATACCTAGTTTTCCCAACACCATTTACTGAAGAGACTATACATTCTCAATTGCATGTTCACATATGTGGCACCTTGGTGCAAGATCAGCTGACCATAGGTATGTAGTTTTATTTATGAACTCTCTATTCTATTCCATTTCTCTATGTCCATTTTTATGATATACCATTCTGTTTTGATGGGTATAGCTTTGCAATATATTTTGAATTCAGAAAGTGTGATGCCTCCTGCTCTCTTCTTCTTTGTCATCATTGCTTTGGCTATTTGGTGTCTTTTGTGATTTCACATAAACTTTAAGATTTTTTTTTTCTATTTCTGTGAATATTTCCAATGAGATTTTCGTAAGGATTGCATTGAATCTACAGATTGCTTTGGGTAGTATAGACATTTTAACAGCATTAATTCTTCTCAACCAGGAACATGAACTCTCTTTCCATTTATCTTTGTCTTCTTTAATTTCCCTCATAAATATTTTATACTTTTCACTGTACAGGTCATTCATGTATTTGGTTACATTTATTCCTAAGTATATTATTATTACTATTAATTTGCTCTTGTGAATGGAATTGGATTCTTCTTTTTTTTGTAAAACATTAACAAAAGATTTTTTTATTTCTTCTAAGACAAAAAATGGGACAAATGTACAGAACGTGCAGGTTTGTTACATAGGTATACATGTGCCATGGTGGTTTGCTACACCTATTGACTCATTCTCTAAGTCTCCTCACCTCACTCCCATCCCCAACAGGCCCTGGTGTATGTTGTTCCACTCTCTGTGTCCATGTGTTCTCATTGTTCAACTCCCACTTATGAGAGAACATGCAGTATTTGGTTTTCTTGGCCTGTGTTAGTTTGCTGAGAATGATGGCTTCCAGCTTCACCCATGTCCCTGAAAAGGACATTATCTCATTCCTTTTTATGGCTGAATAGTATTCCATGGTGTGTATGTGCCACATTTTCTTTATCCAGTCTATCACTGATGGGCATTTGGTTTCGTTCTATGTCTTTGCTATTGTAAATAGTGCTGCAGTAAACACACGTGTGCATGCGTCTTTATAGTAGAATGATTTATATTCCTTTGGGCATATACCCAGTAATGGGATTAAGACTTCTATTCTTACTTTAAGCAAAGTAGACTATTGCCCAAAAATACAAGGCCCTAGAAGAAAAAAGAGTCTTGATATAGTATCAAAAGTTGCACAGTTACTAAATATACCATGAGCTAACAGAATATAATATCATGTTTATCATTTAATAAAAAACAGTCAATTTTGTAAGTGACTTCTGTTCTTTCCACAAAATGCTGTATTTTGAAACACAACACACTTAAAGAATTGTCATAGTTATTTGTGTTGGCACTGTATTTATTTTATTTTAGATTTTATCTTCTTGAATTTTATTTATTTTTGAGCAATAGTCTGGTTTCAATTATGAATAATTTTCTTGAAAAAATTCATTAATTTTAGCAACTTGTAATAAGCCTAAGAGTTATAAAAAAAGTCTAGAAAAAGTGGCTGGTTTTATAGATGCATATCCTACAAAATAAAAATAACCAAGTGAAGAAATTAAAATTAACTACTTTTTACTTATTTCCTATGTTATGCATTTTGCATAACTAGATGATACGTTGGGATAATTAGTGGATTAGAAATATAAATGTGATGCTACATTATATTTTCTATTAGACTTTTTCAGCCTCCCTTCCTGTGTCTAGTTCAATAAACTATAATTCAATATAAAACTGTAGCCCATAGTAAGAAAAAGTCATGTATTAAAATCCAGTAAATCCAAACATACATACAGAGATAACAGGAACAAGCTATATATAATAATTATTCTTACTATGTGCATGCACTCTGATACTTTTATTCTTTAATTCTGATTGATATTTTTGAGCTAATCATGACTTACACAATGGAATTTTAAAATCACAAATATATCATAATCCGAGTTTTAAAAACACTGCTATTGAAATTTTATGGCTCTCATTCTGGATATTTCTATATCCCTTCCTAGGAATTTCTGAATCTTTGTAGCTTGTCATTGCAAAGAGAAACTGGAGTCTCCAGAGAAGATAGAACTAACTCATCTGGGACCCAAACATATCCTATTTTACTGCCATTTCTAGTACTTTTTTTATTTGTCCAAAAGATAAGAGCAGGGTCTTTAAAATATCTGTTTTTAAATAAGACTCCTCTAAAGCAATTCCTCTGATTGAACTTAATTACTTAATTTCTGAATAGATCTCTGTGAGAAGTATTAACTTGGTGTATTAGGCCACTCTTGTGTCACTATAAAGAAATACCTAAGAGTGGGTAATTTATAAGAAAAAGAGGTTTAATTAGCTCATGGTTCTTTTGGCTATACAGGAAGCAGAGCACCTGCATCTGCTTCTTGGAGTCCTCGGGAGTTTACAGTCATGGCAGAACTTAAGGGGGAACAGGCATCACATGGTTGGAGTGAAAGCAATTGGAGCGGGGGGTGTCACACACCTCTAAAAAACTAGATCTCAGGTGTTGAGAGCAAGAGCTCACTCATCATCAAGAGAATGACACCAAGCCATTCATGAGGGATCTGCCTCCGTGTTTCAAACACCTCCAACCTGGTCCCAACTTAAACACTGGAGAACACACTTCAACATGGGATTTGGAGGGGACACATATTCAAACCATATCACTCAGCATAGAAAAACATTTTATGTCTTACTCTCCTTTGGCTGCTAAAACTAATACCATAGGCTGAGTGGATTAAACAATGATCCCAAAATCAATTAATGTAATTCCTCACATCAACAGACTAAATAAAAAAAAGTCACATGAATCAATAGATGCAGAAAAAGCATTTGACAAAATCCATCAGCCATTCAGGATAAAAACTCTCAGAAAACCAGAAATAGAGGGGAGTTTCCTTGATGGAGATTATTTACAGAAGAACGTACAGCTAAATAACACTTAATGCTGAGAAACTAGATGCTTTCCCCTGATATTGAGAATAAAGCAAGTATCTCCTATCCCACCAAATCCATTCAATATAGTACTAGAAGTTCTAGCTAATGCAATGAGACAAGAAGGCAAACAAATGGCATACAGATTGGGAAGAAAGAAATGCAACTGTTTTTGTTCACAAGATGATATAAGTTTATATATAAAAAACTGAAAGAATCGGGAAGAAAACCTTCCTGGAACAAATAAGTAATTATAGTAAAGATGCAGAATACAAGGTTAATAAACAAAGGTCATTTACTTTTCTATATAGCAGCAAAGGACAATAAGAATTTGAAAATGAAGACAAAATAAGGAGAAATGTGACAAAATATTTTCAAAATCTATCTGAGGGAAACTATAAAATTCTGATGAAATAAATCAAAGTTGATCTAAATAAATCAAATTTGATCTAAATAAATGGAGAGATATTGCATGATCATGGATAGCAAGTCTCCATATTATCAAGATGTAAATTCTTCCCACTTGTTCTATAGAATCAATGCAATCCCAATAAAAATTACAGCAAGCAACCTTGCAGGTATCAACAAACTGATTCTACATTTTATGTGGAAAGCCAAAAGACCCACATTAGCCAACACAATACAGAAGAAGAACAAAGACGTAAGACTAACACTACTGGTTTTCAAGACTCAGTGTAAAGCTACAACAATAAAGACAGCGTGGTACTGGAAAAAAGAACAGATAAATACATCAATAGAACAGAAAAGAGAGCCTTGTAATAGACACATGTAAATATAGTCAACTAATTTTTGATAAAAGAGCAAAGGCAATTCAAAAAAGAAAGAATAGTTTTTTCAACAAATGACGCTGGAACAACTGAACATGTACGTGCAGAAAAAAATGGATTTGCACACAGACCTTATATCCTTCACAGAAATTAACTCAAAATAGATCACAGACCTAAAGGCAAAACTATAAAACTCCTAGAAGATAATAGAAGATAATTCTAGGTGACCTTGTGCATGACAATTACTTTTAGAAGTATGACACCAAAACATGACCTATGAAAAAAAAATTATTAGTAGGAGTTCATTAAAATTAAAAATGTCTGCTTGACAAAAGGCATTGTTAAGAGAATGAAAATCCAAGCCACATACATGGATAAAATACTTGCAAAACATATATTTGATAAAGGACTTGTCATGAAAATATTAAAAAAAACTCTAAAAACTCAAAAATAAGAAATAACCCATTTTTTAAAAAGTCACAAATAAGAAATAAGCAATCCATTAAAAAACTCACAAATAAGAAATAAACAACCCTATTTAAAAAGACAAATAGACATTTAACTAAAGAAATGTCATATAAATGACAAATAAGAATGTCAATAGATATTTATCATCACACACCATCATATGCCATCAGGGAAGTAGAAGTCAAAAGAACAATGAAATAACATTAACCACCAATTAAATGCTGAAATTCAAATCACTGACAACGCTGTATACTGGCAAGGTTGTGAAGCAAAAACAATTTTTTATCAATGCTATTATAAATGCAAAACTATAGAGATTCTTTAGAAGACAGTTTAGCAACGTATTTCAAAGCTAACATATGATTGCTGTATAATAATCACTCTTGTAGTTGAAAACTCAGTCCACACTAAAACCTGCACACAAGCTTTTGCAACAGATTCTTTTCATAACTGCCCAAACTTCAAAGCAGTCAACATGCCCTTCAATAGGTGAATCATACACCCATACAATGGAGCAATATTTAGCTCCTAAAAGAAATGAGCTATCAAGCCACCTGAAGACATACACAGAACCTAAGTGCATATTGGTAAGTGAGTACAGTCTGAAAAGTCTATGTACTGTGTTTCCAAATATGTGGCATTATGGAAAAGGCAAAAGTATGGAGATAGTAAATATGTCAGCAACTGTGAGGATTCCTGGGGAAAGAGAAAAGGATGTGTAGGTGGTATACAGGGCATTTTTAGGACGCTGAAATTATTTGTTATGATATTTTAACAGTGGATGCATGAAATTGTGCATTTAGCCAAAACCCGTGGAACTGTACAACACTAAGAATGAAGGCTAATGTAAACTGTGAGCATTAGTTAATGATCATGTAACAGTGCTGGTTCATTAATTGTAACAGATGCAGTAGAGAAGGTCACTTTCCTTCATGATCTTGGGCTACAGATCTGAAGGATGAGGAAAGGCCACAGGAAATGAAAGAGCTAGATAGCAGTTCTCAAGTGCAGTCTCTCACATGTATCACGTAGGAGGGCATTGCTGTTAGGAGCAGCAACAACAGTGTCTGGGTTGGCACACACGAGCAGGCAGCAGAGAGGAAACTGTGAAGCTTGCACAATGTGAGGAGGAAAATGGAAGCCTGGAAGAAGAGCCCATGTGAAAGGTATAGGGCAATTCAGACAGGGAACAAGAAAATTAGAAAAGAATAAGGCGCTGGCAAGCTGAGCAGAAGGAGATTGGTGTCAGAAATTCTGAGAACAAGATACACTTACGTGATGTTACTTTGTCAGAAATACATGGCAAAAGAGAAAAAAAAAACTGCAGAAAAAACTCCCTAGGAATGAGTGCTAAATTTAACAAACACAAAATACACAACATCTAATTTCATTTGAATTTCAGATAAACAGTTTTTTTTGTATATGTGTGTCACATATAATACTTGGGACATACATTAAAATTGATATTTAAAATTTAAATTGAACTGAACATCTGAATTTTGTCTGTCATCCTTACTCAAGAGGAACTTCCTCTCATTTTCACTATTCGTCCCCCATTTTTCCCTAGAAAATGTCTCACTTCCCTGAGGAAGCTCAGAGAGTACAATTATGTTTTCATGGGCTAGGTACTAGAGGATCTGTAAAAACCCTCCAAAGCAAGACTGCATCAACATAGCAGAAATCAGTGTCTGGAAATTGTGTGGTGACATACAATTGGCCTTCCTGCTTTTGATTTGCAGCTGATATTTTTCTTATGCTGGGACAAGAGGAGATGGTGGCAAATTTATTCTCACTTCTTGGTTTTTAAGCCATAACCACAAACATTTCTGTCTATGTCATCAGGAAAAACCTTTTAAAAACATTTTGCTATGTTTTTTCTTCTCCCTCCAGTAAAAATTTTGGTATTTTATTTGATGTTTACATTAAAATGTGACATTATACATGGCAAATCAAATTCCTGTTAGCTGTTTTGTTTGAGGAACACCATTAAAGGAAAAATATAGTGCTTGTTCAAAAAAAGGTTGCCCATGTTTGTATTGTTATATTGTTGTTGGTTTTTTTAGTCCTCTATATGAGAACAGGGTGTTTGTAGAGGGTGAACATTTCTAAAGCCTTCAGCTGGCAGTGTTTTTGTCTGTGCATTTAGTCTGAGACTGAGGAAAAAAAGAGATATTTAGATAGAATACATGTAGGATAAATTTATTTTTGGGTGAAAATAGTTTTGATTAAATGAAACTGCAATAACATTAATAGAAATTAGTTTTTCCAAGAGATCCTATTGTTCAGTCATATGTAATGTTAAAAATTGCATTATATTGAAAGTAATATCAGAAGGTATGATATAACACTATACAAATTCAAGAGTAAACCATTGATGCTAATATATTTTATATGACTTCAAGAACTAAAAGAAAAGATTATGAGATGCAAACTGTAAAGATAGCTTGGGAGTCTCAGAGAACAAAGGATGGTATGACAGGGAAAATAGTTTATTAAGTTTCTATTGCCATATATTTGCATAGTTTTATTTTTAATAATGCTCACATGTTCATTTTAAAATTTTAGAAAAAACTGAAATACAGTTTGCAAGTTCAAAATATAAACGTGATTCCATGTGCATGGATAGAAAGATTAATATTGTTAAAATGGCCATACTAACCAAAGCAATTTACAAATTCAATGTTATTCCTAACAAACTACCAATGACATTCTTCACAGAATTAGAAAAAAACTATTATAAATTTGACTGGAACCAAACAAGAGCCCAAATAGTCAAAGCAGTCTTAAGCAAAAAGAGCCAAACTGGAGGCATCACATTACCCAACTTCAAACTATACTATCAGGCTACAGTAACTAAAAAAGGATGGTACTGATATAAAAATAGACACATAGTTCAATGAAACAAAATAGAGAGCCCAGAAAGAAAGCCACACACCTACAACCATCTAATCTTTGACAAAGTCAACAATAATAAACAATGGGGAAAAGACTCCCTATTCAATAAATGGTGCTGAGATAACTGGCTAGGCACATGCAGAAGACTGAAACTGGACCCCTTCCTTCACCATATACTAAAATCAACTCAAGATGGATTAAATGTTGGAAGTTCTGGCCAGGGCAATCAGGCAAGAGAGAGAAGTAAAGGGTATTCAATTAGGAAAAGAGGAAGTCAAATTGTTCCTGTTTGCAGATGACATGATTGTATATTTAAAAAACCCTGTTACGTCAGCCCAAAATCTCCTTAAGCTGATAAGCAGCTTCAGCAAAGTCTCAGGATACAAAATCAATGTGCAAAAATCACAAGCATTCCTATACACCAATAACAGACAAACTGAGAGCCAAATCATGAGTGAACTCCCATTCACAATTGCTACAAAGAGAATAAAATACCTAGGAATCCAATTTACAAGGGATGTGAAGGAACTCTTCATGGAGAACTACAAAGCACTGCTCAATGAAATAAAAGAGGACACAAACAAATGGAAGAATATTCCATGCTCATGGATAGGAAGGATCAATATTGTGAAAATGGCCATACTGTCCAAGGTAATTTATAGATTTCATGCCATCCCCATCAAGCTACCAATGACTTTCCTCACAGAATTGGAAAAAAAACTACTTTAAAGTTCATATAGAACCAAAAAAGAGCCCACATAGCCAAGACAATCCTAAGCAAAAAGAACAAAGCTGGAGGCATCACACTACCTGACTTCAAACTATACTGCAAGGCTACAGTAACCAAAACAGCACAGTACTGGTACCAAAACAGAGATATAGACCAATGGAACAGAACAGACCAGAGGCCTCAGAAATAACACCACACATCTACAACCATCTGATCTTTGGCAAACCTGACAATAACAAGAAATGAGGAAAGGATTCCCTAGTTAATAAATGGTGCTGGGAAAACTGGCTAGCCACACCTCTCAAAAGACATTTATGCAGCCAACAGACACATAAAAAAATGCTCATCATCACTGGTCATCAGAGAAATGCAAATCAAATCCACAATGAGATACCATCTCACGCCAATTAGAATGGCGATCATTAAAAAGTCAGGAATCAACAGATGCTGGAGAGGATGTGAAGAAACAGGAACGCTTTTACACTGTTGGTTGGAGTGTAAATTAGATCAACCATTGTGGAAGACAGTGTGATGATTCCTCAAGGATCTAGAACTAGAAATACCATTTGACCCAGCAATCCTATTACTGGGTACATACCCAAAGGAGTATAAATCATGCTACTATAAAGACACATGCACACGTATGTTTATTGTGGCCCTATTCACAATAGTAAAGACTTGGAACCAACCCAAATGTCCATCAATGATAGACTTGATTAGGAAAATGTGGCATATATACACTATGGAATTCTATGCAGCCATAAAAAAGGATGAGTTCATGTCCTTTACAGGGACATGGGTGAAGCTGGAAACCATCATTCTAAGCAAACTATCACAAGGACAGAAAACCAAACCCTGCATGTTCTCACTCATAAGTTGGAATTGAACAATGAGAACACTTGGACACAGGGCGGGGAACATCATGCACTGTCGGGGGTTTGGGGGCTGGAGAAGGGATAGCATTATGAGAACTACTTAATGTAAATGACGAGTTGATGGGTGCAGCAAACCAACATGGCACATGTATACCTATGTAACAAACCTGCACATTGTACACATGTACCCTAGAACTTAAAGTATAATAATAATAAAAAAGATGTATTAAAGACTTAAATAAATGTAAAACAAAACGAAACAAAAACTATATGAAGAAGAAAGGCTAGGAAATGCCTTTCTGGATATTGTCTTTGGCAAAGATTTCATGACAAAGACTTCAAAAGCAAATGCAACAAAAACAAAAATTGACAAATGGAACCTATTTAAACTAAAAAGCTTCTGCATAGGAAAAGAAACCATCAACAGAGTAAACAGTCGATCTAAATAATGGGAGAGAACATTTGCAAATTATGCATCCAACAAAGGCCTAATATCCAGCATCTATAAGGAACTTCAACAAATCAACAATTAACAAGCAAAAACAACCCCATTAAAAAGTGAGCAAAGGACATGAACACTTTCCAAAATAAGACACACACAGTCGAAAAGCATTTGAAAAAGTGTTCACCATCACTAATCATTAGGGAAATGCAAATAAAAACCACAATTGGATACTACATCTGACGCCAGTCAGAATGGCTATTATGAAAATACAAAACAAAATAGATGCTGGCAAAGTTGTGGAGAAAAGGGAATGCTCATATAGTGCTAGTGGGAATTTAAATTAGTTCAGTCATTGTGGAGAGCAGTTTGGTAATTTCTCAGAGAACTTAAAACAGAATCACCATTCAACCCAGCAATCCCATCATTGGGTATATGCTCAAAGGAATATAAATCATTCTACCATAAAGACACATGCATTTGTATGTTCATCACAGCACTATTCACAATAGCAAAGACATGAAATCAACCTAGATGCTCATCAACGGTAGATTGGATAAAGAAAATATGATATATATATATACCACAGAATATTACACAGTCATAGGAAGGAACAAAGTCAGGTCTTTTGCAGAAACACAGATGGAGTTGGGGGCCATTATTCTAAGCAAATTGATACAGGAACAGAAAAACAAATACTGCATGTTCTCACTTATCAACGAGAGCTAAACATTGGTACATGTGAACACAAATAAGGGAACAACAAACACTGGGGCCTACTTGAGAGCAGAGGGTGAGAGAAGGAGGAGGATTGAAAAACTACCTACCAGATACTATGCTGATTACCCAGATGACTAAATTATCTGTACACCAAACCCCTGCCACATGCAATTCACCCATATAACAGACCTGCACATGTACTCTCAAACTTAAAATAAAAGTTGAAAAGTAAACAAAATATAAATGTTATATATGTGTGTGAGAATATGAAATACCAAAAATTAATTTCAATTTTGTGCTTTCACTTTATTGTGACATGGGAGATAACTGTCAAGCCCAAATTGACTGTATTGGTTTTCAAAGGTTTGATTTTAAGGAAATCTGGGAATCAAAAATCATATGATGCCCAGGCATAGTTTTACTCAGAAAAGTTACCAGGTATCTTATTCTGTTTTTAAATGGGAAACACTGAGAACTTATATCAGAATCAATTCTCATAGCAATTAGGTAAAATATTAGTAAATATAATCTAAAAGAAGAGATTTCTTCCCAGTGCCTATCATTATGTGGTAAGATCAGTCATCTAATTCTACAAATTAATAATGAGGTATCAAAATAATAGTCCCCATGTGCAGAGTTATGACAGTGAAAAATTTCTTCAAATTTGTTTTTAGAACTGGAAGAAAACAAGACAAAAAGAAAAAAGAAAATAAAGAAAATTATCAGAATATTACTAGGCATAAGATAAAGTGTTTTCTGGTCATTACATCATATTTTGCATAATGTCCATATCGGATGGCCAAATTAATGCCTGAAAGGTGTTTGATTAGCAAGTAACAAGTCATGAAGAATAATGACCTAAAACTTTAACTCTCTAATTATTTATCCCAAGGGAATTGGAATTCTACATCCATTTTATCAGAGTGTGCTTTTTCTGAGAAAGGACTGGAGATACACTGACACGTCACAATTCTTTAAGACCCTCTCTTTTTGCAGCTTCCATCGCAAAGCACCATCCTTCTATTAACCCAGCATTGCTTCAGAAAGCAAGGTTACAATAAAATTGATTAGGCAAACACTTTCTTTAGTTACACTGCTGTTGATAAAATCAGGTCGCCCTAATTGGATTTAGGTTTTTTTAAAGACTCATAAGAAAACATATACAAACCATTTCTTAAACTAGTTTTCTACAGATTGTCAATGACACTCCCTATGTGCTAAATGTTACTATTTTCGGCATTAAAGACTGACTTTCTACTGACATTGTCCCCAATTTCTCTCTTTCTGCAGTCTTTTGTTTTTGGAGTAAATACTCTAAAAAGTGATGAATAATATGTCTATTTTTATGTTTCAACCAAAACTGTTCTTAGAATCTAGCAGTCAAAAATTAGTTAGAAACTCGTTGACCCATACACTTCTGCTTTCTGCAAATTTCTGAATGCCTGTCTTCTACAACCAGTAAGTTGAAAATGACAGATAAATTAATTGGAAGACTATGTTCTCTATCATCGTATTAATTGGAAAACTATGTTCCCTATCATTCTGTTTACTATCTGTCTCACAAAAGATTGTTTTTCACGACATAAAATGATGTTATAGCTTCTAATTACTTATCTTTGAAAAATCTTACTAAAAATATCACATTTTAGTATACTGTTTCTTTTTGGAAGCTAGTAATTAGAACAGCGTTCTTTAATTAAAATAAACTGAATATCATTTACAGAGCCATAGCCTGTGGGAATACGATCTTAAATTCCTGCTTAAAAGGCAAATCATTAATATAATATCAAATAATAAGTGTGTCTCTATTCTGAATTTAGTAAACTTACTTTTTAACTATAATAATAGTGATGCAAATATGTATTCTGTAAATTCTTATGAAAAATTTTAAGAATAATAGGTTATCACAAATAAAAAGAAGCTATGAATGCTAAAGAGATTACATTTTCCTAAGAAATTGTAAATTCTAAAACAGGAAATTTTATCTCCTCAATGTAATGAAACCATAGGGTGTCACTTGATGGTTTTATAAGTTGCAATGATGGATAAGTTCATTATCCATAAATGAGCTTAAAATATAAGTTCAATATTTTAAAAGTTGAAATAACAAATGTAAAACTGAGGAAAAATTAAAGGCCCCAGAAATCTTAAAGGTCACCTTACATGAACAGTACTTTGTAGCTACATTCTGAGAGCAAGAATGAGAAAAGAAATCAATGTACTCAACTTCTCCCGTTCATAATTCCACTGTTTTCAAAGAAAACATGACAATTCCATGATTTCTTTCCATATTTCTAGGTTTATATGACTAATGAGAGTATCGACTAGCATTTACTGATGTATAAGGCTTCTACTTGTACTGAATTGAGAAAGGTTTCTTATTCTCTAATTTCTGTGGAACTAACTGAGATATTCAAATTACAGCTGAAACATGGCCCAAGTGCTGTCCCTGGAGTCAGCCATAGGTTGGATATTGCTGTAGCAGAAGTACTTATTCATGCTTCCCATTTTGTCACACATAATGTTAAAATGGCATGTTCTTAGGTGCTAGGATTTAATAAAATTGATACATTTTCAGTCTATATCAAAGACATACCCAGGTGAAACTAAATGGAGATACCTTCTGAGAAATGCATTCTTAGGTAATTTTGTTGGTGTGTAAACATCATAGAGTTACACAGATCTAGATGGTATATCCCAATACACACCTAGGCCACATAATATAGCCTGTTGCTCCTAGGCTATAAACCTGCGCAGTATGTTACTATACTGAATTGTAACACAATGGTAAGTATTTGTATATCTAAACACACCTAATCAAAGGAAAGGTATATTAAAAATACTATATAAGAGATTTTTTAAAATGGTACACCTGTAAGGGCACATACCATGAATGGACTTTACAGGATTGGAAGCCTCTCTGGGTGAGTCAGTGAGGGAGTGGTGAGTGAATGTGAAGGCCTAGGACATTACACTACTGTAGGCTTTATAAATACTGCACACTTAAGCTACATTGAATTTATAGAAAATACTTGTATTCCTTCAATAGTAAATTAACTTTAACATTTTTATTTATAAACTTTTTAAAAACATTTTGACTTTTGTGATAGCATTGAGCTGAAAACATAAGTATATTGTACATCTGTATGGAAAAAATATTTTCATTATATCCTTATTTCATAAGCTTTTTTCTATTTTAAAATGTATTTACTTTTACTTTTTAATCTTTTTTGTTAAAAACCAAGACACAAAGACACATCTTAGCCTAGGACTACCCAGGCTGAGGATCATCAATATCACTGTCTTCCACCTCCACATCTTGTCCCACTGGAAGTTCTTCATGGTAATAACATTCATGGAGCTGTAATCTCCTCCGATAACAATACCATCCTCTGAAATACATCCTGAAGGATCTGCCTGAGACTGTATTGCAGTTAATTTATTTTTTTATAAGTAGAAAGATTACATTCTAAAATGATAAAAAGCATAGTATAGGCCGGGCACGGTGGCTCACGCCCATAACCCCAGCACTTTGGGAGGCCAAAGTGGGTGAATCACAAGGGCAGGAGATCGAGACCATCCTGACTAACACGGTGAAACCTCGTCTCTACTAAAAATACAAAAAATTAGCCGGGCATGGTGGTGGACGCCTGTAGTCCCAGCTATTCGGGAGGCTGAGGCAGGAGAATTGTTTGAACCTGGGAGGCGGAGGTTGCAGTGAGCCGAGATCGCGCCACTGCACTCCAGCCTGAATGACATAGTGAGACTCCTTCTCAAAAAAAAAAAAAAAAACCATAGTATAGTAAATACATAAACCACTAACATAGTCATTTCTCTTAATCACCAAGTATTGTGCACAGTAGATTTGTTTACACCAGCATCAGCACAAACATATTTGCAATGCATTGGTACAATAACATTAGGATGGCTTGGACCTCATTAGGCAACAGGAAGTTTTCAGCTCTATTATAATTTTATTGGACCACTGTCACATAAGGGGTCTATTGTTGTCTGACATTTCCTCATGCAGTGCATTACAATATTTGTTTATTTTATGGCAATTCTGTTGCAGTGAAGCATACAGTGACTTTAGTCACTGGCATTCATAGGTGGTTTGTCAGCATTCCTCAGCCAAAGACTACATAGTTTTCCTCAGCAAAATGAAGGAAGATTGGAGATGTTATAACCAGAGCATAGAAGTTACTGATTCATTGAGAAAGGGTAGCATATTTTCTTCCTTTGCCCACCAGATCATAGGAGTTGAAGATCCAAGAGCAGAGAATCATTTCAAGCCATTCCTTTCTGAAATTTTGAGGCACCATCTTTGCATATGGGTTTTATGCCACAATGGCATTGAAGAGGCAAATTAGGAAAGGCAGCTTGAAGTGTGTGGGGAAGAGAAGAAGATAGACACTTTGAAAGGCCCCATAGTATGGGAGAACAAGTAAATTCCCCTTTGCTTCTCAGCCCCAAGAAAGGTATGGGAAGGCTGAGCATGTACTGATTCACTTGAGGAAACTGGAAGGTTAGGATGCGGAAGACATGACAGACCTACGTAGATCTGACAGTCAGGCACAGTAATTATCTGATCACACAGTCTCATACTCAAAGACCAGCCAAGTGAATGAATGATACTATAATCAAAGACAAAAATGGCTGTGGAGGGGAACTCTTCCACACAAACCCTGATGCTAAGTAAGCACACTCTTGACCTCTTTCTAGAACTTAGACTTTAACTTAAAGTAGGGTTTATAATTTTTTTTTCTATTACCATCTCCCTATCAAGGGCCTTCTAGACATTTTTTCCCCAGTTTCCCATTCTACATGGAATTTTAATACCACAGATATATGATATATCTGTTTATGTACTCTATATATAGTTGTATTTCAAAAATAAAAAGAATAAAATGTTTTTACCCACCTCCAAGAATCATTTTTCACCTCTTTGGAAGTTATACTGACCATTAATTATGCAAAGCATGCCCATAAGCAATGTTTCTCAAGCTTTTTGTCCTAAGCATGCTTTACATTCTTTATAATTATTCAGGATTATAAAAAGCTTTTATTTATTTTGCTTACATGTATCAATATTTACCAAATTCAAAAGAAAATGAGAATAAATCCATGAATTTATAAATTTGTTTAAAATAACAATAAGTTATGTGCTACAAATTAATATAAATTAAATACTTTTGTGAAAATAACTGTGTAATCCAAAACAAAAAGCAAATTTGGAAGAGTGACATTGGTTACAATTTTGCAAATCTTTTTGATGGCTTACATAATGGAAGTTACTTAGATTCTTGTAGCTGCCTCTACATTTAGGGCTCTATAATGTTTTTCCTTTCATTTAAATAAAAATGGAGTAGAAATTATTAATACTTCTGTATTATAAGTAATTTCAAAACAAAGGCATTTTATTTGGAGAAAACAATATGTAAACAATGGCTACAATGACAACGTGTCAGTGTGTCAGTATATAGTATGTTTTTTATATTTGTTTTGAATATTGCTCTTTTAAAAGTTTACCAATAATTATAAAAGAATTGTATATCTTTGGGAAAGACATTTATTAACTAACATTGACTTACAAATCCTGTAAAACAGGTTATTAATAGGAAATATTAACATAATATTATCAGAAATTAAATGGTAAGTACTTTATATATGGTTGTATTTTAAAATGTTTCAAAAAATCTGTAACTCATTTATTCTAATTTACTAGAGCCTATATTCTGATACTTTATAAAGAAACAAGATTATGGAAGAATTAGTGTTGTTCTAAGAAAAGTTTTGAAAGACATTTAATTATAAATTATTAGATGCTTTAATATAAATAATTAATTTTAAATAAAAGTAATCTTAAATCTCAAGAATTCTTAAATATTAAATTTTACAAAACTATTTTAAGAACACAGAAAAGTCTACTTAATCAACTCACTTGGTTATCTATCTCACTGAGACTCATATGTGGACATCAAGATTGAACAATGAAATCAACATCAGTTGCTCCAGATGGACTCCTTAGGGATAAGCCTAAACTTCACATATGGTCTTAATTCAGACAGAGAATGCTTAACAGTTGCAACATGTAAGAGGCTCTTGAGTTAGAATAAGATAGAAATGTTCTTAAATGGTTCAAGGAATTCTAACCAGATGCATATTCAACATATTAATGATTCGGCTTCCAAGCTTAATTTCACCTGCAATAGTAATTGATTTTACAAGTTTTCCCAATCTCCCATTTATGTACTTGCCATCTGGAAATGCCTCATATCGTGACAGTGTTAACTCTATGCATAATAAGCTATTGGAAAAATGCGCAGAACTTACAGTTTAGTTTATCATATATACCACACCTAAGAAATGGTCTTCAATATTCAAGTCATATATTCAATTAGAGAAATGTATGTGCAAATATATAGTATTATACTACATAATGGTATGTTACTTAGCAGTAATTTTTTTATAAACTACAGCCAATAGTTTATAAAGATTTATAAAGCTTAAGTGCAATAAATATTTTTGAACTGAACTATTAATATTCTATAAAACATTTTCAGAATATAATAAAAATTACATTTTTGTAAAGGCTATTTTTGAACAATAAGATGTGTTCTACACATACTTGCATTTTTGCTTTCTTGACCTAAACCAGAAGGTTAATATAAGCAACACATTTCAACTCTAAAGAAGATTTCAAATAAAAAAAAATACCGTTACATAAAACTGCAAGATATTCATTAATAAACTGTCTTTTGTTGTTCATCAGTTTCATCTGTAAGTTTGACAAGTTACTACAAATGATAGATTTGAGTGGCACAGGACCGTTATGTTTTCAAAAGTCTCTTTCAGAAAGATTTCTACATAGTAAATTGTCACTAGAGACTTGTGTTTGAATTCTTCATACTTAATGATCCATGGTGCTGCATTAAATTTTATGTAAGAAAATAGCATACTCAAAGAAGCTATCTACTGTAGAGTAGATCTCAGTTTTGATAATTTTATATGAAAATCACCTCCAAGGAGTCTTAAAAGCATTTTCAAAGTGCTTTGAATGAATGTTCACTAACCTAATATGTGTAAGTTGAAGAGCATATGATGTACATTAATGGAGTAAAAACTTCTTAGACCTTTCCATTTTGGGGTTGTTTGTGGTGATTTATATTTATTTTAGTCCATTTTGTACTCTTTTATAAAACAGCTAAGGTTAGCCATAAGATTCAGTGAAGCTATTTGAACTTCAATGAAAATGCTCAATCCAAATATCTGTGTCATAACATAATACATGGCACGTGTCTGGAGTTTCTAATAATCCTGAAGAAATAAAAACCCCATATGTTAATATGAAAACATTTGGAGCAAAGCGTAAAAGTTTTTCTTAGTAATATATTCTGATTTTATGATTTCTGGTAGTGCTGGTTAGATGAAAGGGGTGAAAACGAATTATATGTTCTGAAATGAAGTGAAAAAATGGTTTTATTTTTGTTTGTTTCATATTTTGGAGTTTTTACAATATCAGTAAGAATGGTGGCTTTCCCCCCCTAGATTTTTAAATTTTTTACTAATTTATTTTTAATAAGCAAATAATTGTTGTATATATTTATGGGGTACCATGTGATGTTTGATCTACATATACATTTTAGAAAGATTCCATCAAGCAAATTAACATATCCACCAACTTATTTTTTTCATGATGAGAAACATTAAAAATCTATTATTTTAGTAATTTTGAAATATACAATACATTATTATTATCTGGGTCACTGTGCAGTGCTATACCCCAAAATTTTAACTACTGCCCCAAAGAGCAGTCAACAAGAGGGGGAGCTCTGCAGCCAGAGAACTAGAGTGTGCATCCTGTCCTCAGTTCCTATTAACTGTGTGACCTTAAATAAATATTTGATATATTGGTGCAGCAGATTCCTTATATGTAAATGAAGATGTTTTTCTGCAATAAATTATTTTGAAATATATTTTTTCAAATGCATTTAGAGACAAAAATTTAGTATTTCTGAAGACTTTATATTTATTAATTTTACCCCAACTTTAATTTGGTTTTAAAGAAAACCGGAGAAATATATGAAGTGAATATAGTTTAATTTTATCACAATCTGTATATAGTAGCAATTTCTCCATAAACTGATAAAAGTGGGTTGCTCTTGTGCCATTTATTTCTGAGTGACACATTATTATTTCTCCAATGAATAAGTGGTGAACAAAGAAAGATTGCAGAGGTGGTAGTAAAGCCTGGTTAAGATTATACTGATTTAAGTATAAATGTATATTTATGTATTTATTTATTTATATGGTAATCACATGGAAAAAAAGTTAGCCAGGCCTTTAGCTTGATTAGAAAAAGAAAAATAACATTATGTGGGAAAATTCTATTCTCTTTAGAGGTTTAGCACATTACATGAGTAAACACTTTGTAGTAAAGGTCTAATTAAAACAAATTTAGAAAAGTCTAAAATGCAGTTTGTACAATGTAATTTAAGAGTGAATGGAATATATGGAGTGGCTGAGCTTCTTAAAATATCAGATGGAGTGGATTTTATTATATTAACAGGGTTTTGGACAGCATAGAGACACGTTATGACTGTGTCAAATATTTTGCATCACAAATTTAAAAGTGAATGGATTTTGATGAATTGCAAAATTATAAAAAGTGCAGACAGAATATAAATGATTAATATCTGGAATCTTTAGAATAATGCAGTAAATATTAATTTTTTATTTTTAAATGAAATGTAACTTACATACGATAAGATTCACTATTTTAAAGCGTACAATTCAGTTATTTTAACATTTCTCAAAGTTTTACAACCATTACTGCTATCACATTTCAAAATATTTGCATCGGTTGTCCTCAAAAAACTGCACTGTTAGCATTCACACCTCGTTCTCTTTTTCCCTGGCCTCTGACAATGACGCATACTTTCTGTCTCTATGGATCTGTGTATTCTGGACATTTCATAGAAATGCAGCTATACAATATGTGGCCTTTGGAGTCAGGTTTATTTTTTACTTACCATGCTGTTTACAAGATTCCTGTATGGTGTGACATGCAACAATATTTAATTCCTTTTTATGGGTACATAATATTCTATTGTATGATATACCACATTTGTTTATCCATTCACCAATTGATCAGCATTTGAGCTGTTCCACCTTTTGGCTACTATGGATAATTCTGATGCAAACATTGATGAGTGAATTTTTGCATGGACATATATTTTCTTATTCTCATGAATGGAATTGATGGATTCTGTTTTAACTCAACATTTTAATTTTTAAAGAAACTGTCAATTTTTTAAAAATATTAATTTCCTAGGACTATGATAACAAATTACCCCAAGAACAGTGGCTTAAAATAACAGAAATTTATAATTTCAAGTTCTGGAGGATAGAAGTCCAAAATCAAAGTGTCAAGGGCTCCTGATTTTCTTTGAGGATATAAAAAAAAATTATTTCTTGCCTCATCCAGCTTCTGGTGGCTCCTAGAGTATTTGGACTATGACTGCATCACTCCCATCATTGCCCCTCTTCTTCACATGGACTTCTTCCCCATGTGTCTCTCTCTTCTCTTCTCTTCTTTTTATGAGATCTTCAGTTACTGTATTTGGGCCTGACTTAAATCCAGGATGATTTAATTTAGAAATCCTTAGCTAATTACAACTTCGAAGACTCTATTTTAAAATAAGGTCATATTATGACATTTTGGGTGGACGGGAATTTTGGAGAGACAGCAATGAACCCACTACCGTGACTGAACAATTTTACATTTCCATAAATTGTGAGGATTTTAATTTTTTCACATTGGCATCAACATTTGTTATTGTCTTTCTGATAACTATTGTAATAGAAGTGGAATCTCATTATAGGTTTTACTTACATTTCCCTTTTGTCTAACAATACTGAACATATTTTCATGTGCTTGTTATGCACCCTGCTCTTGTTTTGTGGAGGGGTCTAAAGATGTTTGTTAGGTGTAGTTGGCTTACAACATTGTTTATGTTTTTTAATTTCACTCTTCACTGTCAGCCTAGTTTTATCAATTACTGAAGTTAGAGTATTGAGTTTCCAATATTGTCATTGAGTTGTCTATTTCCCATTTCAATACTTTCATTTTTCGTATATTGAGTCTATGTTTTTCTGTGCATACATGTTTATAATTGTTGTGTCTTCCTAATGGATTGATGATTTTAAAAACAAATTTTATTGTGCACATGTGAGGTTTACTACATGACGATATGGGATACATATAGGTAGTAAAATGGTTATTATAGTAAGGCAAAAGAATATATTAATCATTTAACTTTTTATGATGATAAAATATTTCTTTGTCCCTAGTAAGAATTTTTTCCTTAAGTATCTGATATTAGTATAGCCATGTAACTCTCTATAGTTGATGTTTGCATGACATATTTTTTCTAAACTTTTACTTTAAACCCATATGTAACAATCTTGTTTGAATTAATACCAATTTGATTTCAGTAGTACACAAATACTGTGTTTCTCTGTAGTTCCATTAACTCCTCACTTCTTTGTTCTATTATTTTCATAAAAATTATATCTTTTTACATAACAAGTCATAAAAAGTTTTATAATTTTAAAACAACTTTATGCAGTAATCTTTTAAATTATTCTGGAGATAAGAATAGCTACAAACAATATATGTTTATATTGTTTTTATGTTTACTTAACTAACTACCTTTATTGGTATTGTTTGTTTCTTTATGGGAATTTATTTAACTTTCTAGTTTTTATTTTTACATGAAGTTCTTTTTATTTTTCTTGCAAATTTTCTTCAACAATCATTCTTATTTTATTCTCTCATAATAGTATACAATCTCAGCTAATTGTTTTTGACAAGCACAGTTGAAAACAGCTTTGTTACCAAATAACTCTGTTTTTATCTTGAAATGGTTTCCTCTACTTCATTTTTGAAGGATTATTATGCTGCATATAGAATTCTTGGTTGAGAGTTCTCCTTCCTCTTGCTGCTACCACCAACACTCTAAATATGTTATTCCAGTTTCTGTTGGTTTCCATGGTTTCTGGTGAGAAAGTGGTAGTAAAATTATTGAGGATTCCCTTTGATAACTCAGGTTTCTCTCGTAAATTTCAAAATTCTTTCCTTGAATTTTACTTTTAACAGTTTGATTACAATATGTCTGGATCTTTTGGGATTATTCTGTTTGGAGTTCATGAAGTTTTGCATGTATAGATTAATATTTATGATAAATCATGTAATTTGATGTTTTGGGCCATCATTTATTTAAATATTCTTCCTGCTTCTTTCTCTCGCCCATCTCCTTCTGGAACTCTTCTTCTGAGACGACTTCTGGGATTTTCATACTTTAGTATGCTTGAAATATTCCACAGGTCCCATAGACTACTCATTTTTTTTTCATTCTTTTTCTTTTTGTTTCTCAAACTGGGTAATCTAAATAGACCCATATTCAAGTCTACTAATTCTTTATTATGCTAGTTCAAATCTATTGTCAAGATATCAGAGTGCAGACTGGCCAAGATGGTGAAACCCCATCCCTACTAAAAATACAAAAATTAGCCAGGCATGGTGGCACGTGCCTGTAGTACCAGCTACTTGGGAGGCTGAAGCAGCAGAATCACTTGAAGCTGGGAGGCGAAGCCTGCATTGAGGTGAGATTGTGCCGCTGTTCTGCAGCCTGGGTGAAACAGCAAGACTCCGTCTCAAAACAAAACAAAACAAATTTAGATTGTATTTTTCAACTCCAGATTTTCTATTAGGTTCTTTTTATAATGTCTATCTCTTTGTTGATATATTCTATTTAGTGAGGCATTATTTTTACACTTTTGTTTTGTTATTTAGATATGGTTTTCTTTAGTTATGTATTATGTTTAAAATAGATAATTGTTTTTATCTAGACAATCCAACATGTGAGCTTCCTCAGGGAACCTTTCTATTGATGCTTTTTTTATTATTCTTTTGTATGGACCATGCATTGTAGTTTCTTTAAATGTTTCAAAAGTTTTTGTTGAAACCTAGACAACTTAAATAATATATTATGGCAACTTCTAAAATCATGTTCTTCCCCTTTTCCAGGGATGGTTGTTGGTTTTAAGTGATTTGCTGTGCTGCTTTTATACCATGTGTATTCTTTATAATGTATGACCATTAAGTTTCTCCTTATTTAGATTAATGGTCAACTAATGATTGCAAAGAGATTTTCTTTAACATCTGAAACCAGTAAGTCTCCTAGACTTTCCTAACAGGCTCTCTTTCTGTGTTGAGGCAGGCTGTTAATGCTCAGACAGTTAGCTTACAACTCTGTCTTAGCCTTTACCTTCCTGTTTGTGCAGACTTAACGTTAGACAGAGCTAAAAGCTTAGGGCCTTCTCAGGTCTTTTCTAGCTATGCATACAGCTTAACATATGTGCATGGCCTTATTGATATCCCCAAATTTGTCTTTGTTTTCAAAGCGCCCCCATGGACATCTCCTTTACCAGCCTTCCCTCTGAAGTTTTTTGCTGACTTTCTTGTTTGCCCTAATTGTTATCACGACTTCAAGTGGGCATAATTTTAAACAATTTCTGCTGATTATTTTTGCAAAACATCACTGAGAACAGGTTGTGAACACTGGAAGAGCTCTAAGATAGGTGAAATGAAGACACTCCTTCTGAATGGGGGTTTCCATGAAACTGCCAGACAGGTCAAGTAATGACAATTCTCAGGAGTGGTGCTTTAGGGAAATCCAATCTGCTTTTTCTAGTTTCAGTGGCTACTAGGCTGGTGATTTTCATTATGATTACAAGTCTGTATGTTTTCAAGGTTACTGTTGAACTGCTGAAAGGAGGGTTGGAAAGGGGCTAGTTAAATGCTACAAAGCTCACTGTTCTTACTGAGACACCCATTTTTCTTGAATGAATGCCTCTTGAATTTTTGCAAGATTTGAGTTCATTTCTGAAAAAATAAGTTTAGGCAATTTTTATCAGTGGTCTCATATGGAAAAGAGCATTTTGGGAGTCAGTACACTGTCATTTCCCCTGATATTTCCCTGTATTTATTTTTTTACTCCATGTATTTCATAAGTCACCATTATCAAATAAATTTATGTACCTTATCGTTGCCTCTGTGATTGTGTTTAGCTTCATCAATTTATGTGTTGAGAGATAGTTAAGAATTTTTCCAAAAAAAAACTCTTGTAAAATATTGACTGTGGAAAAGCAGTTATTTATCATTCTTATAGGCAAATAATTTTGGAGAATGTAGAAAATTGTATTATAGTCACAACTTTGATGGCAAGTTTATAAAGTTATGGTATCATGAGATAATTATATTACACTGGTGCAAAAGTAATGGCAAAACCTCAATTACTTTTACAACAAAGTAATAGAAGCATTTAATTACAAATATTGGTATAATAATTGGTATAAACTTGCACATATTTTACAAGATAAAATTCAACCAAATAAACCAAACCAGACCCAAAATGAGAAATGCAGTATGAGAGCCTCTATTTCTTTTGCACAAGGTTGCTTTTAACTAAAAACATTTGTGAGGGGAGTCTTGTGATATATGTTCTTTAAAAAGTCTTTGTTCAGCAGCTGTTATTAATGCATTTTATATGTTTTGTTTTGTCCATTTTAAATTTAGGCTGCTTTTGTTCAAGTGAGTGAAAATAAGAGATATTGATTTACAGTGGTCCATAAAAACAGCACAGAGGAAATAACATACACTTTAATGATAATGCTACAAGCAAATTATATGTATTGAGCATTGATTATATGTCAGAGTATGCATTAAGTGTTTAAGTCAATCATCATAGCAAGCTCATAAGGCAGGTTCTACAATTATACTTATTTTATAGATACAGAAATTGGGGTTTCAAAAGATTAAAAACTTATGAAGTTTGTAATAGCAAAGCCAACTAAATCTGTGTCTGTCTGATTCCAACCCCAAGCTATTAGTCACTAACTTTTATGGTCTCTCAACCCAAGTATTATGAAGTTATATGTTTAAATCTGAATTCTGATCATTCCTAACTGTACAAACATGGGAAAAACAATTAAGTTCTAATTTTCAAATCTGTTCATTGTAGATAATATTCAACCTCACTGTTTTGTTTTTGAGGATTAAATAAACTAATGCATGTGAATTACCAAGTACAGAGTAAAGAGATTATAAATATTCTTAACCCCTGAATTACATGATTAGAAATTCAATATTGGAAAATAATTTCAGCTTCTAAGGAGAAAAGGAAAGTATAAAAATTCAGGAACTTCTATTTCAGGAAGATTTTTTGCACACCAGTAAACAACTTAAATATTTGCCTCCAGAAACTTCCCCCAAAATTCAATGATCTGAATGATAGACTGATTAAGCAACCCCCTTATCAGGAAAACAGGATACTTAGCTGCTTAATTAGCTCCATTCTGAGGACAATATTTCTCAACTCCTAAATTATCAATTGATTAATCATCAACACTTGCTTCTGATCTTTGCCTTACTGTTTTCAGGAATCCTACTATGAAATAGGTGCACAGTTCCACTCAGATACTTACATTGGAAGGCTCCCTTTAAATGATTTGATCTTTTACCAAAACCCCATAAAAATCTATCACTCACCTTTCTCCTTCTGTGACATTACACAGACACTGGCAAGAGGCTGTTTTTCCTTAGTGCAGTGAACTAATAAACTTGATTTTGCCTTGTTGGTAAACTATTTCAGTGTTATTTTAAAACTGTTGGTAATCAGTGAAGAAAGATATACACTAGGGACACGAGTCACTCAAAAGAATTACTATGTACCATCTATTCAACATATATTTATTGAGCACCTCTTTGTGTGCTGAAGATTGTGCTGCACACCAGAAAAATCAGTAAGAATTCCTGTTCTTCAGTGAACATACAAAGGCCATAGATTGTATGAATCATATGTTTTAGTCATTGAAAATAGATGAAAATATTATAAATACATAATTACATATTATGCTAAAAGTTATAAAGAAGATGGAGGAAAAAGATGCTGAATATAGGGTAGAGGATGTAGAGATGTGGTTGCAATTACAGAGTAGTCACTTCACTGAGCAAGTGACATTTGATTGAAGGTTAAAGGTGCAAGTGTTGCTGATTTCCAGAGAAAGGCATTCCAAGCACAGAAAGGAAGTACAGCTATTGCACTTAGGATAATGTCTGGAGGATTCAAGTTACAGTAAGGACAGTGTAAATGCAGTGCAAATAGAAAATTAATTCAGAGAGTTTTCTTGTGGTAAAGGTTGAAAGTGAACAGTAAGAATATCAATAAAAGGACTTTCTTGGCCATTAAATTAAAAGAGAAGACAAAAAATAGAATTATGAACAGAGAAAGATCATGATATGACCTAAATTTTAAAAGGATTACAGTGGTTTTGGGGTGGGAGTGGATTATAGGGAAGTGAAGGTGGTAGCATACAGAGCAATTAGAAAGCAAATGTATCAAGAGAAGAGATAAGGGACAGCAGTAACAAAAATGAAAGTATTGTGGTATTGTTCACAGCCAGTTATGTGAAAGCAGAGTTAGCAGGCTTTTGAAATTGATTTGCTATGTAGTGTGAGAGAAAAAGAGGAATCAAGGATAATCCCAAAGCACTGTATGTGTCAAACCCTCTGTTTGTGTTTTTGACCATGTGCATACAAGATAGACAAGGACACTTCCTCACTGGACTAGAGTCCAATGGAATTTGAAAATCTAAGAAATTGGCTGGGCGTGGTGGCTCATGCCTGTAATCTCAGCACTTTGGGAGTCCGAGGTGGGTGAATCACTTGAGATGAGGAGTTCGAGACCATCCTGGCCAACATGGTGAAAACCTGTCTCTATTAAAAAAAAATCTAACAAATTAAAGTTATTTTATTACTATTAAACAATAGATTCCCTTTTAGTATTATATATCAGTAACTTGAGCTTGGTTAATATGAATGTTTCCTATCTAACTTGAGGGCATTTACAAAAAAAAAAAGTTTATGGTAGCAAAAGTGAAAACTGGAACAAGAATTGTGCAAAATTTTACCGAAATATTGACTGTCACCTGTAGTTGTCTAACAAAAAAACCCTAAAATTGCCAAGTCTATCTAAAATTCCTAAAATAGTTATCTACATTAAAATGATGTTATTGAAAACTAAAACTAAAGTTCATAATACTTTTTAAATATTTCATTATGTTAAAAATACATAAAGTGTACCAGCTTAATCATCTGTTAGTGTACAGTACAATAGTGTAACTGTATGCACATTGCTGTGCTATAGATCTCTAGAATTTTTCACATTGTGAAACTGAAGCTCTGTGTCCATTGAACAACTCCTCTCTTTATCTTCAGCACTTGGCAACCACCATTTTATTTTCTGTATCTAAGAGATTGACTACTTTAGGAGGAATCATGTACCATTTTCCTTTTTGTGACTGGTTTATTTCACTTAGCAAGGTTCATCCATGCTGTAGTGTATGATAGGATTTTCTTTATTTAAAAGTCAAAATATTTTATTGTACTTGCAAACCTCATTTCCTTTATCCATTCATTCATTGATAAACATTTGGGTTGTTTCTACACCTTGCCTCTTGTGAATGATGCTGTAAATGAATATGAATGTAGAAATATAGCATGGAGATCTCGTTTTCAATGATTTTTGATATATACTCAGAAGTGAGATTGATGGATCACATGGTGATTCTCTTGAAAGTTCTTGAGGGATCTCCATACTGTTTTCAATAGCAGTTGTACCATTTTACATCAGAAATGTAAAAGGGTTTTGATTTTTCCACATTTTCAATGAAATTTTCAACGAAATTAAATTGTTTAGTTACACAACTAGTAATTGGCAGAGTTAGGGTTTGACCTTAGCTAACTTGCTATAGTATGTATATCTGCTACATCATTTCTTCTTAAAACTATTAAAATATTACATGCACATTAAGTTCTGTATTAATTCAGAAACAGAAGCTGCTGTAATTGAGTAAACTTAAAATATCATTAGCTTAGCATAATAAACGTTTAACTTTCACTCACCTGAAGTCCAACTCAAAGCAGGCAGTTAGGGATTACAGATATTTTATCCAGTCACTAAGGAACACAGGCAGATTAATCCTTTTTTGGTAGCAACATGTGATTCTTAAAGTCACATTGGATGCCTACAAACCAGCTGAAAAATGGGAAGACAAAGCATGAAGAATAGCATCAAAGGTTTTTATGCACCACACTTAGAAGTACTGTATGTACCTTCCATCCACAACTTAATAGCTTTGACTTGGCCACAAGGTTTCATCTAGATGTTATTAAGGATGGAAAATAGAATCCCTGACTGAGCACAAATTTTCAAATACAAACTCTATCCAGTGGAAGTATAGTACAAATATATTCTGAACAATACCTTCTGCTACAAGTACTCTATTTGCTATAGATTCTTCTCTCATATGTAAAGAAATACTTTCATATTTAAAAGACTTTTATATAAGACATAAAACTAACGTGGATAGTTGTTCATCTGCAATGATATTTTTCTCACAAAATTATACGTTATAATTTATTTTTAAATTCACTAGAACTTTTATGAGGGGTGGATATGGAGGCCAGCTGACACTTAATTGACATCCTTTTCACTGAGGTTTTCTTACTAAAAATCTAGATTGGGGGAACTACATAAATATACAGTTTTCCTGTAATCTTCCATCAATTTTTAATCTTTTATCTGTGTGTCATTTCTTATATACATTTTCTTTCTATGTCTACTTTTTGTGCTTCATTTGGAGTAACCTGCCTTTTGATTTTATTAATTGGTTTGTTTAGGATAAGGCATATACATAAATCTGAATTGGGCTATAGACATATTTATAATTGTACATATAGTTATGCAGATATTGATATGGAAATATGATCATATAGTACAATGCTATTTTTGATCAATATAATTTTTTAAAACAGCACTTAATTTCTTCGTCTTCTGCTATTGCATTTTTGAATACAATTATGATTGTTTTTAATCTGCTAATTTCTAAGATGGTCACATGAATGTATCAAGATGATGATAAAGGTAATAAAGTTTTTTTATGTAATTTACTGTCATTATCTTTGCTTCTAGCTAGTCAACCAGAGAACATGATAACCTGAAAAAGTCCTCATGGGACTTGGTCACAGCTTTAATACTCCAATGTTCAACAGCAACAACCTTATAGTGCTGCTGGACACTAAACAAAAATAATGGAATATTAGGTAAATATTTATCATAATTTTCTTCATGTTGTTATAAGTGCTTAAAATAAAAAAGTAGATTTTGAAATTCACTATTCTAAATAAGATGTTTCAGATTGGTTAGTCTAGAAACATTGTTTCTTATTGTACTCATGAAATTTTCATAATGCTTTTGATGTATTAATAATTCATAGGATATGAAACCTAAAAAAAGATAAGAGATACAAAAATATAATATTACTATCTTCATTTTAGTGGCCCAGAAGATAACAAACATACTTATTTTTTGTCAGTATAATCAGCTTCCCTGAATGACTAAAAGAATTATGTTTTATCTTTACAAAAGATTTTCCTATACATACTAGAATGGCGATATTATTCATATGTACATACATACATGCATACATGAATTTGCTAAAAAACAAGTATATATTAGATACTGTTCCTATTTTAATTTTTTTCTGGTTAACCCAACAAATATAACTCCTCACCAGCAGCCAAATAACTATTTGAATGATTTTTATGCATATATACATAAATGTGTATAAATATATAAACATAATTTACATATAATAATTTGTATACATATTTTTTCAACCATGGTTGTATTTTTTAACATCCATTGTCAATTCAAGCCAAATATAGTAAAAAGAAAAAGCAAGAGTAAATTACCATGTTCTCTTCTTCTCTCACAGTTGTCAAGTATGGATTCCAAACTTTAAACTAGAAACTTCTCTTAGTTTTCCTAGAAGAATCTAATATTGACATATAGATGCATTCTTCAAAAAGCAAACTGAGGTCTTTCTAGTCTAATTTGTCAAAGATTAGACCTTAATCTAATTGAACTTACATAATACATATTACCTTTAATCAAGGATAAAGACATATCTCACTCTGAAGTCAAGTCAAAAGCAGAAAAAACTTAGCAGTGTATTCTAGAATTTTTTGTAAAAGAAACACTTCCTTGAATTTCATCTCTTCTACCTTTTAAGTGTGAAAAATGTTACAAGGTAAAAATGGAACCATACAATAGAAAATCCTCAGGGGGAGTTTTGTTGGGTTTCACATTCTAAGGCTTAAGACATACCATTTTTTAAATTTATTCTATTAACTAAGAAAATTAGTTTATAAATAAACACACATACCTCTCTAATTTTATTTTTCTAAACATCTTTTGAAATGTAATCATTGAAGAAGAAATATTTTAACTGTCTTTTCCATTGTAAATGTATCACAACATAAACAATAAATATATATTATGAAGGTAAATTACCTTTATCTTAGAAAAATAAATATCAGGATATATATCACTAAGAAAATGGAAGATATAGAATTACTATTATATAAACCTATGTACTACACTTTTTTCCATAAATCTACGCAACATTCTTCTAGAAAAGATATTACATTCATTATTTTTCCAGAAAAAGAACCAAAGCTTAGAAAGCTTAAATTAATGCCCAGTATTAAAGAGCATAAGATATGAAATTAACACCTTAATTTGGTCTCTGTTGCTCCAACATATAGACTGTAATACTAAACATTGTTTCTTTATAGCAAGCTAAGCCTTCTAAATAAAAAAGCCTATGCATTCATTTGAAGTCTTAAAATACAAATGTTATAAATATTTTAAGTTTACGTACTTAGAAGAACTTTATCAAGTTTTAATTCTAAACTTTGAGACTGAAATAAAACATTTTGTAACCCTCGTATCTACAAATAAAATACCTTTCGAAGATTATATGAACAAAGAATCAAAGCATGTCAATATAAAATCTCAATGAAACACAAAAGAAGGAAGCAAGAGAAAAAAGAGAGATGAAATAACTACAACTCATACAGAAAATGGTGAACAGGATGACAATAATAAGTCTATTCTTATCAATTACTTAATTAATGAAATAAACTCCCCAATAGAGTACCTGAATAGATTTAAAAAAAAAAAAAAAAAAAAAAAAAAAAAAAAAGATACGACCGAGCACGGTGGCTCACGCCTGTAATCCCAGCACTTTGGGAGGCTGAGGCAGGTGGATCATGAGGTCAGGAGATCGAGACCATCCTGGCTAACACGGTGAAACCCCGTCTGTACTAAAAATACAAAAAATTAGCCAGGCGTGGTGGCAGGCGCCTGTAGTCCCAACTACACGGGAGGCTGAGGTAGGAGAATGGCGTGAACCCGGAGGCGGAGCTTGCAGTGAGCCAAGATCGCACCACTGCACTCCAGCCTGGGCGACAGAGCGAGACTCCATATCAAAAAATAAAAAAGATCCAACTGTATGCTAGCTACAAAAGACTTACTTTAGATAATAGGATACATAAAGGCTGAAAGTAAAAGGATGAAAAATGAAAATCTATGAAAATGATAAATAAAAGAGCATGGCCCAAGATGGCCATGCTTACATCAGATAAAACAGATCCTAAGTCAAAATTGTCACAAAAACACAAAAAAATAGCACTACAGAATGACAAAAGAGTCAATTCACAAGGAAGATATAACAACTATAAATACGCATGCACCCAACAAAAGAGCACTCATACATGTCAAGCAAACATTGGCAGAATTGAAGGGTGAAATGGACAAACAAAATAATGGTAGGGGGTTTCAATATCCCGTTTTCATTGGTGGATAGAACAATCAGACAAAAGATCAATAAGGAGACAGGACAACTGAACAATGCTGTGCAGCAATTGGACCTAAGTAACAGCTACAGAACACTCAACCCGACAACAGCTGAGTACACATTCTGCTTCAGTACAAATGGGATATTCTGTAAGACAGATCATAGGTTAGGCCATAAAACAAGTCCTAAAAATTTAAAAATATGGAAGTCATACCAATTATATTTTCAACCAAAATGAAAAGAAACTAGAAATCAATAAGAAAACTAGAACTAAAAAAGTAAAAAGAAAATGTCTAAATTAAACAATGAAAAATGGGTCAAAATAAAAGTTCATAAAGGAAATTTAAAATTATCTTGAACAAAACATGAAAATAAAACTATTACACACCAAAACTTATGGGACTCAGTAATAGCAGTATTCAGAGGATAGTTTGCAGTTAACACCTACATTAAGAAATGAAAAATATTTCAAATCTACAATCTAACTTTATACTTGAAGGAACTAAAAAAAAAAAAAAAAAAAAAAACAAGAAAAAGAACAAGTTGGACCTAAAGTTAGGAGAATAAAGGAAATAATAAAAGTTAGTGCAGAAATAAATAAAATAGAGAACAGAAAAACATTTAAAAATTCAACTAAATGAAGGGTTGTTTCTTTGAAAAGATCAATAAAATTGCAAACTCTTATCTATAATAAGAAAAAAAGAGGATGTTCAAATAACAAAAATGAGAAATGAAAGAGGAGACATTACAGCTGATGACACATAAGTAAAAAGTATCCAAAGAGATTACTATTAACAATTATACACCAACAAATTGGAAAGTCTAGAATAAATGGATACATTTCTTGAAATACAAAGTTTATCAAAAATGTGTCATAAATAAACGAAAATATTTAAACAGACTCACAATTAGTAAGATAATTAAATCCACAATCAAAAACTTCCCAATAATGAAAACCCAGGATCAGGTGGTTTCATTGGAGAACTCTACCAAACATGAAAATGAATTAATACTGCTTTCTCAAATTGTTTCAAGAAATTGAAGAAGTTAAAACACTTTCAAACTCATTTTTTGAGGCCAACATTACGCTAATACCAACGCCAGAAAAATAAACTACAAAAATACTGAACTGGAGATGAAAAACCTCAATGAATAGTGATGTAAAAATTCTTAACAAATATTAAGAAAATGAATTTAAAAGCATATTAAAAATTATATAACCTGAAGAGATAAAATTTATTGTTGGAATGCAAGGATATTTCAACATATGAAAATTAATTAATGTAATACAACACGTTAGCAGAAAGAAAAACAAAAATGCACAATCATCTCAATTGATGGAGAAAATGCAATTGACAAAATTCTACACCCTTTCATAATAAAAACACTCCATAAACTGAGAATAAAAGAAATGTAACACAACATAATAAAAGTAATATATGAAAAGCCCAAAGCTAACATCATACTCAACTGAAAAAATTAAATGTTTTCTGTAAGAGGATGAACAAAACAGGGATACAGACACTTGTCATTCTTATTTAACATAGTACCGGATATCCTAGCCAGATAAACTAGGCATGAAAAAAAAAATAATAAAACTAATCAAAATAGATTCGAAAAATACAACATTATATCTGTTTGTAGATGACATATTACACATAAAAAACTCTAAAAACTCCTTTCCCAAAAGCCGTCAATATTAATTAATTTAGAAATGTTGCAAGATGCAAAATCAACATGCAAAATTCAGTTGCATTTTCATACACTAAAAATGAACTGTCCAAATGAGAAAATAAGAAATATATATTTTATTTACAATGGAATCTAAAAGAATAAAATCTTTTGGAATAAACTTAACGAAGTAAGCCAAAAAAAAAAAAAATTGTACACTAAAGCCGTAAAACACTACTGAAAAAATTTAAAGAAGACAAGAAATAAATGTAAATGTACAAACAACCCAGGTTCATGAATTGGAAAGTTTAATATTGTTAAATGGCCACACTACCCAAAGCAATCTAAAAATTCAACGCAATCCCTATCAAAATCTCAATGATTTTTTATAGAAGTAGAATTAATTTAAAATTTATACGGAATCCCAAAAGATATTGAATAATCCTAACAATCTAGAGATAGAAAAACAAAGCTGGAGGCCTCAGATTTCCAGATTTCAAAACATAGTACAAAGTTACAGTAATCAAAAGAGTGTAGTACTAGCATAAAGACAGATACATATACACCAGTGGAACTAAACAATTTCATTTCCAAAGTATTCACAACCTTTCAATTATATCAACGATTATCTACCGATATCTAATTTTATATTATCAAAGTGAGCATCCTAAATGAGAGAGTCTGAATGGCTCCACACTTCCAGTCTTCTCCTTCACCTGAAAAATACACATTCATACACACACATCTACTTCTTCTGGAGGTTCATAAGTATTTCTGATTTAGAAGGGTCCTCTTTATCCCCTTGTAATCTGTGTTTACTGGAAATACGTGCATTTCAGTTGTTTGCTATCTATTCTGTGGAGAGTTAGTGTAGGAATAAAAAAATAAAAACAATATCTCTCAAAGAGTTGCCAATTTCACAGCAGGGTTGTAAAAAAATATTTACAAGACTTCACAGAAAGTTGCACTAGCAAGGTAGGGTGTAGTTCTCTATTTATCTTCTGGGTTCCATACTTATTTTAAACTTCCTACAGCACATCTCTACCTGGATATAATTTTGTCTTTTATGTCTATCTCTTGTCCAATTCCTTTGCCTGGTGAACTTTATAATATACAGCTCTATTTTACCCTTCTTTGTGCCTCTTCTCCCACTCATGTAGATAACTCCCATTTATAACAAACATAAAATTACTCAAGCTACGCCGTTAAAGTGGTAAGAGTTGAAGATCAATTGAGTACATGTCTGTTTCTTCCACCCTTCTCCTAGCATTCAGTAATAAAGGAAAATAGTTTAATCACTGTTAAACTTCTCTAATGGAATACCTGACAGAAAACAGGTTCTCAGTAAAGTTCAAATTAATTAATCAGCTGATACATTATTTACACCCAAATTTTCCCTACAGCACGCCTGGCTTCAGATGGTTAGCGAATTAATATACCATGGGACTGATTCTCTCACTACTTAAAATATTGCGAAAACTTAATGTGTAGGATTGTTCAGTATGGCACAAATTTTTGAATTTGATCATATACAAATTTCATTTTTTCTGTTTTCTAACTTTTGAGTTTTTAGTTAGATTTATTTAGTTCTTAGAGATAGGAAAGATGTTATATGACATCCCTTGCTCTAGGTCCAGGGTAATACTCAGATTTACTGTTCAATTAAAAAAAAATAAAAGAAAGAAAACATTCTGTGAAAAAAGAAGAATATTCATGTATTGATGATGTTAAAGATTTTGATGTTGCTAAGAGTACGATATCTCAGATGATTTTAAATAAGGATACCCCATATGTTAGATTCATTGGTCAGATATTCATTTAGCTTACAAAATACATACGTGGGCCGGGCGCGGTGGCTCACACCTGTAATCCCAGCACTTTGGGAGGCCAAGGCGGGCGGATCACCTGAGATCAGGAGTTTGAGACAAGCCTGACCAATATGGTGAAACCCCGTCTCCATTAAAAATACAAAAATTAGCTGGGTGTGGTGGCGAGCGCCTGTAGTCCCAGCTACTCTGGAGGCTGAGACAGAAGAACTGCTTGAACCCAGGAGGTAGAGGTTGCAGTGAGCTGAGATCTTGCCACTGCACTCCAGCCTGGGTGATAGAGTGAGACTCTGTCTCAAAAAAAAAAAAAAACCCATATGTAGAAAAATATAAGAGATATATATATAGAGAGAGTATTATACTTTATATATAAAATATGTATTATATATAGTACTTATACAATATATACATTTCCAAAATATTCCAAGTGTATATATAATATATGCATTTACAAAATATATATAATATAGTATATATCTATATGTATATCTATAGCTATATCTACATCTACAGATATAGTATTTAGGACCTTACCTAGAGAGCTGCTTTGTCTCAGAAAGAGGACCTTTTGTTTAAATTTAATGTCTCCCAAATAGTTCATTGAGTTCCTCATCACCAGGCTTACAGTCATTCACTTTAGCCCCAGAAAGTATACAGATATCACCACCCAGTGATAACCTGTGCAAATGACTATGTAGCTCATTCTCTCAAAAGAAAAGCAATAGCCAATGTCTCTTTTGTATTCATGTCATTATTGCATTTCCATTGCTATGACCCCAACAATAAAATTGTATTAAAAAAAAACGTATTTGAAAACAAGGAATGAAGACAAAAATTTGTCAGCAATTGACTGATCCAAGACTCAAATCCAGGTTTGCTTCATCAATGCCTATGATCTTTACTTTGTACAGTGTATCACTTCTTATAAAGAGAAAATATTTGCATCAAGTTGAAAAACAGAGTAAATTTTTTTGTATCACCCTCTGAAGCCAACTAGATTTGTGAGATCAAAAGGCTGTACCCCTATCCAGTTTATTTTATAACTTAAAATTGACTTATTTAATGTGAATGAATTACTTGTTTTTATCCAGACTCTAAAATGGCTTTTATAGCTTAACCATTTTAGAATATTTAACTTATAGAATACACATAGGTAGAAAAGTGTATATGAAATACATGTATGCATATATATGGCATTTAAGAACTGTATATGGTATTTAGGACCTGTTGACAGGTAACTAATGTAAGTAAATCAATTATCATTATGCCTGGCCTGTAATTAGACAGCAGTCAACTAACGCAGGCTATTATTATGGTAGTTATCACTTATTATTATTATTTGTTATCATTGCAGCCATAGGCACTATTATTTATTATATTTAGAATATTGAAAAGTTTAGAAATCAAAAAATGCCAAACAAACAAGAATGGTTTATTTATTTATCTTTTGAAACACTGCAAACAACATTATAAAGCTTTTCCATGTTTTCCATACAGAATGCAGATCATACTATATTTGACTCCCCTCATCTTGAACAACTTAAAATAATTTAATAATGAATAAGGTTAAAAATTAATTATTAACCAAATAGTTTTATCAATTTATTATCCTGATAAATAAGATTGTTTTAAAGTTGTTTAAAATTGTTTTGGTATAATTCAGATTTCAAAGCTATTTTAAAAAGGAATAGGCATTGAAGTCAATATGAATCACCCAGAATAAGTTTTGATTCAGGAGGCAGGAACATGAGAGATTTTTAAATTTAAAATCTGACATTAAAGGTAGTGAGCGCTTTTATTTGCAATTTCATATGGTTTCACTGAAAAATAAAAATAAATACTACTCCATCATTTTGGCAGACACTTTAATGCCAACCATTTAGCTATCTTCCTGAAATGGAATGCTGCCTGACCTTTACTCTTTCCACCAAAAAGAAATTGTAAAACCCCAACAAAAATGTAATTTTCTGGCTTTGCAATAGGTGAGCAGAGAGAAGAAAAGACTAAGAAGAAAACCTGAAAATAAAGTAGAATGAAGTAATATGGGTTGGAGTGTGTTTATAAATATATCTGAAAGAAGATTGTTTTTGACTGATAACTTACCTTGTGGTCCCAACTCAAAGTTTCACATTTTATATAGCAGGTGGTGGTTTTTAAGAGAAAACTTGAACTGAATGCTGAAAATACTAATTTATCAAATATATCCACACAATAGGGCAATTAGTCAACTATCCCAAGTCATTTCAGTATCGTTTCTTATTAATTAAAATATTTGGCATTGAGAAACTCTTTTCAACTTTCGAGGTCAAGTACCATGTTAACAGATTATAATGGAGACCTAATGTATACAAACAAAGATATAAACCATAGACATATTTTAGGACATACAGGACCTATGTAGTGAAACCATAATATATTTTAGATGAGTTGTATTATTGTTAAATTTCATTCTTACTTTTTCCTCATTTTGCTTCTCCTTATTCACTATATTCCACTTTTTCATTTTAAACCACGGCACATTAGAAAACCTTTATGTTTGAGAAAAATATATTGCCCTTAGAGTTACTACTTTATATTAGATAAAAGTTATTTAAGTGCCAATAATTAATGAGTTAATTTTTCTGTAAAAGTAGATCAGTCACTCTGGTGAAATAAGAATTAAAAACTAGGAGTAGTATTTTTATATCCAAATATACAAACGATAACATCTGACAGTTTATACATTGGATAAACTCAATTCCTTTTAACATATTCTGGGCTTCTTTTTGAAATCTATACTATAGTTGCAGCAACCATAAATGGACTCTCAAGAATTCTTAAATGTCTTCTTATTTGTACATGTGACCTTGATATTGAAGCATGTTTAACTCTACCTTTTCAGGTTCTTAAAGGAAGGTTGACAATTCTTTTAGAAAACTGAAGCATTGAAGAGGAGAGAGTTAGGTAAAGAATAACAATGAGATTTTTGATATATGAGCGAATTTTTTTCAAAATACCTTAAAGTATAATTCCTAAATTCTCTGAGTTTATCTCATAATATTTCTAACAAGAAGAAACAGACAGAAATTAGCAGCTTCTTCAAGATGGAAAGCCCGAACTAAAGATCAGTTGTGCTTTGTTCAGTGTTAAAAAATGAATTTGAATTATAGTAATGATAGACTTGTTTTTAATTAACTAATGCTCCTACTGGTAGCAATAGTAAACCCTGGAACAATATGGAAAACAACTTTTGAAGGCATCGAAAAGGAGGTCAAAAGCAGGAAGATATGGAATAAATATAAGTCTTCCATACAGGAATACATTGGATAAGGTCCACATTCATCTGGCTGCTTCCACGAGAGCACTGCTCAGCCCATAAACTGGACTAGGACACAGGGTTCAAGCAAGAGCTACAGTTTTATTGGTATTAGGAGTCAGGTTGGAGGTCAGAGTCACCAAAGTCGCTGGAAATTAAAAGGGAACTCTCAGGAGGAGGAAGCCACCAAAAAAAGAGAAAATACCAAAATCTTAAAAAACTCCCCTCTGTCTTTCACTTTTCTCTGAATGGGAAATGCAAGGAGTCCAGGAATGAAACAACAGCTAAGAACTATGAAAGCCCAGAAGACACTTCAGTAGCTGTCTTCCATAAGAAAGAGACACTTGAGATTTGAGTCCCATCAAGTTAAAAAGGGTTGGTAGCCATCTTAGAATTCTTACAGACACATTGAAAGAGTCACATATTAGAAGTAAGGGCCAAATCCCAGGGCCTACACTATTAAAAAACAAAAGCAAGCCTGCACAGGGCAAAGCTGAACTTCAGTAACTGCTTATTGGAATACACAGAATACTCTCTTGGGGAAGAAAACAAAACTCAGACTCTCTATTCTGTATTAATCCACAAAATGTCAGTTAAAAAAGGAAAGTTTATTAAACATGTATAAAACAGAGAAAGGTGACCCACAGTCAAAAGAACATCAATAGAAATAGACCAAAGGACAACTCAAATGTTGGAATGAAGAGAAAATAATTTTTAAATAATGATTAGGAATATTTGAAATAATCTATAAGTAGATATTATAATCATTGGAAAAATGGGAAATTTGTGAACTAAAAAAATAGAAACAAATAAAAACCTGGCCAAGCACGGTGGCTCAAGCCTGTAATCACAGCCCTTTGGGAGGCCTAGGAGGGCAAATCACCTGAGGTCAGGAGTTTGAGAGCAGCCTGGCCAACATTGCGAAACCTGTCTCTACTAAAAATACAAAAATGAGCGAGGTGTGGTGGTGCGTGCCTATAATCCCAACTACTGGAGAGGCTGAGGCAAGAGAATTGCTTGAACCCGGGAGGCAGAGGTTGCAGTGAGCCAAGATCACGCCACTGCACTCCAGCCTGGATGACAGAGCAAGACTCTATCTCAAAATATATATATGTAATATAATATAATATAATATAAAACTAAAAATGCTAAACTGAAAAACTATGAAAAAATATTGGGTTGGGTAAAGAGCAAATGGGACACAACTGAAGAAAGGATTAACAAATTTGAATAGATCAATAGAAATCATCCAAACTGAAGCATACAGAAAGCAAAAAATTAACTACTAATACATAACCTAGGTGAATCTCCAAAACATAGAAATTTTGGCCACACAAGTATAATCATTTGTCAAATTCATAACCATACACTTAAAAAATGTCTTTTATGATTTGAAAATCATTTCACAATTAACAAAATGTAAAAATGAACTATTGAATACTATGTTCTAAGACTTTCTGATTTTTAATTATATTTCTTTTAATTTTCTGAAAAATAATTGTTCCCAGAAGTAGTGTGGATTGATATTGAACCATTAATCTGAAAGGTGGAGAAAACACCTTAAGTTTCAGTCCCCACTACTAATATATATTAGAGAGAACACCTACCACTTCTCAACTTCAGTCTCCTAATCCGTAAAGAATTAAAGTATTTTTGTTGTAAATTCTGTGTATATTCTATTTATTTTATAAATATATGAATCACCTTGAACATTTACTATAAACTATAAATAATTTTCATCATTTAACTAGTTATTCACATAGGAATAATTGAAATATGAAAATGTTGCTCCTGAAATTAACCCAGTGTGCTTCTTTCCAGTGATAGATGATTTAAAAGTCAATGTCACTAAACTAATATTAGTCAATCAAGGTGAGATAGAGGGGCATTCAGATAATCTTCCAACCACAAAGATATCATTATTTTACAGTAGGTCTAAGGTACACGTAAATTTGATATGCTTATATAAAGTAAATCAAATATGTATGAAAGTTAGAACTGAATAACATCCTGTGCAGAAAGTAATTATTCTATAAATATGGATGAAACATCTGAGGGTGAACTGACTAGAAATCATAATAATGACAGAATCAAATTCATAAAGACGTAAAGTTAATCTTTATTATTTTCAGATTCTGTATTTGCAAATTCTCCTCCATGCTAATATTCAATTGTAGCCTCCAAGGCAAAACTGTGGTCATCAAGGACACACACAGAGTAGTGAAAATTTGAGTTGCCCTGCAGGCATGTTTCCAGTTCTGATCCAATAAGGTCACTCAGCTTGGTTTCAGCTCCCATACAGAGATGACCAAAGGATGGAGGCAATAGGAGCTAGTGCAGTGGAGTGAAAGAAGCTCTGGCTCTAGAGCCAACTGGATGGAGTTTGAATCCAAGTTCTGGGGCCTGTGAGTGGGAGATCCTCAGGCTAGTCACTCAACACTTACACAACTTATTTGTCCCTTTGTAAAATACGGGGAATAGAACCTACAAGGATATATTGTTTTTAGGATGTAAGATTATAATCTGTGTGAGATTATATATTCCCCTCCCAGGAGCAAGAGTTGAGCATTTGCTAAATCAATAACTTTTTAAAACATAGCTACGTCAATAGTAAGTGTACAATATATATGTATTTTTAAGCACTTGGTTCACTACTGCCACTATACTTATCGAAATGTAGATTTGTCTAATGTTTAACATGTACATATGTTCAGCAGATTGACAACTTTAGATCCCAAATTTATTAAAAATAAAATGTTCATGTTATTTCACTTATTTTGCATAAAACAGTGTGACAAGAGTGACTATTTAGTGAGTATGATTTATAGGTTATAAATAGATGTAAAGAGGAGTGAGAGTTACCCAGAAAGCACTAAAATAAGTAAAAATATAATAATATGAGAAAAATAGACTTCACTTGGGAGGTTGTATCAGGTGTACAAAGTGGCCTTCAAATGTTTGTGTAATTACTCCCAAACCTACAGAGTATTTGAGTGTGCACTTTTCCACTTCCCTGTAAGACAGGCTTATTTTCAGCTAAAAGACTTATGTCTATAATTTGACCACAGAAAATAAAATCACTCATTCTATTTAGCTCTCCCTAGGGGACTTTTAATATTGCTTTTACAGGTAGCAAGGTTCATCTTCTACCAAAAATATTGACAGCCATATTTATCTCAACCATCTTCATAAAAAGGTTTCCATGGATACAGAAAATTATTTTTCTAGATTTTTTTCAGTCATCCCAAAACTACTACTAGAGAACTAGAAGGCTGGGGTTAGTAAAAGGTTTAGAAAGCTTTCTTCATATTTCAGTTGTGTCCTTTATTTTTACATTCTCTTCATGGATGAGTGAGGTAAGAATTACTAATGTAGAGAGTCCTAGCAGAATTTGTTCCTTCTTGCATTGAGCTTTTAAATTGGGGTGTGGTCTTGAGAATTTAACAATATTTGTTCAGATATTGCTCCATCTTCAGATATTTACAACTCTAAAGTACATCATATGGAAAGCTTTTGAGAAAAAGATAAAATGCTTTTCTTCAATGATTCTTTTTAAAATCCTTATCTTTATACATTTTCTTTTATTACTTTCAGTTTTATATTTTATCGCTTTGACTTGCCTTTTTAATTTTTTTTAGCTTTTAAGTTCAGGGGTACATATGTAGTTTTGTTACATAGGTAAGCTTGTGTCATGGGAGTTTGTTTTACTGATGATTTTGTCACCCAGGTATTTAGCCTGGTACCCATTATTTATTTTTCCTGACCCTCTTCCTTCTCCCTCTTCCACCCTCCAACAGGCCCCTGTGTGTGATGTTCCCCACTATGTGTTCATGTGTTGTCATCATTTAGCTCCCACTTATAAGTGAGAACATGTAGTATTTGAAAATAAAAAGCTCAACATCTCTGATCATTAGAGAAATGCAAATCAAAACCATAATGAGATGCCATGTCATACTAGTCAGAATGGCTATTAGTAATAATTTAAAAAAATAGATGCTGGCAAGGCTGTGGAGAAGAAAAAATGTTTATACACTTTTAATGGGAGTGTAAATTAGTTCAACCACTGTGGAAGACAGTGTGGCAATTCCTCAAAGACCTAAAGACAGGAATACCACTTGACCCAGTTATCACATTATTGGGAATATACCCAAAGGAATTTAAAGTGTTCTTTTATAAAGACACATGCACGTGCATGTTCATTGCAGCACTATTCATAATAGCAAAGACAAGGAATCAAACTAAATGCTTATCAATGATAGACTGGATAAAGAAAATGTAGTACATACACACCATGGAATACTATGCAGCCACAAAAAAGAATGAGAGTATATTCTTTGCAGGGACATGGCTGGTTGGAGGTCATTACGTTTAGCAAACTAACATAGGAACAATAAACCAAATATCACATGTTCAGTGGTTCATAACTGGTGAATTTTCACTGTATGAAATACATAATGTTGCTAAACCATATTTTTAATTTAGCAGTTCATGTAACTACTGTTATTTTCAAATAACTATTGATCTATTCTCTTGTAATTTGTTCTTCTTTTGCTTAACCCTCTATTCACAATTACTTGACTCATGTCTCCTTTTATTCAGAGACATTCAAAATCTTTATAATATAGATATCCATATGGAAATATATGTTCAGAGACATAAGTAATATAAGCCACTGCCCAAATATCATGTGGTATATTTGGTGTGTGATTCCTCATGACAATGGCTCTAATGATAGCTATTGAAGCTTTCTGATAGCTAAATCCTGTTAGTTGCTGATGATGTGGTAATAAGAAAAGAAAAAAAAATGTACTCTTTGAGTTTATGATCTAATAATGGAGATCTTTATTGATGAAGAAGTTATAGCAGTATATGGTAAGCCAGTTGAAACTTATTCCCAGGAGGAGCTGAAGATTGATGTTTAACTAGGTGAGAAAGGGTTTAGAAAAGCATTTGCATGGAATGAAAACCATATCCAAACCTAGGGCTGAAAAGATAATTTGAGTAAATTAATTTAGGCTGGAGAGTTAGTCATGACTCAGATTATTCAGCGAATTGTCCTCTGTATGAAAACTTACTATGAGTCTCCTAAATGAAATAGGATTTTACTAAAAGATTGTTAAGAACTTCTGAAAACCATTAACTCCATTGATCCTTTACATTTAAAACAAAAACATAATTTAATAAGTGCTTTACTTTAATGAGATATAATTTGTCTAAAATGAAATGCATGTTTTCAAGTGTAAAGTTAAACAGTTTTGAGCAAGGTGTACACCTATGTAATCACCACCATAATCAAGATACAGAATATTTTCATCACCTCTAAACAATTTTTACATGCTGCCCTTCAGTGAGCCCTCACACTGCTTCAGACCCAGACAACATCTGACCTACTTTCTGTTCCCACAGACTTCATATTTTGAGATTATTTTTCATATAAATTGAATAATACAGTACATGCTCTTTTGAATCTGACTTACTTCTTTCAGCATGCTTCTGAGATTCAGCCATTTTGTTGTGTGTGTCAATAACCCATAACTTTTAAAATGCTGAGGAGTATTCCATTGTATGAATGCAATATAATTTGTCAGCTCACTTGATGATAGCCATTTGAGTTGTTTCCCATTAAGGACTGTTATTAATAAACCTTCTATAAATATTTTTGTACAAATATTTTATAGACATACATGCTCATTATTTTTGGATCAATACCTCAAAGTGGGATTAGCTGAACTCTTCTTGCTTCATCCTACTTTTTTAAAAACCCTAACTTTGGTTATGTTTTTGAAGTAAAATTGGAGCACATCACTTAAACTCTGAAATTGTCAAAATCACTTCGTTTTTCACTTCATATGCATTCTAATCTTTTTATTCAGCCTTTAAAATCCTGCGTTTTTTGCCTTCACCTGCATGTTCAGTCTCAGCCCTATCTCTTCCCCTTTGCCCACTACACTTTAATATCGTTGCCTCTCGTTTTGTTCTTCAAACAAAACTTATTTCTCGTTTAGGAGCTTTGCGCCGAATGCTCTACTTGCAGAAATTCTCTGTCATCCTATTGTTGCATGACTGGCTTTTTTTTTCTTTCATATCTCACTTTAAATGCCTTTTCAAGCCAATAGACTTTCTTCTCTTGCAATCACATAGGTTTAATTTATTTCACTGTGCTTTCACTATGTGATATATTTCTTGTTTGTTTGATTGCATGTTGGTTGACAATATGTTCCACCTACTAGAATGAAAGTTCTGTGATACCAAAGATATATAAAATGTTAATGTTCTATCTTTAGTGTTCATAACATCTCCTGGCCTACAATTCTTCCTCAATAAATTAGTCAGAGAGAAGCTGAAAATATATCCGCTGACTGAAATTATGATTGTAATGCTCAAAAGGACCCACACTATGGCTGTGCATTTTTGTTGGTTTTTGTTTGTTTGTTTGTTTTTTGAGACAGAGTCTCCCTCTGTCGCCAGGCTGGAGTACAATGGCAAGATCTCAGCTCGCTGCAGCCTCCATCTCCCAGGTTCAAGCGATTCTCCTGTGTCAGTCTCCCAAGTAGCTGGGACTACAGGCGCTCACCACCATGTCCAGCTAATTTTTGTATTTTTAGTAGAGACGGGGTTTCACCACATTGGCCAGGCTGGTCTCAAACTCCTGACCTTGTGATCTAACGGCCTCAGCCTCCCAAAGTGCTGGGATTACAGGCGTGAAATGCTTACTTTAATAAGTTTTCTTTCCCACACTTCTTGTGGCATGGATAGCTAACTCTCTGTATGAAATCTTGCCATCTTCCTTATAGTATTGGAAGCCTCCTCCCCAGAGTTTTAAATGAGAAACAGCTGCTTAGCCACAGATTATATTTTCCAGGCATCCATGTGGCTTGATATAGCTATGTGACCAATTTTTAGATAATGATACGTGAACACATATTCAAAGTCGATTTATTTACACTGTGCTTTAACTCTACCCTTTCTACCAGACTGAAAATGATGATGACTGAAATAGGAGTGGAAGCCATGAGTTGAATAAATCAGAGCTGCACTTTTAGCCTGGTTCCCTGCAAGACTTCAGACAGGAGAGTTCACCTACTTGCCTAGCGATATTATCTAAAAGGAAAAAAAAGGCAACTTTACCTTTTACAAGTCAGTCACTGTTTTAGGTTCTTTCTCACAGCAGCTTGGCCAATAGCTTGAATAATACCTTATAAGGGAATTATTTAATACCCTCTTCCCTGAAACCTCTAGGCTTTGGCTACTCTCATCTAATGGCCTCTTTTTGTTGAAAGTGAGCTTCTTTATCTTCTTCAGATAAATTCTGCCCATTTACTTCCATCTTTTCTTTCCCATCTGTCATAACTGTAGGAAGAACTCTGGCTCTAATCCAGGGTTAAGCCATTTCCCATACTCTAGGTACCACCCTTTCCTGAAGTCTTAAGCACATCATTTCTGTACCCATCCTTTCTTTGCTTAATTGTATCAGTTCATCCTGTATACTGCAACATCATAATTAAATACAAAGGTGTGCAGTGTTTCATTTGTTAGCCTTGTCTCTCTGACAGTTGCAGCCCCTTTTCTCTGTTCTCCTCTACCCAAACTTCATGAGAAAGTAATATACCTATATTTCCGCATTTCCTATTTTTTCCTTAACCAGCATTTTCTATTCTTCCCTTAACCAGCATTTTCTATTCTTTCCTTAACCAACTTCATTCAGGCTTCTTTCCACTACTCTCTATCAAAAGTGCAATAGTCGAGCTAACAAATAACAACCTTGAGAAAAATCAAGTGACGTATTCTATGTTATCTTCTGTTTTAACTCAAGAAGTCTTTGTCACAGGTGAGTATTGTTAATTAAACTAAACTAGCCTGAGGATGCCTCCCTACTGTGAGACCCTGTGTAACAAACCTCAGCCTAACTTAGTATATAAACTCACTGAGAGCTTAATTTAGGTGCATGCTTCTGTAACAAATAGCTGAGTCTCAGCCACTTACAGCAGTTGAACTTCAGTCAGTCATGAGTGGCTGATTGATAAGACTGTATTCAAATAGTGTAAACAGATCTGTAACCAATCAAGCTGTTTCTGTACCTCACTTCAGTTTTCTGTTCATAAATGCTGGCTGTTCACTTTTGGAGCAAAGCTCTCTGAACTTCTTCTGGTTCTGAGGGCAGGCTGATTTGCTAATTGTTCTTTACTCAGTTAAACTATGTTAAATTTAATCTAAATAAAATGTTTCTTTTAATAGATCTACCTCCGTAAAAGGTGAATAAACATACACATGTAAAAAATTCTTATATATGTATGTATTTGAATACATATATATATACACAGATATATGTGCATATACAAGATCCATATACACATGATTTTGTGATAGCACTTTCCTAATTCTCCTCCTAACAGCTTATCACTTCTGTCTTCATTTTATCACTTCACCTTTTATGCTGAACATCTGAATTTCGGGAATGGTGTAGGGCTGATATTTTGTAGGTACATCTTTCTTTTCTATCTAAAGTATGATTAAGACTCTGCTTTAAAAATGACTGTAGTGGGAATGGTTTTAAAGAAAGCTAAAAGAAGTTACAATCATACAGCAGAACATTAAAGATTTGGAGAAATCTCCTTGGAGTGAGTAGGAATTAGCAGGCTGCTGCGTGGACAGTTTTTGTAAAAAAAAAAAAAAAAAAAGAAAAGAAAAAAAAACAGTAAAGGGGCTAAAAGTCTAGAGATTTGGACGGTCATCAAAGCACACTTTGAAGACATCCAGGAAAAAAATGAACGCATGCATTACAGATAAGGACTGTGAGCCAGCTTTCGGATTCCTAAATAAACATGGCTGGTAACCAAGAGGTCAAGTGATGTCAAATAAATGAAACAATAAAGGTTTAGGGTAGAATATTACAATTGCTTAGACTTCAATGGAGTAAGGTTTCTTAAAAGAGGCTGGTAGGAAAAGTATGTGGGAGGGACCTCAGAGGAGGTGAGAAGGTGACATTGTCAAAAGTGAGCCAGGTTTCAGGTAAGACCAAACAGCAAAGGGAACCTGTGGAGAAAAATTTGAGGATATTGAAACTTGATTAATCATGGGATAATTGTCCCAGAAGACAAAGCTGACAGATGTCATTTTAGTTGAGAGAGAGAAAGTTGGGTCAGGGATAAGGAAACACACATCAATATGCCGGTGGTGAGGTAAAGTGTGGGTGTGTGCTGGAGGAGTTGGGGTTTGCATTTCATCACTGACTGATGAAAATAGGTTTGAGAGACATTATGGATTTGGTCTCAATAGTTTTTCTTGACTGCGGGTACTAAGTACTGCAGTCAGAACATTATCTGAATTGGCTGGGCAATGCCATATCCTGAAACCACTTACTAAGTAAACAGATAATGGGCCCAGAAACTGCAGATGCTGCTTACTGCATGGGTTGAATGATGGCTGAGAAACTTCTCACTCGTGGGAAATATTCAAATGGATGATATTTAGCTGTTAGTAGTGACTTTATATTTGAAAATATGAATTATGAATGGATAGGTGCCTCTGTGGGTGATCTCAGTGTAGAGATGTCTGTAGATTATATTCATGAATTTGTCTGGAGCAGCTCAGCTAATTAAAGCAATGCACTTAGGAAGCCATGTCTTCAGGTTCATTTCTTGTGAGGGCTTTATACATCTGCAGACTATACAACACGTACTAGGACCTTAATAAATATTGTTCATTAGATGAATAAATGCAGAAATAATCCACAGGGCAAAGAGGGGTGTGTGTCTATAAAGGCATTACCACTGTCTAGGCCTTTAAGCATAATCATCATGTTTAGAAATCCCTGCTTGAGCCAGTGAGGAAAATTTTGTGAGAAAGCAAGAGAGATGAGCTAAAATTATCACTGCTCTCAACAAGTAATGAAAGGACACATTCTTGTAAGACAGTATGAGTAATTGTATCTAGTGTCGTGAAAGAGGAAATGGTTATTTTAAAAAATGTTCTATGCTCTTATACAAAAGTACATGTTTTTATGTAAATATAATATAATTTAATACAAATTAAAAGTAACCAAAAGCCTTATTCATTTCAAATATTTGATAGAAAGGATATGAGACAAAATTGAATAATTATATTTAACTTAATAAAATAATTAAGATAGCTATTTTGCTAGTCATTTTTTCTTGGTATTTTGAACTTCCTGTACTCTTCAATCATTCTTATAATTTCAAACCTCTAAATCACAATTTTATATCAGTGTCTTATCCTTTTTTGATGTAGTAAGTGACTGTATCCAATCCACGTTATCCTTGACCCAAATTTAATGTTTCTTCATATATTTCCATAGGGTGTGGATTTCACGTAAGCTACATAAAGTAAAATTGAAGCACTTTTGTATCCCACTGCTTTACCTTACAATGTAAATGGATCATTAACACTATTTGAATGGTTATATAATAATCTACGTATTCATTTAAACAAGAACTATTTCTTGAATGCTTAAATGCTAATAAGTACATGGCTTATATCAATCAGAGAGGTCAAGTTCTCAACATTATTTTTATCAACCAGTACCTTCATAAATTGTCTTCAATAATTTATCAAAAAAACCCATGAACTTACCAAAGCACTATGTCTGCATTTGAAGACTTAGAGACAAACATAAATATAAATATATATAAATTTTGTTTCAAAAGTTTTCACATAACTTTAATGTAAATATTGGATTACTCTAACTTCATTTGATTTAAAAAACAAAGTTTAACTTTTTAGGAAGCTTGTTTCTTAAATCTAGACTTAAATAATAAATGCAGTAAACAAAGCCCCAGTCATAATAAAAATGCTGGAGGAAGGAGAAAAGGGGGAGTTAATTGTTTAAGGGGTATAGATTTTTCAGATTTGCAAGATGAAAAAAGTTCTGAAGATCTGTTTACAACAATGTACACTTCACAATGTGAACATACATAAACACTACTGAACTGTACACTTAAAATGAGCAGTGAGAGAGAGACAGAGAAAGAGAGCTCCGTGGCTTTTCCTCTTAAGCCATTTTTTTCTGTTCATGTATCAGCCAGACTGTCATTGTTCTACATCTGTTATAGTGGAGCAACATTATTCATTATAATTCCTTGTTTTTTCAACCAAAAGGCTCTTTGTATTCAGTTTTGCCCTGTATTTTAACAGATGAACTGTGTTATCTATGCACAGAAGTTATTTTTACGCTTTACTTGTGAAACTTAACTGCTTGGGTGTGCAAAAGCAAACACACTGTTGCATTCTACCTCGGTGCCATAAAAAAAAAAACCTGGACCATCTGTAGCTCATCACTTTCTTGGTCAATTATAGATGAAGAAAGTCATGAAATACTGAATAGATAATCCATCAAATACAACCAAGTGCATGAGTCTTTCTCAAAGTAATTTCCCAGTCAAGGCAGTAGCTGCTATTGTTTGTCCACTCTCCCTGTTTTATCTCCTTGGGCGTGAAATGTCACGTGGAAAAGGCATTAGCCTCCTGAGGGACTTAGTACGGTCATTTCAGTTTCTTAATTAGAAGAAGCTGAGAGTTAACATTTAAAAAAGTACCATGTTACACAGCAAAGATTTTATGATTTCTCATGGAGGGTCCCTTCAGTAATTGTGATTTCTCTTAAAGGAAACTCAACATTGGGATATTGAATGTCCTTGACTACTACGAAAAACTTAAGTAGACCAAATGAATTTTTAAATTTTGGTTTTAAGTTAATAATAACACCTGGCTTTACTATATTCTTAAAATATTTTACATTTACCATACCACAATACCTTACCATATTTTCACCATTACATTACAAAAAAGTAAAATACGTGGTTGTGTGGTTTTGAAATTATAGAATGTACTTTTGGATGTAAGAATGTGTGTTGGAAAGTTGCTTGGATAGTCAAAGTGATTTTTATGAATCAAATATGATGGAGAAGAAAAAACAGCTTAAAAAGGATGAAAGAGGTTTATATATTTTCAATTCTTACTTTATCTAAGATAATTCCTGAGTGGTGTTGGCTAGTTCTGACTCCCTCTACACCATGCTCTGACAAATAACCTACCTTTCTATTGTTAATCAGGTCGATCTCATCTTATTTTTCTTCTTTGCCCTTTGCACTTGTCCCTCTTTCTGTGATTCTCTGCCCCCAGCTATTCTCATCCTGGCTACTTACAGAGATTTAAGTCCAAACTCAAAATGGCTTCTTCTGTGACAGCCCAATCAAAATTAGACACCCAATCTTTTTGACAATTGTTCTAAATCACATAAATATGGGAATACTTGCTTGCTCTCTCTCTCTTTTTTCCTTTTATCCTTTCTCCTTCCTTCCCTCCTTCCCTCACTTGTTCTTCCCCAATTTTTTTCTCTCTCTCCTCACCTTCCATCCTTTCTTTTTAGCATGAATCATCACAGTACTATCTTGTTCATTCACTTCTGTTTGCAGATCAGTCCCTGCACCCCCATCGCACCACATGTACACATCCTGTGTTTCTTATTTACTGCTGTATTCTCAATACATAAAATGTCACCTGGAACATAATATTTGTTGAATAATTTAAAAATAAGCAAATAGATTCAAGGAAAGATTATTATAGATCTTAAAAAAAGACAATACAAAAAAGATTGTGCCTGAATCTGCTACACTTGAGTCATTCTGTGTATACATATATAAGATATTATATAAAATAGGATATTCTGGTTGATACGTAGTGGTATTTCATTGTTTATTACATTTACTCATTGAATTTTATTATTGTTTTCTAGATACACTGAGTTATTAGTTTTGCTTTTCTTTTTCATCTTAAAGTTATTTGAAAGACAAATTGCTATCAATATGTTTTTAATTTCTGGATCATTTTAATATTTGTCTACTACTGATTTTAATGTTTCTTTTTTGTATTTATTCACTGTGTTCAGAAGTGTTTTTCTGTATTGCTTTTACCTTTTGAAATCTACAATAAATTTTGTTTTTGGTGTAATGTATGGCCATGTTTGTTCAGTTTTCCTTGTGTCCCTAAAAATAAGCATTATTTTGATATAAAATAAAGCTAAAATTTACCTATGAGATCAATACAAATAATTATTTTATTCAGGATCTTTATTATTAAGTGTTTTTCTATCAGAACAACTATTTGAATGGGTTAAGTAGAAATATATTCTAATATTGCATTTCTATTTGTTTCTTTGTGCACTCTCTGTAGATTTTATGTTACTTATTTTCATATTATGTTTTTTGGCATTTAAACATTCATAAAATCAAATCATCCTTGTGGACTGTACATTGCGTGCCATCTTGTTTTTCATTTAATATTTCTTGCCCTGAATTTAAGTTTGGCAGATATTTATATAAAACAACTTCGCTTTATAAATGCTATTATCATGCTGTCTTCAACCATTCTTATAATTTCAAACCTCTAAGTAACAATTTTATATCAATATCTTACATATAACCCATAGCCACTCTTTTTTGATCCAGTAGGTGACTTTATCCAATCCACATTTATGTTTAAATTTATGTATATTCTGCTTCTTTATTTTTGTGTGAATTCTTGCTTTCAATATTTTTGAGTTTGTCATCTTCTAATACATAGTCTGGGTTTTCTGGTTGTTTTTATATAAGTATATTTTATAGTGATCTTAAATTCGGCAACCACGATAGAATTACCTATTAATTCTTATAGTTTTTAATTTCTATATTTCAATCATTATAACCTTGCTATCTGAATGTAATGACAGATTTATGTCTTCAGACACACACACACACACACACACACACACACACAAATACACAAATTTTGGGTGCCTATTATAAAGACTGGCCTATAGTTTTCTCTCTGTTTTCATTATTTTTTTTTTAATTAGAGACAAGATCTTGATCAGTCACCCAGGCCGGAGTCCATTGGCACAATCATAGCTCACTGTAGTCTCGACCTCTTGGGCTCAAGTAATCCTCCCACCTCAGCCTCCTGAGTAGCTAGGACTAAGGTGTGTGCCACCACGCTTGGCTGATTTTTTATTTTTTGTATAGATGCTTGGTATATTGCTCAGGCTGGTCTCAAACTCCTGGCATCAAGCAATCCTCTTTCTTTAGTTTTCCAAACTATTGAAATTACAGGCATGAGCCACTGCTCCCAGCCAATTTTCATTTTTAGTTATATTTTTGTCTGGTTTTAGTATGGATTCATATAGTGGTTCAAGAAGTATTTTCTTATTTTAATTTATCTCTGAGCATTTTGGAAAAGTGTTGCTATTTCCTTCTGAAATTGGAAAGTTCACTATAAAAGCCATCAAATCTATGGTTCTCTTTGTGGATAGATGGTTTTTAGGGATTTTATTTTTTATTATATATGAGATTTTTCTGACGTTCTATGTCTTCTTATTTGAGGTTTGGAAAGTTGAATTTTGAAGGGCTGCTCCATGGTGTCTAAATTTTCAATTTTATTGAACTAGAGATGACATTATCTCTTTCTTCCCATGTTTCTATGAAGTGTATTGGAGTAATTTTTTTTTATTTTTCATGTTAGTTATTTGTGCTTTCTCAGCATTTTTCCCTCTATCAACTTTGATAGAGACATAAGTTTTATTAATCTTTCTAAAGAAAACAATTTTGATTTTGTTAGCTTTCTTTGTTACTCTTTTTTTTCTTTTTTCTTTTTTTATGTTGATTTCTGCTCTTCTTACCTAGATTCTTTTTAAAATTTATTTAGATTTAAACTTCTGGGGCTTTTAAGTATCATTTTTATATAGAAACTTTGATGTTATATGAAACAGCATTAACTGTATTCCATAAGTTTTGATATGTCATGCTTTCAATATAATTTTAATTCATTTCTAATAATTTTCTAAATTCTATTGTGATTTATTCTTTATCCATGCATATGTAAATTCCAAATAGGTGGGAAGAGAGTATAGTTATCTTCTTATTATTGGATTCTAGCTTAATTCTCATTAAGATTGGAGAACATACACTTTATGACAATATTACTTTAAAAATTGTTGAGACTTGCTCTATGGCTTATCATGGAGTTATTTTCAGATGAATATATAATCAGTGGCTATTGGGTGTCATCTCATTTAGCTGTTAGATCAAATTTGGTCAATAATGCCTTTCAAATCTGCAATATCTCTAGTAATTTGTAGTCAAATAAGTAGCAATGTGCTCCCACTATCTAATTAATTCTTTGTAACAATGCACTTTGAGTAATAACAGAGCACATAATTGCTTTATTCAAAATGTCTTCTGGAGGTCATGACTTTTAGCAGAGGTAACTATTTTCTATTTTGGTCTGGCTTTAATTTGGGTAATAGTGTGATTGAACATAGATATTTATGACATTTATTAGAAGGTTTTATTACTAATTTTCCCCAGAAAAAAATTCTAATGGAGGTGTATTGGAGATTAGTGATTTTTTAATGTTAATGAGAAAAATGTATTAAAATTAACAACAATGAATGGAGTTTAATTTTCTAATTTTCTTTTAGTTCTACCCATTTTCCCTTTATAAAGCTATATTATTGGGAATATATAGATATCAAATAATTTTATCTTACTTATGAATTGAGACATTATAATGAGAAATGTCATCTTTACTAAGGTACTGCTTCTTGTATTTGTCGTCTTCATTTACTATGAGAAGAGCTATACCAGCTTTCTCCTGATACATTTTTGCATGTTACATAATTTTCCATACTTGAACTTACATGTCACTCCTGTTGTTAAGACACATATACTTACTAAGGTTTACTTTCATTCTGCGACTATTTTTCTATAATTATTGGAATATTCACATTGTTTACATTTTCTGTACTTATTGCTGCTATTGGCTCAAATTTGTCATTTTTTTTTCTCCACAAGTCACTGGGAGGGGTTAATTATAAATAAACATCCATATATGTACATCTTTACAATATATGCAGAAATATATATATTCATGTACATATTAACATTTTTAAGTATTAATATATTTATATGATTTTGTATACACATGTAATTTTATCCACCAATATCTAGTTTTTGAAATTTTATCTTATGCGTGAATTGAGACTTTATAATGAGAGATGTCATCTTTACTAAGGTAATGCTTCTTGTTTTTACGTCTTCTTCATTTACTATTAGAATAGCTACCAGCTTTCTCCTGGTAAATTTTTGCATGCTACATAAATTTCCATACTTGAACTTATATGTCATTCTTGTTGTTGGGAAACATATATTTACACTATGGCTTACTTTCATTCTGACAAATATTTTTCTATAATAATTAGAATATTTGGTCGGTTTGACCATTGGTCTACTGTTCCGAACTACATTCTTCCTAGAAGCAGAAGAACTTACAGTCTAGAAAAATGATTTAAAAAGTAATGTATCAACAAACCAGGCCTAAGCGGGCCTAATTTTGTGCACGGATATTTACACAATTAAATTTCCCATATTTTAAGTAACATGGTTGTTTGTGGAAGTTCTACAGATATTAACTATTTTTGGCATTCTGCTCTTAACACTTACTAGTCTGGTTCTACTACTGTTTATAATCTTAATTCTACAAGTTGATTTTTCCCATTTTCTTAGAATCATCTTGCTACTCGGCAAACTAGACATAGTGCTAGGGCACTTAAATTCACTTGAAAATGACATCTTTTTTGAAGTACCAATTTTTGTTTCTTACTCATGTTACACATGAAATAAAACATTTTAATATGTTTAGAAAGTCATTACATTCAAGAATGTATTTTGATGTGGATTAAATGTCAAAGATGTGTGGAAATTTCTTGTCTAAATTCAGAAAGAAAATAGTAGATTCTTAACAAATATTAAGCCCTGAACCCCAAGATCTAAACTTGTAATTTAAGCTTTTATGGAGTCATAGCAGATATTTTGCCACTTTATTTCAAAAATATGTAAAGAGTCAGTTTGAGGCATACTTGTGGCACCACAAACTACACTAGCAATGTTTTACTTCAAGTTAATGAAGAGAAATCCTATACTCTAATAGCATATTTTTTTACATCAAACTCCCGTATGTATCATATAATATGTATGTATAATATATGTATCATATAATACTAACCTTGTTTGATAATAACATTATTTATTAAGAACTGTTAAGAAGCTCTTGAGGCTGGACGCGGTGGCTCACGCCTGTAATCCCAGCACTTTGGGAGGCCGAGGCGGGCAGATCACGAGGTCAGGGGACCAAGACCATCCTGGCTAACGCGGTGAAACCCCGTCTCTACTAAAAGTACAAAAAATTAGCCGGGCGTGGTGGCGGGCGCTTGTAGTCCCAGCTACTTAGGAGGCTGAGGCAGGAGAATGGCGTGAACCCAGGAGGCGGAGCTTGCACTGAGCCGAGATCGCGCCACTGTACTCCAGCCTGGGCAACACAGCAAGACTCCGTCTCAGAAAAAAAAAAAAAAAAAAAAAAAAAAAGAAGCTCTTGAATAATACTAATTTTATTTCTGTGGGGAGGTAATCAGACAAATTTATACAGTATAATATAGCAAATTTGGTATTGCTCAATATCAAAAATATAATATTCCTAGGGGAAAATTCAAGTGAAGTTGTATTAGTTTTTAAAATCAGAAGAAATTACCACAGGAGTCTGTCATTGGCCTTGAAGTAAAAACTAATAAAAGCCCCATTATTCAGTTTTGCCTTTCCTTCCTTTAATAAAACATAAAATGCTCAAGAAATAGTTATATCAAAAGCCTATGGCAAGTAAATTAATATAATCTCCCTCTAGTTATCAACTGTCAGATTTTCTGAAAACTTGTGATAATAGGAACAGTTTAAGCTATTCATTTATTAAAGTTAATAGTAAGGCTTAAAAAATGTAAAATGTGAACCTGTTGGATCAAAAGATAATTTTTTTTATTAAAATAGACTTCAGGAGAAAAATTATTTAATAGATGTTATATGTGATAAAATGAAAGTGATTATCACACATGCACATTCAAAATTGTCTAATAAAACACGTTAATACAAAAGTCTAATTAGCTGTAGATACAAAATTTAATCCCTATACAGATTGCTATAGGTATTAATTATTAGGAGCAAAGAAGTCATGGATATACTTCAATTATTTAAAACTTATAGCCATTGTTGAGGGACATATAAGGTTGACATTCTTATTGTCATTACTAAAAATTATGTCCCTTTTTTATGTTGACAGGTTTTTTACTTTTTACTTTTATTTATTTACCCTAAAGAGAATCATTTTTGATTTGTTAAAATCTAATATTATCACTTTCACTATCTCCCTAACATCACCACATTCTTTAATTCTGCATTTACATTAATTCCAACATGATATTATCAATCTTAGTAACAATTTCTTTAAAGTCAATATTTATTTACATTTACAATTATATTTACCTTTTAGTTGCTCTTCATTTCTTCTTGCATCCCCATGCATTGGCCTGAGATTATTTTTCTTTTTTCTAAAGGACTCTCTTTGAATTTTTTCTTTGTGCACGTCAGTTGGTGCTGAAGGCTTTCAGCTTGTGGTTAGCAGAAAACATTATTTTGAAGGGTTATTTTGCTGGGTATACAATTCTAGTTTGGCAGTTATTCCTTTTAATAACAGCAAGGACGTCTATTAACTGAATTTTGACATTTCTAATTTTATCTTTAAATTTCATTTTTGTTTCTTTAACGGTGCCAATATTTTTTTGACCTTTTGGAAGCTACTTCTCCTTGTCTCTGGTTTTTATTATATTTATTGTGCTCAACGTTTGCACAGCTTCTTGAACATACTTGTCTATTTGTGAATTTTGCAGTTTGTAGCCACTCTCTTCTTAATTACTACTTCAGGCTCTCTCTGTACCTCTCTGAACCCTCTCTCTTTTTCTTCTTCTGAGACTTCAAGTACCAATATTTAAGATTTTTTTTACTCCGTCCCATGTCTTTTTTTTCCTAGTAGTATCCTTTACCTATCTGTGTTTCTATCCAGATATTTTCTTGATCTTTGTTTATATTTTCTTTTGTTAGAACTTGCTGTTAAATTTATCAATTGAGCACTTACTTTTTGTTTTTTTATATGTTGTATATTGCAATGTGTATCTGAATTTGTTTTTGCATATTTCAATTATCCTAGGCTATCATCCAACTTTGTTTCTATTTCACTTATTTTCCCTATTTATTATACATGTTAACTGCAGCCGCATGTGTCTAAAAATTCCAAAGTCTAGGTTAACTGTGTAGTTTTGTTGATTCATTTGTTTGTTTGTTGGCTTTAAGTCAGCTTTTGTTCACTCATGCAAGGGGTAGGATAATTTTTAATGAATGCCAGGACTGGTGTGGAATTTTATAGTCTCCGGGGATTTTTTTTTTTCCTGTATAGAGAATTCACTTTTACTTTTGCTAGTAAGATAGAGTGACTAATCACTTTAATTCAATTTGGGACCATAATGACTAAAAGTTAGATCACACTTTGGATAAGACTCCAGTTTTTCTTGTTCACCTCTGGTCCTAGAGCACAGCCTTCTAGAGGCTCCATCTGAAAGCCTAGGGTGTTCTTTCACTCTGATCTGCCGTTAAACTACACTGTGATTCAAGTGTCTCAAGAGATGACTGTCTCTTAGGTCTGAAAGATGTCCACAAGATTTTTTTTCAAATGCTTTTTATAGAAGACTCTCTTCTCAGAATTGGGAAATGTCCTGAGGATAATAGTTGCTGCAGAATGTCACGCCAAATTTCAGCACAAATCCTGTTTCCTTGGAATTGTGTTCTTTCATGTCCTGATTGCCTTAAAAGCTCTCTGTTGCCTTCATGTATATTTTATTTGTTGGGTTGGCTGTTTAATTTTTACATTAACTGAATTTGCTCGCTATTCTCTTCGGGAAAGTTGTGCTTGTGATATGGTACAAAATAATTCAACTTTTGAAAAAGGAGAATTAAAATGTTCTTGTAAGTTCAAACCATTTAAACTAAAATTTAATTATAAATATTATTTTACAAACAAGAGTTTATTATCAACTTTGAAAGGCAGGATTCTTAGATGTCTATTTCCATTAAAAGTATAATTCGGGCCAGGAGCTGTGGCTCAAGCCTGTAATCCCAGCACTTTGGGAGGCTGAGGCGGGTGGATCATGAGGTCAGGAGATCGAGACCATCCTAGCTAACACAGTGAAACCCCGTCTCTACTAAAAATACAAAAAAATTAGCTGGGCGTGGTGGCGGGCACCTGTAATCCCAGCTATTTGGGAGGCTGAAACTGGAGAACGGCATGAACCTGGGAGGCGGAGCCTGCAGTGAGCCAAGATTGCGCCACTGCACTCCAGCCTGGGCGACAGAGCAAGACTCCATCAAAAAAAACAAAAAAACAAACAAACAAAAAAAGTATAATTCAACTAATGTCACTTGCAAGGGAGCAGGTAAAAAGTTCTAACCAATAGAAAATAACATAATAACGTGACTTTCTCATAAAATAAGTAGATATGCTAAAAGAAGTATTTACATTTTTCTAATAATAATTCTTTCCTTTCTAAACAATGTATATTATTTCTAAAGAACAAATGCACATGTATTTAAATAATTTGTTAGGTAATACATAGTCAATATTGAAATAAATGCACTTTTTCAAAGAGTTTAAATCTGCTTAGAAAAAAAGTGTGTTAGATCACTATGTCATATCATATGTAAAACTAAATTTGAGATATAATTAATGTCGAAAAATATCAAATATTAAATTAAAAAGCAGAGGGTATGAGATAATAGTTTTAAGACTATGTATGTGGAGGTCTCCCTACAGAAAAAAAGAAATTCAGAATCCATAACATACAGAAGTGATAGATGTAACTATAGTGCATGCTCACATGTATATCTCTTCTAACCCTTGGTGTCGTGATTGCTTGATCTCTTAAACTCCTAGAATATTTGTCTGTTTATACAACTCTAATTTTCTTGCTGTTTCAAGTGTAAAGTATATGGTCTACCTTCTTAAAATACTTCTTTGCAAATAGCCAAAATTCCCTTGTGCTACCTTGCTCTAAAATAATAAACTGGCAGAAACAGAACTCTAAATGTTTAGTCTGTGTTTGCACTGAGCATTAGGGTACTGATGGGGTGGAGTATCAGCGACATTTATTTTAAAGAATGTGCTGATTTAATTGTGGAAGTTGGCAAGTTTGAAATTTGTAATGCTGGCCTTCAGCGGGGAGATTCAAGCAATAGTGCTGTTGCAGTCTTGAGTCTATAATACATAAGGCAGGCCAGGCCAGTAGACCGGAAACACAAGCAAGATTTTTATGTCACAACCTTGAAACATAATTCTTTATCTGGGGATCTTGAGTTTTTGCTCTGAAGGCCTTCGACTGATTATGTGAGTCCTACTCATGTAGGACTAATCTGCTTTACTTAAGGTTAACCTATTATAAATGTTAATTACATCCATTTATCTTCATAGCAACATATAATTTCCAGTGTTTCACCAAATAGTTTAAAGCCATAGCCTAGTAAAGAAGAAACATACAATTAAGCATCACAGTGACTCTACTTACTCCCAATCACTCTCTCTGTCTTTCACACACATGCATGCAGAATTTAATTATTGTTCGACTTCTTCTATTATATGTGTGTGTGTGAAATTAAAATAGCAATATCAAATCAGGAGAATATATTGAATTGTTATCTTTGTGTTTCAGGGAGAGAGAGAAATAGAAAAGGAAATAAATAGGTATATTTATGAAATTGATGATTATGTGATAAATAGAACATGGTCCTAAATTGCAATTGTAAAGGCTTACTTTATGTGTCAATTTGACTGGGCTACAGAGTGGCCAGATATTATGGTCAATCATTATTCTGGCAGTTTTTGTGAGTGTTTTTTGGGTGAGTTTAACATTTAAATAAATAGACTGAGTAAAGTACTATGGCTTGTTAGGCCAATCTAGAGAGGCTTACATCTTGGAAACTTTTAGGACATATTTCAACCCAAATTACTTCTAATCATTTGACAGATATTTTTATTTAGAAATACTTGGCCAGGCACGGTGGCTCACGCCTGTAATCTTAGCACTTTGGGAGGGCGAGGCGGGTGGATCACGAGGTCAGGAGTTTGAGACCATCCTGGCCAACACGGTGAAACCCTGTCTCTACTAAAAATACAAAACTTAGCTGGGTGTGGTGGCACATGGCTGTAATCCCAGCTACTTGGGAGTCTGAGGCAGGGGAATTGCTTGAACCCGGGAGGCAGAGGTTGCGACACTGCCTTCCACCCTGGCTACAGAGTGAGACTCCATCAAAAAAAAAAAAAATATATATATATATATATATATATGTAAAATACATATATATATATTTTATACATATATATATATAGTGTATATTCCCATTAATATGAGTGGGCCTAATTCAGTACGCTGAAGGCCTTGAATGAACAAAAGGCTGGCCTTCCCCCAGTTGAGAGGGAATCCCTCCTGCATGACTGCCTTCAAGAGAGAATATCAGTTTTTTCTGGTCTTTGAACTGAAACTTCATCATTGGATTTCCAGGGACTCCAGCTTGCCAACTGTTGATTTTGGGACTTGTCTGTCTCTCTAACTGCATAAGCCAATTCCTTATAATAAATCTATATATGTATGAATTCTAGTATGTATCTATCTACATCTTATTTATACTACTTCTTTGGAAAACACTAAAACAGAGAGCAATGTATGTTTAATATATGAAGCATAACATATGATGTATAACATATGACAATATATAATAAAATAAATATTATTGTATGTAATATATGGTACAGTATATGTATCACAAAATATAATTATATATTATTTTCTTTTCCCATTGACTAATAAGTTTTACATTCTATTATCAAAATCACAAGAAATATTTTTGAGAACTAGATGAAAAATGATCCAACATTTTCTCTGGAAAAAAAACATACTGAATGCAACAGCTAAGGATAGTATAAAAAAAAACAAGAGTTATCAATTATTATATCCCTATTAAATATTTAAATTCATTATAGAATAATGATCATTATAATGTAATTGAAGAAATAAAATCTTTTGGAGATAAAAAAATAAGTCCAATGCTTGTGTTATAAATACATTATATTTGAAAACACAGAAATAGGGAATATTTAATGAGTTCCTAATCTTTTTTTTTCTAATTTTTTCCTTTAAACTAGCTTTAATTTGAGAAAATAAAATAATTTCATTATAAGGTTAAATATAGAATATTGATTATCAAAGGGATATGGATTGAGGGTTGCTTGGTATGCCAATCTAGAGAGTTGTACATCTTGGAAAATTTTAAGGGGCATATTTCAACCCAAATTACTTCTAATTGTTTGACAGTTATTTAGATTTAGAAATAATTTGTGTATATTCCCATTATTAATCTTAGACTAAGAAATTAACTGAAACTAACCTACCTCTACATATACATTGGAAATCACTGCTGAAGTGTGCATTGGGTTGAAACTTGAATTTAGCTCACTCATCTATGGGCATGGGAATATCTGTGAAATGTGGCTAAGATGAAAATCTATAATGAAAGAAGACTGGGGCAGCAATTAATGAATGGAGGCTTGTTCTTGACTTGTAATGGAAGAAATATATACATTTTAGTTGGTGATATATTTTTACATCACTGTTTAACTACATCCCATATAATGCTGAATTCTATTTTTTGCTGTAATAGTTCTATGCATTGTTTGCGTGTTTTTTTGATTTATGATTTTTGTAGTAAAATTGTAAAACAAGGATAATGTAAAAACTTTAAAAAATATTCCCAGTAATCTTTCCATAAAAAAGAAAACCTTTCAATGTTTTAAGAAGAGACAAACTGGTTGATTGAGGTCTTTGCTCCCATTTTAAAGGGAATGATTATAGAAGCATAATATTGAGCTAGAAAGAGGGGAATCAGACAGATTAATCTCATTACTAAAAAATCAACAGGAAGGAATAAATTACATAAACAAAACATCTGGATCATTGAAGAGAAACTAATTAACATGGTAAGAAAAAATGTGCCTGCCCTTCGAATTAAGAAGGCAGATCATAAAGGGTATAATCAGAACACTGAAAATGATTGCCAACACACTCTTGTAGCATACACATGTTCTCCCTAAGGAGACATGTAATTACAACAAATTGTATTCTAAATATGTATCTGTAATTTTGTAGGCATGGGTTTTCTTGTTAATTCAAACATTTTTAAGTCATAAAAATGTGCCTTTTAAAAGCTTAACTTATTTTAGGATTGGGAAATAAACTTAATATTTTAAACATTGAATAAATCACTAAGTAATTACTACAATAAACTACCTAACATTGTTTTTGGAAAGAAATATAAAGCACTATTTTAAACTGTAATAATATATATCTTGAAATTGAAAATGTACAAATTTTCAATAATTACACCGTCTAATAACCACTTACAGTGCAGTGGGAAGTTGCCCAAACATTCTGTCACATTTCTCTTTGGTTGTGAAAGGCAAGTAAAGGTGACATGGAGCATATCTTTGTTTAAATGAAGTTAGGTTTTTTTAGTTTGTTGTAGCAAAGAAAATATATACCTAGAGGAACAGAGATTGTCTCAAGAAAATTGAATACAGAGACCTCTTCTAATGTTTAAACCTGTGTAGAGGACTTTTGAACAGGATTAAGTAAGGCGAGATTATTATCAAGTAGACGCCTTCAAAAAATAGAGAAGATTCAGTGATTAGATGTCTTAAAGTTTTATTTATAAGGCAAGAAGATAAATTTAGAACTATAGTCATTGATAAAGGAGTAGTAATAATCCATGTTTGTCAGAGAGGAAGATATTTAGTCATTTGTGTGGTTGCCGAGTGACCTTGTGTTTGTTATACTGTGAATATGCTTCTGATGTAGTCTTTTCTGAGCATCACAGGTTGGCTTTCAGCAAAGCTGTTATTTACTTGCTGAGGTAAAATTCAAGTCAAAATTATATGCTTTTGGCAAAATTTTTTGCCAAGATTATTAAAATAATTCAGTAGTGCTAAAATTACTCAAAATTTACAACCGAAAAAAAAACGCTTTTCTATATTGTATTCTAGTTGCTATTTTTCCTCTTAATTTATATGTATTAATAATAGCTGCTTAAAAGTTGTCTTTTTTGTCAGTGGTGTGGTACAGGCATCAATTTTCCCACACAGCTCTCTAAGTTTTACAAGTCAACTTATTGAAGACACTTTTCTGCATTGACACTTTTTCTAACAGGTCAAGTGCAGATGTTTGCATGAGCCCGTTTCTGGGTTATCTCCTTTATTTCATTCATCGATTTGTTTATCTTTCTACTAATACTATATAATCTTAACTAATGTAGCTTTCTTATAATTTTTTATCTTAAGAATTATATAACACCACCAAATGGGATTTATCTGAGATAATCAAGGCTAGTTCAACATTCAGCATCAATCAATACAAAATTGGGCACATTGCCACAAGCCTATAGTCCCAGAAATTTGGTAGGCTGAGGTGGGAGGATCTATTGAGCCCAGGAATTCAAGACCAGCTCAGGCAACATAGGAAAATCTCATCTTAAAAAAAAAAATACAAACAAAAAGAATCAATCAATCAATACAATAATATACCACATTAAAGGACGAAAAGGATAAAGAAGGGAAATCAGATGATTATAACAACCACGGTAAAAAAGGTATATGACATAGTCCAACACCATTCATGTTAAAAAAAAAATAATCTCAGCAAACAAGAAATAGAGGACAACTTTATCAAGTTGGTAAATAATGTTTAAAACAACTTATAGCTAACATCATAATTGTGAGACACTGGGCTCTTTTTCCCTAAGGTTAAGAAAAAGGCAAGCATGTTATATCTCTCTGCTGTTATTCACCTTGTACCAAAATTATAACTAGAATAATAAGATTAGAAAAAGCAATAAAACTTACACAGATTAGAAATGAAGTATCAAAATTGTCTTTATGCTCAGATGACATTACAGTCTATGTAGAAAAATCAAAGAATCTCCCAAAACCTCCTGGAATTAGTAACAAGCTTTAATATAATACTTTCTGACAACTTTGTACTTCTGTAAATGTGTCCTGGCTATTCTTCGACATTAGTATTTTTCTCATTTCTACTAAGAGAAATTTACTCATTTCTACTACTTAATTAAATGTTCTCATTTAATTAAGAACATATTGATTCTATGTGTGAGCTGATATCTCTACATTAATTCATTTAATTCATAAACAGTATATCTCAACAATGGTTAATAGTTTTCTGTGCTGCTATATCTAAATAATGGGTGATAACTTTTTTGTGTATCTTTTGTCAGATTTATTTCTAGATGGTTAGTGTTTTTGATATCACTGCTTAACGACGTATGATAAAACATAACATCTATGTAAGCAACATCAAGATGAGGATGTAATGGAGTACCAGGATCTGGAGCTACCAAAATATCCTTTTCACTCATTATTTCATACTTCGTTCTCAAAGTAAACATTGTTCTTACTTTTAATCATAATTATTTGATTTTTAAATACTATTACCAAATAAGCATGTATCCCTAAACACTATGGTTTAATTAGTCCTATAGTTTGCATTTGTATAAATGAAATTCTTTATTTTTTTTAGATTTTAAAAATTTAACTTTTATTTTAAGTTCAGAAGTACATGTGCAGGTTTTTTATTTAGGTAAACTTGTGTCATGGGGGTTTGCTGTACAGATTATTTTGTCACTGAGGTATTAAGCCTAGTACCCATCAGTTATTTTTCTTGATCTTCTTCCTCCTCCCACCCTCCACCCATAATAGGCCGCAGTGTGTGTTCTTCCCCTCTATGTGTCCATGTGTTCTCATCATTTAGTTCCCACTTATAAGTGAGAACATGCATTATTTGATTTTCTCTTCCTGTGTTAGTTTGTTAAGGATAATGGCCCCCAGCTCCATCCATGTTCCTGCAAATGAGATGATATCATTCTTTTTTATGGCTGCATAGTATTCCAAGTTGTCTATGTACCATATTTTCTTTATGCAGTCTACCACTGATGGGCATTTAGGTTAATTCCATGTCTTTGCTATTTTGAATAGTGCTGCAAAGAACATATGTGTGCATGTGTCTTTATAATAGAACAATTTATATTCTTCTGAGTATATGCTCAGTAATGGGATTCCTGGGTCTAATGGTATTTCTGTCTTTAGATTTTTGAGGAATCTCCACACTGTCTTCCACAATGGTTGAACTAATTCACACTCCCACCAGCAGTGTATAAGCATTCTTTTTTCTCCACCACCTCACCAACATCTGTTATTTTTTGACTTTTTAATCAGCCATTCTGACTGGTGTGAGACAGCATCTCACTCTGGTTTTGATTTGCATTTCTCTAATGATTAGTGATGTTGAGTTTCTTTTCATATGCTTGTTGGTCGCATGTATGCCTTCTTTAGAAAAGTGTCTGTTAATGTCCTTTGCCCACATTTTAATGAGGTTGTTTGTTTTTTTTTCATGTAAATTGTTTAAGTTCCTTACAGATGCTGGATGTTAGACCTTTGTCAGATGGATAGTTTGCAAACATTTTCTCCTATTTGGTAGGTTGCTTACTCTGTTGCTAGTTTCCTTTGTTATGCAGAAGCTCTTTAGTTTTTAATTAGATCCCATTTTCCAATTTTTGCTTTTATTGCAAATAGTTTTTGTTATCTTTGGCGAGAAATATTTGCCCACATCTTAGTCCTGAGTGGTATTGCCTAGGTTTTCTTCTTAGGGTTTTTATAGTTTGCAGTTTCACATTTCAGCCTTTAATCCATCTTGAACTGATTTTCATATAAGGCGTAAAAATGGGTCCAGTTTCAATTTTCTGCATATGGCTGACCAGTTATCCCAGCTCTGTTTATAGAATAGGGAGTCATTTCCCAATTGCTTGTTTTTGTCAGGATTGTCAAAGATCAGATAGTTGTAGGTATGCAGACTTATTTCTGAGTTCTCTACTCTCTTCCATTGAGCTTTACGTATCTCTTTTTTGTACCAGTACCATGCTGTTTTGGCTACTGTAGCCTGTACTATAGTTTGAAGTCAGGTAGCATGACACCTGCAGTTTTGTTCTTTTTGCTTAGGATTGTCTTGGCCATTCAGGGTCTTGTTTAGTTACATATGAATTTTAAAATGGTATTTTTCTGGTTCTGTGAAGAATGTCAACGGCAGTTTCATAGGAATAGCATTCAGTCTACAAATTACTTTTGGCAGTATGGCCATTTTGAAAATATCGATTCCTCCTCTCCATGAGCATGGGATGTTTTTTTCATTTGTTTGTGTGTCATCTCTGATTTCTTTGAACAGTGTTTTGCAGTTGCCTTGTAGAGATCTTTCACCTCCCTGGTTAGCTGTATTTCTACATATTTTTGTGCATTTGTGAGGACTGTGAATGGGATTGCATTCCTGATTTGGCTCTCAGCTTGACTGTTGATGGTATATGGGAATGTTAGTGATTTCTGCACATTGATTTTGTATCCTCAGACTTTGCTGAAGTTGTTTATTGGATTAAGGAACTTTTTGGCTGAGACAATGGGGTTTTTTATATATAGGATTATATTGTCTGCAAAAAGGGATAGTTTGACTTTCTCTCTTCTTATTTGGATGTCCTTTATTTGGATGTCTCTTATCCAATTGTCCTTTCCAGGACTTATAGTACTATACTGAATAAGAGTGGTGAGAGAAGGTATCCTTGTCTTGTGCTGGTTTTCAAGGGGAATGCTTCTAGCTTTTGCCCATTCAGTATGATGCTGGCTGTGGGTTTGTCATATATGGCTCTTATTATTTTGAGAAAATCATGTGGTTTTTGCCTTTAGTTCGGTTGATGTAATTAATTTCATTTATTGATTTGTGTATGCTGGAACAAACTTGCATTCCAGATTACTTGATTGTGATGGGTACGCTTTTCAGTGTGCTGCTGGAATCAGTATATTGTTGAGGATTTTTGCATCTGCATTCATGAAGAATATTGGCCTGAAGTTTTCTTTTTTGTTGTTGTGGCTCTGTCAGGTTTTCTTATCAGGATGATGCTGGCCCTGTAGAATGAGTTAAGGAAGCATCCCTCCTCCTCAATGTTTTGGAACAGTTTCAGCAGCAATAATACCAGCTCTTCTTTGTACATCTGGTAAAATCCAGAAGGAATTTGTCTAGTCCCAGGCTTTTTTTCGTTGGTAAGTTATTTATTATGGGTTCAATTTCAGAGCTCATTATTTGTCTCCTTATTGGTGTCATTATTGTATGTGTTCAGGAATTTATCCATTTCTTCTAATTTTTTCTAGTTTATATGCCTAGAGGTATTATAGTATTCTCATTCTCTGATGGTTGTATTTCTGTGAGGTAGTGATAATACCCCCCTTATCATTTCTGATTGTGTTGATTTGAATCTTCTCTCTTTTGTTATTATTAGTCTAGCTAGCTAGTGGTCTATTTTTTTTTTTCAAAAAATTTCAAAACCTGGCTCCTGAATTTGTTGGTCTTTTGAATAGATTTTTGTGTCTCAGTCTCATTTAGTTCAGTTCTAAATTTGGCTATTTCTTGTCTTCTGCTAGCTTTGGGATTTGTTTGCTCTTGGTTATTTAGCTCTTTTAGTTGTGGTGTTAAGTTGTTAAATTAAGATCGTTCTTTTTGATATGGCCATTCAGAGCCATAAATTTCCCTCTTAACACTGTCTTAGCTGTGTTCCAGAGATTCTGGTATGTTGTATCTTTGTTCTCCTTAGTTTCAAAGAACTTCTTGATATCTGCCTTAATTTAATTTTTTACCCAGGAGTCATTCAGGATCAGATCACTCAATTTCCATGTAATGGAATGATTTTGAATGAATATCTTAGCCTTGATTTCTAATTTGATTGTGCTGTGGTCTGAGTGATTGTTTGTTATTATTTCAGTTTTTTTGAAATTGCTGAGGAGTGTTTTACTTCCAATTATGTGATTGATTTTAGAGTATGTACCATATGGAGATGAGAAGAATGTATATTCTGTTGTTTTTGGGTGGAAAGTTGTGTAGCTATCTATCAGGTTCATTTGATACAGTGCTGAGTTCAGGTCCTAATATCATCAGTGGCCTGTTAAAATCTCCAGATATTATTGTGTGGGAGTCTAAGTCAATTTGAAGGTCTCTAAAAACTTGCAATGTGAATCTGGGTACTCCTGTGTTGGGTACATACATATTTAGGATAGTTAGATCTTCTTTTTGTATTGAACCCTTTACCATTATGTAATTCCCTTCTTCGTCTTTTTTGATCTTTCTTGGCTTAAAGTCTGTTTTGTCTGAAACTATGATTCCAACCCCTGCTTTTTTGTTTTCCATTTGCTTGGTAGATTTTTCTGCATCCCTTTATTTTGAGCTTATGTGTGTCATTTCATGTAAGATGAGTCTCCTGAAGACAGCATAACAATAGGTCTTGGTTCTTTATCTAGTTGCCACTCTGTCTTTTAATTGAAGCAGTTAGCCCATTTACATTCAAGGTTAGTATTGATATGTGTAGATTTGATCCTACCATCATGATGTTAGATGGTTATTTTGCAGACTTGTTTACATGGTTGCTTTATAGTGTCAGTGGTCTGTGGACTTCAGTGTGTTTTTATAGTGGCTGGTAATGGTATTTCATTTCCATATTTAGTACTTTGTTCAGAAGGTCTTGTAAGGCAGGTCTGGTGGTAACAAATTCCCTCAGAATTTGCTTGCCTGAGAAGGATTTTATTTATCCTTTGCTTATGAAGCCTAGTTTAGCTGAATATGAAATTCTGGGTTGGAATTTCTTTTACTTAAGAATGTTGAATATCGACACCCCCCCATGTTTTCTGGCTTGTACAATTTCTGCTGAAAGATCTGCTGTTAGTCTGATGGGTTTCCCTTTATATGTGACCTGACTTTTCTCTCTACCTGAGTTTAACATCTTTCTTTCATTTCCACCTTGGAGAATCTGATGAATATGTGTCTTGGGGATGATCATCGTGTGAAGTATCTTACTGGAGTTTTCTGCATTTACTGAATTTGAATGTTTGCCTCTCTAGTTAGGTTGGAGAAGTTCTCATGGATGATACCCTGAAATATGTTTTCCAAGTTAGTTCCATTCTCCCCATCATTTTCAGGTACAACAGTGAGTTGTAGATTTGATCTCCTTACATAAAACCATATTTATTGGAAGTTTTTTTTTCATGATTTTTCTTTCTTTTTTCTTTACTCTTGTCTGACTGTCTTATTTCAGGAAGTCAGTCTTCAAGCTCTGAGTCTTTTCTCTGCATAATCTTTTCTGTTATTAATACTTATTGCATTATAAAATTATTATAGTGTGATTTCAGCTCTACCAATTTGGTTACATTATTTTCTATTCTGGCTGGCTCATCTGTCAGCTCCTGCATTGTTTTATTATGATTTTTTGCTTCCTTGGATTGGGATTCAATGCACTCCCACAGCTCAGTGACCTTTGTTCTTATCCATACTCTGAATTCTACTTCTGTCATTTCGGCCACCTCAGTCCAATTCAGAACCCTTTCTGGAGAGGTGATAAAGTCATTTGGGGGAAGGAAGGTACTCTGGCTCTTTAGTTGTCAGGGTTTTTGTGCTGATTCTTTCTCATCTTTGTGGGCTTATCTACCTTCAATCTTTGAAGTTGCTGGCCTTTGGATTTTTTTTTTCCTATTTGATGACCTTGAGAGTTTGATTGTGGTATAAGTAGATTCGACCAACTGGCCTCATTTCTGGAAGATTTTAGGGGAACCACGCTCAGCTCCCCACATCAAGACTGCATGCTCTAGCTCTGGAGGACTTTTATTGAGACCTGACTTCGTCTTCTGGCTCTTCGAGGTTAGGAATCCACTGTGCTTGGTGGGCTTAAGTGCTCCCAGATAACTGGTCACTCCAGTGGTCACTCCAGTGGTGCTCTCAGACCACTGGCCACTCCAATGGGTGGTGTCAGCCAAAGTGTTTTGCAATGAGGTGACTGGAGATCCATCCTCATTTACACGTACCAGTAGCAATGGCAACAGCAGCTGTGGTAGAGTGCTAGCATGTGCTGAGGTTCCTTCCTCCCTGTGGGAAATCACTACAGTGGCAGAAGAAATACAACTGGGGGCGGCGGGGGGGGTGGGGGAGCGGTGGGCTGCTTCGACTGTGTATGTAGCCACACTAGAAGTGGTGATGATTTAGGGGTGAGGCACGGGCAGACACAGGTTTGGATGTCTTCTCCATGTCCTGCAATCAGGAGTGATTGCTTAGAGCAGGGGAGGATATGCTGTTGTCTGTTCAGTGTTAGCACAAGGGGAGAGTGCTGGTTGGGGAGGGCCTTGCTGGCTCTGTGCCCTTCAATGGTGGTCGGTAGGGAGAGGGGGATGAACTGCATTCCAGAGAGCTGGTGAGGCAAGAAAAGTAAACAGTGGCACAAACACACACCAGCAAAGTGAAGCAGGGCAGCCCTGGGGGAAGCTGCAGTATGGGGACAGAGCATGTGCACTGGTGTGTGGCCATAGTGGCTGCCCGCCTGGAGCTTTCTACCAGTCAGGCATGGTCCACCAGTGCAGAGGCTATGGTGTGGCCCCCAGGACACCCAAGGCTGCCTGAAAGCAGATGTGTCCAGGGTGGGGCACCAGAAGAGGCAGCAGACCAATGAGTGCTCAGGTCAGACCAGCCCCGTCTGATGGGCGAGACTGCCCTGCAGAGTTTATGTCTGAAAATTTTCCTAGGGCTAAAGTCTCCTATGGAAGCAAGTCAACCATGGAGGAATGGCTTTCTGTGGCCATGCTCTGCTATAGGTGCTCCAGCACCAAACCCTCTGGGCTCCACATCAGCTGGCTTGCAGCCCCTACCACTTCTTTAAGCAGCTTTCCCTGCCAAATTGAGTGTCTGTTGTGGTTGAGGGGTCTCCCCCTACCAGGGTTCCAGAGGCCTGTGGTGAGAATATATTACTCCTTGCCAGTTCAGCTCATCTGTTGCCCCTGAAGCAGTTGGGAATCACGAATGAGTTCTGGTGTACAGCAGCCACATGCTGGGTTCCCTCCTGTCTCTCCCTTGAGCCTAGCTTCTGTGTCTTTCCTTTGTCCACTCTTGGTTCTTTCCCTCTGAAGATATTTTAGGAGCACTCCAGTAACCTCAGTTGCTCGATGGAGCTGTTCCACCTGGCTACAGAATGGAATGGAATTCTAAATGTGAATTATTTTGTTCAATTTTGTGTTGAGTTCCCATCTATGATTTTGTGTGTTCATGTAGTTTCTTCATTTTGTTGCTATTTAGTTTGCAGTGCAGTTTCATTCTTCAGGCATGTTTTCTGCTTAGGGATAATATAAACAATAATGTTTTGTACTTGATTTGTATGTCTTTTGATGCACATATACATGCATATTGAGTATACACTGAGGAGTGGAATTTCTCTAACACAGTGAATCCTTATCTTCATTTAAGTAAATGTAAATTAGTTTTCCTCTATGGTTGTGCATTCTTTCTGTTAGTTTTAAGGTTTCCATTTCTCCACAATTTCACTGGCTCCTGCTACTGCTATTGTGGGAGAGGGCGTTATAAAATATGGTTTTGATTTGGGTTTCCTTGTGGACTACTAGAGTGAGAATAGAATGTGCTCATTGATCTTTTGACTATGTTATTTTTAAAGTGTCTAAGTCATTTGTCTATGGTGTTATTTGTTTGTAATTCATTATCTTATTGAATTTTAACATTTTAACATATATTTTCAGAATATCAGGCTTTATTATCTTTGCGTCTTGTGAATAACTTTTCTCACTATGTTCTTTGTCTTTTTTTTCTCTCTGAATAATGAGTTATGGTGCTATGAGTTTCTCAGTTTAATAGTCCAATGTATCAAGACACTTGTTTATAGTTAGTATTTTTATTGTAAGAAACTCATCTTTCAAAAGATAAGAAATATTCAACTATATTATACACTCAATGCTTAATTGTTTTGACTTTCACATTGAGGCTTATAGTCTAACAGGATTTGATTTTGTATATAGTATGAAATAGAGGCCAAATATTTTATATTCTATAAGAGTATAGAATTGACCCATGCTGTTTTTTGAAGACAATGACTTTAACCACTTATGTGCAGTAAATATTTGTTTATATTTTTATAAATCAAATATGCAATCATCCACTTGACCTCTACTTTGCATTAATGGTCTTTCTACCCATCCTTGTTCCAAAACTATGTTGTCTTAATTGCTGACACTTTGTAAGAAATTTTGATATTTGGTTAAATTAAAAATTCCATCATTTCCTGAACAATTGCCTGGGCTATTCTTTGTCCATTAGATTTACATATAATGTATAATATCATTTTTCCATTTTAACACAAACACACACATACAAAGACTTCCGTAAATGTCATGACACTTCCCAAGATGTATAAATTTGTCGGGGCCAAATTGAAAACTTTACAATGTTAAGTGTTCCAAACAATGGACATGATATGTTCCTCCATTATTTACATGTTCTAATAATTATTTTAATAATATTTTACAGATTCTTATGTAAGATCATACTCATTTTCATTTATATTTATTTTTAGATATTTGATATGTCTTAATGCTATTTACAGTGGTTTGTTTTCACTTTAGTTTTCTCAATTTTTGTTGTTATTGCTTAAAATAAAATTGATGACTTTCTTGAAACAAAGTTTTAGCTCTCTTCCACATATGTATTCCATGTGTCTGCAATCATATAATTTTATCATGGATATGGCAATGGAAAACAGTGAAATGATAAATACACCAATTAATAAGTGTTTTTCAGGTCTGATTGTGTCATTATTGACAAGTTCCCACTAGGCAAAGTAAGTCACACAGAAGAGCCCTCCCACTTTCTAAATCAAACACTTCGTAAGAATCAAGGATTCAGTGCAATTCATCTACCACAATTTACTTTCTGGCAACAATTACTTACATCCATCCCATATGTAGTATATATTAACAGTCATCCAAGGGCTACAGAAGTCTCATAAAAGCAAAGCACTAGGACTTGTGAATCCAAGATCTTGTAATTTACATTTGGTTCAGATGTGGCACCACGCATGGTGTTCCTGTTGATCTGGATACTTATGAATTTATAAGACCAATTATCTGCTCCCCACAGACACAAAGAGCAATGGGGACTAAGGGAGAAGATAATTACATAAACACTCTGATTGAAAAGGGAAAAATGGGAGACAAATAGTATTACTGGCACAGAGCCATTCTGCAAACCAGCAGGCACATATTGGCAGATACCCAAACTACATGGGCAGTGAATGCTCCTTAATTTGGTTCTGCCCCTCAAAAGCAGACTCTCCAGACCACTTTTCTTTATAATTTTTGCTTCTGTTCTCTGAGGTGTCCTTTTTGTTAACCCTTCTTGGACACTTAAAAAAATAATTTTAACTTTTATTTTAGATACAGCGTGGGTGTATACATGCAGGTTTGTTACATGGGTATATTGATTGATGCTGAGCTTTGGAATATGGATCCTGTCACCCAGGAAGTGAGCATAATACTCAATAGGTAGTTTTTCAGTGCATGCCAGACTCCCCTTCTCTAGTAGTCCACAGAATCTATAGTTCTCATATTTATGTCCATGAGTACCTGATGTTTAGCTCCCACTTATAAGTGAGAACATGCGGTATTCGGTTTCTACTTTTGTGTTAATTCACTTACAATGATGGCTTCCAGCTGAATCCCTGTTACTTCAGTGGACATGTTTTCATTCTTTTTTTTATGTTTGTATAGTATTCCATGGTGTGTATTTATCACATTTTCTTTATCCAATTCACCATTGATTAACATCTTGGTTGACTTCACATCTTTGCTATTGTGAATAGTCCTGCAACGAACATATGACTTGCATGTGCCTGTTTGGCAGAATAATTTATTCTCTTTTGGCTATATGCCCAGTAATTGTATTGGTGGGTTGAATGGTAGCTCTGTTTTAAGTTCTTTGAGAAATCTCCAAACTGCTTTCCACAGTGGCTGAACTAATTTACATTCCCGCCAACAGTGTATTAGGCTTCCTTTTACTCTGCAGCCTCCCCAACATCTGTCATTATTTGACTTTTTAATAGCAGCCATACTGACTGATGAGATGTAGCATTTCAAGGTGGCTTTGCTTTGTACCTCTCTGATAATGAGTGATGATGAGCATTTTTTATATGTTTTTTGGCCACTTACATGTCTTTTTTTGAGAAATGTATCTTCATGTACTATGCTTGGCCACTTTCGAATAAGGCATTGAGTTATATGGTCTTTGAACAATATTTTCAGCCTATTTACAGATGGGTGAAATGTGGGGGCCTAAGGCAAAGTCCATTTTGAATAGTTTTAGCCCATTTTAGTCCAATCTGGCAGACTTTTGCTAAGACAGTCTGCTTGAAAATGTGAGTTTTCTATAAATCTGAATTTATTTCATTCCATGTGTCAAAAGCCTCACTCACAAACTTTTAAAGTCATGCCTGCCAATCTGTATATAGCTACTGCTACTCTGATCTTGTGATACTTCTGTGACACAGTGTACTTAAGTTTCCTAGAAGCCTTTGCCTGAGAGGGCATATCACCTTAACTTTTTCAATGGCATTAATGAAGGAACTTACATCTATGCCTTTGATCTGGTCTTTGTCCCAAGTATATTTCACTTTGAGAAATCATTTTTTCTTGGAAAGAACTGGAGATAAGAAAGAAGAAGTCTTATTTTTTTAGTACTGGTAGTCTTGAGCTCTTTATATTTTTCTAAATTTTGCTAGCAATCTTTTCCATTCTCTCTTTAGTTTTCTCTTTCTTCTGGTATCTTATGGCATGCAGCTAGTAAAACCTATATGATATGTCAACATTCTGCTTGGAAATTTTGCTGCTCAAATCTTAAAGTTCATTAAGTGTCCTTTTTTCCTACCCTCCAAGGAACCACAAGTGACAGCCTTATCATTCATTTCACAACTATATCCTATGGGTTACTATTTATCCAGCTTTATAACAGTTTTCTCACTATTTTTATGCTCTGCAAATAGATTCCTCAATACTTTGCCAGATTCTATGAGTGACCTGGTTTCAAAACATAGATCAAATGATTTTCCTTTTTTCCAGTAGTACCACACTTCTATTACAAATTTAGTTCTCACTTACCTTTTGCAGGTTAAAAGAACACCTCAGAATTCCTTTTTATAATGTGTGTGTTCATGTCTGTATTAGTCTCTTCCCATGCTGCTGATAAAGACATACCTGAGACTGAGCAATTTACAAAAGAATCAGGTTTATTGGACTTACAGTTTCATGTGGCTAGGAGACCTCACAATCATGGCAGAAGGTGAAAGGCACATCTCAAATGACAGCAGACAAGAGAAGAGAGCTTGTGGAAAAAAACTCCCATTTTTGAAACCATTAGATCTCATGAGACTCATTCCCTATCCTGAGAACAGCCCAGGAAAGACCCACCCCCATAATTCAATCACCTCCCACCACATGTGGGAATTGGGGGAGTTACAATTCAAGATGAGATTTGGGTGGGGACAAAGCCAAACCATATTATTCCACCTCTGACCCCTCCCAAATCTCATGTCCTCACATTTCAAACCTATCATGACTTCCCAGCAGTCCCCAAAAGTCTAAACTCATTTCAACATTAACTCAAAAGTCCACAGTCCAATGTCTCATCTGAGACAAGACAAATCCCCTCTGCCTATGAGCCTGTAACAGCAAAAGAAAGTTAGTTACTTCCTAGATACAATGGGGTACAAGACATTGGGTAAATGCAGCCATTCCAAATGGGAGATATTGGCCAAAATAAAGGGGCTACAGGCCCCATGCAAGTCCAAAATCCAGTGAGGCAGTCAAATCTTAAAAGTTCCAAAATGATCTTCTTTGACTCCACATCTCACATCCAGGTCACACTGATGCAAGAGGTGGGTTCCCATGGCCTTGGGCAGTTCTGCCCCTGTGGCTTTGCAGGTTACAGCCTCCCTCCCAACTACTTTAACAGTGTGGTGTTGAGTGTCTGCAGCTATTCCAGGTGCAAAGTCCAAGCTGTCAGTGGAGCTACCATTCCAGGGTCTGGAGGACAGTGACCCTCTTCTCACAGTTTCACTAGGTGGTGCTGCAGTAGGGACTCTGTGTGGGGCTCTGACCCCACATTTCTCTTCCACATTGTCCTAGCAGAGGTTCTCCATGAGTGCCCCACTCCTGCAGCAAACCTCTGCCTGGGCATCCAGACATTTCCATACAACTTCTGAAATATAGGCAGAGGTTCCCAAACCTCAGTTATTGATTCTGTGCACCTGCAGGCTCAAAACAATATGGAAGCTGCCAAGGCTTGAGGCGTGCACCCTCTGAAGCAAGAGCCTGATCTGTACCTTGGCCCGTTTTAGTCATGACTGAAGTGGCTGGGATGCAGGGCACCAAATACCTAGACTGCACACAGCAGAGGAACCCTGGGCCCAGCCCACAAAATCATTTTTCCTCCTAAACCTCTGGGCCTGTGATGGGAGGGGTTGCCATGAAGACCTCTAACATGCCCTGGAGACAGTTTCCCCATTGTCTTGGTGAGTAACATTCAACTCCTCATTTCTTACGCAAATTTCTGCAGCAGGCTTGAATTTTTCCATCAAAAATAGGATTTTCTTTTCTATTGCATTATCAGGTTGCAAATTTTCCAAACTTTTATGCTCTGCTTCCCATATGAAACTGAATGCCTTTAACAACATCCAAGTCACCTATTGATTGCTTTGTTGCTTAGGATTTTCTTCCACCAGATACCCTAAATCATCTCTCTCAAGTTAAATGTTTCACAAATCTCTAGGGCAGGGCAAAATGCCAAGAGTCTGTTTGCTAAAACAACAAGAGTCACCTTTGCTCCAGTTCCCAACAAGTTCCTCATCTCTCTCTGAGACCACCTCAACCTGGACTTTATTGTCTATATCACTATCAGCATTTTGGGCAAAGGCATTCAACAAGTCTCCAGGAAGTTCCAAACTTTCCCACATTTTCCTGTCTCCTGAGACCTCCAAACTTTTCCAGCCTCTGCCTGTTACCTAGCTCCAAAGTCGCTTCTACATTTTCAGGTATCTTTTCAGCAATGCCCCACTCTACTGGTACCAATTTACTGTATTAGTCTGTTCTCACACTGTGATAAAGACATACCTGAGACTGCGCAATTTACAAAAGAAAGAGGTTTATTGGACTTACAGTTCCATATGTCTGGGGAGACCTCACCATCATAGCAGGAGGTGAAAGGTACATCTCACAGGGCAGCAAGTAAAAGAGAGCTTGTGCACAAAAACTCCCATTTTTAAAACCATCAGATCTCATAAGGCTCATTCACTATCACGAGAACAGCCCAGGAAAGACCTGCCCCATAATTCAATCACCTCCCACCAAGTTCCTCCCAAGACACATGGGAATTATGGGAGTTACAATTCAAGATGAGATTTGAGTGGGGACACAGCCAAACCATATCAGTCTCTACAATAGCAGTTCTCAAAGTACAGTCTAGACACTTTTGAGATTCCCAGTACCAGTGGTGTCTGTAATGTCAAAATTATTTCCACCATAATTCTAAAATATAATTTGCTCTTTTCTCTCTGAATATCTAAAAAGTATAATTTTACAGAGGTCATGTGGCATGTAATGATACACTTCTTCTAAATGCTAATGGAATGTGTAGGTGTGTATTCATGCTTTTCCATAATTTTCTAAGTAGAGTCAGAGTATAAATCTGTGCATTTTCAGAGACCGAGTCAGTGTTAGTACTTCTATTGTCCTCTTATAAGCAATGTTTGCTTTACTTGCTATAACCTCTGTAAATGTGTTATAGTCCAAAAATTTTGTATTTTTAAATTGCCAATTTCCCATAGGAATAAAACATAAAATAAATATGCTATTTTTGTCCTCTTATATTTTTCAATGACACATTAAATATTTATATTTTCTATTATAATATTTGTTATGTTTTATAATAATATTTCATAATATTTTAAACATTTCTTAAAAAGTCTTTTCATTCAGAGTTTTTTAAAACATTTAAAATGAATCTAACATGTATCTTAAATTGCTTATTTTAGAATTCAACTATATTATTTTGGTTTAATTTCAATTGATTACCTTATTTTAAAATTTAATAATCTAATTAAATTATTTATTTTAATTATTAATTAAAATTTAAATATTTAATTAAATTATTTTATTTTAGAATTTAATAATCTCTTGATCATATCAGCCTTCTCTGTAGCTTAGCCCACTCACAGTTTCAGGAATATCCTTATCCAAAGACAGCAGATCCATGGAGAAATATCCTGTGTTTCTGAATCCCGCTAATACTCATGGAAAGCCATCAAAACCACTGGAAAACAAATTAATTTTCATACATCTTTGCCTAGTCCATCTTTTAAATATGAGATTGAGAAATACTTTGTATTGATAATAAATATATTGTTGGAAATGTTTTTCACCTTTTTTTGGTTGGGAAAGGTAAAAGCACCTAAATGCAATTTTTAGTTCATTGACAAGGCTTTTGTAGTTACAACTTTAAAATTCATTTTCCATTTTCTTTAAGTAGCACTTATTTTTGCATCTCTGTGAATAATGTACATTAGCAAAAAAGATAGTAAGACAGGAGATAGAATATAAAAGCTGAAATATATTATTCTCCAAATATGTGATCTGTTTGGTTGATTCTATCTATTAAATTTTATCCTTAGTATATTTGAAAATGTATGAGACTTTATTTGCTTTTTAAATATGCCCATCAAAGATCCTGAGAAGAATAAATCTTTTACTAATGGATACCAAAGTATACTTATTATTTCACTATATGCCACTAGAATAATGCTGCTAGCTCTTATTTTATGATTTGACCATAAAAATACTTTGCAACTCCAAGTATAAAATGACATTGAAATGCACATTATATAACTTTTATAAGATTTGTAACATGGGAATTATCTGAAAATGATTCACTTCTTCATGGAAATTAATATGAGTTTGGGTGTTGAAATTAGCTCATAAAGAACTGGCTTATAGTCAGAAGGATGTTCATGTCAAATTTCTCATCAACTCTTTAATACATCCGGTTCTCTCCCTCCACTTCTATCTTCATAGCCTAAGTAACCCTAATTTCTCACCTAACCAATTGTAAGAGCACTATTAACCAGTTTTCCTAAATCTATTCTTACTCCATTCTAGTATTTTTCTATAGATCAGAGTGATATTTGCAAACTGCATTTTTTTTCATCTCAGTGCTCCCACTTTCCCCATTTTACTTTAATTGGTTTATATAGCAATAAAAATTAGGTTTGGCCAAATATAGCCACAGAAATAAGAATTGTCATGTCTAAAATGAAATGCAATATTAGTTTTTTTCTCATAAAGTAAGTTTTGAGGTAAGAATATAGGCCTGATTTGATAACTTCATGGTGTCATCGAGAAACCAAGTTTTAATTTCGACTCTACCATCTTCAGTACTGACTGCCTTCTCTAAAACCATTTAATAATACAAAACCGCTGCTATACCATTAGCAATTACATCTATATTCTAGGCAGCTGGTAGAAGAAAGTGTGCTCTTCAGAGCTGAGTCAGCTCCTTTTAAACAGATATTCTGAATTTTGCACCAATACTTTTTCTTACCTCCATTGACCAACACTTAGTCATATGATCACTTAATATTACAAGCAACATTGGGTGAAATCTTCAATCTGTTTCATTAAGACACAAGATGAGAATGGATAATTACTAGGCAATTATTGAAAGCTGCCACAGTTCATGTTTTTTCTAAAATAGGATCAAAATTTCTAATTGTCTGTGAAGCCCTGTAGTTCTAGATCCTGCCTTATTTCACACATCATTCCTCCAATTTCCCTCTGTATTTAAGGTATATTGGCTTTCCTTAAGATTCCCAGGATGACACATTCACTCCTCTCATCATATGTTTCCAGATATTCTTTTAAGATACTTACACACTTTTTATTTTCCACTTAATTTAAAGATTTCAGCCAAGCCCGTTTTTCAAGGGAGTGTTCCTTGATATGCTTATAATTAACTCTCCTTGTTGAATATTCTCACTGTACTACCTAAATGTTCTTCATATCACATATTATATATTAATTATATTATAACTTTTGTGATTATTTAATCAAAGGGGAATTGGTTGTCAGCTAGCAATGTGGTTGATTTCTTCACAGGAGAATAGCAATCAATTAGATCATCCTTTATATGTGTTTACAAGGGGATTCTCTCAATCTCTTCCACTAGTCCTTAATATTTTCCCCGAAAACTACTTATGGCCAGTGCAAATGTCTCTTAAATTAGGGCAGAATAACGTATTAACTCACAATTTTCTCCAATGTAATTATATATCCAAAGTCAAAACTATGGCTCTTTTTATCTTTCATCCAAATTTTGTCAAACCACATTGTCCAATATATTTAATCAAAGGATTTGCAAAACATCAAATGCAATGTTAAGTTATTCCAATAATAAAATGTCATCCATAGGTTATTGTCACGTTTTAATATAAGACTTCTAATCAAATTCCTGGGAAGGAGGAGTCTAAAAATTCAATTATTTTGCAGATGAAAATATAATAATAACAAAATATGAATAAATTAAAATTCAAAATTAATATTGAGCCTTATTTGAGTTAAAATGTCAAAGAAATTGGAATCTATTAGAATGTCATACTCTGCTCACTCTTATTCTGAGAACCTCTTGTTGGCGATCACAAAACAGGTTACTTCAGAAGCTGCTTCTCAGGCTACTTTATTTATTTATTTATTTATTTATTATATTTTAAGTTCTAGGGTACATGTGCACAACGTGCAGGTTTATTACATATGTATACATGTGCTATATTGGTGTGCTGCACCCATTAACTCGTCATTTACATTAGGTATATCTCCTAAAGAAATGGGGAAAAGATTCCCTATTTAATAAATTGTGCTGGGAAAACTAGCTAGCCATATGTAGAAAGCTGAAACTGGATCCCTTCCTTACACCTTATACAAAAATGAATTCAAGATGGATTAAAGACTAAAATGTCAGACCTAAAACCATAAAAACCTTAGAGGAAAACCTAGGCAATACCATTCAGGACATAGGCATGGGCAAGGACTTCATGTCTAAAACACCAAAGGCAATGGCATCAAAAGCCAAAATAGACAAATGGGATCTAATTAAACTAAAGAGCTTCTGCACAGCAAAAGAAACTACCATCAGAGTGAACAGGCAACCTACAGAATGGGAGAAAATTTTTGCAATCTACCCATCTCACAAAGGGCTAATATCCAGAATCTACAAAGAACTTAAACAAATTTACAAGAAAAAATCAAACAACCCCATCAAAAAGTGGGCAAAGGATATGAATAGACACTTTTCAAAAGAAGACATATATGCAGCCAACAGACACATGAAAAAAATGCTCATCATCACTCGTCATCAGAGAAATACAAATCAAAACCACAATGAGATACCATCTCACGCCAGTTAGGATGGTGATCCTTAAAAAGTCAGGAAACAACAGGTGCTGGAGAGGATGTGGAGAAATAGGAACACTTTTACACTGTTGGTGGGACTGTAAACTAGTTCAATCATTGTGGAAGACAGTGTGGCGATTCTTCAAGGATCTAGAACTAGAAATACGATTTGACCCAGTGATCCCATTACTGGGTATATACCCAAAGGATTATAAATCATGCTGCTATAAAGACACATGCACACGTGTTTATTGTGGCACTATTCACAAGAGCAGAGACTTGGAACCAACCCAAATTTCCATCAATGATAGACTGGATTAAGAAAACGTGGCACATATACCCCATGGAATACTATACAGCCATGAAAAAGGATGAGTTCATGTCCTTTGTAGGGACACGGATGAAGCTGGAAACCATCATTCTGAGCAAACTATCACAAGGACAGAAAACCAAACACCACGTGTTCTCACTCATAGGTGGGAATTGAACAATGAGAACACTTGGACACAGGGTGGGGAATATCACACATTGGGGCCTGTTGTGGGGTGGGGGAGGGGGAAAGGGGGAGGGATAGCATCAGGCTACTTCTTTAAGAATTGATATAGTTCCCCCAGAATCTCAGAAGTTGACTGAGTTTAAAGTGCCTGATAAGCCTCATGTTTGAAAAAGCTCAAAGAGTTAATAGAATACACTTGACTTTTCAAGCTATGGCACTGCCACTGCCAAGTATGAAAAACAAGACAGTTTCAAACCCCCATGCAGTTGTTCCAAGCAGAAGTTTCCTCTCTGTCCAAAAAACATAAACCCAGTATTCCAACCTAGTATTAACCCAACGATCATAAAAGAGACTCAAGATCTGAAAGAAAAGAGTGGACTTCAAGAATCAAGTCAGTATATGCCAGTGTGAATTCAAAGTTACATGGAGAAATATCTAAGCAAATAAATAATTTTAACATTGTACATTTCTGATTACGGCGTTAGGTGTTTATTTTTCTGTACTGCCTTTCTTCCTTCAGAGACGGACATTAAAAATATTGCTACTTTTTCACAAGTATTAGAAGTGAGTACTAGTGATAATCTTAGCCAATACATTTGAATGGTTTTTAATTTACATCCAATGTATTCAAATCTTAATTTTTATTCCCTCCTTCCTGTCCATGTTTTTGCAATCCTGATTCTAAACTGTGGACTTCAGATAATGTCATAGCATCTGCACTTCCATGTGAACATACCTGTTTATTTTTTCCTCTAGTGGTTTATGCTCCTCTCTAGCTATGAATTTGGTTATTTTTTAACTTTCTTTTCAAATTAACATTATTTTAAATTGACAAATAGTCACCTCAAATCTGTTAGAATGGCTTTTATCAAAAATAAAAAAGATAAAAAGTGTTGACAATGATGCGGCAAAAAAAGAAACCCTTGTAAATTGTTGGTAGAAATCTAAATTAATACAGCCATTATGGAAACCAGTATGGTGGTTCCTCAAAAAACTTAAAATAGAACCTCAAAATGATCTAGCATCTTATTTCTGGAAATATATCCAAATGGATTAAAATTAGTATATCAAAGGGATATCTGCATGCCTTTGTTCATTAAAACATTATCACAATAGCCAAAATATGAGTTTGTTTAGGATTAAAATGACTTCCTTTATTCTGCTTATGCTACTAAGCAATATAGCCAATTTAAGCAGATAGAATGGAGCTGTTCAGCCTGAGAATCCTGTTAGTTCCTACCTTGGCCCAAACAAAATAAAATTTGAGCAATTAATGATACTACCTAGGCTCAAAATATACGTTTTCAAGAAGAGTTTTCCTAGTGTTCCTCAATACTCGTCCTAGTATTCTAGAAAATTCAGCTGTTTTCAAGGCTAAAGGTAACGATTACAGCTGCCAACTAATACGTAAATTTGTCTCAGTCAGCCTTAGCTTAGTCTACAATGTTAAGCCAACTTGTAGTTCAAGATCAGCAGCCTGAGAATTAAGATTGTCCTTGTCTGCTCAAAATCCATGCTAAGAATACAGTTGTTGGCCAGGCACGGTGGCTCATGCCTGTAATCCCAGCACTTTGGGAGGCCGAGGGGGGCAGATCACCTGAGGTCAGGAGTTTGAGACCAGCGTACCCAACATGGCGAAACTCTGTCTCTACAAAAAATTAGCCAGGCTTGGTGGCGGGTGCCTGTAATCCCAGCTACTCGGGAGGCTGAGGCAGGAGAATCGCTTGAACCCAGGAGGTGAAGGTTGTAGTGAGCCAAGATCATGCCACTGCACTCCAGCCTGGGCCATAAGAGTGAAACTCTGTCTCAAAAAAAAAAATATATATATACAGTTGTTCCTCAGTAACCATGGAGGTTTCATTCCACCATCTCCCCCAGGGGTAACAACATCTGCATATTCTGAAGTTCTTAATATAAAATGGTATAGTATTTGCCTATAACCTATGTATATCGTCCTATAAACTTTAAATCATTTCTAGACTAGTTATACTGCATAACACAATGTAAATGTGATTTAAGTAGTATTATGCTGTATTGTTTAGGGAATAATGACAAGAAGAAAAAAAACCTGTACATGTTCAGTCAAACACAATTAAAAAAAATATCTTGCAACTGCAGTTGGTTGAATTCATGGATATGGAATCCATGGAGGTAACAGATTTGCTGTTGTATCACTAGTGGGCTCATTCTACTTTTCTCTATGCTAATACATAAAGAATCACGTCTTCTTAATAACACAGAATGTTTAAATTTGGGGGAAAGTAAAACCCTTGAATTAAATCTGTTGTATGTTAGCTTTATCTTATATTTTTACACTGGATGACACCTTGAATATAAATTTAACCCGTATTTTCTTGTTGACAGGGATACAATACCCATGTGGCATAAGCTTTGGGGAAGTAAACAAACTGTCAGTATCTCAATGTTCTCATATAATTATCTACATCATATCATCGTTGTGAGAATTAACCTTGGTTTATTACTGGCAGATTTTTTAAAATTTCTGTCATTATACTTATCTTTAACAGTGTATGTTGCAAAGTGCTGAACTTAGGGTCAATAAAAGTAAAAACCTTTCTCAAAACAATATTTAAATTAAATTAAGTTAAATATTTTAAATATTTATTATTTTAATCTCCTTTGAAGAAGGCAAAATTATTGATACTGAAATTCATGAAATAAGATATTTAGTTAACTTCACATTACTGGTGAAACTGAGGTTTTCTGACGTATGTGGGAGATTTAATTTTGCAAAAATAAAAGAAAATAATGCTATATTTAAAGAACTTTCTCTGGTTAGAGAGATTGTGCTACTCTAGACTTTTTACCATAGCTTCTTACATATGAAACTTTACCATCTACAAATTTACAGAGTACTTTTTCTGAGATCCTGTCTTGCATTTTTCTTTGTACATTCCTGTTTCAGGAGATCTGTTTGTCTGGTTTCCTACTAGAACGCAGAACTCTTAATTATGCTGCTCCTTTGTCTCTTCTTCTCAACAGTGCCCATGTCATGGGAGAGCCATGGGAAGAAAGAGATACAGGGAAAAAAGCAATAGGTGTATGCTTCATCCTTCTGGGATCACATCTTCTTTGAAAGTAGGAAGAGATGTCCCTTCCTTAGAGTTTTTAGGGCCCTGAAGACCACATGATTGCTTGGGAGCTGAGGTTAATGAAATGGGAGCTTTTTGTTTAAATAAAGAAAAATATGGCTGATTTCTATACCCTCTCTGTGACCTCTTTGTCCCTTCTTAAAGCAGAACCATTGGGCTTCTCCTGGCGCCATTTCTGTTTATGATAATCTCACTTTTGAATTTTATAGATCCAATCAATTCAGCTCGGGGATTGCTAGAGGGGGAGAAATGATAAACTCAACAATTTTTCATTGTTACTTTGAATGATGGTCATTTTTTCTATAATTTGTCATCACTTTTTTTTTTTTTTACTTTTAAGAGGCTTCAAATAGCCATTCTATTTATTCTGTTCAGGTTTTATAGCTGCACTTAGTTAGAGGCAGTGTACTGTGTAATAAGTCCATCTTATCTGGAACGGAACTTCACTGTAACAATTTTGAAAGTAAAAAATAATATTTATTAAAAATTAATCGGCCGGGCGCGGTGGCTCACGCCTGTAATCCCAGCACTTTGGGAGGCCGAGGCGGGCGGATCACGAGGTCAGGAGATCGAGACCATCCTGGCTAACACGGTGAAACCCCGTCTCTACTAAAAATACAAAAAATTGGCCGGGCGTGGTAGCGGGCGCCTGTAGTCCCAGCTACTCGGGAGGCTGAGGCAGGAGAATGGCGTGAACCCGGGAGGCGGAGCTTGCAGTGAGCCGAGATCGCGCCACTGCACTCCAGCCTGGGCCACAGAGCGAGACTCCGTCTCAAAAAAAAAAAAAAAAAAAAAAATAATTAATCCAGGCAACAGGTGCAACCTAGAAATAGCTCAGATAAAAATGGATATATAAACACTCTACCTGAACAACATTTCTTTAAACAATTTTCTATATTCTTTGTCTCTCTCCTTTGGCTTCTATTTATATATCAGCTTCTTAAATCTCATTTTTAATCCATAAAATTCCACTGAGGCATTCATGAAAAATCTTATTTAACTTCTGGACAAAATTTTACATGACTATTTATTCTTTGACCCGGTATGTTTTTTTGACTTCAGGGTGTGAGACACAGACAGTTTTCCACCTAATTCTCTGGCACATCTTCTCAGGTATTTTGAGAATCTTCTTCTCTTCCTTCCTTCAGTATGACTCATATTACATTTCTCACTCTGCCTAACATTCCTACATGATTTTATTTGCTCCCATAGTTTTAATTACTAGTTGGCTCTTAATGACTCCAAAATCAACATCATCCACCATCAGTAGTTCCCGTTTTAATTCATTACAATATATTGAATTATGAATAGATATTTTGATTAAAATTCAACAATGAAAAATTTGAAATATTCCGACCTAGATTTATAATCATTGTTCCCAAACGTTTTCTTTCTCTGTCTTTCCTGACTTAATAAAAAGTATTACTACCAGCAACTAGATGTCCAAGTCAGAAACCTAATTGTCATTTTGAGTTTCATTTTTCTCGACTTTCACTCTACATTCAATAATTAACCTTTAGATTCTAACTCCCAAATATATCTCAATTATTATTTTTTAACTTCTCTAAAAAAATAATAATGCTTCTCTGAGACAAGCCGCCATAATGTCCACCAGGATAATTATAATAATCTAAGTGGCATGTCCAACAGTGGTCTTGATTTTTTCCAATCACTTCTCTCACTGAAGACAGACTAATTTTCTAAGGTGTGAATATGATCACCTGCTTACAATTCTTTATCAGTTATTCATTTTCTTTATAACAAAGTAAAAAATATTTAGCAGAGATTAAATATCTCTTCATTCAATGGCCCCTGCTTATGTATCCAGTCACATCTCTTAATTCTGCCTTTAACCTGAATCTTAACACATTTTTAAACCCTTACCTGTGCTCATAATATTATTCAAGGATATCAACACAAGTTGTTACTTCTGAATCTTTATGTATACATTTTTCTTGGTTCCAGAATAAGGAAATGTTTTTCAGGGTTTAGTTTCAATATCAGTTTTTCCATGAATATTACATTATTCCTGCTAAAGCTATTTTAGAAGTATTGTCTATGTTATATAGTACTATATATTTCTACTACTCTAAATTTCATATATCTTTTTGAAAAAATAGATTATTTATTTCTATTGGGTTATCAAAAAAATCTAAACTCCATCAAAGTCAAGATTCATGCTATATTGTTCACTGTTACTATCTTCATCATCAATTGCAATGCCTGGCAATTATAATTTAAATGGAGAGATTAATAAATTAACACAAAAGGAACTATTCTCAAAACCCCAAAAAAGATGGCAAAAATATGTCCTTTCATCAATAGCAAACTTATGATTTGGCAAACTAAAAAACGAAAAAAAATCATAATTTACACTTGGTTCTTTCCAGAAAGCAATAAAGACTTTACCAGCCTGGAAATATATCATTTCACAGAAGAGTCAAGAATATGCAACTTCTAAATAATGTCAGTCCATGCTAAGAGAAAAAATAGTTTTCCAGATATTAAAACTTGTAACAAAGTTCAAACCACATCAGAATTATTTTTTCTCATTTTCCACACGTGTTTCAGTTGTTGAAAGTACCGAGGGATATAACAAGGGAGACAACAGCTCATTGTTAGTGAGAACTTGCTATATAATGTGTACTTTCATGTAAAATAGATATATAAACTTATAGAGCAACTGTATTTGTTAGATAATGAGGGGCTAAGCGACATGGTGATTCAATGCATAGTTAGAGCCAGACTGCTCTAATTGAATCTAGACTTTGTAATTTAAGAGCTGTATAATCACTCTCTGCCTCAGTTTCCTCATCTATAAAAGGGGCATAACAATATTACCTACCTCCTATGTTTGATTTTTAAGGATTAAGTGAGTTAACATATTCAGAATACTTAGAGCATTGCCTTCTTTAGTAAGTACTATATAGTTAGTAAGTACTATATATTTAGTAAGTAATATTTATATACAATATACAATTATTATTCCTATTTTACATATGAGAAATATAAAATTCAGAGATGTTCAGTAATGTCCCTATTATCACACAACTGGTTAACAGCTGGTAAGTAGAGAAGCCCAGCCATAAATCTTTTTCTTTTTGATTCCAAAGTTCATGATATATCTACATTCCATGAGCAAACCCAGTAGGTATGCCAACATTTATATATTAGAAAATTTTATACTAGGTATATTTAAAATGAAAAGTCTAAGCCGAGCACAATGGCTTGTGCCTGTAATTCCAGCACTTTGGGAGGTTGAGTTGAGAAGATCTTTTAAGCCAATAAGTTTGAGACCATCCTGGGCAATATAGTGAGACTGTTTCTATTTTAAAAAATACAAAAAATTACCCAGGTGTGGTGGCTCACACTTGTAGTCCTAGGTACTCAGGTGACTTAGGTGGGAGGATTGCTTGAGGTCAGGAGTTTGAGGCTGCAGTGAGCCATGATTGTACCACTGGACTCCAGCCTGGGTGACAAAGCAAGACCTGTCTCTAAAATAAAGAAAAGAAAAACCTACATTAGTATAATAAACTTTTATTTAACCATCATTACTTTAAACTATGGTCAACATAGTATCAGTCTTATGTAATTTACAATCTTACTCAATCCTAAGACTTAGATTATTTTAAAGAAAATCCAAAATGTCATATTCTTTCTACACAATTTTCATTTTTAAGTATTCTTGAAAGGACTAATTTTTAACATGACCATGATAATATTATAAAACATAAAAGTTATTAATAGTAATCCTTGAATACATATCCAGTGTTCAAATATTCTTGATTACTATATTGCCACTTATTTGCATGCTATTTGTCAATAATTACTTTGTAAATTAAATTTTGAATGTCACAGTTCCTCTAAATTCTGCTCTATCATCTCCTTTTGAGGTTTCATTCACTTCTGTGACTTCAATGGCCACATAAATTAGATTTATTAATAAATACATAAAGATGATACAAATAATCATTTATTTTATTTTTATTTTACCCAGCATTCTATTTCATAATGATACTTTATTCTTAAAATATTATTTTCAATGTATTATAGATAAAAATACATCTTTATGAAGCCAGTGATTTCTAATCTGCTCTTATGAGTATGTCCAGTTTTACACTGAATTGTAGAAATAGTATTAAAATGAGAGATTCAGCATCTTACTGATTTAAATATAACAATAACAAACAAGAGTCATTGAAAGGATAGTCTGAGAGACTTTTTACCTTGGTACTACTTAGTGTTGCAATGAAAATGTCAATAGATACTTACAGTCACATTTGAAATTGTCCTACTAGTGTATGGAAAAAATAAATTACATGGTAATAGAGTTGCTAGAAACGTTAGAGTAAGAAAACATTAGTCAGCTTTCATGTGATATTTTAGGAGTAAGAAAGAATGAAATAAAATAGAAATATGGATTAAAATCACAAGTGTTAAAGATAACTGAATTTGTCTCTGTGCCTAGATGAAAATACCAGCCTGAGACAGAGAACTAGATATGAAAGATGAAAAAAAAATCCCAGCTGCACTGTAACCATCAAAATTGAGCAGTATTCTACCTTATAATTGAGTCTCGGTGGCACAATTCTTACATCATTCACTATGACTGTTCCAATAAGCCCCTGTTAAAGTTAACAGACTTGAACTCCACTGAAAATTCATCATCTAAACGTAAGCATTGGCTTATTAGAATGGAACAGACGGATTTTTATGTGGGAAAGGGACAGTCAATTCTACAAATTTTAATTAATCAGAAAGTTTTATGTCAGCACATTGTCTAGGATGTGTTCTAAAGAAAATTAGTGTGACAATATACATATATGAAAAAATGTAAAAAGAGAAATAACCCAACTATTCAGAAATTCTTTTGTAGTATTTATTCATAATACATAATTCACAAAACATAAGCAAATATGAAGGAGTATTTGAAACTAATGAAATTTCAGCATTTTTTTATGGTCAGTAGAATTCAGTGGTTATTGCTAAACGTTTTTTTTGAGACAGTCTCCCTCTTTCGCCCAGGCTGGAGTGCAGTGGTGCGATCTAGGCTCACTGCAAGCTCCGCCTCCTGGGTTCACACCGTTCTCCTGCCTCAGCCTCCAGAGTAGCTGGGACTACAGGCACCTGCCACCACGCCTGGCTAATGTTTTGTATTTTTAGTAGAGACGGGGTTTCACCGTGTTAGCCAGGATGGTCTCGATCTCCTGACCTCGTGATCCACCCTCCTTAGTCTCCCGAAGTGCTGGGATTACAGGCGTGAGCCACCGCGCCCGGCCATCGCTAAACTTTTTATATCTTTGATTAGAATACTTTTCAGGAAAAATTGAGAATAAAAGTTTAAATTAAATTGAGAATAAAAGATGTAAATTTGATACAAGTTTTTAAATTATAAAATATTCATATGGGTTTTATTAATTGAAATTACAATATATATTCATACAATATAGAAATAGCAAAAAATGCAAATAAGCACTTTCATATCTGGTGAATATAGATTAAAATTTCCAGTTAACCTAGTAGTTACTTATTTTGCTCTATCTTATATGATTTTCCTGCTGAAAATAACATTGAAAATAATGGCTATTGATTTGCTCTCAAATTCTAAATTCTGCTGCTCGAATTAATATTTCATATGTGTAAGTGTACATTCATATATGCACGCATTTACATATCTTATATGTAATTAATCTTATAATTTATATTGAGACTTTTTAATAATAATAACTTTGTATTGCTATGATCATAGTCTTTGACATAATGTTTTCTCAGACAAACACAATAATTAACTTAGAGAAAACTAAACATTAGAATAAAATCTTCCGGATACTGGAAGTTTTAATCATACCGAGAACATTGCAAAAGCCCCTCTTTCTTTATTGACCACATTTGATATAAAGATAAGGAGATTATGAAAAAGGTTACCAGAAAAAAAAAACTTTAAGGGAGGACAACCTAAGAAACTGAAAGAAGAAAAACAAATGAGAGGAAAATATGAAAGGAAAAAGAGTATATGGAAGGTGATAAGGTGTTTGTTTCTCCTTGGGAAAGATGGAAATAATTTTTAAATTCTTGAGTAAAACTAAATAAATGCCTTCTCTTACTAATCTATAGCAGTATCGATGTCATGCATGTGATAATAGCTGCACAGTCATGGAATGCAGCAGGGAGTTATGGAACTAGGAGAAGGTAACATTAAGGTGGAGCAATCTTAGACCCTGGGGAAAGTTAGTGACACAAACTAGAAAATGCATATGGCAGGTGAATGCCCCTCATGCTCATTGCTGTGATTCAAAGTGGGATTATCAGATTTGTGGGCCAAAATATCAGTTTAAATAGTCTATCCAGAAACATCCAGTCTCTAAGAGGTTAAATAAACCAAGGAGTAATAATGTAGATGAAAGAAAACCAACATACTGATATGCATAACATGATGATAAAAAATGATCCATAAAAAGTCTTCAACACCTCAGACAATGTTTACAACATGCAATCAATCTTTTATTGGTGAATTAAAATAAACCACAATTACCAAGTATACCACTTTCTGATCATTGCCTTCTGTTCTATAAATGCTCTCTGTACTGTAATATTTAAATAGGGATAAAAATATCATTACAATTTTCATTGGTGAGAATGAACTCACAGCCTGGAGAATCAAAAGAAGATCAAAATAATTGGTATAGTAAGGCTAAAAAAAAAAGAATCAAATACATATGTAGAGAAACACGGCCTTGTGTTTTTACTTTTTGAATCCTGAACTACTAGATGACATGTAAAACCCATATATTCATGCAATTAAATATTAAAAGCATATTATATTTTTTGACCAGCATCTCCCTTAAACAGCATTTCTCCAGTTATTGTAGTTGCTGTTTTTTAAGATCTATGAGCTGAGCCCCAATAAGAGAAACAGTTAAAGAGAGTGAAGGAGACTAAAAGAGTAACATCCGTACTCGGATGGAAGAGTCTATGGATAAATTAGGAAGCTCCCCTTTGAGGGCTACTTATTTCACCAAAAACAAACCCATGCTTGCTTAATTTTCTGTAGATAATTTTGAGAGAAAGACAAGAGGGAAAAATCTAACTCATAAAAATAGATGTAGTCATAGGGCAAGAACAATTCTGAAAGGTTAAACTTTACTTACAAATCTTTAGTATTTAGCCCTCCAGTAAAAACCTAAAGTTATAGTTAAAATGTTCAAATAAATTTATTGGAGACTCAAGGAGGACTACCTATATCATTTTGGGGAGAAACTTCCCTTATTCAAATGGAGATTTAAATAAAAATATTTTGATTAATAAGCAGAAAATAAACAAAAACCAGGTGAATAATACATTTTGGAAGGAGAATATTCCAGGAAACAACAATAAAAAAATTCAATATCCCTAAAAAATTAAAATGGCAAGTATAAACTGAAATAAAGGACCATAAAAGTAATTAATAAAACAGCACAAATTAACAAGATTATTCTCTTCCATTTCCAGAGAAAGATTACAAGGGAAAATATGAAAATTAAAAATATATAAAATATTAGATTTTAAAAATGTAATAAATAGACATCAAACATACTACATCAAAGAAAAAATTAAATTATAAATAAACTTAAGTCATAAAATAAATTTTATATTTGAATATATTTACTTATTTCACCTTTCACTACCACTAACTTTTCTTTCTTAGGAGATAAATCCAAAGATTTACTAATAAAGTTTACTAGCATTTTACAATTTCGTTATTGATAATATTCATATATTTTCATATATAAAACTTGAAGTATATAAATGAGGTGTGTATTCAACTCAATAAGCTGAAAAGAAACAGAATGTGTGACTTATTTGGACTAAACTCTGTGTTTAATTAATGAATATAGAAAGGAAGCTCAACCTCACAGTGGCTCAGGGTTATGATTTCCGTACCTCAACAAATTATGGTTTAATAACTAGTCCAGATGTTTGATACTCTATGACTGTAATCTCCATGATGGCAGTTTAAAGTTTTTTTATAATTGTATATTTTTCACTTGGCATCAGGTTGTTATTTTCTATGTTTATTTCTTTATTTTTCAAAATTTTAGCTACAGCTAAAATAACAGCTTTAAAAATTGCTTATCCAACATTACATCACCCATCATCTTATCACTGATTCATTGACTGTTTTATAATATTGTTAGGAATATGTTTTCATATATTTAGTGGCTTCACACATGGTTTGTATTTAAAGGTATTTTGGATTGTGTAAGTAGTAAGCTGTTCTTTTCTGATTATTTGACAGTGATTTCCCTCTTTGTCTAAATCCTTTTGTCCTCGATGACTTGGCATGCTCTTTATTTATGCCTGTTACCCCAGATGTATAAAACATACACATTACTTACATAAGAAACAAAATAGCCATGCATATATCATCACTCCCAGAATTCTTATATCATTTGAAATAAATTCATCCAGCTGTAACTTTTATAAAACACATAGCCTTTTTACACTGTATATTTTCTCTTGTAGTAGTGATGGTTGTGATAGTGGTTTAACTTTTAATTTTTCACCTTGCCTCTTCAAACAAACTCTAACAACCTCAAAAGCATTCAGCATTTCTAAATACATCTGGATTTTTTTCTTCCTCTGAGACGTGGAAATAGCTATTCTCTAATAGGTGTCAAAAATGCTGCTGGTTTGGGGTCATTCATTATTTTGGATATCTATCTATCTATTAATCTGTCTATCTAGTAGTCATATATTCTTTTAAAGAAAAAAATTACTTGGTGACACTTGTTAAGCCACTTTAAGAAATACTTCATTCAGTACCATTGTGTTAGATATAGGGACCAAGGCAATGGTATTTTTTACAGTGGAGCAGAGTTTGGGCTCTACTTGAATACAACAAGAGCTAGTGGCAATCTATAGCCAAGGACCAGGGTGATCAGTGGATTTCCAAAGAGGAAACATTAGGGTTGAGGGAATTCTAGTTACTCTGAACTAACCAGATTCTTACTGAAGACAGGCCAGGGTGATCAGAGAGCGGAGGCCTGGAGGATGGCGTAGGATGAGGAACTTGATCAGATATTGACACTGATCAGGAAATGAGGCTGGGAGTGCTTGCCATAGTGACTTAACCGGGTTATTTGCTAAGACTGGATTATACATGGAAGTATTCACATGGTTCTTGAAGAAGTTTCAGAAGCCTGACTAAAGTTTCTCCAAGCACAAAATCTTTGTCAGTTCATACTGATTTTTCAAAAATAAAACCTTATATTGCTGCATCATATTTTTATCTCAGAATATTGTTTAATACATCTCTAAGAAATTTTATTATATTTGCTATACTTTTCTATAAAGAAAATACAGTTTTCTTGCATTTTCTATACTTGCCTGTAGAAAAAGTGGTAGACTTGAATTGATGAGAAAACTAGGGAAAATATAATGTAAATTAATTTGAGGAGGATATAGCCACGGAAAACCTTAACATACTATTATCAAGTAAAACAGGAAGGAGTGAGTAAATAAATAATGGTTTACGAAAAAAATGAGGCAATAGGCCACTTAAATTCTCTGTGTATGAGTGGCTAGGAGTGAAAATGTTGAATTTCTGTTCATCTATTTCCTTGAGATGCTATGTTAGGTTGTTAATGTGTGATCTTTATATTTTTTTTATGTAGGCATTTAATGCCATAAAATTCCCTCTTAGCACTGCTTTTGCTGTATCCCACAGGTTTCAGTATGTTGTGTGTCTATTTGTTTCAAAACATTTTTAAATTCTCTTTTTAATTGCTTCATTGACCCAGTTCAGGAACTTTTTGGTCAGTTTCCATGTATTTGTATAGTTTCCAAATTTCTTCTTGGTATTGATTTCTAGTTTTATTCTGCTATGATCTGAGAAGATATTTGATATGAGTTTGATTTTTAAAAATTTGTTGAGACTTGTTTTGTGGCCCATAATATAGTCTAATATATATTCTATCAATGGTGAAATAATAATACATAGATATCAATACTAAACAATGTCCATATCCATTGTTAATGGAAAGGCAAAAAACAAATCAGTTTTAAAACATTAGAAATGGTTTCTATAAAATAATCATCATCATCATGTTAAAAACAGAATCTTGATAGAAAATAGTAAATATGTGCAAATATAAATCAAATTGTTTTTCTCTGATAAGAGCCTCTTAGACTTGAATGGAATTTTTACTTTCTATCTATGATAGTTCTATTTGCTTTTTAAAAAATTGTGTATCTTATTCTATAATTAAGCATTTGATCTAATATAATTTTCAAAAATATTATAAAACAAGTTATGAAACGAGCTAGATTATAAAAGGAAATGAAAATGTTTTACATAAAACCTTTAATAGATCATAGTGGGAGATTATGAAGATGTGAGAAGGAGTAAAATAACTTTGTCAGATTTCAAAGTAATTTTTTGAGATGTCTCATCCTCTTGCTGCCCTTTTCCTACTTTCCAGCATCTTTATAATACAGGCTACATATTTTACTCCAACTATGGACAGCCTATGTTCTGGTTGTAGTCACAACATTTATGCTTCATATCTGAAAGCAGTGAAGTGAATCTAAGAGAAGCAAGAAGAAGCTAAAGAGCAAGCTTCTCAAAATGTGTCTGCAGCCTTTGGGAAGTTGACATGAAGAAAGGTACATGAAGTAGAGGGATACATGACTTTTTTTCAGTAAATGAAAAGGTTATAGTCCTTGAATCAGAGCATATGATTTGACAGCAGCTGTTATAATTTTAATTTTTTTGAGACATGATCGCTTTGGGTAAAAACTAATTATGTTTAAGAAACTTAATTATAAGTTTCTAATTTATTTTCCAGTTTTTCTGGAATAAAAGACTCCTTACAATCAGTCTATTAAACACTTTTAGATTCATATTTTGAACAAATTTATATTATATGAAAAAGTAGAATATCACCTGTGTATCCACTGAAGCTTCAGTTTGTTGTGGCCAATGTTCCTATCTTTGATACAGAAATAAAAGTTTACTCTGTCCATCTTAATTTGATTAGTTCTTGCAAAGTTAATCTTATTTCCATCACTCTCAAATTATTGGGAAGTACCCCATTATTTTCCAAATCACAGCCTGTAAATCATGTGACATACATTTATCGGCAAATCAAAAGTACAGAATAGCTTTGGTAATTGTGACATTAATAAACCATTTACTATTAAATAATATGTATATGTTATTATCTTTAAAATAGTCCGGGAGTGAATTTAAAACTACTCTTTTCTTTGCATTTGGTAAATATGCTCTACACAATGTGATTTCTTTTTTGGCCATTGTCTATATATTTTTTTCTCAATTTGAATTATACCCTCTCTTTAGGCTTGAGATACACTTATTTTAGTATTGAGACATACTAATTTTTCAGCTTCAAGCAAGAACCATACTATTTCTCACATTTGTGTAAATTGTTCTTCCATAGCCTTCAGTAGATTTGTTTCCCGTTCCATAACCATGTATAGCACTTTACATGTAATTGAAGCAGTCGTAAGGCTGATTTATTTGTGAATTTTCCGTACTTGTTTTATTTGTGAATTTTCCCTAGTATTTACATGTGATGAGTGTTTGTCCATCACTGTATCCCCAATCAGAAGCTAACATATAGCAGACATAAAAATATATAAAAATAAAATAATATATAGGGTGAAACACTCAAAATTATCAAGAAGGAAAGATAAATATTTTAACATCTATTTTTCTAATGTATTTAATGGCCAATATTTAGTTATTTATATTTTTAAAAGAATATATTGCTTCCAATAAGATAGTGCATCAATAACTAGGATTGATTCTCTTTTTTAAAAAGTGAATACTACTTACAATAGATTTTATAAAATTAGAATCATCAATGATCTTGAAAGAAAGTTAAGAATGATGAAGAGAGGTTTAAGCAAAGGTTTAAATTTGCATATGTAAGAGGAAAATGACATAAAACTTGCACACTGAGAATATTTGCTGAACTCAATGAACTCTAGACTTGAGACCTCATTGAGCATGGGGTAAAAATATAAATTCAAGAGCTCACTGAAAATAGGAAAGCTAATAAGATATTCTCTCCTGTAAAGATATCAGTACAAGGGTACAATGAGAACAGTGATCATCTGCAGGCTATGAGAAAACTTATATATATATATATGTATATTTATATATATAAATATATATAATTTAGCACTGAACATATAGCGAAATTTGCTTAACTATATAATCTGATTTTATACTTTTTGGTGGCTTGGTACCTCTGGTAGAAATTCAGCTTAACATAATCCCAGCATAGTATCTCACCAAAATAAATTAGAAGAAATAAAAACAATCTTTTCTCAGGAAATACTTTTACGTAGTAAAGATTTTAATGAATAAAATTCCCAGAAAAATTAGCGGTGCATGAAAAGAATGCATCTATATATTTCCATATGTATATTTCCATATACGTGGAAATAAGGTACTATGATCTAGAACCAAGATAAACAATAAACAAAGAAAATAGATTTAAATGTATTTTAAGTGATGACATTAGCAGACACAGATTACAAATAAATAAAATATGAATTTTTTTAAAAATAAACATGCTTGACCATATTCACAGGGAAGCAAAAACTGCAAATAATGACAAGCATAATTTGAAAAAACACTGGAGAAACATGCAATAATAAACAAAAAATATATTATTTGATATGAAGAGTCTACAAATTGACCTAATTGATGTATTATGTACAACATCTGGCAAACATACTGAAAACATAATTGGAGGAAAATTACACAGAAGAAATTACACAGAATGAAACCAGAGAGAAAAATAAGAGAAGAAGATATGAATAATTGATTAAGATACATAGAGTATGGAGGGAGAAGACATAACATAAATTTTATCTAGAGTTCCAGAAGGGAAGGAGAGAGAGAAAGAGAAGAGGGAACAAAAAAAATTGAAAACATAATATCAGGAAAATTCATGAAAAAAAAATGAAACCACGGATTCATGAAGCTGAACCAGTTCCAGAAAGAAAAATAGAAAAGGAATATAAATCACACTAAAAATAATTACTGCATCTCTAACAAGGTAGTGCCTATACTGCTGGTCTGGAGATGACACTTTAAGAACCACAAACATAAAGAAGATATAGCATGGAAGAGACAAAGAGAAGATCTAAAATCAGCTTCATGTAGAGGAAAATGGTTTCAGAAAAATAAGATATAAAGTACACTGGAGAAAAAGAACAAAAAGAGTGCTAAATGTATAGGTAAAACTAAATGAACATTGCCTGTATAAATTGCTAATAATCACTTACTGAGGATCTTAAAATTAAACAACCTAACATGAAAACATACAATAAGAGAATATGTTAGAAAACTCATAAATTCAGATATTGTTTTATATTGTTCATAAAGAGGATAATCATTTACATTGTACTCTAATTAGATCAACATACTTGCTGTAATTATTTAGCTATTTACTAAAGAAATTGTCTTAGAGAATGTAACTCAAAAGAGTAGTAGGAATAATTGAATAATTAAATGTATAATTTTTCAAAATGAGTGCAAGAAAGAAAAATATATATGAAACAAGAAGACAGGTATATAAAATATGATGCCAACTAAACAAAATAACGTATTAATAATTATAATTAATTGGATGTACTCAATGCTTCAGTAGAGAACAAATTTAATGAACTACCTTAAAAATTCAACTATTAAAGGCACAAATGAAGCCTAAGTGTAAACAGTTTGAATTCAAAGCATTAGATCAAATTGCACCATTCTAAACCAAATTCTAACCAAAAAAGGACTGGTGGGTTAAGTGTATCCTAAAGTTACCTCCTTACATATTTTAAGCTGAGCCTAAAGGTTTCTTGGTACAAAGTAAGCTGAAACCTGAGTGTGTAAACAGGAGGTAACCTACTCTTATGAGGATCACCAAGTTTTGACCAATCAAAGTGGCCAACTATTTAAACCACGTTCAAATAAGGCAAATACCAAGTGGTAAGCCATCTAGCTGTTTCTGTACCTCAATTGTATTTTCTGTGTGTCACTTTCCTTTTTCTGTCTATAAATCTTCTACCATGTGGCTGTGCTGGAGTTTTTCTGAACCTACTCTTGTAACTGAGTTCCTCCATTTTTCTAAGAGATAGTTTTGTTGTTGTTGTTGTTTTTCTTCTTCTTCTCTTCTTTTCTCCTTTCTCTTTTCTCTCTAATTTCCACTTTGTCCTTTTTGAAATGCAACATAACCTCTCACTTCCCCCTCACCAGACATTCCCTATAGGGCAAGTTCCTCTGTGTGTTTCCAGAGGGATCTCTTCCTCAGAGTTGACAGTGATTTGCAGATCAAAGAATGTCCCCAGGGAACCCCCACCTCCAGAGGGCTGCCCCAGGAGGACCTACTGAAAGCATGCTCACCAGTTCACTTTTACAACTTACTTCTGCCCAGGAAGGCACCAACTCAACTCTCATGTCCAGTAGATAAAGCAGGGGCTAGCAGAGGATCCCTGCCCTTGCTCATTTCCTCCCCTACATTATAAAATGCCTGCTTTTTCTCCAAAGGGGAAGCAGCACATTTAAAGCAAGACCTTCTGTGCCCCTTCTTCAAGCTAGCTTTGGAAATAAATTCACTTTTCTTGTACCAGTCTCCACTGTTTTTAATGGGACTCTACATGTGGCAAGCGACTAACCTGCTTTTCAGTTACACTCTGGCTCTACGCCCACCCAATTCATGAGTTGTTCTTTGCCCAGTTAAACTCTGTTTAATTCAGTTTGTCTATGTGTTTTTTTTTAAATAAAAGATGGTACTATATTAAACTAAAATAAAATAGACTTCTAGTTATAAAATATTGTTAGAAAAATAATATAATAAAATATCCTACTAAAATAATAATTTAGAATGTATAACATAATTTCAAAACATATTGAATTAAATAAAAATATTTTACCCCAAAATATATTTCTTCGACATTATTTTAAAATGGCTAACACAGGGCCAGATTCTTCTGTAGAGAATCTCCATTAATGTAGCCAGGAATTCCCTATCTAGGCCTTTCCAGGATCTAGAAAACTTTACTGGAGTATGATATCTTTAAAAGTCCAAAACGAAACATTTACCATCTATTCTCTCTGAGAGTTGCTATCTATGAGGCTTCATCTACATAACACCACCCCTTTGCTAATCAAGCCTCTTCTCTTCTCCCTCTCTTAACCTGTCTTGCCACTAGAACCTGATTTATCAACATAACACGGTTTTGGCTATGCTCTGAGCCTGCATTATTTCTGTAACCTCAAGATGGTATATAAGCTTCTGTACTTTACTGAGGAGTTGGATCATCATTCTGAAAGCTTTGTGTATACATGTTAAATAGATTTACATGGTTTTTCTTCTATTAATCAATCTGCCTAATGTCAGTGATTTTTCATTGAACCTTTAGGGAGCCAACAGCCTTGGCCCCCACGATACACAGGATATATTCTATATCCTGATAGAATTGCTGGAGAAAAATACAAACATCTATAATCGGAGTAAAAGATATTGACATAACTCTCTCCCAGTAACTGATAGAAAAAGGACACAAAATTTCAGTGAGAGTAAAGATAATTTGCATAATAGGAATAAAGGAATAACATTTGTTTAAAATGTTTATGTGCAGAACACTGTACTCCCAAAATAGCAGAATAAACACTGTTTTCATGTATGCATAAGGAATTTACCAAAATTTACCAAGTATTTGGACATAAATTTTGACCAAACAAATGTCAAAGGATTTACACAAAAAATGAACGTATTTATGACAGGAATAAAAGTTTGCTAAAAATTAATTGCAGAATGTTAACTAGAAAATTATTTGTTTGAAAATAAGTAATGCCACAAAGAAAAACTCATAATGTAATGGGAAAATGTTTAGGACTTAACAATAATGAGGATACTATAAATCAAAAACCTATGAGATACAGCTAAGGGTACTTACAGGGAAAGTTACTCTTTTGTGCAATGGTGAGGGGTCTCTTTGGCTTCCTCAAAGAACATCTTTTGCAGCTTCTCCAGCCATTTCCCAGTGAATTATCTACTTCAATATTGCAGTTCAACTTTGACTATCAGATAAGCAATAGTTTCCTGAAGCTTGCTAACCTGGGCAAGGACCAAGCCGGCTTTAAGATTCCTCCTCTACTTAGATAGATTTCTTCCTGATTCTAGGCTTCTAACCTCACTTTTCTTAGAGCACTTATCTCAGAAAATGTGTATTTGAAGATTCTTTCTCTGACTCTTTGAAATGTAAATTTTCTACAATCCAGGAATGTCTTTCTCAAGGACCTGGGAGCCATCCCTTTGAAATATAATCATCAAGACAGATAGTGCCCTGTCTCTCAGTCTCTGTGGGAGGGTAGAAACCTAACTTTGAAGAGGAACAATTAGCGAACAGGGATGGCCTAATCACATTGACCAACTTAAATGTCCTACAGTACTTTGCCATGAGCTAATCCCAGCATTTAACTATCCACCTGCCTTTTGTTTCAGGGAAGTTGAGTTCAATGCCTCTCCCTTATGTGCAAAGTCTTGAATAATAGTCTCGAAAAATTGTCCAGTTCTATTCAACTTTCAGTGTGATTTTTTTCTTCTGACAGTAGCAGCAACAACTTCCTGAAATTCTGAACCACAGTTGCAGTCATGGCCTTTCTTGAATATTACCCCTCTAGCTCATTAGATAATTTTATAATTATCTTATTCTCTACATAAAAATCTATTCATCTTTGAAAGACCTAGAGTTCTGTTTAACAACAGCAAAAAAAAAAAAAAAAAGAATTTAAATAAAAAAGAGGAAATCTAGATCTTCCAAAGAAGAGTCGACTTAGAATTTTTAAATGAAAGCCACTTTAACCTTAACACAATTTTTAAAAATTCCTCTTTTAGCCATACTAGGAAAAATGGAGACCAGGGTGAGCATTACTTAATATAATAGGAAGCTCTTGAGTTGGTAAAGCAATGAGAGACCAAATGATAGTTTTTCTCCCTTCATTTTCACATGTCACAGTAAAAATCAGAATGTTTAATTAAAAAAAATCATCTGGGTAAAATCAATTATTCTTTGGTACATCAAGACTTAAAGACTCTCAATATTGGAAGCTGTTCATCTTAGAATACGTGGATAAAGATGCTCAAATTAGAGGGATCATTCCAAGATGGCCACATAGGAACAGCTCCGTTCTACAGCTCCCAGAGTGATCGACACAGAAGAGGGGTGATTTCTGCATTTCCAACTGAGGTACCTGGTTCATCTCACTGAGACTTGTTGGACAGTGGGTGCAGCCCACGGAGGGCAAGCTGAAGCAGGGCGGGGCATCGCCTCACCCAGGAAGCTCAAGTGGTCGCGGGATTTCCCTTTCCTAGCCAAGGGAAGCCATACAGGGTACCCGGAATATTGAAACAATCCCGCCTTAATACTGTGCTTTTCCAAACGTCTTAACAAATGGCAAACCAGGAGATTATATCTGCACTTGGCTTGGGGGGTCCCGGTCCCACGAATCCTTGCTCACTTCTAGCACAGCAGTCCAAGGTCGAACTCTGCACCAAGGCTGGGGGAGGGGCGTCTACCATTGCTGAGGCTTGACTAGGTAAATAAAGCTGCCAGGAAGCTCGAACTGGGTGGAGCCCACTGCAGCTCAATGGGGCCTGCCTGCCTCTGTAGACTCCACCTCTGGGAGCAGGGCACAGCTGAACAAAAGGCAGCAGAAAGCAGAAACTTCTGCAGACTTAAACGTCCCTATCTGACAGCTCTGAAGAGAGCAGTGGTTCTCCCAGCATGGAGTTTGAGCTCTGAGAATGGACAGGCTGCCTCTTCAAGTGGGTCCCCGACCCCGAGTAGCCTAACTGGGAGACACCTCCAGTAGGGGCCAGCTGATGCCTTACACAGCCAGGTGCCCTTCTGAGATGAAGCTTCTAGAGGAAGGATCAGGCAGCAATATTTGCTGTTCTGCAATATTTGCTGTTCTGCAGCCTCCACTGGTGATACCCAGGCAAACAGGTCTGGAGTGGACCTCCAGCAAACTCCAAAAGACCTGCAGCTGAGGTTCCTGACTGTTAGAAGGAAAAGTAACAAACAGAAAGGAATAGCATCAACATAAACAAAAACGACATCCACACCAAAACCCTATCTGTAGGTCACCAACATCAAAGACCAAAAGTAGATAAAACCACAAAGACGGAGAGAAGTCAGAGCAGAAAAGCTGAAAATTCTAAAAACCAGAGCGCCTCTTCTCTTCCAAAGGATCGCAGCTCCTTGCCAGCAACGGAACAAAGCTGGACTGAGAAGGACTTTGACAAGTTCACAGCAGTAGGCTTCAGAAGGTCGGTAATAACAAACATCTCCGAGCTAAAGGAGGATGTTCGAACCCATCGCAAGGAAGCTAAAAACCTTGAAAAAAGATTAGATGAATGGCTAACTAGAACAAACAGCATAGAGAAGACCTTAAATGACCTGATGGAACTGAAAACCATGACACTAGAACTACGTGACACATGCACAAGCTTCAGTAGCCGATTCGATCAAGTGGAAGAAAGGGTACCAGTGATTGAAGATGAAATGAATGAAATGAAGTGAGAAGTTTAGAGAAAAAAGAATAAAAAGAAATGAACAAGGCCTCCAAGAAATATGGGACTATGTGAAAAGACCAAATCTATGTTTGATTGGTGTACCTCAAAGTGACAGGGAGAATGGAACCAAGTTAGAAAACACTCTTCAGGATATTATCCAGGAGAACTTCCCCAGCTGTGGAAGGCAGGCCAACATTCAAATTCAGGAAATACAGAGAACACCACAAAGATACTCCTTGAGGAGAACAACCCCAAGACACATAATCTTCAGATTCACCAAGGTTGAAATGAAGGAAAAAGTGTTAAGGGCAGCCAGAGAGAAAGGTCAAGTTACCCACAAAGGGAAGCCCATTAGACTAACAGTGGATCTCTTGGGAGAAACCCTACATGCCAGAAGGGAGTGGGGGCCAATATTCAACATTCTTAAAGGAAAGAATTTTCAACCCAGAATTTCATATACAGCCAAACTAAGCTTCATAAGTGAAGGAGAAATAAAATCCCTTACAGACAAGCAAATGCTGAGAGATTTTGTCACCACCATGTCTGCCCTAGAAGAGGTCCTGAAGGAAGCACTAAACATGGAAAGGAACAACCGGTACCAGCCACTGCAAAAACATGCCAAATTGTAAAGATCATCAATGCTAGGAAAAAACTGCATCAACTAACGAGCAAAATAACCAGCTAACATCATAATGACAGGATCAAATTCACACATAACAATATTAACCTTAAGTGTAAATGGGCTAAATGCCCCAGTGGAAAGGCACAGACTGGCAAATTGGATAAAGAGTCAAGACCCATCAGTGTGCTATATTCAGGAGACCCATCCCATGTGCAGAGACACACATAGGCTAAAAATAAAGGGATGGAGGAAGATCTACCAAGCAAATGGAAAACAAAAATAAGCAGGGGTTGTAATCCTACTCTGTTATAAAACAGACTTTAAACCAACAAAGATCAAAAGAGACAAAGTAGGCCATTACATAATAGTAAAGGGATAAATTCAACAAGAAGAGCTAACTATCCTAAATATATATGCACACAATACAGGAGCACCCAGATTCATAGAACAAGTCCTTGGAGACCTAAAAAGAGACTTAAACTCCCACAAAATAATAATGGGAGATTTTAACACCCCACTGTCAACATTAGACAGGTCAACGAGACAGAAAGTTAACAAGGATATCCAGGACTTGAACTCAGCTTTGCACCAAGCAGACCTAACAGACATCTACAGAACTTGCCACCCCAAGTCAACAGAATATACATTCTTCTCAGCACCGCATCACACTTATTCCAAAATTGACCATAAAGTTGGAAGTAAAGCACTCCTCAGCAAATGTAAAATGTAAAAGAAAAGGAATCACAACAAACTGTTTCTCAGACCACAGTGCAGTCAAACTAGAACTCAGGATTAAGAAACTCACTCAAAACTGCACAACTACATGGAAACCGAACAACCTGCTCCAGAATGACTACTGGGTAAATAAAGAAATAAAGGCAGAAATAAAGATGTTCTTTGAAACCAATGAGAACAAAGATACAACGTAACATTATCTCTGGGACACATTTAAAAGAATGTGTAGAGGGAAATTTATAGCACTAAATGCCCACAAGAGAAAGCAGGAAAGATCTAAAATCGATACCCTAGCATCACAATTAAAAGAACTAGAGAAGCAAGAGCAAACAAATTCAAAAACTAGCAGAAGGCAAGAAATAATTAAGATCAGAGCAGAACTGAAGGAGATAGAGACATAAAAAACCCTTCAAAAAAATCAAAGAATCCAGGAGCTGGTGTTTTGAAAAGATAATCAAAATAGAGAGACCGCTAGCAAGACTAATAAAGAAGAGAAGAGAGAAGATTCAAATAGAAGCGTTAAAAAACGATAAGGGGAATGTCACCACCGATCCCACAGAAATACAAACTACCATCAGAGAATACTATAAACACCTCTATGCGAATAAACTAGAAAATCTAGAAAAAATGGACAAATTCCTGGACACATACACCCCCCCAAGACTAAACCAGGAAGAAGTTGAATCCCTGAATACACCAATAACAGGCTCTGAAATTGAGGCAATAATTAATAGCCTACCAACCAAAAAAAGTCCAGGACCAGACAGATTCACAGCGGAATTCTACCAGAGGTACAAAGAGGAGCTGTTACCATTCCTTCGGAAACTATGCCAATCAATAGAAAAAGAGGGAATCCTCCCTAACTGATTTTATGAGGCCAGCATCATCCTGATACCAAAGCCTGGCAGAGACACAACAAAAAAAGAGAATTTTAGACTAACATCCCTGATGAACAATGATGCGAAACTCCTCAATAAACTACTGGCAAACCAATTCCAGCAGCACATCAAAAAGCTTATCCACCATGATCAAGTTGGCTTCATCCTAGGGATGCAAGGCTGGTTCAACATACTTAAATCAGTAAATATAATCCATCACATAAACAGAACCAAAGACAAAAACCACACGATTATCTTAATAGATGCAGAAAAGCCCTTTGACAAAATTCAAGACTCCTTCATGGTAAAAATTCTCAATAAACCAGATATTGATGGGACGTATCTCAAAATAATAAGAGCTATTTATGACAAACCCACAGCCAATATCATACTGAATGGCAAAAAACTGGAAGCATTCCCTTTGAAAACTGGCACAAGACAGGGATTCCCTCTGTCACCACTCTTATTCAACCTAGTGCTGGAAGTTCTGGCCAGGGCAATCAGGCAGGAGAAAGAAATAAAGGTATTCAATTAGGAAAACAAGTCAAATTGTCCCTGTTTGCAGATGACATGATTGTATACTGAGAAAATCTCATCGTCTCAGCTCGAAATCTCCTTAAGCAATTTCAGCAAAGTCTCAGGATACAAAATCAATGTGAAAAATCACAAGCATTCCTATAGACCAATAACAGAAAAACAGAGAGCCAAATCATGAGTGAACTCCCATTCACAATTGCTACAAAGAGAATAAAATACCTAGGAATCCAACTTACAGGGGATGTGAAGTACCTCTTCAAGGAGAACTACAAACCACTGCTCAATGAAATAAAAGAAGACACAAACAAATGGAAGCACATTCCAGGCTCATGGATAGGAAGAATCAATACTGTGAAAATGGCCATACTGCCCAAGGTAATTTATAGATTTCATGCCATCCCCATCAAGCTACCAATGACTTTCTTCACAGAATTGGAAAAAAATAAAACTACTTTAAAGTTCATATGGAACCAAAAAAGAGCCTGCATTAACAAGACAATCCTAAGCAAAAAGAACAAAGCTGGAGTCGTTATGCTACCTGACTTCAAACTATACTACAAGGCTACAGTAACCAAAACAGCATGGTACTGGTACCAAAACAGAGATATATACCAATGGAACAGAACAGAGCCCTCAGAAATAATACCACATGTCTACAACCCCCTGATCTTTGACAAACCTGACAAAAGCAAGAAATGTGGAAAGGATTTCCTATTTAATAAATGGTGACTGGAACACTGCTAGCCTTATGTAGAAAGCTGAAACTGGATCCCTTCCTTACACCTTATACAAAAATGAATTCAAGATGGATTAAAAACTTAAATGTTAGAACTAAAACCATAAAAACCCTAGAAGAAAACCTAGGCAATACCATTCAGGACATAGGCATGGGCAAGGACTTCATGACTAAAACACCAAAAGCAATGGCAACAAAAGCCAAAATAGACAAATGGGATCTAATTAAACTAAAGAGCTTCTGCATAGCAAAAGAAACTACCATCAGAGTGAACAGGCAACCTACAGAATGGGAGAAAACTTTTGCAATCTACCCATCTCACAAAGGGCTAATATCCAGAATCTACAGAGAACTTAAACAAATTTACAAGAAAAAATCAAACAACCCCATGAACAAGTGGGTGAAGGATATAAACAGACACTTTTCAAAAGAAGACATTTATGCAGCCAACAGACACATGAAAAAATGCTCATCATCACTCATCATCAGAGAAATACAAATCAAAACCACAATGAGATATCATCTTACACCAGTTAGGATGGTGATCCTTAAAAAGTCAGGAAACAACAGGTGCTGGAGAAGATGTGGAGAAATAGGAACACTTTTACACTGTTGGTGGGACTGTAAACTAGCTCAACCATTGTGGAAGACAGTGTGGCGATTCCTCAAGGATCTAGAACTAGAAATACCATTTGACCCAGTGATCCCATTACTGGGTATATACACAAAGGATTATAAATCATGCAACTATAAAGACACATGCACACGTATGTTTATTGCAGCACTAGTCACAACAGCAAAGACTTGAAACTAACGCAAATGTCCGTCAGTGATAGACTGGATTAAGAAAATGTGGCACATATACACCATGGAATACTATGCAGCCATGAAAAAGGATGAGTTCATGTCCTTTGTAGGGACATGGATGAAGCTGGAAACCATCATTCTGAGTATACTTTTGCAAGGACAGAATACCAAACACCTCATGTTCTCACTCATAGGTGGGAATTGAACAATGAGAACACTTGGACACAGGGTGGGGAACATCACACACTGGGCCCTGTCGTGTGGTGGGGGGAAGGGGGAGGGATAGCATTAGGATAAATACCTAATGTAAATGACGAGCTAATGGGTGCAGCACACCAACATGGCACATGTATACTGTGTAACAAACCTGCACATTTTGCACATATAACCTAGAACTTAAAGTATAATAAAAAAAATCTGAAAGAAAAAGGTCCTCAAATTAGGAAAGAAGAATATAATTCAAGGGATAATTCCTAGTAAGTATGAATGAGAGTCATCTTTCTTATTTAAAATAGAAAACTGCTAATAAATCCACTTTCCTAACTCATTATTTTAACTAAATGAAATATTTGACAATTTTTCCCCATCACGTTGTTTAAGGAATAATGTTTTCCCTGTGAAATTTTCATTTATTTATCTTAATAAATTATTATTTTATCATTAGGAAGCGTGCAGAAAACTTAAACAATGAAACAATAAGATTCATATGACCAGTAGTGAATCATAAGACTATTTTTGAGGTCAGAAAATAGTCAATACTACCCAAAAGTTGATTTTCTTTATCTGGGTTTAACATATACTCAAATTTGCCTGGGGTCCAGAATGCTTAAATAAGGAATTCTTCTTTACATAGGTATTAATCTACACAAATGAAATGTCAGCTGTTATTGCATGCTTTTTGCTTTAAATTGCTTATTACATGCTAATCTCCATAAGCAATTATGGACCAATCCTTTATTCAATAAGCAGATGTTTATTAGTAATTTCATGTGCAAGTCACTTTACTAAGTCTTTTGCAAGATTCATAAAGATGTAAAATTAAATAGGAATAGCAGTTTTAGGTCCATTTACTTTTGAGCCAAGCATTGTAGAAAGCAATTATGAATTGTTAAAAGGGGATTACATACAATAAGCAGAAGCAGAAAAAAAGTAAAGAGAAAGATATTTAAAAGAAAAACAATCCACTTTATTTTAGCATAACGTATTTATATTTAAAATAGTGAAGAATATGTTAAAAATGACAGTTTTCTGGTAAAACAGCTTGAATGAGAACTTGAATGACAATTAAAATAGCATTAAGGCAATTAATGAGCATTTACTGTATGTCAGATATGTTGCTAGATACTTTTGATTAGAGATGGTGAATAATATATGTTAACTAAACAGAACCATGATCTAATGAAAGAGAGATACTCATAAACAAACAACTTTAACATGAAGTGACATGTATCTTAATAAAGTTATTTATAAATAGAGAACACAATTTGATCTTGGAGCTTCAAAATGATATGTTAACAATTTAATATTTAAAGTGGGCCTTTAGGTATGAGTACAAGAATGAAAGGAAGTTGAAATATGATATAAAGTTAGAAACTGGGGTGTGGTGAATGTTTTAAATGTATAGTAAAAAATTGAATAAATATTTCATACATCTGGAAGTGTATTGGTTGAAAGAGGTGAATTTTAGCTTACATAATTATCCTATATATTTTCGGTATGCTTTAATTCTGAAACATGTTACTTTTGGTGGAGTTACAGCTAATATTTTGTTACCAAGTCATATCAACTTTTAACACATACAGAATCCACTGGACTCTTTGTCAATACTCAGAGTCTCCATTCTTGTGTATAAACTAGAACAGCTATTCTGATTTTAGCAAAGGGATAAAATACTCAGCCAAACTTTGAATGAGAAACGACATTTAGTTTGGGTGAGCACATGAATAAGACCTTTTCATTTAGCTGGAATCACTTTGCAGTTTAAGATAAAATAAAAGGTCAGCAACAAAGGGCACATATGGAATCCTTCATGCAGACACCACCCAAGTAATCACAGAAATAGAAAAAGAAAAATGTGGGGGCCAGTTTGCATCCTGCAGCAACAGGAATGTGTACATTTCCATGACCTCTACTTTCACAACCAACTTCTAGTGTAATTATGAAACCAATTTGTCTTTGGAATTCTTACATTTAATTTCTTCTATTATTTGAGGTAGCACATTTTCTATTTCCAAATATTTCCCATTCTCATTGTTAACCCTCCACTGAACATTTTTCATGACTCTTTATTCTTTAGATGTCTCATTTTTACGTACTCTTCAGATCATTAAACAGCTACCCTCTCAATTAGGGCTAAGGATAGACCTGCTAGTCTCTCTCTCTTATCTCTAAGTTTTCAGTTTGTGATACAATTAACTAGAAAGAACATTTCTGCTTTTAAAGGAGCATTTCTTTGAAGTGAGGCATGATAAATATTTTTGACATACTCTTAGGAAAATAAGCTGCTTTTCTGTATCAGTAACTTTCATCAAATTGAATTAGTGCTGTATTGCATTAGTTCTCTTTCCCACTATTATAACATGTGAGTTCTTAATAAGACAATTTTGTTCTGTATTAGGCAAATTTAATATTCATGCATTATGAAGAAACATTGCTAATATGATAGAAAACTGCTAGGAAAAGCAAACGATTTCATTAAAACTTAAATAAAGCTCACTTTACATTTTCTCCCTCCTTGAATACCTGTCTATACTAATCAGCTGGTAGAAAAGGCAGATGAGGCCCTAGAGACCAGGCGATACATAATCCTCATTCTCAGCACAATCTGATGTCACCTTTTGGACTCAAAATCATTCTCCTGGATTGTAGTTGGAATTTTTAAGTGCAGAATATTTAGGATGTTTTAATTTAAAATGATCATGACTTGCTCTACTTTGTCCTGGCCTTGCTAATTGATGTCTATCATAACTGCAGGAAGAAGACATTTGTGAGCAGTGCAATAACTCGCTGAATCTTCATAAACTCTGAGTCAATAAAATAATGACACAAATTTCACATTCTTTTAATGCGGCATCTGCTTCATCAGTTGAAATAATTACAACCCTTGCTTTGAAGAAGTCTTAATGACACAGACCAAATCTTAATAGATAAGTAACTAAGATGAACACACTGTTCCTTTTCATGCATAAAAATAACACTATTTTAATTGGAACTGAATTAGAGTGTATGTTGGATTTTGCAGATCCTCAAATACTTTATTTAATTTGGACTTAATAAAATTACACAATTCTAAAAATGAAAAAAATAAGGCAAAATTATTAGAAAACCAAAATGAGTAAGTACATTAATTTGTTCCAGATTTAAATATAGAAAATCAAAGATTAAATCATCTTTCTATCCAAAATATTTTGAAGGTTACTTACTCAGTGTGATTCAGCTACTGCACAGTCAAAATGCAGAAAAATAAATCAAATGTAAATTCTAGTTGCTATCTACCACAGAGACAGATATTAAGACAAAAATGCAGCTGGGAATACATCCAAAGGGCAATTGGTCATTTGTCTGTTGGAGTATAGAAAACTTTCAGTAGAGAATAAATTAGAAAAAAGCAGAATTGTGCTACATCTGGGAACTGTGCCTAATAGTTAGACTTGTGGAAAGTATAAAATCATTAATGCATGGTGCTTTTCCAAAATTTAAAGCTATTCAAATTTATTTCTCAACTATAATTTTGTATAAACATACAGTCATGCTGCCAAGGTTACCAATCAGCAGAGATCAGAGGAAAAGCTCTATGAACTATGTCGTGTTCACAGTGGTTCTGATCATTTTTAGGTCCTTGGGAACTCATTCAAGATGAGGCTTACAACTTTATAAGACTTGAGCTCTCAGAATAATTCTCCTTTAAACAAAGAAAAAAAAAGAAAAACAAGTCAAATACATTAGCACAACATACAGCTTAGAAGTACCGCTGCAAAAGGAACATATTGCTAATTAAGTACTGGTGCCAAATCATTACCAATTACACATATATGACATACTGACACTTGTTCATATTTTGATGACCGATCACTCAAATTTTTAAAAAGATTCTGACAGTAATGGAAATTCAGAGAAAACATTTCTATTGCTATGTTATTGCTACTTAAGTCTCGCTCCGGACTTTCTTCAGTGAAGGGCATTTAAGCTATTCATGTATTCTAGCCAAGGGTAAAGTTAAGGTGATTGCAGTGAGAAATAGAACATTACTACCTAAATATTTTTTAAAGGTTTTCATGTGTTATTTGATTTTTTAGTTTTCACAAGTTATTAATTTAAAATATTCTAGAGTTAAGGCAAATCAGATATTGTCTATACTCTAAATATTCATACACACAATTTTACTGAAGAACACAGCAAATTAATTCAACATTGATGCATGATATCTAATCTGCTTGCTCTTTTACTTTCAATGTCCTTATGTGCCTAAAAAAAACCAACGAGGGTTTATAAGCCAAAGAATGCACAAAAATATTTATTTTGAGCTGTAGAAAAATATTCTAAACAAATTACGGAATTAATTGCATTTATCTGTTTTAATGTTGAGATCAACAAAATAAAATTTAATTAAATTTTAGAAATATATCAAATATGGAAAAGAAATGATTGTAGAAATAGAAGACAATGAACAGAAGTAACAAATTTAACATTTATAAAACCAGAAACATGGTCGAACATTAGAGTGTTGTGATGTGAAGTTATAAATCAGTTGGTTGATAACTATGTAAAAGCAGATAACTCTGTTAAAGCTACATTGCCAGATCTTTTGAAATTTCATTGTTGGGATAAAGTTTGAAGTAAATTATACAGTTTATAAAAATAATGAGGTCAGGAGACGAATCTAGCTGGTTATCTTCCTATTATTTGAAGTATGTTGTCTCATTGATTTGGGTAATCACTTTGTAATATTTTCAGTTCAACCTCTGTAACAGGCATATAGTTTATGCATATATTTTTATTTTTATTATTTATTTGTGGTAAGCTGCTCCAATTATAGCAAACTGTAGCATCTGTGGTTTCATTTATGGTGCTGAAGGAAAGTGATTACTGTATTATGAGGCGACCATACTCTAGAGTATAACAAAACATGAAATATGACTCAGCTGAGGACATTCTTATTTTCCAGCGATATAGTTATCTCTGAGGAGCCACATCTTGTAGTTACCAGATGTTCCACAATAACAGTAACTCTGGAGTTGCTTACTTGTTATAACAAGAAGATTTTACTACATAGGAAAAGATTGGCATTTTCTCTGCTGGAAGAAAATGAAATTGGCAATATAGAAAGGCAATTTCAACTGAGCTATGTGGTTTACATTGATTAATCTATCTCATTAGAATATTAGCCAGCCAATCAGAACCCATTTCTATCCATTTTCTAATCTATGCCATATGTCTAGGTTATAAAAAAGCATTTTCCTTAATTTCAGCTACTATTGAATCTACAATTACAAAAGAAGCTGACCTTTTCTCTTAACCACCAAAAGTTTGGAAAATAAGTTTTGTTATTTTACGAAATATTTTTGTTCTGATTTGGAGTACCTAGGAATACAAAAATGAAGACAATTGTGGAAAACCATTTAATTTTTCTGTCTTATTTTCTCTATCATTTCTTCTTATTCCTTGGTGGAAGTTTGAAATAATATAAGTTGTTCATCAACATCAGTATGGCCTGTTTTATATATAGTCATCATACAAATTTAAATTCTTATCACATCAAAAACTATGAGTTAAAGAAATTACTAATCAATTAATCTACAGAGAAAATATGTTATATGATTTATGTAGTAGACACATGTCATAGACACAAAACAAAGAATTTTCATATTCCATTACTGTAAAAACTTTGCTTTAGTAAGCTTGTATAGCCACATTTATTGCCTTGGGATAAAATAGGTTAGAAAAGGCCAGAGAAGACTTTCAATGTGGACATTCAGAGAAGTTTCTCCTACTGTTTGATACATATGTCATGTTCCAGTCATTTTGTAAAGAACACTGGCAATATCCAAGCCACAAAGACATATACACATTGATCCATCAAAAATCTTTCCAAATAGATCTCATAAAATAAATAAAACTGAAAATGCATATAATTTATTATAAATATGTTTGCCAAGTTTTTTGCTATTCACAAAAACTGGAAAGGAAACAAATGCCCATCAAGAGGGAAATGATTGATGTTTTTTCGTCTCATGGAATATTACATATTTTTTAAAATGAATGGGTTAGAATTATGTGATTTTAGCTAGAGTGATTTGTCCACAATAATTTTTAACAATATTCAGATACATAGAAGTAATACAATCATTTTTAAATGCACTAGAGAGATAGACACACATATATATGATTGATATAGATAGATAGATGGATAGATAGATAGATAGATAGATAGATAGATAGATAGATAGATACTGTAAAAGCACACACAAAAAAGTGAACAGTTGCTATATGATAGCGGCCAAAGTTAAACCAAGGTGGGAGACAAGCAGGAAGAAACAAATAAAGGTAAACATTTTTAAAAGGATATACATATATATATATATATATATATATATATATAACTTAATAGATCGCCTGAATGCATTTGTTACCTCATGACAATAAGTGTCAGGACATATATATGCAGGAGTAAATAAATTGAGTGAAAGAATGCATTATATAATAATTTCTAAATGGAGTTCTTCATTGACTATGCTGTCTAAAATTATCCTCTTCCACTAGTCTTTCCCAACATCCAGATCTTTTCTTTTACAGCAGCCTTCACAACTTTTATCTGTATTAGATTGTTATTTGTCTTTCTCCCTCATTACAGTCTGTGATCCAAAAAGGCAGTGACAGTTTTGTTTAGTCCAGCACCCAGTGCAGATTAATAAACATGATTTCATGAATACTGTATGAGTGAGTGAATGAATGAATAAAATGAAATGTAGCCATTTTTATATTATGAATGGTAGATAAATAGTTAATAATATCATTGTATGTCATGAGGAAACTAAGTAATAGGAGATCAAGAAAAAGAAGTTCCTGAAAGGCCTTATGGAAAAATACAGAAGAGTGTGGTGTAATGGAAGCTTAGAAAGCAAACAGCTTCAGGACAGAGGGGTGGCTAGCCACTTTCAACAAATACTATTAAAAGAACAGATTAGATAGGGAAATACAACTTCCCATAAAATTTAGCCTCATGGATAAAACTGATGACATGAACACAAGCCAAAGAAATATTTAGCATACTTAACAACAGATTAGCAATATCACATATCAATCAAAATAGATACTGTGTTAGTCCCAAGGCAGGGTCTTGGAGGCCCCCTGCTATGCCAAGGATTATCCCAATAAGTGCTAGATTTGGAGGAGGTCTGATATGTTGAAAAAAGGACTTGGACAGCCCACACAGTGAGTAGGAACACAACAGCTCATAGCAGCAAATATTTACCAGTATGTAAGTCTCTTAATACTTCAGCCAAGTGTTAGGAATTTAGCAAAGTGTTTGTGGTAGCTGAATAACAAGTTTGGAATTAAGCAAACTCAGGAGAATGAAGGAGGTAGAAGCCAGATGAAAGTTAGTTACAGAGTGAATGAAATTTCATTTTCTGACAATATAGCAGACTAGATGGCATACAGATTATTAACAATATAAACATCATGTAACCATCTCCCAGATTACGAAATAGAACATTACCAATAGTTATGAAACTGTCCACTTGGCTACAAATATCACATATTCCTCCCCTTTCCACAATCTTTTTCTGAGTTGTGTGTTTCTTTTCCACATTCCCTTTTTAAATGTACTGTTTAATTTGTGTATATCCCTAAATAATAGTTTTTTAAAAATAATTCTGGGAGTAGAAAGAATACAGATTTTTAAGGCTTAATACAAACACAGTTATAATGTGTAATTCTTTTAAAAAATTGTGTTACTTGAATTGACTTTCATTCTTCTTTGCTCAGGATAATATTAGATTTGTCACACTATAACAGAGTAGATAATTCTTTTTTAATGTGACAATACTATACCCAAGTGGGCAAAAATTAGTTCTTGGGATAGAAAAAAATATTCTTCTTGTAATTAAAACACAGTATATGTATAGTATTAAATTTTCATATTGGAGGAAATTAGAAAAAAATATGCTAAGGCTTCTTAGGTAAAAATGAGAAAAGTTTGAGACAATGAAGTAGATGAATAAAAGTAGGCAAATCAAAATTTAAGAAAAATACATGTGAGTTTGGAAATGGTATTTTAAAATGAAAAGGAAATAAGAAAGGAAAATCAGGAAAAACCAGGAGTGAAAGCTGTGTTGCAGGCCTAGTGGTCAGCCTCTTTGGACTAGAGTAAGGGGAAAGAACTGAGGATATCTGCCACTAAGACAAATAAAAGCAAAAAATGGCCTTAATGACAAAATATATAAAGAGAAGAGAGTTAAGAAGAATTAATGTTACACATTTAGGAAAATTTACAACTTAAAACGTGAAGCCAAACTAATACAAAGTGAATCAGGCAAGAGTTGAGGAATTACAGCATTTACAAATACTACTGGAAGAAAACAAAACAAAACAACTTAACTAGATGACACCATCTGGAAAAGAAAATATTAATCTAAATGAAGAGTTGCATAGTATGCCAGCACTGGTAAAAGAAGGAGTAGCAATCTTTAAATTTATTTATATATACAACTGAGGCTAAACCAAATTGTGGACAAATAACCAGAAAGTATTGTTATAAAATCTAAGATACACAAAAATATTCTAACAAATATCCAAGGTTTAAAAAACTAGATGGCAAGAAGTGTAATCTCACTATTTCCTAAATATTCAGTTAATAAGACAATTCCTATAATTTATTTTTAAATACATAATTATTTTTAAAAAATCAATGTTTCTTCTATCTCTCTAAGTATCTCTATTACAAGTTCTGTTATAACGCCAGAAAGATTCAATGTTATCTTCCACTATGACATCTGAAACCTTGAGAGGTGGCCTAGGTGCAAGCTCACCTCTCCCATGCAGTCTTGTGGATGAAGAACCCGAGCCAAACAACCCTCCTTTTTATGAGGACCAAGCAGAGTGCCTGTTCACTGTGAAAAAGTGGGCCTCCTGAATATAGCACACTGATGGGTCTTGACTCTTTATCCAATTTGCCAGTCTGTGTCTTTTAATTGGAGCATTTAGCCCATTTACATTTAAGGTTAATATTGTTATGTGTGAATTTGATCCTGTCATTATGATGTTAGCTGGTTATTTTGCTCGTTAGTTGATGCAGTTTCTTCCTAGCATTGATGGTCTTTACAATTTGGCATGTTTTTGCAGTGGCTGGTACCGGTTGTTCCTTTCCATGTTTAGTGCTTCCTTCAGGAGCTCTTGGAGGGTAGACGTGGTGGTGACAAAATCTCTCAGCATTTGCTTGTCTGTAAAGGATTTTATTTCTCCTTCACTTACGAAGCTTAGTTTGGCTGGATATGAAATTCTCATAGGTGGGAACTGAACAATGAGAACACCTGGTCACAGGAAGGGGAACATCACACACGGGGGCCTGTTGTGGGGTGGGAGGAGGGGGGAGGGATGGCATTAGGAGATATAAATAATGTAAATGACGAGTTAATGTGTGCAGCACACCAACATGGCACATGTATACATATGTAACAAACCTGCAGGTTGTGCACATGTACCCTAGAACTTAAAGTATTTTATATATATATATATATATGAAAAAGTGGGCCTCAGCTCTCTGCCAGCCTGCTGAATTATTCCAAAAAGTCAATCATATTTTGAGGGGACAGGGAAACATCTAACTTCTTGTTACTATAAAGTTCCTGGCAGTCCACTCTGTTGCAGGCTGCAACTCCCATGTGGCCCTGCATGGCCATAACATCCTTCACTGCCTCCCCTAAGTCTAGGGCAGAAGTTCTGCCCTCTTTAACACGGTGAAGAGACGATAATCTAAACACAAGTTATGACTAATCAAATCGTCATGTTCATTCTATGCACTGGAGATAAACATCTGTTTTGTTTATTGGCAAGATTTAAAGTACACGTCACATGTCTATTTCCCTCAAAATTGGAATAATGATGTCTTTATGAGAAAAAATGTCTTTTATTCTCTTTTTGCCTAAGTGCTGAATATGAATAGCTAAGTGACTAAAAATATGATCTCATAATGTGGCCAGAAAGAAGTTTTTTCATTTCTTTTTATTAAGCCAGATTTTAATCCAAACATTAATTAGTTAAATAATTCTTTTTATTTTCTTGAGACAGGGTTTTGCTCTGTCTCTCAGGCTGGAGTGGAGTGACATGATCTCATCCCACTGCAGCCTCGATAGCCCTGTATCAAGTGGTCCTCCTGCCTCAGCTCCCCAAGTAGCTAGGGCTGCAGTCACACACCACTGTGGCAGACTAAAGTTTTTTTTTTTTTTTTTTTTTTAAGAGACAGGGTTTCACCGTGTTGCTCTGTCTGGTCTCGAACTCCTTGGCTCAAACTATCAGCCCGCCTCAGCCACCCAAAGTGCTGGGATTACAGGGGTGAACCACTGCGCCTGGCCCAACTAAATAATTTTTTAAAACATCCTTTTAGAAGTTGGTCTGTATAAAATGAGTTTATGTACAAAACATTTATTTCATTTTCTCCTAAAGCTTCATTTTATCTTAAATTATTAACAAAGTCCATAATTTTAATTTGAAATGGAATTAAAAGAAATGTCAGGCTAATAATTGTAATTATATATTTTCTATTTTATTGAAAGAGAAAAATATAGGTCTCTTTTCATGATAGGGTAGGGAGCAGATACTAAGAGACTGGGAAAGAGCAGAGGAGATTCCACATTATTGCAATTTTATTCATGAATTTCAAAAACCAAAACTAATAGAAAGGTTAAAGTGATTTCTTTCTAACAAGATTTTCTATTTGTGAGAGTCACTAAAGAAATGTTTCAATCTTAAGTAAGGACATTTTACAAAGAGTACAGAATTGATTTACTATGTGCCATTGATCTTGCTGTCAGTCAATCCTTTCACAAAACACAGAAGAAACAGGCCTTGTGAGACATACCAGTAGCAAATAAATTGATAATTAAAGTGTGGTTGGACACATAGGACCTCCAAATGTAAGTGGGGTCACCAAGAGAACAATAGAGAGTGATTGATATCGTTTGCATTAGCATGCAATTTAGAAGGAAGAGGTTTGAATAAGGCATGCCCACAAGAATATAAATAGACAGATGTTAAAAAGGAGACACTAATCTTACAGACTCCATGCATTCCATAATTTAAATGAAGGACAATAATTTATAATATTATGTAGAGACAGGATTTCACAAGAAAGAAAAAAAATACTATGAAAATCAAATTGGTACATGCCAGACAACTGATATTATACTTCATATCCCAAACTGCAGAACTGTCTGTACTGCAAACTTATTCTGGGGTATTTCTGTACATTTACCATGGAATGTATGGAAAAACAGGTACTTGTTTTCCTACAGAGTGAGAATGGCATATGTAAATCCCAATTTACATAATGTAAAAAAAAGTTGAAGACTGACAAGAGAGCAGCTAACTCTAATCGTAAGAGCATTTTGTTCATGAGTATTTTTGTACCTATACTTTTATTGTAAAGTCTTGTAAAGACTTTACAATATTATTGACCAACATAACTAACGATCAGGGAAATGCAAATCAAAACCACAATGTGATATCATCTTACTTCTGCAAGACTGGCCATAATCAAAAAATCAAAAAACAGTAGATGTTGGCATGGATGTGGTTATCAGGGAACACTTCTACACTGCTGGTGGGAATGTAAACTAGTGCAACCACTATGGAAAACAGTGTGGCGATTCCTCAAAGAACTAAAAGTAGAACCACCATTTGATCCAGCAATCCCACCACTGGGTATCTACCCAGAGGAAAAGATGTCATTTTTATTTTTTTCTATTGAGGTTTGCTATAATACTATGAGGTATCTTACCTTATATGTACTGGAATGTATCTTACCCTTTGGAGTGTGCCAGAGTATATAGCCCAAGTAGAATGGTTGCTTGTATCACAACATGGACTTGGCACAGTGCCCCTTGCTGTAATAGGTAAAACTGGAAGTTAGCAAGTTTGCTTGTCACTTTGTATTTATAACTAGATCAGAACAGTTTTATTATGTTCTGTGAAATATGCTGTGTCCAGAAGTCAAAGAGAACTTTCAGGTGTTGCTGTAAATACTTAGAGTCAAGTATAATAATCTGTTCTTTTTTATTAAGACAAAATTTAAATGATCATTTTGAATTTTTGGCATATATTTCTGTGAATTTTAACATTTGTGTAAGAAATACTGAAATCAGGATACAGAAAAATTCCATCACCCACCCCAAATTTCTTCATGCTATTTCTCATCTCTTTCCCTGATTCATAATCTTTAGCAACCACTTATCTGTTCTCCATCACTACGGGTTTCTTAAAATTGATAATGACATATAAAAGAATCATACAGTATGTAACCTTTTGCAACTGGCTTCTTTTACTCAGGATAATGTCTTTTATATTCATCCAAGTAGTCGAGTGCATCAATAGTTTAATTCGTTTTATTGCCAAGAAAAGTTCCATTGCATGGCTATATCAAAGGTAGATTATTCTTCATCAATTGAAAAACATTTGGGCAATTTGCAGTGCATATTTTACAGTTTTGAATACAGTTGTTCTAAACATTTGTATACAGGTATTTGTGTGAATATAAATTTTCATTTTTCTACATTAAATACTCATAAATGGGGAGGGCGCGGTGGCTCACGCCTGTAATCCCAGCACTTTGGGAGCCCAAGGCCGGCAGATCACCTGAGGTCAGGAGTTTGAGACCAGCCTCAACATGGAGAAACCCTGTCTCTACTGAAAATACAAAAGTTAGCCGGGAGTGGTGGTGCGTGCCTGTAATCCCAGCTACTCGGGAGGCTGAGTCAGGAGAATTGCTTGAACCTGGGAGGCGGAAGTTGTGGTGAGCCGAGATCGTGCCATTGTACTCCAGCCTGGGCAACAAAAGTGAAACTCCGCCTCAAAAAAAAAAAAAAAAAGTCATAAATGGGATTGCTGAGTCATAAAGTAAAAGTATTTATCTTCACAAGAAACATAAGGCATTTTTGAGAGTGGTTGTACCTATTTGCATACCCCACTGCAGTGTATGATATTCCTGGTTCTTCTGCATCCTTATCAGCATTTGGTTGGTTCTTTGCTTCAAGTGAATGTGTGCCATGGCCTAAACTACTAGCCTCATCTGTAACATTTCACTAATATGGCAAAATCTTGACTCTTTATGAATCTCTCTTATTTTTGGAGACAGGGGTTGGAGAGACGGGGTTTCACTGTTGCCAAGGCTTGAATGAAGTGATACGATCATAGCTCATTGCACCCCTGAACACCTGAGCTCCAACAATCCACCTTCCTCAACCTCCTGGCTAGTGGGACTACAGGAATGTCCCACCACATCAAGCTAATTTTTAATTTATTGTGTAGAGATGAGGTTTCGCTATATTGCCAGTGCTCTGAATCTTTTTTATTTTTTATACTCCAGAACATACAATTTTTGAAAAGCCTTCCAATGAACTTTTCACTTTTGGCCAATTAACATGGTGTCGTAAGACTCTCCAGACATTCAAATCCTTTTGAACCATATTTTGCAGAGCATAGGGCAGTTAACATAAACCTGAGTCAGGACTATAATATATACTGTCTTTTGTTAATGTAAATTGCTTCTGGTCTTTGTTCCTGGTGAAATATTATAGAACACATTTGTTTGATAAATGACCTGTTACATATGTTTGAGTCCATGTTCTTCTGTTCTAGCAAATGTGTTATTACAGCTGCAATTAGGACTACTATTTGTTCATTTTTTCAGAAGTCTTATGTCATCTTCTAGTATCCATCTTGGGTTTTGGGGACAACAGACAGGGATTAAATGGAGTCCTAATGGTTATCATGAATCCTGCCTCTGATGGATATATAAGGAGCCAATCATCACTGCCATTTATCCTGAGACATTACCTTTGTTTACTATCTTGACCAGGATGAGAGAAGTATCATAAACTTTCATGTTGCCTTCCTACAACATGAATTCTTACTCTACAAGCCAAGTAATCACGATGGAAACACGCATACTCCAAGTATATGCGCCACGCTTATACATTTGTGGACCACAAAGCTGAATACTGGCTGAGTTTCCAGAACCAGATAATCTCCTATGAGCTTCACCTTAACCCGGATATGTTCCCAATCTAACATGGAGATTGGATATCTTTATATTAGGACAGTGAGGATAACAGAGAGAGTGTTTAATGTGTACTGTTTCAGTAACATTTGTTACAAACTGTCATCTCGTGCACATCTCAGATTCTTATTAAAGAGCTTCAATGGCACCTTGAGAATAAGGATGACTCCAGATTTGTATAAAATCATTTATGATTGCATAATTTAAATTAGTTGTCAAACTTCTCCAATGACAACCTTCATTTACTTTTAGTCACTGTTGCTATTTCATGTCTAAATTTTAGGTTTATGCTTCAATTAGTTGTTTTTATTCTCTAAGTTTTCTATCTAGTTTCACTTTATATTCTTCACTTTCATTTTAAGCATATTGCAAAACCATGAGTAATCAAAATTTAAAAGATGTCACTGCTACTGGTATAATTATGAGAGTACACAGATGGCTTGCTAAGTAAAGAAAAGAAAAGAAAAAAAAATATTCCAGTAAAGCTACAAATGCTAACTTTCAACCTGGGAATCTTTTCCTCTGTAACATAAGTTCATTGCCAGAGAGTTGTATATGCAGAAATCATAATAACATCTGTAAAGGAGAATCAGAGGATTTTAACAAGAGACTGATATCCATAAGGTGTTGATACTCAAGTATAGTCATAGATCTCTTCTCCACTGAGGTAATTTCAAAAGTTTCCATTTGACATTAAAGTACATTTTATAGGAATCAATGTATTAAGCAGCAGGAACCAAACAGTACTGTTTTTAGCAGATAGTCTCAAGAAATATTTGGGATAATACAGCACAAATAGATTTGATTTTTAATTCTGAAATCATAATAATAATGACCGTAGATACAATGTCCTATGGAGCATTTAATGTATATGATCTTTGAAAAGGTTTTATAGTCTAACTTCAATAAATGTTTACTGTCTAGAGTCATGAGGGCTGAGTTCTACGTTTTTTATCAAACTTGACCAAGCATATGCAAAAGCAATCTTTTGAGCTAGTTGATTTGGTCCTAAATTGCCTTCCTTTCCAATAATACACTCGTAAACCAAAATCATAAATGATCTTCACAAGTGCAAATGTTATTTCAAAGAATAAACATTTACTCTTTAAAATTTAATCTTCTACCGTCTTCTTCTGCCATTTTTTAAAATTAAGTAGAAATAAGACGTGAGATGGATTTTGAAGTGAGATATGAAAGGCAAGGAGTTTTGATGTATGTGGGAAGTAGAGGAATGAAAGTAAATAATAATATGACTGACAAGCATTATATTTTATAGCATTGTAAATGATAAACCATTTTCATAAAAGGTTTCATATTTACATAAAACCTATATATATATTCAAAATTGAGACCTATATATATATGAATTCAAAATTCACCTATATATATATAATATGTAGGTGAAATATATATATATATATATATATATATATATTCCCTAGGTGAATTTTGAATTGTGCCTTCTCTCTTCTTTAATGGTAATTCAAATACAGATAGAAGCACAATAGAGATCCATCAGATGGTTGCCTCATAGCTAGTGAGTGTCATGGAATTTCGCCAAACCACTTTACATTTTTATGTAGCACAGATTGGTTTCACATAGTACTACATTAACTGTGTTAGTGATTATACGGAAAATGAAGTCATTCTGAACAAGTTACTCTAAAATAGCATAATAGTGTTTTGTGTATGCCCTTTCCCATGGCATATTTATGAGTGAGATGATTTTCTGATAAAGCAAATATGCACCACTATTAAACAACTGAGGTTTCAGTGAAGATTCAAAAAGGAAGACTCCCCATTTTTTTTTTGTTTGTTTGTTTTGTTTTTTGTTTTTCTCTGCTAACTTGGCCATTACATCCGGTGGCTGCCATAAGGTATTTTGTAGTGCTTCATCAGAGTAGAATCAACCCAATACTTATACAATTTTCAAATCTCTCAAAAGAGGACCCAATCTTCTACTTCCAGATATATATTTTGGAGATACTGAGAAAAATGTACAGCCTATCAAACCCAGAAAAGTACGGGTTTAAGAAGAGTGATTATCTTGTATTTTTTATTTATTTATTTATTTTTTTTACATGTTGCTAGACATATCCTGGAAGGTTGGGAAAAAGAATCTTGGGTTTATGTTTTATGAAGGGCCAAGACAATTTTCTTTGTCTGATCAAGTAACTTCTGATGAATGGCCTCAACAAAAATGCTTTCTTTTTTTAATAAGAAATCCATTTTAAATTACATGAATTCCTTGAAAAGTAAACTTTTCAATCTTAATTTAGGTGTGATCACTTAGAAAAATGACCATGTAATGATAACAATCTATAAGTAGCTAAAAATTTACCAGACACCCTCAAGAGTAAATTAGAATTCATTTGTTGAATAGTGTAAATGACCTTCGCAAGTAATTAGCTCCATCATACACATTCTTTATTCTAAAACATATTGGCCAATATTTGCATACATTTTTATAATCCTTCTTTTACCAGTGTTATGTTTAATATAGTCTTTTCCTAGTGTTTTAATATCACAGATAACCATATTCACATTGAATTTTGAATCCTCCAGTTTTATTCCATTATCGCCATAATATATCTCATACCCTTCAGCATTTCTCACTTATTTCCGTGCTCCCTAACTTTGTTTAACCATGATATTACAAATGTCTCACAATTTTCTCTAGCTTTGTTATTATTCCTCACCTTCTTTATGCTAAAATCACACACCCTTTCCAATTGTTCTATTTCATATGTTAGCCTTCCCATTTTTTCCCATTGTTCCCTGCATTCTTTTTGTTGCAATTATTCATTTGCTTTGCCAGGGACTATCTCCATGAAAAGATTTAGGTTATGGCATCCTACATTTTTAGAAAGCTTTCTCCAATCATCGTTCTTCTGATAATTAGTACAAAACACTTACCAGCAACTTTCTCTGCTTTCTTGAGTCCTCAAAATGAATAATTTATGCAGCAGACATAGGAAGATTTTTGGGTTTTATCTAGCTCTTTTATGAACCAGAACTGCTATTCAGATACTACATTAACTACCTAGTTAGAAATTTACCGCATAATTGAAAAGTGAAATGGAATCTCACAGGAAAAAATAATTTTTTTCCAAAGAATATTACATGATCAAACAAGAATTAAAGAAGACAAAAATTATAGGTATAGCCAAGTTAGCTTTATACTTTTTAAAGAACAACAGTGTTCCCTATTTTTAAAAGAAGCTATCTGCTACTGTTATGGAGAGGTTGCTTAAACTAATTATGTCTCTGGAAAAATAATGTGTATAGTCGGCTATATGTGGTGTTCTACCTATATCTGTTTCTTTTGCAACATATTCCCTTTCCTTTATAAGTCAGGTTTCAAATTCCACAAGATCATTCCTAAAAGATCACCCCTGAAGGAACCAAGCTCCGTGTGCTTCTAACAACGATAACCAGGGACTGGAGAACAGAAACATATAACAGAAGGAGAGAGTGTAACTTTGTTCATCGCTACCGCCACCCCATATGTGTGTATACATCCTCACATGCTCATACACAATACTACCAAACATTAATTGGATGTAGAGAATTTTAAAAATTCGGTTAAGCTACAATTATCTTAGTACTTAAGAAGTAAGTAATAGTAATTGAACTTGAGTTTTCATTATATGTTTTGCAGGTAAATATATGCTAGGACAGGTTGGACTAAATATTTAAAAGGACAAGAAACAAAAATGAAATTATGCATTCTTAATTTTGAAAAATATATAAAAGTGTATGCAAATATTTGACATAATTATATATATAATTTGTGTATGTATACATAGATATATAGAGAGAGATATATACACACACACATTAATTAAAATGGCCATTAAAAATAAAACACAGTAAGTAAACAAGTGGCAACTACCAAGTGAACACAAGGAGGCAGAAAACATTGCAAGCAGCAATGTTTAGAATAATAGTTAAGAATATGGATTTCTAACCATACTGGTGGTCTTTTTGAGTGCTGAGTCACTAACTTTATTTCGAACCGATTTTATCAACATAAATTAACTTAGTAATTTTATCTTTAAAATGGAGATTTATAATAGCAATCAATTCATACTGCTCTTTTGAGCATTATATTTTTGTCATAATAACAATAAGAAAGCATTTAGCCTGCTTTCTGAATAAAGACAAAACCATTTTATTATTAATAATATTTCTTGGGCCTTCTCTAAGCTGTCAGTCAAAATGATAATCATTATACAAAATTAAAATAAGGCATTGAGTTTTCTCAAAGAAATAGAGGGTTTAAAGATGAAGCACTATATTGTACAAGGTCTTTCACCTCAGAGAAGTGCCTTTGTCTTTTCCAGCAACCGGTGGAATCTAACACAATACATCACATGCAGTGGTACTACATCATTTCTTGTAGCATGAATGAACTCTTTCATATGAAAGCCAACCCAGGTTACAAAGATTTATGCTTAATAGGAAGTGCTTTGAATAACAGGTTATCTGAAACAATGCAATTCAATAAAACTGCGTATTTTAAAAGGCATGAAATTTTATTGAAAACTGTGAATTAAGAGAGGGATGAGCACACATTAATAGGAAAAATACGCCATTCAACTCAGATTTTGGCCGTTGTTAAAAATATAACACTAAAAACAATGTTACTCTAAGTTTTAAATAGTGGATAGAAAATCATGACAACCTGAACAAAAATGGGTAAAATGTATAAACTATGCTTTTTCTTCCAATAAAATTTATAATCTGATACATGTTGATATTCACAATTCTAGACATTGTACGCAGTAATTAAAAAACATGGTAAGCATTTTCAAATAAATGACTGTGGTCAATGTTGACTTACATAACCAGATCTAATTTTAGTTGACTTTCTAGTATTCCAATTATATCGTAATTGACATTTCCTCAGATGTTGCATAGTGATTATTATTATGTTCCTACTACTTCCCGTCTTCGATCTAAATGCAGACATATTCACAAATAAATCTACTTTTGTGTACAGAATTATTGATTTTAATTCCCTATTTGGTCCTCTCGGCTCATATTCCATGGTTTAGGGCTCTGGGATATATCATGACATTTATGTGTTCAAGCCCTTCCTTCTCTTCCAGGAGTCCTTGAGCAAGTATTTCTAACCTGGCCTCCCACCTTGGTGTCCAGATCTAGAACTCTTTAGATTTACCTTGTTAGAAGAAATGAAGGAGAAATCAAATCATAGCATGATTATTGTGTTTTCAGCGAAGGAGAGCAGCTTCAGTACAAATCAGTGTTTATTGTTTGGGAAAGAAACTCATGACATGAGATTGCACAAAAGAGATAAATCAATGCAGGTGAAGAGGAAGAAAAAGAATATTGTGCTAAAGGAGGTATACCCCCTTTTTCTTCAAATATCTGGATGTTTTACTATCATGACCAGTATAGGGCATTGTCCTACATTAGTAAAATTGGATAGCTATTACCATAATCTCTCTCTCCTCACAGGCACAATACATTTCCTGACATTAATTGAGACTTTTAAAATGTTTCAAAATGTTTAATTTTCAAACAAGAAAAAGAAATTGAAGTTAAAATATTTGTGGTCATTAACAGATGTAAGTTTTTTATTTTTCAAAACATAAACCTATATAACACCTTTAAAAATATAGTTTACATATCTACAACACTCTTATATAACAAACAATTAAATGATGTTTATTATATTCTCAGAGTTGTGCATCCATCACCATAATCATTTCTGGGACATTTTTACGACCCTAAATAAAAGCCCCATATCCAACAGTCAATCTCCATTCCAACCAACTACCTAATTCTAGGTAATTATTTATCTATTTTTTCTCTATATAGATTTTTCTACTCTGGATATTTAATATAAATTAAATTGCACCATATGAAATATTCTGTGACTGGCTTCTTTTATGTATCATAATGTATTGAGTGCTCATCCCTATTGTAGTATGTATCAATACTTTATTTATTTTTATTGTTGAAAGATATCCTATTGGATGTATATTCACAATATTATTTACCCATTCATCACTTGATGGGGAATTGATACATTTATATTACGTGGCTGTTATGAGCAATGCTGCTACGAACACTCACCTACAAGTTTTGTGAGACATGTTTTCCTTTGTCTTGGGAATTGTTTTACTGCTCACCGAGTGGTCAGGCTGTGCTGAAGGATAAAGTATAACATGAGTGCAGCCATAGTTAAAAGGCAGATAACTGCCACTCTGGGTAGAAACCAGTACATGATTTATGGTCACTGATAATAGACAACATGGCTTAGAGTAAGAGAGGAGAGAGAGTGTACAAGATCCGACTCTTTGCAGGCTGTTGGGCCCCCAGGGTCAGTAGACTGACTCTTCAGCCTACACAGGAAGCACAGCTACACACATCCTACTTTGTGATGAAGTAGAAGGAAATAGACCACTCTCCCATGTGGTCTGAGATATGAAAATCTGGGGATGTGCCTGAAGGCCATTGACAGGTGGACATAAACAGGACAAAGAAGTACACACTGAGTCTGAAACAGGAAAAGATATTCCCACACAAGATGATAAACTCAGCACAATCTGTGTGGACTATCTATCTTGGTAAGGAAGTATTTCAGGCCGAAAATCCATTCTTATGTGGCCAAGCAGGAGTCAAAATACTGCATGCATAAAATTCTCTGCTGACAAGAAAATACATAGAAGTAAAATTGTTGCAACAATTTTACTCATTTGGTATATCATATGGTAAACTATGTTCAACAATTTGAGAAATTGCAAACAAATAAACAGAGAGACAGAATGCTTTACCTTAAGAACACAAAAAAAGAGGAGGATAGCCTCTTTGAATAGAAGTTTACTTTTATTTAACAGGGTAGTGGAGATTCTCACCAGGGCAACTGGGCAAAAAATACAAATACATGAGATCCAGACTGGAAAAGAAGAATTAACATTATCTCCATTTACGTTGACATGACCTTGTATGTAGAAAATTCTAAAGAATCAAGAAGGAAGGCAGTAAGACAGGAAGGCAGGCAGAAGGGAGGGAGGGAGGGAGGGAGGGAAGGGAGGGAGGAAGGGACAAAGGCAGACGATTAATGAATTCAACAAAGTTGAAGGGCAAAAATAAGTATAGTAAAATCAGTTGTATTTCCACATACCAAAATTGGACAAATGGAAAATGAAAGATCTTAGGATGAAAGCATTTCATTTTAATCATGAATTAGCTGTTGGTTTTTCATAGAAACCTTTACTGAGGTTGAGAAATTTTCCTTCTATTTCTAGTTTGTTCAGCGTCATGAATGGGTGTTCAAACTTGTCAAATATATTTTTGGCATCTGTTGAGATGATCGTGTGGTTTTGTTGTTTATTTTCTCTTTCTTTTTAATCCCACAGTTAACATCTTTATATTCACTTGATAGAATATATTATATTTACTGACAGATATTAATCTTACATTCCTGAAAGAAATCTTATTTGGTTATGGTGTACAATTCTTTTATACATTTTAATATTTGGCTTAATAGTATTTTATTGAGGATTTTTATATAGCTTCATAAGAAATATTGATGTTTAGTTTTTTTTTATTTGTTTGTTTTTATCTTTTTCTTTTTGGGGTGGGGGTTGCCATTGTCTGGTTTTGGTTTTCAAGGTAATATTCATGTGAAAGAATGAATTGGGAAATAGTTCTACTTATTTTATATTTTGGAAAAGTTTGCCAAGGATTACTAATGATTCTTTTAAAAATGTTTGGTGGAATCCACTAGTGAAACTCCCTAGGCCTGGCTTTTCTGCATGTGATGTTTTAAAATTACTACTTCAATATCTTTATTTTCACAGGTCTATTCAGATTTTCCATTTCTTCTTGAGTCAGTGTATTAGTGAGTTCAGAATGCTATGACAAAATATTATAGACTGAGTATCTTAAACAACTGAAATCTCTTTCTCACAGTTCTGGAGTTTCTGGGACATCTAAAACCAAGGTATTGAAGAGCTAGGTGAGGGTGCTATTCCTCACCCTGCCCTGGTGAGGGCACTATCCCTCATTTTCAAAAGGCTGTTTTCTCACTGTATTCTCTCTATCCTGTCTCTTCGTAGAAAGACACTAATCCCATTCATGAAAGCTCCACCTTTATGACCCAGTTACCTTCCAAAGATCCCTTCTCCAAATACCATCACATTAGGGATTTAGGCTTTGACACGAATGTTGGGAAGACACATGCATTCAGTCTATAGCACTCAGCTTGAGTAATTTGCTTGTAAAATTTGTTAATTTATCTAGGCTATCTAATAGGGTTTGACTCTGTGTCCCCATCCAAATATCATCCCGAATTGTAATCCCAACATGTCAAGGGAGGGACCTGTAACTCCCACGTGTTCCGGGAGGGAGGTGACTGGATGATAAGAGTGGTTTCCCCCATGCTGTTCTCATTATTAGTGTGTGAGTTTCCATGAGATCTGATGGTTATATTAAGTGTTTGGAAGGTTCCTCCTTCCTTCTTCTCTTTCCTGCTGCCTTGTGAAGAAGGTGCCTGCTTCCCCTTCACCTTCTGCCATGATTGCACGTTTCCTAAGGCCTCCCCAGCCATGTGGAACTGCGAGTCAATTAAAATTCTTTCCTTTATAAATTACCCAGTCTTGAGTATTTCTTTATAGCAATGTGAAAACAGACTAATACAGTATCTAATTTGTTGATATACAGTGGAATGTTCCTTTATAATTCTTTTTACTTTTATAACATCATTGATAATACCTCTTACTTCATTCCTAATTTTAGTAATTTCCATCTGCTCCCTTTTTCGCTTAGTCAGTGTAACTAAAGATTTGCTGATTTTGTTTATCTTTTTAAATAACCAACTTTTCATTTGTTGATATTCTCTATTGTTTTCTGTTGTCTCCCTTTTTGATTTCTATGCTAATATTTATTATTTTCTTCCATTTGCTTTCTTTAGGTTTAGTTTGCTCTTCTTTTTCCATTTTTTCCCTTTTTATCATTTTTTTATTTTTGTATTTTTTATTTTTTATTATTATTATACTTTAAGTTTTAGGGTACATGTGCACAATGTGCAGGTTAGTTACATATGTATACATGTGCCATGCTGGTGTGCTGCACCCATTAACTCGTCATTTAGCATTAGGCATATCTCCTAATGCCATCCCTCCCCTCTCCCCCCACCCCACAACAGTCCCCAGAGTGTAATGTTCCTCTTCCTGTGTCCATGTGTTCCCATTGTTCAATTCCCACCTATGAGTGAGAACATGCAGTGTTTGGTTTTTTGTCCTTGTGATAGTTTACTGAGAATGATGATTTCCAATTTCATCCATGCCCCTACAAAGGACATGAACTCATCATTTTTTATGGCTGCATAGTATTCCATGGTGTATATGTGCCACATTTTCTTAATCCAGTCTATCATTGTTGGACATTTGGATTGGTTCCAAGTCTTTGCTATTGTGAATAGTGCCACACTAAACATGCATGTGCATGTGTCTTTATAGCAGCATGATTTATAGTCCTTTGGGTAGATACCCAGTAATGGGATGGCTGGGTCAAATGGTATTTCTAGTTCTAGATCCCTGAGGTATCGCCACACTGACTTCCACAATGGTTGAACTAGTTTACAGTCCCACCAACAGTGTAAAAGTGTTCCCATTTCTCCACATCCTCTCCAGCACCTGTTGTTTCCTGACTTTTTAATGATTGCCATTCTAACTGGCGTGAGATGGTATCTCATTGTGGTTTTGATTTGCATTTCTCTGATGGCCAGTGATGGTGAGCATTTTTTCATGTGTTAGAAGTTTAAGATCTTTATTTGAGATTTGAGATACAAAGACATCCCCAGCTTGGACTGAGAGAATCAGAGACAGCACAATATGATGAGAGATCTTTGGATCCCCGGAATTCTATTGGCAGTCAGCAGGCTGAGACAGCTACTCAGTAGCAGATGCACGCTATTTTTTATTAAAAACGGAAAGGTGATGCAGAGGCTAGAAACAAGAGCCCAGATGGCAGAGTTTACAACCATGGAGAATTATTTTCAGATCTTGAAACTGAATCCAAGAACTATCAACATTTATAAGTCAGAATTTCTGTGGGCTACTTTCTCTCTTTGTTCTCTCAATTCTCCCCTTTTGGAACAAAGGTGTCTATAGTGCATGCTCACCTACTCCTATTCTTGCCCCTAGCTTTAGACATCCTTTGTCTACCCCAATATTATATGCTGGTGTTTCTTGGGGTGGGGATGGGGTGCTGATTATTTGTCTACTTTCACAGGTCTGAAGAAGTTGCACTTGCAGTATTATACTCAGGGAACTACATCTGTGTTTTTTTTTTTTTAGATCTGGACCTGATTTACATGATGAAATTGTGGACTTTGAACAGATGCCATAATGAGATGATAATTTAGAGGCACCTTGGAAGGGATAGAGTGCATGCTGCACAGTAGAGAAACATGACTTATTGGAAATCAAAGTGAAGTCCCCGATAGGCAGGCTCTAGGATGGCCTTCAGTGAACCTTGACTCCTGGCATTTGTGTTCTTATGTTGTAATTCCCTACACTTGAATGTGGGCTGTACTTTTTCACTTGCTGCTAGTGAGCAGGATATGGCAGAAGTGATGTGTGTTTTCCATCTTTGGAGATCCCTTTTGTTCACCTCTGTCTCTCTATGCCTCTCTCTCTCTCTCGCTCGCTCTCTCTCTGACACCTAGCTCTGGGAAATACAAGGTGCCACATTGTTTGTATCCCTATGAATATGACCACATGGTAAGAAACAGTTGTCTCTAGCTAACAGCCACTGAGACCTGAGGCTCAACAAGGCTTGAGTGTGCTTGCAAGCAGTTCCCCTTCTACATGAGCCTTGAAATGACTGCATTTCCAGGAGATATCTTGATTGTAGCCATATGAAAGTCCCTTAGTTAAGTCCACACAGATAAATTTTTCTAATATCCCAACTTACAGAAACTGTTAGATAATAGAAGGTCTTTGTTTTCAGCTGTCAAATTTTGGGGTACTTTTTTGCACAACAGTATATAATGCATACATTGGGTTATATAATGTCTTACTAAACCTGAACTCTGAATTTTATAAACATGGCATCTTACAGCCCCCAGAAACCATGGTTTTTGTTAACCATAATGCACTTATTTCACTATAACATAGAAAGACACCATATTCATTATTCATGACACACACATTATAGTAATATTGGTAAATGCTATAACAAATTTCAAACTTGCTATCTAAGAATCTGCCCAATGTCAACAAAGTTGTTCTTCAGTTTTCCCAGAGGAGATTGTAGAAAAGAAAAAGATTCAAGCATAAATAAATTTCTAACAATAATATAAATTACCTTTATATATATATGTGTGTGTGTGTGTGTGTTCTCTTTATAAGACCAAAATAATAACATATTCAAACTTTTAGCCTGAATTTCTGTCATCATCTGAGAGATTGAGTTGCATTTTCTGTCTTAAAATTTTGGCAACAATGTATTTCATTGTGTAATTGAACATAAACATTGAATCAGTGATAACCATTATATTTTAAAGTCATTGTAGCCTGAGCTACAAACTAAAATGCAAAATAGAATATACCATCTCAAATCTGATGAACTTAATATAAAAGTTAAAATAAAGCTGGAGTGCAGTGGCACGGTCTCGATTCACTGCCACCTCTGCCTCCTGTATTCAAGCAATTCTCCTGCTTCAGCTTCTTGAGTAGCTGGGATTATAGGCCTCTGCCACCAGGCCGAGATAATTTTTTGTATTTTTAGTGGAGACAATGTTTCACCACGTTGGCCAGGCCGGTCTTGAACTCCTTACCTTGTGATCCGCCTGCCTCGGCCTCCAAAAGTGCTGGATTACAGGCATGAGCCACTGAGTCCAGCTGCCTTTTCATAAGTTAATTTTGGTTCTAATAAAACTATTCTTTAGCATTGTGGTAAGAATACAATAAAAACACACCATCAGTAATATGAAGCTAAATTACTCGCTACTTAGGTTTTTATAGCTAAGTGTTAACTGGGAATATTAGCAATGCACCTGCTATTTCTCTACTAGTTTGTAGTTAATGTCTCTGCCTACTTTTTGGTATATTTTCAAATTAAGATATGGATAGATAGATAGATAGATTGATAGGGATTGATGTTTTATTTTTTCTCTGATAATCTGTTCTTATAGCATTGTCTTGTTATAGTAAACCATTTCTCATTGATATAGACATTTTTTACTGCTTGACTATATCAATAAATCATCAGGCTCAGTTATAACATTAATGAAATAATATAACTACAGATTCAGATAATGCCATCTTAGTACTGAATAAAAACCATCAAGAAGTAATGTCCTTGAGTTGAAGAAAGATGCAGTCTAAGAAATTATATAGGCAAGGAAATTATTAAATATACCAGAGAATTATTAGGTTGGTGCAAAGATAATTGTGGTTTTTTAAATTAAAATTAGTTGTAAAATCCTCAACTAAATTACATTTGCACCCATGTAATAAGTTTGTTGAAAAGGATTTTACAGTTTTGATGATGGATTATAAAATTTAAGTGAGTCATAGAGAGAAGTGAATAGAAGATGTCTTGATGAATGGTGAATAAATGGCAAGGTACATGGATTAGAGACAATGACAAAGTAAAAGAATTGTGGCCATTCAGATTCTCATTTTCAGCATGCATTTACTATGGAAGCATCATGACTGCAAGGTCTACCAAAATAAGGAAAGACTTCTTATTTATGAAAGATGACTTCTTATATGTGAGATATAATTTGATCCATGTTAATAAATAAAAGAAAAATTAAAATCGTAGTGTGAATCAGAAAATGGAAAGTGTTTGATTTTTTTCGATATGTTTCTAGGAAGAACCAGATAGCAAATCATTATAACGCCCCCCACCAACTTATAATAGTGAAGAGAGAAACTGTGGCTATAACACTATACTATGTGTTTGATTATATGATTCTAGAACTAAATTTCCTTGATTTTATAAAAGGATATTGAAACTAGTTTCATTATGTCCTACATAGTTGCATATTTTTGTCTCTGCCAGAAATCTTGAATACCTTTTTTCTCTTTTGTGAGCTCTGTCCTCCCCAAAACTTTTGACTGTGCTTTGTAGAGCTGTTGATTCATTATCAATTAAATTCTTCTTGTCTTCCACATTTCCTTAAATGTTTTCATTGGCCGTATTTCTTAACTGTAACCTAGTTTTCCCCTGAAACTTTTGCGATGAAGATTTTAAAATCTCCTATATCCCATGTACCTCACAGCCAACGTTGAAGAAGTTATCCTTTTTAGTTTCAGTTATTCTTCACCTTGATTCTGTAAAATTGTGATACTTGAAGCTCATGCTTTCAAACTCCATTTCCATGCCCTCTCCTCACTGCTGTAATATGCATACCTTCTGATTCATTGTAATCTTTATATTGAAAACTTGAGAATCTCTTATGTATTCATCCTCTTCTCCACTAAACCTATGATATCATTCTCAGTGTCTTCAACATTAATGTTGAGGATTCATACAAGAGTTTGTTTTTTTCAGTTCCAACATTTCCTCTACACTCTCTTGACTACCATGCCAAAGGACAAGCTACAGAATTCATGATCACTATTAACGATACCACCTCCAAAGTCTCTATTTCAAATATCTCACTTTTGAAGAGCCACAGAATTCATGATCACTGATAACAATACCATCTCCAAAGTCTCCATTTCAAATATCTCACTTTTGGAGAGCCATCATCTATTATTCCTGCTCATGTGCTCTGGGATCCTCAAAGTCATAATCCTTTGAATTAATTAATATCTAATCAAATAAGTCCATCATTTTATTCACTTTATTTACCAAGTAAACCAGCTTAATTTCACTATTTTGTAGCTACCCTTACTTTTATTGGTAACTCCTCAAACTCAATATCATTATCTGTTGGATCTCTCCATCTATGCTTGTTAAACAAGCTTGATTTTGTTTGTGTGTTTATTAATTCTGTCTCACTTAACTATGGTAATATAAACACTATGACAATAGAAATGGGGTCTACATTGTTTGTCTATATAGGACTAGTAAATTGTAAAGAAAACTTGATAGTAGATGAAAACTAAGTGGAAGCAAGACAGCTAGATATTTCCAGTAAAAATAAAGAGTATTTTAAAGGGCAAAAGGAGGCAAATAATTTCTCTTCTGGAAACAGATCTTTTTAAAGTTTGTATATGTGGATGTAAAATAGATTAAGGATCTCAGTAAGGACCATATCATAAAATTTTCATATAAGACGAAATACATCTATTCTTTAACCAAGAAGATGGGGATAATTTTTATGCAAGAATTGGCAGAGAAGAAAATTTTGTTTCTTCAAAAAAAATCAATACAAATATAAGTAAAACAAAAAGCTGGTTCTTTGAAAAGATAAATAAAATTGATAGACCATTTGCAAGATTAACCAAGAAAAGAGAGACAATCCAAAAGAGCTCAATTAGAAACAAAATGGGAGATATTACAATAGACATCACAGATATTAAAAAAAAATCAAGGCCACTATGAACACCTTTATGCACATAAACTAGAAAACCTAGAGTGGACAGATAAATTCCTGGAAAGATATAACCCTCTTAGCTTAAATCAGGAAGAAGTAGATACCCTGAACAGACCAATAACAAGCAATGAGATGGAAATTGTAATAAAAAAAATTGCCAGAAACAGTCCAGGACCAGTGGGATTCACAGCTGAATTCCAGCAAACATTCAAAGAAGAATTGGTACCAATCCTATTGACACTATTCCAGAAGATAGAGAAACAGAGAATCCTCCCTAAATAATTATATGAAGTCAGTATCACCCTAGAACTAAAACCAGGAAAGGACATAACCAAAAAAGAAAACAGACCAATACCCCTGATGAACATAGATGCAAAAATCCTTAATAAAATATTAACTAACCGAATATAACAAAATAATAAAAAGATAACCCACCATGGTAAAGTGGATTTCATACCAGGGATTCAGAGGTGGTTTAATATATGCAAGTCAATAAATGTGATACACCACATAAGCATAATTAAAAACAAAAGTCACATGATTATCTCAGAAGATGCAGATAAAGCATTTGACAAAATCCAGCATCCCTTCATGATTAAAACTATCAGCAAAATCGGTATACAAGAGGCATACCTGAATGTAATAAAAGCTACCTGTGACAAAACCACAGCCAACATAATACTGAGTGGATAAAAGTTGAAAGCATTCCCTCTGAAACTGAAAAATGACAAGGATGACCACTCTTTACTTCTATTCAACATTGTACTAGAAGTCCTAGCCAGAGCAATCAAACAAGAGGCAGAACTAAAAGACATCCAAATCAGTGAAGAGGAAGTCAAACTGGCACTGTTTGCTGATGATATGATTGTATACCCAGAAAACCCTAAATACTCCTCAAAAAAAGCTCCTAGAAATTATAAAAGAATTCAGCAAAGCTTCAGGATACAAAATTAATGTACATAAATCAGTAGCTATCCCATATACCAACAGTGACCAAGTTGAGAATCAAATAAAGAACTCAATTCCTTTTACAATAGCTGCAAAATAAAAAAAAAATTTAAATTAAATACTTAGGAATATACCTAACCAGGATGGTGAAAGACCTCTACAAGGAAAACCACAAAACTCTGCTGAAAGAAATTACAGATGGCACAAACAAATGGAAACACATCCCATGCTCATGGAGGGTAGAATCAATACTCTGAAAATAACCATATTGCCAAAAGCAATCTACAAGTTCAATCCAATTCCCATGAAAACACACCACCATTCTTCACAGAACTAGAAAAAAACAATCCTAAAATTCATATGGAACCAAAAAAGAGCTCTAATAGCCAAAGCAAGACTAAGCAAAAAGAACAAATCTGAAAGCATCACATTACCTGATTTCAAAATATCCTATATGGCCATAGTCACCAAAACAGCATGACACTGGTATAAAAATAGGCACATAGACCAATGGAACAGAATAGAGAGCCCAGAAATAAACCCAAATACTTACAGCCAACTGATCTTCAACAAAGCAAACAAAAACATAAAGTGGAAAAAGGACACCCTATTCCACAAATGGTGCTGGGATAATTGGCTAGCCACATGCAGGAAAATAAAACTGGATCCTCATATCTCACTTTATATAAAAATTCTCAAGCTTTTTGATGGTGGCATACTAAACTAGCATAGCATAGCATATTCTTGTTGTCCACAGTACGTAGTTGTTAGTATTAGTTTACTAGGTCTCCCTAACAAAGTAGCACAAACCAGGTGGCTTAAACAGCAGAAATGTATTTTCTCACAGTCGTGGAGTCTTGAAGACTGAAAGCAAAGTGTTGGCATACTTGGTTCCTTCGGAGAGCTGTCAGGAAAGGATTTGTTCTGGGACTTTCTCCTTGACTTTTAGATGGCTTTCTTCTCTTTGTGTCTCTACACAACATATTCCCTCTATGAAGGTCTGTCACTGGTTTCAAAATTCTCCTTTTTATAAGAAAGCTAGTCAAATTGGATTAGGGTCCACCATAATGACCTCATTTTAATTTGATTAAATCTGTGAAGACCCTGTCTTCAAACGAGGGAGTGGAGTTTAGGACTTCAACATATTATTTCTGAAGGGCACAATTTAACCCATAACACTTCTTGAAATAACTCATTGATTAAAAAAAAATTGAAAAGAAACAAATAAAACAAATAAAAATTTGCTCAGTATTTTTTAGCATTTTACTATTACAATAGTTCCTCCTTATTCTCTGGGGATATGTTCCAAGACTCCCAGAGGCTGCCTGAAAATTGGATAGTACTGAACTCCCTATATACTATGGTTTCATGATTTGATAACCAAGGTGGCTACTAAGCGACTAGTGGGCAGGTAGCATACCTATCGCAGATATGCTGGATAAGGAACAATTCAGGTACTAGACATGGTCTAGGAAGACAGCATGAGATCTCATCAAGCTACTCAGAATGGTATGCAATTTAAAACTTACAAATTGTTTATTTCTGGAATTTTTCATTTAATGATTTTTGCACTGCATTTGACCATGGGTAACTGAAACCACAGAAAGCAAAGCCACAGATAAGGAGGAACTATTTAATTTATTTTATAAAATAAATATGATTTTATGCCCAGAATTTTATATTACAAAATGTCTAATAAAGCAATATATTGCAAATTACAGAATTAGCAAAGATTTACCAATAGTATATTCTAATTGGAATGTCTGCACATAAAATGAAACTGTATGAATTCATGTCAAGGTATATATCTGCTTTGGAAAGCAATTTTTTAAAAATTATAGCAAAAACACTTAACATGAGATCCACTCTCTAATAAAAATTATGTGTACAGTATAGTGCACATAATTCAACTTTCATAACTGATACCTTATCCCAGTGGAACAATTCCCCATTTCCCCTTTTACCTAGGCCCTGGCAAAAACCATTTCTATTATCTCTTTCTCAGTTTGACTATTTTAGAGAGCTCTTATAGTGGAATTATGCAAGATTTGTTTTTATGTGACTGTCTTATTTCATTTAGCATAGTGTCCTCTAAGTTCATCCATGTTGTTGAATACTGTAAGATGTAATTTTTAAAGGTTAAATAATATTCCATTTCATGTATATACAACATTTTTAAAATCCGTTACTCTGTTGAAGGGCATTTAGGTTGTTTCTTTGTCTTGGCTACTTTGATACTGCTGCAATTAACATGGAAGTACAGATATTTCATTAAAATCCTGATTTCAACTTTTTAAATATATGCTCAGAAATGAGATTTCTGGATTGTATGCTAGTTCTATATTTAATTTTTTGAGAATCCTGCATACTGTTTTCCATAGCTGCTGCACCATTTTACCTTCCTGCCAATAGTGTACAATGGTTCCAATCTTTCTACATCCTCACCAACATTATGTATGCAAGAGTACAATGATTGACCATAACATTTATTCTTGGTAGAAATGGAAGATAATATATTAAGGGGATGAATAACAGTACAAGTCAGTAGGATCAACGTCTACCGTGGGTTGTTAGAAGTGAGCAATCGAGCACTAGAAGGAGGTGGTAGACAGAGGGCTGAGCATGGCATTCAGTTATGAATGTTGTGCAGTTATCAGTAATAAACATGAGTCAATGCTTGGAGGTTTTAAGATAAAAGGAGGAAGTGTCCTCAAAGTGACAAAGAATGGGTATCAGTAGGCTATCAACACTACCTATGTGGACAGTGGTAGAGAAAACAGGTGCCTCCTCAGAAAACTGAAGGCAAATAACTAGAGATCTCAGGGGAGAGCCAGGTATTTTTTTACTAAAGAAGGTAATAAAAATGTTTAGAGAAAATTTCAGGGACATAAAATATTTTTATGATGGACCTTGATTTCAGACAGAGACAGAAAAACAGAAAAAGAAAAGGGACATACAAATCTGTCTGATGATTAGTTTGTGAGATATTAGGAATCACTATGAGTCTGGGGATTTGGATTGGACACAGTTTGACTAATAATGGAATATTGGAGATTGGGTATGTCCAAGTTTTATAGATGGCAGCAGCATTCTGAGAAGTTGCCACGTTACTATGGGCAAGCAGGCTCCCTCTTGACCCATTTCTATGAGAAGATGGAAAGACTGTGTAGGTGTGGACTTAGTCCCAGAACATGGGCTTCATTTTTTAATCCTTCTAGGGTTTGTGATTTGGGGGCTGTCTCATTGAGAATGTGGAACTATCTCTTGAACCCTGTTTATGAGGTCAAAAATGTCATGGCAGACAACTGTACTCAGAAATCCCTCTTGATTGGTAAAATAATCAAGTTTGCATTGAAAACTTAAAAATGTCCTTCTTAAAAATTTCAGTAATTCCAACTATCAGCAAGTGTTCATGAGCCATAGGAGATTTGCAACTTTGAGCTGCAAACAGGTTTATTAGCAGAACATGAAATAAGAGACCCCAATAAGCCCTATTTATGTAGTAATTATAATTTGTAGACACACCAAATTTTAGTAGTCACAACTGACTATGAAAAATATACACTTTCTATAAAGCAAACTAAAAAAATAGAAAGTATATGCTATTTACTAAGCTCTTATAAAAGGGAGAGAATAACGTATAACTATATTTCGGTTTTAATGGTCTTGATATTTGAATTTTACCCACATGAATTCCATCTAAATGAAGCCACCAACGTGATAAATTCTGTGTTTTATAGTCAGTTATGAATTTTATGTGAGATTTTATTGTCATTTACTATGCTTTTTTTAATCAAATTGCAAGTAATCTGATTGACATTATGGCAATTTCATATTGCCAGTAGGGTCTATAAATGAATAAACATGTAAATGTAGATTAGTTGGCTTTCATTTACTTATTAGCAAATATTTGTGTATTGTCCCCTCTGGGTGGAGTAGTTACTGAGTAATATAAGGTACTCAGTTTTTTTCTAACATAGTTTTTCACCAGAAAACAAACAAACAAACAAAAGACAATTTGGCACATTGAAAAAATTGCAATAAAAATTTTTTAAGGGTTCTGAGACAGTTAATATATTCATGAAACTTAGATTTTTATCAATCAGTCATTTTTAGCAGAGGAACCTTCTTATTTGTCTGAAAATTAAAATATTTTATTCATAATACTATTTTTTGAGGTCCTTAACTTTTTATATTTTTATCCTCCAAAGATGGCAAATAAATGTCTGCGTTAAAAGGAAACTTGTACACTCTGTGCCTTTACAATTATTCCAACAAGCTACTACTAACACTTGCTTTATGAAACTTTGAAACTCCACACTCAACAAACTCTAAAAAATTATTAGACGTGGTTTCCACAAATACCACCAATTATCTTTAAAGAGTTATTTTGCTATGTGCTTTATTTATTCCATTTTATGTAATTCTTGGCTCAAACTAATGTTTTTATTGAAAACAGGAAGAAGATTTAAAAAGCAAGCAATAAAGAAGAAAAAGCTCAGTTTGAGAGATTACTAAGCTTCTCAAAGTAATTAGAAAAGGGTGTGATGCCTAATTTTGTGTGCTAACCCAACTGGACCATGGTGCCCAGATATTTGATCAAGCATTATTCTGGATGTTACTGTGAGGGTGTTTTTAACATTTAAATCAGCAGATTATGAACAAAACAAATTGTCCTCCTTAATTTGGTTGGGCTTCATCCAATTAGTTGAAGGCCTAAATAGAACAAAAGAGTAACCTGCCCTAGACAGAAGGAATTCTACCAGCAGATGGCCTTCAAACCTGAGCTACAACAGTGGCTCCTTCCTGCATCTCTAGCCTCCCAGCCTGCATTACAGACTTTGGTCTTGCCAGCCTCCATAATCTCATGAACCAATTTGTTAAAATAAATCTCTCTCTCTCTACATATATAAAAGTGCTACTGGTTCTGTTTCTCTGTAGTACCTGGACTAATACGAAGTTGATCAAGGATTATAAACCATAACTATCTAACCCCAAAACCCGTACTCTTCTCTTTCTAATATGTAACTTTTTTTTTTTTTTGTAAAACATAAACCTTAAAGCAAGATTCAGACATTATATTAGTTCATTTTCACACTGCTATAAAGAAATACCTGAGTCTGGGTAATTTATAAAGGAAAGAGGTTTCATTGACTCACAGTTCTGCATGGCTGGAGAGGCCCCAGGAAGCTTACAATCATGGTGGAAGGAGAAGGAGAAGCAACAAGGCAAGAAAGAGAGAGAGAGAGAGGGCCAGTTATAAAACCATCAGTCCTCATGACAACAGACTCACTGTCGCAAGAACAGCATGGAGGGCACTGCCCCCATGATCCAATCACTTCCCACCAGGTCCCTCCCTTGACATGTAGGGATTATGATTCAAGATGAGACTTGGGTAGGGACACAGAGCCAAACCTCAAAGTCAATTTTTAGAGTGAAGCATGTATCTTAGCTGGGAGTTTAGCCAATTGAGCAGAGAGACCAGGCTGATGGACTGAAGTTCTAAATTAATGTTTAAAAAGGGATAACAGCACTGTACAGTAGTTAAGAGCACAGAATTGAGAATAAGATGCCCAGGGTTTCAATACCAGCTCTACTGCCTACTTGGGAGAATTTATGTTAAATTATTTAACCTCCTATACCTGACAATGGTAGTATTCCTCCCAAACTCCCTTGGATCTAGATGCTTTTCACTGTTTTTGTTCATTTCATCCCCAGCTGTGTTATTTATTTCAAACTGCCGCACCAAGGATGCCATTCAAAAGATTCCTATTTGCAAGTGTGAAGCTTTTTTGCCACATGTAGATAGTAGGATTTGCCTGGACACTCACAACTGTCTGGGGTATTGTTAATCAATGAGTAATTGGGGCAGGAGGGTGAACGTTTAGCTCATTTTTCTCCAGGACAAAATATAAAGCATAATCTGTACTTCACAGCTTCTCTCTGGGATAAGGCCACACTTAGCTTGAAATTATACCCTCTCTTGGTTTCTTTACCTTTCCCAACCTGTTTTCTCCACTCTCTACTTGTTTCTCCTTTGGGCACTTTCTAGCTAAATCTTTTTGCAACAAACCTCATCTCAGAATCTCCTTCTGGAGAAATTGACTAAAGACATCCAGTTTTCCCATCTTCTAAAATTGGAATATTGTTCCTATTTCAAAGGATATTGTCAAAGTTTAATGGCATATATAACTATAACTAGCACATATTATGTGATAAATGCATATTAGTATATTAATTATAAAATAGTAAAACTAAATGTGTTCCACTTAATAAAACAATAAATTGTTGAATGCCTAGTTTATAGTAAGCAAATCCTGAACATCAAAAAATAAGAAAGCAATTATCTTGTCTTTATTTTTATGCCTATACAGTCTGTCTGGAGAGAGATACTTAAGCCAATACTAAAAATCCAGTGTTGGCAATATGAGTGCATAGAGTGCTAATAATTTTTAAACACAAAAGAATAATAAGGCAGGACATAGTGGTTCACCCCTGTAATCCCTGTGCTTTGGGAGGCCTAGGCTTGAGCATTGCTTGACACCAGGTGTTCAAGACCTTCCTGGGCAACATAGCAAGATTCAATCTCTACCAAAAAATAATAATATTAAAAAATAGCAAGGCTAGTAGTGTGCACCTGTATTCCTAGCTAATTGGGAGGCTGAGGTGGAAGAATCACTGGAGCCCAGGAGTTCAAGACTGTGGTGATCTGTGGTCACACCACTGCACTCCAACCTGGGTGACAAAGCAAGACCCTGTCTCTAACAACAAATAAAATGAAATGAAAAGGGACACTTTGAGTACCTAAATCAGTCCGAGTAGTCAGGGAAGAGATATATTAGAATGCCTAAGTAGTAATTACACAATTTGAAAAGTGGAAAGGGGAGTGGGAGGCTGAAAAAGAAAACAACAAAACAATACATATAACTGTTATGGAAGAGTTTTGCTAGTTTTTTATTGTTATTGTTACTATTATTTGAGTTGGGTACAGGTGTGTTTGTGTTTGTATCTACAAGTGTAAGTCCAAATGTGTGTTGTCATGTATGTGTTTGTCCATTTTAGGATGTGTGTGTGTGTGTGTGTGTTTCTGTATTGTGAGTTTGGGGAAGTAGGTTTGGCATTGAGGCAGAAGGGATAGGCAGAAACTCCACTGGCATTCTATGATATATTCAAGAGTCTATACTTCATCCTGAAGGCACTGTCAAGTCACTGAAGGATTTTGGTAGGGGAATGAAATGTTAGAAAGACAATTCTGGCAGCAGTGTTGAGAATGGAATTGAGGGCAGGGATAGTAAATAGGTTTTCAACTTACATGCCAACTCTGATCAATTGGTAGTGGCTGGCTGGAGCACTTTTTGAGAAGGATTTTGAGGTCTTGTCCCGGCTTAGTGAGAATGAGCACCATGATTGATTATCAATGTTTTCCATTTATTCCCCATGTTCTAATATTTTCTTTATTGAATCTGCCTTCTACAATGCATATTTGTTATAGATATCAGATATAGATCAACTGATATCATCGTAAAAAGCTACGTATGGAAAACTTTTCTTCTCTGAAGGCTTCTAACCTTGAAAATGCAATAAAATTTTTATTGTCTAGGAAAAAGTCTATGGGTTAACACAGACTTTAGCATGTAAACATATTAAAATCATTAATTTGTTTCAGTTTATTTGCAAACACTCTTTGGAAGAAGAGCTCTTGTAATCCATACCTGTTGTAGCATTGGAATAAAAATGAAACCACACACACAAATAAGAAGGAAATTTTAAGATCACTTAAAGATTATGAGAGACTAATATTGTGTTTGTAAATACATTAATTTTGCCAAAACTTTCTTCCTCTTCTACTTCACATAGACTAACTGTCCCTTATATTAATTTTTGTACTTATTGCTTTACTGATTTATATTTAATTGGCTACATGTTGTAAAAGATTATAGTATCAACTTTAAAAAATATTCTCTGGTAGTAGAAAGAGTACAGCATTTGGAGCCAGACAAACTTACTTTTTAATCTTGGCTTTGTCACGTACTAACAGTCAGATCTCAGGCAGGTCTTTCAGTGTGCCTCCTTACTTTATTAATAAAGTTTTCATAAGGACAAAATTTCATTCTCCATTAGGCCAAGTGCATCTTGAGTCAAATTTCCTAAGGCCTACACAAGAAAAAAATCATATGGTGGCTATTAAATATCAGCGTAACAGTAAATTGAGTTTTTACGGAAATACTTTGAACTACATTTATTCCACATGGCTATTATTACATGAATTTTGAGTTGAAACACAGCTTCAAATAATATTACACTACCCAAAATGCACACACATGTGATCAGATGTGAGAGTAAATACGGGAGATTGTTACACTTTTCAATGCCTAATAATCGGTGTTTCAAATGACACCTTCATTAACGGTACTGTTTTAATTGCAAACTTTGTTTGAGTCTATTAAATATAAAATTTTTGGAAATGGAACAAATCACTTTACACAAAATAATGGTTTTTGTACTGCTTCAGATAACTCATACTTTGAAATTGATTGTGGTTGATTTGAAATATGTTCGGTGTTTTTCTACCCCATCAGGTGCTACATTAATAATATCCCAGGGCAGAAGCTGCAAAACCTAAAAAATGGAGCAAAACTTGTCAAGAAAATAGCTACTGGTGGTGAGTGGTGGCTCACACCTGTAATCCTAGCACTTTGGGAGGCGGGTGGATTGTCTGAGCTCAGGAGTTTGAGACCAACCTGGGCAACATGAAGAAATCCTGTCTCTACTAAAATACAAAAAATTAGCCTGATGTGGCAGTGTGCACCTGTAGTCCCAGCTACTCAGGAGGCTGAGGCAGGAGAATTTGCTAGAACCCATGAGGCAGAGGTTGCAATGAGCTGAGATCATGCCACTCCAGCCTGGGTGACAGAGCGAGACTCCGTCTCTAAAAAAAAAGAAAGAAAAAAAGAAAAAAAGAAAAAAAAAGAAAAGAAAATGGCTACTGCAGTAGTCAAACATTTGGAAAAATATTGTTCTAAAAATTAGCATCTTTGATCCAGCAATAAATGTATAGTAATTTTGATAGAAACAAGCAAAGTATGAAACTATTCTTCTAATATTGACACTCAATATATTTTAAAACATTAAACATTTCAAAAAGCGTTCCTTGAAATGTTTAAATATCACATAAAATGGATCACCATTTAATACACCATCAGTGCATCATTGCTCATTTAGATAATGAACAAAACACTAGAGAAATGAGCCATTTTATAAATCTTTGCTATATTTAGAATTAAAATCTGTCTGTTTTGTGGTCTTTAGGAATTTTATTTCACACATTATCATCTTTTTTTCATTTAATAGAAGCATGGGGAAAGAAAATGTACTATCCAGTCATGGTTGAGTTTCTTTATGTTGCACTTCAGTTTTCTGGGCATTCCTAGTAGCTTTTATTTCACAGTTGTTTCTTGTTTAAGTCTCACACAAGATGACAACAGCATGGGGCAAATCATTTTTGGCTTAATTTGAAATGCTGTTTTCAGGGTATTTTAACAGCAGCAATTCTCATATGAGCAAGTAAAGATCATAAATGTTATCCGTATCTCCCCAGATAAACTACAAATAGAAAAACAAACACATGACAGAACTTGTAAAGTGATAAAGAAATTTCGTATGTCTAAGCCTTGCCAGTGTATTTTAAACATGGACAAAATGTATATTTATCAAATTTGACATACTCTAAAAAGAAACCAGGTAAAAACATGAAAAATTAAAATGCTTATATATAAACTCTACAACTGAAATCTAATGTTAATCTATACTATCTAGGTGAAAGATATGGTAGGTGTCAAAAAAAACCATTATAAAGTCAATGACTGTGGGATGCGTGTGTGCCTTGGAGTAGAGATGTTCTTAAAAAGAAACCATCAAGGCCCTCTGGTTAACTTACTGAAAATGTTCTGAAATTTTTTCAACAAAGGTGGATTGGTGTCAACTTATGAGAGTAGAAATTGTGAATTGCAGATTTTGTATTCTTTCTTGCCAGCAAATGACCTCCCATCTGTTGGTTAAAAAAAAAAAAAAAAAGAACCTGTGAGATGGCCAATTCACCTTACTTAAGCACAAACTGTTACTACAATTATTTTCCATCCATTGTTGTTTTATATATTACACCAAATTTATATTGGGTAGAAATAATTTTTTCAAATGTTATTTGAGAGAATAATAAACATCTCATTTATTATGTTTTTAAATGCAAATCCCCATTAACTTCATTCACTTCATGAGTGAGTGAAAACTTTTGGAACTTCTTCATTCCAATTGTAACCTTTGAGACATGCCTGTATTTATTGACATCTGATTTACAGTGAGTATTTGAATACAGTGAAAAATATTTTTGTCTTCTTACCATCTGCAATTAACATTGTTAATAAACTCTGCATTCAGGACTATAGTAAGACTGTATGTATGTGGGCTTTTCTTTGTCATCTCCAGATAAATTCTAACCATCAAATTATATATTGAGACTCTTTCCTCCCTGGATCTATATTCTATTACTATATAACTTAAGCCTAAGTTTACATCTGCTTTTAATAATGCCTTTGAATTACATTGATGATTCATATTTGTTTTTAAATAAAACCCCAGCTTCTTTCTAACACTAAGTAATCGGGCCAGGTTTTGTTTTTGTTTCATTTTTGTATTTTCTCCTGGATATATGTAACTGATATTTTTGAAACTCGTTGTAAAAGTTTTAGTAAGTAAAATTAAAATTTTGGTGAGAGAAGTGATATCCCAAGGTAAGTAAGTGTACTTAATATTCATTTATTTATGAGTATGAGAGACACTATTTTATACTTTATGGATCTTAATTTAAATTATTCCCCTGAGACTGAGGTGAATGAATTTGAAAAAGACACAACACTTTCAGACATATTCTATGAGGGTCATAGCTGAATAAAAAGTAATGGGAAAAATGTCACCTGAAGTGTGTCAGTTTTTATTGTTATTACTAATTTTTTCATTGTTTTTCATTTTTACATTCATGAACACCTCACTTAAATATCACCCACCCTAGACCACCCTGCTTCACTCATATGTATATTTTATATTCCCTCTAAACAACAGTTGAACCTGATATTATTCATATAAGCTTAATAATTAAGGAAATGAATATAAGTTCACATGAATTAGAGTTCATATCACTTTGCCAACAAAATGATATATGGATATTTGCAGTCAAACCCATTTATTCCTAAAAATTACATGAAGTATATATATGCTATTAAAAATAATTTTCCAAAAAAAGGTTAGCCTTTGAAAAAGAAAGCGCTAGAGTAACGCCGTAAAGAGACAGAGGCAAGTCCCTTGCTTTCCTGGTTCTAGTCCTGCTTCAACAACAACAAAAAAAAAACATGTTTGCTTAGACCTGTTGGTGCTCATATTGTAAGAGCAAATACAAAGTTAAAATAAGAAACTTAATTCTCTCTGTTGAAAATAAAGAGAGAGACTTTTGTGTCACCCCTCCACCCTTTTCATAGAAAACTTCACTTTAGAAAACTTGTAAGTTCTTTGTGTCTTAGAAATGTATGCAAGTCACTTAAAAGGATAAATAAGCAACCTGGGGACCTGGGAATCTGGTCAAAGCCTTGAAATGTAATCATCACAGAAGACAGTAGTCCTATCTCCCAGTTTCCTGAGACGTAGAAGCCTGACTTTAATTGGCACCTGGCTCCAAATTGCAAACCTATCTCCTATCATAAGAACTCAAGACATTTATTTTTTTTTTCTTTTAAAGGCAATTAGCAAAATAAGCAACTACCACAATGACCAGGTGGTTCAGGATGAAATATTTGTAAGAAATGGTGCTGCCCAATTCTAGTTTTTATTTATCATGAGAAAATGTATATAGTATATCGCCTGGCTATAAGAAAAGGTGAGATTTCTGTCTTAATCTCTTTCATGACTGCTTGTGATGCCCATCACACTCTGTTTTAATGCTTATTCAATAACAAAACAGGTTTATTTCTCATACTTTTATAAAGAGATTTTCTAGGGTGCCAGGAGATTTTGTTTTAATCATATTTCACCAACGATATCATTGGAGCTCACAGCCTTTCTCTGCACCAAGGATGTTTTGATGACATTTGTCATTCAAGCTCTTCTCTCTCTAACTCTATGATACTTTGTAGAGGACATTTCTTTCTGCAGTCGGAGACCATACTCTCCCCATCAATGGGCTTTTTCTTTAAACGAATTTTTACCACCTTTCAGACAGCAGCTTCCTTACATAAGCAACTGCCTCTATAGATTATTTCTGCCTCTGCCTGAGTTAACTTTCTCTACCCAAAGATCCTTCCCATAGCAGCTCTGGCTGTGCCTTCTATCAGCTCTTTTCAGCTCAGTGAACACATTTCTAGATCACCTCTGCCTGCTCATACCTGGCGGCAATTGTAGGTGACTTCTACAGAATGGCTCTAGCCCACACTTTCAGGCAACTTTTGACATCATTGTTTTGTTTATTTGTTTGTTTCTGTGTGAGTCAATCTTTCTTTAAAGAGATTTGAATATCTTTGGGTAGGCATCCTCTGTTTTCACCACTCTTACTAGTCTCCAGATAGTTGCTTCATTTTGCATTTGCTAATTCTGGATTTCTTAGTGTACTTTCTTACCTCTTTTAGTAGCCGATCACTTTTGTCTAGTTAAACACTCCTTATATGAAAATTATCTTTTTCAAATTCCGAATGTGTTTTCTTTCTCTGAACTAGATCTAACTGATGCAGAATTGACATTGAGGGAGATTCCAGGAGACAGTCTCTCCTGGATTGGATTGGGCTTCCGTGTAGCGCTGTGTTCCTTGCATATGATCACTAAGTAGCTAGCAATCCATAGCGTGTGGCGGTGTCTAATTTATTAAGTTATTACATGCAGTTGGTTGTTATAAATTTCTAACTGAAATAAGTGCCTTGGGAGCCCAAGAGGCCATTCTACTTGACTGTTATGGAAGTGATGATGGTAACTATCTGACTGTGGTATTATATGGATTCCTCTAACTGCACTACAGTGTTTATAGAGAGAAAATGATAAGCTCAAGCCTGTAACTATCAGTTTACATTACAGTCTGAAAACTAAAACTAAAGTTTCCATGGCAGCCACAAAATAATCTGTTATTTCTTGTATCCACAGAACCAATATTGCTAAAAATCAAACACAAAATTTAATATGTGCAGCAAAATACAACATCAACTGAATTCACAGCCTCGCCAAGTTCTCATATGACAAATAGTGTATGGATTGGGAAAAAAGGAGGACTCTGAAACTGGAAATACTTGAAATGGAAACTTTGGACTCAGATAAAAGAAGAGATTTTGGACTCCTGGATTACTCTGTGCTTTCCTTACTAGTGAAAGTATTGTTTCCTCTTGTTTCTCTTCACAGACTTGCCTTCTTGCTTTCTGTACTTTAAAAGCTTGTGAAAGTTGTGTGTGTGTGTGTGTGTGTCTGTGTGTTTCTGGAGTAGATACTTTGTAAGGGGCAACATAATCACATACTATTACCATTAGACTCATAACATCAGTAATAAGTCTAATGCCACAGAAGCAATGTCATCCTAGGTAGAACTGCAAGGGTAATTGCCATTATAAATATATTTTTAAAAATTGTTGGTGATGGCATTTACTAAATTCCTTTAATGTCATCTTTCTAGCCTGTGTAGAATCAGATGGCTGTTGATAATAACTATGGATTATTTCAAAGTTAATCTGATTTTAACTCCAGTTGAAACTGCTGTCTGGACATAGTATTGTTATTGGACAAATCATCACAGGCCCTGGCACTTGGCATGCAACTATTGACCTAACCAATATACATATATATATATATATATATATGTATTTCATATCAATATGCAAAGATTATTAGAAGCAGTTTTCCTTTACCTAGTAAGACCAATAGTACAACTTCACAACTTTGCCTCAGGGCTATGCTCTCTGCCATAATATGGTCTACAAAACTTTACAGAATTCCACAAAACATTATGTTGCTCCTTATCGACTGCATCATTTTGACTGAATTTTAGGAGAAAAAGAGTCAAGAGTACTTGGGTGCCTCAATATGACCTATGCCAACTAGAAGAGGGATTGGAAAACTATAGCCTGCAGGCTAAATATTTTGTAAATAAAACTTCATTGGAACAAAGTCAAGCACGTTTCTTTCCATATTATCTATGGATACTTTGATATTGCAAAAGTAGAGTAGTTGCAGCAGCACCACTCTGTACAACAGATGTTAAAATATTTATTATATTGTCCTTTACAAAAGAAGTTTCCATCCTTTGAAATAAGGAATGAAAAATAAATACCACAAAACCTTAGGGGCCTGTTAGCTACATAAAGTTGCTTGGTTTCAGTGGTCTGAAGCACACTAAGATGCCATCTCTATAGTCAAGAAAAGTTTTTGTACCTGTCAATATAATACAGTAAGACTTTTGAGACTTCAACTCATCACAAAGTCACTCATGAGACTACCAATTGCAAGCAGGAACCAGAGCAAGAGAAGGCTCTGAAGCAAATCCAGGCTGTAATGCAAGCTTCACTCTCAACTGGACATTATTTTCCAAACTATGTAATAATATTCAAAGTGTCCATGGCAAATAGGTATGTTGTGTAGAAGATCAGTCAAGCCAAAAGAAAGAATATCTCTGGAAACCAGAAAATTCTCTGAAGGTACCTCTTTGTACTTATATTATCAATAGTACAGATTAATGGAAAAATATAGTATCTAACAAAGAGAAAAATTTTGAGAAGCCAGACCATTCAAAAAGGATTTATGTAACTCCACGAGGGGAAAAACCTGGACAAGAAAAATATGGAATGGATAGTAGAAGAAATGTCATAAATATTAACCTTGACATTGTAATAACAACCTAAGAGTTTTCATATTTTCTCTCTGCTTGTTATATGTGTGTATGCATATAAAATGTTATTATTTTCTGTACTTCTGTGAATTTTTATTTTAAATACAATTTGTTAGAAGTGATCTTCACAATTTAGTTTTATTATCTGCACCATATCTATGTTCAGTAGTACAATGAGAAAAATTGAGAAGTAATTAACATAACTAGAGATGGATATAACGACTATTGAAAGTATTAGCCTTCTTATTATTGGAAGAAGGTGAAGCTATCTACACCTGAAAGAGGAATAGCTATTTCTTGTTGGGTTTGAAGAATGCTATCTATGTCTGTTGAGTAGCCAGTGGGTTAGATCATGCTAGTTATTTATTTCGTGTCTCTTTGCTCCAAATCTACCATTTTTGCCATGCTCTGTAATACTGAAAGTGGACCCATAAAATTTTTTCTTTGTTAGCCTTTGTTAATAGGGAGTTTTGAAATGCCACTGTAAGCCTTACTACTAAGAAACTATTCTCCTCTGCACTCCTGACTTCTTTCTTTTCCTCTATCCTTAACTAATATGCTTTAAGGAAGAAGATGATTAGAGTTGGAGCCAAAGACTCAGTGTCCACAGCAAAGACTGAAAATCATACACACCTGTTTGCATATACTGAGTAGCTCTGGAGAGAAGCAGAAATAAAATATCTATGCCTCTGTTAGAGTCAGGCACTGAAGGAAATAATGTATACAGTGGTCCATTTTCAAGACAAAGTGCCTTGAATTGGCTTAGGTCAGCAAACTACAGAAAAAACAGGATGTACTAGGCCCCTGAATGGATAACTGATGCCTCCTTTTGGGTCTCCCCCTCCCCACCCTACCCCCACCACACCTGAACGAAACAAGTTTAGTATAAGATAAAAGTTTCAAGCCTGCAAAATAGCTCATTTTGTCTGTTCTTATCAGCCTGCCCAGCTTCTTAGGTCATAAGTCACTTGAAAAGTCATACCACTTGAAAAGCCCCTGAGCTAACTAGGATTGCAATGCATTGTGGGCTGCAACAAAATGCAGCAAGAAAACCCTAAAGAGAACACCTAAAGCCCCTACCCAACAATCAATAAGCGACATCTGGAAAGATTGTGACCCCATAGTACTCAGCCTATGAGGAACCGGGAAACGGATCTGCACACTAGGGGATAAATTGCTTGTTGAAACTATGCTGGGTGTGCCTACTCATCAGACACCTGATCTTGCAAGACCATCATTAAAAGTCTCACTTTCACTGTTTTCTGGGCCCCTGAGTCCATTCTTTGGGTTTGGACAAGTGAGTTTGTTTCTCACATGCACCAAAGTCAAAATCCTGCCTTGTACCATGGGGCAGAGGTGTATGAATTCAATGGATGGGTTTTGGGCAAATTCACAGTGGAGGATGGAGCCTATCATGGTCTTGTGTTGGAGGCCCTTTATACCACACAAATCTACTACTGTTGCTTCTACATTTGAGTGCATAATAAAATTCAATGAGTTATATATTTGTACCCAAAGTGTCAGAGATTATTTTCTTGATAATGAATTGCTGAATGTAGAAAAGTGTTAGGGAGACAAACTCTCTTGGAATCCCTTTCCACCACCTTTGTTAAATAAGGATGTAGCATTAGTATCTCTACCTCTGCTGTCCGAAGATCTCACTTATAGATGATGACCTACTAATTGCCAAGTCAGAAGCCTCAGTTTCATCAACCCTGATTAGTTTGTTATCAAACCTCTGCCAGCAGAGGTAGGTTATAGTTTCTGACAAAAATTCAGGGGCCTGTTCACCAAATAAATTTTCTTTGGATTATGTGGGAAGCCTTACAATGCTCTATTCCTCTGGCAGTCAAGGAAAAACTGCCATCCCCTCAACTCCCCACAGGTAAAAAGGGAGGCCCAGAACCATATGGAACTCAAGTATTGAAGACACTAAGTGCATCACTTGGGCATCCTTGGATTTTTTTGGATATTTGTTAATTCACAAATCAGTATTTATTGAGTGGGGTCCAAATCAACAGGTTTCACTGGAAAATATCCAGAAAGCTGTGGAGTCTAATGTTGGGGACATGCAACCCTGATGACACCTTGAGTTATAAGCCTGTGTGATTAATGATTTTGCTGATTGGATCCTCTGGCAAAGGAAGATATACTCCACCTAAGGTGGTTCTTTGGGTTTTAGACCTTTCATTTCTCTAGCATGATTACCATGTAAACTGTGTTTTATAAATAGCTATGAGCTTGCTACTGGGCGCTTGTAAAAAAAAAAAAAATGTCTGACTCCCCGAGAACTTGTGACTCTTTAATCTGTTAATTTGGGGTAAGCCAACTCAGGCTCTATGACTAACAAAGTGGGAAGGTCCCAACAAACCTCACTTGTCAAATGTAAATGGATATTTAAAAATGCAGCTTTCCTGGGCCCCGCTCCATCACCACTTGATATAAAAAAGTGGCAGCTAGTTCTTTGTGGGAACTGAAATCCTCATTCTACTCTCTGGAGAAAAATCTCCCAGCTAAATGGGGTCCACTATTCATAAAAGTTCCCCTAAATGCTTCAACCTGATCCACTGATGTTTCAGCTAAACTGAAACTCAACGGTGATCCCTGAGCTGGTGACACTTTTTAACCTCAGTGCCATTCATGAAGAACTGAATGGAGATTTTCTTTTTCTCCGTTCAATGAGCAGGATTTAAGACTAATTTTTTTTCATAGCACTGCCCAATACACTCCTTGATGAATTTTGTTATACTTGTACTAACCTATGGAATATTGCTAATGGCCTAGCTCTTTGGTCTTTTGCTTCAGAAACTGTAGGTTGGCATGTTAAATGCATTTCACTTTGGGGCCTATGAACTGTGGAAGGAAATCACAACTCCTGATTGTACTCTCTGGGTCACTCATATAGAAGCTAGCAGTGAGAGCCCATTCTCTGATTATACCCACTAGAATCAATCTGCTTATAGGGCCTGCACTGGTTTATTGCCCCCATCTACCTGCAACCATTTTTGTACCAGATGAGCAATACATCACCATTACAGATTAGGCACAAATTAAAGTACTACATGTTTGTTATGAAGAGGTGATCAGTACATGTCAAACTCGTAGCTTCTGCTGAATTTGAGTTGTTCATCTCTTAATAAGGAGGCCCCATAACATGGGGTATGAGCTGTGCTCCTTCACGGAAGATTGACTGCCTAAAACTTTGACTCCCTCTTGAGGCTGTCAGTGGTGTTACACCAATATTTTGAAACTTCAAGTTAGTGTTCTTTTTCCATTCTGATAAGTTAACTCCACCTTTATGGCCTTAATACTAAACTGTGTTATGTTTTTGATCTCCATTACCATTTCCAAACTGCCAATGGTGTGCCTTTTAACTCATAAGCACTCAAAATTATCAAAAGACTTGATGTTTTTTTCACAGGCTGCATCATTCACAATTATTTAAATTTGCTAAGCATTAGAGCAGCCTTCTCAAAAATTGACTCAAAAACATTTCTGACTCTAACTCCCTAATTTCCTCCAGGGACCTTAGTAATGCAGTTTGACCAACACATGCAACTATTACTAGAAATGGGTCTTAACCTATTTGCTACTTTCTGGTTAATCATCAGGATAAAAACTGTAAGTGGTTTCATATAGAAAATTTCATCAGAAAATTAGGTTTTCTGACCTGCTATTTCCAGGCACAATTCTTCTCCACCTCACCCTCTTCTAACATAAATTTCATGCTGGCCTGAGTTTTCAAACTTAATTCAAATTTAATCACATGGATTGCTTTTTTGAATGGGGATGATCTAGGATCATAAGGATAATGACCACTTGTTGAATATTCTGGTCACTAAGTATCCCTACTCCAGGCCAAAGGGGGAACATAATTAGTCTTTATAAGTTTTATAAGAATGCCTTTGTTTCTCTCACACCTAAACAAAAGTTTTATGTGGGAGTATTAAAATATTGTCACCTCCATTTTTCTTTAACCTTAGGAAGTATTCTTTCAGAAACAGAAAAGGATGGCCCCGGCTCCTGTACCTTCCACGTCAAATGCCTGACAATACCTCTGGATGCCCTTTCCACTGTTACTCTCATAGCCTTTTCTCAACCATTTCATGTGATGAATAAATGGCATTGGGCTGTCGATATGGGCAAATTCTGCAGATTGGGATAACTACCCTTAGGCATTTTTTCTAAAAACAAGAACTACTCTCAATTATTTAACTGAGTTGAGAGACCCAAGATCTGCCATCCATCTGGAAGGTCATATTGTAGGCATTGTCACCATGTTCCTCTTGGCAGTTGTAGGTACAACTTGGAAGGCCCTAACAATTGTAAACAATATTTTCTTTTTATGGACACCATGTGCTTCTGTGACTTTGCTTCTTACCTAGAATTAACCTTGAGGATTAATTCCGAGGATTAATTCACTTCCTTCCTAAAACCATGGTGACATGTACCTTAATTAAAGGTGGCCACAAAAAACTTGCAAATATTTGAGGAAGCACAACAAGTAAATCAGCAGGATGATGAGTAGGATAATTTCCCCATAATTAGGCTAAAGTTAGTTCCTTGATGAATTTCCCTTTGGGAAGTTATCCTGCTGCTTGGAGTCCTACAGATGATAGCCATAATTAAATTCTGTATGAGACAATTGGAACAAAATTTGTCCCAGCCTCTGTTGGTCAGATAAATTAAAATGTCCTAGAGCATTTTACACATGACAATTCAACTAAAGCCAAAATCATGTAGGGACGAGGAGCGAATATTTGTAGGAGACTCTTCAGTCTTTTGCAATTCTGTATGTCTAGTGAACAAAGGCCCTGATGATCTCTTGTTTTGGACTGTCTTCTCTAGTGTGTTTGTGTACTGGACAGTGTTGGAAAATAGACATTGTATTTTATTCAGAACAAATGACAGGTTTCTTACTGTCTCTTATGAAATACTCATTTTTCATGCTCAGGGTTTCTCTTCTGTAATGTAACAAAAGGCATACACAGGTATCTTGCTACAATGATTAGCATTATCCCTCTGGGACTTGGCATCAAGCATAACTGAGGCAAATATGCTGATGTTCTTGCTCCTTTTTATGCCATTAGTAATAATGTCATTTATCTCTTACTTGGTAGTCTCACCTCTTCAATCCATGATATTGTGGAAAACTAGTATGTTAGCTTGCAAAGGAGGATAAAAGTCAGGCCCTTCACAGTTCTTTATACTTTTCCCTATCTTGCTGTATTTTATATTCTCCTTTATAATAATTTAAGACACTATATTTTGCTCCTTTAATCTTATGTATTACCCTAAAATTAATTTAAGTAGGGATTTTCATCTGTTTGATTGACTTCTGTATTCTTAGTTCTTAGAAAAGAATCTGGCATACAGTAGGTAATGTATAAATATATATTTGGTGAATGGGTGACTTCTCTATACAACAAATAAATAATAAATGTTATTCTCAATAATAAGTAGAATATATATTTAAAAATAGCTAACCACCAGGACACAGTAACCTGACCTACATGCAAATAAACTCAAAATAGAAAGATAAATATAATCTAAAAATCATCATTTAATTAAAATTGAAATAAAATGGCCAAAAATAAGAGTATAGAATAATCACAACAATTATTTTAAAACATTTAGATATAAATTTTAGTGAAGTACTGTGTATCAAAACCTGTTAGATAAACCAAACTTAAATTAGAATTAGACTCCAGCTTGTTTTAAAATATATAAATATATAAATAAGCCTGACAATATTAGAAGTAGAAAAGCACATCAGAAGTCTAGTAAAAGAACATGATAAATTCAAAGATAGTAGCTCCTCCATATTTTAAAAATCTCCACAACAAAGTCTTAATGGGACTACTTGAGATTTTCCAGCAGTGTATATGTCCCCAAAAGGAAGTTTGATTAATTTTTTTCTGGGAAAATTAGCAAATCCACATGGCTATGAAAAATAAGCCACTATGTCCTAAGCAGTGTTTCTCAGTAAAATAATGAGGATTTGGTTTTCTTGGATCTGCATTCATAATCGAGAAACAGAAATTTTTTGCCCAATTATTTAGATGAAGCACCAGAAGTGTTAATTTTTAACCTTCTTAAAATTCACCAACATCAAATTCACACTGTGTTTCCTAAGAAGTCAAGAATGGCTAAATATTGAAATATCCATTAATAAAATCTACTATTTTAACTGAATAAACATAAAATATAGAAAGATAAAAGTCAAGGTCAAACAACTTTTACTAAAGTATACTTGATAAATAAATAAATGAACCTCAGAAAACCAAGAATAGAAAAAAAAAATTAGCCAGGAGTGGTGGCACACACCTGTAGTCCCAGAGATACTCAGGAGGCTGAGGCAGGGGAATTGCTTGAATATGGGAGGCAGAGATTGCAGTGAGCCGAGATCGCCCTACTGCACTCCAACCTAGGTTACAGAGCAAAACCCCGTCTGAAAAAAAAAAAAAAGAAAAATTGCTATATCCCAATCATTTTACATTATACTGGAAGCCATAGCTAATTCCATAAGGTAAGCCAAGAGAAATGAGAATCACAAGTATTAAAAAAAAGAAATAAAAATATCATTTACAGAAAATATTATTGTCTATAGTATATCAAAAGTATTTAAAAATAATTTTTATGGCTAGAGAATAAGCATAAAAAAGTAAAAACTGAATCATAAAATTGCAGTAACTAATTGGAAATTACAATAAAATAAATATTCCATCAACCGTAACCATAACCATAACCATAAGATATATGTAAAAACAATTTATAAAATATTGATGGAGAAATGAAAAATATTACTTTAAAGATAACCTAGCCAAATAATGAGATTTCCAATGTTAATGGATGATAAAATTCAAAATTATAAAGAGATTAATGTATTTTAAAAATCTATGATATTAAAAAAAACAGTGAAAACTCCAATATTCTTCAGAACATTTAGAAACAAAAATGTATCCTAAAAGGAATAAAGGAAATAAAACCCACCAAGAAACAAGACAAATTTTATGTTAACAAATGGTGTGAATGATTCTATAATGTTATTTATAATTTGACTTCTGCTTTAAACAATATGGCAAACCACATGTTTTGAAACCCTTGGTTTATAAATACTAGTAATATTTGTATAAAGCAAATGTTGGTTAAGGCAAACATACTTTCAGTTGCATACCTAAACAAATTAGAAAGAGAGAGGGATCTACAGAGAGACCTAAAATAAAGTGATTGCTGAACCCAGAGGGTTAACAAGCTCTGTGGATATCGTTTGTGTTGTGGAGACTAGACTCTGCTTCTAATGGCTAAATGACAGAGGAGAAAATAGAGCTTCTGGTCCATGTCAAGTGAAAAGGGAAGGCTTTAAAAAAAAAAACAGTTTGGAAGACTACCATTTTAAAGAAAAGGTAAGCTTGGGGAATAAAAATCACACATTTTCAAAGACAAATTGTGAAACAACGTGGCAGTGTGTGTGTATGTGTGTGTGTGTGTGCGTGTATCAGTCTTAGAAAATCGGTATAGTGTCTGTTTTCTACACATACCCCTGAGAATTCGCAATCTTAATCCTTCCTTCATGAGGTTCTTTGTTTAGTTTTGTTTTTTCACTTGCATTTTCTTTATGATCCAGAAAGTAACTAAGTCATTGCCTATGTTGGCTGTGAGCACTTACAGGAAGGACTACCTATCTGCTTTGGAGTGATAAAATTTTTCTCAGTGGTCTGTTAAACTCTTTCATAAGGTTTTAAGGGACATCAATAAATTACTGTAAGGACAAGAAACAATAGTATTTGTAAATTATCACTGACTGCTGATTGGATTTGAGAACAATGTTAATTCTGTTTTGCAAATAATTAAAGCATTCAAGGGAACATTGACACTAACTTTAATTCTTCATTACTAATAGATTAATGAAGAACTTTAACCAAGTATAACGAAGAGAAAATGTTCAGTTTGTTGTTTGTGTTTGGTCTGTTTTGTTGAGGTTATGAATGGAAAGAGTTTCCAAGCTGAAAAGCACTTTTTCCATTGAAATAAGGACATCATGATATAGGCATCATGATATGTAAACCTATTTAATGTCACCCCTCTTCCCATCAGCTCTCTTTGCTACAGTGTTTATAAATGTGCTTACAAATTATCAAAAACTCACCCAAAAATGCATTACTTAAGGCAGCAGCATGTGAATTTGTAACCTGCTAGGGAAAATAAAAACAAACCAATGAAAGTCTTAGTTTTTCTAATAAAACTAAAATCATCATTGTACTCTTAATTATTCTTCACTGTTTACATAACTGATTTACTGTCTGAGGCAGAGAGAAAGACACACACAGAGTCTTCACTATGTTAAGGTCAGGTAATCAATTTCCTATCCCAAAAGGCAAAACTAATAGTACAGAGGATTATCGCTAAATACAAGCAGCTGCTTTCGTAAGACTGGAGCTTTTCTAGGGAATCCTGAAATAATGGAGTAGGTAGGAAACAGAATTCTATATATCTCGATCTTTGAATTTGTAAAAGCCACGCAGGTGCTTTTTAACTACAGATGAAATGAGGATTAATTTTGCTTTGATTCAAGTAATTGCTATTAAACATAAATGCATTTCAAGCAAAACATGGAGTGGTTATGGATCAAAGGATATTTCTTTTGTTCTGAATGTCATTAAGGCTTTATCTTTAACAAATTTGACTCTAATTTTATACATTGAAGAATTTCAGGAGTTTACCTGTTATAAACCATTTAATGCCAGTTTTAACTTTGAACCTCACTATCTCTAAATATCATTAAAATTCAACAGGTTATTATACCATACTTATTTAACATTGATAACAATCCATGTATTACTCTCTTTTCATAAGTTCATGCAATGCTGTACATTCTGTAGAGACTGATTATAACATAAACAATTTCTAAATTTAATTAATGCTATAGATCAGTTTCATTTTATAAGGAAACTCACATGCAATTTTATTTTTCTCTAAGGGTTCTCTTTTAAAATCTATTGATGCGATGCAACTTATTAATATTTTAAATCCTCCTTAGTTTTAATTTTAGGCATAACACATGCAGGCAAATTATATGTCTTTCCATGAAATATAAACAAATATATCAGTAATCTTGATGTTAATATTATTTTTTAACATATTTAGTCAATTAGCTTGACATCACACAATTGAATTAATATTTCTTTTGAAATACTTTCTTTTCTTAATATTCATCAGATTACATATTTCCTCTCTATCATTTCATAGCTCTAACTATTCAACCTGCTGTATCAATACTAGACAAACTCATTTCCACACTCTGTTTTATCATGTCAACTCCAGCTCTAGATAAATTTATTTACAAGTCTTTTAAACCATCTGGTATCATCTATCAAAATTATATTTTCTATTTGTAACAATCCAGATCCATATATTCAAATGCAATATTGCATTGTCCATTGTACCTGTGTTCTTAGCCACCTTAAGATTAATATCTTCAAAATTGAATGAATGACTCATCTCCCATCCTGCCGCTTCCCCATTCCAGTCCTACAACCTAGCTCCTAACAACTTAGTGAAGCAATTTAGTCTGTGTTTAGACTCCCTGTGTCTCTTCATTTCAATAAATTTTATTTCATCTAACAAGTTGGTTCTTCCTAAAAGCTAGGGGATTGATTATCTTTGAATAATCTTATCTGTCAATTTCCTCCCTACTTTGGTATTCAAAATATTACCATTTTATACATATCTAACGTCTTGGATAAATATCACATATATCCACTATTTTTCCTAGCCCCCGTCACCATCCTTGTATAGCCACCATCATTGTGCATGACCTGAAGCCTCTACATGTCTCCCTTCTTCCATTCTTAGCACCAAAGTTTGGTCCCTAAATTTTCTCTGTAGAGTGATTTTTCAATAATCATAATACTGCAACCTTTCTATGATACAAACAATTCAATAATTTTCCATACCAATTAGGCAAATTCACAAAGTCTACATGTTTCCTCTTTGCTATTTTCTATTCCTGCCTTACTTTCAAATCTAGTCTCTCTTGCTTCCACTTTTCCCTTCATTAAACTAGTTCTACTTTTTTATTCTAGTTCCTTGAACACCATAAAGTATTCATCACACCAAAGCAAGCATTCCTCCCTTTTTTTGGGATGCCCTTCTCTTTGGTTACTGGGTTACCTTTCATAGCTTTTCATTTTTCAAATATACCTAATCTGAATCTCAAATCTCAATTAGATATTTCTGTTATACTCATTAATTTTATCTTCAGTTTTTCTTCACATTAACTAATCTATTTAACTACACACTTACTATGTATGTATGTATGTATGTATGTATGTATCTAACCATCCATTCATTCATCTAGGTAGGTATTCTCTATCTGTAGTACTTTGTTTAGATTCTCCATGATCATTAAGCATTTTGAAGGGCTATCAGTGTTTTGTTTATCATTATGTTCCCAGAAATTCTTCAAATGCTCCTGCATAGTCAGTATACATTAAGTATTTGTTGAATGAGTAAAAAAAGCAATACAAGTTTGATGAATAATCAAATGAATGAGCAAACTATTTTTCTAATTTCCAGCACATTTACACTACTAATTATGCTGTGAAAGTTGAGGTGACAGCAAATATTTGATACACCTCCATATTTAATTCCAAGATATGATTACATAAGACATTAGGTTTAAACTGTAATAAAAATTACACAAAGCCATAATATCATCCTAAAAAATAAACTTTTTGTTTACCCTAAATTTGTGGACATTATCGTCTTATTTATTGCTAATAAAACTACAATATCCAACCAATTTGCATTATTTCCCAACAAATTATTAGTATCTACTGTAAATAAGTGGGAATTTTCAGCGTGCTTTTGTAAACTGAAATTTTCAGTTTTCAGCTTCACATAATTATTGAATGAACATTTTGTAACGTAACAAAATCAGAAAATATAGACAAATGAATATTTTTGAACAATTATCTGGAGTTTTAAAAATAGTTTTCATATTTTTAATGCCTTCATAGTTTGCAAAATTTATTACAAAACTAAGTGGTTACACATACTTTAAAACACTGAAAGTAGTTATGATCCCACACTCTTACAGTAAGATGCTATTATCCTATTAAACTGTAGGTTTACCCACATTTTAATACATGTTTGCTGATTTAATCATCATTGATAACAAATAAGTTCTAAGTACTCAGTAACCTATTCAAAAGTATTTACAGTGTTCGCTAAGTCAGCAGGAGACTTTGAAGATGTTTTGCCTCTCTACTTGGAGCAGCCACTTCTGCAAAAGTTGATAGCAGAGAATAATCAAATATGCATTATACAACATCAGAAATGCAAATAGCACCACTTAAGTACTCTGCTTATAACATAGGTCCCTGAAGAAAAGATGAAAAACAAATTGAAAGCCTTAATAATAAAGTATGATGGGCCATCATTTATGATTTTATCATGTTTTTCTTAACATACAAATTTGCGCTAATTTAAATCCAACAAATAACGATTGAAAAGTATCAGTACCATGGTTCCCTGGCTTCAAGGAGCTTAAACCCAGAAGTGAGCAACAGAGTTGCAGAACGGTACAGTACATGTAATATTGATTGCTCTCATTGAGATTTCAGCAGATTTTTTTAAAAGATACAGAATGGGAGAAATTATAAAATTGCTGTAAAGGCCTAGCTAATTTAGAAGAAATAGCCTTTGAATCGAATTTGAAGAATGAGTGTTGGATAAGTACAAATGTGACATAAGGCATCTTCAGAAATGCAGGACTATAGCCAAATGTCCAAAAAATTAAAAATGTAAATAGCAAGTGGTCTCATGTAGCTATATTTTGAGAATCTACAAAATGCTAGTAGACAATAAAAGAAAACAGAAAGTCTAAAGCCTGATCTTACATTTGTATTTTATATTATAAGTTTGGGGCTAGATTTTAGAGGAAATGAAAAATTACTGAATGCTTTAAAAACAGTAAAGTTATTTTCAGATTTGTGTTTTAAAGATGTAACTTTATTCAAACGTGATTGTACTGCAAGATAAAATAGGTTCATTACCACTCAATTCACTGGTTTCACTACACTCCATCACCTAGAAGCAGCTTACATGGTGAAACAGCCAAATAAAAGTTTATTTAAGGAACCTACACTTTGGAGTTTCTCTATCATGTTACGGTATATTCCTTAAACCAAAGTCTCTTTATAATGGCATCTATGCCATAGACGAAGTATATGGAAATGAAGGGAAGGAGGTGTGACTGTATTATCACACAATTACAACTATCAATTCACTGGAGGAAATTCTGCTTTGGGTTTTAAGATTTTCAGGTCCTAGTGCATGAGGGATGAATGCTTCTCTGAGAGAAGCAAATCACGTGTCTGATTAATTAGAAGCTGAGATTGTAACCTGCACATTTTGGGTTCTTCGTCCACTGAATCTGTAGCAGAGGAGAAGGTTGCTCTGTTAACTTTCTAGAAGAAATTGGCTCACTGCCTCATAATAGGGAAAATAAAATTTTTTCTATCCAGTGCAACTCCCTGAGGTGCTTTTTAGTTGTCCCTCTCCGATGATCCTAATACAACACCTTCAGAAACTCAAGACAAGACTCACAAGGACTTACATAATGCAGAAGTGAACGTTTGTTTCTCCACTAACAAAAGGACCCTGTCCAGCTGAGATGCCTGCAGAAGTTAAAGGGAACATGTAGTAGGAAGAAGCTGAACATGTTTAGAATATTAGGCTTTATGACTAAATATAAAAGAGAGGACTATGGTAGTATGCTTTACATTAATAAATTATTTCATTTTACCAACCCTTTCCCACTACCTTATATAAAGAACACTGCGTACCTAGTATTTTAGGTTTTAGGAAGAAGTATAATCAAATTAATATCACCTATGATTACATAATAGATTATGAGAGACTGTATTGGGAGTACAAGGTTTTCACCTTAATAAAGAAAAGGAGTAGATGCTGAGGGCCAAAAGGGTGGAGAATGTGGATATCATGCATTTGCCTGTCCAGAATTACTCTCCACCATGCTATACGTTGCCTCTAGATGTTGACTGTTTTGTATATATTATTTGGCTCCATTGCTTCCTTGCTTCCAGTTAGTGTAAGTCACACGTAAAGTCAAGCAGTAGATCTGAGGAAGGGAGGAGTGTACGGATGTGTTATTAATTTCTTCTGTTTATTTCCTTTAGGTTCACTTCGTGGCGGCAGAGTAAAGGCCACAGCTACTGGAAAATGACTTTCCCTAGCCTCCCCTTCCTGATTTTCATCAATCACATTATCCCCTTGCTCCTTCCAGCTTAGTGGTGGTAAGAAATCATACTCCCTTATACATCTTTCCCACTGTTGCTGGCCCTTGTGCTTTATGTCAAGGCACTTTTCCTATACTTGCCTGTAAGTTTTATGGGCTCTGTTAAGTTTGTCCAAGACTGTTCTTGCTAGCTTTTGGTTTGTTTCTTTATAAAATAATAAAATTGATTTATGTGATCTGTCAATTGAACAAGTTAGGATCGTTAGATATTAAATTTTGTCTAATTCGTTGTGCTGCCAATAGTTAGTTAAGGAACTGGCAATCTGTTAAATCTCAATATATATCAACTGGAATTGTTTTTAGCCACAAAATCTTTCTGTGTTCTTTTTCAAAAACTCAAAGTGTGACATGCAAATATGAATTTGATTCTGTGATACACTAATCAGTATTAGAAAAAAATGTAGTGTACTTGCATGTTATATTTATCACAATGTGACTGAATTTAAACTAATATTTTTATCATAAATTGTGTGGAAGAAATGTTTCATGATTTGCTGGTATTTCAAATTTGGAAACTAATATTATTAAATTGTGGAAGGTCCACAGAGAGTTATTCATTGTATTTGGTCTTTTATTTATATTATATTAATATATTAGACTTATTACCTATGTTAATTTATCAAAGAATATTAAAGAGAAACTTTAAAAGAAATTAAAACAAAATAGAAGTAAATATAATAGTTTGTAAAATCAACAAACATTATTTTTAAATAAAGCCCATCCAATGTCAGGGTTCAGTTAGTATAAATACTATCTATACTTGAGGTGTCCTAAGTTCAGTCTACTAATTAATCACTGTAACTGTTGAGTTAGTTGAGTATATTTAGAAAGAAAAAACAGAAAGACATAAAGATGCTAATATATGCCGAAATAATATTTTGAAGTACAAGTTTATTTTGCTTTTAATATGAAGTAGAGCTCTTTTTGTTGAAAAGTAAATCTCCAAATAACAATTTCTCTTCTTAATTTTAAAATTAATTCAACATTATTTCTTAGAAGTTCATCATATAATTAAAAATAAGTATTACTATGTACTCATGATAGTGTTTCATATATTTTCATAAATATGTTAATTTCTATATAAAGAAAGTATGCAACTTTAACAACACGTCTGTAATATGTCACAAATAAGACAGTGCTATTATATGTGCTTATATATACATACTCTGATATGTTTGCTCTTTTCTATCTGTGACAAAATTTTATGACATCCCTCATTATCTATTATTGAATATAGTTTGTGGGCTAGAAATGAGTAAATAATTCAACAATCCACTTGTTCCTTCTGTAAATACGCAGGAGAAACTGCCTAGTTGTCCTTTGAGCTAGACACTATCACAAGCTTATAAACACTATGTTTTCACTTTTCCCTATTATTTCCCCAATGTGTAGTGTATGAAATTGGGCTGATATCACATGAGAAATAGAATAATCTGAACTGACATAATAAAAACATACCGTGAAAATATAAATTATTCTATTATTAAGTAGGGATATAAAATATACATGAAGAAATCTTTTATTATTTGATTTCAAAATAACTTTGTGTTGGTGTATATTGTGCATTTCTTTAACATCTCAACGGGATTCTCTTTAAAACAAATTCCAAGAATGCCGTTCTGGCATATGCAACTCTGAAAGCTAATTTCCAGAACAACAGTCTTGCAAAATTCCCCTCAGAAATATCTCTGAATAAAAGCAAATGGATGGATGTATACTTTCCATGCAATCCGAGATCAAATGAATTTGCTGCCGAGAATTGAAGGAACTTGACTATTGTCATTTTTTTCTGTTCATATTATTCTGTATTGGTAAGTTTTTGCTGTCCCCTGAATGTGAGCTTCTCAGTGAAGTTTTTATAGAATTGGTTCTCTTGTTTCCCCATTATGCATATTATGTAATAGTCATAAACTTTCAGGCAAATTTTTATTTTTTATTTTTAAAATTTTCAGCGATTTAATTCAGCTTTTCATTTCTGCCATAGAGCTATAATTCATACATTCTTTTTAATTAACTGTTTGCTTATTGGCCTAGCAATAGACCCTTAGAATTTCAACAGGTTCTGCATATAGTACACCATCAATACATTTAATAAATAAATAGATGACATTATTACACGTATAGCTAATTGTCAAATAACTTGTATTACAAATTGACTTGTATCACCCATCAAAATTTTTGAGTCCTAATTCCAACACTCTGATATTTCAGAAACAACAACAAAAGCTATCTTTAAAAAATTATACAACTCACCAGAAGACCTTTTTTTTTAACAATTCAGTTTCCCCAGCATAGTTATTTTGAATTCTTTAAAAGTTTATAGTATTCTTTTAATTTTAATTCATTCTCTTTCAGATTATGGAACTTCTAAAAATAATCAAAATAGTTATCTTTTTATATGAATAAGCAATCTGTTACATTTTGTGGAGATTCACCTTTAATTTCAATGATACTAGTAAGACCTTCAAAATAAAAAATAAGTCTCAATCGAGTGGGATTATTATTAGTATTTTTTGATAAAATGGAATGCAGCACTAAGATATTTCTGTTAACCCTCCCACCTTTTTATGTCCCATGGGATTCATCCAAGTTTGAATTTAATTTTTAAACCAATAGAAAAAACATATATAGATAGACTCTAGAGAAATGAGCAAAAATAATATAGATGCACAGTAAATATGACCTTTCATTGTTTTTTATTGTGTGTATTTAAGGTATACATAATGTTTTGAAATAAATATATAAAGAGAAATGATTACTACAGTCGAGCAAATTAACACATTCATCACCTAACAGCTACATTTTATTTTCCTTTACTTTTGGTCGTAACAGCACCTAAAATCTAATCCTTTAGCAAATGCTCTACAAAACAATATTATTAACTACCGTCTCCACGCTGTACCTTAGATTTCTAGACTTATTCATCCTACAGAACTGAAAGTCTGTACCCTATTTCCCACTTCTTCCCACTTCATATCCTTTCCTGCTTCTGACAACCACTACTTTACTATCAAGTTCTATATATTCATGTTTTTTAGATTCAGCACATAAATGAGATCATGCAGTATTTTTTACTCTGTGCATGGTTTATTTCACTATTTCACTTAGCATAATGTTCTCCAGGCTCATCCATGTTGCTGCAAATGAATCTTTTTAAAGTCTCTATAATATTCCATGGTCAATACAGCACAATTTCTTTATCTAGTCATTTATTGATGGTCACTTAGGTTGTTTCCACATCTTAGTTATTGTGAATGAACATGAGAGCGCAGATGTCACTATGACATACTGAATTCATTTCCTTTGGGTATATAACCGGAAGAAAGATTGATGGAGGATATCGTAGTTCTATTTTTAAATTTTTTTTGAGGAAACTTCATACTCTTTCCCACAACGACCGGACCAATATACTTGGCCATTTTTATGTCTTCTTTGGGAAAATGTGTCTACTCATGTTCTTTGCTCAATTTTTCTTTTCTTTCTTTCTTTCATTATTTATTTGTATTTATTTATTTATTTATTTATTTATTTATTTGAGACGGAGTCTTGCTCTGTCGCCCAGGCTGGAGTGCAGTGGCCTGATCTCAGCTCACTGCAAGCTCCGCCTCCCAGATTCACGCCATCCTCCTGCCTGAGCCTCCTGAGTAGCTGGGACTACAGGCGCCCACCACCATGCCTGGCTCATTTTTTTTGTATTTTTAGTAGAGACAGGGTTTCACAGTGTTAGCCAGGATGGTCTCGATATCCTGACCTCATGATCCACCTGTCTCAGCCTTCCAAAGTGCTGGGATTACAGGCGTGAGCTACTGTGCCTGGCCTTTTTTATTTTTTTAAGTTATAGGGTTTTTATGTCATTCAGGCTGGCCTCAAACTCCTAGGGTCAAATTATCCTGCCTCAGCCTCTTGAGTAGCTGGGGTTACACATGGGTGCCACTGTACTTGGGCACTTAGGTCCTTGACTCATTTTTTTTTTGCTATTGAGTGTGTGAAGTTTTTTTATATCATAGATATTAACCCCTTATCAGATACGTGGTTTGCAAATACTTTCTCTTCATCCATATGTTGCCTTCTCATTTTACTGATTGTTTCCTTTGCTGTGCAGAAGCTTTTTAGGTTGATGTAGTCCCACTTGTTAATTTTTCTTTTTATTGCCTGAGCTTTTGTTGTGATATCCAAAGTTTCATTGCAAGGGCCAATGTCAAGGAGCTTTTCCTTTAGGTTTACTTCTAGGGGATTAATTTCAGGTCTTAAGTTTAGATCTTTAATTTACTTCTAGTTGATTTTTGTGTATAGTATAAGTTTCATTCTTCTGCTTTTGGATTTTCAGTTTTCCCATTTTGTTGGAGAAATTTTTTTCATTTTTGTTGGAGAAACTTTCCCCATTGTGTCTTCTTGGTCACCTTTTGATAATTAATTGACTGTAAGTGCTTGAATTTATCTATTCTTTAAGTGTACACTATGAGGACAAAGATAATAGACAAACCAAAAGTGACTTTCTACTAGCATTAAACTTTAAAGTGACATTAATCCATAGCTTTAGAAATAGAAGCCACCCCAAAACAAAAGATTGCATTATGAACAAAATATGCAATATTTTGTGGCATTTTGTTTTTAAAATCATGTTGCACATTCATAGAAAAACAATGAAGACCTAAAATAGATCTTTAACATATGTACAAATGAGCAAAATGGCATCTCAGTTTTTCTGCTAACTGCAAAGCACAGCAACATCACCACTGGGTCTGAAGGGTGAAGTTAAAGCCTCCGTTTCCTAAATGCTTTCTCAGTTGCTTCTAAAAAAAATTCCTTACCCTATCACATTTACATGTACATCTTTACAGCCACAATTCTGCCTCAGGCACATTCTGGTGTCAGAGGCTACCATCTGGTAGGTGGTTGTGTGTAGTAAATGAGTTTTAACAGGACCAATTGTGCTGGTTTCCTCCAGAGGGAAGAACCCCTAACTGAAAACTCAGTACAGCATTGCACTTTGCAGGAGAGTCTACCCTACCTATCTGCTATGTACTCAGTTGCCACCAGCTGTTTTATGCACTCTTAGCTCCCCAGCTGAGACAATTAAAGGAACGGGATTTGGCATTCTGTATAAATATGAGATATGACTCTGGAGCTGTTTTCACATTGGCAGAACATAGGGCAAAAAACAAGGCTTTGCTCCAGAATAGACTTTTTAATCTTATGGGCAATGATCAAGAAATGAAAAAGTCAGATGCTGAGATGATAATGAGGGGAAATATGAAAGCCTGGTTATCAGCAAAATATTGTAAATTAAATTAAGCATAGGGAAGTAGCAGCATCCTTCCCTATAAAACAGGCTAGCAGAGAAGATGCTAAATGTTTGGATGAGGACAGCAATCTGGGTATTTTGCATTGTGTGCTGCTTTTTCTGTACTCTGTATCTAGCTAAGCATGAGCCGTTGTAGCTACATATCACTTCTGCTTATGTAATCTATTGGAGTGTTGAGTCCGAAATCCTGTAAAATTAATAGCATGGGGGAAAGACATTTTTAAAATGATAAATGGGGTAAAGATGTGTTCTTTAATGGAGCTAGTGTTAGATTTTAAAATGTTACTTCCTAACTAAAGAAAAAAAATGTGGTTGGTGATGTTTTAGTTGCAATCATGTTATACAATGAAGTTTCCACCTTTATAATTTGTTTTCTGCATAGAAAATCTGTAGATAACACCAAGATACTAATTATTGTGCTCATTCATGTTGGCCTATGCTTTTTTCTTACTTAGCTTTAAATTTCCAATAATCAATATGCTATTTTTATAGGAAAATATTAAATAGAAATTAGAATTTTCTCTTTTTCATGTCACATAAAAACAGTGATTGAAAATGTTTTAAGAAGGCTTATAGGTTTGTTTCTAGAGCATAAATTGCATTAATATGTAGACAGTTCCAAAAGCTGTATTTTCTACGGGGACTTCCCGTTCAAACACTAGTCTCCTATCAATAATTACTTACTTGACGGCTCAACAAGAAAAACATCTCAAAACTGAAAAAGCCAAAACAGAAATATTGATTCTGCCATCACTTAAATTAAACCTCCACCTGTTTCTCAGTTTTGTAAAAGGCAGCGCTAGCATTAAAATGTTTAAGGAAACACTAGCAGCAACTGTCAAACCTAATTTAATTGTGCTGCCCTTGATACTTCACTTTTCTCAATCACACACTCCCAAACTTATTTAATCAGAAAATATATTTTAGTATGTTCAAACACATATGGACTCTGACCATGTCCTTACATATGTCCTATCATCCTAATAAAAGCCACCACCATCTCTCACAGGGTTTACCGTAATAAAGAAAAAAAGAAAGGAAGGAAGAAAAGAAGGAAGAAACGAAGATGAGAAGGAGGATGAGAGAAATGAAAGTCAAAACTCCTTACCCTCTTTATGAAAGCCTTATTTGATCTGGCCCCAACCATAGATCCCATCACACTTTTATCTTACCTTCCATGCTGATCCCAAATTGTAGCAGTAATTTTGAAATATGACAAACTCTTAGGAACTTAAGAGTCTGCAAAATAGGTATTCTGATTTCCTGGAATATACCTCTTCCTTTTTCTATGATTTCAAATTTCTGTTTAAATGTCATCTTTCTGCCTATGCAATCTAAAGAAATTTTAAAAATCACTATCTCAAAAGAAAATCACTACCACGTCACTTAATTCCCTACATAGTGCTTAGTGCTATCTCGCATATGACACACATACACATGCACCTGTATACATATATAATTTGTCTGTATCTCCATATTAACATATAAGCTCTTTAAGAGCACCACATCAAGTGCTTTAATTGCATTAAGTACAAATGAATCCTGGCCATGTAAAACAGTGACTGGTAAATAATATTCATTAAGTAATTACTTGTTTAATAAGCAAATGAATTGATAAGATTGAATATTAATTATTCTAATATTTTAGAATTTTATATAATTGGAGTAACCAGACTAATTCCATTAAATTTCACTTTAAGTTTCAACTCAAGCCAACCATATCTGGAAGAGATTCTTTTTTAAAGAATATTGGAAAAATGTACTCATTTAACAATATTTTACAACTTCTAGTACTGATGAATTATTTTAAACATACTTTATTGCATTCACTGAAAATAAGGTAGCCAAATTACATTCTCATAAATACAATGTATCAAAATATTTAAATATTTGCTTGAATATCCATATTATTAGCTTCTTACAACCAAAGTTGGTTTCAAAATCCCTTTTGCTTTAATATTTTCTTCTGGCTAACATTCATCAAGTGTTCTTATACATTGTACTAGCACATATTTTGCATTTATCAGAGTTCTATGTTTTTTCCTAAATAGATTTGCAGGGCTAGAAACAACTAGAGATTAAATAGCAACGTGAAGGTATTGTAGAATAAAATGAAAAGTGGCCACCCACAATCAGAATTGATAAATTTAAATTATGTCACCTAAATGCAAACTACTAGTAAATATGCTAGTGTATCACAAACAGAAATTAATTCAAATACGTTCTTCTAGAAGATACTTGGCAAACATTGGATGTGATTTTCCTATGACTACCTGTCTTCATAAACTAAGTGTAAGTTTGAATTCTCTGCTCTCTATATGGCTTAGCTTTTTCTATCAGGGCAATGCCAATGACATGTATTTCATGATATAAAGATGATGAACATTATGAGTTATTTTATATAGTGCTCTCAATCTTTATTGATATAAAAACACATTAGTTCTAAAGCTTATCCGCAACTCAGGGCAATTAAGTGGATCTTCCTACAGTTTTAAATGAAGTATTTCTGGCAATTAGCAGATAGAAAATGATTTTTTTAAGACGCAGTGACAGCAGTAGAGGACAAATCCCTTAATGCTATGAGAAAGCAACAGTGTGCATGTAGTAATTTTTTAAATGGCATTAATACTGTTAATCATTTTGACCTATCTTCATTGACCTTCATAGTTATACTATCTAAAATTGTTATCCAATTGTTAAATTTTGTTGCTGTGAATTGCTCAAAAAGTAAGCTAGATGGTGCTAGAGAACACCATTCCATTTACTATGTGATAATATTTATAACCTATTTCTTGTTGATAAGAATGACTGAAAATGTTGAGACCCATTACATTAATCTGAAATTTAGTATCACACTATAAATTTAACATAAAGGATTTATAAAGATATCAAACTCAATAAAGGTACAAGATTAAGAGGAAGTATATATTCATAAGCTTATACTAAAGTATAAGATATCACAATCCCAAAATTATAGAAAGTCTATAATAAATTTTTATGGCAAATAATTACTATTATTTTAATAAATCTACGGCACATGCATATTTTTATCCTTTTGGGATAACTTTTTTTTCTTGCAGATGTTAAAAACTGGGTGATATGGTTTAAATTGCTAAACTACAACTGAGTTATGCCAAATATCTATTTAGATCTTATCTAGAGCTCATCTTAATATTGCTATTAACATCACTTACACTCATTTCTTAAGGAAAACTAATGTTCGAATTAAAAATAACATTTTTTTAAACAAAAGGAGTCCCTTTTGGTTTAAATCAGATTTGTGTAAATAAACTAATCAATTCAAAGTTTATATGCAGAGTTATGCCTATCAAACTTTTTCCCTTACATATTTTATATATCATTTATAATGTCATTAAATTTTCTTTCATTATCTAATAAGAAAATTTCCAAAATATGGTGCAAAGAAAATTTAGAAAGATTTTTAGAGGTTGGTGTATTAGTTTACCAGGGCTGCCATACAAAATACCACAGACTGGATGCCTGAAGCAACAGATATTAATTTTTCCACTTTTCCGAAGGCTAGAAATCCAAGATCAAAGTATTGCCAGGATTGGTTTCTAGGGAGACCACACTTTTTGGCTTGTAGATATCTTCTCATTGTGTCCCTCTGTGGCCTTTTTCTCTGATGACACAGAGAGCTCTCTGGAGTCTCATCCATGTCTTATAAAGACACCCATCCTGTGGGATTAGGATCCCACTCACATGACCTCATTTAACCTCCTTAAAGGTTCTATCTCCATATGCAGTTAAATTAGCTGTTAGAGGTTCAATATATGAATTCTGGCAAGACACAGTTCAGACGAAAATGGATGCTTTTGAGTCATCCTTGAGTCCTGATGTTAGGACTGATGTTTAATCTCTTCTGATTGAGCTCTTACTTACTCAGGTTCAACTGGTCTCTACCAGTCAACACGGATTTCCAGCAAAATTTCTTCTCTGGAGGGTCATGGACTGTACACAGCTTCCTTTCTCGTGTTCTTCCTGTACTACTTTCTGATCTTAATGACAGGCCTATTAGGACCTACCCATTTTGTTAGCATGTTGCTGTCCTTGCAGAACTGAGAAAACCTGTCTCTGTGACGGTGCTCTTAATTCTTTCTTTCCAATTATAATTTCTCATCTACTTCTAATCCAAGGCATGGGATACCCTGTAGTTCAGATGCCATGAGTAATGTGGGCACAAGGAACTTTCCAAACTACATCTTGAGAAACATGAGGAAAGCTACATTGCATGAGAAGTTTCCCAAACCTAATGAGTGATCCAATTGCCCTTTAATCTGAATTATGATACTACAGTGAAGAGAACCAACATAATTTTTACTGACCTTTTGTCTCTATTCTCACTCCTTGCTTCTTTCCTTTTCCTACATAAACTTAAGGGCATTATATTTCCTCTTCAAATGTTGGCTGTTTCTTTAGTCATTATCTCTTTCTTGCCTGTGCTATTGTTTATTTGAAACCATATTCCCTTTTCCCAGACACTGAGACTCATCTGCTCATCTTTATTGGAGAATATATCTGGTAAAAAATAAGGGTTGTCAAGAAGGTAAGTACACTGTGGTGTAGATGGTGGATTCAAAACATATTATGTTGAGTATCAATCTTAAAGTATAGTATAGCAGACAATTACTACTAAACGTTTGCTTTATTTTTTCATTAAGTTTAAGCCCTATTCAATTTTAATTGAATACATTATGCTAAATTTTCTCATAATACTCTTATCCTACTATTTTTATGTTTTTTTATAATATCTGGTCTTACCAAATTTCTCACTGCCTAGATTAACATTTTTAGAGGATAAAAACTAAGTAGATCCTGCACACTTATTCTTGCATTATTAAATTTTTCTTTTGAAATAATTATAGGTTCATAGGAAGTTTTAAAAATGTACAGGGAGGCGTTTTCTACCCTTCACCCAGTGTCCCGCAGTGGTACCACATTGAATAATTACAGATAATGCCAAAACAAGAGAATTGATATTGGTTCCACAGAGCTTATTTACATTTAATCAGTTTTTACATATATTACTATGCATAGGTAGTGCAATGCAACTTTTTACATGCATAGATGTATGCATTCACCACCACAATTGAAGATAAAGGACTGTTCCATTACCTCAGGGATCTCTTGTGCTATACCTTTATGGCCAAACTCACCCTTCTCTTAAGAGAGGTCCCAATCTCTTAACTCCTGGCAACTACTAATTTGTTATTCATGTCTACAATTGCAGTATTAGAAGAACATATATAAATTTAATTACATAATATGTAACTGTTTGTGATTTTCTTTTTTCAATAAGTATAATTCTCTGGAGATCCACTCAAGTGATGAAATGCATCAATAGTGTGTTCCTTTTTATTGTTGAGTAGTATTCATTGGTCTGTATGTGGAGTTTGTTTAACCTTTGGCCATTTAAGGACATCTAGGTTGTTTTAAAGTTTTGGCAATTATTAATAAAGCTTCTATGAAAGTTTTTGTACAAGTTTTTGTGTGAACACATGGTTTTATTTCTCCTAGATAAGTGATAAAGTGTGCAACTGCCAGGTGATAGTCCAAATGCATAGAGTTTTAAGAAACTGCCAAACTGCTTTTCGGAGTGGCTGAACCATCTTCTATTTTCACAAGCAATGAATGAATAATCAACTTTGTCCTCATCATTACCATCATCTGCATTTGTTGTACATTTTTTAATTTAGCCATTCTGATAGGTATCTGATAGTTTTATTTTCACTTCTTAATGATGTCACTGATCATTATTTTTAATAACAGACACTGCTACAATGCTTCACATATTGTTTTTGTTGCAAATATAATATAATACATCTATTAAATGAGTGATAAATCTTCCACCCCATGAAAAAAGATATGTTATTTTATACTCACCAGATCAACCTTGGGTGTTATATAATCCTCTGAAGATGGCCTTGGCTCAGGAAAAAACTGCATGCAGATTCCTTTAAAGAATGCCATAAAAGTAACATTTGACCATCGGCATGAGAAGTCAAAAGTCTATGTGCTGGTTTCAAGTTAGTGAGAAGTTACAATGTAGTGTTCATAAAGATACAGGTTGATGGTGTATGCCACATTCTCAAATAGTCTATCAACTAGGTTTGGGAGAGGGTCACTGACACAGGGAATTGAGGAAGGAAGCTTTTTCTCTAAGAATAACATTTTTTACTATAGATAATGTGAGCCCTATTCTTTTGCGATTTTCTGGTAAAGGAAATTAGAAATTAAACCTTTGGTTACTTAGGAATATTCTTACTTAAACTTTGCCTAGAATATTTTAGCAACAGAAACATAACAGTAATGTGTAGTACTTGAAAAATGAAGAGAAACAGAATAAATGAGAGGATTAGCAAATTTTTTTAGTTATATTGAAATTTTAACCTAATAAAAGAACATATATGTACTACGTAATATGGTTCTTAAACCACAGAGAAATACTGCACTCTGGGCTGATCTTATGCTGCTTTGAGTTTTTGAAATTCAATACTAGGAATTTTTCAGAAATAGCTGTTTTCCACAGCAGTTTATAGCTGCTTTCCACAGCCTCCTTCTCAATTCTCTACATGAAGGGACAGATGAATAAACTGACAGCATTTCATATTGTGTTTGATAGGTAACCAAAGCTTTTTGCAGGGGCCAAAATGTGAATGAATCACACACATACAAATATACAAGTGAATTTTAAAGTGCAAGAAATTGAAAGCAGATGGATCAGTTCTGGTGGTAAGACCATAAGAAAATCATCTTCTCGCAGTTGAGGCTGTTGTTTTTCATTCAAAGCATGCATCACAGACCATCCCAGAAGTTTAAAACCAAATATATAGATTAGGCTGGGTGAAATGTTAATCATGTAAAGCAAAACTGAAGGATTTAAGTTTCACACTGAAGTATGCACCATATGCATGTTAAATATTGGAAGTTGAAATTCCATCTAACTAATTGACAAAGATACTGAATAAATTTTACATTAAGGGATATATAATTATAGTGATATCCTCAAATGCTGATTTACTTAATGAAAAACTGTTTAGCAAAATGAACTCTGATAGTGGAGTGAATCTTACTGGAGATAAACTCTATATCATACTTCTTTTATATCTTTCACTTATCCACACATCTTTATTTTTAAAAAATGTCATAATGGATATGCATCAATCTTTCTAAAAAAATAAGAAGTGTGTAATTCTACAGTAAACTACAGTGTTCATATAAATATTTTACATAATATAAGCTCTTCTAAGATGCTGAATACTATAACAGGAAACATAACCATGTTCTGAAGTGCCATCCAACAGACCAAGTACACTTGAGCAATGAAAACTCAATTAGGTAATTGCAATGATAAATCAGGCAACTATAGACTATATTATTTACTGTCTATTTTAGTTTAGGAACAAGTAGTGGAAAACAGAACTGCTAGAGCTCCCTACATGTTTTTAGGCTGAGACTGGTAAATGTGCTTCATGTAACAGAAAAATTAATTCAGAATTCTCCTTTCACCTTTAAGGTATTTCCTTACAAGATAATGGAAGAAAATTGGGTAGCAATATAAATCAGAGCTTTTCTAATTGCATTTAATTCCAACTGCCTTCAACGAATATCTTCTACTTCTTGTAGAGGATGGAAAATTCTTCCACAAATTGTAACCAGATTGAAAAATGTGAGAAAACAGTGTTTTGATTTAATGTTGCTCCCTCTCCATAAACCTGAAATTCACTTTATCTCTTTAGGGGAATATCTATTATGTTCACATGAAAAAATTAAATGTCTAATTGACCACTCAATTATACAAGCACACAGTATAATCATTCTTAAACACTTTGGTTTGCACACTTGTCTTCCTGAAATGGTTATCTTTATTATTATTGTTTTAGAAATTCCATTTGAACTTGCATGGGAGGCAGGATTCTAAGGTGGCTGCAAGATTTCTACTCCATAGTACACATGCCTTGGCTAGACTGAGCAGTGAAGCCAGCTGGGCTTCTGGGTGGGGTGGGGACTTGGAGAAATTTTGTGTCCAACTAAAGGATTGTAAATGCACCAATCAGTGCTCTGTGTCTAGCTAAAGGATTGTAAAAGCACCAATCGGCACTCTGTAAAAATGCACCAATCAGCACTCTGTAAAATGGACCAATCAGCAGGATGTGGGTGGGGCCAAATAAGGGAATAAAAGCTGGCCACCCAAGCCAGCAGCGGCAATCTGTTTGAGTCTCCTTTCACACTGTGGAAGCTTTGTTTTTTCGCTCTTCACAATGAATCTTGCTGCTGCTCACTCTTTGGGTCTGCACCGACTTTAAGAGCTGTAACACTCGCTGAAAAGATCTGCAGCTTCATTCTTGAAGTCAGTGAGACTACGAACCCACTGTAAGGAAGAAACTCCGGACACATCTGAACATCTGAAGGAACAAACTCCGGACACACCATCTTTAAGAGCTGTAACACTCACCGCAGAGGTCCACGGCTTTATTCTTGAAGTCAGAGAGACCAAGAACCCACCAGAAGGAATAAATTCTGGACACAAGATTACATTATAGGACAAAAGTAAATAGATTTTGCAGATACATTTAAGATCTCTCATTGATTGACTTTGAGATAACTAACAGGGAAATTATCCTGGGTGGCTTTCATAAGCATGTAAGCAGGTAGTAAGAAAGTGAACCCTGTAAAAGAGGGACAAAGATAAGAGAAAGAAAGTAGTAGACACTTCTCTTGGTCTTTGGAAAAGACCAAGCTTTGAAATAAATAGCATACTATCATGTTGTGAAGAGGACCGTGTGGTAAGGAATAATAGGTAGTTTCCAGAAGCTGAGGACCTCACTCCTACAACTTCAAGGAATTTCCAATAGCCAGTGAACCTGGCGGAAAACCCTGGGCCTCAGATTAGATTACCACCCTGGCTGATACCTTGACTGACCCATTGTGAAGACCATGAGCAACGGATTCAGTCAATCCACATCCGAGATTCCACCCTGCAAAATATGAATCTTGTTTTAAAACACAAAATTTGTGTTATTTTATTACATAGCAAAGATAATGATATAGTTTGGCTGTGTCCCCACCCAAATCTCATCTTGAATTGTAACTGTCACAATTCCAATTGTGTGGTGGGAGGAACCTGGTGGGAGGTAGTTGAATCATGGGGGAGGATCTTTCTCATGCTGTTTGGTGATACTGAATAAGTCTCACGAGATCCGATGGTTTTAAAAATGGGAGTTTCCCTGCACAAGCCCTCTTCTCTTTTCTGCCGCCATGTGAGGCATGACTTTAACTTTCTGCCATGATTGTAAGGCCTCCCCAGCCATGTAGAACTGTAAGTTCATTAAACCTCTTTCTTTTGTAAATTGGCCAGGCTTGGGTATGTCTTTATCAGCAGTGTGAAAACGGACTAATACAGATGATGTGTTAGTCTGTCCTCACACTGCTATAAAGATGTTACCTGAGACTGAAAGAGGTTCAATTGACTCACAGTTCTGCATCATGGCTGGGGAGGCCTCAGGAAACTCACAATCACAGTGGAAGGCGAAGGGGAAGCAGGCACCTTATCCCAAGGTGGCAGAAGAGAGAGTGAGTGAAGAGGGAATTGCCACAGACTTTTTTATTTTTATTTTTATTTTTATTTTTGAGACAGAGTCTCGCTCTGTCATCCAGGCTGGAGTGAAGTGGCACAATCTTGGCTCACTGCAAGCTCCACCTCCCGGGTTCACACCATTCTCCTGCCTCAGTCACCCGCCACCACACCCAGCTAATTTTTTGTATTTTTTTAGTAGAGATAGGATTTCACCGTGTTAGCCAGGATGGTCTCGATCTCCTGACCTTGTGATCTGCCCATCTTGGCCTCCCAAAGTGCTGGGATTACAGTTGTGAGCCACTGTGCCTGGCCTGCCACAGACTTTTAAACCATCAGATCGCATGAAAACTCCCTTATTATTATGAGAACGGCATGGGGGGAATCTGCCTGTATGATCCAATCACCTCCCACCAGATCCCTCCCTGGACACCTGGGCATTACAATTCAAGATATGATTTGGGTCGGGAGACAGAGCCAAAGTATGTCAGATAACTAATACGACTCTTCCATTAAAAGCAAGATGATATTAATAAATCAAATCTTTCTGTCTCAGGGATTTCAATAGGACATTCCAAAACTAGGCCATTATTGATAAAAATACCAACACTCTGGTGCATTTTTAAAACTCTGAATAAAATAGAAATAGAGATTTACAAGAATTTTTTCCTGGAAGTTAAACTGCATTAACTTTAATACTCTTGTATGAAATAAGGCTCAGAAATCTGGAACATAAGTTAAAATGATTTTTCAGTTTGGTGGTCTGTATAGATAGGTTTACTCTAAATTTCTTCTGGAGCATGTTAACATTCTTAAATACAAACCAAAAATTTATCCATTGAATATATACACAAAGCATGGAATCCAGAAGCAAATGCCACTTTCAGAAGCAGAAAAAGGGAAAACATTCAGCCAGTCATGCATGTGTAAATCACCTTTAACTAGATACTTATATATTTGACTGAATAATGGTAGTAAGGAATTTCCAAACTCAGTGGAAATAAACTAACAATATAAAAACAGTGAACTGCGGCTGGTGAAGTGGTGCTTTATTAATCAGTTAAAAAGTTATTTTTGTTTCACATGCCACTTCTTACCCTTTCCACTTACCTCAAAAATTAACATATTCAACCTCATTAGAGAAATGTTTTACCAGATAATATTTGATTTTATGTAATTGAAATAGCATGAATACATTATAATTTTTAAAAAAAAAAAAACAAAACACGCCAGACGCGGTGGCTCACGCCTGTAATCCCAGCACTTTGAGAGGCCGAGGCGGGTAGATCATGAGGTCAGGAGAATGAGGCCATCCTGGCCAGCATGGAGAAACCCCGTCTCCACTAAAAATACAAAAATTAGCTGGGTGTGGTGGCATGTGCCTGTAATCTCAGCTACTCGGGAGGCTGAGGCACTAGAATCACTTGAACCCAGGAGGCGGAGGTTGCTGTGAGCCGAGATTGCACCACTGCACTCCAGTCTGGCAACAGAGCAAGACTCCATCACAAAAAGCAAAACAAACAAACAAAAAAACTTTGTATTTTTGGCGGTTACCGTGTATTCTCAGATAAGACCCAGAAAACTAAAGGAAAAGTAAAAATTTTACTTAAACTGTATATGCATTTCACAATCTGAAGGCATAAGAAAGCCAACTGAGGTAAATTTCATTTTAAAAAAAATTACTGTGTATGTTTAAAGTATACAACATGGCGATATGGGATACATACACATAGATGGTAGAAATGTTGCTACAGTGAAATAAATTAACTTATTTATTATCTCACAGTTACCGATTTATTTTTGTTTTTGTGGCAAGAGAAGCTAAAATCAAATTTAGTATGAATTCCATATATGGTACTATTCTACTACCTTTATGTCCCTTGATGGACATTAGATCTCTAGACTTATTCATCCCACATATCTGCTTCTTTGTATCCTCTGAACCACATATCTCCATTCCCTCTCTCTACCCTATCCCTGGTAACCACTGATTTGTTCTCTCTCTCTCTCTCTCTGTATATCTGAGCTGTAAAATTATATTCAACATATAAGTGAGATCATGCAATATTTTTCTTTCTATATCTGGCATATTTTGCTTAGCATACTGTTCTCAAGATTGGTCTAGGTGGTGGCAAGTAGCAAAATTGTGTTCCTTTTTAGGGCTGAATAAAATTCCACTGTACATATGTACCACTGTTTCTTTATCCATTCACCTGTCATTGAACATTTAGGTTGTTTCTATATCTTGGCTACTGTAAATAATGTTGCAAAGAACATGGGAGTGCAGGTATCTTGATGAGGCGGTGATTTCATTTTCTTTTGGTACATGTTCAGAAGAGGAATTTCTGGGTCACATGGTAGTTCTATTTTTAATTTCTGTGGAAACCACCATGCTGTTTTTTATAATGACTGTGTGTACATTCCCAACAAAGGGTATGAGTTCCCTTTTCCCCACACCTTTGGCAACGTTTGTTATCGTTTGATTTTTAATAGCCATTCTAGTTGGTGTGAGGTGGTATCTCATAGTAGTTTCATTTTGCATTTTTCTGACAATTAATGATGTTAAGCACCTTTTCATATAACTGTTAGCACTTATGTCTTCCTTGGAAAAATGTCTATTCATGTCTTTTGCTCATGTTTTTTTATTATACTTTAAGTTTTAGGGTACATGTGCACAACGTGCAGGTCAGTTACATATGTATACATGTGCCAGGTTGGTGTGCTGCACCCGTTAACTCGCCATTTAACATTAGGTATATCTCCTAATGCTCTCTACTTTCCCAGTTTTGAGATGCATGACTTCCTTATAAATTTTGGATATTAACCCTCTTATTAGACGTGTGGTTTGCAAATATATTTTCCCATCCATAGGCTGCTGTCTCATTTTCCCATGTTGTATAGAAGCTTTTCAGTTTGGTGTACTTGCATTTGTTTATTTTTTCCTTTGTGGCCTGAGCTTTTGGTGTTATATCTCAAAAATCATCGCCAGGAGCTTTTCCCTTATGAGTTACTCTAGAAGTTTTATAGTTTCTGTTCTTATATTTAGGTCTTTTATCCATTTTGAATTGTTTTTGTGTATGCTAAAATGGTCAAATTTCATTCCCTGTGATGTAGAAATTTCATTTTCTCAGCACCATTTATTAAAGAGGCTGTCATTTCTCCATTGTGTTTTCTTGGGCCCCTCCTTAAAAATCAGTTGACCATATATATTTGGATTCATTTCTGAGCTCTCTATTTTATTCCACTGGTGTATGTGTCAGTTTTTTATGCCAGTATTACATTATTTTGATTAACATAGCTTTGTAATACAATTTTAAATAAGAGAAATGTGATGCCTCCAACCTTGTTTCTATTTCTCAGAATTGTTTTGGCTACTCAACAATTTGGGGGTCTTTTATGAGTCCATAGATATTTTAAGATTTTTTTTCTATTTCTGTGAGGAGTGTGATTAGAACTTTGATAGGCAATGCATTGAATCTGAATATTGCCTTTGCACTATGGACAGTTAAGCAGTATTATTTTTTCTGACCTATGTTCATGAAATATCTTTACTTTTTTGTGTCTTCATCAATTTCTTTTTATCAATGTTTATAATTTTCAGTGTACAAATATTTTACCTCCTTGTTTACATTTTTATTCATAGGTATTTATTATTTTGATGCTATAAGAATGGGATTTTATAATTTCTTTTTCAATATACTCATTTTCAATTAGCACATTAAAATGTTGCTAATTTTGTGTACTGATTTTGTGTCCCGAAATTTTATTGAATTCATTTCTGACTTCTAATGGTTATTTTTGTGAAATATTTGGGGTTTAAAAATATAAGATCATGTTATCTGCAAATAAAAATAATTAGACTTTTTTCCTTTGTAATTTGGAGGGTTTCTTATTTTTCTTTTCTGATTGATTTTGCTAGTACTTAGAGTCTATAGATAGACATGATGAGAGTGGGTGTCCTTGCCTTCAATCAAAGTTTAGTGGAAAAGTTTTCAATTTCCCCCATTGATTATAACGTTAGCTGTGGGTTTTTAATAAATGGTTTGATTATGTTGAGGAACTTTCCTTTCTATGCCTAAAGTGTTGAGAGTTTTTATTAAGAAATATCATTGACCTTTTTAAAATTTTCAATATCAATTGAAATGATCATGTGTTTTTTGATCTTTCATTTTGTTATTGTGACATATTGCATTTATTGATTTACATATTTTAAGCCAGACTTGCATGCCAGAGACAAATCCCACTTGGTCATAATGTGTAATCTTTTCGATGTGTTATTGGAATATGTTTGCTAATCCTTTTTATTGGGAATGTTTGTATTGACGCTCATCCGAGAAATTGGGCTGTAGTTTATTTTCTTGTGATGTTTTTGCCTGGCTTTGGTATCAAGGTGATGTTCACCTCATAAAATATGTTTGCAAGTATTTCCTCCACATCTATTTTTTGGAAGAGTATAAGAAATACGGGTATTAGTTCTTTGAATTTTGTAGAATTACACTGTAAAGCCACCTGGTGCTGAGTTTTCTTTTTGGGGTAAGTTTTTGATTAATTCTTCAATTTATTTCTTTGTATTTGTCTGTTCACTCTTTCTATTTCTCCCTGATTTACTCTTAGTAGATTACATCCTGTTGGAATTTATCCACTTCCTCTAGATTATCCAATTTGTTGGCAAGTAATTATTCATAATATTCCCTTAATATTATCTCATTTCTGAGGTGTCTGTTTTAATTTCTTCATGTTTATTTTTCATTTATTGGAGTCTTTTTTCTTTTTGTAGACTACCTAAAACTTTGTCAATTTTGTTTATTAAAAAAACCTGTTTTATGGATTACTTCTGTAGTTTTTCTGTTCTCCATTTGATTTATTTTTGTTCTGATTTGTAATTATTTTCTTCTGTCTGCTACTTTTGGGTTTAGTTTGCTTTTCTTTTGTTCATTCCTTAAGAAATAATGTTAGACTATATATTTGGGGACTTCTTTTCTAATGTATGCATTTATTCCTATAAAATTCCTTCTTACAATTGCATATGCTGCATTTCATAGGTTATAGTATGTTTTGTTTCCATTGTTATTTGTCTCAAGTTATTTTTAATTCCCCTTTTGATTTCTTCTTTGATCCATTGGTTGTTTAGGAGAATGACATTTAATTTTCACAAATTCCATATTTGTGAATTTTCTAAAATCACAAATTCCATATTTGTGAATTTTCTAAAATCCTTCTATTATTGATTTCTAGTTTCATAACATTGTTGTATGAGATGATATGGATATGATTTCAATCTTACTTGTTTTGTGGACTAAGATATGATCTATCCTGGAGAATGTTCCATGTGCACTGACAAAAAAAGGTATATTCTGTTGTTGTTGGATGAAAAGTTCTACAAATGTTGTTAGGTCCATTTGGCCAAAAGTGTAATTCAAGTCCAGTATTTCATGTCCATTAATATTTGCTTTATATATTTAGGTGCTCCAACATTTAGTGTATATACATAAATATATACACACTATATATATACACACACTATATATATACACTATATATATACAGTAATTATATTATCCTGATTAAAGGACCCCTTGATAATTAAATAATAACCGACTCTGTTGCCTGTGATAATTTTTGACTTGAAGTCTGTTTTATCAGATATAGGGATAGCCATCACTCCTCTCTTTTTGTTATCTTTTGCAGGAAATATTTTCTTTCACCCTGTCACTTTCAACCTATATGTGTCCTTAAAGATTTCTAGTGGGTGTCATATAGGTGAGTCTATTTTTTTAATCCATTCAGTCACTTTATGTCTTTTGATTAGAAAATTTAGTCCATTGAGAGTTAAGGTTATTATTTATAAGTCAGGACTTAATATTTTGTTGTTTGTTTTCTCATTCTTTTGTAGTTCCGTTGTTCCCTTTTATCTCTGTTGTCTACTTTCATGATTTAATAGGATTCTGTAGTGTTAAACTTTTATTTCTATCATCCATAAATTTTCTGTAGTTTTTTGTTTTGTGTTTTTCACGAGGCTTACATAAAATATCTTATTATCTATTCTAAACTGATAACTTTTATTGCATTAAAAACTCTAGAATGTTATCCTCCCCACAAGTTAAGTTTTTGATACCACAATTTACATATTTTTATATTGCATATCTTTATCTTTGACAATTTTTATTTTTCCATCACAATAGAGATATGTATGATTTACCACACCAGCATTACAGTATTAGAGTATTCTGGACTTGACTACTTACCTCTAGCAGTGAAGTTTATATTTTCATATGTATTCATGATAGTAATGATTGTCTTTCTGTTTCCACTTGAATAACTTCTTTAAGCATTTCTTGTAAGGAGAGTCTAGTGGTAATGAGTTCTCTCAGCTTTTACTTGACTGCCAAAGACTTCATTTCTACTTCATTTCTGAAGCACAGATTTGCTTGGTATAATATTCTAGGTTGGAAGGTTTTTTTTTTTTCCTTTCAGTGCTTTGAATATATAATTCCATTCTCTCCTGGCCTACAAGACTTCTACTGAGAAATCTTCGGATAGTCCCGTGGATATTTCCTTATATGTTACTTGATACTTTTCTTATGCTGTTTTTAAAACTCTCCCATTGTTTTTTACTTTTGATATTTGATTATAACATGCCTCAAAGAGGACATCTTTGCTTCAAATCTATTCGAGAATCTTTGAGTTTCCCCGATCCGGATGTCCGTATCTCTCACAAGACTTGGGAAGTTTTCAGGATTTATTTTATTAATAAGCTTCTGTCTCTTCTTCTTTCTTTCAAAAACATTCACAATAAGGATACCTATTCACTTAATGGTGTCACATAAGTCCTATAGGCTGGATTAATTATTTTTCTTTTCTTTTTTTTAATTTTTTAACTGCATCTCTAATGGAATATACGTCATTTCAATTGACCTATATTCGAGTTCATAAATTATTCTTTTTGCTTAATCTAGTCTGCTGTTGAAGTGGTCAGTTGTATTTTCCATTTCATTGATTGAATTCTTTAGCTCCAACATTTCTATTTGAGAATTATTTATGTAATCTCTTTGTTGAATTTCTCATTTAAATTACAATTTGTTTTCCTGATTTTATTGTATTTTCTATTTTTATTCTTTTGCCTAGGTTTTCTTCCAGAGTTTTTATGATTTTAGGTCTTACATTTAAGTCTTTAATCCATCATGAGTTAATTTTTGTATAAGGTATAAGGGAGGGATCCAGTTTCAGCTTTCTACATATGGCTAGCCAGTTTTCCCAGCACCATTTATTAAATAGGGAATCCTTTCCCCATTGCTTGTTTTTGTCAGGTTTGTCAAAGATCAGATGGTTGGAGATGTGTGATGTTATTTCTGAGGCCTCTGTTCTGTTCCATTGGTCTGTATGTCTATTTTGGTATCAGTACCATGATGTTTTGGTTACTGTAGCCTTGTAGTATACCTTGAAGTCAGGTAGCGTTAATGACTCCAACTTTGTTCTTTTTGCTTAGGATTGTTTTGGCTATGTGGGCTATTTTTTGGTTCCATATGAATTTCAAAGTAGTTTTTTCCAATTCTGTGAATAAAGTCACTGGTAGCTTGATGGGGATGGCATTGAATCTATAAATTACCTTGGGCAGTATGACCACTTTCACGATATTGAGTCTTCCTATCCATGAGCATGGAATGCTCTTCCATTTGTTTGTGTCCTCTTTTATTTCTTGGAGCAGTGGTTTGTAGTTCTCTTCGAAGTGGTACTTCCATCCCTTGTAAGTTGGATTCCTAGGTATTTTATTCTCTTTGTAGCAATTGTGAATGGGAGTTCACTCATGATTTGGCTCTCTGTTTGTCTGTTATTGGTGTATAGGAATGCTTGTGATTTTTGCACATTGATTTTGTTTCCTGAGACTTTGCTGAAGTTGCTTATCAGCTTAAGGAAATTTTGGGCTGAGACAATGGGGTTTTCAAAATATACAATCATGTCATCTGCAAACAGGGACAATTTGACTTTCTCCTTTCCTAATTGAATACCCTTATTTCTTTCTCTTGCCTGATCGTCCTGGCCAGAACTTCCAACACTATGTTAAATAGGAGTGGTGAAAGAGGGCATCCTTGTCTTGTGCCACTTTTCAAAGGGAATGCTTCCAGTTTTTCCTCATTCAGTATGATATTGGCTGTGGGTTTGTCATAAATAGCTCTTATTATTTTGAGATACATCCCATCAATACCAAATTTATTGAGAGTATTTAGCATGAAGGGCTGTTGAATTTTGTCGAAGTCTTTTCTTGCATCTATTGAGATAATCATGTGGTTTTTGTCTTTGGTCTGTTTATGTGATGGAATATGTTTACTGATTTGTGTATGTTGAACCAGCATTGCATCCCAGGGAAGAAGCCCACTTGATTGTGGTGGATAATCTTTTTGATGTGCTGCCAGATTCGGTTTGCCAGTATTTTATTGAGGAGTTTCGCATCAATGTTCATCAGGGATATTGGTCTAAAATTTTCTTTTTTTGTTGTGTCTCTGCCAGGCTTCGGTGTGAGGATGATGCTGGTCTCATAAAATGAGTGAGGGAGGATTCCCTCTTTTTCTATTGATTGGAATAGTTTCAGAGGGAATGGTACCAGCTCCTCTTTGTACCTCTGGTAGAATTCAGCTGTGAAACCATCTGGTCCTGGACTTTTTTTGGTTGGTAGTCTATTAATTATTGACTCAATTTCATTGGTCTATTCAGAGACAAAACTTCCTACTGGTTTAGTCTTTGGAGGGTGTATGTATTCAAGAATTTATCCATTTCTTCTAGATTTTCAACTTTATTTGCGTAGAGGTGTTTAAAGTATTCTCTGCTGATAGTTTGCATTTCTGTGGGATCACTGTTGATATCCCCTTTATCATTTCCTATTGTGCCCATTTGATTCTTCTCCCTTTTCTTGTTAGTCTTGCTTGTGGTCTATTTTGTTGATCTTTTCAAAAAACAAGCTTCTGGATTTATTGATCTTTTGAAGGGTTTTTTGTGTCTCTATCTCCTTCAGTTCTGCTCTGATCTTAGGTATTTCCTGCCTTCTGCTAGCTTTTGAATTTGTTTGCTCTTGATTCTCTGGTTCTTTTAATTATGATGTTAGGGTGTCGATTTTAGATCTTTCCTGCTTTCTCTTGTGGCCATTTAGTGCTATATATTTCCCTCTACACACTGCTTTAAATGTGTCCCAGAGATTCTGGTACGTAGTGTCTTTGTTCTCATTGGTTTCAAAGAACATCTTTATTTTTGCCTTCATTTTGTTATTTACCCAGTAGTCATTCAGGAGCACGTTGTTCAGTTTCCATGTAGTTGTGAGGTTTGGAATGAGTTTCTTAATCCTGAGTTCTAATTTGATTACAGTGAGGTCTGAGAGACTGTTTTTTTGTGTGTGTGATTCCTGTTCTTTTACATTTGCTGAGGAGTGTTTTACTTCCAATTATGTGGCCAATCTTAGAATAAGTGTGATGTAGTGATGAGAAGAATGTATATTCTGTTGATTTGGGGTGGAGAGTTCTGTAATGTCTATTAGTTCCACTAGGTCCAGAGCTGAGTTCAAGTCCTGGATACCCTTGTTAACTCTCTGTCTTGTTGATCTGTCTAATATTGACAGTGGGGTGTTGAAGATTCCCACTATTATTGTGTTAAGTCTAAGTCTCTTTATAGTTCTCTGAGGACTTGCTTTATGAAACTAGGTGCTTCTGTATTGACTGCATATATATTTAGGATAGTTAGCTCTTCTTGTTGAATTGATCCTTTTCCCATTATGTAATGTCCTTCTTTGTCTCTTTTGATCTTTGTTGGTTTAAAGTCTGTTTTATCAGAGACTAGGATTGCAACCCCTGCTTTTTTCTTTCTTTCAATTTGCTTGGTAAATCTTCCTCCATCCATGTATTTTTATCCTATGTGTATTTTGATCCCTCTCTGTATGTGAGATAGGTCTCCTGAATACAGCACACTGATGGGTCTTGACTCTTTATCCAATTTGCCAGTTTGTGTCTTTTAATTGGGATATTTAGCCCATTTACATTTAAGGTTATTATTGTTATGTTTGAATTTGATCCTTTTATTATGACATTAGCTGGTTATTTTGCCCATTAATTGATGCAGTTTCTTCATAGTGTTGAAGGTCTTTACAATTTGTCATGTTTATGTATGCCATGGCTGGTGCCAGTTGTTCCTTTCCATGTTTAATGCTTCCTTTAGAAGCTCTTGTAAGGCAGGCCTGGTGGTGACAAAATCTCTCAGCATTTGCTTGTATGTAAAGGATTTTCTTTCTCCTTCACTTATGAAGCTTATTTTGGCTGGATATGAAATTCTGGATTTTCTTTAAGAATGTTGAATATTGGCCCCCACTCTCTTCTGGCTTGTAGTGTTTCTCTCAAGAGATCCACTGTTAGTGTAATGGGTTTCCCTTTGTGGGTAACCCGACCTTTCTCTCTGGCTGCCCTTAACATTTTTTCTTTCATTTCATCCTTGGTGAATCTGACAATTATGTGTCTTGGGGTTGCTCTCCTCAAGGAGTATCTTTGTGGTGTTCTCTGTATTTCCTGAATTTGAATGTTGGCCTGCTTTCCACAGCTGAGGAAGTTCTCCTGTATAATATCCTGACGAGTGTTTTCTAACTTGGTTCCATTCTCCCCGTCACTTTCAGGTACACCAATCAAACATAGATTTGGTCTTTTCACATAGTCCCGTATTTCTTGGAGGCTTTGTTCATTTATTTTCACTCTTTTTTCTCTAATCTTGTCTTCTCGCTTTGTATCATTAATTTGATCTTCAATCACTGATATCCTTTCTTCCACTTGATCAAATCAGCTATTGAAGCTTGTGCATGTGTCACAAAGTTCTCGTGCTGTGGTTTTCAGCTCCATCAGATCATTTAAGGTCTTCTCTAGACTGTTTATTCTAGTTAGCCTTTCATCTAACATTTTTCCAAGAATTTTTGCTTCCTTGCGATGGGTTAGAACATGCTCCTTTAGCTCAGAGATGTTGTTATTACTGAGCTTCTGAAGACTACTTCTGTCAACTCATCAAACTCATTCTCATCCAATTTTGTCCGTTGCTGGCAAAGAGCTGCAATCCTTTGGAAGAGAAGATGTGCTCTGGTTTTTGGAATTTTCAGCTTTTCTGTTCTGGTTCGCCCCATCTTTGTGGTTTTATCTACCTTTGGTCTTTGACGCTGGTGACCTACAGATGGGGTTTTGGTGTGGATGTCCATTTTGTTTATTTTGATGCTATTCCTTTCTGTTTTTTTTTTTTTTTTCCTTCTAACAGGCCCCTCAGCTGCAGGTCTGTTGGAGTTTGCTGGAGGTCTGCTCCAGACCCTGTTTGTCAGGGTATCACCAGCAGAGGCTGCAGAACAGCAAATATTGCAGAACAGCAAATATTGCTGCCTGATCCTTCCTCTGGAAACTTCGTCCCTGAGGGGCACCCACCTGTATGAGGTGTCTGTCTGCCCCTACTGAGATGTGTCTCCTAATCAGGCTACACGAGAGTCAGGGACCCACTTGAAGAGGCAGTCTGTCCATTCTCAGAGCTCCAACACCATGCTGGGAGAATCATTGCTCTCTTCAGAGCTGTCAAACAGGGACCTTTAAGTCTTCAGAAGTTGTCTGCTGCCTTTTGTTCAGCTATGCCCTGCCCACAGAGGTTGAGTCTAGAGAGGCAGTATGCCTTGATGAGCTGCAGTGGGCTCTGCCCAGTTCAAGCTTCCTGGCCACTTTATTTACCTACTCAAGCCTCAGCAATGACAGGAGCCCCTCCCCCGACCAGGCTGCAACCTTGCAGGTCGATCTCAGACTGCAGTGCTAGCAGTGAGCAAGGCTCCATGGGTGTGGGACCCACTGAGCCAGGCACGGGTGGGAATCTCCTGGTCTGCCAGTTGCTAAGACCATGGGAAAAGTGCAGTATTTGGGCGGGAGTGTATCATTCCTCCAGGTACAGTCTGTCACAGCTTCCCTTGGCTAGAAAGGGAAATCCCCCGACCCCTAGTGCTTCCAGGGTGAGGTGACACCCTGCCCTGCTTCCACTTGCCCTTCATGGGCTGCACCCACTGTCCAAACAGTCCCAGTTAGATGAAGCAGGTACCTCAATAGGAAATGCAGAAATCACCCATCTTCTGTGTCTATCTCGATGGGAGCTGCAGACTGGAGCTGTTCCTATTTGGCCATCTCGTCATGTACTTTTAATGTTATAATATTTCTTTCCTTTTTTATGCTTTTTGTGTACTTACATTGATGTCTGTGCAACTGGTGATGCAGTCACCTCTTCCAAACTTCACAGAGTGCTTTTTGTAGAGGAAGATTTTTACCTGTGCATTGGCCTGAGTGTACAGTTGGGCAGGGTGTGGCAGCTTTGGTTCTCTGTGGGAACAGTGATATAGTCTTCATGAAGCTCTTTCATTGTGATCAACATTAACAATAACTGTTGATGGCTCAGTGGTAAAGACTGCAGGAGTTTCTGGCAGTGACAGAAGCTGTGTAAGTTATTAGGGCAAGGGCTTTAGGGATCCCCTTGTTCTTGTATTCTTCCAAGTGGGAGTAATAGCTAAATGGATCTTTCTTGGTGCTGAGTCTGACAGGATGCACAAGAAGCCACAGCAGTACTGAGATTTACTGCACAGGTGTTTGGAATGGCTCTGAAGCCAGAGTCCAAGACTTGGGGTCTTGTTAAACCACTGTAGCACTTGGGACTTGAAGTACAGGTTTACTTTTCAAGGGAAGAATGGATGTAGCTTTCCCTCTAAGATAGAATCTGTTGCTCTGAGGCACACTCCAACAGCTCAAGCCCGGTGGGTAGGATGTAGCATTGGCTCTAACATGGGGGGCAGGATATAACATTGGAATGGCTGTGGGGGAGGACTGCTTTGCAGTCTCAGTTCTCAAGGAACAGGAAACACTTGCAATTTGGGACCCAGAACCAGTAGAGTATAGTGGTAACATATGTTCTGTGGGGATGAGGTACCATGTAGTGGTGACTCTGGATGCTGGTATGGTGGGACACAGCAGTTGTTCAAGCTTTGTGAGTTTGAGTGAAGCAGCAGCAAGGACACAGGAATGGTAAGATGTGGGGCAGGGACCAGCACAGAAATATTTACATTCCCTGAAAAGGATGGGTACCTCAGCATCTCAGACTGTGGGGACCTAGTCCAGTTTCAGGGAGGTGGGGCACAGTGGTTGTTCAGCCTAGAAGGCAGAGTGGCACAGTTCAGAAAAGATTCTGATTTCCTGGGACCCCTGCCACCATATCTGCTCAGTCCCAGGAAGTGCAGCTACATGGGTCAACAGAGCCTTTGGATCCCTGGGAGTGGGTGCTGCCTCACTGGTGGCATGGGAGTAGAGGGTATTGTTTCAGTGTATCAGATGCCTGAGGTTCCTAGAGGCTGAGCACTGCAGTAGCTGTGGCACTAGGGCTTGCAACTGCTCTGGTGTACTGGAGGCCTGTGATCCTGGTGGGGCTGGAACATTTTCTTGGCTGTGGCACTAAGTTCATGACTAGACCGGAAATTTGAGACTCTGGGTCTTCAGAGGTGGGCACCTCTTCAGCTTTTCTCTAAGGTTAGAGTTTGCTAGCAACTCATTTAGGGGGTGGAGGAGATCTGTGTTAGCTTGGCCCTAGTGAGTAATAGCACTGCTTGAAGATGGAGTGCTACTGGGTAAGCTTGGTGCAGTGGTAGCTTAACCTCAGGGATGGAGGGATGAAATGACTACTCACTCTTAAAGCAGGACACACTCTAGCAGTGATTTTGGTTTTAAGATGATGTAGCACAGTAGTAGCATCGACCACAAAGACCCAGGGTGCAGTGTGGCTGCTTCTCTGAAGGTAGCTCAGCTTGTAGACTCCAGGGAGCTCACTCAGCTGGGCCCAAAACATGAGAACTGTAGGATTCTTCAGTAGCAAAGAATTCAGATGTCCATGATTTTGATATGGGCTTCTGTGTTCCTTTTGTTTACATTTTCTCCACAGAAATAAGTACCTTCTGGTTCTGAGCTGATTCCCACTGGGGGAACAAAGTGGGAGAAGCAAGGTGATCCTTCTCCTTCCCTATACAGTCATCCTGGTTTCTGTTCTCTGTAGAATTTCTGCTGTTTCTTTGTTGTTCTCCAGCACTATTTTTCTTCTTGGTCAAAATGTAGTTAATTGTTGTTTTGGGTTGTCTTGCAGAGGGAGGAGCACTAAGAGCTTCTAATTGGCCACCTTGCTGACATCACCTGTCAAATTCCACCTTTGAATGAAAAGGAGCATACTAGATGAGATCTAATTTCGTGGACTTTGCCTAGAATGCCACTGGGAACAGAGCACAAACAGAAGGGGGCAGCCTTATTGGATTGAGTCAGAGTTTAGCACAATTGCATCAGAATGGAAGTGGGAAGAGGAATGCACCATAATTAGAACATGTAAAATGATCCCTCTTTTCTTAGATAGATTTCTCACTAGTGGTCCAAAAACAATTTTGTCAAGATAAAGTCATCTGGTCCTGGACTAATTATGCAGCTTTATGCAGCTTCTCCTACTTTTATTCCAACTGAATTGTCCTCCTTACATCTTTTCTGAACATATTCTCCTCCCATCACACAACCTGTTTGTATGCTGAACTTTTCACCTAGGTAGTGCTTCCTTATTTTCAATTCTCAGCTTATCTTTCATTTCCTTGGGAAATCTTTCTCTGACAACCCCGACAAGGAGAAGTCTACCTCTTTTATAATATTAAGTGACTCTCATTAATAAACATCAGAATTTTTAATTTAACTTTAAATGATAGTTTTTGATGAATGTCTATCTATGTCTTCTGCTATCCTATAAATTCTTAACATGGACTTGCATATAAGCGCTAAATTACTATCTCTTTGATGTTTCTCTGACATTTGAATATTGTTCTATATGCATGCTAATTTTATAATTATAAGAAAAATAAAGAATACATATTTTAAAACTCACCATAGAAAATTGGAATATATGGAATATTTCTGGACCATAATAAGAAAGCCTGTGAAGTAGGTGGTTATGAATTTAGAAAAGAACTCATTTGCTCTGTTATGAAGAAGTTTTATCCATTAGAGCTCATTTTCCTTGGTGATAGCATGGAGAAAAGCAGACAAGACAGACCATTAGAAATAGAGTTCCTCCATCAGGTACACCAAAAAAGTTAATGTAGTATGCTGTAAGTAATGTATTATGGCTATAAAAGTAAAGATAGCCAAAGGCCTAATTAAACATCTTGCAGGGCCAATACTACCTGCCACTTAATGGTAGATGGTAACGAGGCCTAGGGAACTTTACAGATCTCCATGGGAACTAGAGCTGGGGACTTTCCAATGACCCCCAGTATGGGACTGTATAGACCCCCATAGCAACCAGGACTGGGGATTATTGGGTCTTTATGACAAGACCTAAAACATATCTTTGCCCTACAGAAAAGGCCACCTTGGCACAGACATAACTCTCATAAACCTTAAAACAAAACTTAACTTTACAAGAATAGCTTAGGGTTACTTTATGAAATAAATATCTGGTAACTGACCTAGACTAAATATAGGTATAAGAAATGAAGAAGAGTCTTGCAAACTCTGAGAATGGTCTCCATATGGTGATCCTCCTGGTCAGTCAGTCATCCGGCTCATGTTACTGGCTTGCTCCTGCTATCTGTCTTGTAACAGCACTTCCAAAATAAACTGCTTGAACATCAGTCAGTGTCTATGACTCATCTTTAGTGCAAATCAGACAGAAGGGGAGAAGCTATTCCCAGAGAAGTTGGTCAACTAGGACCACTTGAGACTCCCAAACATGACAGTAAGAAAGAGCTGGAGTTTATGTTGTCTTTTTCTCAAAGTTTTATTAAAACAATCATAATGCAATATTACATCAATTTTCTATACTCTTCTACTCATACAAAATCATAATCATAAACAATAGATTTACTTTTACAAATTGCTACTCTATAAAGCAACATATAAATATAACTTTTGCTTTTTTTTCTTATAGATGCGATATAAAATGGATTTGTTTTTGCTGTACATATGTATTGCATAGTGCTTGTTGGTACAAGTGTTTAAAATCATAGATTTGCCAAAAATATTATTTTGAAGAGACACTATTAACTATCCCATCCAAATTGTATTTAGTTCCACAAAGCTGGAATTGAAGAAAATAAGAATAGTTTACATAAGGAAATAAGTGTAGTTAATCATAAATACTAACTATCCATTAAACAAGACCTTTTCAGTCATTACATTTCCTGTTAATTTACACAGAGCCAGCTTCTAAGCTTTCTAGGAAACCTCCACAGATGCTAGTGTATACTCTGCAAACTAGTAAACTGCCAGACAATGGAATTTTTAAGTGTTTGAGGAGGTTTCTAATTCAAGAGGACCAATTTTATTCATTAGTTCCACAATCAACAGAGAATCCTTGGGTTCATGTCATAGTTAATGAAAACCTACAATTTCCAGAAAAGAAAATGCATTTCCTTAGTCACATCATTACAGAGCCATACACTAATGCTTAGGAGTTTGCATTACCTGTGGGAAATCTCAAATTGCCATGATGCTAAATGACACTGATACATGTTTTATGAAAACAGTCTACTGTTTTGGACCTTGAATGTTTATAATGGAAGTGTGTATTTTAAACATAAGTATTCTTTAACTCTTCTTACAATGTTATAATTTAAAGTTCAGGTATATTCTTAGTTTTTTTTTCTCTTAAACCAGGAGCTATAAGTTACACATTTCAGGAATTCTTAACCAATATCTTCAAAGCAAAAGAAAAACACAGTCTGTTTAGTTTATTGCATGGCTTCCACCTACTTAAAAAGACAAAATTCAAAATATTTTCATTTATTAAAAAGATACTTAACCTGATCACCATAACTAACAGATGCTGGTTATGAGAACATATGGTTTATTCATAATACCTAAATTTAAACCTTAAAACCCTGTTGTTTGTCTCAATTTATTTTTGTGAAGAATCATTTTCTAGCTTTTATATTTCAACATTACATTGTTATGTTCTGTTGTCTGCTTAGAGAAAAGGATCTTTTCAATGTCTTCATCAGTCATATGTTGAACAATCATAGAGAAAAATGATAGACTGGAAGTTAATAGAAAATAATTAGAAATTATCCTTTTTAATGCTGGCTGCTTATTTAACTTCAATGCCATTATATTACATTAATGTAATAAAAATCAATCACTCTATATTAGAGCTTTGTTGTACAAGATGATAGAAACTTGAGAAAAATCAATTTAGTTTTGTACCAATTGAGATGACACACATGGCTTGTGAAAACTAAAGAAGTGGAGAAAGTACTTCAGTAGCCACTAATGACAGGGCCAGTGTTAATTAAAATCCAACACAATTCTAAGCCACCTGTGTTATGATCCTGATCTTTTGTTAGTTGAGAAGAAAAACCCTTGTTATTGTTTAAATCATCTGGTTTAGCATACTACAAATGTATTTTCAATACAGTTTAATAATTATATTCAGGCATATTATTTTAATTTGTATTTAAAGCAATCAAAGATGTTGGTTTTATTGGTAATTACAGTGCCCAGGGAAAACTAAAATAATGAGATTCTGATAATGGCTTGATTTTCAGTTTAGTTTATTGAGTGATATTTAAATGGAATCACAGAGTAAGAAGTGATTTAAAGAATGTATTTTGTCTATAATCTTCAATTTAGATAGGACAATAGTTAAATATGCTATCAACACACACTATGATTCTGAATTATAGATAATTAATAATGTAACAAGCTTTTCTATGTAACATTATCTTTAATATGGAAGCAGTTTTTACATATGACATTTACAAATAATATTTTATGTTTACAGATGCTATTGTTGGTAAAGTATATTGTTCTCAATTTGTTGACATTTTATATTTGGAATATGTACACAAATATTTGTGGTAGATTATGTAGGTACTTTCTTTGAGACATCATGATATAGAGGTTCTAAATAAAAACCAAGAAAGAAATAAAATAACACTTAAAATTATAAAATGTTTTACATTAGTGCTGACAAGTAATTCATTATTGTCATATTTGCTTAATTTATAATTTTTATATTCTTTATTCATACCATAAACCACTGCTGCTCTCCTAGTAGTAGAAAGATACGTTTTCTATCAATTTAAAAATGTGTTTTAATCTTTTTATCTTTGTTATTGAAAGAAGTTCTTCCAAATTGCTAATTCAAAGCTTTTTGCGATAACCTCTCATTAAATTCTATGCTTTTGAATCTACTGTAAACATTATTTCAAGTTAGAAATAATGCCTGATTAAATACATCATAAACTTTCTATTGATCTTTAACTCTGCCAGCCCCTAATTGACTAGAGGTGTCTAGATGCAAAAGACAAAGACCCTACAGTTGACCAAACGCATCATATTCCATTGTACAGTGTGCCATCCCCATAAATTATCCTTCTTTACACAACACACTCATAAAACAACAAATCAGACATTGAAACAAGTATTTACTGAATATATAATATACCCAAATGTAAGGTAAACCTCATAGATAAAAAGTATTTACAGCTGGGCACAGTCGCTCATGCTTGTAATTCCAACACTTTGGGAGGCAGTCAGAGGATTACTTGAACCCAGGAGTTCAAGACCAGCCTGGGCAATAAAATAAGACCTCATCTTTACAAAACAATAAAAATAAAACATAGCCAGTCATGGTGGCATGCACCTGTAGTCCCAGGTAATTGGGAAGCTAATGTGGGAGGATTGCTTGAGTCTGGTAGACCAAAACCATAGTGAGCTATGATGGCACCACTGTACTCCAGCCCGGGTGACAGAGTGAGATACTTTCTCAAAAACAAAAAGTATTTAAAAACATTAATGATAAAAGAAAAATACAATGAAATACAAATTTTTCTATAAAAGGGTACATAAACATACATTTTTTACATAAAAGTGCACACAAATATACATAAACATACATATATTAGAGGGCTGTATTATGGAGATGGTATGCACTGAACTATGGAGAGATGAAATAAAGTCAATCATATTTGTATTCATTCTTGCTGTATTTTTAATAGACTATATTCTTCTACAGCAGTTTAGGTTCACAGCAAAATTAATCAGTAGTTTCAGAGATTACCCATATATCTCCCACCCCCACACATGCATAGCCTCCCTCATTATCAGCATCCCTCAACAGTGTGGTTCATTTGTTATCACTGATAAACTTATGATGACACATTATTGTCACCCAGATGTGGTAGTTTATATTACAGCACATTCTGGGTGTTGAACATTCTATTGGCTTAGACAAATGTATAATGACATGTGTCCGTCATTATAGTATCATACTGAGTAGTTTCACAACTCTAAAATTCCTATCTGTTCTGTCTGTTGATCCATCTCCCAAACATCTAGCAACATTGATCTTTTAACTGTGTTCTTAGTTTTGCATTTTACACAATGTAACTGTGCATATACAGCATGTAGCCTTGTCAGATTGGCTTCTTTTTCACTTAAAAATATGCATTTAATGTTCTTCCACTTCTTTTCAAGGCTTTATAGTTCATTTGATTTTAGCACAAAATAATATTCCATTATCTGGTTGTACCACAGTTTATCCATTTACTTTTTGAAAGACATCTTGGTTGTTTCAAGTTTTGGCAACCATGAATAAAGTTACTATGAACATTGTGCTTCTAATCTATGGATCTAGATTTCTTTTCAGGTATATTTACTGCTTTTGAGTAAATATTAAGGAGCACAATTCCTGGATCATATGGTAAGAGAATGTTTACTCATGTAAAAAACTGCCGAACTGTCTTCCAAAGTGGCTGTACCATTTTGCATGTCTACCAGCTATCATTGAGAGTTTCTGTTGCTCAACATCCTGACCAGCATTAAGTGTTGTCAGTGTTCTGGATTTTTGCCATTCTAATAGGTGTGTAGGGATATCTTGCTGTTTTAATTAACATTTCCCTGATGACATATGATTTGGAGCATCTTTTCATTTGCTTACTTGCCATCTTTGGTGAGGTGTCCAGGTCTTTTATGTGGTTTTAAATTGAGTTGTTTCTTTTCTTACTGTTGTATTTAAAAATTCTGTGTAAAATCCTTTTTTCAAATGGATCTTTTGCAAATATTTCCTCCCAGTCTGTAGATTTTCTTATTCTCTTGATACTGTCTTTCATAGAGCTGAAGTTTTTAATTTTAATGAAATTCATCTAATCAATAATTTATTTCATCGATTCTGCCTTTGGTGTTTTATTTTAAAAAATTATCACCATTCCCAAGGCCATCTAGGTTTTTTCCCATGTTATTTTCTAAGGGTTTTATAGTTTTATATTTCACATTTAAATCTGTAATCTATTTTGAGTTAATTTTTTGTGAAGGTTATAAGTTGGCATCTAGATTTCTTTTCAGGTATATGGATGGCCAGTTTTTCTAGCACCTGTTTTTGAAAATATTATATTTGCTGCATTGTATTGCCTTTGCTCCTTTGTTAAAGATCGGTTGTCTTTCTATATGTGGATGTATTTCTGGACTCTCTATTCTGTTTCATTGATCTATTTGTCTATCATTTTGTTAATACCACACTGTGTTGATTACTGTAGTTGTATAGTAAATCTTGAAGTTAGATAGTATCAGTCTCTTATACTGTGTTGTTTATTCTCGTCTTTTTTCTTTTCATAGAAGCTTTAGCATCTGTCTGTCAGTATTCACAAAATAACCTGATGGAATTTGGTAGAGATTGCTTCTAATCTATAGATCAAATGGTAAAAACTAACATCTTGACAATATTGAATCTTCCTGTTCATGAACATGGACTACTTCTCCATTTAGTTATTTTACATTTTTTTATTAGAATTTGTAATTTTTCTCATATAGATTTTGTACATATTGTGTTAGATTTATACTTAAGTATTTCACTTTGGTGATGCTAATGTAAATGATATTGTCTTTTTAATTTCAAATTTGACTTGTTCATTGCTGGTACATAAGGAAGTGATTGAATTTTGAATGTTAACCTTGTACATTTCCCTCTTGATATAATTGCTTATTAGTTCCTCAAGTTTTTTTTTTTGATGATAGTTTGTATTTTCTACATAAACATTCATGTCATCTGCAAACAAAGACAAATTTATGTTTTGTTCCCAATAAGTATAACTTTATATCCTTTCATTGTCTCATTGAATTAGCTAGGACTTCTAGTACTATGCTGAATAAGAGCAATGAAAGAGAACATCCTTGCCTTGTTTCTAATCTTAGTGGGAAAGCTGCCAGTTTCTCACCATTTTGTATGATGTTAGCCGTAGGATTTTTGTTAATATTTTTCACCAAGTTGGGCAAATTCTTCCCTATTTCTAGTTTACAGAGTCTTTTTTTTATTATTATATTTTAAGTTCTAGGGTACATGTGCACAACGTGCAGGTTTGTTACGTATGTATACATGTGCCATGTTGGTATGCTGCACCCATTAACTCGTCATTTACATTCGGTATACCTCCTAATGCTATCCCTCCCCCCTCCCCCCACCCCATAACAGGCCCTGGTGTGTGATGTTCTCCTTCCTGTGTCCAGGTGTTCCCATTGTTCAATTCCCACCTATGAGTGGGAACATGCAGTGTTTGGTTTTTTGTCCTTGCGATAGTTTGCTCAGAATGATGGTTTCCAGCTTCATCCATGTCCCTACAAAGGACATGAACTCATCATTTTTTATGGCTGCATAGTATTCCATGGTGTATATGTGCCACATTTTCTTAATCCAGTCTATCATTGTTGGACATTTGGGTTGGTTCCAAGTCTTTGCTATTGTGAATAGTGCCACAATAAACATACGTGTGCATGTGTCTTTATAGCAGCATGATTTATAATCCTTTGGGTATATACCCAGTAATGGGATGGCTGGGTCAAATGGTATTTCTAATTCTAGATCCTTGAGGAATCTCCACACTGACTTCCACAATGGTTGAACTAGTTTACAGTCCCACCAACAGTGTAAAAGTGTCCCTATTTCTCCACATCCTCTCCAGCACCTGTTGTTTCCTGACTTTTTAATGATCACCATTCTAACTGGTGTGAGATGGTATCTCATTGTGGTTTTGATTTGCATTTCTCTGATGACCAGTGATGATGAGCATTTTTTCATGTGTCTGTTGGCTGCATAAATGTCTTCTTTTGAGAAGTGTCTGTTCATATCCTTTGCCCACTTTTTGATGGGGTTTTTTTTTTCTTGTAAATTTGTTTGAGTTCATTGTAGATTCTGGATATTAGCCCTTTGTCAGATGAGTAGATTGCAAAAATTTTCTCCCATTCTCTAGGTTGCCTGTTCACTCTGATTGTAGTTTATTTTACTGCACAGAAGCTCTTTAGTTTAATTGGATCCCATTTGTCAATTTTGTCTTTTGTTGCCATTGCTTTTGGTGTTTTAGTCATGAAGTCCTTGCCCATGCTTATGTTCTGAATGGTATTGCCTAGGTTTTCTTCTAGGGTTTTTATGGTTTTAGGTCTAACATTTAAGTCTTTAATCCATCTTGAATTAATTTTTGTATAAGGTGTAAGGAAGGGATCCAGTTTCAGCTTTGAACATATGGCTAGCCAGTTTTCCCAGCACCATTTATTAAATAGGGAATCCTTTCCCCATTTCTTGTTTTTGTCAGGTTTGTCAAAGATCAGATGGTTGTAGATGTGTGGTATTATTTCTGAGGGCTCTGTTCTGTTCCATTGGTCTATATCTATGTTTTGGTACCAGTGCCATGCTCTTTTGGTTACTGTAGACTTGTAGTATAGTTTGAAGTCAGGTAGCATGATGCCTCCAAAAAAAGTCCAGGACCAGATGGATTCACAGCCGAATTCTACCAGAGATACAAGGAGGAGCTGGTACCATTCCTTCTGAAACTATTCCAATCAATAGAAAAAGACGGAATCCTCCCTAACTCATTTTATGAGGCCAGCATCATCCTGATACCAAAGCCCGGCAGAGACACAACCAAAAAAGAGAATTTTAGACCAATATCCCTGATGAACATCGATGCAAAAATCCTCAATAAAATACTGGCAAACCGAATTCAGCAGCACATCAAAAAGCTTATCCACCATGATCAGGTGGGCTTCTTCCCTGGGATGCAAGGCTGGTTCAACATACGCAAATCAACAAATGTAATCCAGCATATAAACAGAACCAACGACAAAAACCACATGATTATCTCAATAGATGCAGAAAAGGCCTTTGACAAAATTCAGCAGCCCTTCATGTTAAAAACTCTCAATAAATTAGGTATTGATGGGATGTTTCTCAAAATAATAAGAGCTATATATGACAAACCCACAGGCAATATCATACTGAATGGGCAAAAACTGGAAGCATTCCCTTTGAAAACTGGCACAAGACAGGGATGCCCTCTCTCACCTCTCCTATTCAACATAGTGTTGGAAGTTCTGGTCAGGGCAATCAGGCAGGAGAAGGAAATAAAGGGTATTCAATTAGGAAAAGGGGAATTCAAATTGTCCCTGTTTGCAGATGACATGATTGTATATCTAGAAAACCCCATCCTCTCAGCCCAAAATCTCCTTAAGCTGATAAGCAACTTCAGCAAAGTCTCAGGATACAACATCAACGTGAAAAATCACAAGCATTCTTATACACCAATAACAGACAAACAGAGAGCCAAATCATGAGTGAACTCCCATTCACAATTGCTTCAAAGAGAACGCAATACCTGGGAATCCAACTTACAAGGGTTGTGAAGGACCTCTTCAAGGGGAACTACAAACCACTGCTCAGTGAAAGAAAAGAGGATACAACAAATGGAAGAACATTCCATGCTCATGGATAGGAAGAATCAATATCGCAAAAAGTTTACAGAGTCTTTGTCATGAATGTGGTTGGATTTTGTCACGTGCTTTTTTTGGTATCTTTTGATTTGATGTTCTGATTTTTCTGATTTTGCTTGTTGATGCAATGTGTGAGACATATCTGAAAGCAAATGCTAAATCTGAGAAACAACAAAACTATTATGTTCAAGAAAATGAGTGGGGGTATACTCAGTAAATATTAAATTATATATATGTGGCATTAAAGTTGCATTTCAACATGCATCTCATTGTATAATCTGTCAATAACTTCCATTTATTATAAATTGAAGAAGAGTGTTATATAAATTCAGAAATAATTTATATTTTACTTTGATTTTTCCAACAAAATGATTGATATTAAATATTATCTAGTCAAAACTGCACTACTGTTTTATGTGTAAAAATATGTTTGTATAAAAGATTATTATTATAGAATTACAAATGTTTGTAAATACTTGAGATTCATTGATTTACACATGAGCCATACAAATAAATCAGTTACTGAAAACACTAGTTTATTATACTAGTATGTATAATACTAGCTGAAAGTATATCATATCCAATTAAAAACTGATACATATTAAAAATCTAAATAAAAATTTTGCTAATTTATTTTGTTTTCACAATAATATAAGGAATTTTAAAAATTATCCTCTTCTTAATAAAAGGGTAATAAATTAATTTTGTCTGTGTATTAATATAATCGAATGCCTCTTTAATATTTGTCATCATAGTATATGCAACTAATGTATTTAAAATTAATTTCTTAAATATGTAGCCAGTTTTTCTTTGACCATAAATTATATTTCCACATTACAAGTTCATGTGGAAGTCATATTATCTCACATCCCTAGATGATATTTAGAGTGTTAAATACCATGTTAATAACATTAGCTTAAGTGTATCCAAGAAAATATAAGCTTAGGCTAATTCAAGAAAAAATTAATATTGCTAGAAAGCAACAAATGTTAAATATGTAACTCCAACTTTCAGTAGAAATATTTCCTACAATTTCAAACTCTAGTTTTACGTTTTTTACATTTTAGTTTTATCAACGTTAAGGTAGATATATGGTTCTCTTAGCAGATATTCCAAATATTTACCCATTTTACTTTTATACATTTTACCTTGTCAAAAATCAAATTTATTACTATAACTATTGATTACATGAGAACATTCTTAAATCGAGAAGCTTGAAAGCTCATATTTTATTATTGCAACAACACTGTGGATGTTTTCTATAAAGTGAGACATTCCCCTTGTTCACTTTTCAAGAAAATATTCATCAGATACCTAGGACTGAATAATCATGATTTTTCTGTCAAGTTGTTTTCACAAATACAAATGGCTGGCCGTGGAAAGATAATGTGTTTGAGTTTGCAACTCAAGTAACATCATAAGTAATTTTTTGGAGACACTTATTATAATTTGGTATGTAGCAAACGTGCATTTCGTCACAGAATACAGTCATGAACCTCCTAACATTTCAGTCAATGAGGTGGTCCCATAAGGTTATAATACTGTATTTTTAATGTGCTTTTTCTATATTTAAATTGTTTAGCTACACAAATACTTACCATTGTGTTACATTTGCCTGCAGTATTCCGTACAGTGACATGGCATACAGGTTTTTAGCATAGGCGAAATAGGCTATATCATACAGTGGAGATGTGTAGTAGGCTATGTCATCCAGGTTTGTATAAGTGCACTCTATGATGTTCACAGAAGGATGAGGTCACACAGTGACACATTTCTCAAAACATATTTTTGTCATAACGTGACACATACTAACTGTATTTTAAAATCAGATACTCAAAATTCAATATTTAAGGCAACTTTTAAGTGTATTCAAGTTAAAGTTTTTTAAAAATATATTTGTTTGTGTTTCAAAAGATCATTTTAGAGTTAAACCTATATGTGTATACAACATATATATTTTCTATGCCACTAATAAGGTACCCACTAGTTTTACATGTCCAAGAAAACTATTAGTTCAATGAAAAAGGTGAATATTTATTAGTATCACTATTTAATTATTTTAAAAATTGGCTTTATAAACCATTTAGCAGGGTCTCAGGATCTGTGAGGCAGAAGTTTTAAGAACCACAATAAAAGCAGAGCTATGTAATTTAACTTTACAGAAATTATTATCTCTTTCAGACAAAAATGATTTATAATATATTTGCTTTTTACATATTAACATAAATTTTATGGAAGAATGACTTGCTCTAGCTGCTGTGAATGATGTTTGAAGATTTTCTCAGTCATCTGCTCCTTCAGGAATTGCCTGCTGTGAACAAGCCAACATTACCCACGCCTACATTACAGCCTTTCTTGAGTTTTCCTCCATTTAAAGACTGAGGAGTTGTTTTATCTCTACAGGTTTATTTGGCGGTCAGCAGAATGTGGTGACCAGGCATTACAATTCTTCCTGTGCCCAATCTTGCTCCCTTTCCTTCATTTCCCAGATGTTGATATTGAAAAAAAGAAATTATTGGCATTTTAAACTCTATCACAGACTATGTTTCTTGAGAATTTAAACTTTAGCACTTGCTTGACTAATGGGCATACAACATATACAAATATATCTCTATATAAAACCTATAGTGATATTATGAATAGATTCTTTTCATTTCCCTTCTGGAGGGAACTCCAGAATGTCAAAATAGTCATTCAAGAAGATGTATATATTTGGGACAGACCTCAAATATAATGTACTGTGGTAATGAATGAAGATTTTGATGGAAGAATGTTCGCTTTAGATACCGCATTAGAGAGATGATTGTAATGTGTGGAAGATACTCCTCATTTTCAAGATAGAGTTTTTGTAATATTTCATCAGGAAAACAAGAGCTCATTTTCTTATACAAGGAGTTAAAATAGTAGGTAGTAAGGATGCCTTCAAAGACAATTCCTTTTGTTATGTACTAGACCTTCCCCCACCCCACCAACTAGCACTAGGTAGAAGAAAAAGCTAACATTGAATATTACTTTTCAAACAATCTACTATGGGACTAAATGCAGAACCATCACACTCTTTTATTTACACTTCTTGCATTTTCGGTACAGTCCTTGACCTCCAAGTAAATCTGTACTGAACATAATATATATATTTTACTAAATAATTTAACATATGTAATGAATATTTTAGCCTAAAAATATTTTGAAATGTGTAATGTTGGCTTTTGTAAAAAAAAATGTAATTTTTAAAAAGTATTTGATTAAAAATTAAACAAGACGAACCTTCTACATTTGAAATTTAAAAATAAGTACTTCAAAAGAAAGCACAAAATTCTCAGGAAAAAAGGCAAATATTTTGAAGATACATTGAGGTAGAACAGTGCAATATGAATTTCAAGCTTTAATACTATCTAATTCTTATGACAAAAGTATCACTAGTTTTACACAAAATATATGAAGGTCAGATTATGTGTGCAAGAATTACGACATGAAAAATAGGTACCTGATCCAATATTTGAAATTAGGGTTTCTTACTGCATTTACAGTCCTCCACTCTATCCCATGGCTGAATGAATAGGAAGCCGCTGAAGTAACTATGGTGACAAGTTGAGAAAAGCTGAGATTTTCCTATTAAATATTGAGATATATATGTTTAAAAACAAAAAGAAAGCACTTCCTATGAAGGTTATCATTTTTCTAAAACTAGATTTCCCACTTTTTCTTCTAAATAATTTTGATATTTAATGTATTTCTACAAAACCTCTTAACATTTTTGCCTATAGTAGCTTACATTTTCCATTAGCCTGTTTAAATGTATTATTTGGTGTATTTTAATATGTTCTCACATAGTTTTAGAGTCAGACAATATGTAAATGTAGTAAATCTCAGCTCTGTAAATATATACCATCTATTTAACACCTTGGGTTACTGTACCCCTTTTAAATGTGTGTACTATTGTTTAGGATTTATTAATTCAGTTCCACTTAACTGATTTTCACAGGTTGCCATAGTTTGCAGTAAATCATGACTCTTTTTTATTCTTCGTGGTGTCAAGAAAATAATGCAGTATTTATATCAATATAAAATATGCAGATATGTAATTAGAAAGTGATTCTAATTACTATCTAGCCTGCTAATAACAATAAACTTAGTCAGTTGACGACATAATATATCCAAACACAATTCTTCTAATAATTTTAAATAGTATACCCTACAATTAATTGTTACAAACATGACTTTACAGGTAAATCCTACTTGTGATTCGCAAAATACCTTTTGTAAAGAGATTTCCTTTATCAAATAAAAATGTGAGATAAATGCAACATTTGAGGTTATGAAAGTAGACAATTAACTTCCTGGTGATGATTATTTTAATTGGTAAAATACCATTTTAGTTATTATATTTACCATCAAGAGAAAAATAAGGGGCAGATGTAATGTAGCATACATAAAATTTCTTCACTTGCCAACAGATGTGTACTTCAACTCAAACAGCTGTTTGCTCTTTTTTGGTGTTTATTCATGTCTGTGAGTACATAATTTATATTAATTTGTAAAATAATCTTAAAAAGCTAAATAATTTAAAGGAAATGGGGCTTTGGAGAAATTGTGGGGTATTTTAAATAAATTCTGCAAAGTGGAGAAATTTCAGAAAAATTATCAGATGTTTATATGTCTTTGAGACACTAAGAGTATACTGAATATATATTCAGTCGCTTCATGCCTGGAAAGAATTAGTAGTACTATTGTGGAGTCATCATTTCATTTTGATCAGAAATTGTAGTGCTTTTCAATAGGCGTTTCTATGGGAGTTTTCCTAAAGAAGAGAATGAGTAGCAATACATTTGTATTTAATTTGAATCTCAAGAAATAGAAATGTATCATTTTGTTAAAATGAAGAATATTTATTTTAAAAAATCAACTGATTTTAGAAAGAATATTCATACCCTATCTTGTCATTAGCGAACTTCAACATTTCTATAAATGTAACAACAGAATCAACAAATACAATACTCCAAATGATGTTTGTTTAAAACATGATTCTGAAATATCCAAAAATAAACTTATCAAAACATTATTCAAATTAGAAATTATTCAATTACTCTCTGTGACTTCTGCCCCCTGCCTCCACAACCCACAAAAAAACCTTCAAAATATAAGCTTCTTGAGGGTTTCATGGTCCAGGCTACAATTGAACAATTTTTGATGCATTCAGAACTGGGGACACTGCTTTATTAATTACTTTTCAACTTTTAGACTATTATCCTGGTTATTAAATGAATAATTTATTGTCTTCTTAAGTGATAGCTGCCCTTTTCTAGTTTTCCACTATTTCCCAGGCACATAAGATTATTATTGCATTTATGTGGAACACATGAATTAGGTTTGTTGTCTACTCTCCATTTTGAGGGTCTCCTAAAGAGTGACTTCGACAGTGGCAATCTGTCCAACAATTTTTCACTTCCTCTGTTTCCCCATCACTCCTCACAGACTCTCAGCCACTCACATTCCATTTACCCTAGTAGGAAACATATGGCACAAGAGGATTTTGGGGCTATGGCACTGCCAGTGTCCAGCCAGAGAGAAAACTTCAATGGAGTTCCTAGAGTACTTTATTTCCCTAGCCCTCATGCTCCCCTAGAGGATTTTCCCTTATCTATTTTCTCATTTAACTTCCTTTCTGCTAAATTCCTGTTTACTGAAGGAGATAATTAGCTCTGGGTGATTATGATAATTTTGTCTTCACTCTCCAGTTATCCTCCCAGTAGGCACACACACACAAAATGCTTAGTACACTGGTTTTCCTTGCCTTTTGGAGAATCACAAGCTCTATGAGTAGCTTCTGCTATTAACATGTTTTAGGGTTGTGTATCTATCCCCAGAATACCTGCTTAAACTGACCATCTTCTTCACTTCAAATTAGGAGTAAGGGAAATTTCAGGATTTCTGTCTGATTAATTTTTATTTCTCTCTTATATCACATTCTCACAGAACTTTTGATGGAGTCTATGTGAAGGGAGGGTGGGAAAGATTAGAGCTAAAAGATTTATTTCTTTTTCTTTCTTTGCTTACCAAATCCATTTGAAAGATAGGCCATGATATGTTCCTTTGCTAGTTTGACTGCTGTTTGGATTAATGTGGTGTAGAGTTATAGATATATATGTAAATAGACAGATATTCATGTGGATAGATAAAGACATAGAGATACATATATAAATCTGTTAGATTTTCATTTTTCTTTTCACTTATTTTCCTTCGATTTTTAGTACTGATGAGAAGGCTTTCTTTTGTATGTCTTTACCCTGCTAACGTAAGCTATAATTTGGTGGTGAGTTTGAATTTGCAGAATTTTATTCAATTGAATTCAAATTTATCATTATTTGTAGTGAGTTGTGTTTTTAGTTCTATGTATCAATAGAGTTTATATATTCCTAAAAAGCCACCAAAATAGCATGCTGATAAAGCAAAACTGAGATAATTCTTAGAGTTCTAAGATAGATTTTTACCTTGACAGAATCCTCATAACACCTCAAATCAGGGAGGGCAAAGTGGTGATATATTTGAAGTTTTGAGTCTAGTTTAAATTATATATAGATGCTTTTGATTAACATAACGCATTAATTTAAATAAATCAAAATAGAGTATTCTTAATCGTCGCATGTTTAGTAATTATAACAAATGTGCTACCCTAGTGTGATGGACTGAATGTTTGTGTCCTCCCTAAATCCATATGTTGAAATCTTAATCCCTAATGTGATAATATTAGATGGGGCCTTCGGGAGGTAATTAGGTCATGAGGGTAGGGAACTAATGAAGCAGATTAGTGTCCTTATAAGAGACTTCAGAGAGCTCTCTTGCTCTCTCTCTCTCTTTTTTTTTTTCCAAGTGAGGCTACAGTGAGACAATTGCCTTCTAGAAACCAGTGAGGTAGAGGGCCCTCAGCAGATATCAACTTTACCAGCGCCTTAATTGGGATTTCTCAACTCCAGAACCATGAGAAATAAAGGTTTGTTGTTTAAGACACCTAGTCTATGGTGGCCGGGTGCGGTGGCTCACAACAGTAATCCCAGCACTTTGGGAGACCGGGGCAGGTGAATCACAAGGTCAGGGGATAGAGACCCTCCTGGCTAACACAGTGAAACCCCATCTCTACTGAAAATACAAATAGACGGGCGTGGTGGCGGGTGCCTGTAGTCACAGCTACTCGGGAGGCTGAAGCAGGAGAATGGTGTGAAAGGGGGAGGCGGAGCTTGCAGTGAGCCGAGACCGCGCCACTGCACTCCAGCCTGGGCGACAGAGCGAGACTCCATCTCAGACAAACAAACAAACAAACAAAACATCTATTCTATGGTGTATTTGTTAAAACTGAGCCCTTAATGAAAATGATAGAATCATAAAGTAAAACTTATAAGTAAAAGGGAATTTATTACTCTTTCCAATGCAGGAGTATGTTCTACCAAATTCTCGATAGGAGAATTATTAGAAAAATTAGCAACATTAGCAAAATAAAAATATCTTGCTAACAAAAGACTCCTTTATACAAATATAGAAAGAAGAGGCTAAAATATTTAGTATTAAATAAACATTATCAGATGAACATCTTGCTAACAAAAGAATCCTTTATACCAATATAGAGAAGACAGTCTAAACTATTTAATATTAAATAAACATTACGGGATGAGTATGTCTTCAAGTTAACACAAAGGTCACTACAAGTCTGGATAGAAGTTTACAGAAATTCATCCAATAAAGTGAAAAAATAAAATAAAACTATGTCCTTGAGAGACAAATAGTTGCATTTAGTGATTATCGCCAGTATAACTTATAAGGAAATTATTTTCAGAGTTACATATTCACTATTCCAAGGGTTAGAAAGCCTTCAACCTTGCATTGTAAAATCAAAAGATTGGGCCTTTTATACAGCCTATTATGCTTTCAAGGAGACACACTGCAGAGTGTGCATGGGGACGCGGAGGCTGCCTCACATCTCAAAAAACAGTTTATCATTTTAGTCTTGCACAATCCTTTGTTTTGATGCTTCATTTCTTCATTTATTCTGATTTGATATCCTCTTGCCTATATCCTATAAGATTCGGTAAACACATCATTTGTAATATTGCATTGCAATCTATTCACTTTATCTGCTTTCTTTAACTAGACTCCAAGTTCATAAAGGATAAACTATATTTTATGCTTAGTTTAATACCCAACATTTAGCATGCTACATAGCAGTCACTTAAAAGATATATATTTACTTTATATATGTAAAATTTTGTCGATATTTCTATTAACAGGTAGTGTCCAGACAGAAAAGGATGCCCCAGTATGAAGTATACACTTTACCATTTATAGTTCACATACTTTGGTAAAATTTCCAAGCTTTCAGGAACATTGATTTTTCTACTGCTTGGAACATCAAGAATAATTATGCCCTGATCGTACTTACCCTGATCGTGCTTACCCTGATATTTTTAACTTCTGTTTGCTTGCGTTAGCATTATCTAATACATTTTTCATTAGAAACTGCATCTAATGTTCATTTCATACTTATTTTTGCTCTATTAATGGTTTCTGTGTTTTAAGACCCAAGAAATCTAAGGACTGGATAATTGTATAAATGGAGGATCATTGGTGTGATGTACAAACCATTTCTGATCTCATGTTATAAATATTTAATTTTCGTGATTTCTGATGTGACCTCTTCACTAACGCAGCTTAATTGCACTTCTAAAGGCAGCATCATACATCAGCTGGAATAGAAGTACTGCCTTTAAATTACAATCTGCCTCCACGTAATAAGAAAGATTTGGAAGCTTCAAATATCTTCAAATCCTTTTTTTGGTTTGGAGCTAAGGAGTCTTTTTACTTAAGGTTTGACTGAAACCAGTATTTATAGCATGGTGTGGTCAGCTATTCTGCTGGGTTTCTACAACAGAGAAAGGCTAAAATGCAGGGAGACATTGCTTTTGATTGGAGCAACTGTTGAGTGCAAGAACAATGGGAAAGAGAAAAGCACAAAGCCGAAATAAGCTAAAATGTGGTAGAAAACATATCTTTGAGAAAATTCCTACTTCAAAACAGACCAATGTCATTCAATTTTCTCGTATTCACTTACGCGTTTTTTAAACATTGAAATACTACATAAGCATGAACTATTAATTGGAGTTAACATATTTTCCTGTATTATATATTATATATGTAGATATGACACAAACCATTTGTTTTGAAGTGATACCTCATAAGAGATATATTTGTCAAATATAATAATATCTTAATTGAAGTTTCTCAGACAAGATTTCAAAATTGTTTTTCTTTAAAATTGATCCAGAGATTACTCAAGAGTGAGCAGTTACATTCCAGTATAGGTAGAGGATAGTAAGAAAAACGATGTCCTGGATTATCAGTGAACTTTAAACTGAGGGGTTGGACAGTAAACTATAGGTAACTAGAGGTCAATGTAGTTTCCTGAATATAATGGGAAGTGAAAAAAAAAAAGTGTTTTCAGAAATAAGATTGGAAATGACATTTGAGGAAAGATGTGGTGAATTAAAATTAGGATTCACGATTGCCTACAAGGATTAATTTTAGTTAAGTCAAAATTTCCTCCATATTTGGGTTTATGAGTTTAGAGAAAATTTAAGAAAGCCACACCAAAGTCCATTGTCAGTAACTAACAAAAAATGGAATGAGACCTTTGGTGAATTTCACCGTAAAAATATCCAAAACAGCAAAAATGAACTTCTTTTGCTCTTAAATTGTTGGCTAACTCTGTGCCAAACAAAATTGACAAAGTTTGAGAACTGAAGTTTCTATTATTAAGTTAATATATAATTTATGGTATAGTAAGGCTAGCATCTTTAAGGGTCACATATAATTATCCATTGATACCCCAACAAGAAGTGATACAGTTCAAAGGAACTTGTGAGTAAATACTAGATTTTATTTTTTGCCAATGCTGACACCTCTGTTTTTCTTCTAATAATTTTCTGAATAAATTAGACACATATACACATGCATATTTTTTTCTCTACACTTAACAAAGCCTACTTTGGGTGAAGGTTTATGTTTGATAAAGCATTAAGTATAATGCCTAGTGCTATAGAATTTGATTAGAAGCATATCCATTAGTTTACACAATTTGGAAAAGCAAAATCAATTAAATATTGTGTTAGCATTCATGTAATTCAACATAATTTGATAGATAAACACAAGTTTTTTATTCCAACAGGATTTGTTTCAATTCCTGCTATGTCATTTGCTAGTATCCACTTTCTAGATGTGTGTCTTGAACCAATTTTTAAATCTATCCTTAAATTTTCTCATTGCTTAAATAAAAATACTTAATGCATACAATTGTTATGAGATTTTAAAAAGATAACAATGACTTAACTTGTAAATATTATTTAAATATTAATTATTATTGTAAATATGCAATGAAATATAATATATTACACAATATTGAATATAATATTCAATAAATATACCATTATACATAAATATAATATTACAGAATTAAATATAATAAAGGCTTAAAAAATTTCATTACTTGTAACAACACAGATGGATCTGGAGGACATTATGCCAAGTAAAATAACCTAGGCACAAGACAAATACTGTATGAGATCACTTAAACCTAGAGTCTAAAAAGTTGAACTCATGGAAACAGAGAGTAGAAAGGTGGTTACCACAGGTTACCACAGGTTGGAGTTTGGGGAGGAATGAAGAAAGGTGAGGTATTGATCAAAGAATACAAAGATTCAGACAGACGGTAGAAATGAGATTTAATTATCTGATGTACTGAATGGTGGCCACAGTTATTAATAATGTATTTCAAATATATTTGAAATACATTATAATATATATTTCAAAATTGCAAAATGAATAGACTGCAAAAAGAATAGACTGTTAATGTTCTCACAACAAAAACAAAGATAAGTTGGTGAGGTGATAGATACGTTAATTAGCTTGATTTAATCTTTCTACTATATATCTAGATCAAAACACCACATTGTATGCCATAAATAGACATAATTAACATATTTCAGTTAAAAAATTAAAATAAAATATTTAATATAATCGTAACAAATAGGACATTAATAGAATAATACTTTGATATAAAGTAAGTTTTTTTTGTTTGTTTGTTTGTTTGTTTTGAGACAGAGTCTTGCTCTGTCACCCAGGCTGGAGTGCAGTGGCAGCACGATATAGACTTACTGCAACCTCTGCATCCCGGGTTCAAGCGATTCTCCATGCCTCAGCCTCCCGAGTAGCTGGGATTACAGCCACCAACTACCACACCAGGCTATTTTTGTATTTTTAGTACAGATGGGGTTTCGCCATGTTGGCCAGTTTGGTCTTGAACTCCTGACCTCAAGTGATCCTCCCACCTTGGCCTCCCAAAGTGCTGGGATTACAGGTGTGAGTCACTGCGCCCAGCCTCAGGTGAGTTTTAATAAAAAAAGGCAAGGATAGTTCAATATTAGAAAACTATTAACATAGTTCATTATATTCATATAGTGGTAATGGAATTATAATATAATTATAATGTAATTCACTATTATTAATAGTTCTATGGAGATAAATCACATAATAATCATATTCAAAAAATTTAGGATTTACTTTTATTAAAAATTTCAAAATCAAAATTAAAAGAAATTATATAAGGAATGACCCCCAAACTGAAATCTGAACAAGGCAAGTATATGTGAAATAAGTTATATATTTATTTCACAACTCTGTTTGAAATAAATGAAACCTCTGTTCTGTTGCTTTAACAACACCAATTATTATATTATCTGACAGTAAGTATTAGTCAGAGATGAGCTAAATAGAAACATCTGAATGTATTTTAAAAAACTAGCTGTTTACTGTTAGACAGGGCCGAAGCAAGATGCATAATTTTTAAAAAAGTACTCAAGAAGTTCATCCTAAGATGAACATAAATTTCATCTTTTAGTAGATTGAAGAAAAAAACAGACAAAAGTATAGGAAAATTTGTTATTTAAAGCAATCAAGAAAGTAGCTGAAATAATAAGTTGGAATAGATAAAAAGAAGACATATACAATAATTTGACTCATGTATTTCAGAAAATATTTTTCACAAAGCAAACTCCGTTTCCAAATGGCTCCATGGGCAAACTCACCCATGGATTTGAGAAAACAAAATAATAACTATCTTACATAAAGCACTTTAAAATATAGAAAAAGAGGAAGAATTTTGAACAAATTTTATTAGGCCACTATAACTATGATATCAAAACCTGAAATGAACATTACAAGAAAAGAATAAGGCCAATATCTCTCATGGCTATAAATACAAAAATTTAAAATACAATATATCAAATTGAATGTATTGACATATAAAGGATACTACTTCATGTCCAAAACAAGTTTTTTAGAATACTAAGGTTGGCTTAACTTTTGAAAAAAAGATCAATCAATATCATTTACCACATGTAATTTAGTTGTTTTTGTTTTGTTTGTTCATTTACTTAGAAATGCTGCTTGGGCCAGTATTGAGGACCTGCAGTCTAGTTAGTTCTCCTTCTTATGTAGTTGATTAAATCCACACTCCATTTACTTCTCCTCTATGGCTCTAACGGTTGGGGTTATTATGTACTTTTCCTAATATCCCCAGGGTTCAGGTACCAGACAGCTAGGAACAGGTCTTATGCTTCCCTGGAGCTCATGAAATTATTCAAATTAGATAAGTCACAGGGAACTAGCTAGGCCTGCCCAACTTGACAGGTAGAAACTGCCTTCAACAGTTCCAGCTTGTACTTACCCTGCCCGAAGGTGTAACCAACCCCCTTCATGGCCCAGCCTGCAGACCTTCTTTCCTTTGGAGCTGTAAGTAACAAAGAGTTCTGCCTTTCCTCTATCCAAGTGTCAGTGTGTTGTGTCCCTCCATTAAAAGAATCTTTAAATTTTATAAAAACACCATGTTAGCAATGTTTAGAAATTCTCAATGTGAACTTATTGCATATTTTAAAATGGCCAAGATACTAATTATATTAATTGCATTTTATTATTATATACTAGACCAAAATGATATTACTTTTAGTATTGCATTCTAAAGGTTTATTGATAATCTATAGAAATAATATTGATTTTTATATATTTACATCAATTCTAGAAATATACTTTATTTATTTAGTAATATTTATTTGTTAATAGATTTATCATTTCCATTGTATTTTCTCCCATATATACACATTGTGAAGTCTGCAAATCATGATGGTTTTACATTTTTTTCTTCAATTACCATATCCTTTATTTTTTGTTTATTATGGCACTACCTAAAATTGTATTAAATATTTAGTAGAACCACGAATAGTAGGTATCCTTGTTTTTATTCTAAACTTAGAACAGAAACATTTCATTTTCACACTTAAGTCATATAGTCATTCAAGTTTTTAAGTAGACATTCTGTTTATGTTTAAGTGAGATTTCTTCTATTGAAAGCTTGCTAAAAGTTTGTTCATTATAAATGGAGTGTGATTTTTTTTCCAAATGTTTTTGGTGTCTAATACAATGATCATATTTTTAATTTTTCTTTTTTTTGTTAATGTGGTAAATTTATAAGGATGCAAAGGAACTAGAATAGTGAGATACTGTATTATTGAGAAAAAGCTATAAAAGGAAATACCATTAGAAAGACCTATTTACTATAAAAAATACATGAAATGAATTCCATTATTAAAGTTAAGGAATTATGTTTATAAAAATACCAAAAATTATGAACCAGTAATTCGGACTGAAAAAAATATGTTTGCAACATATATATTGGAAAGGTACCTCATCCAGAACACCTAAATAACTTATCCAAGAGAAAAGACAAATATCCTGTTGGAAAAGTCATCAAAAGGCTTGAACTGGCATATTACAAAATAAGATATTAACATAGCGAATATATACATAACAAGGTGATCTATGTCTTTATTCACTACAGAAATTAATATCATAACTAGGGAAATATCACTACTGTGTTTTTTAGGTCCTCCGGGAAGCAGATGTCAAGAGGGAAGTAGATATATGGGATTTACCGGGGTAATGAGTGTGAACCACCAAGGAAAGAATGAGCAAGAGTAGGCAGTAAAATCCTTCTGTTGCAATGTAGGTCTGTGAAAAGAGATGGGAGCAATGGGGGATCAGGTAAGAAGAACCTGAGAGTGTAGTGGAGCACTGAGAATGTTTTAGCAATCACAGTGAGAAACAGTGCTAATGTTACACACAGAAAAATTCTACATTGGCCAGTAATGACGACTCTTTGTAGTAGTAGTCTGCTCAGTCTTTGGCTGGACATTGCCAGAAAAGTGCACAGTTTCAGCTCAAAGTCTAAGACAGGCAATATGAACAACTGCCAGTTGCATTCTTAGTGTCAGGTTCTCTTTTGAAAGATGTCTGAGAGACAAAGCTCCAATCAGCTACACCTATAAACCCATCACAATGGCTAAAAGCTAAAGTGACTTATAAAACCAGTGGTTGGTAAACATGTTGAATGTTCATATATTGCCAGTAGTCATATAATTGGCATAATTGGTTTGAAAAACTGCTTCACAGGTTATACTAAAGCTAATCATATGTCTTTTAATTTGTCCTTAGGTATATGTTCCTGGGCAGCAATTCCCAAAAGAATTGAGAGCTTTGCTAACACAAACATTTGTGTGAAATATTTGTAACAACTTTATTCATAAAAGCCAAACATGGTAAACAATCCAGATGTTCATCAGTGATCAATTTTGGTATATTCATATACTGTAATATTGCATGGCAAAAACAAATGAAATATCATGCTTTGCACAATAACACAATATAATCCCAAAGTCAATATGTTGAGTGAAAATGCCAGGTGCCAAAGAGTACGTAGTATATGATACTATTAATTTAACACTCAAGAACAGGCAAACATTCCAGATTTTGGAGCTAGTTACTCAATTACTGTGTAATACTTTTTTCTCCTGTAATAATGCAGGTTCTTCAGGAATAACACCCGTTGTCTATGAAGATTTTCTGAACATATCACATTCTGTATTTCATATTTGCTTTGAGCTGTGTCCAGAAGAAAGCCTCCAATGTCATCACCCCGCCACTCCTTGCTTGGCTACGTTATTCTAATCATGAAAAGATTAATTTCTAGTAATTTTATTTAACAAAATTTGTAAACTCTAAGAAGAATATGCCCCTTCTATCTGCCCTTCTAGAAAAAAACTGCAAGACTCTGTGAGACCCTGAAACACTTCACCTATGTTATTTCATTTAGTCATTACATACATGCACACAAACTATCAGATTGTTATTATTATCATTTCCATTGTACAAATAAGAAAACTAAAGCACAGTAAAATGTTTAAATAACTTCCAAAACAAAATACGTTTTTAAATGGTGAATCTTATGTATTATTTCTCTTAACATCTCTCTGATTCTCCACTTCTCTGTTTCTTGCTCTTTCTCTTGCTCTCATTTACACTTTAAATCTCTCACTGTAGCTCTACAACTACCATATACAATATTAGGTGTTAGAGAGTTTTCTAATGATTTATTATACATACAGTTGCTATCTTTAAGTGCTTCATATATATTAAATCTGCATTACCTATTCAAATTTGAGCGAATGTTCTTAATGAATTAAAGCCATTTTGTTAAATGAATAATAATGTGTAAAATTGTTTACTTACCCTCCAGGAGTTCACACTAAACACATGAATACTTGTTTTATATGTCTTTCTTATGACCTTACTTCAGATTAATCAATTTAAATTCTATAGCTTTTCCTTTAGTAATGTATCACCAATATATTTATGTCAGAGACTTGGAAAAAGAGGAGAGCACTTATGAAGTGATATCCAGGGACCAAAGATAACAATGATTAATGTGAACGATAATTATAATTACATTCTATTATAGCATTGATTAGAGGCTTTGGCAAATTAAAAGTATCAGTATTCATTGGGACTTATCATTATGGAAATAGATGGCTCTCTATCACCATATATTACTGTAGTGACTTTAGACAAAACATCAAAGTTTACTGGGAGCTAAAATTATGTCTATACAAAGGAAATTATTAAGATTTATGTATATATATTTATGTACCAGTGTAGTCTATCATTTTTTGCATAGTCTTTTAAATAATTTATTTAAAATATTAGCTAAGACATAATTAATCATGTATTAACTAAGTTAAAGTTTTAAAAATCCTGAGTTACCTAGAGAGAGTATTGATTAATTTATTCAGGGATTTCCGTTCTAGAGCTGGTGTTAGAACTACGTATGAAAAGCGAAGCTGCAACTTCTTTATAAATAACTGAATATTAACCAATATTTGATTTAAAAGGACAGGTATAATATTCTCTCCAAACTTATTGTTGTTATATTTCCCTTGAAGGCTCATTTGTAACCCAAATAGGAACAGAGTGATTTTGCTCTATGGTGATGCTTATTGAAAATTTTTAAGATAAATTTAATTTTTAATTTTATAATTTTAACAAAAGATTTACTAATATTAAGGTACTGGAAATAGTTGAATAGTTGATGTAAAAATTTCACATTACACATTAAGTTGACATCTCTGGGTGTACATATATGTTTCAATTATTAATGACACAGTAAACACCAGAGACAACAACAACTTTCTTAATTAAAGTACTTTGCAGATGGATGCTGATAGCCTAAGCCATGGAAACATAAAACGTTACTTTAAATCTTCTAAATATTCTACAAACTCACATGCTTTGCTGAAGCAACGTTCCCTTTGTCAAACCCTTCCCATATACTTGCAATTTTATCACACTGTTATGAATAATAAAATCTATCTTTGTGAAGAGTACCAGTTTAGCATGTGAATAATCCATGCTTTTCTTTGGTTATTATCTTAAAGTATTATGTCAGCATGTTTTGAGAATTATTTCCTCCATATAAACTAATTCCAAGTTTATTTATTGTAATAAATACTGGTTGTTTTTCTTTGGGAGGATTGAATGCACCTAATCATAGGTATATCTGATTCTCATTATATGTGGTAAGTAGAATATGATTGAACTAAGAAAACAATACTAGACAATGCAATTAATTTTATTAATGTTTACCAGCTGTAAATAGAAACCAGCATGAGATGAGTTTGTAAGAGATTTTTATTATAATACATTTGGGACTGATAATGAAGCTAATCTTATTTTCTTTTGGTAAAGTAGTTATAATATCGTCAGTAACTTGTAAGTATATAGGTGGTTCATTTTGAGTGTATTAGAGAGTGAATTAAGACTGTTTTATTCCTGCTTTGTATTTTCACTACAACAGGTTTATGCACCAGATTTCATCAAAACAGATTGTCAAATCAACACTACTGACTTGCAACATATGCCTGGGCTTTATTCAATACACTTGAACTAAATTGATGCTTATTAAGAACCTCTGTGTGATTATAATATAATGCATGTAAAAATACATAACAATATCTCTTAATTTCAATACAAATTAAGACAAATAAAATACATTACCTCTGCTGTATTTAATATTTAAATCTGGTATCATTTTTAGTAATTTAAGGCATCCTTGTCTTTGATGTAAGTACGGACTGGGCAGCATTCTTAAATTTTAGTTAATCACTAAACGCAAGCTCCAAAATGTCTTTTGAACCAAGGATAATGTATGCAGTGGTCCTACTCTCAATTACAAAACAAAAATATAGGTATTATGTGTCAGGTAACATACTAGGACAAACTGAAGGCATGTCGAAGACTTTGTGCTTTTTAAAGTAGGAGATTCTTCAATCATAGGTAAACATGGGCATCATGGGCATACACTTCTTTTTTTTTATTTTATTATTATACTTTAAGTTTTAGGGTACATGTGCACAATGTGCAGGTTAGTTACATATGTATACATGTGTCATGCTGGTGTGCTGCACCCATTAACTTGTCATTTAGCATTAGGTATATCTCCTAATTCTATCCCTCCACCCTCCCCCCACCCCACAACAGGCCCTGGTGTGTGATGTTCCCCTTCCTGTGTCCATGTGTTCTCATTGTTCAGTTCCCATCTATGAGTGAGAACATGTGGCGTTTGGTTTTTTTGTCCTTGCGATAGTTTACTGAGAATGACGATTTCCAATTTCATCCATGTCCCTACAAAGGACATGAACTCATCATTTTTTATGGCTGCATAGTATTCCGGGTGTATATGTGCCACATTTTCTTAATCCAGTCTATCATTGTTGGATTTTGGGTTGGTTCCAAGTCTTTGCTATTGTGAATAGTGCCACAATAAACATACGTGTGCATGTGTCTTTATAGCAGCATGATTTATAGTCCTTTGGGTAGATACCCAGTAATGGGATGGCTGGGTCAAATGGTATTTCTAGTTCTAGATCCCTGAGGAATCGCCACACTGACTTCCACAATGGTTGAACTAGTTTACAGTCCCACCAACAGTGTAAAAGTGTTCCTATTTCTCCACATCCTCTCCAGCACCTGTTGTTTCCTGACTTTTTAATGATCGCCATTCTAACTGGTGTGAGATGGTATCTCATTGTGGTTTTGATTTGCATTTCTCTGATGGCCAGTGATGGTGAGCATTTTTTCAAGTGTTTTTTGGCTGCATAAATGTCTTCTTTTGAGAAGTGTCTGTTCATGTCCTTCGCCCACTTTTTGATGGGGTTGTTTGCTTTTTCTTACAAATTTGTTTGAGTTCATTGTAGATTCTGGATATTAGCCCTTTGTCAGATGAGTAGGTTGCGAAAATTTTCTCCCATTGTGTAGGTTGCCTGTTCACTCTGATGGTAGTTTCTTTTGCTGTGCAGAAGCTCTTTAGTTTAATTAGATCCCATTTGTCTATTTTGGCTTTTGTTGCCATTGCTTTTGGTTTTAGTCATGAAGTCCTTGCCCATGCCTATGTTCTGAATGGTAATGCCTAGGTTTTCTTCTAGGGTTTTTATGGTTTTAGGTCTAATATTTAAGTCTTTAACCCATCTTGAATTAATTTGTATTGAAATTAAGTATATCACAAATTTTAAATACTTTTTTAAAAGTAGAAGTAATATTTGACTATGTATTTAATTCCATTCAAATCTGGAATACCTTTTACATTCTAATATGAATTATAGAGCTCTTCTTTATTATCTAAGAATGAAACATTCTTTTCTGAGGATGGCTAAATTTAAGGGAAAGATATATTGGCAATTTTACTGAGTGAAGTTGAAGTAGCCTCGGGGGAGGAAAAAAAAAGGATTTCTCCTAAAGTCAGGTACTTTTGCTCTTTGTGTCAAATTTTCAGGAATGAATAATTCGCAGTATTTTCCACTTGTCTTTAGACCAGCTTCGTGCTTACAAAAATACAAATATCTTCTGTTTCAGAAGAGAGGATAACTGAAGGTCAAGTAAGTAATATTTTTGGCTGTTGAAAATATACACAAGTGTCTTAAAGCTGATCTAAAGTGATCACTAATGGGGAAACGTGTTGGCCAAAAATGAAAAATTACATAACAAAGAAAAAGAAATTTCAAGTTGAAATTTGAGAAAACTGTTGCTAGAATAAGTGAAGTAACTTTATATTTTTAAAAATATGTTAGCTTATGATTATTTTTCATTTTTGGTAATGGGCAAACAAATTTGATAAGAGGCATACAGCTGTATTGAAAATAAAACTTAAGGAATTAGCAAGAAAAGATTAAGTAGGATTTGTGTTTATTTTTTAAGTAAACAAATATCATGAAATATAAAGAATTCCAATAAATATACAAATACATTTTTCTTGCCTAATAATTCAAGGTATTTGTTAAACATCTTAATGTTACTAAACTAGTAAATGGATTATTTCAGATAGGCCCCTAAAAAGCCTTTCTTAGGAAAAAGGCAGAAAAATAACACAGTTTGATCATTCTTTAAAATGATATTACTAACTAACAGGTTCCAATCAAGGTATGAAATTCAGGAAATACAAAGAGGACAGATAGAGTTCCTGCAATCTATGACCTCACAGTCCAAAGTGGAAGACTCACTGATAAGCAAACCATACGTATTAGAACTTGTAATGTTAAAATGTAGTTACACATTGTGCAATGTGTAATTATACAGGCAAAAACACAATGGGAAACATATATGAATTCCGGGACTGTGAAGCTTGTGGATAATGTTTAAAAAAATTTCTAGACAAAATAGTATTTAAGTGATATTATTGAAGCTAAACAGCATTTTATCACAAGACCAAAGAAATATGCTAAGTCCAGGCAAGACAAGAAAAAAATATAAATGAAAAGATGTGAGAAATGTCACAGAGATTTTGAACAGTTTTAGGAACTGTGTAAAAAAAAAAAGCTGGACTTTTCCAATACCACTATAAGCAAAGTCTATCTACGAAACATGTCTTGATCTTCTATCTGCAATACAGTGATGTTACCAAAATACATAAGTGGTAATGGGAAAATAAAGCATACCCAGGAAGGTTATAGGGTGCAGAAGCTTTGAAACAGTGGAAGCTATGAGAAAACAAAAGCAAAAAAGTTTGCAAAGGCTATAGAGAAATTCTACAAAAGTAAAAGAAAATCAATAAACTTCACCTATTGATAGCATGAAATGGTATCACAGAGTTTCATTTGACGCTGAATAATCTGTTTTAATTTGTTTTCCTTTTTATTTTTTATTTTTCTTTTAGATGGAGTCTTGCTCTGTCACCCACGCTGGGGGGCAATGGTGCTATCTCAGGTCACTGCAACCACCGCCTCCCAGGTTCACGCAATTCTCCTGACTCAGCCACCTGGGTAGCTGGGATTACAGGTACACACAACAACGCCCAGCTAATTTTTTGTATTTTTAGTAGAGAAGGGGTTTCACCATGTTGGTCAGACTGGTCTTGAACTCCTGTCCTCGTGATCCGCTCACCTCAGCCTCTCAAAGTGCTGGGATTACAGGCATGAGCCACTGCGCCTGGCCATAATCTCTGTTTTCTAAACCATGGTCCCAGATTCTCTTGAGTCCTATGTATGCTGCTGTTCCTGGCAGTCACTTTTTTATGTTTATGTGCATTTTGAACATTCACTCTTGTTTTCTGGAGTTAACATGAATAAATCTGTTTTTATGATGCAATAAAAATGAATTAAGAAATTAGAAGTGATGTATAGGATAAAAATAAAGCTCTAAAACTTATAATTCATATCTCAGCTCGTGCAAATACTGGACATACAGCTATCACCATAGTCTTTCAGAGCCTTGGTTTTCTAATATGTAGAATGGGGAGATAATGCTATGCATTTTTATAAATTTATCATCAGCAGTGATTATATTTTATATGTTGGGCTTGATGACTGGCAGGCAATAAGCTAATAACACATTTTATTCAGCATTGTTCAAATATCAATAGACATTTCTTGAAGGAATAAATAAGCCAGGGTAAAGGGCATCTCTACATTCAAGCTCCAGAGCCAAATCACTAATTCTCTCTCTTTTATTTGCTGTATTTGCCAATATGTTAAAAAGAGGTTTAGATGGCCTACCTATCAAATTTGCTAATCACCAAAAACAAGTCGCAACAGTTAGTTCTGGGTAGTAGTTAAGTTTTCGAAAATGTCTTGATGCAGCTTAACAATGAAAAAAATAAAGTCACTTGTTTGGAAGTATTTTAACATGTAGAAAAGTTTTCAGAACTGATAAAAATGTTAAATATAACTACTCTTTAGACCTGGCATTTAGTTACTAGAGAATTATCTTACAGAAATAACTGTGCAATATTATATGAAAGATATATACAATATTTTTATTCAGGTTGCGTACATAATGCAAGGTTATATGTACATAAGTGTCTACCAGTGTTATTAAAAAACTGGAGACAATCTAAATTTCCATAAACTGCAAAATTCTTAAACTTACAATGATGCATTTATATTATGTAATGGCAGGTGGCTGATGAAAAGGATGAAGGTGACCCCTTTGCAGAAAGAAAGTATAGTGCAGTATTTAAGAACATGTTTTCTGGAGCCAAATTAGCTGGGATAGAATCATAGCTGGAGATCATTTGCTAGTAGTACTTAAGCCCTCTGTGCTTCTGTTTCCTCATCTATAAAATGTAAATAATAGTAGCACCTACTTCTTAGGGTCATTGTGACAATTATACGAGTTAATATATGTAAAACTTTTAGCTCATTACCTAGAATATAGGAAGCACTGGAAGACTAGTCTTACTTATTAATTGTGATAGTATAAAAATATTCACAATGTACAAGTGAAAAATAAAAGTATGAAACAACATGTAGATTTGGAATTTCTATTTTTTAAAAAAGGAGTGTTATTGAACATGCACATAGAAATAAGTAGAAATACAGATTTGATAAGAGGAGAGAGAAGGAATTAATTATCAGTAAACAGTTAAGTACAGATATATAATTGGAAATAACAGGTATTTTTAACTCTTTCTGCATGCCAGCTTCGTCTGGAGTGCTTTGAAACTAAAATGACATTGATACCAATGGTAACGGCTTGTTTACATTGTTTGAAGAAGATAAAGTTGAAAGTATTGGGTGAAAACTAAGCAAAATGGTTAGTACAAAGAAACAAGAAGTATCACGTGAGTGCTACAGTTATTTGTATGGAAACTAATACATACCAGCCGAGGTCATCATATTATTTTTTTTTTTACAAAAAGTATTATTTTTTAATTTCTGAAAGCAGCATAGGACAGCCTGGAACTTGTGATGACATTACTCATTAAAATAATTTTATTTATTTTCAAAAAAATCATTCTGACAAGAAATCTAGTTTTCTAGTTAGTTTTCTTCTTTTACTTTCTGTTAAAAATATTATTTAATATTTTTCTAATATTAAAATACACATGGAAAGCATACTAATTTTTACACAAAACAATGTTTTCCATTTTATTTCATAATGCAGTAAACATGGTTAGCACGTTCTGGGTCTTTCTACTAATATGCTTTTTTTGTGTAGGTTATCCTTAGACTTACTAGGAAAGGTGACTATGTTAAAATGCTGAAGAAAAACAGTTAGGTGATCATTATAGGTTACTTAGGGTATAATTAGCATTAATGCCATTTACAGATCAGAGCCCTCTGGCAGCTACTTATGCCCGATCAAAATCTATTTTGTCTCTTTGACACTGGAGCAATAAAAAATCTGTGGAAATGGTGGCCCACAGAGAGAAAACACATTTATCTTTAGTCAACACATGTTACTAGACTCAGTGGCGCTTGAGAAATAGCAGTGATAACCTCCACAATCAGCTATTTGTGTTCTTACCGTGATTCCTATTGTGCAACTGATGGTGTGCCTTTTGGCTTTTCGGTTAAGAGAAGTATTCATTCTGCTGTATAAATTACATAAGTCAAATAAGGTTATGACACAGGGGCAAATTGTGGCTCATGTTCTAACTCATAGGAATTATCGAAAAGGAAAAGGCATTTTTGTCGTGGAAAGTAAATTTGTGCTATAACCTCAAGGTAATGATGTGCAAAAAATTATTATGCTGAAACACAGATTAAACAAGAGGGGCCAAAGAAAGGATGTTCATGCTGTTGGGAGGGTGAAACACTAAACCTCACAGACAAAATTGTTAAATTTTTAAACATATATAAAAATAGTCATCATTGTTAATTATAATTATGTCATCTTATGAGATATGCTAAATTTATGAATAGCATAAATAATCTATATTAAGTCTACTATAATACTATAAGAAATTAACAACATAAAATGATAAAATAATAGCAGATTTAAAAATCTAAAAATGGCCTATGAAAAACACTGTAGTCTATCTTGTTTTGAAAAACCCACTATTTATAGGCCAATGGTCAAGTTACCTAGTATTCTGAGAGTTTCAGAGCTTTTAATTTATTGATTGATATAAAGTATTTCCCATACTCAATGCTGAAGAAAAACAGTACATAAAACTCCTTTCCAAAAAGAGAAATGATGGCATATTGTATCCGTACCACTTTTTAAAGCATCAATGGGTAGTGCTTTTCATGTAGCTTTCCATGAAAGCTATGCATGTTTCTTCACGCAAAAGTCATCTTTAAAATTTCTAATACACATGCTTACTAAAAGAAATTCCTATCAATTCTTCAGTGTAAATACTTTCATTACGTATAGGTAAGGTAAACTTTCTTCTGATTTTCTGTTTATTTTCTTGAAAAGGAAAGGTAGGTAAAATGCAAGATATCTTATAAAAGAAGTAGGTAATATGCAAGGTATATTATAAAACATGGTTACTTTCACAGAGCTAAAAACTAATGGACACAACTGGCTGGGCGCGGTGGCTCAGGCCTGTAATCCCAGCACTTTGGAAGGCCGAGGTGGGTGGATCACCTGAGGTCAGGAGTTTGAGACCAGCCTGACCAACATGGCAAAACCCCTCTCTACTGAAAATACAGAAATTAGCCGGGTGTGGTAATCCCAGCTACTCGGGAGGCTGAGGCACAAGAATAGCTCAGGAGACGGAGGTTACGGTGAGCTGAGATTGCGCCACTACACTCCAGCCAGGGAGACAGAGCGAGACTCTGTCTCAGGGAAAAAAAAAAAAAAAAACACCTAATAAACACAACCAAGGATATTAGCTGACATTTTGTCCTGACTAGAAGACAGGATATATATATATATAACTTAGAAAAGCCTCATTAGTAGAATTTCAGAGGGGTCATTTTATATATATATATATAGACTTTTGGACTTGAAAACTTAGATAATTTTTATGCTTGTATTTTTTGTTTCTTAAGTTTCACACAACCCATTGCTGTTTCAGGTAGAGCAAAGGCAAACTCAACTTACAAGAGTGCTATAATACAATAAAACTCATTTATCATATTCTTTCATTTAAAAAAATAATTCTTTTTATGTCAGCAAATGCTTAAAAGTTCTTACTATCAACTAAACAGTGGATTTGGGTCTGGGCATAACAGTAGATTTGGGTTTGGGTATGACCATCAAGGACTCTGCCTTGGAGCAATTTGCTGTCTAGATCCACAGTCACCAAGCCTAATAAAGGACATGCAACCTACACTTATGCATACATTTGTTCATATGTTCAATCACGTATTATAATCCTTTTTATATTTCAGAAGTAAAAATTAGTAATCATTATTAACTCATTTGTTGTTCCCTATGCGTTAAGTTCTGTGCTAAGCATTTCACACATATCGAATTTTTTAATGTTGTAACTATATGAAGTAGATAGAATTTTTGTTCTAATTATATATGAAAAGATTGAGGCTCAGAAAATTTAAAGGGTTTGCTCATGATTACGCAGCTAATGACTAGTAGGAAAACATTATACATCATTTATTAAGAAATTCTAAAGAATGAACAGTACAGTCAAATTTTTCAAGTCCAGTCGTAAAAAAACCTAGACCCTGGTTTCTAGATCTGTTCCATGAAGGAAAATGTACATGGTCAAATTGTACATGGTCAAATAATTTCTGTACTACACACATGTCCTCTTCTTACGAAGTTTGTGTTAGTATTCTTAAGGCTATGAGAATACCGCACCAAAAATCCCTGCTTGACTTTATTTAAATCTACCAGAAACCGATGTTTTTTTTTAACTTCAGGAATACATTATTTCCATGACACTTGTAAGCATAGAAAATATTTAGGTCAACATTGACCTATGGGTCAAGTTAAAATTGTAAATTTTCACTGTGGAGAATGAGAGCAGAACAAAGAAAATCAGCTGTATTCTCAAGTGCAAGTCTAAAAATTAGGAATCAATAAATTTATTGTGTAAACAATAAATATTTATCCAGATCCTCCCAGTTTAACATGTCTTTGGAAATTTTGAGACATTAAAGCAAAACAAAACAAAAAAAATTGGATTATCACTGATTGCTGTTGTCCATTTTACTGTGCTCTGTCACATAACTTTACAATGTCCTCCAATACCAAGGGTGTTGTCTGCTAAAGGTGGAATTTTAATTACTTGAAGTAATAGGGGAAAGTGTGCAGCTAGCTAATTAACAATCTATCACTACTACCAAAAACAAAATTAAATTACTTGGACCTCTAGTTGAGGTGAGATCTGTCATCTTTATATAAAATGAACTGAAACTTTCTGTATTACGTTACTTTCATGATTTTACCCAAGATTATTGATCTGGTTGATGATGCTCAGCAAGTTTTATATGGCTCTCTGTTACTTTAACATCGTACTATGTGGTAAGCAAGTATCAAGTATAGGATGACACCAAAGAGTCTTGGGAAATAATGGCAAGAGAAACTTATTATCCCCATTTTGAAAGGTAAAATTTAATCATTTATCAGGTCCAAAATGACAATGCCTTACTAAGAAATCCATCTTATGAAACTCATCATCCCAGGATTGCTCTAGGATTAGCATCGTCCTTTATTCCTTGGAAACCAAGCTTACCAAATTTATTTCCTATCACCTCTTCTCTGAGAAGATCTAATAGCAGCACTTTTTTTTCTACATTTTTGTAGATCTCATGTGTTTCTACTTTTTCCATACTCTTTCTCTCTCTGTCTCTTAGGCTAAAATGTATGGTTTTCCAGCTTCCTGCTCCTGTGCAGTCATTTGCCTCTCTTAATGTACACTAAAACAAATGGGAAGCAATATTTAAGAAATGATTCGGCAGTGCCTTAAACATCCTTGCTTTAAAATTTAAGAAAGGACTATAATGAGGTTCCTACTGTCATGCAAGATAGGTGAATCTGTAATTTCATGACATATTCAAGAATTACTTTCCATTTCAGTGGACTAAAAGTATTGTTTCTCATTCCTTGAAACCAAGGGACTATTTGCTGGCTTCTTAAAAAATGTTTTATGAGTAAATTTAGCTCAATGAGCTGAAGGAAAAGGTGGAACTAAGTCATGCTGACAGACGAAATGGAATAAAGAAAAGTCCTTCTTTGCAGTCCATTAGGAAGTCATCTCTCTTTTCTTTGTACTCATTACCTGTATTTTCTCTCACTACATTCACAAAAACCTAAGTAATAAATGTATCAGAAGCTCTTAGTAAATTATTGATTTTTGAAAGGTGAAAGAAATACAGAAGAAAAACTAGTGAAGTTTTGTACTAGTTTTCAGAGTGGGGGATATTGTATTCACCAGCAAATTAACTAGATTTATTAATCCTTCAATATTATTGTGAACTTTGTCTACAATTTTATGAAAATTGTATTGTATGTCTCTCTAGAAATAAACTGCTAATAGACAGAAATACGTATATATATAAACTTTGTTTCTCACATTGACATCTAGCATTGCCCTTTCTCTATACCAAGGGAAATTTTTAACATCTAATGTAATTCATCAATTATATCAGGACATTATCAAAATTTCCTGTACTAAGTTGTGAAAAAAAAGTCTAGATAGTGATTATACATTCCATTAATGTCCAATATATTCAAACAACATAATATTTTAAATTACAAATGCATGAAACTTAGAGTTTGGAGAAACAGATAAAATATCAACACAAAATAGAAGTATTTTAATGTGTAGGTGAAGAAGTGCAGAGTATTTTAGATTTTACTTTATTAAGCCTATAATAGATCTGAAACTAAAGAAAGGGATTTTCATGAATTATACTGAGTAAAATATAAAAGCCTATGATCTATATTGCAAAGTAGTCTTACCCCTCTAGATGTGGTATTTCATATTTATGGACAACACCAACATGAGTTCAATTGCTTTGAATTTCTCAACCCATGTATTTATTTTTCCAAGCTATGGGTAGCTGAGATTTCCGTTATATGCTACATGATAATTTGGATAGAAGACACATTGTGTTCTTCCACAAAACAACCATATTTAATTTCTTACAACATTCAATGATACATTTCTACTATTATTCTATCATTATATTCTACGACTGTTGTTCGACTTCTCTCTTCTCTCTGAACTCTTAAAATGTCAAAACAAGATTCTATATATCTACAAAATATTTCTGGACCTGAAATTGATGCCTTAAATTTTTAGCATTAAAAGCAATTAAAATCAGATGAAATACTTGAGGACTTAAAGCCAACATATATTTTGCTCTAAGACAATCTTTTTTTGGTTCATAGGGAGAAGTGTCTAAGAGATTCCTGTTTTACTGGCTTAACAGCATTTTTCTCCACTTCTCTTGCCAACAAAGATGAACAATAAAATAATTGTTTGTGTTGTCTTTAAGATTAAAAGATCTTATAGGAAAATATCCTCTTAATATGTTATTTTTGGCATTAAGAAAATATTATTTGCATACATGATTTAGAGAGGCCTCTGGACTAGCGTCTTGATTACAGTGGGGACATGGCTTTGGTATTAAAGGCAGTTTGATGTTCTATTTTCTTTATAAAGTACCCTATCATACCTCAATGCTGTACTTTGTTTTGGTAAGTGGTATTTTAAATTTTATAAGCCAGAATAGAATACCGTATGCTAACCCTACTCAAATTATTTCTGTAAACTTAGAAAAATAAGGGGATCTTTCTGGTCTTTGAGTCTCTTCACTTGTAAAGTGGGTGGTTTTAATGTAATAATTAATGACTTCCTTCATTTCTTATATGTGAGAATTCTGTGGAACTATCCTGAATCTGGGTTTATTTATAAGATTCTTAAGGTGGCTGGTGAACTGAGAAATAGTATGTTAAGATATAATAAGGCTTTGACATATATGCTCTTCGAAAAACTCCAAATAAAAGCAGTGCGTAATGCATTTCCTTCTTCTGCCAGCTGACATTATTTTTTTTTCTTTTAGGCATAACTACTTTATTATTGTTTGTAAAAACGAGGAGGGTTAAAGAAAATAAAGATAGAGGAGATACAGAAGATGAAATAAGATGAGAGTTATAATTTTATTAAAGTCTTCTAGTTCTAGATTCCATAATCTAGAATCTAAAGCAAATAATTCCAAGAAAAGAATAAATATATGTGTGGATATTTTTCCTTTAAACTATGCAAACAAATCTAATTATTATTAAATATGACAATTGATAAATGAAGTAAATGACTTATGTTGTCTTAGTGAGCACGGGTGAGTGAAAAAATGCCCAGAGGAGGTGGCTGGGAACTTCAAACAAGCTAACATTGCTGGTTGGACTGGGGATATTTAATTTAAAGGGAGAGAAGTTCCAGGGAGAGGCATGAGAGTCATTCTCAACTCTATGAAGGCATTTTATATCCTAAAGGGAGAAGGCTTTCTTCACTTTCCCACAGAAGTCAGGAAAATGTCCCCTGGATGAAAGTCAAAGATTACGAACTTTAGGTAGAAATTTATTATAATCAGACTTCCAGGAGGTGAGTATGAAAACTTCAGAGAGGTTGAATTCTCCATTGCTGGAAATGTCTTTTTCAAGGTCAAGGAACAGGTTGAGGTGTTTAGAGGGTCCTAATGCATCAGATAAAAATGTGTTTGGCAGGAAGGAGGGTTAAGAAACAGTGGAACAGAAACCTTCAATATGAGTACTCAATTTCTGATATATATATATATAGATCTATAGATCTATATATATATATAAAATTTTACTTCAGATTTTTAAGGATACTTTTATTATTAAATTTTGTGATATTTTGCTCTCTTTCTTTTTAAATTTTAATAGTTTTGGAGGAACAGATGGTTTTTGGTTACATGGATAAGTTCTTTAGTGGTAATAACTGAGATTTTGGTGCACCCATCACCCGAGCAGTGTACACTGCACCCAATGTGTAGTCTTTTAGCCCTCACTCCCCTGCCCACTTCCCCCACCCAAAGTCTATTATATAATTCTTATGCTTTTGCATCCTTGTACCTTAGCTCCTACTTATAAGTGGGAACATATGAGATTTGGTTTTCCATTCCTGAGTTACTTAATTTAGGATAAAGCTCTTCAAATCCATCAAGGTTGCTGCAAATATCATTGTTTCACTCCTTTTTATGGCTGAGTAGTATTCCATGATATGTGGATATATATAAAATTTTCTTTATCCACCTGTTGGTTGATGAGCATTTAGCTGGTTCCATATTTTTGCAATTGCAAATTGCACTGTTATAAACACACATGTGTAAACGTCTTTTTCATATAATGACTTCTTTCCCTCTGGGTAGATAACCAGTAGCGGGATTGCTGGGAGAAATGGTAGTTCTACTTTTAGTTCTTTAAGAAATCTACATACTGTTTTCCATAGTGGTTGTTCTAGTTTACACTCTCACTAGCAGCGTAAGAGTGTTCCTTTTTTTACCATATCCATGTCAACATCTATTGTTTTTTGATTTTTTTAATTATGGCCATTCTTGCAGGAGTAAGGTGGCATCTCATTGTGGTTTTAATTTGCATTTCCCTCATAATTAGTGATGTTGAGCATTTTTTCATGTATTTGTTGGCCATTCATAAATTTTCTTTTGAGAATTACCTATTCATGTGCGTTGCCCACTTTTTGATGGGATTATTCATTCTTTTTTTTCTCTTTTGTTTGAGTTCCTTGTAGATTCTCAATATTAGTCCTCTGCTGGATGCATAGTTTGCGAGTATTTTCTCTCATTCTGTGAGTTGTCTGTTGACTCTGCTGATTATTTCTTTTGCTGTGTGGAAACTATTTAGTTTAATTAGGTCCCATTTATTTATTTTTGTTTTTGTCACATTTGCTTTTGGTTTCTTGGTCAAGAACTATTTTCCTAAGCCAACATCTAGGAGAGTTTTACCCATATTATATTCTAGAATTTTTATGGTTTCAGGTCTTAGATTTAAGTTCTTGGTCTGTCTCAAGTTGATTTTTGTATAAAGTGAGAGATGATGATCCAGTTTCATTATTCTACATTTGTCTTGCCACCAGTTTTCGCAGCACCATTTGTTGGATAGGGTGTCCTTTCCCCACTTTTTGTTTTTATTTGCTTTGTCAAAGGTTAGTTGGCTGTATTCAGCTTTATTTCTGGATTCTCTATTCTGTTCCATTGGTATACATGCCAATTTTTATACCAGTACTATGCTGTTTCGGTAACTGTGGCCTTGTCATATAGTTTGAATTCAGATAATGTGATGCCTCCAGATTTGTTCTTTTTGGTGGTCTTGCTTTGGCTATATGGGGTCTTTTTTGGTTCCATACAAATTTTAGGATTATTTTTTCCAGTTCTGTGGAGAACAATGATGGTACTTTGATGGAAATTGCATTGACTCTGTCGATTGCTTTTGGCAGTATGGTCATTTTCTCTATGTTTGATTTTACCCATCCATGAGCATGGAATATATTTCCATTTGTAAACTGAAAATTAACTCCAAAAGGAATGACCAAAACTATACAAATACATGGAAATTAAATAATCTGCTCTTGAATAATCTTTGGGTCAACAATGAAATCAAGATGGAAATTTAAAACCTCTCTGAGCTACATAATAGTGACACAACTTATCAAAACCTCTGTGATACAGCAAAAGTGGTGTCAAGAGGAAAGTCCATAGCATTAAATACCTATATCAAAAAGTCTGAAAGAGCACAAATAGAAAATAGAAGGTCAAACCACAAGAAACTAGAGAAATAAGAACAAACCTAAACCAAACTCAGCAGAAGAAAAGAAATAACAAAGATCAGAGCAGAACTAAATGAAATTGAAACACAAAAATACTACAAACAATAAGTGAAACAAAAAGCTGGTTATTAAAAAGGTAAAATTGGTGGACCATTAGCAAGATTAACCAAGAAAAGAAGAGAGAACATCCAAATAAGCTCAGTTATAAATGAAATGGTAGATATTACAACTGATACCACAGAAATGCAGAAGATTGTTCAAGGCTTCTTTGAACACCTTTATGCACACAAACTAGAAAATCTAGAGGAGATGGATAAATTCCTGGAAATATATAATGCTCCTATACTAAATCAGGAAGACATAGAAACTCTAAACACAGCAATAACAAGTAGCAAAATTGAAACAGTAATTTAAAAACTGCCAACAACAACAAAAAAGTCCATGACCAGATGGATTCACAGCTGAATTCTATCAGACATTCAAAGAAGAATGGGTACCAATCTTACACGAACTATTCCAAAAGATAGAGAAAAAGAAGATCCTCCCAAAATCATTCCATGAAGTTAGTATTACCCTAATTCCAAAAGCAGGAAAGGACATAATAAAAAAAGAAAACTACTGACCAATATCCCTGATAAACATAGGCACAAAAATCCTCAACAATATACTAGCTAACCAAATCCAACAGTGTATCAAAAAGATAATGCACCATGATCAAATGGGTCACATACCAGGAATGCAGTGATGTCAGTAAACGGGATACATCACATGAACAGAATTAAAAACAAAACTTATATGATCATCTCAATAGATGCAGAAAAAGCATTTGACAAAATCCAGTAGCCTTTTGTGATTAAAACCATCAGCAAAATTGGTATAGAAAGGATATGCCTCAAGGTAATAAAAGCCATCTATGGCAAACCCACAGCCAACATCTTAATAACCAGGGAAAAGTTGAAAGCATTTCCCCTGAGAACTGGAACAATACAAGGATACCCACTTTAATCACTTCTATTCAACATAGTAATGAGAGCCCTAGCTAGAGCAGTCGGACAATAGAAAGAAATAAAGGGCATCCAAGTCAGTAAAGAGGAAGTCAAACTGTTGCTGCTTGCCAATGATATGATTGTATAGCTAAAACCCTAAAGATTCATCCAAAAAGCCCCTAGATCTTATAAATGAATTCAGTAAAGTTTCGGGATACAAAATCTATGTTCACAAATCTGTAGCACTGTTATACACCAACAGCAACCAAGCTGAGAAACAAATCAAGAACTCAATCTCTTTTACAACTGCAGACAAACAAACAAACAAACTTAACAATAAATCTAACCAAGGAAGTGAAAGATCTCTACAAGGAAAACTATGAAACACTGTATTACCTTAATTAGAAAAGACCATCAGGAGTTCATAGAAACCCATAATTCAAATATTCAAAGTATAGACATTTTAAAATTTGTGTCCACTTTTAAGACCTCCTTCATGAATATTTTTGAGGAGTAATTGAAGAAATAAATATCTTTTTTTCAGAAATCTAAAGCTTCAAAAGTAGGTGTGAATCAAATCAAACAAATTTATCAATTGCTAAAACTTTCAGCTTTTGCAGTTTGAATCAAACTCGAGGAAAGCATTTCCTACACATATTTAAGGCCGTTGAAATGAGCTACTTTTCCCTCTCTTTTTCATTTCTTAATTCACCTACCTTTACTCCCTTTTTGTAATTATATATGAGCAAACATGGGATATATATGGAACTCAATAAACAACAAAGTTATTTTGTAGAGAACCTGTAGAGAAAAACGTTTAGCTCTTCATAATGCTTTAACAAAGTCCACACAAGAGAATTAGGTGAGAGTTATTGAAGATATTACTCGGTGACACAGTAAAAAATAACAATGTTACCGTCCAGATGATCCTGAGGTGGTAGGTCATCGATTTAATGATTTCTAAAAGTAAACCGAATGCAATAGTTAGGACTAAATAGGTGGTGGCACTATAAGCCAATTTGAAAATAATCGTCCGTGAAACAATGACATAAAGTTATGAAAAAGTTTAAAAGTATTGGATTTATAAACGCAGAGCAAAAATACAAAGACTTAAAGGGGAAAGTTAAATTAATAGTTTTGCTTTAGTGGTTGACTTTCTCATGAAGTATTAAACTCTTTTGTATGTTTTATTTTAGTTTTCAATATTAACAGAAAAAACGGCAATTTTTGAGGTTGTTTACCTTTTCAACTTCATGTAAAAAAAAATGAAGGACAAATTAATGAAGGGGTAGGGAATAATCCCTTTAGGCAAATCTTGAGCTCACCTTGTTATGTTATTAATGCATTAACCTCAAAGGAATCGATAGTCCTTTGAGGTTAAAACATCAGCAAATCCAATCTCTTTTTTTTATTTGAAGCAGTTGTAGAAACAATAGTTATATAAACTATGGCTTTGGAAATTCTTGTATTTGCATAACAATTTAAAGTTTATAAAATACTTTCATATGCATCATTTAATTTTTATTTTTACTTTTCAAGCTCTGTAAGAAAAAGGCAGGAGAAGCATATTATCAGATTTTATAGAACAAAAAGCAAATAGATTGGGAATAACTTACTCAAATTCATGAAACAAGTATCTGAACCCAGTTTTCATGGATCAAGCCTACTACATCTCATGGCTTCCTTCAACAGTCCATTGAATATAGGCAGTTTTAAAACACAATCTATAGCCTCAGAACAGAAACACTTCTTTAAAAATTCATTTCCCATATATGCTTTCAAAGTTATCTATGAAAACATTTTGTAAAAAGAAATTAAATCCTTGCATAGCTTCCATAGAAAGATAAGTAGATGATGTTGGATGTCTTGCTAAAAATATATTTTCTTCCTATACTTGAAAATAACTTTAATTTTCTATAGGTGTTTGTATAGGTTATTTTCACTTTTATTCTTGTATCCTGTTAAAAGTCCAGAAATGTGTGATACATTTTAATGACAGGGACTAGATAGAATATCAGAAAGGTAAACTATTTTCATTAATTGTTCCCAGTTCAGCTCAAGCTGCCTTTTCCTTGGCTTAATTGATACATTAACTCCTAGTTATATACAACAACTAAGCCAGAAATAATTGACTCAGATAGTAATATGCATAATATGCATATTTTAATTATTAAAATTCAATCTTAATCTAAAATATTGCTGCCATTTTTTAATATCTTAGAAGTAGAAAAGCACGAACTGTCTTATTCAGTCTAATTCCTAGTGTGTGAAGTTTCATAAATGTTGGTAAATTGACCTTGTGTAATGGATCTCAATAGGTTAATAAATCTATCTTCCTTGTTCCAAACTGAACAACATCTAAAAATGTCCCATATTTGATCTCATTAATTGATATCAGGTCTGAAAATTGTATATATTCACTAATATTTATATCATGGGTTGAGTAAAATTATAAAACATATAAATTCAATATTTGTATTATGCCAGAAAAATTTCAGTACCTTCAATATAAATTTATTTTTTATGATTACAATTAGCTTATAATATTTTTGTACACAGTACATAGCTACAATAAACGTTTCTTGCAGTTATCAAAACTTGAGTCAAACAGAGTTTGTCAAAAGTGTTGAAATGATGTGCACTGAGGATTTATGTGACAAAGAAGAAACCAAACCCCACGCATTCGTAATTTACAGACATTCTACACGGAAAGTTTCAGCTGTAGAAGATAGAAGGCCAAGTTGACGTATGGGTCAACAATCATCTCCATGTGTTATCCTGCGGCCCAGCAGCACTGGTCTCTACAGAGATCTCTCTACAGTGTTTCTCAAATTCTATTATTTTTCTTTAAAACCTGTCACTGTGCAAGGTAGAGAATATAACTTCATGTAAATTACACTTGTAAAACTTCAGTGAAATTAAGAATGCTGGATGTATAGAAGGTAATTTGTCTCTCAGTTTATATGTATGAGAGTCCATGTATGTGTGAATATGTACAAATTTCTCAAAATAAAGACAGACAACGTCAGCAAAACTAATAGTAATTTAATACTGGCTCACTGAAAAGCATTTCTCTTCACTCGAATTAAATAGGATTTCATAGTTTATTGAAACATAATTGTTTAAAATTAGATATTTATTGAAAAATCCATGGTAATATTTGTATACACACATATTTTTATATTAATATATACACTCATATATATTTCAATTAGTGTATAACTTCTCAATGAAGTATTAATCATATTTAACTAAACATTATAATGAATATTAAATTATTGCATAAAATTACTGAAAGTAGAAAGAAGTTTGACAAATCATCTAGAAATGTAAAGATCTACATTACTATGATATATATACCATTAAATTTTGGATAAAATAAATTGCTAACATTTTAATAATGTGGCTGCTCATTATCTTATAATTTTTCTGAATATTTATGCAAAATTATATTTAAATAATATACTCTTACCATCAGTGAACTTACTAGTCTCTTAAGGCTAATTGTACACTGTGTGTGTGTGTGTGTGTATATATATACACACACACACACATACATTTGTATATATATATGTGTATATATATATATACACATACATATATTTGTAAGCTTTTATCATTGCATACAACTCATAAAACCAAAATTCAAAATGTTCCTTTTTAGTTATTTATTGGCAATAAAATCTTACTCAAAGTAAGCAAGCTCAAGCATGGAATATTTGGGTAAATAAACAATGCATAGAAAATTAATACCAAAAAACCTTATTTATGGTGTGGCTTCAAATATACACTTTGTTTAATACATGGCAAGTGGACTACATTGCCATTAGCATAACCAACCAGCCCAGAAATAATTATCAAACCCCTACTCTATACCAGACAATATTTTGCCAAATTAATTCAAAGAGTGAATAAAACAGACAAATATTTCTGCTAAGATAGAGTTTATATTCTAGTAGAAAGAGGTAAACAAATATATTCTTTCAAATGGTGATGGTGTTTGCTCCTGGTGTTTGTGCGCTTCTCGATGGAGGGTGGTTTGGAATTTTATGTAGGGTGGCCACAAAAGCCATAGAGAAAATGTCACTGAGCACAGACCTGAAGAAGGTGATGGAGCAAGTCAAACAAATATATAAGAAAAGAAGATTCCACACAAAGGAAAGAGGTTGAGCTAAGCTTTGAAGCTGAGTCTCGCCTGGCAAACTCAATAAGCAAGGAAGAAGACAGACTTGAGCAAAGAGGGGTAGGAGTTGATCGACAGAAGTTAGATCACAGAGAGCCTCCTAGTACATTAGAAGGCCTTGGCATTTATTCTGAGTAACATTGAAAGGGTTGAGCATAGGAGTGACTTGATCTAATTTATTTTTTTAATAGGCCCGAGTACAGCTGTTGAAACACAATAGAATTCTGAACACATTTTGGTTTTGAATCTGAACACATGTGCTTTAGCTTAATGCAGACACTGAATTTTTAACCCACTTACTGCTGCCAAAGCCACATCCTGTGCGACATGAAATATGCAGTGGAAATGTGATGTGTTATGTTTGTTTCATTGCTATGTGTGCAAGAAACTATTTATTCTACAAGTTTCAATTGGTTCGTATACTATTATTTCTCAAAAATATTTATACGGTAACTTAACTAAATTGTCAAAGTGAGTTAAGTAAATTTGTTGTAATTAAAAATTTCTTAGGTTGCAATTTTGTTATTTGCATATGTCTTTTGTACTAAATGTTGATATAAGTTAATAAAAATGGTGAAAATACAGATACTAGTCCTATTCAATGTAAATACATAATATTTACTAACATGCCTGTACACATCAAAATGTAAGTTATTCCATGTGTTATTTAAAAAATATATATGAATATATTTCCTGAAGAATTTAAGGTTACACAAAAAAAAGGAAAAAAGTAATTCAGAATATCTTTTTATATTGCCATACTTCTTTGTTGAATTGTCCTTAGATATTCTAAAATCTGTTCATTGTACCAAAAGCAGGCCCCACGAGAGTGTTTGTGAGCTTTGATTAGGAGCCAGTATACGGTCGCTTTTATCTAATGCATTCCTATAGCAGAAAACCTAAAATGAACACACACTGTTATCTTCTCTGAAAACAACATACCATAATAACCAGAGGTCATCTTCCAGACAAGTCTATCAGCAGGAACATTGGGGTCCAATGAGAATCCGACAGAGAAGCAGTCATGGCATGCAAGCAGCAAGCTGAGAAGTTCTTCAGTTAAGTGTACTATAGTAAATTTGACCTTGCCTCTGGGTACAAAAAAAATCATACTTTGCATGAGCTATTTTATGTTAACCACAGACTCAGTGATTCTCTCTGTTTGGTTTTTGGATCTTAATGCTTTTCTGCAGCATATTTCCTTTAAAAGGCATGATTATACAGTAGTAGGAATCATGTGGAATATACACCCGAGATGCAGTTTTCTTTCCACAGTGATAGCTTCCCTTAACTCAAATTTCACGTGAATTTAAGTTTTCCTCTTGCTCTATTGCTATGCTATTGTCAAGAAATGATGACTTTTTCAACAGTTATATTTTATTATAGCATAGAGTAGAAACATAACACAGTAGCATAAGAGCACTGGAGTAGAAATCAAAATAAGTAATTAGTTAGTTTGGCTTTGTGAATTATTACTCACATGATCTTGGGAACTCTGTGACATAAAATATCTTAGTTTATAAAAAGTAGACAATAATATCTTTTTGCTTATCTCAGAGATATATGGTAAATTATTTTAATGGTAAAAGTTAATATGTAAGGTATTTTAAATACATTTATTTTGTTTTTTTTTGTTTTTCACTATACACACACTCACACACACACATATATACGTTATGTGTATAAAGATAATTCCTTAATTGGATAATAAATTGTGACATTTTTCAAACATAAAATATATTCACTGATTTCAGATATTATCCAGTGCAACCTTGATGAATGTCTTCCACTGACATCGGGCTTTCAATTCCTGGCTTTGACCACAGCATTAAAAATCTAATGTTATTACTACTCAACTTACTACATGTTTAAAAATAATTTTTGAATTAATTAATAAATGCATAATGAATTAAGGATTTAGTGGTTCATTTCTGTGGTATTTTCATATATACCAATATATGCACAAAATTTTGTATAAACACTATTGAAACATGTATTGGTAAAGTAATTTTAAAATATCTATTTCCACATAAAACTTTGTTTTAGGTCTACTACATAGAATCTTTGCTTATATCCTCATTGTGTAGTTTTTTTAGACTAGGATCTCAAGTTTGATTCTACATATTTTCTGAAACTTCTTAAGCACATTTACTTGTATTGAACACATCATCTGATTGTCCAATTTCCTGTCCCCCAAAAACATTTAGATAGTCACCTCATAATTCTGTGCTTTCCAAAGTTTTCATGTATCTGTGCTAATGCAAATGAATTGTAGTCTCTAACAAAACTTAAATATTTTTTTCTAAACATTGATATAGTTTCTGAGATGAATAGGATTTATAGAATGAGGATTCTGCTGCACATAGAAAATTGAATGATCCCTTAAAATGATGAATAATTTTATTTTCTGTCTTTATGGTTAGTTTATGTAACAGTTAATATTCATGAACAGACATGTCAATTGATGACTAATAGAAATTTATTAATGGAGACACAACAAGGTGGATAAATATCAACAAGAAGTATTGTGAAATTGTACTAATACCCTATTCTGTAGAATTTATGTGAATGTGTGTTAAGAGTATGGATAATATTTTTCAAAGGTGATATTTTTGTTTGACTCAAAAAATAACCTACCAAGTACAAAAAAAAAGGGTCAAATGTAGCCAAGGAACACCCGTCCCTACTAGATGCATAATTTCATTTTATAAATTGATAAATGTAATAGAATGTTTAAATATAATAATAAAATTATCTTATACCTTACAATGATTTTGCAGTATGTCCAAGTTCTTCCTTTCTAGGTGAGTAAATTTCTCACCAGTTTTATTACCAATAGTAACCACTAGTAAAGACTTGAGAAAATATGATTCAATATCTAATTGAGACCAGGGCATTTTCAGCAAAATATGTGTCATTTGTATATTTAAATAGGCCTTAACCTGGCCATTCAGAAACTTTTAAATACAGTATTATCTGTGGTGCGTATGTGTGTGTGTGTGTGAGAGAGAGAGATTTCTCTAGAAACATCTGCTTGTTCCCGAGTGTAATTGTGACACATGCCACATGTGACCTTCAGTGATTGTGTCCCAACAGTATTGACAATTAAGAGAACTGAAAGACAACCATATGTTAGCTGAAAGAGAGGCAGAGAGGTTTGAGCAGTAATAAATAATTTGTCTAATCCTATTCAGTTATGACGATAGCTGGTTCAGACTCTAAGCTCATCTCTGAATTAGTTTTAGCACGCTTAGGTAAATTAGCTTGGGAAACAGCAGAAACAGTTGCCAAAGTTTCTTTTATATTAAATTTGTTATTCTACTATTTGTTTTTCTCTGTGTGTGCTGTTGATAGTGCTACTTGTGAAAATTTCTCTTTATTTCTTGTCTTTTACCATTGTCCTAATTCTCTAGTTGTATATTTCTTCTAATTTTGGCTACTTATTTTTACTTCTATTCTAAATTTCTATTTGCCATCCACTATTCATTAGTTTGTCAAGTTCTAAAAAGCACAGAGAATTCAGTTTATTTTATTCATTACCCACTATGTTACTTCATGTTGCAGGCTCTCAATAAGTAAGCAGTATTGTGGGTATAAGAGTTAGATGATTTCTAAAGTTATATACAAATGTTTAAATTACTTTGTATATTACTCAAATTTTCAGTTAATACTAAAAGTTTTAAGCAAAAAATATTTTTGGGAAATTCAAGTTTGTGTGATGGAGATTGAAAGCAAATAGCACGTGGAGTAAAAATGCTTATAAATATAAGAAACGTATAACGAATTTTACTATTTTAAGTAATACAATAACGATTTATTTTATAATTCTATGAATTTGGGTGCTGAATTTGGGTAAAAAACAGAACCTAAGTTTTTTTTTCAAAATGAATAATTGAGTTACTTGTACATTAAACATACATATGTACATAATACAATAAAATATCTGTTTTGAAAATATGAACATTTCAGTTACTCTATGTGTGTGTGTGTGTGTGTGTGTGTGTGTGTACTGTTCAGGTAATGAAGGCCCTGAAGATCCACACATGTCCACATGTCCAGACCAGCACTAACTTTGTTTTCTCAATATCTGAAGGGCATGAGCAGTAATTCAAATTCAAAGGATAACAACACATGAAACACTCTTGGACTTGGAAATGAGCTATAGACTGCCTAAGTATTATGGGTATTAGTGGCATAAAATTTGAATATCTAATTTAAAGAGAGAGACACACCACAGCTTCTAACATATTTTAAATTCTAGTTACCCATACAAAATACAAAAGCCTAGATATTACTATGACAGAAAGTTCTGATTACCTTCAATTATATTGAAACTCTTTTTATCATATTGTACACTCACCACATAAATATAAGAGAAATGAATGCATATATAAAATGTAGGTGTATATGGAGGTGTGTAGATACTATATAAGTAAAACAGTTAAAACATTATAATAAGTCAATATATCATTACTGAACTTAAAATATCTATTGTTAATATTTAGGAACCCCGGTATTACACAATAATATGAATAACTAGATTTCACTGAAATTGTATTATCCACTGGATACTCTTCTAAGATCTATGCAAACATGTTAATGCTCTTGACTACTTTTGTGATCCCTGTTTTATATTTAAGAATTCTGAGGATTATGGTTTTAGTAACTTTGCCCATGTAGTTAGCAGATAGAGGTTAGACAGTCTTTTATAAAGTCTGAATCTTTTACCAAAAATTCAATGGAATAAATAAACATAATTAAGTCATTGGTAATATAACAAACATGCAATGTGTTTGAGACTAGCCTGGCCAATATGGTGAAACCCGTCTCTACTAAAAATACAAAAATTAGCCCGGTGTGGTGGCACACACCTGTAATCCCAGCTATTATGGAGGCAGAGGCAAGAGAATTGCTTGAACCCAGGAGGCAGAAGTTACAGTGAGCTGAGATGGCGCCACTGCACTCCAGCCTTAGTGACAGAGCGAGATTCCATCTCTCTCTCTCTCTCTCTCTCTCTATATATATATATATAAATAATATATTTTTTCTAGAGATTTATACAGAAATATGAACCCATCATAAAAATAAGCAAGGCTGAAAAATTATTTGTTAACTAAAACTATTTTTCCAAACTTTAACATAAAAATATTCATGTCCAGCCTTCTCTAGAATTTTATTCTTAATATAACTGTTGCCCTCTACTACTAGAATATGTATGTTCCGATAGTATTACTGTAGCTATGTTAACAAAAATGTTTGGTAGAAAAACAAGGTGCTTTCTACATGATTTAGCTCCAAGAGTTTCTAATATGGTATAAAGAGTAACAACTTCCTTTTTATAAACTATCTGTGTTGATAATTCTCTAAAATCATGTTTATCTGCAACATTTATCAGGAAAATTAATTTTCTTTCATTTTTTAGGGTACATTTTTTCAATGTAGTTACTGAAAACAATCTAAGTATTATCTTTATCAATATTAACCGCAAAATAAAATGCTATTGTTAATATTCATTGCAACATGGAATTACTGTCTATAGAAAAATGGTCTTCATGTGAGTATATGTCAAAATTCAGGACAATTATTTGATATTTCTAGATTTCATTTATTAATTTTATTGTATTAGAAATGTTAGAAATGTTGCTTATCTTGATAAGATTATAAAGATGATTTGGTAGTCACTGTGGGCTATCATGTTAAGTGAATGGAAGTCAGGTAAAAAGTGTGTTTGTGTGTGCATGTGTTTGCTTATTTTTGATAAGCAAAGATAACACCTTACTTACACCATCTGGATGCTTTTAATTAAATTTAATTAAACATAACCTTCAACTAACTTGTTTTTCTTAGAAAACACACAGACATAAACCACATACATTTTCTTTTAACTTATTTTGTAATAATTCATAATCATTTTTTATGGTACATAATTTTTTGTAAATTTCCCATTAAATTAAATTACCCAGTTTTCCTGAATTTGGAGTTTTTTGTATATTTTTTTCCGAAATACCTGGTAGCATTGGCTGTCACTTTGCATTTTGAGTTAGTTGTGTTTGAAAACTCAAAACTTCTTTCCCCTCACAGATCCTTTCCAGCTATTTCGTTGTTAGTAATTTGAATAGATAATTTATAGGGTCCGTTTTTGACATAAGATTCATGTGAAATATTCTGGTAATGCCAATTTTTAGAATATTTTATTCAAGGATGAATGTCTTCTAAACAATGATGCAACTTTAAATAAAATGGCTGAATGTTAAGTTACCATATTTGTACAACTTTAAATACACTGCAAAGCAAATGTTTATTACTTTAACTAAATTCAGCTTGATTTAACCTCCCTCTTAGTCCATACAGATATAACATTTCTTCCAACATTACCATAAAACCTCCTTTAATTTCTCAAATGTAGGAAGATTGATACACATTTCTGGAATTTCAGCTTCTTTCGAGTACTGACTCTGTAAAATCTATCTTAGAAGCCATTCCGGATGATGCTATTACTTATGGTATGCTGCAGAAATAATTTCAAGAGATTTTTGACTTAAAATATGGTCTACAGTCAAAATGATTTTAAGTACTACCTCTGTCTTCAGTTCTATGTATTTTTTTCTAAAATTTATGTATCTTAAATCTACAATAGAAGTGATAATTCTTCTTTCACATCAAGATAATGTTTCCAAAAAGCACCCAACATATACTTTTTCCAAAAAAGTAGCCATGGCATATAGTTTTTCTTCACTTTTTTCCTCAGGTAGTGATACAGTTTGGCTGTGTCTCCATCCAAATCTCATCTGGAATTGTAGCTCCCTTAATTTCCATGTGTTGGGGAGGGACCTGGTGGGAGATATTTGAATCATGGGGTCAGTTCATACAGTTCTCATGATAGTGAATAAGTCTCATGGGAACTGATGGTTATATAAGGGGAAATGCCTTTCACTTGGCTCTCATTCTCTCTTGTCTGTCATTCTCTCTTGTCTGCTGCCATGTAAGATGTGACTTTCACCTTCTGCCTTGATTGTGAGGCCTCCCCAGCCACGTGGAACTGTGAGACATTAAACCTCTTTTTCTTTATAAATTATGCAGTCTTGGGTATGTCTTTATCAGCAGCATGAAAATGGACTAATACAGGTAAGTAAACCAAATTTTGTTCTAAGTGTTTACTAACTATATATACATTGTTTTCCTTTAATACATAAACAAAATCTATTCAATTACAAAATAAGACAAATATTACATCTATCCCTAAAAGAAACAGGCAGAACATTTCTCCAGTTTGTAAAATTTAGAAGAAATTACCCCCTTTTGCTATTAGAGAAAAGATGAAAGAAGGAGATATCTTCATACCATACCAACAAGGCTGATTTTACTAAGTTGGTGTCTATTTCTTAACAATTTGAGTTATAAAAGTGAAGATATCAAGCAAAATATAGAGAACAACTTATTGTAAGCCATGATGATTTTGCTAATGAAAAAAAAATATGATAAAGCCATTAAAAGCCTAGGGATAAAATGAATCAAATATACTGTATAAAGTACATTCACTAGGGAGACATTTTATATTGTTTAGTACCTGCCTTTGTGTGTTATTTCTTGTTGATTTAGTAATGTTGTAGGGATTCTTATATAGCTGGCTATAAATTGCTTATTAATGTTGGTGATGTAGGGGGGAATTTTTAAGCATAGAGCATAGCCACAAGTCATAAATTCTGGAAAGAATAAAAGAAATGGAGCCCTATAACAAGATAGAATGTAAAACAACTTTCAGAACAGTGGCAGGAGAAGTTCTATGGGCCCTTTAACAGGAAAGAAAGCTTAAGTGGTGAAAATAATTATACAGACATACATAGTTACTACAGGTAAAGAAAGACATCTTATAATAATAAAGTGCCAATCAATCAGGAAGCCATAAAAATTATACACATATGTGCAATGAAAAATAGAGCTGCAATGTACATTAAGAAAAATCAAACAGAAATCAAAGGAATTGATAATTCAACAATAATTTCAACAGTAGATAGAAAACTAAGGAGAAGTTCAAAAAAATAGGTGATTCAACCGAAATTATAAATCTAGTAGATCGAACAAGCATCAATAAAACACTCAACCTATCAATAGCAAGATGCACATTCTTTTCAAGTGCACATAGAATAGAAAGCATTATCCAAGCTATAGCATATACTAGGGCACAAAACACTCTTGAATACATTTTAAAAGACTAAATCATGCAAAATATGTTCTCTGACTGCAATGCAATGAAATTAGAAATCAATATAAGAAAATCAAAAAAATCACAAATATGTAAAAATTAAAGAAAAACTATTCCTAATTAGTGAGTCAACAAAGTCACAAACAAGTTGTATGACATGTGAATTATATGTTAATGAAAGTAAAGAGAGAGAATGAGAGAGAGAGAGAGAGAGAAACAATCTACAATTAGAAAGAATAGACCTTGACCAAATGTTGGAGTAGTGCAAACTGTTTACTCTCTCCCATAGGAAACCAAAAACAATGTACAGCACCAAACTTATCATCAGCAATAGTCCAGAAATAAAATATGATAATGAGACAGTTCCTGGGGCCACAGAGGAGTGAAAAGACTTCATGTGAATGGGAAAATAATTGAACTTTTATATCCACAATGCCCTTCCTCCAGTCTACAAGGTACCAGGAATGTGGAAAATTTCCAACTAATTGTTGTAACACTGGAACAAGTGAGATTGAGGTGTATAACCAGCTTCCCCACCAAGTTGGTCTCCCCGGCAGGAGACCTTTCCCTGCTTCAACTCATGTGAAGCATTGCAAGTGCCTGAAGGAAGAAAAATTCCACAGGACAGCTGAAAACAAGGAAGCAGGGAGGAGGGACTAGCATCACAGGAGGGACTAGCATCACAACACAACAGAGAGCTCTTTTCTATGTATCTCAGCCAAAAGAGACATGAAATCAGGATAGCTGTTCAGCAACACCATATGACAGGAGGCACCTCCCATGGGTTCCCTCTGCACAAATGCCTAGCCATTCTTCCCATACTGCTGGAATATCCCCTTGGGATCTTCCTCCCCACCTGGGACAAGCAATATTCTGAAGTTTGCTGGTGATGAGGCAAACCTGGGTTTCAGCACATCTAGTGCAGAAAAAGAGGAAGTGACTTCACGAAAAAGATACTCAACAGGTATATTGCAGAGAAATCTTTAAGGAAACATATCCAACAAAATCCAAAACAAGTAAGACAGAGAAGACTAGAATAAATAACAAATTCTTCAATGCAAAGACACAGATGTACATTCAGAAGAAACAATAGCAAACACAGACCATAATCTCCCCAAATAGACAAAGTTATGAGCCAGTGACCAAGCCTAAGGAAATGGTGAAAGATGAGTTTTCTGATAAAAAATTCAAAATAGCAATTTTAAAAAACCCAGTGAACTCCAAAATAACACAGAAAACCAACTCAAAACATTGTTAGAAAATTTTGATAAAGAGATTGAATTTAAAAGTCAAACAAAAATCTTGGAAACAAAAATATATTTGCTGCTCTGAAGTTTATGAAGATCTGAACACCAAAATAGATGAAGCAGAGGGAAAAATCAGTGAGCTTAAAGACAGGCTATTGAAAAACATATCCAGAGAAGAAAAATGAAAAAAAAAAAACCCACAAAGGATTAAAACGAATAAAGAATGCCCTCAAGAGAGTAAATATAAGAATTATTGGTGTCCCTGCATGTTCTCACTCATAAGTGGGAGTTGAACAATGAGAACACATGGACACAGAGAGAGGAACAACACACACCGGGGCCTGTTGTGGGGTAGGGGACAAGGGGAGGGAACATAAAGGGCAGGTCAATAGGTGCAGCAAACCACCGTGACAGACATATACCTATGTAACAAACCTGCATGTTCTGCACATGTATCCTGGAATTTACAGTAACATTTAAAAATAAAAATAAAAAAAAGAATTATTGGTGTTCAAAAGGAGTTGAGCAAGAGCAAGGGGTAGAAATCTTATTCAGAGAAATAATGATAGAAAACTTTTCAAAATGTGTGAAATATATAAAAGTCCAAATACAAGAAAGTCAGAGAGCACCAAACAGATTAAACTAAAATGAAACTATCCCAAGGCAAATAACCAATCTCAAGGGTCAAGAACAAACAGAAGATCCTAAAGGTAGCAAAAGAAGAGAAGTTAATAACCTATAAAGAAGCTCCAATTTATCTGGCAACAGGCTTCTCAACCGAAATTATACAGGCCAGCAGAGAGAGGGATGGCATATTTCAATTGCTGAAAGGAAACAATTGACAACCCACAATTTTGTACCCTGCACAGCTATTATTTCAAGCATGAAGAAACAACAAAATATTTCTTAGACAAACAAAAGCTGAGGGGATACATGATCACCAACCTGTCTTATAAGAAATGCTAAAGGAAATTGTTCAATATGAAAAAAATACCGCTAATGTGCAGAAAGAAAACATTTGAAGGTATAAAACTTAATGATAAGAGTAAGTACACAGAAAAAGTCAGGACACTTGAACACAATAATTGTGGCATGCAATCCCCCAATCCACTTATAATTCTACTATGAAGACTAAAAGTCAAATCTATCAGAAAATAATAACAGCTACAGCAACCTGTTAAGAGATAAATAACATAAAATACGTAAATTGAGGCAACAAAATGTCAAAATGGGGAGGGGGGAATTAAAGTGTAGAGTTTCTTTCTATTTTTTTTTCTTTGGAGCAAAGATAAGTTCTCATCTGTTTAAAGCAATTTTTTAAAACTAAAAGATGTTTTGTTGTAAGCCTTACAGTAGCCACAAAGCAAAAAACTATAGTAAATACACTAAAAATGAAAAACAATAAATTAAAACACACTACAAAAGAAAACCCTTAAGCACAAAGGAAGACAATAAGAAAAAGAAGGGTAAGAAAAAAAGAAAAACAAATGAAGAAAAAAGAAGAGTTACAAAACAACCAGAAAACAAATAACAACATGGCGAGAGTAAGTCCTTACCTATCAAAAGTTATATTGAATGTAAATGGACTAAATTCTCCAATTAAAAGGATAGGGTCACTGAATAGTTAAAGAAAGACCCAACTGTATGGCGCCTATAAGAAACTTACTTAACCTGTGAAGACACACATAGACTAAAAATGAAATGGGGGAGAAAGATATTCCATGCAAATAGAATCACCAGATACTGCAGGAGCAGCTATACTTATATCAGATAAAATAGTAAAGTAAAATACTGTAAAAAGAGACAAGGAATGACACGATATAATGATAAAGAGATTAATTCAGCAGTAGGACATCATAATTATAAATATCTATCCATTTAACATAGGCCTACCAAAGTTTATAAAACAGGAATAGATTTAAAGGGAGAGATAGACTACAATCCAATAATGGGAGATGATTTCAACACTTCATTCACAGTAATAAACAGATCATCCTGACAAAAAAAAAAAATCAACAAATAAACATCAGAGTTAAACTACATACTAGACCAAATCAGCCTAACTGATATTTTGAGAACATTTAACCCAACTGCCACAGGATACAGATTTTTCTCATTAACACATGGAACATTCTTCAGAATAGACCATATGCCAGGCAAGAAAACACAAGTCTCAACAAATTCAAGAGTGAAATTATACCACATCTGTATCTTGATTACAATGGAATAAAACTAGAAATCAATAGAAACAGGAAATTTGGAAACCATAAAAACACATAGAAGTTAAACAACATGCCCCTGAACAATCAATGAGTCAATGAAGCAATCAAGAAGAAAATTTGTTATTGAAACAAATGAACACAGAAATACATTATATCTAACTCTGTGGGATACAGCAAAAATAGTTCCAAGAGAGTAGTTTATAGCAACAAATGCCTATACCAAAATAAGGTAGAGACTTCAAATTAATAACCTAATAAATTCACTTCAAGGAAATAGAAAAGCAAGAAAAATCCAACCAAAATTTAGTAGAATGAAAAAAAAAATAATGATCAGAACAGAAATAAAATTGAGGCTAAGAACCATACAAAAATTAATAAAATAAAATGTCAATTTTATGAAATGAAAAACAAAATTGGCAAACTTAGCTAGACTTAGAAAAAATGAGAGAAAATTCAAACAAAGTCAGAAACAAAAAGAAGACGTAACAACTGATTCCACAGAAATATGAATAATCATTAAAGTTTATTATGAGCAATCTGATGCCAAAGAAATGGAAAACTTAGGAGAAATGGATAAATTTCTGGACACGTCCAAGTTACCAAGATTGAATCTTGAGGGAGTAGAAAACCCCAGCAAATCAATAACGAGTAACAAGATCAAAGCCGTAATAAAATGTCTCCAATCAAAGAGAATCCCAGGAGCTGATGGCTTCACTGCTTAACTATACCAGACAGTTTTTGAATAGCTAATACTAATTCTTCTCAAACTTTTCCAAAAACTAAAGGAGGAGAGAATACTATTAAACTCATTCTATGAAGCAAGAAATACTCTGATACCACAACAAGATAATAATACAACAAAAAAGACAACTATAGGCCAGTATTACTGATGAAGATAGATTCAAAAATCTTTAAGCAAATATGAACAAACTGAATTCAACAACATATTAAACAGATCATCCACCATGATCAAGTGGGATTTATCCTAGGGGCACAAGGATGAGTCAACATACGCGAATTAATAAGAGTAATACATCCCATTAACAGAACCAAGAACAAAAACCACGTGATCATTTCAATAGATGCTGAAAAGGCATTTCATAAAATATAATATCCTTTTATAGTAAAGATGCTCTCAAGGAGCTAGGTATGGAAGGCGCATAATTTAAAACCATAAAGCCTAAATATAAAAAACCCACAGCTAATATTTTACTGAATGAGAAAAATATTGGAATATTTTCTTCAAAAGTCTGGCACAAAATAGGATGCCCACTTTCATTGCTTTTATTCAACACAATACTGGAAGTCCTTGCCAGAGCAATCAGACAAAAGAGGGAAATAAAGGGCATCCAACTGAGAAAGAAAAACAAATTATTTTTGTCTGCAGGTGATATAATCATATATTTAGAAAACCCTAACGATTTCATCAGAACTGATAAACAAATTCAGTAAGGTTGCAGAACACAAAATCAACATACAAAAATCAGTAGCATTTAAATTTGCAATCAGTGAACAACATAAAGCATAACTCAATAAAACAATTACACTTAGAATAGCTACAAAAAATGTAAAATATCTAGGAATACATTTAACCAAAGCAGTGAACGCTCTTCACAAGAAAAACTATAATACTCTGATGAAAGAAACTGAAGAAGACACACAAAAATGGAAAGATAATTCATGCTCATGAGTTGGAAGAATTAATATTGTTAAAGTGTCAATATTACTAGAAGTGATCTACAGAACCAATGCAATCCTTATCGAAATCACAATCATAGTCTTCTCATAAATAGATAAAAACTATTGTAAAAATCGTATGGATCTGTATAAACCCCTGAATAGCCAAACAAATCTTGAGCAAAAAGAACAAAGCTGGAGGCATCATACTACCTGACTTTAAAATATGCTACAAAGCTATAGTAACAAAACAGCATAGTACTGACATAAAAACAGACAAATAGACAACTGAGACAGAATAAGGAAACCAAAAATAAATACATGTATTTTCAGCCAATTGATTTTCAACAAAGACATCAAGAACATACATTCAGGGAAAGGACAGTCTCTTCAACAAATGTTGCTGAGAAAAATGGATATTCATATGCAGAAGCATAGAACTAGATCCCCACCTTTCACCATATACAAAAATCAAATCAAAATAGATCAAAGATTCATCTAAGTCCTGAAACTTTGTAACTACTAGAACAAAACCTTGAGGAAATACTCCAGGATACTGGTCTGGGCAAAGATTTTTTTAAGTAAGACCTCAAAAGCACAGGCAACAAAGGCAAAAATAAACAAATGAGATTATGTCAAGCTAAAAAGTTTCAGCATACCAAAGGAAACAAGGAAAAAAGCAAAAGAAAACCCACAGAATGGGAACAAATATTTGCAAGCCATTTATTTGACAAGAGATTAATAACCAAAATACATACATAACTTAAGCAAGTTAATGATAATATAAACAAACAAACCGATTAAAATGTGTGCAAATAACATGAATAGACATTTTTTAAGGAAGACATAAAATAGCCAATAAGTATATTTTTAAAAATGTTCAACATCACTAATCATCAAGGAAATGAAAATCAAAACCACAATGCGATATTATCTCACCCCAGTTAAAATTGCTTCTATCAAAAAGACAAAAAATAACAAATGCTGGTGAGGATATGAATAAAGAGGATTCCTCATACTCTGTTGGTGGAAATGTAAATTAGTTCAGTCTCCAGGAAAAAGAGTATGGGGATTCCTTTATAAACTAAAAATAGAACTGCCATATGATTCAACAGTCTCACTACTTGGTATATATTGAAAAGAAGTAAAGTCAATATACAAGAGATATCTGCTGTCCCGTGTTTATTGCAGCACTATTCACAATAACCAGGATATGGAATCAACCTAAGTACTCATCAATGTATAAATAGTATATAATTTATTGTATAAAAATATAGATAATGTCTATGAAGATAGTGTGGTGTATATACACAATGGAATATTATTCAGCCATAAAAAAAGAATAACGTTTTGTCACTTTCAGCAATATGGATAGAACTTGGAAGTCATTATGTTAAGTGAAATAAGCCAACCATAGAAAAGTAAATTTTGCATTTTTTACTCATGTGGGAGCTAAGAAAGTTGATCTCATGAACATAGGGACTAGAGGGGTGGTTACCAGAGATCAGGGAGGGTAGCAGGAACGGGATAACAGAGAGTCTGGTTAACCAGTACAAAAATACAGTTAAAGAAACAGAAGAAACTTTTGATCATCATTAGAGTGACTATATTTTATAATAATCTACTGAGCTGGTAGAGGATAATTTGAATGTCACCAGTATTAAGAAATAAGAAACTTTTGAAGTAATGGATATACCAATTACCCTGATTTGACTATTACACATTATATGAATGTATAAAAAAATCACATGTACTCCCAAAATACGTAATGTACACTTATTATGTATCAATAAAAAGAAAGAGCAGATCTTATAACAGATCTATTATTGTACGATTTTTTTTTTTTAAGACAGAGTCTCGCTCTGTCACCCAGGCTGGACTCAGTGGCTTGATCTCGGCTCACTGCAACATCCTCCCCCTGGGTTCAAGTGATTCTCCTGACTCAGCCTCCTGAGTAGCTGGGACTACAGGCAAGTGCCACCATGCCTGGCTAATTTTTTGTATGTTTAGTAGAGACGGGGTGTCACCGTGTTAGGCAAGATGGTCTCAATCTCTTTACCTTTTGATCCGCCCGCCTCGGCCTCCCAAAGTGTTGGGATTACAGGCGTGAGCCACCGCTCCTGGCCTATTGTATGATTTTTACCAAACCACTTCATTCTTCTAATTATTTGGGCCTATTGTATGATTTTTAGCAAACCACTTCATTCTTCTAATTGTTTAAATTCCCTCAACTATCTATTCATTAAAATAAAGTTTTTAACCACTTTACAGAGAAACATGGTAACAGAACATCAATTAGTATTTACTTATACCAGTTGACATTTGATAATCTTTTTTTGAATACTGAAATAAATGAATTAATCCATAGCTAAATAAATGAACAAACTAGTATGTGAATTCAAGAACGTATGACCCACAAGATCTATACTCCTCCATCTTGTGCTTTAAAGACAAACTGTTCCTTGCAGGGGAATAATTTGAAGCATGTTGCTCACCACTGAGAGTAGGCCAAGGTGAGATGTGGCATAGGTTGGGGTACAGGAAACAGTAAGTCCCCACCTATTATGAAGATGCTAATTGCTGATGAATTTTAGGAGAGAAATTAAGGATGGAGAGTATCCTACATATTGCCAATATTTCAGTCAGTAGAAAAATGACCATGATATTGGGGTTTTCAGTGACCACCACTTAAAGAAAATTTTATCCTCGCCTTCCAACTATAGATTCCAAGTGCTGATAATGACAAGAAAATACTTCTTCATCTCTGTTCCCATTCAGCTATTAACACTAATGGCAAAACCCCATGTATTAATAATCTTCCTTTTTTTATTTTTATAACACATGTATTTAAGTTTAAATATGTCCCAAAGTACCATAAAAGGCAAACAGAACTAAAATGCCATTGATTGCATTGCTGGCATATGGGAAGAGAACAGTAACAAAGTTCTCTTCCTCTACTATTTTTGGTTATTTCCCTGAAGTGCTTCTTTCTTGTAGCATTAAGCTTGTCTACTCAGAAAAAAAAAAAAAGTAACAAAAAAGAGCCAGCATACGAGCTATTGAATAACCAGTAACAATAACAATCTTGGTTGCCCTGAAATAATCATTGTAATTTCTTCTTCAAATCTTCTCAATAGATGTAACCACAACATTTTGATCCATCCCCAGGGATAAGATTGACATTTTCATCTAACTTCTTCTATTACAGATTTCTTTCAGTAATAATTCAGCATTAAAAAATATCTTGTCATATTTCTCTCAGGGAAATAGCCCATTGGAAATCTGCCTCCAGTCACAATTATAGTATTTAAAATATTTTCATGTAAAATTCATGATTTTATATAACAAAACCTTGCCTTTTCTCAAAAAAAACTTCTGAAAATAGTTTTAATGTATTTAAACTTATTCACTAAAGGGAATTCTTTAGAGTTTATGGCATTAGACAAACATTTATATAGTAAATATTAAAAGAAAAAAGGCCAAGTTTTTTCTTGATACCTGGTAAGAAGATTGGCCTTCATCATATACTAAAAAACAAGAATGACCATTGAAGGCATTAAACCAGAACAGAGACAATGACCTGCAAGTTATTGACAGCTATCGGATGCTGTAAGTGAGTCTTCAAAGGCCATTTTACTCTTCTGTCAAGCAAACTGCTTCAGGAAGGCAGGGAAGGTGGAAACAGAGCAAAATTTCTTGAGCATGGGCCTGTCTCTAAACATTTTTGGCTGTGAAGTGAATATTTTGGTCAGAAACAATGCTGTGTGGAATACCATGATGATGGGTATGGTATTTTGTAAATCCATGGACAGTAGTTTTGGCAGAAGCATTACATACAGGAAAGGCAAATCTATACATAAAGTGTCTGTTTCAGTATGGACAAAATGCTGCTCCTTCCATAGTAGATGGAAGGATGGCTATCTGCCGCCAGGTAGCTAGCTGATTACCCTGGGGAAAGGTGAAATATTGAGGCCCAGGATTGGTCACTACTGCTGGCTGATTGTGGACTGCCCTTGTCATAGCCAGGTCAGCCTTGGTAAGTGTTTATGTTGCTAAGCCCATAAATAACGTCAGGCCCGGCTACCATGACCACTTTGTTTATGATCCCACTGGGCAATGACAGGCAAAACTGGTATCTGCAGAGCAGGTTGTTCTATTGACTTCAATATTAAAATCCTCCTCTGCTGATGTTGTGAGTACATGGATTGTATGTCTTTTGCATAGTCAGAATAAACTCCACATCATGGTCTTGTATAAATAATATATACATTGTTGGATTTGATTGCTAATATTTTGTTGAGGAGATTTGTGTCTATATTCATGAGAAATATTTGTGTTTGATTTTCAGTCCTCATAAGGTCTTTATCTGTTTTTGTTATAAGGGTAATGACAGCATCATTAGATTATGTTAAAAATCATTTTCTCTGCTTCTATTCTCCAGATGATATTGTAGAGAATTGTAACTATTTCTTTTTAAAGTTTGCTAAAATTCACCTGTGAAACCATCTGGACCCTTGGATCTCTCTTTTTTGATAATTAATAATTAAATACATTTTAATAGGGATATGACTATTATCTGTTTCCTCTTGAGTATATTTTGACAGTTTAGGTATTTCCAAGAATTCGTTTATTCCTTAATAACAAAACGTTATCAAATGTCTGGGCATAGAGTTGTTAGTCTTGTACTTTTATAACATTTTTAATGTCTAAAGAATCCATATGATAACCCCTTTTCATTTCTTACTTTGGTTATGTCTTCTTTCTTTTTTCTCTGATAGCCTGGGATAAATATTTATCAGTTTTATTGAATTTCTCAAAGAATAAGTTTTTGTTTTTATTAATTTTCTCTATTATTTTCCTGTTATCTATTTTATTTATTTCTGCTCTAATTTTATTATATCATGTGTTTTTTGTTTAATTTTATTTTCTTTATCTGGTTCCCTAAGGTGGAAGTTTAGATAATCAATTTTAGATCTTTTCTAATAGATGAAATTAACAATATAGATTTTCATCCCAGCATTGTTTTTGCTCTTATAAAAGTTGATAAGTTTTACTTTTATTTTCATCAAATTCAAAATATTTTTAAAATTTTTCTTGAGACCTTCTCTTCGATCTCTGGGTTATTTAGCAGTGTGTTATTTAATATGCTAATACATATTTTTTCCACCTGTCTTAATTTATTAGTTTCCAATATAATTCCATTTTGGTTTGAGAATATATCTTATGTTTCCTATCCTTTTAAATATATTATGGCATGCTTTATGGATCAGATGAGGTTTATTTTATTGAATGTTTCATGTGAGCTTCAGAAGAATGTGTATTCTGCCACTGTAGGATAGAGTGTATTATAAAAGCTATTTAAATTGGTTAAAAATCTTGTTCAGGTCACCTACAGCCTTAGTAATTTTTGTTAGAGCCATATATATATATATGGGATTTTTATATTTTATGGGAAACTTAACCTCTTTATTGTACATAATACTCTTCTTCTTTTCTCATAGGCTTCCATGTTCTAAAGTTGTCTTTGTCAGAAATTAACACTGCTACTGGAACTTTCTTTTGAATTTTAGCATGTTACAACTTACAGCTTTTAACATCTCTGAGATCTTATATTAAGGAGGGTTTACTGAAGACAGTACATAATTGCGTTTGTATTTTATCCACTCTGAAAATCTGATTTCAATTGATACATTTAGAGATATAGTTAATGTTACTATGATATAATTAGATTGATATTTATCATGTTTGTATTAATAACTATTTTCTATTCCTGGCATCTGTTCTTTGTGTCTTTTTTTCTCTTCCTTTTATGCTTCTCTGGTTTAATTGAACATTTTACATGATTTCATTTTGTTCCCTCTCATCAATTGGACTACTTTTTAGGAATTTTTTTGGTTGTTGTCTAGAGTTTACAATGTATTTTTAAATTAACCTTAATCCACCTTCAAATAACCCTATGCCATTTTATCTGCAGTGGAGAAAATTTATAGCAATATATTCCCAATTCATTTCTCCCATTCTTTATGACATTGCTATTATTTATTTCATTTATTCCTGTGATATAATTACCTAATACATTATTATTATTATTGCTCTAAACAAATAATTATCTTTTAAATCATTTGAGTATAAGAAAAGTAAAATACATTGTTTCATCTTCATTTATTCTTTCCACAATGCTTTTTCTTTCTTTACATAGATATGTTTCCTACTTTAGATTTGTTTTTCTACCTGAAAAACTTGTTTTGACATTTCTAACAAGCCAGTTCTGCTGGCAATAAATTTCCTCCATATTTGTTTGTCTCAGACATCTATTTCTTCTGTACTTTTAAAGAATAATATTACTGGATATTGAATTCTAGATTGTTGGGTATTTTTCTTTCAACATGAAATATTTCAGTTCACTTTTTTTCTTGTGTGTATAGTTTCTGATAAGAAATACACTGTAATTTTTATCCTGTTTCTTCTGTGGGAAACCCCTCTCTCAGCTTTATACAATTTTCACTTTGTATTTGCTTTTTTATAGTTTGAATACTGTATGCCTGTTTTGGTTTTCTTTTTAAATTTATCATGCTTATTTTTTCTGAGCTTCCTGAAGTGTAGTTTGGTGTCTATAATTAATTTATAAAGTTATTTTTCATTAATATTTCAAATATTCCTTATGTTCTACGCCCTTTTGCTTCTCCTTTCAAACCCAATGACATTTACAGGATACTTGTTGATATTTTCTTGATGGCAAAGCTCACAAAAAAAAAATGTTTCCACCATATGGTGCAACTCCAGGAGTTTCTCATTCTCCTGCTAGTCCACATAGCTTACAATAATTTGTAAAAATTGCAATTTAAATGTTCCTACTAGTTTATGGCTCCAGCAGCTTCTGCTCCAGGTAGGAGCCTGATTATGACTGTGGATTCACCTCTCTCTAGATTTTGGTGTAGTTGTTTGCCCTGTGACTTCAAATCTCTGATGCGTCAAAGAAAAGCAATTGTTTTCTAGAAAGTCCAGCTCTTTCTTTTTGTAAGAATGGGAGTATTGACTTCCAAACTTTTTATAAGTCAGAGGTAAAACCAGAAGTCCCTGAGAATAGATTTCTGCTATCTATTAGAAAATCAGATCAAAAGAAAAATGTTGCAATAGAGTTATGAGTTGGAAAATAATTGTGGAGAAAGAAAGGGCCCAGCCACTGGTTAATTCTAAAACATAAAACAAATATGGTACATGTTCCTCTATAAGTGTCAGTTTCTGAATGTAACTCAGAAATCAGACAGGCCATAGGAATTGCATGTTGTTTTCAAAAATAGTTGGGGATTAATTGACTGAAAAAGTTCAACTCAGTTGACTTAGTCACCCTTAATTTCATGGACTACTGTTACATTGCAAGACACAAAGCTGAGACATGCTTCTAGCTTGTGTGTCCTCACTGCACTGTATCACTCGTTCTCAAGTGTGTGGGACTCCAACAGCACCAAGAAAATTCTCTGGCAGCTTTTTAAAAATGCACATTTTGGATTTTATCCCAGACATATTGAATCAGAAATTCTGGGAATAAGGCCCAGAAATCTGTTTATTAAAAAAAGCCCTTCAGGTCATTCTAATGCAGACTAAAGTTTGAGAACTGATTTCCTATATCATAGTATAGAACGATTTCAACTGTAGTATTCCCCTAGAAGGTCAACACACCACATACTGGGGATTGCTCTTTCCCCAGGTCCCTTGTTTACAGGAAAGCAGTAGAAGCAAGCTTGACTCTGCTGCAGGCCAAAACTATGTGGTCACTTAATATGACAGTGTTATTCCATTAGAAAGGCACCTTGATGAAGATTAGCCAATTAAAATGCCTCATTTGAAAATTTGGCTTTGGAATTTACTTGAATGAAGAAAATAAGTCAGCACCTGTAGATGAGGGCTATTTTCTTTTTTTTTTTCTTTTGTTGTGACAGAGTCTCACTCTGTTGCCCAGGCTGGAGAGCAGTAGCGGAATCTCGGTTCACTGCAAGCTCTGCCTCCCAGGTTCAAGTGATTCTCCTGCCTCAGCCTCCCAAGCAGCTGGGACTACAGGTGCGCCACCACACTCGGCTAATTTTTTGTATTTTTAATAGAGGCAGGGTTTCACCGTGTTAGCCAGGATGGTCTCGATCTCCTGCCGGCATGATCCACGATGAGGGCCATTTTCAAATGTAGTCTGGAAAGTATAAAAGCTAGCTTTCCCAAAGAGAGTAGAGCTGAAATGTAGAGATATTTCAAGGAACACTCAAGACAGATCTCTTTTTTTTTTAGTTTCTACTGTGCTCTATCAACAGTTCTCATCCAAACCAGAGGTAAAGCTGAACTCCTAACACTGTATTCTTCGTTAAACTTATACATTCTGGTAAGTAGATACAAATTTTGCTTAAGCTAGGTTGATTGGGATTCTTTGTAAAAGAAAAAGAGTTATAAACATCACAACAGGTAGAAGGTTTTCTCCTGATTATTAGGAAGCATCTTTCTTACCTATAATGCTTTCTGATATTTATTTAACAAAAGACCAAATAATTTACATCCAGCTTCAAATGAAGAGCTCAAACACTCTTAAGAGGAAGAGATTTTACATTACTATGTATTTGATCCAGTGAAAAGGCACATTCCAGAAAAGTTTTCATAGATGTGTGTAGTCTATCAAGTACCATTGACAGGTCTAAGACTGGACTGGTAGCATATTCACAGTTGTCTTAGTCCATTTTATGTTGTTGTAACAGAGTACCTGATGCTGGGTAATTTATTTTTTAAAAAGAGGTTTATTTGGCTCATGATTCTGGTAGCTGGAAGGCTCAAGGATAGGCAGCTGCATCTGGTGAGGGCCTCATGCTGTTTCAACTTACGGTGGAAGGTGGAAGGGAAGCTGGTATATGCAGAGACTATTTTGCAAGAGAGGAAGCAAGAGTGAGAAATCCAAGAAGCCAGATTTTTAACAACACATTCTCAAGGAAACTAATCCATTGCAGTAAGAGAAACAACTCATTAATTCCGGAGGGAGGTCATTAATTTATTTATGAGGGATCTACCCCCATGACCCAAATACTTCCCAGTAGGCCCCACTTTCCAACACTTCACATTGTGAATCAAATTTTAATGTGAGTTCTGGTGGGGACAAATCATGTCCAAACCACAGTAACAATTAAACATCGCTGGGCTGCAACAGCATCTGCAGACACAGTCACATAAACACTCGCATTCACTCACTCATTTCTGCTATTGCTCAAAATTCCAATGGGCAGTACATACACACACACACATACACCACCCCCACCCCCCAAAAAATAAACCTAATAACTGCTAGGATATCTGCCTTTGTCCAAGATGTCTCTCTATTTTCCAAACCAGACAACTGAATCGCAGATTTGACATGTGTGAGTACAAAATTTAGTATGAGGTGGAAAAGCTTTAATTGTTTATTGCAGTATATTGCAATATATTTTCTTGAGTAATACCTAATGTCCTGGAAATAAAGAATTCCAAACCAAAATAGAACTAAAGTTTTAAGAATTATCTTGCCATTATGAGCAAGTCAAGTAGATCCATTAATTTATTTAGTCTTTCTTTAGATCTTTTTTCAGTAAGGCATTCCCAATAAAATAAGAAAATGAAGGCATTATGATTTGATATTTATCACTGCTTATTGAAATAAACAAAAATTGCTCAACTATCTTTTATGGGACAGCCATTTTGAATGATCACTGCCCATCAGCAAGGAGCAGAAAAGTGTATAAATACTTAATTATTAGCAAACTAATGATTTTATGGTTGTATTTTCTTAATTAATGGCCTAGCTAATTGTGAAAATAATTAAATGAACTCTTAATTTAAAGAAATTTGTTGTGTTAAAAACAAACAACATTAAATTTACCACCTTAATTATTTTTAAGTGTACAGTTCGATAGTGTTAAATATATTCATTGTTGTAGCACAGATCTCTAGAATTTTTCATCTCGCAACATTAAATCTCTATGCCCATTAAACACTAATTTCCTCTCCCTTATCCCTCCAGGCTTTGTCAACCCTTATATACTTCATATAAGCAGAAGCATATAGTATTTGTCTTTTTGTGACTGGATTATTTTGATTAGCATCATGTCCTTGAGGTTCATCCATGTTATTGCATGTTACAGGATTTTTTTAAGGATGGATAATATTCTATTGTATATATATATAGGACATTTTATTTGTTCAGTCCTAGAAATTAGGGTGGCTTCTGCTTCTTGATTATTGTGAATAATGCTGCAATAAACAGGGATATGCAAATACCCTTTTGTGATCCTGCTTCCAGTTATTTCAGACACATACAGTTGCCGGATCAAATGGTAATTCTACTATTAATTTATTGGAGGGATCTACATACTGTTTTTAATAATGGCTACCATTTTATAATCATATAAACAGTGCACAAGAGTTCCAGTTTCTGTGCATCCTCAGAAACACTTGTTTTTTTTGTTCTTTTGATAGCTGCCATCCTAATGGGTATGAGGTAATGTCTTACTATATTTGATTTGCATTTCTCTTATGATGAGTGATTTGAGCATCATTTTGTTACAGGTAGGTCTTTGATCTTAGAGGTCCCAAGATGTGGTGGGCCACTCCCAAGATGGAGGCGGCCACTCTCAAGATTGCAGCAAGCCTTTTGTTCTCTGACCTGGGGTTCTTGGCCTCACGGATTCCAAGGAATGGAATCTTGGGCCATGCGGTGAGTATTATAGCTCTATTAGAAGCCACGGGTCACAGAAGAGAACCGTGGAACCCAACAACTAGTGTTCAGCTCGATTAGGACAAACCCTGGGCCCTTGGCCATGCAGGAGCAATGGCGAGCCTCTATCCCGATTGGGAGCGGCAATGGGCGCCTCACTGGATCAGGAGCGCAGCGGACACTCTGCCGGATCCGGAGGGATGGAAGTCAGCGGCGGGTCTGGACTGCGGCAAACAGCAGTGGTGGACGGCAAGCAAAAGTTCAACTCGAGCCGTAACAAACACGGACCAGAAGAGTGTGCAATTGCAAGATTTAATAGAGTGAAAAAAGAGCTCCCATACAACAGGAGGGGACCCAAAGGGGGTTGCCCACTCCCTGCTCAAATGCCTGGGTTTATATCCCAACCATTGTCCCTCCCCCTGTGCTCTCAGATGATATATGATTTGACTACTTCTTTACCTCCTGCTTTTGCCTAATTTGTATTTTAGTAAGCCCTCTTTACTACCTGATTGGTCGGGTGTGAGCTGAGTTACCAGCCCTGTGTTTAAAGGTGGGTGTGGTCACCTTCCTCAGCTAGGCTTAGGAATTCTTAGTCGGTCTAGGAAATCCAGCTAGTCCTGTCTCTCAATTTCATGTTTGTTGGGCATTTGTACACCATCTTAGAAGAATTGTCTGTTCACACCCTTTGGCCATTTTTATAGGACTATTTGGTCGGGGGGCGGGTGTTGTTATTGCTGAGTTGAAGCACTTTGTTACATATTGTAGATTCACATATATGATTTACAAATATTTACTCCCATTCTGTAGCCTGACTTTTTATTCTGTTGATAGTTTCCTTTAATGCACAGAAGGTTTTAAGTTTGATATAGTCCCATTTGTCTAGTTTGCTTTCTGTTGCCTGTGCTTTTAATGTCATGTTTAAGAAATCCTTGGCAAATTAAATGTTCTGAAGCTTTTCTACTTGTTTTCTCCCATGACTTTCACAGTTTTAGATTTTAACCCTTAGGTCATTGATCTATTTTGAGTTGATTTTTGTTTATGGTACAAAGTAAGGGTCCAACTCTATTATTTTCATACGAATATCCAGTATTTCCAACATCTCTTGTTGAAAAGGCTGTGTAGTCTTGTTTCTTCAAAGTTTGTTTACACATATATGCACGGGTTTATTTCCAGGCTCTCTATTATGTTCAACTGGTCTGTTTTTCTTTTGCTATTGATTTCTAGTTTTACTCTCTTGCAGTTGGAGAAGATACTTTTTATGATTTTAATCTTCTTAAATGTATTAAATATTTGTTTTGTTGCCTAACATGTGGTCTCTTTTGGAGATCAGTCCATGTGCACTTAGAAGACTATGTATTCTGCTGTTGCTGTATGGAAACTTCTATATATGTCTGTTAGGTCTCATTGCTCTACAGTGTTATTAAAGTTCTCTACTCTGATTTTTCTTACCTACATAAATTATTTCTCTATTAGATTTTTTTTAAACAATTTCAAATTTTATTTTAGATTCTGGGGGTAAATGTTCAGTTTTGTTACACGGGTAGATTGTGTGATGCTGAGCTTTGGAATATGACTGAAGCCTTCACCCAGGAAGTGAGTATAATACCCAGTAGGTAGTTTTTCAACCCACGGCATGGCACCCTCCCTTCCAGCAGTCTCCAGTATCTATCCTCCCATCTTTATGTCTGTGGGTACTCAATGTTTAGCTCCCACTTTGAGAACATGTGGTATTTGGTTTTATGTTCCTGAGATAATTTACTTAGGATAATGGCCTTCAGCTGCATCCATGTTGCTGCAAAGTATACGCTTTTGGTTTTTTTATGTCTGCATGGAATTCCATTGTGTATCTGTACCATATTTTCCTCATTCAATCCACTCCTGATGGGCACCTAGGTTGATTCTATGTCTTTGCTATTGTGAAGAGTACTGCAATGAACATAAAAATACACGTGCCTTTTTTGGGAACAATTTAATTTCTTCGGGTATGCACCCTGTAGTGAGATTGCAGGGTTGAATGGCAGTTCTAAGTTCCTTTAGAAATATCCAAACGGCTTTCCACAGAGACTGAACTAATTTGCATTTCCACTAAAGTGTTCCCTTTTCTCTGTAGCCTCACCAACTTCAGTTATTTTTTGACTTTTTAATAATAGCCATTCTGACTGGTGTGAGATGCTATTTCATTGTGGTTATGGTTTGCATTTCTATGATGATTAGCGATGTTGAGCATTTTTTCATGTTTTTTGGCCACTTGTATGTTCTCTTTTTGAGAAGTGTTTATGTCTTTTGCCAATTTTTAATGTGAGATTTTTTTTTTTTTTTGCTTGCTGGTTTTCTTTAAATTTGTTATAAATTCTGGATATTAGACTCTTGTCAGATACATAGTTTACAAATATTTTCTCCCGTTCTGTAGATTGTTCCCTATATTCTGTTGAGAGTTTATTTTGCTGTGCAGAAACTCTTTCATTTAATTAGGTACACTTGGAGAAACTTTTTGAGTTGCAATTACTTTTGAGGACTTAGCCATAAATTGTTTGCCAAGGCTGATGTTGAGTAGGCTATTTCTTAATTTTCCTTCTAGGATTCTTATAGTTTGAAGTTTTACATTTAGATCGTCAATCCATCTTGAGTTCATTTTTGTATATGATGAAAAGTAGGGGTCTGATTTTATTCTTCTGCATAAGACCAGTTATCCCAGAACCGTTTGTTGAATAGGAAGTTCTTTTCTCATTGCTTGTTTGTGGGGACTTTGTCAAAGATCAAATAGTTATAGGTGTGTGGCTGTATTTCAGGGTTTCTTTATTCCATTTCACTGATCTATGGGTCTGTTTTTGTGCTGCTCTTTACTGATATTCTGTCTGGTTGTTCTAATCATAACTGAAACTGGGCTATGGAAGACTACTATTGTTATTGTGTTGCTATCTATTTCTCTCTTCAATTCTGGCAGTGTTTGCTTCATATATTTAAGGGCTCTAATGCTTACATATATACATTTATAATTGTCATATTTTTCTGCTGAATTATTTTATCATATTATAATGTTCATCTTTTTCTCTTGTGAGTGCTTTTGTCTCCATACATATTGGGTCTAATATATGTATGGGCATACCTGCTGTCTTTAAGTTCTCAGTTATGTAGCATATCCTTTTTCATCCTTTTACGTTCAGCTTATGTGTGTCTGTAGATATAAAGTGAGTCTTTTGTAGACAGCATACAGTTGGATCCTGGGTTTTGTTTTTTAACTTAATTTTTTTTTTTATTTATTCAGCCCCTCTGTGTCCTTTAATTGGTGACTTGAAATTCACATATATTTATAGTAATCACTAATAAGAAGATAATAATACCATTTCAGTCATTATTTTCTATATGTCTTGTAGCTGTATTATCTCTCCTTTCTCCTCTTGTTTGCTTCCTTTGTGTTCTATTGTTTCTTTTCTTTTTGTGTGGTGACATGTTTTGATTCTCTTTTCATTTCATTTTGTGCACATTCTATAATTTCTTTGTGACTAACATTATATTGCATAAAATATTTTTAAATTATAGCAATCTATTTCTAATTGATAGCAACTTAGTTTTAATCACATATAAAAATTTTACTCTTTTGCATCTGTTTTTACACTTAATGTAATTGATGATACAAATTTTCTCCTTTTATTATATATCTATTAACATAAATTTAGCTACATTTTACGCTTTTTTCTTTAAAATTATTTACTAAATTTAAAAGTAATGTGTATAACTATATTACAATACTACAAGATCCTATATTGTCTGTAAACTTACTGTTGACAAAGAGTTTTGTATTTTCAGACAGTTTTGTTATGCTGTATAGTGTCTTTTTTGTTTCAAATTAAAGGATTCTCTTTAGCATTTCTTGTAGGGCAGAAATGGATACATAAATTGTCAAATAATTCATCAAAAAGTGATGAATTATTTGATAATTCATGTATCCATTTTTTTAGGGTCAGTTTCTGAAAAAAAGTATTTTTTTCTTTTAGTTGGACCATGTTTTTGTTTCTTTATATGCCTGTTATATTTTGTTGGGACTTGGGAACTTGAAAGCAATACCATCACTCTTATTAGTCTTTACGGTCTGGACTCATACGGGCAGGACATTCACCAATCAACCTGGCTAAAGATTCTGGAAGCCTTTTCTGGGGATATGTCTTCTTTGTGCTGTACATATAATTCCCTAGATAAGGAGCACTTATTTCTACTCAAGAGTGCTCCTTGGTGATTATTGGTGATACTGCTGACTCTCTAGTGCTAGGCAAACTGAGGAGTTCTTCTTTGTTTTAAGAAGCCCTCATCCTAGTGCCTATTACTGTCAGCATTTATATTCCGGCAAGACAGAAATCAATCCCTCAAAGAGCTATCTAAAAATGGCAGAAGGTTGGACATACATGCCATTCTTCTTATTCTCCCTAGACAGAAGCTGGAAGTTGAAAATTTTCTCCTGATCAGGCCATGCTTCCTGGGAGGAGAAGCTATTGGAAGGACATTGCTGTGAATATTCCTGTCAGCTTTCATGTGGTTCTTCTTGGGTTGCTTGCACTGCAAGAACGTCTTAAATGTTTCCTAGATTTTTCACAATAGTAATTTCTTTATGTATTGTTGTCATGGGAGAAGGAAAACCTAGAGCTTCCCATTTAGCCATCTTGCTAATGTCATCCTTCCTGGAAAGAAGTTTGTTTTATGTGCACAAATATAAACTCAGTATTTTTTCTGCTATCCATTTCAAAACTAATGAAGTTCTATTAATGATAAAAAGGATATTCTGCTTGATAAAAGATGAAAGAATTTTGGTTATATTTTTCATAGAAATTGTATGATTTAGGGTAATATAATTTTTATTTAGTCTGCAGTCATTATTTTAGAAAAGTTTTGCTTTTGTTAAAACTGTATTAATTTTATAAAGCAAAAGAATCCATTTGCTCTGGACAAATGTCAGTTCTTAGTGAGGGCAGGGACCAATAATTTCCAGAAAGTTGATAACATGACATTATAATTTGAGTATATTTTTTTGAATCTGTTGTGGTTTTGATTATAAGCAATACTAAGATAAGAATTTAGGCACACAACTTAATACAGATTGATAAATTTAGGCTCTGTTTAATCAATTCTCAGTGAAGATGCTGCTACTTTACTTAGACATTGGGTGATTTGTTCATGTTATTTAATCTCTCTGAATGTCAGTTTTCTTATATCTAAAATATTGTAAGGATAATACCCACTTAAAAGGATTGTTCTGAAGATTAAATAATACTAACAATAATAGTAGCAGAAGCAGTAGTAACAGTAATACTAGCAGTATTGGCTAACATATATTGACTGCCTATCATGTGTTGGGCAGAGTGTTAAGAGGTTTACATGCATTAACTCATAGCACATTTTCTGAAATACAATATTAGCACTCAATAAATGTTAACTCATTGTCATTATTACTGCCACTGTTCATGAAAAGCACCAAATTGAATTTGATTACAAAATTACATGACAGGTCACTAGAAAAAAACCTATGTTGAAAGAGGCAATAGAGAATTCTAATTTTAGTGAAAAAAATCATTTGTAACAGAAAAAAATGCCTGTATATTTTATACCACCAGAAATGATTTTAAAGAAATTTGAGACATTGAAAGTTGTTTTTACCTTTAAGCTTTTTATTGGATAACTGTACCCAATAAAGGACGTACTGGTTCTTTCTTTCTATTATTGATATTCTTACTTTCTCATTTAAAGTTTCCTCTGGCCACCAAAGTCTCTCATTTTAGTGTGATTCAATGGATCTATTTCTTTTTCTTTATTCATACATAGCAAGAATTTCAGGACTTATTATATTATAGTTTTTATCTCTTCTGATATCTGTGAAAATAGACTGATAATATTTTATGTACCTATACATCTATACATTACTCATTTTCATTAAAAACTCATTAAGACACATACATATGTGTTTGTGCACATGTGTGTCTATCTGTTTACTAAAATGATATCTCTGTTTAAAAGAAAACACTTTAAATTTAAATCTTAAATTTTATATTTTTCATGCTCATGCATTGATAAACAGATGAAATAATATGTTTTGGTCTGGATGGCTTTTAGTGGGCTCTGGAATTGCCACGTAGGTTTTTTCTGCATTGATCATATTATCTTTGGGGATGCCTCTATTCAAGAACATCAGCGATCCAGATTTTTAGCAAATATTTTTTATGGTTTCCTTGTCCTAAAACATGACTTGACTCTTGTCATCCCATAACTTTTTAAAAATATATATATTTTATATAATTTTGTTCCCTTATATTATGATTTAACTATTTGATCTGTGGTAGAACACATATATTCTTTTTGTGAAAAAATAAATAGCAGTTGATTGAGAAAAACTAACAGGTTTGAGCAATACAGGTTAAGGAATTAAGTACAGAGATTAATTTTTTTTTTCATTCAGAGTTCTTCACATTAACATTGGAATTCATATAAATGTAGTGTCTTTAGGGCATTAAAATATAAGCAAAAATAGTGGTAACCTATGTCAGGGAGAAAAGTATCAGTTATAACCACTCTTCCTCTTTTAAGATTCTACATCAGTGCTACTCAGATTTCAGTGTTTCCAGGAATTACCTTACAATCTCATAAAAATTTGATTTCAATATTCTAGGTCTGGAGTGAAATTTAACTGTGCATTTCTAACCAGCTCTTAGTGGGTGGTTGCCAGATACCAGATGACATCTTGAGCTTTCCAAGGAAAAATAATCTAAACTCAAGTAAATTGTATAATGTTACTTTAAAAGTATTTAGGGGAACAAAGCAGCTCAAAATCCCTGACTTTATAATAAAAAATTTATTCCTATGGAAACCAAACAATTCAAGCAACTAAAAATCAGTTAACACAGTTTGTTAGTTAAGATGACAAAAAATATATATCCTTTTCAGAGAAGCGCTTCAAGATGGCTAACTAGAGACATCCAGCACTCACCTCCACAAAGAACAAAAATAGCAATAGATAATCACAGTTTGAATAGTGGATGATATGGTTTGGCTGTGTTCCCACCCAAATCCCATCCTGAATTTTAGCTCCCATAATTTCCATGTGTTGTGGGAGGGACCCAGTGGGAGATAATTGAATCATGGGGGCTGTTTCTCCCATACTGTCCTCATAAGTCTCACAAGATCTGGTGGTTTTATAACAGGATTCTTCTTTCACTCGGCTCTCATTCTCTCTTGCCTGCTGCTATGTGAGATGGGTCTTTTGCCTTCCACCATGATTGTGAGGCCTCCCCAGCCATGTGGAACTGCGAGTCCATTAAACCTTTTTTTTCCTTATAAATTACCAAGTCTCAGGTATGTTTTTATCAGGAGTGTGAGAACAGACTAATACAGTAAATTGGTACTGGTAGCTTGAGACACTGCTGTAAAGGTATCCAAAAATGTGGAAGCAAGTTTGGAACTGGGTAACAAGCAGAGGCTGGAAAAATTTGGAGGGCTCAGAAGCCAGAAAAATGTGTGAAAGTTTGGAGTTCCCTAGAGACTTGTTGAATGGCTTTGACCAAAATGCTGATAATGATAAGGACAATGAAATACAGGCTAAGGTTGTCTCAGATGGAGATTAGGAACTTGCTGGGAACTGGCGTAAAGGTGACTCTTGCTATGTTTTAGCAAAGAGACTGGTGGCATTTTGCCCCTGCCCTAGAGATCTGTGCAACTTTGAATTTGAGGGAGATGATTTAGAATATTTGGTGGAAGAAATTTCGAAGGAGCAAAGTACTCAAGAGGTGACTTGGGTGCTGTTAAAAGCATTCAGTTTTAAAAGGGAAACAGCATGAAAGTCAGAAAATTTACAGCCTGACAATATTGATAGGAAAGAAAATCCCATTTTCTGAGGAGAAATTCAAGCCAGCTGCAGAAATTTGCATGAGTAACAAGAAGCCAAATGTTAATCACAAAGACAACAGGCAAAATGTCTTCAGCACATGTCAGAGACCATTGCAACTGGCCCTTCCATCACAGGCCCAGAGGCCTAGAAGGAAAAAATGGTTTCATGGGCTGGGCCCAGGACCTCCTGCTGTATGCAGCCAAGCGACTTGGTGCCCTGCATCCCAGCCACGCTAGCCACAGCTAAAAAGGGCCAAGGTACAGCTTGGGCTGTGGCTTCAGAGAGTACAAGCCACAAGCCTTGGCAGTTTCCATGTGGTGTTGAACCTCGGGTGCACGGAAGTCAAGAATTGAGGTTTGGAAACCTCCGCCTAGATTTCAGAGCATGTATGGAAGTGACTAAATGTCCATGCATAAGTTTGCTGCAGGGGAGAGGAGCTCATGGAGAACCTCTGCTAGGATAGTGTGAAAGGGAAATAAGGGGTTGAAGCCCACACAGAGTCCCTACTGGGGCACTACCTAGTGGAGCTATGAGAAGAGGGCCACCATCCTCCCAAATCCAGAATGGCAGATCCACTGACAGCTTGCACCATGCTCCTGGAAAAGCTACAGGCACTCTACAATAGCAACCAAGAAGGAAGCTGTACTCTGCAAAGCCACAGAGACAGAGCTTCCCCAGGCCGTGGGAACTCACCTCTTGCATGACTGCATATAAGACATGGAGTCAAAGGAGATCATTTGGGAGCTTTAAGATATGACTTCCCTGCTGGATTTTGGACTTGCATGGGTCTTTAGTCTATTCATTTTGGCCAATTTCTCTCATTTGGAATAGGTGTATTTATCCAAAGCCTTATCCCCATTGTATCCAGGAAGTAACAACTTGCTTTTGATTTTACAGGCTCATAGGTGAAAGAGACTTGCCTTGTCTCAGATGAGACTTTGGATGTGTACTTGTGAGTTAATGCTGAAATGAGTTAAGACTTTGGGGGACTGTTGGGAGAGCATGATTGGTTGTGAAATGTGAGGACATGAGATTTGGGATGGGCCAGTGGTGGAATGATTTCATGGGAGGGAAAATGAGGGACACTATTCATAGTATGTGGCATAAGAAATTTGGCTGGGTCTCCACCCAAATCCCATCTTGAATTGGAGCTCCCATAATTCCAAGTGTTGTAGGAGGGACCCAGTGGGAGATAATCAAATCATGGGGGTGATTTCCTCCATACTGTTCTAGTGGTAGTGAATAAGTCTCATAAGATCTGATGATTTTATAAGGGGTTTCTTCTTTCACTTGGCTCTCACTTCTCTTGCCTGCTGCCATATAAGAGGTACCTTTTGCCTTACAACATGATTGTGAGGCCTCCCCAGCTACGTGGAACTCTGAGTCCATTAAACCTCTTTTTCTTTATAAATTACCGTCTTAGGTATGTCTTTATCAGCAGCATGAAAACAGACTAATACAGAGCATCTAAGACAGAACACTGAAATTTAACAGAGAAGCAAAAGGAAACAACCGAGGCACAAAAGGAGAAATGAGTGAGAAAGCCATCTCAGTTGGGATTGGCTGGGAACCTGAAGAAGCTCCCCAGTGTGGGGAAAGAGTGAATGGGAGATTCCCTGCAGTTCATATTCCCACCATAGAATCTTACAACTCTAGCCATGGAAGAGCCCCTCCAACCTTGCAGGCCATTAGAATAGCATAGAGAGATGCCTGGAGACCACACAGCAGCATTGTCCCAGAAAGGGAGCTCGTGCTAGTTCCCACAAACACCACAAGTACTAAGCAGCTTATGCATGGCACCATTTTGAGGGCCTGGTCCCCACCAGACTTCATTTTGCCCTATGGCCCAACAACCGCTGCCACTCCATGGCCCCAGGCACCACTAAAATCACCCTGCATTCATCCAGAGGCTGGCAGTCACATAATGCCTGTTAGATGTAGAGTCCCCTGCAGTCTAGCAGACATATTGTCCTGCTCCCTGGAGAATGGGCAGTGCTATGCACCAGGGATGCTGCCCTTGAGACAAAGGGAACCAGAGTGCCCACTCTCCAGATCCTGAAATCTGACTGTCTGTGGTCACTGCCATTGAGAACAACACTGCTTCCACTATCAGCAGGGCCCTCACACATTTGCACAAGTCCTGAGGATTGGCTCTTTCTGTCCACTGTTAGTGTTATTTTCACCATCCACACATGTTACCAGGGGCCACGGGAATCATGCAACAATGCCCACCATATCCCCTATCCATTTGCACTGCTAAGAGGCCTAAGTATCGGCTCAGCTAGCTTGGCATCACCTCCCAAGCCCCAGTACAAAAGCATACTGCCCAGGCACCTTTGTATCACCCCAACCCATGTAGCTCATGCACCTCATGCTGATATCTATGTATTCCTACCAGGGACCTGAGGATGGGCCCCTCCCTGCTTCTACTACCACCACAGCCACAACCTGCACAAGCCACCTGAGGACCTGAGGACTGGCCTATCCAATAGCCACTAATAACACAAGCTCATGCCGTATGGGAGCCTAGGGTTTTCCAACCACTGCTTTGGCCATTGCCTGCAACATGCTTGCTGCCCAAAGCTTAAGGCCCAACCCCTTGCTACCTCAGCACTATCACTGCAAAACACCCAAGAAAACCACCTAGAGGCCTCAGAATTGGCCCACTTAGACCCACCAACACTGGTCCACATGTATGCCACCTGGGGCCCACGGACAGGAACGCTTGACCCACTGATGCCACTATTCAAGCCTGAGGACTGGCTCACCTAGTGTTCCCATTCCCAGCAAAACTTCACCCAAAGCCTTCACTAACGACCACAGCCTAAGCCACTGTGGAAATCACATACATCATCAGCATTGCTTAAAGCCAAAGAAATCATACAAAGAATACACACCACATGCACCCAGAATAAATGATGAATTATCATATTTAACAAACACAATAGATAAATATGCAGGAAAAAGGCCTCCCTTAAAAAAGCCAATCCAAAAAAGTGGAAGAAAGGACTGTTAAACCAGATATGCAGATATCAACGTATGAACAGAAGAAAGATTAAAAAGCAAGGAAAGATAACATTTCCAAAAAAACACAGTAATTCTCTAGCAATAGATTCCAATGAAAAAAAAATTTATAAAATGTTAAAAAAATTCAAAATAATAATGTTAAATAAGCTCAGTGAGATACCAAAGAACAGAGGTGAACAAGACAGAGAAATCAGAAAAAAAAATTAAGGATATAAATGAGAAATTCACCAAAGACATAGATATCATAAAAAGAACTAAACAGAAACTGTAAAAGTGAAGAATTCAATGAATGATATAAAAATGTATTTGACAGCTTCAACAATAAACTAGATCAAGCAGAAGAAAAGATTTCAGAATTTGGGTAGGTCTTTTGAAAAAACCAATGAGGCGAAAATACAGAAAAAATAAAAGTAAATGTGGAAAAACCCTGTATAACATATGGGACACCATAAGGCAACCAAATATTTTGGCATCTTAGAAGTCAAAGAGAAAACCAAATGAATAGGAAACGAATTCAATAAAATAATAATTGAAAGCTTCCAAATCTAGCAAGAGATTTAGACATTAAGATGCAGGAAGCTGAGATATCCCCAAACAGATAAAAACCCAGAAATTCTCCATGGCATATTATAACCATAGTGTCAAAAGTCAAAGATGAAGAATTCTAAAAACAGCAAGAGCAAAGCATTGAGTAACATATAAGGAAACCCCCATTAGACTAACAACAAGTTGTTTGGCAGGAAACTTACTGACCAGTAGAGAATGGGATGATATTCAAAGTATTGAAGGAATATAATGATGACTCAAGAATATTATACCCAGTACAGTTATCCTTCATAAATGAAGGAGAAATAAAATATTTCCCAGGCAAGCAAAACCTAAGGAAATGTATCACCACTACACTAGTCCTGCAAGAAATGCTTAAGGGTGTCTTACACCTGAAAGCAAAAGGAAGATATCTGTCATCAGGAAAGCATATGAAAGTATAAAACTACTGGTATTGCAAACACACACATGGAGAGAAAGAACTCAAATATTCCCATTACAGGAAATAACAAACTGCAATGATAAACAATAAGAGAGAAAGGAAGAAACAAAAAATATACAAAATGACATGAAAACAATTAACAATTGAAAGGAATAAGTTCTTGCATACCAGTAAATACCTTCAATAAAAATGGATTAAATTTTTCACTTAAAAAATATACACTAATTGAAGGGATTTTAAAAAATGACCCAACTAAATGCTGCTTACAAAACCTCATATCACCTGTAAAGACTCAAGTAGACTGAAAGTAAAGGATTGAAACAAGATTTTCCAAAGAAACAGAATCCACCAGTAAACAAGGGTAGCTATGTCAAAACAGACGTTTTGTCAAAAACAGTAAAAGGAGACAAGTCCATAATAAAGGGACCAACTCAACAAGACGACATAACAATTCTAACTACGTGTACACCCAGCCTTTAGAGTACCCAGATATAGAAAGCAAGTGTTTCTAGATCTAGAAGAGAGAGACAAACTTGAATACAATAATACTTGGGGACTTCCACACTATATTCTCAGCATTAGACAGATCATCTGGATAAAAAAAAAAAATAAAAAGTAAAATTGAATTTAAACTGCACTTCAGACTAAATGGGACTGATAGATACCTACAGAACAGTTTATGTAACAGCTATAGAATACATACTCTTCTCATCAGCACATGGAATAGTCTCCAACATAGACCATATGTAAGACACAAATAAATCCCAATACATTACTTAAAAATCAAGATTATACCAAGATTCTTCCCAGACGACAATGGAATAAAACCAGAAATAAAAATGTGAACATGGAAAATGAGAAACATGCTCCTGAGCAACCACTGGATCAATAAAGTAAGAAGAAAATTAATAAATGTCTTGAAACAAATAAACTTGGAAGCACAACATATCAAAACCTATGGGATACAGCAAAAGAAATGCTAAAAGTGGAATTTATAGCAATAAATACCTACATAAAAAGTAGAATGATTTCAAGTGAACAATATAACAATGCACCTCAGACAACTAGAAAATCAAGAAAAAAAACCTGAAAATTAGTAGAAGGAAATAAAAGAGCATAACTAAACAAAATAAATAAAAAATCAGCAAAATAAAAAGCATGCTTTTTGAAAAGATAAACAAAATTGATAAACTGCTATCTAGACTAACCAAACCAAAAAAAAGAGACATGAATCAAATAAATTCAGAAACAAAGAGACATTACAACTGACATACAGAAATTCAAAACTCATCAGAGACTACTATAAACAATTGTAAATTAACAAATTGCAAAATCTAGAGAAAATAGATAAATCTTGGATACACACAACCTATCAGGATTGAATCAGTAATAAATAAAATACCTGAATAGACTAATAATGAGTAATGTGATTGAATCAGTAGTAAACTCAGCAAATAAAAGTTCAGGACTGGACAGACTCACTGTCAAATTTTAACAAACTCATAATGAAGAACTAAACTAATTGTCCATAATCTATTCTAAAAAATCGAAGAGGAGCAAATTGTCCTTAATCTGTCTATGAGGTCAGCATTACCCTGATACCCAAAATCGGACAAGGATACAACAAAAAAGAGAAGGACAGGCCAAAGTTCCTGATGATCACAGATAGAAAAATCCTCAACAAAATACTAACAAACTGAATCCAACAGCACATTAAAAAATAATAATAAGGCTATTTTGTCTGTGAAGAAAATGCATTGCTTAGTGTAGCTACCATCATCAATTATTTTAGCTAGATCTTCTGGATAACTTGCTGCAGTTTCTCCATCAGCAGTTACTGCTTCACCTTGCACTTTTTTGTTAGATAGCTTCTTTTCTTAAACTTCATGAATTAACATTTGCTACTTTCAAATATATATATATATATATATTTTTTTTTTTCTGCAGCTTCCTGATAATCTGTCAGCCTTCTTAGAATTAAAGAGCACTAGTGCCTTGGTCTGGATTAGGTTTAGCATAAGAAAATGTTATGGTTGGTTTTATCTTCTATTCATACCACTACAACTTTTGCCTAATCAGCAATTAGGCTGTTTTGCTTTCTTATCATATGTGTGTTCACTAGAATAGCACTTTGAATTTTCCTCAGATTTTTCTCTTGCATTCAAAACTTGGCTATTTGGCACAGGAGGCCTAGCTTTTGGCCTTTCTTGGCTTTTCACACTCATTCTGAGGATGCTTAATCTTTTACAGCTTTTGATTTAAAGTGAGAGATGTGCACTTTAGAGGCCATTGTATAGCTATTAAATGGCCTGATTTCAATATTGTTGTGCTTCAGAGAATAGGGAGGCCCAAGAAGCAGAAGAGAGGGGGGAGCACAGCCAGTAGTTGGAGAACTCAGAACACAACATCTTTTAATTGTTTGCCATCTTATACAGGTGCGACCTATGACATCCCAAAACAACTACAATAGTAACATCAAAGATCATACATTATGATCACTCTAAGAAATATAATAATAATTAAAAATGGAACTATGGAGACAATTGCCAGAGGCACAAAGTGACCACATGATATTAGAAAAAAAATGGTGCTGATATGTTACTAGGAAATGTAGGAATCCTCAGTTCTCAGTCTTCTTGTGAGAAAGAATCGGACAAGAGACCAATCAGTAATGCAAACAAAGGTTTATGGGAGGAAAATAAACAGCAGGGAGTTTACTGAAGGAAGTCCTTGCTAAGAGAGTAACAGGCTGGTCTGTCTAGAAAACAGCAGTAGTAGCCGCAAAGGTTAAGTAATAGTGGAGAAAGTATACTCTGATCGACAAGGCAGAGTGGGCTGTTCAAAAGAGAATGAGCCAGCAGCTGCGGAGTTCTGCACTGCAGTTTTATTATGCCGGATTCTGATCTTTAAGTTCTTGCCTCTGTCTCAAGTCTCCACCTTTTTCTTTGTCTAGTGTCTTAGGCCATTTTCACACTGCTATAAGGAACTGCTTGAGACTGAGTAATTTATAAAGGAAAGAAGTTTAATTAACTCACAGTTTCACATGGCTAGGGAGGCCTCAGAAGACTTACAATCATGATGGAAGATGAAGGGGAAGCAAGCACCTTCTTCATGAGGCAGCAGGAGAGAGACAGACAGAGAGAGAGAGAGAGAGAGAGAGAGAGAATGAGAAAGACAGACCTAGACCACAGGGGAAACTGCCACTTTTAAACCATCAGATCGCCTGGGCTCAGTGGCTCTTGCCTGTAATCCCAGCACTTTGGGAGGCCGAGGCAGGTGGATTACCTGAGGTCAAGAGTTCGAGGCCAGCCTGGCCAACGTGGTGAAATCCCATCTCCACTAAAAATACAAAAATAGCTGGGTGTGGTGGTGCATGCCTGTAATCCCAGCTACTTGGGAGGCAGAGGCAGGAGAATCACTTGAACTGGGGAAGCGGAGGTTGCAATGAGCTGAGATCCTGCCATTGTACTCCAACCTGGATGACAGAGTGAGACTCTGTCTCAAAAAATAAACAAACAAAAATGAAAACCATCAGATCTTGTGAGAACTCCCTCACTATCATGAAAACAGCATGGGGGAAACTGCCCTTATGATCCAATCTCCTCCCACCAGGTCCCTTCCTTGACGTGGGGATTGCAATTCCAGATGAGATTTGGTGGAGACACAGAGCCAAACCATATCATCTGGTTTCCCACTTCTGCCTTAAGTCACACCTTCCTCTGCCTAGTTCCTGCCCCAGGTTTGTGAGATTCTCCCTTACTGTCAGTTGATGTGCCTGTGTGGGCCTGGTGTTGCACACAAATTCTACTTAATGGCGGCATTGTTCATTACCTCCCCCACAGGAATGCATGCACGTTTCGGGTGGCCTCTGGGGTGTAAAATTTTCCTGACTTCCCATTTCTCAAGGGCTCCCCCTCCTGCGCCTGTCTAGCTATCTGCCTACTGTAACAGACATGCTAGATGCAGGATTGCCACAGATCATTAATTTATAAGAACTCCATGTCTGTGAAGTGCAATGAAGTGAAGCCCAATAAAATGAGGCATGCCTGTATATTAAAGCCATGTGATCATCACAATTTGATTACATGACTAAACAAACTCTTTTATTATATTTATTTTTGTATAAAATTGCATTGAATTCAAGAAAATATTTGTGATGCCAACATAACTAAGCAATATTAAAGTATGGCAAATGCCAAAAATTGATTATGCTTAAAAACCATTCATTTCATTAAAATAGACATGAGAAATAAATTTTATTTTATTCTAGTATTATTTTTGTTTGTTTGTTTTCTGTAGAGACGAGTTCTCACCATATTGTCCAGGTTGGTCCCAAATGCCTGGGCTCATGCAATTCTCCCACCTCAGCCTCCCAAAGTGCAGGGATTACAGGTGTCAGCCACTATGCCCTGCCACTATTAGATGAAGGAAAAAACAAACAAACAAACAAACAAAAACTTTTAACAGCTTGGATACATAAGAAACTTTGTACCTAATGTTTTTATACTTCTCTATTATCTACATTTTAAACCATTGACAAGCACAGTGAGATTATCTTTTAAATCACTTGCTATACATGATATTCTATTATCTTACATCCATTATAACTTGTTAGAAACTTTTAATAATGCATGACTCCAGAAGGCAATTCTCCATAATAGATACAGATACTTAAATATTACTCCATCTATATTTTATTATCTTATGAAGCATACTGGCAACTGAGCCAGCAATTTTGTCAGAAATGAACATTTACTAAGCAGCTTCAAAATTGTCTAAAATACTAAATATGACAGCATAAAATAGCAAATCAATTTTATTTTTAAAAATCTTATTTTCCTGCTGAAAAATGAAAGAGATATTTGAAGTGTTCCTATAAAATTTACTTGAAATTAAAGTAAATTAAAAGGCAATATAATAATTTATATTGTATATATGTCCAATATGCATCATATTGTCTCAGTCTGAATAATGTAATTTAATTATTTTTGTATTAAAAACATTTAATTTTTTTGGAGCTATTATATTATTTTCTCTGGTCATCACATAATAAAAATGAATCACATAACTATTAAATTATAGAACATATTAGATAAAACCATAATTACTTGAATTTAGTTTTAGTTGAAAAAAAGAAAATAGTTTAACTTTAATTTAGTTCACTGATATAAAATTATTCCAGCTTAGAGGTATTTGCAGAACCATCTTCCAAATAGTAGTAACATGAACTTTATAGAAAAAACAAAAATTTCAGGATTTGATTAAACAGTTTTGTGAGAAATTATAATCAACACTGGTAGTGCTGAATAATGTAGTAAAATTTATTTAACAAAGCTAATTGTAGAGTTTATTTGCTACCTATAAAATGATTTCATCCTTATATGGTTTTAAAGCAGGGTTACATAAGTAACAATTTTCAATGCTTACAAAATTGACAAACAGGTAACTCTTACTTAAGTATTTTTAAATACTTTTTCCAAAAACAGAAACAAAGTAAATTATCACTAGATTAAGACTCTGTGGTAAGATAGATGGTCACATTTTCCTTAATAATTCATTAGTATATCTAATCTTCTGCTTAGGCAATAAATTTACTATAAATTTTACATACATTTCGGTGTATTTTTACTTAGTCTTGGTAATATATAATCATTTAACTCAACCCTCCATGTAATTTCTTTGGGCCTCTGTAGATAAACACAGTAGACGTTTCTAAAACCAGATAGACATCTTATAATTTATAGAGATAGAGATTAATACATTTTCACCTGAAATTTGGAATTATTTTGTAGCAAGGTGCTCTAATGCTAGGGTTCTACAATGATTTCTAGCAATTGTATGAGAGTTGTTATTAGTACATAGTATTATTCTAACAAATGAATTGTATTTATATATAATTCTGTTATTTCTTTTAACCATTTACTGAATTTTCTCTATATTTTTTAATCTGTTTAAAAAATGTTGCTACTTCTCCCTGTGTAACGTTTGGCTTTACCTTTTTGAATATATACATATTTTTTATTTTTAAATGTAAGTTTTCATGGCTTATGTTATGAGACCTCCTTTTGTTATTTTTGTTACATAACATTCCAGATAGAAAAACTGAAGTTTTGTTAATTGGGAATTAAAGAAATCTCATGGCAAGAAAAAAATATATTATTAACTGAAATATAGACAGTACCATATATTTTGACACCAACATCTGATTATAATATAATTATATACATAACTATATTATATAGTTTATATGTTTAGTGTAAAACAGATGCACTATGCTGAACCAGGGTTTCTAATAAAACTGAATACGATGCCTAGTGAAGCAATTTATTAGATGGTTGGACTCTATATTTACATGACATTAATATAATATGTTGCTTATCTCTGGTACAGAATGTAGTCATTGATCCTACATAGTGATTAGTTCAGTCTACAGACTTGAACATGATTCTATACATGCAGCTGAATAGTTTTGTCATGTCTCCTTTCCCAAGATTTGGATGAAATGTTTTTTTAAAATTTCTCCTGCAAAAATATAGCATACATCTTCAAAAAGCCATAAAACAGTCAATATAGGATTTTTTATGCTTCTATATGGTTTTGTTTGCTTTTTTAATTCAATAATTTAATTGTCAACAAATATATTAAGAGAAAAAAGGTATGCAGTTTACGTAAATATTTACATCTCAAGCCATTACAACATTTGTCTAGTCTTAGAAAGAAATATTGTGGAAGAGTTGGTTCAATGTAGGTTTTCAAAGCTGTTTCATTTTTTTATCTTAAAAAGAGAACTAATTCAAGTTATAAATATTAATAAAGTCATACACTAAAAGTAGAGCTTAGAAAAAGTCAGCCAGTGTTTTTCTTCAATTCTTTAAAGAACACAATCTAAATATATGAGAAAAATTCTTGGCTCTTTTTTCCTTTCTTTGCCTTATCCTAAGATTAAAGTTGCAGATTTTCCTTATCTAAGCACCATTAGAAAAATGTGTGTAATGTTCAATAAAATTGTATTACATTAGTAATTGTGAACAGCATTCAGTAAGTGGCTTTAATATTAAGCATGTTTAGCAAATATACATAAAATTATATTAAAACTAATTTATTCACAGAGGACTAGTTTTCTAAATTTGACTAAGATACATTAAGGCACCAATTTTGGTACATACCTTCATTTTCTCTTTCCCTTGCTCTACAACCGGCACATTCAGAAGCAAGAAAGAATATTGCATGCATTGCTCTATTAATTAGGGAAAAGTGAGCAATAAAAAATCTATTAAGAATATAAATTGGAAAACATTGCATATATATTAGTGATAGCATTGTGTAGTGTCATGATATAAATAGCCCATTAATTAGCAATGGCTTATTATCCACCAAAATTTTTTTTAAAAAGCAAGCTATTTTTAATATTTTTAAATGAATTAACTCTAAGAATTATTTAAATAACAATCGATGAGCACTGAATGAGCTTGCTATATATCCAGCATAATGTTTAGCTATGCTCGAAACAGTTTCTTACTTATTTGGTTTGAATTTATCCACCAAGTTTAATAAATCTTTTTGAAAGAGTATCTTTGTGCAAAAAAAAAAAAAAAAATCTGTTTGCATAATCCTCTTAGGGATATAAGTGAAATAACGTAAGTAAATTACTGGATTGTATTATGAACAAATATATGGGGCAGGGTGTGGCAAGGGTATTAGTATCTGAATATATTGTTGTTATTCCTAGCCACATTGCACCTCTTTTAAAAAGTTCATATTCTATCAGCCAACATTTAGAAAAGTAGTTTAAAAGTTTGAACACAGTATAACTTTCAAAGTTATGACATAACCATTCTTGGTCTTCAAAAAAAGAAATCTTAAAAATACAAAAAACAGAACATTCTATGCTATAATGAACATAATCTTTACTAAAAATATAGTACGATTTCTTAATACAAGTTCTTAGAGAGTTCCTCCACATGGGTCGATGACATCTCATGAAAGCATAATTTGATCAAAGGCTATATGCTATAAGAACAATATGATACACCACTCTGAAGGTGGGAAAACCTAGAGGTACATTTCATAGAAACCAGAGGAATACATGATTTTTACATCCTTCAGGCAATCCTCCACACATATTGTTTCTTTGAACTAAGCTTTTGATAAACACCGAATGGTTGTAGGCTTGAAATTATCCCCCCTGGCTAATGCCTGGAGTGCAGCTCTCTTCTGCTGTTTGTTGAAATCTGCCTCATGTTCCTGACTAGATATGCTGGTTCTATAAAGTTAAGGATGCTTTTATAAAAACTGAAAAGGCTAGAAAAAGCACAGGATAAAACACTGATACGGCTCCGATGACTGGAGGAACACCGGGGTCCTCAGTCTCGCACCAATTTAGGTAAAACGAAATGGACACACGTGGAGTGATTTTAAGGACCAGAGAGTTTAATAGGCAAGAAAGAAGGAAGTCGCTGCCCCATACATAGACAGAGGGAGAGGGGCTCCAAGCGGAGAGAGGAAACCCTGAGGGCAGGGAAGACAGCCAGTTACATGAGGAGGCTGGAGGAGGCGGTGTCTGATTTGCATAGGGCTCAGGGGATTGGTTTGACCAGGCATGTCATTCAGGTAGCCCGTGAAAAAACTGGCCCTCCCACCTTAGCCTTTAATATGCAAATGCAGGGTGCCCTGATGTTCTACAAACCTAGGGATATGTGGATACGGCCATGTTGTCAGGCACATGTGGGGGCAAGAAGAAGATGGTGAGAATTGCCATGTTTTGGTGGAGCCAGTCTCTAATGGCCTATATTTGCATATCAAGGCTTGCCGGCCTGACTCTAAGAACCAGGCTTTCCTGCTAGACAAGAAACCTTCCTGGAGCTGCAATTAAAAAAACAAACTTCCTAAGGACCCCTTTTCCTCTCTATCAGCCTAAAATGATTGCTTAATAACTCCTTTAACAATACCATGCATATTTCCCACATTATCTCCATTCTGAGTTGTCAAGGAATGTCTGCATGTAAACATAAGATCTGCATTTAAAAAAAATTATTGTCACCTGGTATTGCATGCCTGTATCCCAGTTGCTCAGAAGGCTGAGCTGGGAGGATCACTTGAGCCTGGGAGTTTGAGATTACAGTGCATTATGATAACACCACTGCATGGGTAACAGAGGATGACCCTATGTCTCAAAATAATATTTTAATAATAATAATAATGATAAAATAATAATCATCAGTAGACACATTGATAAAGCTATTAAGAATGCATATTGCTTAACTATATGTAACATGAACAAAAATATTTTTGTATAATTTTTTCAGCCAATAGTAATATTGCCAATCTTCAAATAAAGTCATATCAAAATAAAATAAGTATAACTCGTTTGGAAGAAAAACATAATAATAAATAAATAAGTGTGGAAGTAGCTGTCATGAAAAGCAGGAAAGCATTACAATGGAAAATGAATGATGCTATATTCTAGTGGTAAAAAGTGCAGATTTTGGAATCATAATACCTATATTCAAATCCAAACTTAGGTAGTCAACATATTAAGCCTCAGTTCTTTCACCCAAATATCAGATTGATAATTAATTTGAGGCTTAAATAAGATAGTATCTGAAAAGTATTTGACATGATCTATGGAAGGAATTGTTGCAAAGTTAAGTTTACAGTTAGGAGATACTAAAGATGGACAGCAGGAAATGGCAATTATAAAACATCTAAGGTTAACATTTACATCAAACCAAAGTTAACAGAATGATCACTAAATGAATTGAAAATGTATCATGGGGAAAATAAACTATTAAACAAATAACTATCAGTGGAAATAGACTCCCTAAAGAAAAATAACTTCCTGATTCTGAACTTTGAGAGGCCTCTCTGTATACCTTGTAGGAAAAGCTTCTCTTAAAATCTAAATTAGAAACTTATCAGGTAACCAACAAGCCCCAGGCACATTTAGACCTCTGTCATTCTTCTCATTTTGTTAAAATGCTAATTGTACATAAGATCCACTTATACAGCAGAGAAATCAGACCAAATTTTTACCACATAAAACAATAGACAACCCAGGATTAATATGCATATGAAGGAAATTCATGAAATAACAAATTTAATAACATAAAATAAATAATAAAATAAATCCAAAAGGAAAAATTTTGAGGTAATTCTGAAAATCAAGAGCAAATTGCTATCTATCAAATTAAGAAGAATTAACAATAAGAAAATGCCCTTGAGAATTTGTCTTAATGTTTAGAAATAACAAAAATTCAATCTCTGTTGGAGATTAAATTTGATAATATTTCTCAAATCACAGAGCAAATCACAAATAGTTGCAATATATGAGATAAAATTAGAAATATAAAAACTATTCAGGATATACAACACTCATCTAATAAGAATGCAATTAATGAGAAAGAAAATGGAGGTGGAACCTATCAAGACAAGAATAAACAAAGGTTTATTCTTCTACATTTTCAGATCCTCCTACATTTTCAGAAATAAAAGATCCATTGAAAATAAAACAGTGTAAATAAAAAGAAAACTAAAATTAGTCTTAAAATTTTGCAGTGGGAATGAGCAGTTAATAATACAAAATGAAAAATACAAAATAAATGAGAAATAAGATTTAAATATGTAGACAATAGAATAAAAAGAAAAAGAGCCATAAATTCTAAGTTCTGAGACTAGATAGATAGATAGATAGATAGATAGACAGATAGATAGATAGTTTGATAGATTGTATTAATTATCTCCAGAGCAACTGGGATACAGGCATGCAATTATATTGACATATATGTTTATATATATATATTATTTATATATATATTATTTATATATATATATATATATATATAGAGAGAGAGAGAGAGAGAGAGAGAGAGTAGTCCCACCTTATCCATGCAAGATGTATTCCAAGATTCCCAGTGGATGCCTGAAACTGTAGATAATACCAAACCCTGTATATATGAGGTATTTTCCTATACATACATAACTATGATAAAGTTCAATCTATAAATTACATAGAGTAAGAGATGAACAGCTGTAAACCACAGATAAAATCCTAAGCTTCCCAGCCGACTGAATGGATCACCCCTTGGCCAACGGACTCCAGAGAAACCTGAAAAACTATATTCCTGGCAATGATGGGAAGGGGTTCATACACCCCTTGTTATATTCCCTTCCCGCATTAAGGTTAAAGTAAAAGATCAAAAGACTGACAAAGCAGACTCTTTATAGCAATAAGATACCAAATAATAAACAAGATCTAAGGACATGAAAGGCAATGGTTAAGTCTGTTGTGGGAAGTCAGGGACCCCGAATGGAGGGACTGGCTGGAGCTGCAGCAGAGGAACATAAATTGTGAAGATTTCATGGACATTTATCACTTCCTTAATAATACTCTTATAATTTCTTATGCCTGTCTTACTTTAATGTCTTAATCCTGTTATCTTCGTAAGCTGAGGATGTACATCACCTCAGGACCACTATAATTGTGTTAACTGTATAAATTGATTGTATGTGTGTTTGAACAATATGAAATCAGTGTACCTTGAAAAAGAACAGAATAACAGTGATTTTAGGGAAGAAGGGAAGATAACCATAAGGTCTGACTGCCTGTGGGGTTGGGCAAAAAGAGCCATATTTTTCATCTTGCAGAGAGCCTATAAATGGACATGCAAGTAGGAGAGATATTGCTAAATTCTTTTCCTAGCAAGGAATATTAATATTAAGACCCTGGGAAAAGAATTGCAATCCTGGGGGGCGGTCTATAAATGGGCGCTCTGGGAGTGCCTGTCTTATGTCGTTGAGATAAGGAATGAAATATGCCCTGGTCTCCTGCAGTACCCTCAGGCTTACTAGGATTGGGAAATTCCAGCCTGGTAAACTTTTGATCAGACTGGTTCTCTGCTCTCGAACCCTGTTTTCTGTTAAGATGTTTATCAAGACAATACGTGCACCGCTGAACATAGACCCTTATCAGGAGTTTCTGATTTTGCCCTGGTCCTGTTTCCTCAGAAGCATATGATCTTTGTTCTCCTTTTTGCCCTTTGAAGCATGTGATCTTGTGACCTACTCCCTGTTCTTGCACCCCCTCCCCTTTTGAAATCCATAATAAAACTCACTGGTTTGGGGGCTCAGGTGGGCATCATGGTCCTACCAGTATGTGATGTCACCCCAGCTGGCCCAGCTGTAAAATTCCTCTCTTTGTACTCTTTCTCTTTATTTCTTAGCCAGCCGACTGACACTTATGGAAAATAGAAAGAACCTATTTTGAAATATTGGGGGCAGGTTCCCCCAATGTAAGTTGTACCCTATAAACCATAAAATCTCATTAAATAGGTGTTTTATTAATCTTGTATAATGTGGGTTACTTCAGTCTTGACCCTTGTATAGCATCACATGACATGACAGATAGCAGACCCTGAATAAAAAGTGTTTTATCCCCAAATATGTTTCTTTGTCACCATTAAAATGAGCCTGCATAGCCATGTTTTCTGGGAGAAATTTGCATCTGTGGAGAATCTCCAATAATTCAGCCAGGCCTCCCCTATTTAGATCTTTCCTAAATCTAGGAGAGTGTGACACCTTAGGAAACCTGAAAAGAGATATTTACCATCTATTCTTTCTAAGGGTTGTAAAAGTTACCTCTGAGGTTTCATCTACATATCATGGGCCTTGGCCTCTACAACCCCCTTATTTTCACTGGAGCATTCCTTTCTACTGACTTCACGTCTTTAGACAGTAGCTTAACTCTCTCAACCAATTGTCAGCTAAAGAATCCCTAAAATCGACCTATGACTTGTAAGTCCCAGCTTTCTACATCCCACCTTTTCAGGCCAAACCAATGTGTACTTTCCACGTGTTGATTTGTCTTTGACTATAACTCTTGTCTCCCTAAAACATATAAAACCGAACTGTAACCTGACTGCCTTGGAATCATTTACTCAAGGCTTCCTGAATTTGTGTTTTCTCTGGGCTGTGGTCACTCATATTGGCTCAGAATAAACCTCTAAAATATTTCACAAAGTTTGGTTTTTCCATTAACACAACAATAACTAATAATAAGCTAGAAAAAGTATAATACTAAGGGTTATGTGAATATAGTGTCTCTCTCTCAACATATTTTGTGATGTAACTGAAGCCATAGAAAGCAAAACTGCAGACAAGGGAGGAATGTTGTATCTTTACAAGCTGAAATATCAACTGAAAATATAGAAAAATAAGTACATTTTTAGACACTTATTAAAACACAGATTTATCATATGTAAAAATATATTTACATGTATTTATATGTATATAAATTCTCAAGTAATTTCTTCAGAAAATATATAGGTGTATATATATATGTGTGTATATATATTTATATTTATATATCCTATATATACAAATCAGGTAATTTCTTCAGAAAAAAATTGTATATAATATGTGTATATGTAGGTATCAGGTAATTTCTTCAGAAAAATATATAGTTATATATATATATACTATATATGTAAGAAATATATCCTTTATATTTTCATATGTACATAAAGTAATTTCTTTAGAAAAAGTATTGATAGATAAAAAGATAGAGAGATAGATAGATCTTTTCTGAATAAAATACTTGATAATGTATCCCAGTAAAATGAGAGTGAAAATCTAGATGGGCCTTCAGCTTAAAAGATAGTTGATTTGGCTCAAAGTCAAAATAAATCAAAGGGAAATATCTATCTCTAATTAGGAGGTGACCAGTCATAGGAGGTCAAAATTTCCACTAACAGCCATTTGAAAAATGAGATACATGTGTAAAAATCATAATTTTAAAGGCATCATGTTTCTGTGGATGTAACAACAACAACAAAAACATACAGAATAAGTATTCCAGAAAGAGTAAAAAGAAGTAAGGTGAGCTTATAGCAGGTATCTCCACCCTGCCCCCTTTTTCCCCTTTGAGATCATTTGTTTGAGTTAAAGGTGAAGAATAAGATCCCTAGATATTAATGGCAACTTGGAACATCTGTCCAATAATCCCCAAAATATTTAGATGGTTCCCTTTCCCCAGCACACATTTTCTGAGTAAATGGTCTGGTAGAGTCTCTTGGTGGAAGGATTGGATAAATCACTATCACACACACTTGCTATTGTGATGCAGGGACTTTAGTGCCTAGAGATTGAGGATCCAACCTCTCTTTAGATAGTTCTATTTTTTCTTATAAAAGCTGATTCAAGTCAATGATTTGGCTTGAGTAATCACTTCTCAACCTATCAATTATTTTATTTATTTATTTGCTATGCTGCTATGGTCTGAGTGTGGCACCCCAAAATTTGTATGTTGAAGCTTAATCACCAGTGTGTTAGTATTAAGAGGTGGGGTCTTTAGGAGGCAATTAAATCATGAGGGCAGAGCCCTTATGAATGGGATTAGTTACTTATAAAGAGGTGCAAGGGAGCTGTTTGTCTTTTCTGCCATGTCAGAATGCAGCAACAAGGTACCATCTATGGAGTAGTGGGTGAGGCTTCACCAAATATCAAATATGCTGGCACCTTGATCTTGGGGTTCCCATCCTCCAGAACTGTGAGAAATAGATTTCTATTATTTATAAATTACCTAGTCTAAGGCATTTTGTTACAGCTTCAGGAATGGACTAAGACACACACTATTGTTGGGTAGCCATCTGTATTCCCAATTATGTTGCAATAACCATTCCCTTAAAATTCTTCAGGTCAAGTGTTTCTGGCCACAGTTACAATGCCGTTATTCATTATGGTAATGGGTTGCTTCTGACAATTAAGCTCTGCTGTGTAGACCTCTATTATTTTGTAATTCTCTATTTCTTTTGCTAGTGGTGAGCCTAATACTACATCATCCTACCATCCATGGAGTCATCTACATAGAAAACAGGCACCACTGTAGGTCTCAGTGATGCTTATACCCTTCTTGCCAGAGCATTTCTCGTCACTTTTATGAATAGACTAATTTTAATGTCCTCAAATGGAATGCAGTTATCTGGTGAGCTCTCTAATTTCACTAATCTAGCATGTCAACTTCCCTGAGTTTTCTTAATCCCTTCTACCACCATATACCATGGCTGTTCTATTTCTGCTTCACCTAATGTGGAACATTGCTTTCTCCAAGATTCCAAGAGCCACTCTCACAGTATGGTAGCACTAAATTCACAAGTCCTTGTCAAAAAATTAGTGCTATAACATGGGAAATTTTTTACTAATGATAAACATTCACTTATTACCCCATGTTCCAAGCATTTGATCAAGCACCTTCAGACCCAGTGCTTTGTATAGTCCCTGGGCTTCCGCTGTTACATGGTGGTTAGGTCTTGAAAGTCATCCAGGATACATTGACTTTCACTTTTCTTTTTTTATAGATGTGAAGTGATACTATGTGATCTGGCTTGAGTAATTATGTGACATAATTATAATGGTGGACAGGAAAGGAGATGGGTTTTACCTTGAAGAAAACACATGTTGTCTTGTAAGCCAGATTTTTACATCATCTTCAAGCTCGTAGGGGAGTACAAGCTATTAGGAAAATGAACCTCTTCTGTAGGCACCACATTTACAATAAATCTGAGGATTCAATATTTTTATATGCACACATGCAAATGCCCACATCGCAGGGTCTCAATCCTTCTTAACGCCTACAAACTCAGGGTCTTGGCTCTTCCTGATCAGACCTGATTGCTTGGTGTTTGTCAAGACTGAGAATTCACATTTCTTCAGACCTCTTAATTCATATACAAATGGTACTTGACTCACATTGGGGTTACGCACCAATAAACCCATCATAAGTTGAAAATATAAGTTGAAATGCATTTAACACATTTAACCTATCAAACATCATGGCTTAGCCTAGACTACCTAAAATATGCTCAGAACATTTATGTTAGCCTACAGTTGGGCAAAATCACCTAACATAAAGCCTATTTTATGAAAAAGTATTGATTAGCTCATGTAATTTATCGAATACTGTACTGAAAGTGGAAAACAGAAGGTTGTAAGGGTACTCAAAATATTGTTTCTACTGAATGCTTATCACTTCCATACCATTGTAAAGTTGAAAACACTTAAATTGAACCACTATAAATTGGGGACTGTTTGTAATTAAATCCTAGGCTTGAATATCAGCTATTTTTTGCCCTCTAGCTGTAGGAAATGATAATCTCTTTCTGCTATCAAGAAGCTCTTCTCATTTTCACTCATAGCCTTTAATTGGTGATTAGTCATCCTTAACATTTCATTGTCTTTCTTCAATAAATCACTTTTCTCTGGAAACTATTATCTAATCCCATGATTTTTATAATTAGAGTTTTTCTCTAAAAACTCTACATTTCTTTTATCCATTAGTGCATTTTTTTTTCAACTGGTATTCCATTCCAGTGTTCCACAGAATAACGTTTTAGAAACTACTGCCACAAGCCAAGGATTATTATTGTTCCACCTACTACCAGTGCTTTCCTCTCATTGCCAGCCCACCACTGAGTGATCTAGCTCCAAATTCTGGCTTTGCAGTTGTTTCTTCAGCTTACTTTTATTTTTTACTTTTTAAGATTTTGTTCCTTAAGAAATGAACACAGAGACAGACTCTGATACAAGAAGTTTTGGGAGGAGTTCTTCAAGGGTCAACAAATGTGAGTGAATGACTATAAGAAATACAACACAATTGGGCACAGGAAGACAGTGAACTTCCACAGAGTCGATCAACAGCCTCAGCCAATTCCACAGGTATCTTTGTACCTGAGAAGTCTCTTCAGAGATACACCAAATGGAGGCAAGCCAAGACCTTTATATTTTCACAACAAATAGTCATTAGATGCGGGCTGCATCCAAGAAGGGCACACTGCTTTAGAAGAGGTGACTCTATTCAGCAGAAGATGATTACTGGAGACAGATCCTGCTGAGAGCTGTTAGTCAACTGGGAATATGAAGGCCGTAGTCTGACAGGGAGATTCTGGGTGGGCCACCATCACATGAACGACATATGTGTTTACACATATATATTTATATTTGTATGTAAAAGCCTAGAAACTTAAAAGCCCTAATGATAACCACATGTTTACTTTCAGAGAGGAAACCCAAAACTGTGGCAATCAGGAATCACAGGTACGTTTTTGCCTTATCTGTTTTATCACTTTTTTATAATGAGAATGTATTAGTATGTCCCTATTATGTTAAAAAAATCCATAATTAAACAACTTTTTATTTGCAACATGTACATATTTTAAGAGGAATGTTCTAAATGAAGTAGGTTATAAATTAAAATTAGTAAAATAAGTGAGTAAAACCTGGAAGATTTTATATATATTGCTAAAATAAAGTATATCTTTTTTTTCAGATTGAATAAACCACATAATGACAAAGAAATAACAAAAAACATAACAGCAACTATTTTCATACAAAAAATTGTCACCCAAATTTGGCACAAGTGATTTTGGAAAACTGAATATGTTTTTATAAAACTGCCTTCCCTTAAGATATATTTCTCCATTAAATAACATAGAATTATTTTCATTGAATCCATGGAGGAATGGAGGTATGACTTTTGCATCTTCATTGTCTTTTGCTGGAATTGTATTTAAATAATGTTCAAGTAATATATTGATTTTTAATTAGACATTTAGAATGCAGTAAAGGCAAAGTCAGAAGAGGTTAATAAAAATATATACTTTATTGTTATTATTATTATATTATTACCATACCATTACAGTATTGTTATTGTTATTACATTATTGTAATTTTATTACATTATTAATATTTTTATTTGGCCATCCAAAAGTACACATAGTGCCACTAACAAATTGTTAGTGGTAATAAAATGAATTTGGATTCAGCTTTTATTGTGTGGACATACTATAACAATTTGACAGGATGAGAGACAGAGTTATAAGTATGTTAATCAAGCTTCAAAAATTACTTGAAGGATTAAAAAATAAAATTATGTGAAAAATCAGTAATTTGAATGTGTAATTGAGTTCAGTACTCATCTTGCATGGTATGTTACACAGCAGAATATTCAGGTTGATGGATCAAAAGATAGTGACTTAAACATGTTAGTTAAAATGCTAAGAAATCACAAGAGAAAACCCCTCTCAAATTTCCCAAAAAAGGTTAAAACCAATTATTGGGGAATGGGGCTGAGGATAATTAGGGCAAGTTAGGGCAAATGATTCTTGATTCTTATTGAAAAATCCTTCTGTCTATTTAATATTATTTACACAAGGCATACATTACTTCTAATAAAACAAATAAGTGGCACAAATTGAGGGGTATACCACAAATAATAAATTGTATCCATATAGTGAAGATTAAATTCAGTGGTGCTCTTAGAAAAAGTTTCCACTATCTCTGAAACTTGGGGAAGCATTGCAAGATTTTGAGGCATTCGTTAAATACATTCATTTCATCCCTGATTTCACTTAAAATTCCCACCCATCCTTGACCCTCTTCCTTCATTGTATAACTTAGTTCTTTTTCAAGTTATCTTATCATATTGTATCAATTCTGTATGATGACTTAACTACTTTCTGAATCAGGGTGTTGTAAACTTACATTTTTAACTGTGTTTACCTGGTTTTCCCCTTTGATATCAATAGTGCACTTTTCAGCGGGTAACCTATCTGCACAATCTGATAGGTAATCTTTTCTTTCTACATTAATAGTCATTAAAGAAGATGTGAAGAATCACAATTTCTTGAGTAAATTGGAAAATACAGTCATTCTTAATATTCTTCTTCTTCTTTTTTTTTAACCTTAAGTTCTAGGGTACACGTGCAGAACGTGCAGGTTTGTTACATAGGCATACACGTGCCGTGGTGGTTTTCTGCACCCATCAACATGTCATCTACATTAGGTATTTCTCCTAATGCTAGCCCTCCCCTAGTCCTCCACCCCAGACAAGCCCCAGTGTGTGATGTTCCCCTCCCTGTGTCCATGTGTCCTCATTGTTCAACTCCCACTTATGAGTGAGAAGATGAGGTGTTTGGTTTTCTGTTCCTGTTAGTTTGATGAGAATGATGGTTTCCAGCTTCATCCATGTCACTGCAAAGGACATGAACTCATCATTTTTTATGGCTGTATAGTATTCCATGGTGTATATGTGCCATATATTCTAAACATACTAGAAATACCCATTCCTATTACCATTTAACAGTTACATAATATATTTTAAGAACATTGCACTCTCATTTCAGATTTTTTAAAAATAGACAATTTATTTTGAAAGGGATTTAAGTTTTGTATATAGTTGAAACACTGCATTCAAAATGACATTTTATGGATGAAGAGGGTCAATAACTAGTACTCCACCATTAAACCACCACAGTCTTTTCAAAAACTCAATTCTTTGTTACAGAAAGAAAGTAATTAAACTTAAATATGCATGTTCAACTGAGGTTAACACATAGTGCTTCTTATTCTGGCTTTTGCAAGTATCCAAGACATCCTGGGTGGCAGAGTGAGGGCTGCCACACCAAAGGACCTGGTAATAAGAAATTACTGAAAAGAGTATAATGACATATTTTGAACAGATTGTTTTGGATTGTAGTTGTTCTACAATATTTTAATCATAATTTTATAATATTTTAAAATATTTTTCTTCATATGAAAGTATACAGAATCTTTTCATTTTTATGCAAGTTGTTCTACTATTATTTCTATACAAAGGCTTGGATTAATATATTTATCTACTAAAGTAAGTAGATAACTAAACCCTTTTGATTGCACAGAATTATAATAATACCAGTATTGTTTCTTTAATATTGTCTTACAAATCACATATATCTACTTGTCTGAAGAAAGGCTGCTGAACCATTTTAGACAATGGTTACACTAAACCTGATTCTCCTTCACTAATTGTGCTTTAATGATAATTTTGCATTTTGAGGATAACTGTATTTAAATATTCAGAGAACAGATTATTAAATTTTTTTGCTGAATGACGCATACAGAAACATTAATTAGAACAAGAAAGACAGAGTTGCAATTTTCCAAAATAGTAACTGTGCCAGGTGAACTCAAGACATGTTTCTGCTAACTGAAAACTTTTATATAGAAACCGGCAAATAATACATGTAATAATGATTAATGGTTTTCTTCTGAATATTTAAAAATGAATTGCTTACTACAAGTCAGGACTGCGGGTTCTCATTCGAAGTTCTGCCACTCATGATTTTACTGAAATATTTCAGTATTTTCACTTACTTTTATTTTAATTCTTTTCTCAAAGTATAACCTGGGAATTATAATTGAAAATATACAAATAAATAAACTGGGTAAAGTAACAAAATGAAAAATATACCCTCTATTAAGATGTTCTGACTGAAACATTGTTTGTGAAAGATTCACATTTAATATTAATTTGATCCAATAACACCAACCACTGTAAATAGTACGTCATACCATCAAGGAATTTAAACTAAATAGGAAACAATCTTAGGTCATGCTTTCTATAGTTATTTTCCCCTTTTAAGAGAATAACTAATTAAAATATGTCATGAGTTCCAAAATTTCAATTCTGAATTCTTAATAACAGAAACATAGAGACCTATAGCTGCTTACTTAAGTATACAGAGGAAAAAAATCCACATTTTAAAACTCTGAAACAGAAAATTAAGATACTAATAGTTTTCTGATTATTTCAAATGTTATATTTTACTTAAAGTCTAATCTAATCTCTTTTACAACAGCAATTGCTATCATGTCAATTCAAATGACAGTATACCCCTCACTGGAGCTCAATAGTTTTCTGTTAACAATTAAGGAACACTCTCGCCATCCTGTCTTCTCAGTTTGCTCAGTTGCATTTTTTGAGCCTTTACCAATGTGCAGTGCCACTATGCCTGGTTATTGTGTCTGTGCTCATGACATTTCCAAGCAAAGACTTTCAAAGATCATTTCTCCCAACACAAACATCTTTAGAAAGATGGGAGGTTTACTTAAGATCACACTGCCCCTTGTTCAATCTTTGCTAATGCTGCAGCATTTGGAAGTCTTCCTGAAAATAAATTGTCTGATGTTTTTCCACAGTATGCAGAAAGTACCGTACCTGAAAGATTTGTACTAGTCAACTCAGCACATAAAATTCCTTTTCTGGCACCAAACTAAGCTCCAAGGAAATAAAATGATCTGCCCTCTTTACAGTGCCTTGCACATATCGATGTTCATTAACTATTTGGAGCTAGAGGAATTTTTATTTCCTATCCATATTGCAGTAGTAATGCCCCTGCCATTGAATATTGGTTTCATCCAATTTTTCACTGTAATTCTCAAGGCCATTAAAAATACCACCTACCAAGTCACAATGTAGCTGTGGATTTGCACTAAATTCCGTATCTCTACTTCATTTGTCAGATGCTGAACTATTCCAGCAGGAACAGATTCTTTGTGGCATCTTATAGTAATTAAATTTGTAGTAGTTTTTTTGAAGGGTTGAAAGATCTAATTTTTCATTCATCTAATTGTTCTAGTTTTAGAGTTGTTCAACATCAGATAGTACACAAATAATTTGAGGCAATAAAAGAACAGTAAGTAGCTTAGCAACTATGTAGCTGAAAAAAAGCAGTTATAACTATTTATAGTCAATCCTAAATTTAAATTAAATTTGCAGAAATGCAAATGACAAGGATTTTCTGAGTTTAATTTAACCTTACTAACAGCCTAGGTGTTCACATATCATTTACGTGAAGAAAAACAAGGACCAGTGAAAAGAAAGCTGGGTATCTGAATCACAAAAATGAAACACAATATCTTTTTATGTCAAAACAAATAGTCCTCTTTCAAATTATGATTTTTTCTTCTGTTTAGTTTTTGTTATTACCTACCCTGTCCCTTTCTTTTTTATTTAGCATTACACTATAATTCTCGGATTTTTGTATCCTCATAGCCAGGAACACTACTTATCCAAACCAATAGCCTCATGATTTTCTCATCCTTTGGGGACAGTGAGAATATAAAAGACTCACATGAATCTATACTAAATATACTTCCGTAGCATGGACGTACTCATTTCCTTAGAATGGACAAACAGTCTTCAAAGGAGCATATACTAATTTATAGGAAAATATATTTGAGAGGTCACAGGAAGTCCTTTTTCTCACTAGTTTTCTGTTCTTTCACTCCTAATATCAATGTTGGCAGAAATTTTAAAAATTATTTTTTTCCAGGCAGAGTGTTCTGGGTTTAACAAAAATATGCATAGAAGCCATATGAAAATATTTTTGGTCAAGACTTCCATATGCAAGTGACACTAGTTCAGAATTTTTCCTAACTCCCTGGCAGGTACCCAAAATCAGATTAATTTAATAATTAAAAGCTTGAGAGTTTTGTTTATAAGAGTTTGGTTTATATTGTTTGGGTAGGGTGTGTCCAGATGGAAAGGAAAAAAATAAGTAAGTTATTGTCATTGAACAGGTAGGAAAGCTGGTAAGAGGAGAGAATATTACAGTGCCCCCCATAACAGCTGACTTCCATGTTTTGCCAAGTCAACATTTCAAGTCAACATGTTTCTCTATGTATTCATTTAGCAAAGTTAGGGGCACCCCTATTATGTGTTGCTGTATACAATTCTAAACAAAAAATTTACATTTTATTATAGAAACACTTAAGAATATACAAAGTAGAATATTAAATATATACAAAGTAGAACTCTCACGTGCACATCACTTAATTTAAGCATTCTCAATTCTTGCCCATCTTCTTTCCTCTGTATCCAAACTTGCTTCCCACACTCAACACCCCTATCTTATTTTGAATCATATCACAGCCATCAGGCTTTTTCATCTAAAATTATTTAAATCTATACCTTCAAATACAATAAATCGTACATACATATATACTAACTAGAAAACCATTATTACATTTAAATACCGATTATCCAAAGTTTTCTAGATTGCCTTATGTTTTGAGAATTCCTTTATTTGAATTTCTATCCAAATAAAATCTCTACATTTAGATCAGTTGCTATGTCTACTAAGTCTTTTAATATGTAAGTTACCAGCATCCCTTTATTTATTTTTTTCTTGCACTTAATTTTTTGAAAAGCATTATGCTGTTTGTCCTGTAGTATTCCCCCAGAGTCTAGATAATGCTGATTTTCTCCTCATGGCATTGTTTAACATCCTCTTCTCTCCTCTGCATTTCCTGAAGTTGGTTGTTAGAGATGGGAATAGGGATAGTCAAACTACAGCCTGTGGCCACATCCAGCCTAAAGCTGTCATGAGATCCTTGGGGTGTTGCTTCACTACCTGGAAACATCTTTAGCCAGCGGCATCTTCTGTGTGAGTATTGCTTGCACCTTCTGGGCTCATCTGTCCACTTGGCCTGGCAGGTCATGCTCAGTTAGCATTATCAGCCCAGATCCCGCACCTGCCAAGGACAAGCCAGGCACGAAGCAGCAAGGGTTGTGTGAACAAGTGAGCACAGGGTCCAGCCAGTGTGTACAATCAGGCACGCCAGCTGCTGCTTTGGGGCAGGCAGCTCCAGGCGCCAACCCAGGTGCCAGGTCTGTGTGAGGGTGAGGCTAGACCAGGTGTACTGCATGCATCTTCTCCTGTGGGCACCCGGGTCTCAACAAGGGGAACATGGTGGTGCCCGGAAGCTTGAAGACACCAGGCACTGCAGAGTCCCAAAAGGGTGTCACAGCCCTGGCTTGGGGAACCCCTATGTCTGGGCTCCCAGAAGGGCTGTAGCTCTTCTGTCCTTTTTGTTGCCGGTAACATGGAGAGCAGGGGGCTGTGTTTCAGCCCTGTTTGTGTTACAGCAGGTCGTTCCTACACGTGTCCAGCTTTCAGCAGAGAGGATACCCGCAGTGGATAGCTCCTTTTCACAGGCAGGTTGAGCTCCTTTTCAAAGGTAGGTCGTCCTGACATCACTCAAGTCTGGCTGAGTCTGGGTTTTTTTTATGGGCTCAGAAGGGAGGAAGTGCGTGCTGATTACTTAAAAGGTTGCCTTGGTTGGCCCCCCAAAAGCACCATCTAATTGGCCAAACAGTCATCGATGAAGTCCTCACTCCAGGCCCTGGACTTCAACCAGAACTGGCAGCCCGACCCTTAGTCTTCAGGCTGTTCCTGACCTGAGGGTAGGGTTTCACCGGGGACCCACCCCTTTCCACCCAGGAACCTGCCTCCCGCCATCAACATGTTGACTATGGCAGCCAGGTTGTTCGTGCTGAGGGGCACCTCAGCTCCATCCCGGCCTCCCTCCGGCGCTCCTTAGTGCCCAAGTCTGGAGGGGGCCGAGGCAGCAAGGGGCTGGGGTGTCAGCATCACTGTGAAGGTATACACCTGGCTGGGTTGCAACAGCACCAGGGCTCAGCCAAAACATTCCTCCCCTCTAGAGCAGGCACTGGGCATGGTGAGAGGCCAGGGAGTGGGAGCAGGCACTTCTGATCTTGTGGAGGAAGGAGGATTCCAGGCCCCTGAGAGTGCAGGGATGCTCAGGTCCAGAGCCATGGCTGGGCTGCTTCAGTTGTGCCCAGGAGTGCAGGACTCCCACCCTAACTCAGTAGGGGGTGGGACTCTGGCCTGTTCCCAGCCCCAGCTAGCTCCGTGGAGTGTGCAGTCCCTGCCGTGCCTCCCCTGCTGCAGCTGGCCTCTTCTCAGTGACTGCTCCAGATGGGCCATCGCTGCCATCAAAGCTTATTTTGTTTAGTGCAATTTTTTTAGAACCCAGTCAAAATTATTCATTTATGTATTTTCTATGGTTATGTTTACCTAAAAAGGTAGAATTGAGTAGTTGTGGTAGACATCATGCAGTCTATAAAACCTAAAATATTTATTCTCTGGCTCTTTACAGAAAAGGTTTATTGCCGCTCAATATCAAGGATTGATTTTCATTTGATTGTTTTTGTTCTGTGTACTTCATATTTTGGTGTCGTGTACTTTCTAGCAAATAAGTAATGTCCAGTTGTCTTTTTGTGAGGTTAAAAATCATTTGATGCTCATTTCCTGAATCTATTGATTTTATCAAGGAGTCGAAAATGCTAACAAACTAGTTATTTTAGTACCATTGAGGTAAGAGATCAGCAGGACCTGTTTTCATGACCCTGCTATCAAAACAGGAGCAAAAAACTGACCAAAACTAGCTACAACTAGGAATTATAATACATTTGCTTCGTATAAGACACTCCAGCACAATGACAGTTCACAATTGCCACAGCAACACCTGAATATTACCTGATATGGTTCCAGGAGCTCCCCACCCCTTTTCTGGAAATTTAGTGAATAACCTCCTCCTTATTTAGCATATAATAAGGAGAAGGTATACATATAGCTAGCCGCAACCCTCAAGTGCTACTCCACTTATGGGGTAGCCCTGCTGAGTCAATGGAGTAACAATTTTGCTGTACACTGTTGCTCTGATAACTTGCTTTCTTTCACCATTGGCTTGCTCTTGAATTCTTTCCTGAGCAAAACCAAGAACCCTTCCAGGCTAAGACACAATCTGGGGGTTTCCCCGCATCACCATGACCTAAAACGATTTCTGAAGACCTGACTTTTGTGTGGGACCTGGAAATATTGTACTAGAATATCTCATTGCATTATTTTATAGGGAGAGGATTTGTAAAACTTTTGAGAAAAGAGTGGACTAATAAAAAAAAATTGAATTGGTATTAAACCCTGGCTTTAGAAACATACATTTTTAATATTACTGAATATCAACTTCTGAATATGTAGAATAGAAATATCAGAAACTACTTGATATAACTATGGCAAATATTAGAAATTATGTAATATATAATTACATATTTTATACGTAATTTCTAATACATAATGAATAATCAATGTTAACAATTGGCTGTACCATATTTCATGAAAACACACTTTTTCACATATCAACATCTCTGAAATTGGACTATATTATGAAATTGAACTGTATTATAAAATTGATAAATCTTAGGTTTAATGAAATATGGAAGTAGCAGTGTTAATATGATAGCTATGTGTTGTGTAAGTGTGTTGATTCTGTGCCATTAATATTCCCACCAAAAGCTCGAATAAAATTATTTTCACAGAATTTTCTTAGGTCCCCAAATTCTGTTGTTCATTTATACTGACCAAACTTTCATGGAAGATCTTTATTCTGGTGTTTTAGGTATTTGTACCAAGTGCCCTGTTCAGATTAACAAAGATGAATTTTGAAACTCTAATGCTATCACCAGGCATCTAAGTGTGTTGCGTTCATGTATTTCCCTGACCCCCACCCCATGTGATTTGTTCTGTGAGAGAGCTAGAGTTAGAGGTAAACCAGTTTGAAATAGTCAGGCAGGGGATGCTTAAAGAATCAGTTGTAGTTTTAATTATTCTACGTCATTCCTGAAATTGAAATACTAGGGTTCAAGAAGATCTCTACTTGCTGTCCACACCCTCCTATCTCCAGAGACAGTTTCTCCCTGGGCGCATGATCGACTAGTCTAATCACCCTGAAACAAAATCGTAAAATATCACTATTAGTAATAATAACAAAACATACTTAATAAGCTTACAATTTTCAAAGTACTATTAAAAGTACTTTATATATGTTACCACATTTAATCATTACAAAAATTAGACATGTTAAATGCTATTATTATCTTCATTTTCTGGATGAGAAACATTAAGTAATATGCTGAAAATCTCACAGATATAAATAGTAGGGTCAAAAATATTATGTATATAAAGTATCTCCTCATTTTTGGGATAATAGATGTGAGAATTCTTTTCATTGTTGTTTGTTTTGTTTTGTTTTGAATAAAGCAGAGGATTTACTGTAAGCCACACGGCTGTCTGGGAATAGGAGTAGCTGTTAGTATGTATATTCCCCAGGCCTTCAAGGGAGCAGGGATACCAGATTTTCAACCTGCAGACTCAGTGAGACAACCAAACTGAAAAGGAAACCAAATTAACCTTAGCTGAGTCCTTGTGGATTGGTGCCAGTTCTCCTCTCATTATAAGTACTTAGGAAGATTGCGCTACCTCACTTTCCTCAACTTTAATCATGGTCATATGATTTACTTTGGCCAGTAAAAATTGAGCAAAAATGATATGTGTTGCTTCCAGTTAAAGCATTCCTGAAACAGAATAAATCCTCCATGTATTCTTATTCTTGCCACAACATCTTGTGTGAATTTTCCAGGCTCATGAATGAATGCGACATGAAGCAGAGACTACTGACAATCTGCAATGGACATATTTAGTGAGTAAAAGCAAATCTTAAATCTTTGACGTCACTGTGGTTGAGAGTTATTTGTTACCACAGAATAACCTAGCTTATTCATACTTTATAGTCAGAGTTAGTTTCTGTCAACACTCATAGAACCTAGATAAGCCTTTGTAATTTGGTCTAGCTCAATTAGCTATATATGATGCCCAACACTGAAGACCCCACTGTAAGTTCGTCTTTCAATGTTCATTTAATTAAGCTTATAAAAAATATGTAAGCTGAAGACATTTTCTTTTTTTTTTTTTGAAAAGTTAAAAATTCCTTAATTTTTTATTCCTGGTACCACTACCACAATTTACAGGGCAATATACCTGATGTAATGAAAAGAAAAAGAAAAAGACAAAGCTACAACAGATAAAAGACCTCAGGAATCTACATCTAGTTGACACTATATTGCATTAATCAATAGCTGCACTTTTTGCAAACTGTGGCTATGAGAGTCCTGAACAAGAAGGGTTTCCTGTTTAAGCTGCAGTAAATTTTCTGACTATGGATCATTGTTCCTTCTGTGGCAGATTTTTACAGTTCCTCTAATGCATTTGGGACAACTCTCTCGAGGTAACCTGCAGCTTTCCTGACAACTCCTTGCTCTCTCTCCTGCTAAGAACTGTAGCCCTTTTCTGCTGTTTTTAGAACCTTCTGCTACCATATCCACCACTTCCACCACCAGATCCATAACCACCACCATAGGGACTGCCCGAGCTTCTTCCACCAAAACTGCCCCCTTTCATGGGTCCATAATTTGATTGCTGTTGTCCACTATGATTTCCAAAATCATTATAGTTCCCACCACCACCATAGTTACCACCGCCAAAATTTCCTCCTTCATTGTAACCATCATATCCTCCACCACCTCCACCATATCCACCACCTTGGTTTCCATATCCTGTTCCACCACCACCATAGCCCCCTCTACTACTATAACCAGGACCACCACCATAGTTGCCACCGTCACGTCCAAATCTATTATATCCACCATCACCTCTTCCATAACTTCCTCTGCTGCCACCACCTCCACCACCATAGCCTCCTCTTCCACCAAAGTTTCCACCAAGGCCAAAATTACCTCCAGCACCTCCAAAGTTTCCTCCGCGACCCATAAAATTGCCAGATCCACCTCCATGACCTCTCTGTGATCCAGCAGACTGCATCTCTTGTTTAGAAAGGGCCTTTTTCACTTCACAATTATGCCCATTAATAGTGTGGTATTTCTGAACAACAATTTTATCAATTATATCATGATCATCAAAAGTTACAAAAGCAAATCCTCTCTTTTTTCCACTCTGCCTGTCTTCCATAACTTCTATGGTTTCAATCTTGCTACACTTTTCAAAGTAGTCTCTCAAATTATATTCTTCTGTATCTTCTTTAATACCACCAACAAAAATTTTCTTCACTGTTAGATGGGCAACGGGCTTTACAGAATCCTCTCTAGAAACAGCTCTCTTTGGTTCCACTACAAGACATTTTCTAAAAATGAAAAAAACATAAAGCATACAATTGACATTACACATAATACCTCCAAGTCTTAATATATTAATGTATTTACTTCCACTTTATATCCCAAGAGTATGTGAGTAAATATGAGCATATAAAAAACAACAATTATATAGAATTTGTTTTAAAAAATCTTTCTCTAGCTCATCTTTTATTTACTATGCAACAGAAATAGCCACTTTCACATATTTTAGAAATGATTTAAATCTTTAAATAAGCTAGTATTTCTGTGTAACTTACTATGTATCTTTCCTCAATGAAGAATAAGTATTTAATTTGTTTCTGTTTTTCTGTAACTACAATACACACTCAGCACTTTCTGCCCACAACCCCATTCTCTAATTATGGTTTATCATAACTTGAGTTAGATCAAGATTTATATTTCTTTCATGATTACTATATACATACTATTGAGAGCTAAGTAATATGCTTTAATTTTTTGAATCCTCACACGTATAAAAATGTCTATATTATATTGACAGTTGAGTGACATTTTGACTGATTATGGATTTATGAATTTCTGTTTTCTTCAGAATTTTTAAGGCATTTCCATTTTAATTTAGCTTCTAGTGTTTATCACAAAAAGCCTGAAGCATACTAATGACCGAACCTCAGCATGTAGGCATTTTTTCTCATATGTAATATTGTAGGATCTTTTTATTTTTCAATATTCTGGAATATTATAATGATGTGCCTCAGTGTTGCTCTAATTTTTCCCTTTCTATGGGCACATAATGGATTCTTGAAATATGAAAAAGCATGTCCTTAATTTATATAAAAATTTTCAAAATGTTTATTTAATACTTTAATCTTTTTAACTTTTTATGCGATCTACTTCATACATTCCTATTACTTGGATGTTTGAATTAATGGGATGTGTCTTTTATTGTCTTACACATCTCTATTCTTCCCTCCATGTTTGTCTTTTTGTTGTTTGTTTTCTCTTGTTTCTGTGAAATTTTCTCAGCTTTATCTTTCAAACATACTATTAAGCTTTACATTTCTAATTGTGAAACAATGTTCATTTGTTCTATGATACATACATATATATGTATGTATATGCATGCATGTGTGTATATACATATATAATCATTATTCTGTTTGTTTCATGAATGAAATACTTTGCTTTATTTCTTTTAAGGATTTATTTTATGCTTTTGTCACTGTGGCTCTGAGAATTGCTTAGTAATGGTGAACTGTACTCAGCATAGCCAATCAACTGGTCAGTTAGTCATCATCTTTTATATAGCAACAGATGACAAGACATCTAAAGAAAAACTCTGTTCACAAACAATTAAAAAAAGAAAAAAAAATGTTTGACAGAACGAAGGTGATAAAAAAGAACTTAGAAAAAATTAAGAGAGGCAAAATAAGACTCTTTTTATCCTCTTCAGAGAATCATTCTCAGTATTATTTTTCAAAGATAGCAATTATGTGCTTTTCCAAACAATTATAGAGCACGAGGTCATGCAACATATTCACTACAAACTACTAATTAATTCCCTTTATTTTGGGCTCAATTCTTTTCTTCTCCATTTCCAGTGACACCTTATATTGCTACATCGTGAGCATTTTGGACAAATTTTGACATGCAAACCTGGTCATTTATCAGCTTTATTTACTGCTGGCCAGGTTTGATTTGGGTAGGTTTTCTAAAAAGTGTTATGACAAGTTCAATTAATTTCCAACATCAATAGTTTGTTGATGATGGATCAATTACCATTCTTCTTCTTCCTGTGTGTTTATTCTAAAATAAATAAATTAATTAATAAACTTTACAGTCACTTAGTGGGTTTTCAGGATAGAGCAATATAAATATATTCATTCAAATTCTCTTAATTGGGTGGTATCCTTTTTTCCCTGTTTACATTATATTGTATGAATTGTATGAATTTTTCTAAAACTTTAATTCTTTATTTATTTTTTATTTATTTTATTCTTATTTATGTATTTATTTTGAGACTGGGTGTTGCTCTGTTGCCCAGGCTGGAGTGCAGTGATGTGATCATGGCTCACCATAGCCTGGACCTCCTGGGCTCAAGCTGTCCTCCCACCTCAGCCTCCCAAACAGCTAGGACTACAGATATGTACCAGCATGACCAATTAATGTATTAATTTTTTTGTAGAGACGGTGTGTCCCTATGTTGCCCAGACTGATCTTGAACTCCTGGGTTCAAGCATTCCTCCTGCCTCAGATTCCCAAAGTGCTGGGATTATAGGCATGAGCCACTGCACCTAGCCCAAAACTTTAATTCTTTTACAAAAACTTGATATTAAGGCTGTCCTGAAAGTATGCCATTATGAAATAACTTACAATTAATTTCACAATTTTCTTTTGTGAAATAACCAGATTGTTTCTCACATTTATGTATGTACATATATATGTATATATGAGTGCATTTAATCAAGAAAGTGAAAGGTTTGCAAATAAATATAAAGACATCTTTGTTCATGGATAGGAACACTTGATATTGTCCTACCCAAAGCAATATACAGATTCAATACAATCCATATTAAAATTCCAAGGTTTTTTTTTTTTAATGGACAAGTCAATTCTCAAATTTATATGGAATTTTAAAAGGTTCAAATAGCAGGCCAGGCGCGGTGGCCCACGCCTGTAACCCCAGCACTTTGGGAGGCCGAGGCGGGCAGATCACAAGGTCAGGAGATCGAGACCATCCTGGCTAACACGATAAAACCCCATTACTACTAAAAATACAAAAACAAAATTAGCTGGGCGTGGTGGTGGGCACCTGTAGTCCCAGCTGCTCAGGAGGCTGAGGCAGGAGAATGGTGTAAACCCGGAGGCAGAGCTTGTAGTGAGCCAAGGTCGCACCACTGCACTCTAGCCTGGGTGACAGAGTGAGACTCCGTCTCAAAAAAAAACAAAAAACATAAAACAAAAAACAAAAAAACAAACAAAAAAACAAAAAAAGTCAAAGTTTCTGTAAATTAGGAGTCTGAGTATGGCTTAGCTGAGTCCTCTCGTCAGAATCTCACAAGACCGCATGCTCATCTGGAGTCTTAACTGGGGAATAATTTACTTCCAAGATTCTTCAGGTTGCTGGAAAAATTAATTCCCTTGCAGCTGTAGAACTCAGAGCCCCATCATCTTGCTGATTGTCAGCTGGGGATTGCCTTCAGCTCTTAGAGGCCACACTCAGCTGCTAGCCATGTAGACCTATTAACATGACTACTCAGTTCTTCAAGGCCAGTTAGAGACAGGGTCTCTATAGTATGTCTATATCAGGATAGTCTTAATATATTAAAAAAAAAAGAGATTCAAATAGCAAAAATTTTTTTTAATAATAAGAACAAAATGGGAAGACACATTTCCCAATTTCAAAACTTACTACAAAGCTACAGTAATTAAAACTGTTGCACTGGCATAAGAATAGACATATATACTATCAGAATATAATTGAGAGTCTAAAAACAAACTCATATATTTATGACCAGTGGATTTTGGCAAACCATTCAATAGAGAATAAAAGCTTCTTCAACAAATGATGCTAGAACAGCTGGACTATCACATGCAAAATAATTAAGCTGGACTCTTACCTTATATCATGTAAAAAATGACTCAAAATGGATGATCAACCTATATATAAGAGCTAAAATTGTAAAACTCTAAGAAGACAACACAGGATTAACTGTTCATCAACTTGGGTTTGGCAATGGATACTTAGATATATAAACACAAGTAGCATCAAAAGATGCTACAAAAGAAAAAAATCGCAGCAACAAAAGAAAAAATATACTAAATTTACTTCATCAAAACAAAAACTCATATGCATCAAAGAAGTGAAAAGACAACTACACAATGGTAGAAAATATTTGCAGATTATACATCTAATAAATGTTGTATATCCAGAATATAAAGTGCTTCTATAACTCAACAACAAAAAAGAAACAACTCGTTTCAAAAATAGGCAAATACTTAAATAAAAATTTCACCAAAGAATAACCAATAAGCACATGTAAAGATGCTCAACATCGCTAATCATTAGGAAAGTGAAAATCAAAACCACAATGAAATACCACTTCATACTTACTAGTAAGGTTATAAAAACAAAAGGAAAATAAGAAGTGTTGGCCAGGATGTGGAAATTGGAACACATACATTGCTGATGGGAATGTAAAATATTGCATGTTACAGATGTGGAAAACAGTTTGTTGTTATTCAAAAAGCAAAACATAAAATTGCCATGTATCCCAGAAATTCTATTCCTAGGTATACAACCCAAGAATTGAAAACAGGAACTCATTGAGATTCCTGTAGGCCAGTAATTGTTGCAGCATTATTCACAATACCAAAAGTAAAAATAATCAAAGTGTCTATCAAAAAAGGAATGGATTAAAAAATGTAGTATATACGTACAGTGGAATATCATTCAGTCATAAAAAGGAATGAAGCTATGAAACATGCTACAACATGAGTGAACTCTGAAAATATTATGCTTAGTGAAATAAGACAGACACAAAAGAATAAATATTATATGATTCTACTTACATAAAATATCTAGAATAGGCAAATTCATAGGGTCAGAAAGTAGATTAGAGGTAATCAAGGGCTGAGAGTAGTGGTTAGCTGTAAGTTATTGCTTGATTGCAACAGAGTTTCTAATTGCAGTGATGAAAACTTGGAAATTGATAGTGGTGATGGTTAGCACAATTATTTAAACATTAAAATAATTAATGCTACTCAATTTTCTATTTATAACTGATTAAATAAAAGATTATATGTGTGTATAGATATTATTTTTATCATAGTAATTTTTTGTCCAAATAATTATTTCTCCAGAAGAAGTTTATAGAATCAGATTTTGTCATGAAATACATTTTTTTTTGCGTGTACTTATGTGATATTTTCTACAAGGTATGATAGCGGAGAAAAAAAGAGCTTGTTGTATAAATTTGTAAGCTCAGGAGTCAGACTGCTCCTGTCAAGTAGAATTTTGGAACTATTCCTTACTACATGGAAATTCTTGTTAGAATCTTAGAACTATCCTTTACTATTTGGAAATTCTTAGGCAAGTTATTTATGTTTTTTTTTCAATTATCTATAAAATAAAAACATAAAATTTTTCTCATAAGAGTTTTTGTGGATGTAATGGCAAAACATATGCATAACACTTAGGAAAGTACACAGTAAACTCCAGTATGTTAGTGATTAATACACTTCCATCATTTACACTAGACAATGTCCTTAAAATGGTCAAAATATTTAGAATAACAAACGTAACCTACATTGGCTTTCAAATGAAAAAATTATATTAATATGCATATACAAAGCCAGTTAATAAAATTAAAAACAAATTTAACTCTCTGAAGAATTTCTGCCCCACTAAATTTTTAACTAATAATGTAAAATCACACTGGGGCAAAAGAGCTATCCCCTCCCATTTGGAATTATCTCAATAATCTCATAAACCTTTCATTAATTTTACAAGTAGAAACACTTTTCCAACTATATGAAGAATATGGAGCAAAACAAAGTAAGATATAAAACATAATCAAGAATTTATAGTGTACTTTGAGAAATACCTAGCAAATTTTATGAAGACCTCTATATTTTAAAATAAATACTTATTAATAAGGATTACATCTTCAAGATAGCAGAAGTTTGGAAAACAAATATTAGTAGGCTCTTTTTCAGGCAGATTCATGTAGTTTCTAGCAAGCTACCTCATCTGAACAAATGGCAGATGCTATCATGATAGCTGAGCAATTTAACAACCTGCTGTATCACACATGCACAAATCCTAATACAAGGAGAATGTAATCTTGCCAAGCACAGAGATTCATTGTTAATTACATTTTCCTTCTATAACTTGTAACATAATATTTAACAGGTTCTTAAATAATTTAAGGTTTACTCACAAGCTATTAAGTCAACTTATTTTTCATATTTTTCTTGTCTGTTTAATACAAACTCAAAAATATTGTAAAAAGTGAGTTGTTTCAGATTTTTAAAAAGTTAATATTTTTCATGGAAAAATCAGTATTTGCTGGGTAATGTGTAATGTGGATAACATATTTTGGTTATTTTTGCAGCTTCTAAAAAAGATAGGTTCAATGCGACTATGACCATAAAATTAGTGGTAATTTTGATGTGTTGAGAATGAAAATATTAATACAATCAAGGGGTATAGCTGTTTAGTGTTTACCAATCATTTTACACATTTGCAAATTAAAATCACAGTCATTATCAGTAACACAAAAATGACATTTTATGAGACTTCCTGAAGAACCTGTGGGAAATCACCACTATGTAAAACATAGTTTGTTCTTATTTAAAAAGAACTTAAAAAAAAACTATTTTAAAGTTCACTTAAAACATTCACCTCAATTTTATAGTAGAATAATTTTAAAAAGATGTGATTATGATTTTATCTTGAAAACGCATCTAACATATTACAAATATTTACATATTACATGTACATATTTACATATTATCATGTTTACATATTTACATTTCATATAACATTGACCATATTTACATTTTAATATAACATTGGCCTTATTTTCAATAGAATTAAATCATTATTTTAAATAGGCATTAATTCTCTGAAAACTTTAAGCTCGCATTAAACTAACTTAAGTTTGTGTTTTTGTATGCGTTTGTATTTTTTGCTAAAACTTGATTATTGCACATAACATTGTGATTTTTTAAAAGAACAATCAGAAAAAAAGATCATTTTTGCCAAAATACTGTAGGGCTTCATTAATTTTCCCAAGAACCTTTTTCAACTCTTTGATATCCAAATCATTCTCTTTTGAAGCACCTAATGTATCAACATCTTTGCCAATATATTTCTTTAATTTTTAACCAGTTTATGATACTCTCAATTGTAAAAGGCTTTTAGTGATAAACTCTAGTAATTCTACTTACCTTTATTGGCTTCATGAAATCATGTAGTTATTGCAAGATTGCAATTTGTCTTTGCATATATTTCATGGTTTTGTTAGATGTATAGAACATCCTAAAACCAAAAGGAAAATAACTGAAAAAGATGTTGCTCAGTTTACTGGGATGGATATTGTTGGTCATAAAAGAAAATTTGAGGTAGTGATCAGTTATATCAGTGGTATTAATAAATAATATCTTGTTTTGATGACTTGTTTTCTAGAAAAATTATAAATAATAACTACTTGGATACAAGGAAAAATTCCTATACATCTAGAGATTGGAGATTTGAGTAGAACTTTTGCATAAAGACTTGATTTATTATGTAATTTGTTTGCTCTTCCAAATATAATAAAATTGCAAATTAGGTTTAAAACACTTTCACATATGTTTTATAATGACTGACTAGTGAATAAGGTGCCTTTGATTATCATGGACATTTTGAAGACATCTTATGTCATACAGTTAAAATACTAATTTAAAACATGTTTTTAGCTATAATATTTCTGGAAGCTGGTCAACTCTCATGTATTTCAACACCCAATTATCAAGAGCTATTTATTATTTCACCAAGTTATTTCCATCATTTTATTTTTTAGTGACATATGTTTCATAGCTGTTTCCTGAAACACATTCCCTTGCTGATTCTAGTTAAGAATTCTGCACTTAGGCAGACCAAGATAAGTTTCCATTTCAATAAACTTTTATATATATGCAGTTCACAATTTGATATACCTTAGTGTTCTCTCTTCCAGGCTAACATTTTCTGGTTTTTCGTCTCATTTCTCATGACATCTTTATGCTCTGCTGTTACAACCCCTGGATTCAATTTGGTTATGGTTGCTCATCTTAAAATGAGGTATCCAGAACTAATCATGTTCGTTAAGAGTCATCACTCAAATGCACAATTGACTTGGACTATTTTTGTGATGGTGTTCTCAAAGAATAAAACATTCTTATTTTCTTAAGTTCCTGTTTGTGCTGAAACTGACACGTGGTGATCTATTACAACCCTCTCTTAAGGTGACTTATGCCTCATATCATTTTTCTTACCTTAAATCCTACTTGGGAAAAGGAGAGTTTTTTTTTTTTTTTGAAAATGACTATATCTTATCTTCACTGCCACACTGTGTCTCTTTATAATCGGTTTGTGTCTATAAAATACTTAGGCATATTAATCCTATCTATTATGCATGCTGTCTTACAAAATTTTCTCAAGCAACATTTAGTCATAAAATAATGTTCTCTATGTTTTACATATTGTAAAGTGCTGTTCCTTCTTTCTAAGAGTGAATCACAATTTTATCATACTTTCTATTCTGTAGTTATAGACAAATTCAAACCAAATTCTTAAATATTTGCTGGAAATAAAGCAGGAATTAATAATGCATACACATACATTCTCTTAATTGACAAGTAATTAATTTGCTGACATTTGATCTGAAAATGTACACAGACCACATGATCCCAAGGAATAAAAACACAGAAGATGATAGTAATTACAAAAGAAAAGTAACAGTTGCACATAACACTTGATATAATCAAATCTACATTCTAGAGAAAAATAAAATAGGTAAATAAAAATTGTTTTAAGCTGTAATAGCTATTATACAAGAAAGAAAACATAAACAGAAATTGAAGTAATCAAGAAAGAGACCTACTTTTGACTGGATGGTCAACAAATTTTTGACTAGGAAACAAATTAGCTGAAATTTAAATGGAGAAGTAGTCTAATAAAGAGGCAGGCAGAATATTCTGGAAATCAGAAATAACATTTGTTAAAACATCTATTTTTTGCTTATATGAATGAAGTCTGCCTTTACAAGACTGGTATCTTTGAATTACCGTGAAGAAGAAATCCAACAAAATGGAATTCTAGACTCAGAAAAATTGTTACTCAAGACTGAGGACACATAAAATATATACTTAAATGAAATAAATGAGAGAGATTACCACTCAAAGATTTTCGGAAAATAGTTACAATATCCTTAGCTTCAAGGTGGAAGACTGATTATACAAATGGACAATGGTCAGACCATATATGACAACAGGACTGTGACACACAAACTTTGCACAAGTAGTCCAGGAAACAGTCCCAACTTCTGCAGCAGTTTGCCCAGAATGGTAAATTAATCACCAGTTACCATCTTTTCCTATATTTTGTTCTGACTTCTAACTCAGTCCATAACAGAGAAAGCAAAACATGCTTCCCAAAACTATCATATAAGATGCCTCACTGCTACTTAACCTTCCTCCATCTTCCTCATGCCAAAAGCTTCCAAACAGAGCACACCTAACGTTTTGCTCTCTCTCTCTCTCTCTTTTTTTTCCCATTATAAAGCTTTCCTGCCTGCCTTTGAGTCTCTGCCTGATACAAATGGTGGTACCCAACTCACTTGCAATAGCAAGCTCTGAATAAATGGTTTCTGCTTCTCATTTCCATGATTCTAGTGTATTTCACAAAGGAAATAGAAAATTTAAAACAGAATGGAGATAGGGATAAAAGAATAAATGGTTAACAGAGACTAGTAAAAATGTGAGGAAATTGAATGGGTATTTTTTTAGAAGAACAATTCAAATAATTATATTAACTAATAGAATGTTAGGAAAAAGACAACTAAAATAAAAAGAGGATAATAATAGTGATGACATGATGAGCTCACCCAAATGTCCTCATGTTACACTGGTAGAGGAATGATATTCACACTTTATTAAATCAGGTGTTCACGTGAACAATTTAAAGATCAATAGTATATACCATTTATGAAACACTTGAGAAAAAAGAGCAGAAATCAAGAAAACTTAATTTGATGGCAAAAAATTATATAGCTATAGATACAATGTAATTCTAGAAAATGCTGGAGAATGCAAAAAGCTAAAGTGATTGTCAGGGTCTTTTGTATTTTTCCGTTTTGCTTTCTCTGCTATAGAATTCGTTATGTCCATCTTAATAACTTTCACCACTGCTGTTGATCTATTACTCTTCTTTTTCACTATCTATGACCTGTGGTCAGTTTTTTTAAAGCATATGCATCCTACATTCACAAATGAATTTCATTTGAGCTAGCCAGGTATATGTGAGTGAGAACAATTGTAAATACACCCATTACATGAATGAGCATGCTGAAGTATATATCATTTAAGTAAATCATGTAAGCAATTTAAGTAACGCAAATAATACAGTAGTCACTAGTCCTCAGGTAGAACTTAATACAGTACTTCAGTATTTTTTTTTTTAGAATTCTAGCTGCCTCCAGATAGACTATCAATGTCAATGAGCCACATACATTATTTTCCAATCAAGTGAAGCTGAGAGCAAGAAATCTTCAATGTTAGACACTCAAAGAACAGTTTCTGTGTGGCCAGAAAGTATCATTTTGACACTTTTATTTAATTAGAAAAGCTTTCTATTAGCATTATAAAGGTCGTTCAAGACACTGTTGTCAGTGACATCCACCAGCAAGTCGATCAGACTTGAACTGATTGTCCCGAGTACTTCTTTGCCCCTATTGAACTTGACCCTTTGCCCAGGTGGAATTTAAAGAAAGAGATGCTGGAATAAGCACTGCAAACCTTCTAAACTGCAAAGTGGATAATTCAATCTTGAGACAACCTCTCAAAGTAATTTTGTCTTTAACAGACAGGAGATAACTAGAATATTTCCATATTTGAAGCAGGCTTTAAAATGCTTTTTCCTAACATTTTATTTTCTGAAGCTTAAAACTACTCTTTTTACCACAAATGTAAGTCATTTGTTCTGTTTAAAAGACATGAAAATTATATGAATTTTCTGGTGTGTAATATGTTTCTACCTGTATAAATTTTATTGAAAGGTTTGTGATACTTAAAATATTGTGTCCGCAATAAACCCAAGTTAACTTCAAATTAGTATTTAGTTTTTTGCCTTGAAAAATATTTTAAAATTTAAACTTCTAAATCCAGTAGTCCAGGCTACCACTTTCATTATTATTTCTTAGCTTCTGGGCAAAATTAAATGTCAAATCTTCAATCACGAAGATCCTTTTAGAATCATGAAATTAAGTAAAAACCACATTATGACTTTCAGCTTATATTTATGTAAGCTCAAAATAACACATCACACTACTGTTCTGATATTTAATATATTTCCCACAGATTAATTTTCAAAGTGTGGCTCTTGAACGTTAAAGACAATGTCCATATGTTAAAGAATTTGGTCTAAAGCACAGACACCTTGAATTCATTTATTTGACAAGGAAATTAACCTAAAGAATCCAAAGATGTAAATATATAATTGCCTGTTTTTGTAAGATATGAAAACATATTTATGGTCCGTTTTATTTCAGATAACTAATATGCACCTTGTCCAACTAAAATTAAAATTAAATGAAGAAAAGTGTTATGGTTAGCATGTGCATTGTGAAAAAGTAATTGTGTAGTGACCACAGTTTGCTTACATTTGAAACTGCTGAGTTATCATGCTAAAGTGTAAAACTGTTTTTTAGCTTTTGAATTTGAGTTATCTTTATTTTGGAATCTCAAGCTTTTATTCATTTATTTATTCACCCAATATGTATTTATTGATTAGCCATTACATGCCAGGGACATATTAAACAGTAATGAACAAGACAAAATTAGACTGTGGCTTTATGAATGTATGGTATGATTTTACAACTATCTAAAGCATCTTAACTTCAAACTACTTTAAAAATATTAATCTATTAAATAAATTTCACCTGTTTCATTCAGTGAACATGAGAGATAAATATATATCTACTCTTGTGAGCAGTTATTAAATATTACAAACTTTTTTCCAAAATGAATGAATACAAAGTACATTTTTACTTCGTATTTTAGAAATTCTATGTAATACCAGATTGATACGCACCTGTCCAACATAATTAGTCCCTCTACCTAAATTTCTAATGTTATTTTCTTTTACAAATAAATAATGGATGGGAAAATATATGCAATTATTAGCTACACAATACTCTTCAATTACTTCATTTATTACAAATTAGTTTTATCCTTGAATTTGCAAAGTTTGTCACTCTACAGATTGAAAAATCTGAAGTACATCTGTCATTATCTGCCCTCATTTTTTAATTGATAATATCATTGATAATATTACAATTCTATAAACAATGGATAATGTATATGTGAAATTTTTATACATGCCAGTTTTACTTGTTATTAATCCTTCATAATTTTTCAGTTTTATTGTATAATATGATTTTAAAAACTTTTAAAGCTCAGAAAGTTATAATTAAAAATTTCTCTAAAAATTGCAACTTCATATTGGTCTAAGTTTTTTCATCAAATGGGAGCCAAGTTAAAAGAAGCACCAGGCTCACAAATTACCCCTACTATGGTGTAGGTGTGGTGAATATATATGGACGTAATGGAGATCATTATTCAGAGACAGAGTCACTGTTGTGGCCCACACTGCAAATACAAAGCAAAGAAAAATCTCAGCTTCATTTTCATTATACAACTTATCTTTATATTTTAAGAATAAATAAAATAGCTCTAGTCACAATGATCAGTGAATTTAAATTCACAATAAATAGGACCTTTAGAAAATGACGTGCTCTCCTATAGAGTCGTCATCTAAAATATTCCACATTCCTCAATATTGATTCTGTTAAGAAAGTTGTCCCTCTAGTCAATTACTTCAACACACACAATGTGGTTGTAAGTCCACAGTCTAGTCATACATTCTGAACAATGTCTTTGTAAGAAGCCTCTTCGTTTAAAATTTTTTAAGGTTTACAAATGATTGGACCTGTGTGGAGATAAATTAGAGACTAGTAGTAGGGGCTATGACAATTATGTTCCTGGTACTTATATTCAGCAATAATGAAAAATGTTACATGTCTCTGTGTTATGAGCTCAACTAAAGTGCTACCTTAAACTGATTACACATCAATTTTGAAATAACTTTTATTTAGTTTAATATATTAAGAAATGTTCACACTACTACAGTCAGAATCGATCACTTTATATGTTAGTCATGGAACACATTGAAGAACATGCTTAGTTTCTTTATGTATTGCTTAAATTAGAATCTTAAAACTACTGAAGCAGTCTGCCTTTCACTGTATAAATTTCATAAGCAGAATTTCTATCGCTCAAGTTTTCTTTTCCTAGTCGATTTCTCATGATTCAGAAACTTAATTAGATACAGAGTCTCCTCCACCATTCACCATACTCATGTACTCTGCTCATGCCGACAGCAAAAATGCTGCTAAAAATGAGTGGGTGGAAGAAGTATTATAAATGTTATAAAATTTATCAAATGGTTGGTAAAGGAAAGAATACATATATGCTTTCTTTTCACTTGGATGTGACTGGGAATATTTTTTCCTATGTTACTCAAAAGGTCTTTTTTTCTATAAGCTGTGTTTTGTTTCCCCCTAAATAGTGTTTCTAAAATTTCAAGCTATGTATGAATTAAGTAGGACCTTACTGAAAAGGGAGATTTGGATATTGTAGGTCTGAAGTGTGGTCTGATATTCTGCGTTTGTAAAAAGCTCTTAGTGATGATAATGCTGCTAGTCCACAGGCCACACTGAAGACTCTAAGAGTCTCTCTCCTAACATTCCAGTTAAAACAACTATGAGTACAATATTTTTTTCTGGAGAACCTAGTGGGGAATAGAGTGGAAAAATATTCTATGTTGTCATTCCTTGTGGGATAAACAAACAGATGCTCGGGATAAAGTGTGATGCGGTAAGAAAAGCACTATGATTTCGAATTGGACAATTTAAACTTGACTGTTAAGTTCCAACATCAAAGTCATGCAACACGGAAAAAATAAGATTTCTCACTTTACATTTTCTCTCTGATAAAATCTGCTTACATCAAAGCATGTTTCTGATATTAAGGTGGGATGATCTATATGAAAGTGCTTCCTGTATGATGAAGCTCTATATAGGCACATTACATTGTTATTTTATGCAGTTAGATGTCTTTCTGCCCTCCTCTCCACCATCAGTGCCATAGTCTGTGCCCTTTCTGTTTTTAGCTGCTGTGAAAACTGCTCAAGAAACTGTCACTCAGCAGCTGCAGTGACTGCCAGTACTAAACCAGTTGATAGAAGGATCTAAGAGGGGAGAGGACAGACAATTTTGTTTGCTCTGCAGTTCTGGTTATAAAGCTTGGATATAAAAGGAGAAAATCATTGTGATGTGGAATGTGAATTTTAAGATGCTTTCATTGGTTTCATTCACATTCTAGAGCAGTGTCCTCAAGAGTGTTCAGCACCTTAGAAAGTTTTTTTTAAGTCTTTCTTTAAAAAAATATTAAAAGGAGTATGTCATCTTCACAAAGATGGTTATTATGTCATTGATCATGTAACTACATAGATAAGATTCTGGACTTATTTGCAGCTAGCTGAAAACCAACCGGCAACTTCATATTTGATATATAGATGAAGTGAAATTGCTTTAAAACTAATGTAGAATTTATTTGTAGTGCACAATTTATTAGTATGCATGAAGATGAATTAGAACCTGCAAGCTATATTAAATTTAATGCATCAGAAAGGGAAGTAATGAATTACTTGAAAATCATTTTAAAGCATCATTGCTAATGCGCTGTTAAACCGCGCTAGTACTAACTGCAGAGACAAATATTATTAAATCTGCCAAAGTCCCCAAACTGTGTTTTACACAAGTCCTTCAAGAAAATAAGGAAAGGCATTTTACTCCCATCTTTATGAATAAATACAGTATGAAAGCATATACACCACATATTCAAAGAAAGGCTTTAACAATTTGAATATCTCATAAAATAATTTTTATTCTAAGGCTAAAACAAAAGTTGTTTTAATTTTCAGACAGACATAACATGGAATTTATTAACTTCATATTTCTAGTGGATAAAAGAAAATGTAATAAATGAAGAGATGAGCCCAAACTGCACTCACTCAGCTTTAGTTAGCGTTGGCGCTCAGTTAGCTGACTTCTCTATCTGCAGCTGTAATATTGTACTGGCTAAGCCTTTTAGTGTGCACTAAATCCTAGCTGCATAAAAGTGAAGCTAAATGGTATTTACAGGTCCTTTTCCCACAAAGTGCAAACTAGCATTCCATTTATAATCCTATAATAACACTTTGTAATCTGCATACCAATGCAGTGCAAATAACACATTTACTTTAGAAATGAGCATAATTAGATTATATAGATCATAGTTGAATTGGACTGAGTGACCTTTTGCTAGCATTCTCTGATAATGCAAGAAAATTTTACTACTTGGCTGACTTTTCTCATTTAATCTAAATGATCAGTTTCTGACATAGGCCTTGAAAATCTTCAGACTCTTTCACAGTCTGGAGTTCATGTGAAGATTTTTTTTTTCCCCAGTAGAAGGAGTCTTAGTGTTGAACACTGAGAGCTGGGGTTAATATTCTCTATACATACTAGAAGTAAGGAGGAGGAACACATAAAATGTAAAATGAGTGGGCCGGGCACAGTGGCTCATGGTCGTAATCCCAGCACTTTAGGAGGCCCAGGCAGGCAGATCACCTGAGGTTGAGAGTTCGCGACCAGCCTGAGCAACATGGAGAGACCCTGTCTCTGCTAAAAAATACAAAATTAGCTGGGTGTTCGGGCACGTGCCTGTAATCCTAGCTACTCAGGAGGCTGAGGCAGGAGAATTGCTTGAACCCAGGAGGCGCAGGTTGAGGTGAGCCGAGATCGCGCCATTGCACTCCAGCCTGGGCAACAAGAGCAAAACTCAAAAAAAAAAAAAAAAAGTAAAATGAGTGATGATATAAAATTATTTATAATTGGGTTTATTATGGTTTTTGTACTTACGTTTTTGAACTAATATTTTTGAGAGTATGCTTTTCCCATTTGTGTATAATTCAAACTTTATGTTATATATTACATAGTTTAAGCCTAGTTTTTCCACTTAGCAATACATGAGATATTTTGCATCTGAATGGTTAATTTTTTTAAGTTATTTATTCACTAAATAGTTATTGTGCACTCACTATGAGTCTCCTATATTGGGGTAAGTGGTGAAAGCTGAATGTTTGTTTCTGAAATTTCCTTTTGAAACCCAAAACTATAATCAAAGATAAGGAAGATATAGTGACAATAACAACAGCAACATAGAGTAAATTCAGAGTAAATCACATCTCCTTCCTATTAAGAAAGGCGAAGGGAATTAAGAGTCATTTGTAACCTTAACACATTTATTTCTACTCTTTCACTCCTAAGACCTCCCATTAAGCAAAAATTCATGTAAAGTAGGAACATGTGCCTGAATGTTTGCCACTGACAAAGACTCTAGTCCCCTCAAGGTCACAGAGAGTTACATCTGCGTCGTGCATCCACTATCCCTCCAGTCTTCCAATCTTGTATGGGAGTTCCAAAACATAGCTAAAACAACACAAAGATAGATTGAGAGGCGATCTTCAAGAATTTTTTTTTACTACCTCTTTTATAAATTCCATATGGGAAAACTTGTTTCAAGATGTTCCTTGCTCAGAAAATAATCATAAAAGAGTAAAAGAACTCTCTTTGCTTAGGTTAGTTAGGCCATATTTATAGGATGGTAAGAAATGTCACAAGTCTGAAATAAATATGAATGTTCACTTAATAACAGAAAAAGCTGAAACCTGAGCTTCTTATGGTTCTAAATCACAAAATTAAATAATAGATGTGTGCGAATCTGTGTGTGTCTAAATGTCAATAGATACATGCATAAAAATATATGTTTACAAACTCACTCTTCCATTATTTGTGTTATGTCCAATAAACAAAATAATTAACACTATCATGGTTAGTTTCCTTCCTTTTTCCTCACCCCTCACATGATTCCAAATATCCATTCAGCCTTAAGGATATGTTGTGAATTTCCACTGACACCATTTCAGCCAAGCTGCTCTAAGAGCTCCTGCAAGCTGCTTCTGACTGATTTCCCTGCTTCCATTCTTGTCCTGTCCAGTTAGTTTCCTACACTGCAGCCAGTGTCATGTTTTTCAAAAATAATGTCATCTTTTAATTTGACCTATCCAATGTATCCCCATTTCTCTCATATGAAAATGCAGTGTCTAATCACAGTTATATAGCTGAAAATGTTACTTTCCTGTGAAGGCTATTCTGTATCTCCTTATTTAAACTGACATAGGCTGGGCACGGTGGCTCACGCCTGTAATCCCAGCAGTTTGGGAGGTGGAGGCAGGTGGATCACCTGAGGTCAGGAGTTTGAGACCAGCTTGGCCAAGATGAAGAAAACCCCGTCTCTACTAAAAATACAAAAATTAGCTGGGAATGATGGCACGTGCCTGTAGTCCCAGCTACTCGGGAGGCTGAGGTGGGATAATCACTTGAACCCGGGAGGCGGAGGTTGCAGTGAGCTGAGATCATGCCACTGCACTCCAGCCTGGGCAACGGAGCGAGATTCCATCTCAAAAAATAATAGTAATAATAAAGAACAAACTGGCCTTTATTAGTTCAGTTTTTATTACAAAATGTGGAATGTAGTTATTCCTTTATAACACTTATCATGGTCTTCAATAATTGTATTTATCCCCTTCTTTGCTTATTGTCCATTTCTACCACTAGTATAGGCAGAGAAGTAACACCCTTGCTTTTCTAGTTCACCTTTCTATTTCTGAACAGTACCTGATATCTAGCACTCATGCAGCTGAATGCTGAATGAATGTGTTGCATACACTAGTGGCAAGGGGTGAGGTGTATGATCCAATTGTGGGATGCTTATGGATAGATTTGGCTTCTGCTTAATTACACTGTAATTAAAATATAATTTTCTCCTTAGTTATGTTATACTTAGGTATACAATGATACAATGTTACTTACACAGTGTGGTTGTTTTATATCTCTTGACCATAATGAAGTAGCAGAAAAAATGTGTGTACCTCAATATTTTGATATATTAACATTTTTAAATTATTGCATAAGGGATATTGCCCTAGCATCTGCATCCCTTCACAATTTCAATTCTTTAGCTATCTTCTGAAATTTTCCTTTTTTTTCAGTTGGACTTATTGATTGTAACTTATCTCCTAGTCCTATATCCTTCATTCTTATCTTTGTTATCATCACTTTGCTAAACTCAGTGAATTTACCTATCCTTATGTCTACAGCTATTGCATGTATACTGAAAACCACTTCTAATTTTGATCTTTTACTTGCATGTGCATAATCCTAAGACCCTGAAGTACAGCATGATAGTAGACTTTCATCTCATTCTTGCCAGATTGAAAAAAAAAGAAATCAACTTCCTTAACTTTCTTTCTCCCTTCAGATTTTCTGTTTCTTTTATTGACATGTCCAGGGCTGGAAATCTTGGAATCTTCTTTAAATCAATATTCTTTCGTTCTGTCTCCTTTCGCTTTGTTTGTTCTTAGTATTTTCTTCACAAACTCTCTTAGAATTTTCCTTTCTATTTCTTTTCCCATGGCCCTCACTCTAATCCTTTAACTCACTCTTAAATAACTATAAATATTTTCTTTCCAGCTCACTGCCTCCGGATTCTTTCTACCATCCACCACTACCAGATTATATTTTTAAAAACTATTTTTCATCATTTTTGCTCCTATACAAGAACTCAGATGGTTTACAGTAATCTATGTTAAATAACACACACACAGACGTGCACATACACACACTCCCCAAACTAAACCTCTAAAAAAATTGATAAATTTGGACCTTTTTAAAAATTAACTTTTTTTTACCAACAGTAAAACATATTTATTTTCTCCTCTATATCATTCAGTGTGTTAGTACTCCAACTACAGAATTCTTATATTTTTCTTCCCTTCTATTAAACCTATATGAGATACATTATTTAGAAATAAACTCTAATATTTCCATTACTTCTCCTTCTACTTCATGTTGTATTGCATCTTCTTTGGATTTCATAGTCCCTTATATCTTGTATCACGCATACTATTGCTTGACTATGTATACCTTGTTTATGCATACTTTTTATATTCTTTATCAAGCTCATTAAGAACATAAAATTTAAAATAGCTTCAAAGATTAAGGTTGGAAAGTGATATATACTTCTAAATGTAGGTAGTAAAATAAACTTAGTTAAAAATTGATATATTTAATGAGTATGTATACCTCATTTGCAATGATCTTTACCTGCATTAATATAAGCATTACTCTAACTCAAAAGTGATATAGATCTTTTCCAAAGCACCTGAAGACAATATTTATTCCTCCTTTGACATCAGTAAATGTTTAAAATTTCCTGATGAGTTCAAAACAAGATATAATAAACACATTTTAAAATGCCATACTTTTTAGAATATCTTATTTTACATATATTTAAAGCACCAATGTTTTATAATTTTTCTTCGGGGTGTAGTATAATATTTTTAACAAGGTTATGTTGGTAAAATTAAAAAGTTTAATACATGATATAATTCTGCACTAAATTCATTTCATAACTAAGATTGTTAAAAACTCTTTGACTCTGCAGTAGAATTTTGAAATATTTCATTTCTGTAAAGCTGTTTAAGACAGTGGAGACAAATAGTTTATAAGATGTTCATAGTTAGGAATGCTGCTTTCTTTTCATTCTGACACATCTGGGGCATACAATTATTCACAAAGGTCACTTTCTAAAGAAGAAAAAGAACAATGACCAACGGCAGCATTTAGGTTTCAAATAGACTATGACAATTTAATCAATGACAAAACTCAATGTCAAGAACCATCTTATTTCTAGGTAGACAGAGAATGACATTTCATCAGAGCTAAGTACAATTGTCTACATTAAAAACTCACCAAAAATGGCTACAGAAAAAGATTTAGAGAAAAAAAAGAGAGAAATCATATTAAGTTTAAATGTGAATAAAAGTTTCCTTTTCTGACTGATACTTTCAAAAGTCTCATTGTGAATTAAACAATGTTGATAATCTTAAGGAATAATAAAATTAAAAGCTTCATGAAGAATATTATGTACCACTTCACCTCCATAAAACTCATATTTTTTAAATATGTACTATGATTAATTGGTTGAGAAATTTAAAAGAGCAAGACTGCCCTTTCAAATGATGCTTTAAACAGTGTTAGAATAAATACAGTCTATACATATTCAGGCGTGCTGGTTTATATATATATGTTTTTAAAATAAAATTGTTTAACATTCTTGATCAGCTACTGTAACCACTTCAACCTATGTATATTTAATCTATAACAGACATTAATATTTACCTGGAAAATAGCTATTTTTTTAAGTTACTGCAAGTCTATAAGACTCAATTTCTATTCCTTAAAATAATTATAATAATACTTTAATACATGTGGGACTTTGACCTAATTTAGTATCACAATATATATTGTGTAAGCCCTAGCAATGTTTTAGGCATAAAGTTTGCAATAAATATTTTAATGAGTTATTCACCATTTTGTGCTACTTCCTATGCTGCAAAATGTGTATCTTCATTTCTTTTAGGCATGCCTTACTCTTTCAGAAAAATATATTAAAATAGGAAGGCGTTGTAACAAGATATTCATATTACTTTTTTCACATACTTGCAGAACTATATTTTAGGAGATCAAAAGCATAAGACAATGAACTAGGGCTCCAGTGGAAATAGCTAATCCAACCAATATGTGATAGCGAATGCATATAAGTGATAAAATTATGAGATTTCTAATACAGGTAGGATAGTATTAGAAAAATGGAAAGTCATAGAATAAAAAGGGTCATATTTTAGTATCTTTCTGCAATCTGAAATGCTTGGATAAATTAGACTAAACCCTAAAAATTTTTATTTTTTATTAAGAAAAATGAATGTGATAGATTATCATAGCTGTAACTGGAAGAACAGCATGATCTCTGTCCCCAAAATACAACTAATAGATATTTATACATACCGAAGACAATATAATTAAGAGATATAGTTAAAGAGCACTGTGAAATTTGCAGTTTATATACCTGAGCTACTTTTAACTGAAAAATGAAAACATTTTCATGAATATTCAAGAGACAGAAAAATAGTAGTCAAAGAAAATTCTAGATTTTCCATAAATAGAAATATTGTTTGTTAACTGGAGAAGAAAAAGAGGAAGAGAATAAAAACTTTTGAAGAATAGGTTAAACACAGTAAAAAACTTGAAATAGTATTTTCAGAAGTTCATTATTCTTTCAATTTTGCTATTTTACTTTATGTTCATCACACTCTTCAACAATTAAATGGCCAAAACCTTTCCATTTTGCCAGTCACCTATCAGACCACCTCAAATCTCTTCCTGTTGCTCACCTTTTTTCTACACTCTATCTTCCTTTACTTGAAAGTATTCTGAGATTGGAGTATGAAATAGCTATTGACTATTTTGTAATTTATAAAAGTCTATCAATAAGCTAATTTAATTTTCCTCCCCCCAAAAGCTTTAAACCCTACAATTTAGTTACAAATGTTTATTTTTTGCACCTACATTCAGCAAGGCAGATATTTGCTTATCAGGATTAGTATAGGAATCAAATCTGAATAATTGAGAAACCAAAACAAATACATGTTTATGTTTGTAATTTATGGAATATATAAATGCTACACTTTGGAGCACAAATTTTTAAACATCAATTATATTCACTAATTTAAGTTAAATTATAACTGTATTTCACTTTCCTTTGTGTTGGGTACGTAGAGTTGTATGTATGGGAGTAATCAAGTCAAATTAAGGAATTCTTTCTATTGCTCCTTACAAATGTAGACGCAGCTATGTTTCTAAATTCTCAATTATAAAGTGACTAAGCCTAAATAAGCCCTCAAGTTATCTTTTTTTAAATGTAATAACATGACTTGGAAGATCGTTTACAAAATTTTAAAATTTATATCATTGGGATCTTCTTTAAGAAGTTTTATAGGATTTTAAAGAATTCTAAAGGTTTGTATAAATATTGAAGTAACAGTTTTACATATGGCAGGAGAATGTAGGCAGAAGTCAAGATGATTGGATGATTTAATACAGGAATAGTAGATTAAGTGGCTAGAAATAGCAATGTGTATCTTGCAAGCTGAAAACTATCATTAAGAATTTTTTTTAATTTTATTTTCCCTTGAGGGGATATATGTTGAAATTTGTTACCTAGATATAGTCCATGATGCTGAGGTTTGGGGAACAAGCGATCTCAATACTAAATAGTACACAATAGTAAGTTTTTCAGCCCTGTCCCTATCCTTCCTTCTCCACTCCAGTGGTCCCCAGTTTCTATTGTTGCCATCTTTATGTCCATGTGTACTCAATGTTAAGCTCCAACTTATAAGTGAGAATATGTGGTATTGGTTTCCTGTTTTTGCATTAATTCACTTAGAATAATGGCCTCCAGTTGCATTCATGTTGCTGAAAGGACATAATTTTCTTTTTGATGGCTTTGTAACGTTCTATGGCATATATGCACCACATTTTCTTTATTCAATATACCATTGATGGGCACCTGGGTTGATTCCATGTCTTTGCTATTGTGCATAGTGCTCCAATGAACATGCAAGTGCATGTGACTTTTTTTGGTAGAAAGACTTGTTTTCTTTGGGATCTATACCCATGATGGGATTGCTGGGTTGAATGGCAGTCCTGAGTTATTTGAGACATCTCGAAACTGCTTTTCACAGTGGCTGAACTAATTTGCATTTACCAACAGTGAATAAGCATTCCCTTTTCTCAACATCTTTGCCAGCATTTGCTGCTTTTGACTTTTTAATAATAGCCATTTAACCATTCTGACTGGTATGAGATGATATCTCATTGTGGTTTTTTTGCATTTCTCTGATGATTAGTGATGTGGAGCCTTTTTGTATATGTTTGTTGGCTGCTTGTGTGTCTTCTTTTGAGAAGTATCTGTTCATGATTTTGCCCAGTTTTTGATAGGGTTTATTTGTTTTTCCTTTTTCAATTATTTAATTTCCTTATAGATTCTGGATATGAGACCCTTATCAGATGCATAGTTTGCACATATATATTTTCTCTCCTGTGAGAAACAGTTTGTCTGTTTACTCTGTTGATAATTTCTTTTGCTCTGCAGGAGCTCTTCAGTTTAATCAAGTCTCACTTGTCAATTTTTGTTTTTATTGCAATTGCTTTTGAGGACTCAGTTATAACTTCTTTCACAAGGTCAATGTTCAGAATGGTGTTTCCTAGGTTTTCTTCTAAGAGCCTTATAGTTTCAGGTTTTACATTTAAATCTTTAACCCTTTCTGAGTTAATTTTCATATATGGTCGAAAGTAGAGATCCAGTTTCATTCTTCTGCATATGGTTAACCAGCTATTCCAGCATCATTTATTGAAAAGGGAGTCTTTTCTCCATTGCTTATTTTTGTTGACTTTGTTGAAGATCAGATGGTTGTAGGTGTGCAACTTTATTTTTGGATTCCTTATTCTGTTCCTTTGTCTGTATGTCTGTCTTTGTACCAGTCCCATGCTGTTTTGGTTGCTGTAGCTTAGAATCTTAAGTGAATGTTCTAATCTACTTAAAGTAACTCCGCCATAGATTTTACAAAGCATAACCAACATCAATGACATATATTTTTTCATCTTTCTAATTCATCATGTAGACATAAAATCTAATCTATATTTAGATAACATATAAAGGATTGAAAAAGTCTATTTGCACATTCATTATTTGTAGAATCTCCAAAATAAACCTGGAGTTTCTCAGTGACACCTACATAAAAGACAAAATCTATTATGTTTTATAAAACTAATTCATACTAATAAAATAACATATTGATAGCAGCAGGAGCCAGCCAAATGCCAAGGCAGGTAGGGGCAGGTACCTAGTGAAACCCCACTTCCAAGCTGAAGACAGTTTAAAGCCTGAAAGCCAAGCTACAGGTTAAATCCTCAGACTGGATTGAGAACTTTTCTTCTTGTTTGGCATGCTTTCCTCTGATTGATCCCACCCTTCACCTATTTTACATATACTTACCCTTTCCAATTTGGTTTTCTACACTGTCATGCCCACCTTGGAGTGGTGTCTTTGCTTTAACATATTTTGCATACTCACAAACCAATCAGCACGCAGTCCCCATCTTGTGCCTACAAAGACCCCAGACTCAGTTGGTAGAGGGGAGTTGGCCGGACTCCAAGGAGACAACCAGACTTCAAGGAAGAAATGGCCAGACTTTGAAGAAGAGACAGCAGGACTATGGAAGACAGGCCTGACTTTAGAGGAAGATGGCCAGCACTTCCTGTCAGTTCTCCAGCTCTCCTCTATGCTGAGAGCTGTTTTCCTTGCTTAACAAAATTCTCCACCTTCACCATCCTTCAATTGTTCATACAACCTCATTCTTCTTGGACGGTGGACAAAGACTGGGGACCCACCCCTTTGCCTGTGCTGGTGGAGGGCAACCACCTTGCATAATTAGGCAAGGGGCCAACTGAGTTGGTAACACACCATTGACCAGGAACAGTGAAACTAGGAGAGCATCATAACATCCCTTCTGGGGTTTCAGGGTCCCAGGCACCCCCACCTGGGTGCCGCCACAGGTCCTGCATGGAGCTTGCTCCTGCTGGTGCCCAGAGCAACTGACTGGATCCTGCACTTGCTTGCTCATGTGCTCCCTCCCACTAGGAGTTGAGCGTGGCAGACCAAATAAACAGGACACCTCTGTCACGAGTCCAGCGAAGGGGCCAAGAAAAATATTGCATCAATATTGTTACAATTTTTTTTTCTTAATGCCAATATAACAAACCGAGAATATCATTAAAATTTAATATCCTGTGTCAGTTTATGCACAGGCAGAGTAGTTATATACTTAGTGTTAATTCAGATAGGTCCAAGGGAGGTTCTTGAGATTAATCATTTTATCTCTAGGCTCTAAAATTTTTTGGTTTTTTTTTTATCGCTGGGTTCTGATCTCTATTAAAATTCAAAGACTCTTGGAAGAAGGGTTACCTTTCTGACTATAGCTAGTAATTGAGATTAAAAGGCCTGAAATCTAAAAAGAAATGGACATAAGAAAAATAAGATATTGGTAAAAAAAATTTTTAATAGGGAAGCATGAGAAAAAATGTCAGGAAAAATAAAATCTTGGTAAAAAATATTAATAGGAAAGTATGAGAAAGTGTCACATTTTTTTTCCTTGGGTGTTTGGGAAAAGTAAAGGTATGAGTATGCTGACCTTTTCTAAAGAAATAAATATACTGGTCTTTAGAATTTTTGTCATTGTGGTGAACTATTTATAACTGACCTATTCGATAGTCCTAAGTATGTTAATGGTGGATACTGCAATTTCTGAATGCTTCTTTCCTGATTTTCTGAGGTTTTTTTTTCCACATTTGCCAATATTAGACCAGAGGATTGAATATAGAGATAATGAAGACAGAAAAGGAGTGATATTTCTATATATGCATTTGTGGAATATTAATATGACTTAGAAGATCCACTCTAGAACATTACTTTGAGCAATGACTACAGGATAATTTCACTTGTTAGCTCCTGGGATGGAGATTGAATTCTAGTTCCAGTTCTTAGGATGCTAATGTGAATATAAACACCAAAGGCTAACATATCCACTGTAGACTGAAATAAGTTATTTATTCATCCGTTATTCATGTTAATTCCACTGGTACACAGAAGTACACATTTTCACTAATTATTAGGTGCTCAACCTCAAGACATATGCCCTGAGTTTCAATATTCTAATAAAATATTATTATACAAGGATAATAACAAATTGAAGATAAAGATAAATTGAATCCTTTCAGAATGTCTAATAAATTCACATTCTTTAAGGATAACACATTTTTTTCCTATGCCCAAGATTCCAAAAGTTCAATTACATCCAGGAATTGAGTTCTTATATTTAATTAAGTGAAACCTTGAAGAAAGACATATGCATAATATCCTAAAAAGATTTATATGTGTGTTAACCAATATTTGAAACAAATGAAATCTATAACATGTCTGATATTTTCATTGTTACTTATAGGGAAATATTGGGATTTAAGTCATTGAGATACCTTTACTGTTAATCAAAACCACATAACTCAATTGAAATACTGAGTTCATCTAGTGATACTAAGGTCCAGTTTTCACTCTGTCACCCAAGCTGGAGTGCATTGGCACGATCTCGGCTCACAGCAAGCTCTGGCTCCTGGGTTCACGCCATTCTCCTGCCTCAGCCTCCTGAGTAGCTGGGACTATAGGCGCCCGCCACCACGCTCAGCTAATTTTTTGTATTTTTTAGTAGAGACGGATTTTCACTGTGTTAGCCAGGATGGTCTTGATCAACTGACCTCGTAATCTGCCTGCCTCAGCCTCCCAAAGTGCTGGGATTAAAGGAGTAAGCCACCGCGCCCGGCAAAAATGTTTTGAAGTTTTTGAAGAAACTTTCCTAAACATTGTTGCCTTATTTTATTCTTACAACAAATAGGAGGTGGTATATAACCAGTTATTTCTCCCTTTTAGAAGTGATTAAAGTTTGATTATAAATAATACCTGGCTGAAGTGAGAACAAGAATCCAGAATTTATTTCCCTACACCACTCCTTACTAACCATTTTAATATTTATAGTCTGTATCATCTCTATCCATTGTATATGTTCTCAAAATCTTTATTGGGGAGATGAAATAGAGAAGCCATAGAGGTCTATGCTGTTATATCAGAAGTTTTATAACATGAAAATTGTAAAAATGATTAAATAACTGCAAAATATTTGAATATGATACAGTTGCTTCTTGAAATCTTGCAACATTGGATAAAGGCTGCAAGATGTGAAACAGAGGAGATTCACCTGTGCTAAGACGGGTCAAGCTAAATATTGTAAAAAGAAAGCAGGTTAAAATAGTACACATAGGATACCTTTCAGTGGGTTTACAAGAGACAAAACACAATCCAAATCTGGCGACCACACTTCCACCTTCTCCAAGGAAACTGAGGGATTTCTAGAAGCAGCAGAACATTTTGATTAGGCACAAAATGGATTTTGCCCTTTTTATAGATGCTTTGTTTATGGAAATGCATCCTCGAATGCCTAAATCAGGAGTTGTTTGTGGACAAACTTCATATGGCACAATCTACATAAGCTTCTAACATTAATATATCTACGTAAGCTTCTAATGCTTAATGTGTTTGCATAATACCCATTATTCCACATTTTACTTCCAGTTGCTCTGTTTCCAATGAGTATTTTTTTAAAAGCACAATTCAATATTGTTATTTTTATTCAGCATCCGTTTTTAACTTTTTATTAGAATATTCCATCCATTTACATTTAAGTCGATTATTAATATTATTGGGTAACAGTCTACTATTTTTATCATGACCTATCGATCTATGATTCTCCGTTCCTCAGTTTTAGCCTTCTTTTAAGTGAATCTAGCATGTATTTTTTTTTTAGTGTTTTACTTTATCTTATATATTGACTTCTTAGGTATATTTGCCTGTTTTCTTTCTAGACAATAGAGCAAGTTTCTTTGCCATTAATGTATTCCTCAAATAATAATATTCTATATCCTGAACAATGTAAAAATCTTATAGTAGTTTAATACCATTTACCCCTTTCCTACTTGTTCTGTTTTTGTTCTCATATATTTCACATCTACATGTGCAATTATCCCATAACAATCAATGATTTTTAAAAATGTAAACATGCATATTTACAAATACGATTTTATGAAAAGCATTTTTTTTACATATTTACCTTTTTCCTTGTCTTCTTTGAATTTTTCTTTGTATAAACTTCTCATAAAAATGCTTTCAAAGGTACAACACCATAAAACTCCAGGGGAACAAATTCTTATTGTGATCTTTGTGAATGGTGTTCCTTTGAGATGTGCTTTGCACATCTTGTATGTCATTACATTGTATCACAGTAATCTTCAAAGATAATCTAATATGATTGTTCTGATTTATTTCCAATTTCTATTCTAAACTTATTAACTAATTTTTTGCTTCAATATTCTTCTTATTTTATATTAGCCGTTGTCAGTACGCCTGTGACTTCAGAATACATGTATAGCATGCAATAAAGTAACAAAACTTAACTGATTTCTGAATACATTATTTTTCAAGTCACTGAAAACTTAATGTTTGTAATTAAAAACAAATGATAAAAGATATATTGAGCCAAGGGTTTTACATCATAAAAGAATAGTGTATCACGCAAATAAAATAAAGAAGTGAATAAACTGGTAGTTTTACAATTTTACCAGGATAAGATTTATTTAAGTTGAAAGAATTTCAGTAAAGAGGGCAAAGCTGAAGATGCTTCAAAGTTATAGTAATCAAAGGCGTGTGTCAGGGTGAAAACTTATTTCACACAATGGTAGATAAAAGATATTAATAGGCTTGTATGGCAAATAAAATATTTTGGAGGAATCCATATATGCACAGCTTTTCTTACTGTTGGGCCTATGCAAATTGAAATTTATCAGTATGTATTCTTCAGGTGTGTATTATCTTACAGGAATTCCATCTGCATTGGTAAACAAATAAACAAAAAGATATCCTATAGTATACATACATAACATTGAAGCCTTAGGTCAATCTGAAGGCCAAGTCTTATGTTGAAGGCAAGTAATTCAGTAGCTAGCAACAGCTGCAATCACATAAGAAATGGAGAAATTTTGCTCTTCGCTTCTTTACTAGCTTTGTAGTTATCTTTATCTTTATTTTTTCAATAAATTTAAATACAAGGTCAAGTAAATTCATGAGAATATTGAAACTTACATAAAAATCATATTAATATGTCCCTTCAGAGATGTAAGTAAACTTATTCTAATGAGTTACAGGTAAAACTGTTTAAGACAAAGTGAAAATTTCAGAAAGAATAAAGACTATTAAATAAATGGAGAAAAATATTACATTAAAGAAAAATAGCCCTAGATCTCATTAGTGAAAACATAATTTTACTTCAAAAAATTTACTTCAGAAAAGAACTAAAAATTATGTATAGCGATATTAAAAATATTAATCATCCTTCCTTTGAACCATTCAGTTAATGTGTACAAGCAGCTTGAAAATAGGTACAAGTTCCTTGAAAATAGAAATAATGTACAAGTATTCAATCGTATTTGAAATCTTTTATAATCCCAAATAATAATTACTGAGATCATTTTGACACCATATCATCAAAACAAAAAAAACTAATGGTATTCAATGTTTATATAGATTGCTATATTGAATATAGATTGCTATATTGAATGTATTCTTTGAATTATTTAATGTATTAATATCCACTTGAATTTTATTTTTTTAAATTTACTTTTACCTATCCTCCTTGTATCTGAGTTTTGACAAATTACCCGCATGTTAGATGTAAGCACTTCTCTTCAGAGGAGGAGGCAGAGCAAGATGGCCAAAGGGAAGCCTCCACTGATCATCCTCCCCACAAGAACATCAAATGTAACAACTATGTACACGCACGCACACACACACACACACACACACACACACACACACACACAAAGCACCTTCATAAGAACCAAAAATCAGCTTAGTTATCAGGTCGTCCACAGCAGGGTAGAGCCCCAAGATGCCCCGTTACAGCAGAAAACAAAATCAGAATGAACTCAGCTGACACCTACCCGTGGAGGGAGCATTTAAATCAGCCCTAGCCAGAGGGGAATTGCCTGGCCCAGTGGTTGGAAATTGAGTTCCCACAAGCCTTGCCACTGTAGACTAAAGTGCTATCGCGCCTTAAATAAACTTGGAAAGGAATCTTGGCCACAAGGACTGCAAATCCTAGGAAAGTTCTAGTACTGAACTGGGCTCAGAGCCAGTGGACTGAGGGGAACACAACCTACTGAGACACCAGCTGGTGCAGGTAAAGGAGCGCTGACACTGCAGCTCCCTTAGCTGCAGACTACATAGTTCATGGCTCCAAAGCAGATTCTTCTCTTCCACTTGAAGAGAAGAGAGGGAAGAGTGGGGAGGACTATTTCTTGCATCTTGGTTACCAGCTCAGCCACAGCAGGATAGGGCACCAGTCAGAGTCGTGAGTTTCCCTTTCCAGGACCTAGATCCTGGATGACATTTCTAGACACACCCAGGGCCAGAAGGAAAACCAGCTGCCCTGAGCGGAAGGACCCAGTCCTGGAAGAATTCATCAGCTGCTAACTGAAGAACCCTTAGGTCCTGAATAACCAGCAGCAATACACAGGTACTACATTGAGGGATTTGAGTGAGTCTCTGAGACTCTCTGCTTTAAGGTGAGACTCAGCACATCCCCAGCTTTGGTGGCTACAGGGAAAGGCTCTTTTTTCTTGAGAAAAATGGAGGGAAAGGTAGAGAGGACTTTGTATTGCACTTTGGATACAAGCTTGCCAACAAGAGGGTAGAGCACCAAACAGGCTCTTGCAGTCCCCAACTCTAGGCCTTGGCTCTTGGATGATATTTCTGGACCTGCCTGGGGCCAGAGGGAAGCCTACTGCCCTGGAAAGTGAGTGCCACACCAGGCACCACTCACCACAATCTGACTGAAGAGACCTGAGGCTCTCTTTGGTAGCAGCCTGGTAGAACTCCACATGGGCCTGTGGTGGTGGTGGCCACGGGTGAGGCTCCTCTTTCTTTGGAAAGGGGAGGGAAGAGTAGGACATTCTGCTTTTTGTGGTTTTGATGCCAGCTCAGCTGCAGTACAACAGAACACTGGATAGACTTCTAAGGTATTTGACTCTAGTCCCTCGCTCCCAGATGGCACCTCTGGACTTGCTTGGGGCCTGGGAGAACTCACCACCCTGAATGGAAGAACCAAGTCTGGCTTACTTTGCTACCTGCTGATGTGGCAACCTACAACCTTTAATGAACATAGGTGGTAGCCAGCTAGTGGTTGTAGTAGGCTACTAGGCTTTAGGCAGACAGAGTGCTGTGCTGGCTTCAGATCAGACAGAGCACAGTCCAAGTGGTGGTGGCCATAATGATCCTTGTGTACCCCTTCTCCAATTCCAGGCAGCTCAGCACAGATAGAGAGATTTCATTTGTTTGGGATAAAGCAAGGGAAGAGAACAAGTGTCTCTGCCTAGTAATCCAGAGAATTCTTCTATATCTTATTCAGGACCATCAAGGTACTACCTCTGCAAGTCTGCAAGAGCTACAGTGTTACTTGGATTGGAGTGCCCCCTAATTAAGACAGAACTGCAGTGATTAAAAGGCTAAATCATAAGACCCAAGTCCCTTTGAATACCTGGAAAGCCTTCCCAGGAAGGACAGGTACAAACAAAGCTGGATTGTTAAGACTACAATAAATACTTAACTCTTCAAAGTCCAGACACCAACTGATAAGGTTTGACTGCATCCCCACCCAAATCTCATCTTTATTTATAGTTCCCATAATCTCCTGTGTTGTGGGTGATACCTGGTGGGAGGTAATTGAATCATGGGAGCAGTTTCCCCCATGCTATTCTCGTGATAGTAAGTTCTCAGAAGATCTGAGGGTTTTATAAGGTTCTTCCCCCTTCACTTGGCTCTTATTCTTCTTCTACCTGACAACATGTGAGGAAAGACATGTTTGCTTTCCCTTCTGCCATGAGCGTAAGTTTCCTGAGGCTTCCCCACCCATGCTGAACTGTGAATCAATTAAACCTCTTATTTTTTTTTTTTAATAAATCAACCAGTCTTGCGGGTGTCTTTATTAGCAGTGTGAGAACTGACTAATACACCAACAAACATCTACAAGTAACAAAACCATCTAGGACAACATGACCTCACAAAACAAACTAAATAAGGCACCAGAGTCCAATCTCAGAGTGACAGAAACTTGTGACTTTTCAGACAGGGAATTCAAAATAGCTGTATTGAGGAAAGTCAACAAAATTCAAGATAACATAGAGAAGGAATTCAGAATTCTATGAGATAAATTTAACAAAGACATTAAAATAATTAAAATAATCAAGCAGAAATTCTGGAGTTGAAAAATGCAACTGACATATTGAATAATGCATCAGAGTCTCATAATACCAGAATTGATCAAGCAGAAGAAAGAATTAGTGAGCTTGAAGACAGGCTATTTAAAAGTGCACAGTCAGAGAAAACAAAAGAAAAAAGAAAAAAAAATGAAGCACACCTACAGTATCTAGAAAATAGCCTCAAAAGGGTAAATCTAAAACTTCTTAGCCTTAAACAGAAAGTAGAGAGAGAGATGTAGAAAGTTTATTCAAAGAAATAATAACACAGAACTTCCCAAACCTAGAGAGAGGTATCAATACTTAAAGTATACAATAATAGCTGAAATCTTCAACACCCCACTTTCAGCACTGACAGTTCATCCAGAAATAAAATCAACAAAGAAACATTGAACTTAATCTGCACTAAATACCAAATGGGCCTAATTAATATTTACAGAACATTTTATCCAAGGGCTGAAGAACACACAGTATTCTCCTCAGCACATTTATTATTCTCAAGGATAGACCATTTGTTATGTCAAAAACAAATCTTTTAAAAATTCAAAAAAAATTGAAATCACAGTAATTATCTCCTATGACCACAAAGAACTAAAACTAGAAATCAATAGAAGAGGAATTTTGAAAACTATACAAACACATGGAAGTTAAACAATATGCTCCTGAATGACCAGTGGGTCAATAAGTAAATTAGGAGGAAAATGGGGCCTGGGTGAGGTGGTTAACATCTGTAATCCTAACACTTTGGGAGTCCGAGGCAGGTAGATTGCTTGAGCTCAAGAGTTTCAGACCAGCCTAGGCAACATAGGGAGACCCTGTCTATACAAAAAAAAACTCAAAAATAGAGAGGCATGGTGTCACATGTCTGTAGTCCCAGCTACTTGAGAGGCTGGGGTAGGAGGATTGCTTGAGCCTAGGAGGTCAAGGCTGCAGGGAGCTATAATTGTGCCACTGCACACTCCAGCCTGGATGACACAGAGAGAGCCCATCTCAAAAACTAAAAAAAAGGAAAAATTAAAAATTTATTGAAGCAAATGATAATGGAAACAAAACATACCGAAACCTATGGGATACCATGAAATCAATACTCAGAATGAAGTTTAAAACTATAAGTGCCAACATCAAAAAAAAAGCAGAAAAACTTCCAATAAATAACCTAGTGTATCCAAGACCTTAATTGAGAATCTGACATTTAATAGAACTAGCATTTTAGATCAGTATGCAATCTATTTTTTAATAAATACATTTTAAATTCTATCTACAGCATTTATCAAAACAATTGCTGTTGTATGAAGGGCTTACATGTAAAATTCAACACTTAAAAAATTTTAAAACTTTTAGCAGAAAATATGGGAAAATATTTCTATCAACTTTCAGCAGAGAAGAATTCTCTAAGTAGAACAAAAGCCAAAATATGCATTATAACGGTAATAACTTCAAACATATTAAAATTAAAATTATATCCACTAAAATTTACTACAAAAAGAGATAATATAAGCCTTAAAAATGTTACCAGGATACATGGGCATTAATATATATCTTCATTGTTTATTATGACAACAATTTAGAAACAGGCCACATTCTCAAAAGCAGCAGTTGAACAGATAAAACACCTTAGGGCATTTTCTTTTCTTTCTTTCTGTGTGTGTGTGTGTGTGTGTGTGTGTGTGTGTGTGTGTGTGTGTGTGACGGAGTTTCGCTCTTGTTGCCCAGGCTGGAGTGCAATCGTGCGATCTAGACTCACTGCAACCTCTACCTCCCAGGTTCAAGTGATTCTCCTGCCTCAGCCTCCTGAGTAGCTGGGATTATAGGCATCTGCCACCACGCCTGGCTAATTTTTTGTATTTTAGAAGAGACGGGGTTTCACAGTGTCAGTAAGGCTGGTCTCAAACTCCTGACCTCAGGTGATCTACCTGCCTCGGCCTCCCAAAGTGCTGAGATTACAGGTATGAGCCACTGCACCTTAGGGCATTTTCATAAAATGAATATTATACAATTGTGAAAAGAAATAAAGCAACACATATCAATAGGGAAAGATCTCAAAGTAACAATTTGAAAAAAATCAAATCATGTAACAATGCACATTATATAGAATAATTTATGTAAAATACAACAGATATATATATATATATGTATATGTGTGTGTGTGTGTGTGTGTGTATATATATATATATATATATGGTAAAATCCATAAAAAGCATATAAAGTACAAGATGGTTTTTATTTCTTGGGAAATATAAAATAATGTGATATTGTAGTACCATACAGGATGCTCCATATTTCTGGGTGATTTTCCATATCCTAAGCTAGGTAAATTGTCAATGTGTGTTAATTTTTTTATGGACTTCTTGCTATATATTAAGCATTTATAGTAAAAATGTTAAAGTATAAATAGAAATGTAATACCACTAAAGCACTGAGTATAGACTTATGGAGGTGAACGTTTTAACTTGATTGACTATAGAAGAAGAGTCTTGGTCACATACAGCTGTTGGGCAAATGGAAAAGGAGAGTAGGATTTCAAAATAAAGGAAAGATCGAGAAAGATGAAGAAGCAAAACGCATTCAGGCCACAAGTAGCTACATATTCCACCTGTGACTTGGGTAAGAGAAGAAACATTTTCCCAATGGTATTGAAGGAAAAAATGTAAAAATAGTGGATACAAATACCTGTTTAGGTAGGGCAGGGACAGATAAGACAAAAAAGGTATTATTACCTTGATGTCTGTTTTTTATGCGAAATAGAAGTTAGTTTTCTCAGAAAAGAAGAAAGGCAAGTTGAAGACATTGGTAAAATTTGAAATTACTGCAGGAAAGAATTGGAGAAGGAACAGATAATGGAAACAGAATAATGTACTGGCATTATTGAGGATAAAGATAAGGTATGTTATATTATCACCAACCTACACAGCCAACTGATTTTCTTCGTTAATGCTTAGAAACTCAGTTGTAGAATCAGAAATTTATTGACAGATGAAGGACTGGTGGAGTTATACAGAAAACAGGGCAGAGAGTTTCAAATTTCTAAGAAGAAAATGATGAAAGTGAGGGAATTCTGACTTCCACATTGAAGAGGGACGGATTTAAACACAGGAGACACAGAAAAATTGGATGGAAATTCCAGGGTCAAAAGACAGTGAGACCTAAACCTAGTTATACTTGCAGCAAGGGAAGGGGAAGCTTTATTTGAGCCTGGGATATTAACAAAAGTTATTTCAAGGTTTAGAACAGAGATAATGGCAAAGTCCAGGCCAAGGCTTTGGGTCCAAGTGAAAGTAACACTTGATAGTAGTTGAAAAATAAAAATAATTTATTATGTTAAATTGCATTGCTTCAATCTTACTGACTAATTTAGGAAAATAAACTCCAGGAAAAATACTTTCAAGATGTGCCAAAAATCCCCGAGATGCTTATACACGTAAAGTTACATTTAACCATCAAATGTCAATTTATCATGTCCATTGGCAGGTATATAAAAAGACTAGGGCATGTGGTAACCCTATTTCCTCCTACACATAACTCATGTTTCATTTTGAACTTTTATTCTGAATTATTACCAATCTTTTATTTTGTAGGATTAGGATTATCAGTAGTCTATTTTAATGAGTTTTTTTTTTTAAATCGATTTCTTGTAAGAAGTGCCAAGGGGAAGAAATCCACAATCAGATTGGCTGCAGGCTTGGAGAAAATTGTTTATGCATTCAGCTATGCAACATCATTGCTGTATGACATGCAGCAAGCCACTTAATCTCTCTTGTACAACATTTATTAATTAATTAGTGTAGCAGTACCTTATCTGTCTCCTTCACAAATTTGTAAAGAACCAATGAGATTATGCATGTCAAAGTAAAATGGAAATGCAAAGTATTGCAGTTTGTAATTCTACAAGTAAGCATTAAATACTGAGAAACTTAACGAGAAAGATTAGAGAACAAAACACAAAATGAGATTTTCTACAGAGATGAATTTGAAGTCACATATTAACTTTGGTCCACATAGGAATTTTGTTTATTTTATTTTTTATTTATCATTTTAAATTTTTAAAATAGACTAAGAGGATACAAGTGAAATTTTATAACATTGATATATTGTGTAGTGAAGTCTGGGCTTTTAGTATACCTGTCACTCAAATAGTAAACATCGTACCCAATAGGTAATTTTTCAACCGTCACCCACCTCCCACCCTGCCACCTATTGTAGGCTACAATGTGTACTTTCCCCTTGTCCCCTCAAATCCCCTACATCCATGTGTACTGTTTGTTTAGATCCCACTTGTAAGTGAGACCATGTGGTATTTCGCTCTGATTCTGAGTTATTTCACTTAAGATAACAGCCTTCCATTCCATTGTGAAATACATGATTTTATTCTTTTTTATATCTGAGTAGTATTCCATGGTGTGTAGAAATAAATAAATAAATAAATGTATATTACAAATATATATAAAAGGAAAGGCAGAGACAGATAGATGATAGATAAACACACACAACACGCACACACAAACACACACACACACACACACACACACACACACACCATACTTTCTTTATCTAATTATTTGTTGATCACTTAGGCTGATTCCATAACTTTGCTATGGTGAATAATGCTGCAATAAATATATGCCTCCGGTTTTTCTTCTATAATGATTCATTTCCCTTTGAGTATATACACAGCAGTGAGATTGCTAGTAATTCTTTTACTAGTAATTAGTTCTTTGAGAAATCTCCATGCTGTTTTTTATAGAGGATGTACTAAGTTACATTCCTATCAACAGTGTATAAACTTTCCCTTTTCTCTGCATTATCACCAACATCTACTGTTTTTTCTGACTTTTTCATAATAGTCATATTGGCTGGTGTAAGATTGTATCTCATTGTAGTTTTAACTTGCATTTTTTCATGTTTGTTGGCTTCTAAGTCTTCTTTAAAAAAAAAGTCTGTTCGTATCCTTTCCCACTTTTTAATGGGGCTATTTGTTTTCTTCTTCATGAGTTGTTTGAGTTCCTTGTAGATTCTGGGTATTAGCCTTTGATAGGATAATTAGCTTGCAAATATTTGTAGGTTGTCTGTTTTCTCTGTTGATTATTTCTTTTGCTGTGCAGAAGCTTTTTAAATTTTTACAGAACCATCGTAGTGTTAGTATATTAAATCCTTGATATGAATAATTTGATTAATTTTTCATTTGACACTGTAATGTTTATGTCTTTTTTTTGTATTTGATAAAACACTAAACTATTTTTGGCATTAACTATTTTCTCACAAAGTATTGCATCCTCTTTTATATTGTATGCAGTTTTCTATGAAAAAAATTAGTTTCAAATAGAACAAAACAGATTTGATTAGTCTTTTTTTAAGAGGAATTTTATATAATAAAGTACAGATTATAATTAAAATGTTTTAATATACCATGCACCATTTGATCTTTAAAAAAACAAAATTAATATAACTTTATTATTAAAAAATAAATTATTTACAGATTAAATCTTATAGGCCTTCAATAATTAGAGATTGAAAGACAGCATTTTGGACATTAATATATTTCTTATGGAATGACAAATATTCAGTAAGAGGCACTGTATGCCCAATGCGGTTTTATTTAAATTATAATGTGTATATTTTAAATGTACATCATTTAGTATATGTAAGAGCTACGTTTTTATTTAAAGATTTTGCTTTAAAAGAAATATCTGGTTTTTGTCTTTAAAATTCACAAGTTCTTATGAGTTTACATACAATAGCACACTTTGTTCCATCTTAATAAAGGCAACTGGCTTCTTAGATATTCAGTACTTTTGCCTAAAAGTTTAAATATCATGTAAGTAGCATTGTCTAGCTCATTTTCCTTTAAAAATAAGAACTTCAGTTTACAAAGTTTGGCACTTATAAAGTAGTTTTGTTACTCAGGTATTTAAAATATATATAAATTGCAAAGTATATGTGGCATATAAACACTATATAGTATATATAATGTAGCTTGTATATATATTTTTATATTATTTTAATAATATTTATGTAGTATATAAATACATATAGTCACATTTTTCCAAAGTATAATTTGCAAAGATTCTGTCATGTTTATAAACCAGCCTTTTATTCTTGTTGACAATAATTCCTATAATAAGACTGCAAGTATCACATTTTTTAGAGTATATTATAGAAGAAAGCCCAAATGATTTTAAGATACATGTAAAATCTTACCTTCTAAAATGTCTGTACTATTGTCTTTCTCAGGAAGATCGAGTATAAGACTTGCACATTCTAGTCCTGATTCTATTTCCTCAAAGAATAATGAGTGCTTCAATTCAGTTTTCTCACATCTTAAAATCATTTATCTGTCACCTGCTGCAGAGGGCACATGGTCTCATGCAAGAAAATAATTACGGCTGTGGAAACATTCGTCGGACAATGTGAAAGATCTTTTGCTATTCATCTGCATTGTTCCAAAACAGTAGCAGAACAAATTTAAATAAGTTAGAGCTGCAATTATTTATTGTTATCTTTTGGATTATTTTTTACCTGGGTAACGCTGAAGATTAAACATAATCAGTTCCAGCTGGAAACACTTCTACAGTATGTCAAGGACAATAAGTTCACAAATTGACTTTACTTGCTATTCATGTGGTATATGAAAAGAATTGGGCAAAGGGGAATTTAATTAGTGTGTCTCATAGTAGAAATAAATAAAAAAAAGATAGACTGCTGATTGCATTGAAAATGAGTAGCATGCTTAGCTGTCAGCAATGAAGCAGAAGTGGTTTCTTAGTATTTCTTTGGTCACAGAAATTTTGATTTCTTTCGATTATCTCATGTGAAGTCTAACGTGTATTATTTTAAGTATGAACTATAAAATGCAATTTTATTATACATATGGAGAGTTGTTATTACTTAAGATGATACAGTGACAAGTATTTACACTAAAAAACTAAAGGATTATGATAGCTACTGAAAGCTTTTATAGATTGAAAGAAGCCAAAGAAATAATACCAAAGATAAGTTATTTTCATATCTAAGCTTTTCCTCTTAAAAACTTGAATAGCAAAGAATATATGTTTCAATAAAGCACATTATCAAAGATATTTTATCGCATATGTGTAATTATTATTTACTGCTTATTATTGTAAAAAGGAAAGAATTCTTAAAAGTAAAAATCAGAAAGTTTCCAAATTACCAATTTTTTGCTAGTAACTATAAGAGTTAAATTATGTAAATGATAAGTATTATAGTAATTTTTATTTTGTTAAACTTGAGCATTTCATAAGCATCCATATAAGGAAGAACAAACGTTAACAATTCTTAAAAATATACTAAGGAAATAATTTGCATCATTTGTCATTACATTCTACTCCTGATATTTAGGATCTAATCTAGCATTACCTTTTACTTATATCTTATCTATTGCCTTTGAAATAGAAAATAGCCTAATTTATGAATCACAAAATAATAGCTTAGTTTTCACTTTGCTTTGTGCTGTATAAGGAATCCAAATTTAAAAGATGCATGCCTTTATACATTTATTTTCCAAAAATTATATTGAGTTCCCAGAATATGCAATCCTATTAAAATGTGTAAGACAGCACATTTTCCTAAAAAATTAAAAATTTATGGGAAATAACTACGAAAATAATCATAAATCCAGAGAAAATAAAATATGAGTTACCATAAGAAAAATCCATGGAACTGGAGAGAGATTCATTCTATGTGCTGTGGTGAAAGGGTGGAGTTGGGAAAAAAATGTCAGAGAAAGTGACATGAAATAGCCTTAGGGCTGTGTAAAAGATCAGTAGATGTGTGAGAGCCAGGTATTTTAAGTTTAAGGAATAACATGGAAAAGTGTATTAAAAAGAGAAAACTACTATTTTTTTTTTTAGTTCTTTTTGTATACCAATGCCATTCAAAGTGCCTTCAAAATACCCTTTCTGTTAGTTCTTAAAACTCACTATGGGTTTGACAGTGATGAGGAGCTGGCAGACAGTGATCATAGACTGCTGGAGCACAGACTTTATGGTCAAGTTGTGAAGGTGTAGAATTGCTGGCTTAAAACTTTAGGCTTTATCATTGAAGCATAAACAGTTAAGGATTTTAGAAGATCTGTTCTCCAAATAGATAATTCTGCCAGCCTTATAAACAGAGAGAGTAGAGACACTTAAGAGGCTATTAGTGACAGCACCACCTAGGAAGTATTTCTACACAAGCACACATGCACACAACATGCTCACTCACCCCGGGCACGCATGCATATTGAACTTGACTATCATCGACCCTACATTGAGCTATCATTGAACAGGAAGTCAATAGAAAGTGCGGGGGAAGGAGAGATAAACTGATCAACACCAACAAGATACAATCAGCCAAATCCAAAATGAGGTATAGTCTTCAGGCCATCTAACCTGTTTTCTTTAGCGAAGTTTTTATTTTCGTGAAGAAAAAAGTAGAAAAAAAAAAAAGTATTCTAACATTACTTCATCAGAATTAAAAGATAATTCATTAACATTATTACAATAATTGGACCTCATTTGAACTCTATTTCAAGTAAACTATTTTTTTAAAATAATCAGGACTTTTATTATGGAGAAGGTATTAGAAGATATTAAATAATTATTCTTAATTTTTGAGATGCAATAATAGCATTATAGTTATTTAAGAAAAACATCCTCTTTTTGAAACACATATAGAAACAAATACCCTAATTTTTTTTTAAAGAAAAGGAAAGGAAAGAAAAGAAAGGGAATGCTGGAGAAAGGTATAGATGAAGCTAGTAGAACTGTCAATTTTTGTTGATCCAAGCTGAGGCACACATATGATGGTAGTGGTGACCCATCTGGAGTGGCCGCTGTGAAGATGCCAGCTGCAGCGGGGTGGGCATGGCCAGGGTTGTGTGCTCCATGCTCCTGGGTGCAGCTGCAGCTGCCCAGTTGTGGCTCCGATTCCTGGCATCCCTGTGCTCTCGGGGGCCTGGTAATCCTCTGCCGCCTAGGCTCGGAAGTGCCTGCTCCCAGTGTCTGGCTTCTCCCCACTCCCAGTAGCCAGTCTGGTGTGAAGAAAAATTGTTGCCAAGCACGGTTGCTATGTTGACCTGGCTGGGTGTGTACATACTCTGGGTGGCACTGACATGCCAGACCCCTGCCTCCTCGGCCCCCTCTAGACTTTGGGCACTGATGAGCATGGGAGGAAGTTAATGGGGGGGGATAAGGGTGGCTCAGCCTGAGCCTGCAGGTGCCCCTCAGCACAAACATCCTAGGCACGGTGGACAGCCTGTTGATGGCAGGAGGCAGACATGTTACTGGGCAGATAGGGGCCGGCCCTTGATAAAACCCCACTTTCAAGCCAACGACAACCTGAAGCCTGAGGGCGGAGCTGCCAGTTCCAGGTGGAGTCCGCGTCGCCCAGAGTGAGAACTTACAGTGCTTTTTCCAAGCCCGCCCATGGCTGCCCATGGAGCAGTCAGCACATACTTCCTCCCTTCTGAGCCCATACCAACCCCAGTTTCAGCCAGACTCGCACAGATGTCGGGAGGACTTGTCTGTAAAAAGAAACTAACCACTGCAGGTCTGCTCTCCACTAAGAGCTGGACAGATGTCGGGACATCTGCCTGCAGCAAGGAGCTACCCACTGCGGGTCTCCTGAGAGCTGTTCTGTGGCTCAATGAAGTTCCTCTCTGCCTTGTTCTCCCTTCAGTTGTTCATGTACCTCATTCTTCCTGGAGGTGGGATAAGAACTCGGGACACACTAAATGGTGAGACTGAAAGAGCTGTAATACAAACAGAGCTGAAACACATCTCTCTGCTCACCATGTTGCAGAAGATGAGAAGGAGAGAAGAGCTGCAGTTCTTCAGGGAGCCCAGACCTAGGGGGTCCCTGAGCCAGGGTTGTGACACCCTCCTTGGGGCTTTGCAGTAACTGGCTTCTGCAAGCTTCCAGATGCCAATGCATTTTCCTTTTCCAGACACGGTGCCCACAGCAGAAACCACGTGTGGTACATTTGGTCCAGCTACAGCTTTGTACAGAGCCGGCACCTGTGCCAGTGCCTTGAGCAGCCTGCCCCACCACAACAAGCACCGTGCCTGGCTGTGGACAATGGCCAGTCCCCACCCTTGCTTGCCTATACACCTCGCACTGCTCTGTGCCTGGTGTGCCCTTGGGAGGTATGAAATCTGAGCTGGTAGCACGAGCCAAGTGCAGCCTGCAGGGCCGAGTGTGTGGAACAAGCCCAGTGGCCACAAGCAATACTCAGACAGAAGACACCCCCAGCCATAGAGATTTCTGGCTGGCAAAGCAACACCCCAAAGATCCCATGACACGTACATAGTGGTTAATTATGTATGTTGGAAATCATCATAAAAAAAGACTTGCTATAGAATAATATGACTTGTCTGAGCAATGACAATAACGGTAGGCAATTACAGTAGGGATGTAAAAAAGAAACATTAAATAGGATTAGCAGAGGTCCATGAGACAAATAAATCAAGATAGGGAAAGAAAGAAACAGCAGGATGACAGGAGATACATTTCACTTGGACATTTATAATTACAGTGCCCACACTCCTGCTTCCCTCATCACATCCTTTCCTCCTATAGTCATCTCCATCTTAGCTAATGCCTACTGCATCCTTCAGTATTCCCAGCCCAAAGATCACGAAATAATCTGTGCATTCTTTTTTACTGATGCTGTGATAGAAATACTTCAGAATCCAACCACTTCCCACTATTGCACCACTGCTACCACCTTGGTCTAACCCACTCTAATTCAATTTCTGGGTGTTTGTATATTTTTAAGAATTAATAAAGGCATTGGAGAGATTGTCTTAAGACATGAAGAAGACGATTGCATCACTTTTCTCAGAAACTTCTAATGGTACCATCATTTTTCTTTCACAGTAAAGCTATTTTCTTACAATACCTTCTAAAGATTTATACATTGTGATCTTCTTTTATATATCTCCTCTTCTACTACTCCCCTGGACACTTTTGCTGTTATTTAATTATGCCAGGAATACTCATGCAACAGGTCCTTTGCACTGGCTGTTACCTATGCCTGGAACATTCTCCCTGCAGATATATGCACAGGCTGCCTTTTTTTGTTTTTGATCATATGTCAAATTCTCAGTAAGGCTTACCACAATGCTCTGAAGCTCCCTACCTCGATTTTTTTAAAATGATAATTTTTATTTTGTATTATATAATATAAATTACTTGCTAAATATATTTATTTTAAGTTCTTCCTTCATTGGAATATTATCTTCAAAAAGACAAGATTATTTTCAATTAAATTTCAACCTATCCGCCGTGCCCCAAACTTCACCTGTTGAATTCTACATTCTCAAAAAATATTTTTCAGATTGATATTGAATAAGGCACTTATGTAAAATTGTAGTAGACAATTGAAAACTAAAGAGTATTACTCAGGAAATCAGCCAAAGTTGGAGATGGGTATTTAGGACCAATTGGTGAGCAATGTGGATTGTAGACAAAGGAATTAAAAGCAAGATAAAACCTCCAAAATGCTTAGAATTAAGGGAGTAGAAGGAGTTTAAGTGGAAATAAAAATAAGAATTCAGTGAATAAGACTGCTATCACCAAAATTCAATTTCAAACAGTTTAACAGTTATTTCTCATTTAAAGGAGAATTACTGTATGGTAAACTATTTTGGTAGGTTGTATTTCCTTGGATTTTTTTATTCCTTCACTCCCGTCCCTCACGCCCCCACCCCTCCACCTCCAGTTTTCTTTTTATCTTTTTCTTTTTTTGCTTTCTTTTTTCTTTTTTTTGTTTGTTTATTTTTGTTTGTTTGTTTGTTTTTTGAGATGAAATCTCACTCTGTTGCTCAGGCTGGAGTGTAGTGGCACAATCTTGGCTCACTGCAATCTCTGTCTCCTGGGCTCAAGCCATTCTCCTGCCTCAGCCTCCTGAGTAGCTGGGACTATAAGCGTGTGCCACCATGCCTGGCTAATTTTTTTGTATTTTTAGTTGATACGGGGTTTACCATGTTAGCCAGGATGGTCTCGATTTCCTGACCTTGTGAACTGCCTGCGTTGGCCTCCCGAAGTGTTGGAATTACAGGCGTGAGCCACCAACCCGGCCTCCAGTTTTCTTATAGCTGTTAGTAAATGCAGAAATGATTTATGGGTAGAATAATTGACAATTTCCATGATAAAGAACACCAAAGGAATTTCTTAACATGGATGCAGACCTAAAATTCCTGGCTGTTATTAAAAAGTATACATTATATTTTATTAATAGAAAAAAATTAAAAGTCACATATTAACTCTGTTAAAAAGACTGAGAATAGACTAGGCATGGTGGCTTATGCCTGTAATCCCAGCACTTTGGGAGGCCAAGACAGATGGATCACTTGAGGTCAGGAGTTCAAGACCAGCATGGCCTACATGGTGAAACCCCATCTCTACTAAAAACACAAAAAATTTAGCCGGGTCTGGTGGGGCATGCCTTTAGTCCCAGCTACTCGGGAGGCTGAGGCAAGAGAATCCTTGAACCCGGGAGGCAGAGGTTGCAGTGAGCTGAGATTGTGCCGCTGCACTCCAGCCTGGGCGACACAAGTGAAACTCTGTCTCAAAAACAAACAAAAAAACAAACAAAACAAAACAAAACGAAAGACTAGAATGTCTTGACACATATTAAACAAAATTATTTTAATATATGTATCCTAGAAAATAGACTAATATAATTTGGTTACCAAATGTGTATAATCTGTACTTTTCCACAGCATTCCAAAATAACTGTGAATATTGTTTTCTACCAAACCTGTTTAATCATCTTGCCTAAGTCAGGGTGCACCGGCATCCTAAATTGCTTAGAAAAAATGATAAGGACCTGTTTTCTAGACTCTTTAAATCTGAGAGGTAGTTATTATTTATATTAAAATATAATGCCTAAATATTATATAATATTGAAATATGAAAGATAACAGTTAACTCAAATATTCATAAAAATGCTTCATTTCCATGGATAAAGTAAATTTTATCGGATATAAAGATTGATAAATGAAAGTGCAACCCTAAGAAATCTATGAAGGCTTGAAAATCTGTTTTCCGTACGTAGTTTGGAATTCAAATTTTACGTTATGTTTCTACATGGCTCTGTGCTTTTTAAATGTTTCTTTCCTTCACTGTAAAGTAGTAAAGACCTATAGGATGATTTTTGCAATAACCACTAAGCTCTCTGAAAGACATACCTACTGTGAAATTTGAATCATTATAAGTCATTGCAAAGTTGAATTCAGTAAAATAGAAACCAATTAAAAGATAATTAAAAATACATAAAGCTACAAAGATTTTTCATTTTTAAAAATCAGAAAATCAACTCAGAAACAAAATATGATTAGTTAATTAAGGTTCTTGGTGACATTATAAGAATCTGGTAAAATGGAGAAATATTAACATTAGATGCTAATGTTAAACTAGACATGCTGGACTTACGTTGAAGAAAGTTATATTTATTTTAGATATTTACCAAACTTTTTGACAGTAAGGTCAATCAAAGTGTAGAAACATTTTATTAATGAGGTAGATACGGCAAAGTCACTAAATATCTTTAAATAAAGTTTAGCAATATTAGTGGAAAGGATAGGAGAGCCCTTATTTGGACTAGACATTTCTTCCAATCATTACATTTGCTTTCAACCTTATTACCTAAAAGTTTTCTATGGGCTGCTAGTCTCCAGATAACTGGCATTTTCAATAACAGTCCTTGAACTTGATCTTTCTGTCTACCCAAGGGCATCTGGAGCCCCTTGTAAGAAAAGTGGAAATCACGTAGTCAAAGATTGAAAGTCTTCATTTGCAATGAGCACACATAATTTAACATGATAAATTAGAACACACAGAACAAACATAAAAAAAATTTAAAGTGAATTATTTAATCTCCATGATCAAATTTCTCATAGTTTCTAAACATCAGATGGAAGGTGTATTATACAACAAGAGGTACAACTCAAAATATAGCTCTATAAAAAGTTACTGTCTAGCAGAGAGAGATCATTATTCTAATCATCTACTTGAATCAGGTTTTAAATTTCAGTGGTATTTATGTAAAAATTATGAAAATTTATAAATAGCGGCTAAGGGGCCATAGACATTGTTATGTTAATGTTAAAAATTAAAAATTATACATTATATAATATCTAAATAATAAATATGAATAAGGTAATTAGATATTTTAATAATACAAATACAAAGAAATAAAAATGGAAATAATTTGATCTGATCAAAGATGGATCTTTCAAGGACATAAAGAAAATTGCTGAAAGAGATAAATGGTAACAAAATACTATAGTTATATTCCACCCAAAGTAAAGAAAAAAGTGGGAATAATTTGATTATTTTAAATAGTACTGTGCTTCAGATACATAATTTAAAAATAAGGCTAAGTTTTCTTTAATTATCCGGGGCCAAAAAAAGTTTGTTCATCTCATTATAACAACACATCTTTTGATATTTGAAGGCAAGAAGACATCATTTCCTACTAAAGATTTATGAAAAATAAGCAATGTGTATTAGCAACTAAATCAAGGCTCTGGAGTTGATTTAAGTGCACACTACATTCATGCATTCTACAACCACTTAGCTATTGAGTCATTCTCTCAGGCACTATGATAGTAAACAGACAGATAAAAATGGAAAATGCAAAGACCGCATACAGTTCAATTGAAAGTCAGTTTCAAATATAATTCATAAATGTATTTTATCCACTTCTTAAAGTATTCCTTCAGAAACTAATATTTTTCATTATCATTTAGTTTCCTTTCACATAAAAAGGTACTATAATATTGAATAGAACCCACACTCCATTTTGCACAGATTCTATACATTTCCTTGAAACACCAATATTGTGTATGAGAACGACTGAATTCTTGTTTATTTTATATGGACTATTCAGAAAAAATATAGGTCCCCTGGTAATAACTATGTAGTCAGGCACAGAGCTGAGCATTTTCTGAAGATTATACTTCCAATAGCCCTATGAGTGCCTCTTTATATAAATATTCTAATGGAAGGAAAGAGAGGTGTGCAATTTGCCCAGGGCTAAAATTGTGTTAATTGCTGTGGACGTGATTTTAACTCGTGGATGGCCTGACTCCTAAAACTGCTTTTAACTACTTCACTATATCCCGACTGCCACAGATTAACTGACCTTCCAGAAAAGCTGTGAAGGAAAACAGATATGTGCAAGTTCCTTAACACAATTATTTTCTGTATGGACACACCTGCTTCCAAACCTACTATATGTTTAATTTGTGTATGGTACTAGTCATTATGCAAGAACTTTTGGAAACTTGAAACTATTTGAACATAGCACTGACTGAGATTTTTTTCATAAAAATATATTTAAAAAATTGAAATACTACTAAAACGTATGGTAAGAAATCTGCCATGTTTACTCAGATAATACAGGTGGATGGGGCTCTTTGATTGGGAGAGGGACTGCTCTTTACAAAAGCTGTTGCAAGCTGAAATGCTGCAGCTTCACCTGGCTGCACACCTTTGCTGCTCCAATTGCTCCACATTGGGTCAGTCTTCCTCCTGATATTATTTCCCAGTCTTCTGCAGCCATGCTTCCATTACTTGAAATTGTTCTTCAATGTGTCTGTGGCATGTTCCTTCAGCCTGCCCTATTTGAGATCTCCTCAGTTCAGCTCACCATACAACAGCTGGCCAGGTGTCCTCCTGCTGTCATCCATTTTTTATACTTGTTTAGTCCAGTGGAGCAGTATTGTAGCAAAGAATAACTTCACTGCTGTTGCACTGGCTGTGTTCCAGGACTTCCTGTTGGTGAATATGTTTCTACTTGTGATGCTAACTAAAATCAAGGTTAAACATAATGATCAATATTTTGCTCATTTTTTTGTTATGGCATATTAGTAAACATCTATGTACCTTTATACTCTACATAATCTGTCTTATTAATCAAGTTATTCAAATGTTTAGTTTGATAACATACTGCTTTTAGCAGGATTTAAATAGAGCTGTGTTAATATATTAAAAAAAAAAAAAAGAACAACCACTGCAGTTACTTTCAACTTACAGACTAAATAATATCTTACGTATTAATCAACAATCTCTGGTCAATTCAGAAATTTTATGAGCCATTGTGCAAAAGATAATGAACACCAATTATGCAATGCAAAAAAGTAAGGTAAACCCACAAATATTCTCCTAAACCTTCTTTAAGATAGAAAAAATTATTCGAAATATCAGGAAATATTTTGAAAAGCTACCAAAAAGATACCTGATATTAATAAAAATGTGTATCTAGTCACTAATATGCTTATGATACTGGCCTATATATTATTTCGAACTCCAAACATAGCAAAAATTAAAAAAAAATAGTATTTTTCAGTGGCCGTGATGCATAAATGATTCCAGCTAACTTAATATTCAGTTTCCACACACTTTCACATAAAATACTCATAAATTATAGTTAACATGAAATGGTCGCATACATAACGTGCGATCATTAGCATTTCCCTTTCATATTCAGTAAATAATAAACATTATTGGTTTTCTTATATGATAAGATGTGGTAATAAAACCAGAATGAGATTAATATTGCTATGTTAGAAACTTAAGTGGATCATACGCAAGTACTATGAGAAGAAGTACTGCCAGAAGGAAATTATGAAGAAAATAGATAGAGTTACAAATTTACTGACAGTATTAGGCAGATCATACTGGTATGGAATATATCACTTAGAGTACATCGTATAGCTTTTTGTCATAAAGTGAATCCTCATTTATCATTGATAGGACATATTTAATTCTGCATCTGCGTCTAAATCTATACTAAAGAGAAATACACTGTGGTAACTGCAGTTTGTTTTCTTTTAAATTCATTTGTTTTGTTTTGCTTTATTTTTAATGGTGGTCAGGATCTGTAGGAATCAGTGAAATTGCATTCCGGACATCCATATTTTGTGAAATAACTGTCATTTTTCTCTAAGCTATACTATAGTGAAGTCTGAAGTATTGGCGAATTAAATATCTATTAAAGATTTATTATAAATACATTTTATTTTTAATAAAGATTTAATTCACCAATAACTCAGACTTTGTAGTTGGCATTTTGAAGAGTTCTATTTCTTTTGTGCCTGGATATCATGAATTTATACATCTTGCAGAATCTGCAGTATTGGAGAAGACACTTCCAAATATCCACTAGTTTATTGGAAGCTTAAAAATTATGATCTGTCATCTATTGCAGAGCTTCTTATAAAAATCAATTCTATATTTTTATAATAGATATATAAAATTAGTAACATATGTTTATTCATTAATTATAACAGGTATTTGCGGGATAACTACTATGTTCCAAGAGACTGCAAAGATGCTGGAGATATAATGGTGATCAAAGGATTTTACCTCCCTTATGGAGTTGTCAGTGCCCTCCAGACAAAACTTACAAGGAACACACTGGTAGTCAAGCAAAGTTGGGCTTATTTACTTGCATTGAGGAAGACTGCACACCATTGAAAATTTTAGAGTATTTTTTTTAAGAGGGTGTAAAAAGCTCTTACTGCATGTATTAGTTCATTCTTGCACTGCTATAAATAAATACTTGAGACTGGGTAATTTATGAAGAAAAGAGATTTAATTGGCTCACAGTGCCACAGGCTGTATAGGAAGCATGGCTAAGGAGGCCTCAGGAAACTTACAACCATGGTGGAAGGCAAAGGAAATCAGGCACGTCTTCACATGGCCAGAGCAGGAGGAAGAGAGAGAGAAGCTGCTACATACTTTTAAATAATCGGATCACATGATAACTCACTCACTATCAGGAGAATGGCACCAAAGGGGAAATCTGGCCCTGTGATCCAATGACTTCCCCTCAGGTCCCACCTCCAGTGTTGGAGATTCCAGTTGGACATGAGATTTGGACAAGGACACAGACCCAAACCATATCACTGTAAGAGTTTTTGCTTGAATTGGGTGATTTTAGGGAGGTTTTGAAGAAGTGAGGTCTGCCCTGGATTCAATAATGCCACTAAAGCAGGTAATTTACTGATTTGATATCTTAATCATTCTTAACCTACAAGGTGAGAGGAGCAAATAGAGGCTAGGAACAGCAATTATAGATATTAGCCAGAATAGATGATGCATTTGGTCAGTTTTTAGTTTTGGACATTGTTCTTGGCTTATTCTGTGCTCAGGTATAATTATGGAGGGGACTTGTCTTATTCCTCCTTCATAATCTCAACATCCTTTTCTGATGTGAATGTACTTTGAAGTTGTTTTTGTCAAGCAGTAGAATAAAGCACCATGGCCTGGCTGTGAGTGCTGAGCCAGCTCCTAGCAACACCAAGGCATAAATGATAGTGTCAGAGCATCTTCCAGCTGTTGATGTCTACTTTTCTCTTTGTCAGAGGTAATTGCCTGAGGAAACTAAGGCAGGTTATAGATGACATTTTCAAATGCTTAGATAATGACAAAACAAGGACCCTAGTCTGTTGTTTTTTGAATAGCCCCAAAGTATCATTTTTTATTTAGCCACAGCCATTTTCCTACTTGTACCCCACACAACTTAGCCACATCCACATACTGTAATTATAATGTGATACATGACAATATTTGATGTAGCTAAATAAAATGATACATTTCTGCATGTAATATGTAGTTTAAAATGAATAGAGTTAACTATAGTTCACACATATGTAACCAATAAACATCATATTTCATAAATTCATGTATAAGAAATGTATTGTCATCCTTCAATAATGTGAATTGCTTTGTCTTATCTACACAGTAGATGTTTATTGTTAGTCAATTCAACTTTTTTTCCATCCCTCCTTCTTCCTCCTTGCTTCAGTTTTCTAAAGTTAAGTAAAAGTTTTAAGGGCCTGAGGCATTAAAAGACTATCATATTTTTTATTCAATCTCTAATCATCTAGTCGTACTGATTCACTTACTGAAAGCTACTTTTGCAACTGGTCTCTAAAGCTCCACAAATTTGATGGCCATTTTCTCCTCATCTAGACAGCAACACATGTTGAGTACATTGGCTCCTGGTACCCTGTTACTGATATTCCTAGGTAATGGAAAGCACACTAAAGCCAGAGAATACGCTATAGGCTGCCTCAGACCCATCTATGCAGACACTTCACAAAGATATTTCTGCTCACTTCCTGCCACACTGGTGCAGGAACACTTGGTCACTTGGGGGACAAAAGGCTTAAGCAGAGGATTCTTTATTCAATTGGCCATCCTATCTGGGTATTCTAACGTCAACATTCCTTGGAGTTCAGTTGGAAAAAATCCTTCTTAGCTTCTGATTCAATTATTTTCTCAATTCAGAGCATCTGTAGTTCAGTTTAAGCTGTTAATCTATTCCTCTTAATCTATTGTTTATAAAATCAATGATACTTTTTGAATCCAATAGTTTGCCTTGGGTTTTGAAACGGAGTATTTTGGAAAAGGTCATGAGGTACCTGGAAATATGGAAAACAAGCTAGTGTAATATCCTAAAATATTATTCTGCCAGATATATTTTTAATGTAAGAAAATTATTGGTCATTCAACTTCATAACTTTGTGTTTAGTTATTCTAATACAAATGTGTATCATTTAGTAAGAAATAAATTATGAAATTATGTATGGTTTTTAAACTATAAATTGCTCTTCATTTTAATAAAATATTATTGTATTTTGACATATAGTTTTAACTTTGAAGTGTCCAATGGTTGAAATCCTCATCAGTTTATTTTTATTTCCTGTTGAATATATGTAATTTAAATAATAAAACATTTACTAGATAATATTTTTCAAGAAACAATTACCCTACATATTAGCAACATTTTTCCACATATTGGAAAAAAAACAAAAACATATGAGATATTTTTTCTGGTACTTTCTACAAGATATAAATAACCTAACATTGTGCACAGAGCTGCATGGAGAATGGTTTAAATTAAATTTTCCTCAAGTTGTTGTCCTGTGTGCAAAATCATGGGGTGATTTTTTATTTTTCCCAGAATTGAAAATCCTCAGGGGAAAAAAGAACTTTTAATGGGATCACTGCTGGAACCTAAACTTCTTAGAGTTCAGCAGACGATGACAATTTAGGAGACCCACATAAACGTGCTGCCGCTGTAGACTACTGAGAGGAAATGTTATCCAGATCTCTATCAGGAGTTCACAAATGTGATGCAGCTCTGAAGAAGTCTTGTGACTCTTCAAAATTAAGTTCTTTATTTTGTATCAATGGGATATTATGAAAGAACTACCCTTCCGGGTGATGATTTATATAATAAAGTGAATATATGTGTTCTGCTGAAGATCTGAATAAATGTGCTTCACTGAGGGCCCAGGATGTTCTCCTCTTCATAATGGAAATTTTGAAGTTTCAGTTGGTTTTAAATCTTTGGGGAGTTTTGTTTAATGAAAATACATTGGTAATATGATGCCTCTACAAATTTCTATTTAGGAAATTAATAGAATTTAAAAAGGACTAGACGTTTTCCAAAGAAATAACTCTTAAACATGTACATTAATCACAGCAAAAGAAGTGTTAAGACCTAAGAAACCCAACTTTAGAAGGTTATTCTTAGCAATTCACAAAAGTAACATTTAAACTGCTTTTACTAACTTCAAATTTAGAAGATGAAACTATGAGTTTTTGTTGCTGTTGTTGTTGTCATTGTTGTTCTATTACTTTGTAGATAATAGTAAAGGACTATTTTAATGTAATTTATTCCAACTATAATAAAATTTGTCCAACTGGATGTAGAGTTTAGCTACCTTTGGCAGCACATCAACTAGAATTGAAAGAATTAGCACGGTAAAAAGGTCGGTGTTAATCTCTGCATGGGTGAAAGTCATACTTGCCAAATATTTACTTGATAAATGGAGCCTGGCTTTGTGGTCCAACTTTTAGTTTAAAAGTATTTTATTAATGTCTATGGAATGTGAACCAAGGAGGCCAAGGTTTTATTTATTAAGCATAAATATCGAAAAGTATTATTCTGATTTTGATTTCTTTAGAAGAAAACTACAAATTTTAAAACCTACTTTAGTCCTAATAAACCTATGAAGTCCTACTAAGACTGTTTTGCCACATCCATGTAATTCAATTTAACAGGTATTTATTAATTGCAACTAATTCCCTTAGGCAGGGCATATAATTAAAAAGATGACTAAATGATATGCCCATCCTAAGATAGCTTAAAGAAAGACAAGGACAAATTCAGAGTTTTATGTTTTTACTAGTACGTGCTGGTGCATTACCAACATTCAAATCACAGGTTACAAGAGGCTCTTCACCTGGATCTTTACATAGACACTGACACCACTTTTAAGATAAAGCACATCATAAGTTTTTAAGAAAAGTCACTCCATCTTCTGTGAGGCTAAAAGTTGTTTCTGCATGTGGTAAGGAAACTTCAAAATAAACACTACCGTTGCTGTCATGAACTGAATGCTTGTGTCTCTCCCAAAATTCATATCTTGAAATCCTAACCCGCCAAGGGATTGATGCTGGAGGATGGGGCCTTTGGGAGGTAATTAGGTCATGACAGAGGAGCCCTCATGAAACAGATTAATGCCCTTAAAAAAGACAACTCAGAAAGGTCTCTTGCCCTTTTTCTGCAATGTGAGGAATAAGAATTCGGCAGTTTGCAACCTGGAAGAGATCCCTCATCAGAACCAGAGCTTGCTGGCACTCTGACCTCAGACTTCCAGCCTTCAGAACTATGAGAAATAAATTTCTGTTGTTTATAAGCCATCCAGTCTATGATATTCTGTTATAGCAGTCCAGACTGACTAAAACAATTGCCAGTATTCTCTCTTGAGTACTTAAAAGAAAAAATATATAAGAAAATAATATATTTCATAGAAAAATATTTTTTCACTTTCTAAATGATGATAATGATACAATATAAAAATTATAAAATTAATGTGAAAGTAACCAAGCTTAGAAAAGCCAAGAAACTGAGTTGATGAATTTAGACTGATATAAAGATAGTGAATTATAATTTATTCCCAAAATACAAAAAATATTCCCACAGATCACTTATCTATACTTTTTGTCAAGGACCTGAAGCACTTACCAAAAAATAACAAAGAATTTCCTTCAATTAAATGTTCTCTTCCTCTGATGTTACCATTATTATTGTTCCTTCTAACACAGTTTTAGTGCTGAAAGCTTGTTCTACTGCAAGCTTTCCACTCTATCATCTTGTCTCAAATTAGAGCTTTATAATCTCCTACTGCTATTTACCCAATCTTTGCTGTATGCCAGCTCACCCATCATCCAAACAAAGGGAAAAAGCAATAATAATAATGTCAATATCTACTCCTAAAACAACCAGTTCTTTGTACATATGTTATATCATCTGATGCTCTTGGAAGTCCTGGAGGTAGGTAAGTCAGCATTCTTGTTTTCACTTGCAGTGTTAGTGAATTACTTGGTAACAATTTGTGAATTGCCAGTCCCAAACTTGTTTCGAGCTTCTCGGGATTATCCAGCCATTCTAAATGAAATACACAGAGAAACCTTTTCTACAAAGGTAGAAAGCCCAGATCTTCCCTGCCAACCAGTTTCTGAGTCGATTGCCACCCATTGACAATTCTTAACCTCCATTTCAAAACAAATATGGTAGAACTTTGCTTTGCTTTTTTTCTAATAAGGTTTCTATGCCAGCTTATTCTATCATCCGTCTCCTGTTTTTAGATAATTGACACTCAGATTTGATGGCAGCGGTGGCCTGTCTACAGCAGCCACTGTGAAGACGCTGGCTGCAGCAGGAAGATGTGTGACTGGGGTTATGCGGTCTGCCGGGCGTTGGGAGCTGAGAACAGCAAGGAGCCCCGCCCCCTACTGAGTTCGCAAGGTGGGAGCCCCGTGCTCCCAGGCACAGCTGCAGCTTCCCAACCACAGCTCTGGACCTGGCATCCCTGCCCTCTCGGAGGCTTGGGCAGCCCCTGCTCCTGCAGGCTCAGAAGTGCCTGTTCCCACTGTCTGACCTCTCCTGGCTCCTGGCATTTGCTTCGGTGCAGAGCAAAGTTGTGGCCAAGCCCGGGTGCTGTTGTGATCCAGCCAGCTGTCCGTGCACTTGTGGCGGCGCTGACATACCAGCCCCCCTGCCTCCTCCACCCCCTCCGAACTTTGGGCACCCGTGATCATGGAAGGGAGACAGAGGTTGGCGGCTGAATGCAGCTTCGTGTGGGCCTGCAGGCACCCCTTGGCACTAACAGCATGGGCACCATGGACAGCATGTTGATGGCAGGGAGCAGACAGGTTTTTGGTCAGAAAGGGACAGGTCCCTGGTGAAATGCCATCTTCAAGCCAGGAAGGTGACTGCCTAAAGCCTGGGGGCAGGGTTGCCAGTTCTGGGTCGGGGAGTTGAAGTCCGGAGTGAAAACTCAAGGTGCTTTTTCCAGGCCTGCCCAAGGACACCCACGGACCAATCAGCACACACTTCTTCCTTCCAGAGCTTATAAAGACCGCAGACTCATCTAGATTCACACAGACGTTGGGACAACCTGCCTGTGGAAAGGAGCTACCCACTGTAGGTCTCCTCTCCACTGAGAGCTAGACTCTCACCAGGACAACCTGCCTATGGAAAGGAGCTACCCACTGTAGATCTCCTCTCCACTGAGAGCTAGACTCTCACCAGGACGACCTGCCTATGGAAAGGAGCTACCCACTGCAGGTCTCCTGAGAACTGTTCTGTTGCTCAGTGAAGGTACTCTCTGCCATGCTCAACCTCCAGTTGTCTGCAAACCTCATTGTTCCTGGATGCGGCACAAGAACTTGGAACCCACTGAATGGCGGGACTGAAAGAGCTGTAACACAAACAGGGCTGAAACATGCTCCGCCACTTGCCATGTTGCGGGTGACGAGAAGGAGAGAAGAGCTGGGGACCTTTGGGGAGCCCAGACCCAGGGGCTCCTTGAGCCAAGGCTGTGACACCCTCTTTGGGACTCTGTGGTTCCTGGCATCTCCAGGCTTCAAGATGCCACCGCGGTCCTCTCGTAGAGATGTGTGTGCCTGCAGTAGAAGCTGTGTACAGCTGGTCCAGCTGCAGCCTCGCATGGTGCAGGCACCTGTGCCGATGCGTGGAGCTGCCTGCCCTGCCACAGCCGACGTACCCGGCTGTGCACAGTGGCCGGATCCTGCGCTCACTCGCTCACACATACCTCACCCCTCTGCACCTGGCTCGCCCTTGGCAGGCACGGGATCAAGGCTGGTAGCATGAGCCGAGTGCAGCCTGCCGGGCCAGGTCGTCAGAACAAGCCCAGCAGGTGCAAGCAAAACCCAAGCAGAGCCACCGGTGGCCACAGAAGTTGCTGGCTGGTGAAGTAACACCCTAAGGATCCCATGACAGATTCACCTTGTCTAGAGCAAGGCCTGAATATCCTCATAGACCCTACCTTATACAGATAGTTACCCATCCTTTATTACTCCTTTGTAAACTGGCTACTCTGGAGATGGACGTGTTTCCCCACACCTCAGTCTATCACCTTGATTGTACACTTGCCCACACACACATAATACATTTAGGTATCATCTTGTTTCCCTCATTCATAGGACTAGCTGCCTTTTCATCATCTCTGCCTCACTTCCTTGCATTTAGATTTTGTGTGTGCTTGGTGGATGAGAGACTTACTCAAGCCAGAGCCACCCCCATGTTCAGCAATCCCTCCCTGTGCCCTCCTTTACTTTCCTCCACATTCTTTATCCTACAGTCTGGACTCTGTTCTTGTTTCTTTAGCACCTAATAACTTTCAATCTGTTTTGTTTCTATCTTCAGCCTACAATAAATATAATGTATACCCTAATAAGCCAGGATAAAACACACATACACACACATTTAATACAGGATTCATAAAACAATACTAACTCTTGGCAAGTGAATTTGTCAATTGAATTGTCAAGTGTAAGCACTCTAAATTTTCTATTCTGTTCTGTTTTATTCTAGTATTTCTTATTATTTCACCTAAAAGGGCTGATCAAAATAAAATAAAATGGATTTACAACTTACTGAAGGGATCATGATCCACAATCTGAGAAACAACGCTCTAACTGGCTAGTCATGTTTCACTTAGGAAAACATTTACCCAAAAGATAATGGCTGCTCAACAGGCTGCCAAAGTCTTTGGCCTCAAGATTTGAGACCTCTGACCAAGGTTTAAATACATTCTCATACCTCCCAGCAGAGGTTAAAATGCAGAGGTTAAAATGCCCATGAACTACTACCATTTGCTCATCAATTCATAGGACAATTATGATATTATTAAAAAATCTAGTTGCTGTTTTTTCTTCGAAAGCCTATTTGTAAGATACATAAGAACAGATAATGTATTTTATTAATTGATGTAGCCCTTGTTTCTAGGCACTTGCGGGCTCATAGTGTTCATTCTAATATTTGCTGAATAAATCAATCATTGAATCAATGAATGTTTGGAAGTGGCTTAGTAGGTTGTTACTCATTCATGCGTTCTCTCATTCAGTAAGCATCTGATGAATACCCATTACATTATATGTCAGTCACTATGCTTGTTCCTGCTTACATTATGCAATTGATTGAAACCAAGTCCTTATTTTTAAGAATAAGTAGTAGAATATGTAGTTTCTGAATGTTAAAGGAGTTAAATGAAAGATTAATGTCTAGCTCTTGCTATATGTGGAACTAACAAATCACATGTATGTTAATTTTCTCATCACCCAATCAACAAATATTTAAAAAGCACATGGAATGTGTTAGACACTATTTTAGGCCTTGGAGACAGCATGAATAAACAAGAAAAATTTCCTGCCCTCAAGGAGCTCACATTCAGTGCGACAAGATAGAAATGGAACATAAGCAAATGAACAAGATAAAGTAGATAGTATTAAGCTCTATGAAGAAATAAAACATGGTGAAGAGATAGGGAGGTGGGCAGGTTAAAAGGAAGAGAGTACTTTTCTTTAGAACAGCATCTAGATGTCTCTGGAAGGCAATGGGAAACTGAGGTATTAAGAAAACTTTATTAGGAAAATGCAAATGGCTGCTTTCCCCAGTTCAGAAAGATCTTTGCCTCAGCTCAGGAGGACAAAGTGCTTGCACTTTTCAAAATGTGAAAAAGAAAAGGCTTTCACTATTGCTGGTCATTGGTCCTCCATGAAGTAAAAAATAAATAAATAAATAACAAAAATATAAGACAAGAAAGAAAAGGAACAGATCCTTGCCTCATTAAGCAACCAAGGTTAGTACAAAATATTTTGCTGAAAAGTAGGACAGAGATTAAATTGAACCTATGTTTAAAGCAAAATGATTGCTGTGACATGCATTTCTCATATCAGAGCAATTTAGATAGGAAATAACTGGTAAGCAAACATTCTGTATTATAAATGAGAAAATCCTGGAAAGATTATTGTTGTCTTTTTCACTGAACACATCAGCAGGAAAATTATTCAGCCCCAGGCAGAGGAAACAAATATCATCAAATACAACAGGGTTGCTGTTTGGATCCTTCTACTATCCTCAAGGACTGTCATGTTTTCAGTACCCATTTCTTTGTATGTTGCCTTTCAGTACAAGTCTTTATGTCTTGTACACATTCAGTCTGTTTATTTTTTGTATTGCTGCCATTGTAAACTTCTAGAATCTTAAGTATACCAAGGACAACTGCTTTTTCTGAAATAATAATATGATGCAAATACTGAAAATAAATATAATTTGAACAAATCTAAAGCGGATTTATATAACTTGACTGTTTCAATATTTACAACATTTAGAAACTAGATTTCATTTGCACAGAAGTCCAAAAAAAATTAACAATACCTAGGGTAGTGTTACAAAGTTAGTCAGATCTCAATAAAAACGAGCTATATGAAAAACAAAACAAGTAGTAAAGCCATTTAATCACAAACTACCCAGCCTGATAAGGAGAGCAGAAACGCAGTCTCGTAAGACCCATTACCCACTATTGCTTTCTCTGCTTATATGATAGGGTTCCTGACCGTATGGGTTTATTTCCCAAGCTCTCAAGTCAGGAAACATCTGACTGGAGTTGGCCAATGGGAGGCCTTGGTGGGAGACAGGAGAATGAAAGAAAAGAAGCAGCAGAGTTATTTCTTCTTCTTCCTGCACATTTCTAGCACTCTGCCAGAGTGACCTCTCTAGAAATGCTTACATGTTCTCTGTGGTCTGACGCCCACTAAACAGGATTGCCTAAATCCGGCTATTGCAGACAAACCTCTTAGCAGAATGGGATGGCCTCTTTCCTTTTTAGCTCTAGCTAAAATGAATTGGCCACTCCCCATGGTTGCTGATATTTGCATTATCTCACTGTTTTTATTTTCTTGCTGAGCTTTTCCATCGCCAGTACAACCAATCCTATTCATTAAGTTTTCTGTGCTTTGCATTCATTGAGTGATTGCATATTCCTAGTTAAAACTTGAAGAATACAAGCAATATTTGATCCACTATATATGTATAATATTAAAATGTTATGATATCTGTATTGAAACTGTCTTTTCATAAATCTGGTCATAAATATATATCCCCGTACATTTTGACTCCATTCTCAAATTTTAAGGGAAGTTAAACTTTTATATGCATGTTTTATAATTCCTTTCAGCAAAATTATTTTATAATGTTGGCCAACTACTATGGGGCTAAGGTTTCCTATTCCTTACTTGAAAAATATCAATAAATCTCTCTTGTTTCTCTCTCCAAAATTGCCCCTTTTTGCAGAAAGCAAATCATCCTTCTTGGCATTATCTTTTGGCTACCTATTCTTTATTGTTTGTACTGAAGTTGTTGTTTTCTTCCACAAATTAATCCTTCATATTTGATTGGCCCAGGCTAGGCCAAAAAAAAAAGAAGAAAGAAAAAAAGAAAGTGAGAGAAAGAGAGAGAGAAAGAGAGGAAGGAAGGAAATATGGAAGGAAGGAAGGAAGGAAGGAAAGATGGAAGGAAGGAAAGATGGAAGGAAGGAAGGAAGGAAGGAAAGATGGAAGGAAGGAAAGATGGAAGGAAGGAAGGAAAAGAAAGAAAGAAAAAGGAAGAGAGAAAGAAAATAACGTTTTCTTTGAATGTCAGTCTTAGGAATGCACTAACTCTGGTTAACTATGTTTCTGGCCTTGTGAACAAAATGAATCTGCAGTACAAAGTGATGGAACAATATTCAAAGTGAAGCAGAGATAAGAAAGGTAGAGTTTAAGATTCTCCTTGCTGTTCTTTGAAGTCAACCTCCATTAGTGTCTTTCTTATCTATATTTGTTAAATATAAATATAAGTATGTGTGTGTATATGTATTAATTTAAATAATTGAGGAATATACTCTAAGCCAATATAATCATTTTTTATTAAGCTAGGTTGAGTTTATTTTCTGTTATTTGCAACTTAAGATGTCTTAAGTAATACACATATCACTTTATTACATTGTATTAAAATGTCACTGTTAAACCTGCTCCTTGGAACAAGGACTTTCATTGTGTTAGGATAATGAGGCCTCACAAAGAAGTTAAGTCATTCTTGTTGCCTAGAATCCATTTTTAAGGCTTGAATCTCAGACATCAACCAGAATTGAGAGCAAAAGCCACAGGTGGGCTACAGAGTGAAAATTTGCCTCTTTCAGTCTTGACTAGCCCTAAATAAGTCAAAATGTCTATCCACCTTGGGGGTAAATTTTAAGATGGTATAAAAACAGACAGAAAGAAATGAAATCAGGAAATATGTCAGGAAAATTGAGCCAGCTGTTTTTAGACATAGTGTAAATATTGCAAGGCAATGGATGAAATAGGATTAGTAACTGTGTCCTCCAAATAAGTGAGCTGAGCAGAACACAGAAATTGGCCATGTGAAATTATACTGTTTCCTGCTCTATTTAATGCATTATTTTCTCTTCTATTCCTCCTTATACAACTTAAACAGATGAATCCAAGGGCAAAATGAATTGACATGCTATTGCCAGAGAAAACATGACAGGTCAGGACTGGAATCTGCCTTCGAAATGTCTATTTTATGGTCTTATACGTTTTTAAAATATACTTTAAATCCTAGGTATTCATAGTAACAATATACAGAATTATTCCAATTGTGTTTCCTCCAGTTTTTTCCTACCACTTTAAATATGCTATATCAAATGCTTTTGTTGTTGTTGTTGTTTTAGAATAAGACATTTATATTTAAAAACATAAAATTCTCATTCAGGAAAAGTACATATTGCCCCAGGATAGGTAACAGAAAATAAAGTTTCTTCAAAGCCTCACACCCTGTGTTTTCCCTCCACCACATTTTGGACTCTTCCCTAAAAACACACACACACACACACACACACACACACACACACAATTTTTGTTAACTAAGTTGGAGATGTCTAAAAACACGTAAGTTTTTGACCAAATAATTTAGCAGATAAATGTGCATAGTCACACTTTGCTTCCTCTGTATATTTTTTTCTTTCAGAAATTTCCTAGTATATGTGTCCTTCATTCCTTAACTCATTGATTATTTTCTAATAAATCTAATGGGTTAAGGGATGACAAAGATTTTCACATTTAAATTATACTTGTATTTTAATTGGGAAAATTTTAGAGATTGAAACTTTTAAATTCATGATAAATAAATGTTTAATAGTGGACACTCTGGCCTTGATACTATACTAAGAAGACAGAGTTAGATATGTGTTTGAATACTAGGTTGTGGTGCAAACATAATTGTGGTTTCGAACCATGAAATTTAAATCATTATAATAGGCTCAAACACATCTTTTTTAATCAAAATAGGAACCATTACAATCAACACATTTTTGCCAATGAGAAATAAGTTTGTTTATTCCTATGGCATAAAAATCCATGCTTCGGGATTTAATGAACTCTTGGAAAGCATTTTCTGCACTCTGCTGGTTGTGGAAGCGTTTTCCCTGCAAAAAGTTATTGAGATGCTTGAAGAAGTGGTGGTTGGTTGACGAGAGGTCAGGTGGATATAGCAGATGAGGCAAAACTTCACAGCCCAGTTCATTCAACTTTTGAAGCATTGGCTGTGTGACATGCAATCAGGCTTTGTGGAGAAGAATTAGGGTCTTTCTGTTGACCAATGCCAGCTGCAGGCATTGCAATTTTCAGTGCAGCTCATGGATTTGCTGTAATGGTTTCACTGGGATTCAGAAAGCTGTAGTGGATCAGACTGGCAGCAGACCGCTGAACAGTGACCATAACCTTTTTTTGGTGCAAGTTTGGCTTTGAGAAGTGCTTTGGAGCTTCTTCTCAGTCCAGTCACTGAGCTGGTCATCATTAGTTGTCGTATAAAATCAATGTTCTGTCACGCATCACAATCCAATCAAGAAACTTTTCATTGTTTTGTGGAATAAGAGATGACAACACTTCAAAATGCAGATTTTTAAAATTGTCTCTCAGCTCATGAGGCACCCAATTATTGAGCTTTTTCTCCTTTCCAATTTGCTTCAAATGCCAAATGACCACAGAATGATCAATGTTGAGTCCTCAGGCAACTTCTTGTGTAGTTGTAAGAGGATCAGCTTCGATGATTGGTCTCAGTTAGTCATTGTCAACTTCCAATGGCCGGCCACTACACTCCTCATCTTCAAGGTTCTCGTCTCCTTTGCAAAACTCCTTGAACCACCACTGCATTATATGTTCATTAGCAGTTCCTGGGCCAAAAGCATTGCGGACATTGCAAGTTGTCTCCACTACCTTATGTCCTATTTTGAACTCGAATAAGAAAATCACTTGAATTTGCTTTTTGTCTAACATCGTTTCCATAGTCTACAATAAATATAAAATAAACAGCAAGTAATAAGTCATTAGCAAAAACGTAAAGTGAGAAATGCCCATTAAAATGAAGTATAACATAACCACATTTAAATAAGAATGCATTCCAATATCAAGTGGCAAATTCCAACAATGCAAAAACTGCAATCTCTTTTGCACCAACCTAATAATCCACTGAAGTGAATACTTATTCCACCAAATTGTTAGTCAAATACTGGGAATGTCAGTATGTAAAAGAGCTATGAATTCTCTTAGAATATTTTATTTACTGTACATAACCATATTAAATTATCTATTATTTATCTAATAATATGTACATTTAATTTTTTTAAATACTGAATTTATTCTTATTAGTTGTTACCTCATTTAGGGATCTTACGGCTTAAAGTCAATTTCATTCAATGTGACAGTAAAACTCTTTTTGAAAAATATATTGTATTTGTTTAAGTTCCTTTTCACTGGCATAGAAATGGAAACAAGTTACTGTCTACTTCATGTAATAATACTTAAATGTATGTACAGATTATCTAGGTGTTTGGATTTTTAAAAAATTTAATTCCATTAGGGTGAGTCATGAGGACACTGATATAATTTTTGACAGGTTTTAGGAGTTTTTTTTTTCTTTTTAATTGGGTCCATTTAATCAACTTTAAAATGTGTGAGTGAATGGACGTTATCTAACAATATGAATACCAGATTTTACTCAACGGTGTAAGAGCTCTGGTAAGGAGGTGGTTTAAAATTAGCTTCTCAAAACTTAATTTTCATATGCTTTTACAATACTAATGGCATTTTTTCATTCTGGATTTGTTTATTCCCTAAACTTATGCAAGACTTAATTTTTCAAAATACTGCAAAGGAAACCACTACTAATTGCTATTTTTAATAAAAAATTCCTTGTTTGGGACCAAGTTCCATTTATGTCTGTAATGTAATTCCTTATTCTATCACTGGATGATGAATATGCTCATCCATTAACTCAGTGTCAGAAAGATTTCCTTTGCAGATTCTCAATGTCCTGCTGCTATAATTAAACTAATCATACAGTGGGGACCATTGTGGCCTACTCAATTTTATGTAATTTTATAAATTACTTAACAAAATTTCTTAAACTATTTGCAAGACTGTTCGTATAAATGATTTCACAAGTTAAAAACAATTCTTTATTAGACTTCTGGTAATGACTTTTACTTTGCTAAACATGACCACAAAAATTACAGTAAGTTTTCCAATCATTATTATAAATATTTCTCAGCTGCTGCTACAGTTGGCCTTGTGGCTGCTGCCAATTTTACATGGCCTTTTCTAGGCTCCTGCACAATTATGTGTATCATTAGCTTACACTGTTTACTTCTTATTGCCATTTGCAATTTTGTTACTGTAACTCTCAAGAACACACATTTTTTGTCTTTCTTTTTTTTTTCCTGGCTATTTGTTCTTAAAAAAAAAATCCAGCTGCTCTTTTCCTTGTGGCATGTCATTGCTTCCATTGGTTAACCTCCTACCTCTGCCATCTTCAAGGCAAAACTATTGTGTCTTTTACTATACAATTTATACTATTTATGATCTATACTGGCTCCACACTGACCATTACATCTTTCCATTCTAATACATCCTGTAAGACCTGATTTAGTCCTCAGAGCAATGTGATGAGGTAAGCCTCTGACTTATAAGCACTAACGTTTGGATTCACTCACTTCTCTTTTCCAACTACATTCTGAGTATTGGAACGAAACGGATGTTTTCTACGAAGAATGACACCAGGATACCTTTCAGTATCTCTTCCTTAGGGCACAGGATATTACATTCAGAATAATACACAGAATATTTTCAAATGCAGAATAGAAAAATTTGGTTAATATGTAAATATTGAAAAATATTCAAAATTAGAATACACAGCAAATTATATGTTAACCTAAATAGTAAGATATACATCAAATATACTAAAACGAGAGTTTATTATACCATTCTATGGGACAAAATTGTATGTAATCACAGGAGCTGTTATCCAATAAAGGAAGTAAAATTTCAAGAGAATATAACTGAGATTTTTAAGATAAAAAGAGGAGAATTACATATTTAAGAAGCATAAATAAATCACTGCTTATAAAATATTTCACATTAATAGAATAAATATGAATAAAAAGTCAAATAATTTACTAAATAAAATGAAGAAATCATAAGAATATAATTAAATTATATTTTATTGTTTTAAAGGGAACTAACAGTTGGAAATAATAAAGTACAAATAAAGTATGATTAGACATATTCACAAACTCAAAATATATATAGGTAAATTTTCTTTAGAGTCTCTGATTCTTTGCTTCCTTGATTCTGGTAATACTATAAAATACTGTGTAAGAAACTGTGTTTGGCTGTGTGAGAAATAAAATCCAGAATACAATATGGTGCTTGGATATAGAATTAAGAGTAATCGTTTTATGGTTAAGGAAGACTGTATGGTAAGGAAGTACCTTTATAATAAGTAAGAAGAAATATCTTTGAAATCTGAAGAAACAACATAGACAAGTACAGATACTTGAAAGTGTCCATCAAATTCAGAAATCAATGAGAAATTCACCTCTTCTGACTTCCCTTTCAAGTCTAATCATTATCAGATGAGAGAGGGCAGAACCATCTTTGATAGAAGATAATCAAAGTCCAAAATACACTAGGAGATAACAAGTGAGCACCTAAGTAATCTACATAACTTTGGGAGTCTCGAGTCAGACAAATTACTTACAGAAGTACAGTAAGATGTGCACTGATATCACTGAACTGCAGCTAATGATGTCTGAAGAACTATATTGAAAATAACACAGTCCTAAAATCTGTCAGGCTGACATATTTGTGGAAAACAGCAGACGTGGTTTAAGAAGGTTTTATGAAGTAAATACCTGTAAGAATTTAGAAAAAGGAAGGAGGAAGCCGTTGTTAAGAGCCAGGATAAAATGTAACCTAGAAATTAAAGTATAATAAAATATATATATATTTTATATATATATATATGTATAAATCGCAAAGAACAAATCTCAATAAGCACATGTCATTTTCTTTTTTCCTTGCTTTCTTTCATTTTTTCTTCCTTCCTTCCTTCCTTCCTTCTTTCCTTCTTTTCTGTACTTGTCAAATTAGTTAATTGGGGCAGTGATAGAGTTTCACTTTTCTCAATATTGTCATTGTAGAAATCTTGGGCTGGATAATTTTTTGTTGGTGGGAGGGGTCTGCCTGCATACTGTCGGATGTTAAGCTGCTGCTTGGCCTCAGTCCTTCCCTCCTTACCTCTCTAATTGATTTGTGAAAACCTGTTTTTTTTTTTCTCCCCTCGGGAGAAAAATCATGCATATGGTTGAGAACCCTTATCTCAGATACAAGATATGTGAAAATTTTCCAGGCATTTGATGACATCTGTTATTATGTTACTGAGATAAAATGAACAGATATAAACTGAAGATTTCTTAAAAGTAAGTTCATTGTTATCTGGCCTATTAACTTACTCATAAATATTTATTGAAAATTTACATGATGTCGGGCACAGTACCTGGCATTGGGGTCAAAAACAATGTGAGATTATATATCAATATCAATTTGCAGAAAGTTTTTCATGGCTCTATCTTTAGTATTATAATGTTCAACATTCTACTGATGACCTGGCTGTAGAAAAATATGTTATGCATACCCAAGCAAATCTGGAAGCATTATTTAAGTGGATTTCCAAAGATTAGTCAGCATTTACTATGCAAAAGAGGAGGAAAGTAGAAGTTGGAAAGTGTTTACACTGAAGAAACAGAAAATCTAAAACCCCTGATGTGAAAATCTCAAGGTCTGTTAGAAGAACTTTTAACAACCCATTCAGTTGGAGATAAAGAGTAAGGAAAAGTGTGAGAGTAAAGAAGAGTATGTAATAGTTAAAAAAAAAAAAGGGCAATGCCATTATGAGTCTTGTTAATAGAAAGTCATAGAATATTTTACTTTACATATGAGCAATGAGAATATATTGGAGGGATGAAGAATGTGTAAGATAGGAAAACAGTTTTTATTTACAAGATTAACACTCAATGCAATGTTAAAAAATAGACTGAGAACAATAGAGAGCCCTTGCAATAATCAGGTGAGATGTGATTAGAATGGTGGGGTGAGACTGAAGAGAAGCAGAGGGATTTGAAATGAATTTAAGATGAAGTGAAAGAAGATACTGTTGTGCAACACCCTGATCGACTCCCACCCCTTTCAAAAATGAAGCAATCATTCCCACAGCTGCTGGGTTGTGGGAAGCTGACAGCTCTCATCTGATTGCCTACGTGGAAATTTCCTTTTAGAAGAGAGCCACTATGTTCAAAGCCATGACCCATTTTTATGGTCAACCTGCATTCAATGAAAAGTCAATGCGCGTTACACAATTCTGGGATGATTTGTTACACATAAAGACGAACTACAACATGCCTATTGTTTCAGATGCCTGTGATTTTACTTTTTAATTAGTTTATAAATATCTTGTAAGCTACAAATGACTGATGTGATTAAAATTGTACTTGATAAAATATTTACATCTATCGCGGACACTGTTAAATTAATAATGTTGCATGAAAATCACTCTGAGAAGTGGTAGCTTTTGTGGTAATGAAAAGTAGCGAGGTGTTAACTTTGTTGCCTACACTTAGGGTGTTTCCTGATTAACTTTCACTGCTTGAGAAGTTTTTTTTTTAAATTCCATTAATTCTGTTGCAATGAAATATTTTATTTATAGCCCTCAAATGCATGAAGTGCCACATTTTTCACTTGAAAACGTTTTATGTAAAGGCTAAAAGAGAGCCAAAGATAAGAATACACCTTACAATCTCAAAAGAAGATAAGAACATAGTAACAAAAAAAAATTGCAAACATTAGTACTATAAAGTACTCAAATCTTGTACTAAATATATTTGTCTCCTACTTTCCCTTCAACATCGTAGCTTTGTTAAATGTTTCACTCTAAATTTTAGAATACTGTAATATGTGCTTTATAGTTGTACCAAAATGAAAAGAAATCTCCACCAATGAATATTGACCCAAAGAAACTTGCTTCTATCCACGTTTGCATTTCCCCAGAACATTTTCTGTATGGTTTCTGCAGGTGAGTGTTGATCCTTCGGCTTCAAGGAGGGTATCTCCATGTACTTTTTCTATATTCTTCTTTGGTACTTTTGTTCTGAAATGAGACAAGAAAGGTGCACTTTCTGCAGTGAGCCACAGTTCAAGTAGTCCTTACTTTTAAATTTTCCAATTGCTTCTCTTTCTGGAGACATTTATTTAAGAGTGTTCTTGATCATTATTAAATCTGGCAGATTCATCCTGAGTGCCTGCAGTGCACCAGTTCCTTTTGGAAGCAGAAAGAGAGAGTGACTGCTGTATAGAGAATAACATCTGTCTGAAATAGCACTGAGCTTTGACCTTGGCAGTTTCTCTTTAGCTGCTTTGAGCATTTATTCAGAGTAGGCAGTGACTCATTGGATCTGCTACTACACTGGTCATGTTATATTAATTCCGAAGCCTTGGTGGGGCAGAGCCTCCATCTTTAATCTCTGTTTGTGTACAACAAACGTTCAGACTTATGTATAGTTAACCTTCAAAATAAACTCATTTTATGCTTTTAAACATTCATTTGGAAATAATAAAGATCTGATTATGAGACTGCTTTTCTTAATGTAGAGTAATGATAAGATAATCATATGTTGGACTACCTTATATGTGGCTCCTTTTTGGCTGGCGTTTGCAAAGTAATTTCAAAATTTTCTTCTCATGATGAGAAAAATAGGAATATTCCTTTTATTTCATTTTTCTGGGTCTATTAGAGTAGGAATTTTATTTACATATTCACATGCAACTTAACAAAAGGAATTTTTAATACTTTGTCAACAAACAAAACTAAAATCATATGGCATTCTCAAATATGATACTTAATAATTACCGTATATACATGTATACCACATACAATTAAATCCACCAATACCATTAGATTTGTTTAGACTAGTGATGATTTACAAAACAATAAAGCAATGACATGCAGAAATTATTTAACATATATTTTCTCTATTCTAACTATGATACGCACATACACACACATATATATGTGTATTCATCATATGTATATATATATATATTTATACATATATATAATGAAAAATGTTTTATTTGGACAACAGTTTTTGAAAAATGTGCCATATCCTCCATTAATATAAACTAGATTTTTAAAAATTTCACTGAAGGGGACACATAGAGAAATAAACATTTAAGCATTTTGACTAAATGCTGTCATTCTGATTATAAAATCCAAAAGCATATAGTTCATATGTCATTTTTCTTTTCTGAAACTATCAAAGACAAACACAGAAGGAAAACAAACTCTGTGTAATTGATTACATAAAACAGATTTTATTTTCAACAACAAAATTTACATCTGAAATTATATTAGAATTCCATCCTTCCAAAAAACTACCTATTCAATTTCATATCTGAAGTAAGTTTTTTAAATGGAATCTTAATTAATGTTAATTATTTTCTACAGTGAATTTGCCATTTTATTTAAGGTGCATTTAATCATGTATTTCTTTTGAGTATTGAGTGAGTAAAATTATATACTCTCTCTCCCACCTTTCACACATTTGTCTTTTGCAGCATTTCTCTTTTATTGTTGTTCATCAATTGAATTAATGAACTGTGAAATCAGTTATTATTCTGAGGGTATATAAATTATCATTTTTAAATCTATGCTTCCTTTAATCCGTATAAAACTGAGAAGCATTTTTCATACATCTTGAAAAAGGATTAAATAAACATCAACCTAAGAAATAGCAGCTGGTGAGTTAGTGTCAGTCACTAGCTGCACATGTGATTCCAGCTGAGACATTGCACTCTATGTGCAAGCTACAAGTAAATGGTATAGAAAGTACTCTGTCAGGGTGAATCTGTCCTCTGGGTCTTTACAGAGCATAATTAGTTTCATGTAAAATGAGTGGTTTTCAAGTTTATTATATATGAATTTAATATACCAAATAGATAGAATACAAGAAATGATAAGTGGGAAAATTTCAAAAGATTTATATTTCTCTAGTGAGCACAAAAATAGCCTATCCTGCATTCTTCTCAGTTGCCACAAGATGTGTAGTACTCTGACTTTTCCCACAAGTGAAGTGATTAACTGTCTTGTGAGGGGCATTTTACTCTTTCATTTTTTTTCTACTAAGGATAAAAAAGAAAAAAAAACATAAAAAGGATACATGACTGAGTTTGTAAAATTAAACTCTGTGCAAAAATGACACCTCCTCCATATAAAGTGTTTGAATTATACAAATCTCTGGACAATAATTTTGGAAAATTTCATAGGTGCCTTTCAGTTCACCTCTAGTTTATTTGTTATTGATAATATGAATACAACAGGAAAATGAATTCGATAAATTTCCTCTGCTTGTCTATGATCATATATTTATTTTAGGAAGCTTTTCTTTCTATAATGTATTAACAGGGACTTCTGTAACATTTTATCTTTAGCTTTCTCTTATTACATATTTGAAATAGTACATTATATTATTAGAAATACTATATTTCTTATATAATATTAGAAATAATTTTTTTCTTAGAAGTAGGGTTTTCCTATAATATTTTCCTTCTATTAAAAGCTTTACTTAATTAAACAAAAGATCTTTCTGACCAGAGACAGCTCCTTCTAGTCTATATGTTTGGTGGATCAGAGAAATGGCCACGTACATTCTCAGGGGCTATCTTTTTAAAAAGCCCTTCTCTAACTACCTGCTCTGACATTGTCTCCTCAGTTACTTCTTAGTATATCACTCTGTTTCATTCTCTGTCTAGGATTTACTATTATTTGGCACATTTTCTTCACTTACTTTTTCCCGATACATATATTTTTTTCAGGTTTTGCCCCCAACTACCATCATTTCCATACAAGATCAGTATCCTTGCCAAACTTGTTTATTTCTTTTTTCTTATACTAGAAGTATGCCTTGTACCACTAAGAATCAAGAAAAACACTCAAAAACTACCTTTACATATCAAGGACAAAAGGAAAATAAATGACATATGTGTTGAGCATCAGCTATGAGTCTGACAGTAAAGTAAAAAATGTGTGTGTGCAACTGGATCTTAAAATAAAGATTTCACTTAGGCACTTTCTAAAATGCTATGCTGACACAAGTTTCAAAAATTTTCAGATTACTATGCAAAAAGACAGTTAGAATAATGAGCAAGAAGATTGAAAGAGAGAAACAGCAAGGCAAATGAAGAGAACATGTAAACAATGCAGGAAGCAAGCATTGAGGAAATAAAGCTCATTTCTATCTTTGACTCCCCTCTGCTCCTGTCTACTGAACATTCTGTGAACATATTCTGTACATTCATCATTTCTAATGCAGCATTTCATTTCTTCACCCAAATGATCGCTGCTCCAATTTTTCCTACCTGAAATATCATTCGGAGTATTTAAGGCTTAACTCAGTTGCCATGGCTTCTCTAAGTAGTTTCTAATCCCACCAGCATATAACCCCAAAATATAGCATTTACTTCATTTTAGACCTTGGAAAATATTATTGAATTCATATCTGCTTCCTCTACTCAATTTTAAGGTCTTTCATTATAGGTAACTACTTTATTGATCTTAGCAACTCAGTGCAAGAGAGGACAACTTGTATGTAATTTCCTATAAATAATGAAATGTAATGTACTCAAGTGGAAATACTATGGACTTGGAAACCACAGAAAAGGGTTTTTGTCTGTCTGAGGGATTTTCCACACACCTCCCAGTCAGCAAGCCACACACTAGCTTTGCCACTTTTAATAAGACGCCTAAATTCCCTAAGCCTCCCTGTACGGCTTATAGATTTAGATGTCTAATGCCTCCCTCATAGAGTTTTTGTAGCAATTATATGAGGCAACATATATAAAAAACTAATGCATTCCATATATTACAACTGCTATTACTATTAATACTTTAACTGCGATTAATATTTTAATAATTGCTTTTTTAACGGAAATCAATTTAGTTAGAATGTTGAAAAAATATAGTCATATGTATCTGTGAGCTTCTTCCTTCCACAGTTCAGTGTGCTCATTTTTCATTGATGTATAACAAATTGCCACAAATTGAGCGGCTTAAAACAACATCCTTTCACATCTCAAAGTTCTGTATGTTGGAAGTTTTTGCAAGGCTTTGTGGTATTCTCTACTTTGTTTCCCAAACAGCTGCATCAAGGTTTCAGCCAAGATTGGGGGCTTATCCGAGGCTCAGGGTCCTCTTCCAGTTTTCTGATTGTTAAAAGAATTCAACTCCTCACAGCTGCAGAACTCATGGAGGCTGTGTATTCAAAGGCAGCAGGGAAGCATCTCTCTAATGTCTCACCTTTTTTTTAAAGTCTTACCTGGCTATGTTGACCCCATCCAAGATTATTTTCCTTTTGATTAACTCAAAATCAATTAATTAGTAGCTTTATGAAGGGAGAGATATCTCATCCATCAGTTAAGTCCATACTCAAGGGAAGGGGACTATACAAGATGCCCAGGGATGAAAATTTGGGAGGCCATTAGAGAATCTTGCCTATTACAGTCAAGTTAGTAATAGCAAGCTAGAAAATGCAATTTGTAGTTACATATATTAGCAGTGTACCTGTGTGTGTGGATGAACATGTGGTTATAGCAATTTCCTTGGAATATACCAAGTAAACTGTTCTAAAGATCTTAATGGAACTCTTGGGTGTAAATGAGTTGGATCTCTGGAACTGAGAATCAGAAACATGTAAAAGCATATTTTATTACATTCAAAATATATAGCTATAAGTAAAGCAAGCAGTATGTATAGGTGTCGTGTGTCCTTAGGATAAAAACAAACTAATGTTCTATTTTTAAATTAATGAGCAAAGAGGAATTTGGTTTAAAAAATATTTGACGTGGTAAGAAAAAGATGTTGAGTTTGGTTGAGAAGGCTTTTGGTCTTTGAGTGGTACCTAGATAGCACAAAAATGAAAATCAATAAAAAATAGTGTTTTAAGAGAATTAAATAGAGAAATGAAGGGGGGTGGAAGTAAAGGGAGAGAGAAAGGAAGACAAAGGTGAGAATTTGAAGACAAAAAGTACCCCACACCCTTCCCTCTACTTGAAATACATTTTCTGGTGACAGCAATAAAGATAAAAAGAGATGAAAAATAAACATGAAGAAAGTGACCTAAAACCAAAATGCTAAAATATATACAATTTATATAGAAAATTATTGAGAAAAGTATTCAAAAAGAAACTATACTTCATTATGATTTAAAAACCAAATTGAAGGCTCATACTTTTTTCAACCTAAAAGCTTACATCATGAAATTTTTGCAACATTATTTTTAAACTCTAGAAACATCACACCTTGCCCAACTACTGCCTACATACTCTAGAAGAAAACATGGGATTCTTACTAACAAATGACAGACATATTTGTTTTGCATTTTAATGTGATATGCAGAAATAGATTGGAAGCAAATATTGCATTTTTTGGTATCATTTCTCAGAAAAAAACCTTGAGGAAAAATTTTTTCATAATTAGTTTTGACTTTGTATTATACCAAATGCATTCATTTTGGGGGCATGTTTCCCAAAAATCTCTGAAGTAATGATGAAACTTTAAGTCCATATAAGTATTTGTTGGCATAATTCCACTCTGAACAGCAAGCACATATGACATGAGGGTTGCACTGTGCTGGGGCAGATATGAATGAAAAGACTAAGAATTAAATGGGAATTTAAAAAAATGCTTTTTCTTAATAAAAGGAAATGAAGCCTTTTCTGCAAATTTGCTTAGGGCTAGAGAATTTAAACTAATACCCCTGGGACATTAAATGGCAAATTAGTAGATTAATGAAGGATTATAAATATAAATATATATTTATTTTTACACATATACATATATGTATACATATATTTGTATACATTGTACACATATATTTGTATACATTGTATACATATATTTGTATACATTGTATACATATATTTGTATACATTGTATACATATATATGTACATTTATATATATAACCTCCATGTCATACATATTTGCCTTTCAGAGTGGAACCATGCCAACATATACATATATGAACTTAATTATTCATCATTACTTCAGAAATTTTTGGAAAACATGTCGCCAAAATGAATGCATTTAATATACTACAAATTCAAAACTAATTATAAAAAAAGTCCTCAAGGTTTTCTTCTGAGAAATGATACCAAATATGTAATATTTGCCTCATATACATATACAGATTATATATGATTATATATGATATATATACATACAGATTATACATGATATATATATTTACATGATAAAAAACTAGTTGTTGCAGGAAACCATATACATCTCTTTAGAGTACTTTAGACATTTACTTATCTTGAAAGAGAAGATAGAACTCCATTGTTAAAGATAAAGTTTCACTTTTCTTGGGATTTTATGGTGTTTATGTCCATAGATGCAAGAACATCTTTCTCTGGATGGAGATTTACTCAAAAGGAATATTTACAGAGAATGAATTAAGCTACCACTTTATTAACAGCTTTTACATACTCTGTATAACAACAAATTCAGAAAAAGTCTGACCGGAGCTCCTGAATTATGATCAAAAGTTGAATGGGACTCCTAATCAGCAAAATGTCCCCTATCTCTCAGCAGTATTTTGGGACACCTGTGATCAGACAACTAATGGCTACAGATAGCGTAATCTACAAAGAAGGCCCTGACTTGAATAGACCCACATGCCTGCAAAATTAGAAAAATGGGAGAAAGAAACTTAACCCTGAAAATCCAAACTGCCCAATGAATGAAGCTTTTCATAGGTCTGTTTTCTATATAGAGGCATGGAGCTCTAGAAAAAGAATAAATTCTTGACTTTAAAGGATTAAAAAAAATCCTTTTTAGTAAAATTTAGCTCAAGAAGCAGAGAAGGCTTTGCAAACAGTTTTAAGATATTGTACAAGATGCCCTGAGTTTGGTTGCATGACTCAGTATTTGCAATGATGCTAAAGGTATCTATATTAGACAGAGAAGCTATATAAGGTCTCTGGAAAGCTCCAATTTGAGGCTGCAACTCATGCTAGCGTACTGTAGCAAGGCCGTGTCTTCAGTCACAGATAATTATTCTTTGTGTTTAAAATAGTTCCTGCTGTGTGAATAAATTCCTGATCACGAAAAAGCAAGTGAGTATGTAATCAGACTATTGGCTGCAACCCTGCCCAACACCAGATATTGGGCAATGACTTGACTATCCCCATCATTATCTTGGTATTATAACATTACCAAATCATAAGGTAAGGTGGCCATAGAGGTAATCCATTGTGCAATTAAAATGATACTTTCTGGAACTGGCCAGAGAACATCTAGAGGGCACAAGTAAGTTACATAAGCAGGTAGCCCAGTACTGTTGAACAAAGTCTCTTTCTCAGCTCATATCTCTGGCCTTATGGCTGACAGAAGCTTAGTTCACAAATGGGTTGGCCTGATAAATTAATACAAGCTGAAAATGTAAAACCACGTCAAGACAGAACAATGAGGAGTTTATTTGTTTGCTAGTGCTTTTGTAAAAATGTACCATAGTCTGGGTGGTTTGAAACAGCAGAAATTTATTTTCTCACTGTTCTGGAAGCCAGATCTCTGAAATCAAGTAATCAGCAGGGCCATTCTCCCTCTGAAATCTGTAGAAAACAAGGGTTCCTTGCCTCATCCTGGCTTCTGGAGGCTGTCAGAAATCCTTGGCATGTCTTGTCTTACAGCTACATTGCTCCAATCTCTGCCTCTGTTGTCACATGGCGTTATACCTGTGTGTGTCTCCATATCCAACCCTTTCTTTCCTTTCTTTTATAAAGACACCAGTTACTGGATTAGGGTCACATTCACAGGTCCCAAGAGTTACAACTTCAGCATATATAGGTTGGTGCAAAAGTAATTGTGGTTTTTGTCATTGAAAGTAATTGAAAAAACTGCAATAACTTTTGCACCAAGCTAATAATTTGGGGAGACACAATTCAACACACAACAAGAAGTGACACTAAAGGCTGGTGTCAAGGGGAATCCTCATTGTGAGCAGACCTTGGAGGAGTAACTTGGTCACTCAATTGTCTAGCCAATTGGTGAGGGCCTTGAAAGGAATGAGATGAGGAATTTACAATCAAAGAGGCCTGGAGGAGCGGTACTCAGATTTATGCTGGTTAAGATTTTTGTGCCTCAAGGCTGGAAGCAGTGGCTTATGCCTGTAATCCTAACACTTTGGGAGGCCAAGGGGGGGCGGATCACCTGAGGTCACAAGTTCAAGACAAGCCTGGCCAACATGGCAAGACCCTGTCTCTACTAAAAACACAAAAATTAGCCAGACGTGGTGGCACATGCCTGTATTCCCAGCTATATGGGAGGCTGAGGCAGGAGAATTGCTCGAACCTAGGAGGCAGAGGTTGCAGTGAGCCGAGATTGCGCCACTGCACACTAGCCTAGGCATTAGAGCAAGACTCCATCTCAAAAAAAAAAAAAAAAGATTTTTGTGCCTCAGGTTAATGACCACTACAGTTTATACATCACACAGGACACATTCAAAAACCATATAGACTGGCAGGGTGCGGTGGCTCATGCCTGTAATCACAGCACTTTGGGAGGCTGAGGTGGGTGGATCACCTGAGGTCAGGAGTATGAGACCAGCCTGGCCAACATGGTGAAACCCCATCTCTACTAAAAATACAAAAATTAGCCAGATGTGGTGGCAAGCACCTGTAATCCCAGCTACTCGGGAGGCTGAGGCAGGAGAAGCACTTGAACTCAGGAGGCGGAGGTTGCAGTGAGCCGAGATCACGCCATTGCACTCCATCCTGGGGAACAAGAGCAAGATTTCATCTAAAAAAAAAAACAAAAAAAAAACACCATATAGACAGGATGGCCCATTAAGTGGGCATCAGCCATCTTATGTTCTTGACTACCAGTGTTTGTGGAAGAAGCCATGAATACAATAAGTGTGACAGTAGAAAGAAAAGCTATGCATGGGTCCAGTGGTTTAAGCTTCTTTTCGGAAAACAAGATCTATCTTCCACTCATGTTTGAAAGTCTGAAGTTTACAAAACAGATATCAATGCTGAGCCCGTGAAATGGTGCTAATGGCTCCAAGGAGACTAATTCAGTTGCTCATGAGAAGGTAATTATTTCCAGTCCTTGTATCCTGGAGGGAAGCATTTCATCCAAAACAGAATTAGCTCTTACTTTATTACTGATTTTCCTTCCCTGCCTATAGTTTTACTGACAACACCAACATCTAAGATTTATAACATGTGACAACATTTCAGTTTAAAAGATCCATTTTATATAAAAGACAGGGTGACAATGAGAACATGATTATGAGATCCACTGATTCTATCCCAGGTCATATTATCCAGAATTACCAGGCTAATGGTATAATGGGACGTCTTATTAAAGACTCAACTATGGTACCATGTCCAACACTCCTCAGGGTTGCAGTGTTGTCTGCAAGAATACAGTGTATGCATTGAAATGATTTCTTGAAATATGAAATTTGAATCAAATGGTAGAACATACAAGCTCATTGATGAAAGAAGAATGGCCTTTCTCACCACCACTGCCAGTCACCTGTGAGGAATTTATGCTTCCTTCCTCTGAAATCTTAGGCTCTGATGGATTAGATGTCTTGGTTTCTGAGGCATGAGAGGTGAGAACATTTGTAGTAGGGAACACAGTAGAACAGGGTTCTCTATTACATAATAGTGGCAGGGAGTATGTGTTGACATGGGAACATCCTCTTGGGCCTCTGGTCGTCTTCCATGCCTAGCATCATAGGGAAAAACAGCTGGAGCAATTGAAGTTAGGGTTAAGGATCTCAAGGGCTTGGACTTCTCAGAGATGAAGATCTGGATCACTCCATCAGGCAAGCAACGAAGACCAGATGAAATGCTGCTTGAAGGGCTGGCATATCTAGAATTGGTGGTAGAAATGTGAGTTGAAAAATATCACTAACAACCTGGGGGCTAGTTGGAGTAAAGATGATTGTAGCTTCTGTAGCTTATTTCGCTGACCGCTGCATATTACGTCATTTGTAGAGACCATGAAGACTAAGTAACTGAGAAGATTTAATGCAGGGTGCATATGGATTGAGTTCAGGGTGCGCTTTTCATCCCTTTATTACTAATATCCCAGCTGTCCATCCTCCATCCCTCCCCCATGATTTCCGCCAAGGACAAAGCAGGAAGGGCCCACAGAAAGTGCAACTCAAAAAGACAGGAATAAACACTCTGAAGAAGCAATTTTTGATCAATTGAAGTGAAAGCTAATGAATAAATTATTGGATTGGACAATCTTGAAAAGCATCCTATATGCTTCCTAGAAGCATCTGTTGCCCATAACAGTAAATTAAAAAATGCACGTTGGTATTGTTGTTTCCTTCCTCCCTGCCTCACTCTCCCTAGTTCTTCCCTTCTGCACCCTGGCATCCCTTCTCAAACTATTTGCACACAATGCCTCATCTCAAGTCTATGTTTGAGGAAATTCAAGCTAAGACAAGAAACTTTATCCTCCGCCCCCCACCTCATATTTAGTATTGTTTAAATCATTACAAGAGTAATATATTTGTTTCTAACAACTGATTTTTAAAAGTAGCAAACAACCAAAGCAGACCGTGTCCCATAGCATAGACTATTACACATAGATTAGCATGCTTTGGTTATTTTCAGCACTTTTTTCCCTTAAGGCCTCGATGTCAATTAATAAGACAAAGAGTTGCATATGTTTAATTTTAAAGTACTCAAGAAGGATCGATAAACTGTCTTTTTTAATACAATGGGGGGGTCACTTGAAAGATGAATATCTGTTATTGAGGAATACTTTGAAGTCGGTTCTCTGCTCTCTTTCATGAAAAGAGACAGCAAGAAAATCTGAGAAAGTAAGTAGGTTATCTAAGGTAACTCCAGAGGATTATGAACAATATCCTGCTTGTTACTTATAGAGATCTCTTCATTCATCCAAACCACTAATATTTTGATCATCTGCTAGGTTCCAGGAAGTTTTCTGGATGTTTAGAGTACAGCAGTGGATAAGATAAAGAGCCTCTGACTTCTTGCAACTTATATTCTGTTTGGTAAATTGAACAAAATAATAAGCGTGTATGTCATGTAATGATGCATGCTAAGAAGAAAATGATTAGAAAGGTAAAGGGAGATAAAAGGGATAAAAAAAGGGCTGAGGACTGGCATCTAGACAAGGGAATAAAAAAAGGCATTCTTAAGAAGATGACATTTCAACACCATCCTGAAGGAACTGAGGAAGTGAACCATCAACTATTTGGGGATGAGTTTTCAAGACAGAAAGAATAAAAAGGCAAAGGATCTGAGGCAGGAACACGCAGAGCACACAAGGAAAGAGTGCGGAGGCCAGGGCAGGGTGCAAAGGGGAGGTGGGAAAGAGAGGCCAGATTGCCGAGGGGCATGTAGGCCACTGTAAGAACTTTGCTTTTTTTTTTTAGAAAGATGGAAATGCCCATGAGTGTTTTATGTGCAGGGAAACCTCAATATAAAAAGAAGACGCAAATCAGAAGTTTGATGGGATCCTAATCAAGTAGTGTGGTAACAATAGGGTCTCAGGATTCCATTAACTTTCAAAGCACACAAAATTAATTGGAAATTTAAACATTAAGTAAAACTATTTAAACTCCACTTTAACTCTGTAGTAATGTGAACTCAGTTTTTAGGCCACTCTTTCTCTCTCTTCTACTCTCTCAATATCTGAGATTGTTGACTGCTGAAATATCACTAATTTTACTATAATCTGCTACCATAGAACATTTGCCAGACAAAGTTGTGATTGCCTGTCTCTAAGAGCTTCACAGACAGAATGCAGAAGCCATGGATAACGCTGAGCCTCAGACCTAAGGGATTGCCCTTGGTTAATTGAAAAGTTTATTTTTTTGTCTCTTTTTATAATGCTGTGTCATCTAGGGGTCCCCAGTCCAATGGCTTGTGTTCTGTTGCTTAGTTCCTCATGTCTACTGAACAGCTGCTAAATGTGGCAGCCTGGTGTCAGAGACCACAAGTCACGTTTCCAGCACACGTTCTCACATTACCATCATTATTTCACATTTTAAAAGGATATCAGCTAAAAATGAGGTGCCAATCTACAAAAGCCATTATAAAGCCCATTTATTTATATAGATAGAAGGATAAAAACATATAAAACTTGATGCTTACGCAACTTTTATTTTATATAAAAATAAAAAGTTACTTAACACCAGAATTATTTGTTGGCTGAAATATCTCAAAGGAGTACCCTGACATATATTTTATATTTATGACTTATATATTTCAAAGGAAACACATGTTTCTTTTTAGTTGACTAGCCTGAGGTTTATCATATACCTTATATACCTACGCCCTTGATTTTATTTTCTCAAATGAGCAGAGATTTGAAAATGGCTCTCATGAAATTCAATTACCATTTCTTAATGTGCCAGGGCTTCCAAAGAATATAATTATGCTGATTCCTCAGAGATTATCCCAATGATCAATGGAAAGTGTTTGCAGGGTAGAAAACATGTTGCCTAATCTACTCTCAAAAACAAATTTATCCACCAAAGGTGGTCTTTATAGTAAACCGATGAGCAATTTTATTTCTGCCACCCAGCGCCAAGAATTGCACTGGTTTCCCAACTTTGCGCTTCTGCCATATGAGAGCACAGCCAGGAGAGAGAGAAGAAATGGGTAAAAATGGCAGCTTGAAACTGTGTACACCAGCAGGTGTCTTGTCACAGCCTCTGTGCCATAGTATATCTGAGTTTCCTAAGCAACTATGCTCCCTAGGAAACTGGTTAAACTGCTTCTGTAGAAACTATTTACTGAGCAATTCCTCCTTCAAACCAGCTTTATGTAGAGAGTGCAAGAACGTGATGGGAGAATATTTTCCACTTCCTCAGTTCCATAGATCTTCTTGTGGAGTATTTTAGAACTATACCGAATAAACGTGAAACCATATTTGTCATGGTTTTTTATTAATTTTATGCTTATTTCATTGCATATAATACAGAGAAAGCAATGCTGTAGAATATCGTTCTTCATTTGGTAGTTTTGGAGAGCTAGAGAAATTTCCCAATTTGCTTATGGAACTAATTTGAGCTATTCCTCTCCCAAACAAGGCACATAAATGACATACACTGTAACTTGGGTTCCATAGAACATTGCACTGACCTGTCTTATAATGAGTTACATCTTATCATTACTAAATTGAGCCATATTTATGCACTACCATGAGAAACATGGAGTTACATTTTTAATACAGTGAAAAATGCATATATTAATTAAAATACGTACCTTTTTGTGATCTCCATGTTTTATTCACGTTTATGAAAGTTAATTCTTATTACTGCTTTCATTTATTAATCCAAGCTTTAAATATCCTGTACATTTCCCTGTTTTATTAACTTTAAGACAAGATTTGCAGTTTAGAAATAAAAATTGTCTAGGACCAAAATGTGTGTGAGTTGAAAAAAGATAGAAGAGAGTTATAAAAAAATCTTTATCTTTAAAGTTCTTGATTCACATTATGGTGGTTTTTTTTAATTTATTTTATTTATTTTTTTTTGAGATGGAGTTTCTCTCTGTCACCCAGGCTGGAGAGCAGTGGCACAATCTCGGCTCACTGCAAGCTCTGCCTCCCGGGTTCACGCCATTCTCCTGCCTCAACCTCCAAGTTGCTGGGACTACAAGCAACTTGTAGTTGCCTGCCACCACGCCCGGCTAATTTTCTGTATTTTTAGTAGAGAGGGGGTTTCACCATGCTAGCCAGGATGGTCTCGATCTCCTGACCTTAGGTGATCCGCCCGCCTCAGCCTCCCAAAGTGCTGGGATTACAGGCATGAGCCACCGCACCCGGCCTATGGTGCTTATTACAGTAGAAAATAATGCGTTTGTTTTCCCATCTATTTTATCCATTAGAATACAAGTCTCATAAGAGCAAGTAAAGTTTTCATTTTTAAACCCTAGCTCAGAGAATGGTCATGAATGTTTAGCAGATTAAAAAAAACTAGTACAAGATAGAGTGAACTGAACACCCCACAAAATACCTGGAAAAGCTAGATCTGCTCAGTTTTTCACAACAAAACATGTATTGCTTTTCTCTGCTTTATTTTCAAATTGCATATATTAATATGTTAAAGAAAGTAAACTTAAGTTCTTATTGCCCTAAATTAAGTACTATTCATAGACTATAATTGTCTGTTTCTCTTTCTATAGATATATATGCATGTATACTACACACACGCTTTTACTTATATAAAATAACGTGATATTACTTTTAAAATATACATATTTGTCTTGTTTTCTCGGCCTTATACCACTCCTGCTCTAAGCCTTTCATTTTTTATCACTGTAAAATTAGTTTAGTAGAAATTCTTATGTATTGTAAGTTTTAGCATTAGAAATACTAAGGCAAATTTTTTGACTCTTGATGCTGTTTACATCTCTTGCCATATTTTGGATACCTTTTACATATTCAAATATTTCCATATTTTCTTATATAATTTTCAACATTTCAGTATTTTTTTAATCCTCAATCTCTAGATTATAAAGTTAAGCTTTTATATTATATTTTCACATTTTTATTTGCTTTATTTTCTACATTTATGTCACTAGGGATGATAGAATTTATTTTTGTTCATAATGTAAAATCAAAGTTCAAATTTATTTCCTTCCAGAGTGAGCTGGATGGAGGCTTTCCCCATTCCAAAGTATACATAGAAAACAGAGCACTAATTAGCCAGAGAGGATCCCTTTAATCTTAGAAATCGGCTGTTACTCATTATTGAGTGTCCAGAGCACACCAACACCTAAATTACATAACAATATTTTTAATAATAATTTTTTTGTTAATCTTTTTAAAAGACTTCACATTTTCTTGCTTTATTGAATAATGTTGAGTTACATTTCTTGCTGAGGACTATTACTGCCTTCCTCTTACTCCTTGCAATAGACTTGAAGCTCTTTACCATTCCTACCTTAAATCATTCTCTTATTTTAATGTGGTGGAAATACAGGCTGACTTTCTTCTAGCTAACACTCCACAACCTTTATCAGTGTCTCCACCAAAAGAAATCCATATATTGAAATTCCACAAATGTGCATTTCCAAGCTCTGTTTCTTTTCTCTCTGTGCTCTCTTGATAGGTGGCTCTATTATGAGTTGAATTGTGTCTCACAGAAAAGAATGTTGAAGCCCTGACTCTCAGTACCTCAGAATGTGGCCTTATTTGGAAATAAAATCGTGTACCACATAACAACATTTTGGTCAATGACAGATCTCATATAGAACAGTGGTCCATTAAGATTATAATACCATGTTTTTACTGTATGTTTCCTATGTTTAGAGACACAAATACCATTGTGTTACAATTGCTTACAGAATTCAGCACAATAACATGCTGTACAAGTTTGTAGCCTGGGAGCAATAGGCTATACCATACAGCCTAGGTGTGCAGTAGACTATACCATCTATGTAAGTAGACTCTACATAGACGTTATAGTCTACTATACTGTAGAAGAGCCAATTCACTCTTCTACTTACTCACTACCATCTATCCACACTGCTCATCTTTCACATATTGGAGTATTTGATTCTGTTTGTTTATGCTGTTCTCTTGAGTGAATCATTCTCCCCCATACCCACAATCATTCTTTTTCATGGATGTCTTGTCATCATTATTCAAGTATTCAATTTAAGTGCTACTTTCTTAGAGAAGCCTTCTTTAACTACCCTATCTAATGCTGTTACTGTATACTGAACTTAACATGTTCACACAATGACAAAAATCACCTAATACTGTATTTCTAAGAATGTATCCCTATCACTAAATGAAACATCACTGTAGTGTCACTGCCGATGTTAATAATTAAGATGGGGTCATACTGGAGTAAGGTGGGCTCTTAATCCAATATTAGTGCTGTCCTCACAAGAAAAGGAAAGAGACACACACACATAGAGCAGAATGTCACATGAAGACACAGAAACACACAGACCATGTAAGAATGGAGGAATAAATTGTAGTTAAGCTACCACAAACCAAGGGACATCTAGTGCTACCAGAAGCTGGAAGAAAGACTTTCTACTTGAGGCTTCAGAGGAAGCACAGCCTTGCCAATTCCTTGAATTTGGACATGTAGCCTCCAAAGATGGGAGGGAATAAATTTCTGTTTCTTTAGAGTCCCCTAGTTTATAGTAATTTATTATGGCAGCCCAAGAAAGCTAACAGAGTAACATTTCCTTCCCAAGACTATATTCCAATTAAATGCATATCATCAATGTAAGTCTCCCTTTTAATGTATAGACAATCCAAGAAACAAAAAAACTATGTTAAAATTTGACATACTCAACAATAAATTTTTAATTTTCCCTGTTCAACTTGCCTCTCTCCCAACCAGGCATCCTCATTTTAGTGAATGGCTTTGCTGAGTTACACAAGCTACATACTGAAGAATTTACTCTTTCTTCTTAAAAAAACACCCATATCATTTATCACTAATCCTGCCAAAGTGCCTCTAAAATGGATCTTGCATTCTTCACAGTTTCCTCTCTGCTTTACTAGTCCTGGCCACCGATACCAACCTGGATGAGTTGAATAGGCCACTAATTAGTCTCTCCCTTTCATTCTTGCTCACTTTCCGTACAAAACTTATTGATATTTAAAATGAATATAAAATAGATCTTATAACTCCTTTTCCTAGCATTTCAGTTGTTCTCCATTGCACTTAGACTAGAATTCAAATGCTTTAATTTAGATTGCAAGACTTGCCTGATAGGGCCTATGCCTATTTCTGCAACTTCAAGTCATTTCACTCTTCTTCTTACAACCATCTATCCACACTGCTCATCTTTCACTTATTGGAGTATTTGATTCTGTTTGTTTATGTTGTCCTCTTGCGTGAATCATTCTCCCCCATACCCACATTCTTTTTTATGGATGTCTATTCATCATTATTCAAGTATCAATTTAAGTGCTACTTTCTTAGAGAAGCCTTTTTTACCCTATCTAATGCTGTTACTGTATTTGCTATTACTATTAATCTATTTCAAAATATTTGGCCATTGGCTCTGTCGTACTTACCATAATATTATATAATTTACAATGTACAAAATTGTAGAGTTTTTTGTATGCAAATTTGATAGCTGTCTGCCTCCCACTTTAGACTCTAAATTCTGTGAAGAACAGAGTCACAACTATTGCATTTGCCACTGTATCTTGCTTCTTAGTATAAGGCCTAGTAATAAAATAGCTATCATCAATGAAGAAGGAAAGGAAGGAAGGAAAGAAGGAAGGGAAAAGGCACTGAGGGAAAAAGGAAGGAAGGAATGACATAAACAAGAGATGATATCCTACAATGAAGTGGCTCTCATCTAACATGCTAAACAACTGGATAGAGAGACTCATCTATTATCAACTGTTCCTTGTCTCTGTTGACATGTGTCCAGCTATTGGAATCTATGGCATTGTTTTAAGTAGCCAAAGAGTGACTTTAGCTTCTAATGGTATACATTTATCTAGTGTTTCTATTTTCTCTAAATTTTAGATGGACAATTGTGTTTTTTAAACGTTAAGCTTAAAGAAAATGTGATTTCTTCTCCATCAAGATATTACTATCATTATCTGCATTCAGTCATGTATTTATAGACTGTGCATTATCATTTGATATTTATTCTAAGAAAAACACTAAGGTACATTCAAATATGTATTATATATTAAAACATTGTTTATATTTATTTATTTATTTTTATATTTTATTCATTTTTTTGAGACAGGGTCGTCCTCTGTTGACCTGGTTGGAGTGCAGTGGCATGATCACGGCTCACTGCAGCCTTGACCCCCTAAATGACATAATATCTCAGTTCAAACTGTAGATTTTGAAAAAGAAGGTATTCAGTTATTATTGAATGTGACTAAAGCAGGATGGAAGAAGTTATCTGATTTTTCAATAATATGATTGTCCAGTTAATTTTTTTCTAACTTTAAGGAATTCTGGAAATATTAAATATTCACATTACATAGTTTGAAGAGGAGTGATATAAATTGTTATCTCCAATTTTTTTCTCCTGCTTCAACTTACTGGTTCTATTTCTAAGATGCAAAACAAAGTAATGGAGGAAAGAAGAGCATACAAAGAAAATATTTTGGAAGTATTTCTTCAGGGTGCTTAGGCAGCTTTCACTTAGGAATGTTCAGAAAGTATATGCCATGCTCTCAGAACATCTCCATGAACTCAGGCAGCAGAAAGAAGCAACATGATGAGTTTCCAGTGTCAGTCATGAGCATTTACCAGAAAGCCTTAATAAACTGAAGAGCTTTGCAGTGCCTGCAAATCATATTTATAAGCCAATATGAACTTTCTCCAATAATATAAAGGAAAACCAAAGAAAATTGAAAGAGAAATTCAGTGGCCTAACTTGTGGAATCTGACCACATAATTATTAAAGACCATGGACACTGCATTTTTATGTTTTACTTTTTGGAAAAGACAGCTTGAGTTAATCCAATAGTCCCCCAAACTCTATTGAATGTGATTACAGCATAAGGTTTATATGAAATAGCTACTAGTGAAAGAACAAAAAATTTGAAAAGTGGATGAAACTAGGCCTACACTACTCTGTGATTTATTAGTGCTTCATTCCATTGAGGGTATAATTTTTCTGTCTACATTTAATAGTTTCTACTATTTTTCTATAATCAGAAAAAAATAACTAAAACTGCATATCTCACTGGTCCATATTGAATGCAGATTTAATGTTAGACAATGTCAATGAGTGGGAAAATGCAATTATTCTCATGGCAGCAACTCTTAATTTAGGTTATCTCCCAACAAGCTGTTGGCTATTTCAAAAAATTAAAATACTCAATCCAAAACCATCTTGAGATATGTATGGTAATGCTAGACTTTTTCTCATAGCCTTGTATTTAGAACTTAACATTTCTTAAAATTCTTGTTTCTTAGCAAATTGGCAGAGTTGCTGGCTTGAAGAAAATTGTTAAATTTCTGAAAAGACCATGTGTATTTTATTTTAATGTTCATCATATGTATCTTTTCCAGGAAAAGTAGTTAAAATTTGGCTTCTATATTCATATAGATGAAGGCAGCTTAGAGGCAATTTAGCTCATTCTTCTGTGTTAAGCAGTGACTATTTCCTCTGAGCAATATCAGTCTGATAAAAATCAATTCTGCTTTTCACAGACTTCTATAACAAGTTACTGCAAGAACCTTTTCATCGAATAACAGTGTGCAAATTTCTTCATTGTATTTAATTTTTTTTTCAGTTTATCTCACCATCATAAAGGCAGAAAGAAATTTCAGGGATAATTTATCCACCCCAGTGTTTTTATATAAAAAAGTAACTGAATCTTTTAGATAGCTTGTTGTCTCTTCTATTTTTAAAGATCTTTGCTTGAAAGTTTGCTCAAGAAACACCATGCATATTTGACATCATAAGGAAAGAAATGGTAAGAATTTTCAGACAAAGATTCTAAAGTTATAAAAGACTGGGCTACAACTGTTTTCTAAATTTGTAGTCTTGGATAAGTTATTTCAATTCTGATGCTATATTTTCTCATCTGTAAAATAACAATGATAGTACACCCTTATGTTTGTTAAAATAATTAATTGCTATAATTCAAGTAGAGTTCATATTTATTTATAATAGGAACATTGCTTTCCTGACAAAGGTTGTACTAAATTTAACTTTCTATAAAGGTAAAGTCAGTATTTCATATAGGTAAGCTGGGAATTCATTTATGAGATATGGTTTAGCAAAAAATACTATAAATTAAAGGTAAAAGTATGTTAAATTATAATTACCACATCATACTCCAATAAGGGTTATGATTAGTTTGATCCAGGTTAAAAACTATTTTTATGGAATATTAATCGAAATGCTCATTTCAGGCAAGCATCTTGTCTACAAAAAATTCTGACAATGACTTTTCAAACTTTATATAAAATTTCTAAGAATGAAGACACTGCTATCTTTATAAACACTAGTCTGTCTTCAAATAACTATAAAGAAGTTTATGCCAACATTTCATTGTAATTCCCTCCTGTAATTTCTACCCATTTGTGTCGATTATAATCCTTAGATATTAATCCCTCAATCTCATGATAGTTATTCTAATATTTAATGATATCAAGCTCCATTCTCTACTATTTTTCCCTTCAAATTAAATCTCCCTTCAGTCATTGTTTACCTCACATAATTAAAATTCAAGTTATCTCATAACCACATTAATCCTTGATAAATGTAATCTATTTAGTCCACCAAACACTTGAGTTAGCAGCTAGGAATTGTTCTTTCCTTCTTTGATCCCCTTCCCTTCCTTAAAGGCAAGGCTCTAGCCCTATGTATATATTATGTTCTATCTTGCAAGTTTTGATTATAAACCAATCTGCGTTCCTATATTCGCTAATGGCGGACATAAAGTATGATATGTCCTAAGGTAATTTACTTTCTAAGGAGAATCTTGATATGCAAAACACATTAAAGTACAAAGTAAACTCTAATGGTGGGGTGAAGTTTTATGATGTGATCATAATTTAGAAAGAGACTCAGTTCAGGGCTATATCAAATGACAACACAGAGAAAGTTCCTCATTCTAACTACTCACAAAGGGTCATATTCTTTTAAAGATATATTGAGACAGACTATCAAGATTTCTCTAATTATCCATAGGGATTTTGCTACAGATACCAAAGCCCATGGCCATTTTAGTCAGAGAATATTAGGACAGCATGGCATCTTTGTGATTATTTACCACTCTTTTTTTGTTTTGTTTTGTTTTGTGTTTGTTTTTGTTTTTGCTTTTGTTTTGAGACGGAGTCTTGCTCTGTCGCCCAGGCTGGAGTGCAGTGGCGCGATCTCGGCTCACTGCAAGCTCCGCCTCCCTTACCATTACAGTTGGCTGAAGTAATGCCCAGAAAACTTTAGAAATTTGTACAAGTTCATACACTTAGTTCACTCAGAAGATGTGCCTTACTTAAATCCAGGCATCCTGAGACTTAGGCCCATTTTAGTTCTATTAACTTCTTGTCGATACAAATAATCACTTATGGATGAGAAAGGATAATTTTATTTCAATTTATATTTAAAGAGATACATTAGTAGAACTTTATGTTTGCTATAGAGTATATAATTTGCTAATGATGATATTAGAATCATCTAAGTTGTCTTTGACACGTGTTTGTGCTCTTTTTGAGAGTTAATTTCTGTGCAATCACAAATTTAATTGGAATTTACAATTAATAGGTAGACTTCTGCCTTTGTGAGCCATTCAAATTCAATAGTGTCTAATGACTATTTGATTGTCATCATCAATACAATATGTATTGTCAAGCATATACCTATATCATGCAGTCATTTTAAAAATTAACACTAAATTTTATGCCAAAGGGTTAATCATTGAGAATTGAGAATAGTTGTTCAGGCAACTGTGATATGTGTTGTTTGATGTGTGAGTTGCTGTGATTAAAACAATGGCCTTCAGTTTGCAGTGCCATCAGCCTGGTACATGTCACTAATACTGAATTCATTTTTTAGAGCAGAACCATACATCCAACTTACATTGCAATTACTGCAGAGGAAGAGAGATGGAGAAGTTAAAATGAAACATTTCAAGGATGAATGGGCACTGAAAATTGGTAAAGTGGCAGAAAAGTCCAAGCTTGAAGAATGAAAAAGTAAATGTATGGAGAAAAAGGAGTTTGGAAAACAGGAAAAAAAAAGATATTTTGCAGAAACATCTGTTTGCTGTTGCTAAAAATTTTAGCATTTAAATGTTCTCATTTGGGCTCTGAAGTTAGCACTTCCTTGAAGTAGTTCACACCTTTGCTATTGCTCCTGTTCAGCTACAGATCATTTTATGCAAGGCTGATTTTAACAAGAAAATGGTGCATTAATTTACAATGTGTTGAGTGTTTTAAAAGTGGCAAAATCTAGGCTTTTGTAAAATTTTAGAATCTGGAAAAAATAGAAATACTTATATAAAGCTCTTCAAAATACCAGAATGGCTTTATGCACAAAAAATTACATGCTGATTAAGAAAATTAGAAAATTCGGTAATAAAAAAAGAAGTACATCTACCTCTAAGCCAATGGGTTTCCTATGACTCTCTAGAGTTTCTATTTAGTAGTGAGGCACATATAAACTTAGACACTATTGAAATATAATTTTTATTATAATCCCTCATAATTTTCTTCCTTCCCTACCTCTTCTCCCTCTTCTTTCTTCCACTGTCTTCTTATTTTTTATTTCTATTTATTTCTTTCCTTTCCTTTTTTTCTCCATTGCCTCATTTTCTTTTTTCTGTCTCTTTTTTTTGTGTGTGTTTCAAATGTTTATTTGTGTTTTCATTTAAAATATAAACTTGAAAGCAAAAAAAAAAAAAAATGCCTGTTCAGGGTTCTTTCTCATCTCCCTCATTGGAGTAACTAATGTTTTGGAGCTTCATATTTCTGAAATATCTTAATATTTCAGATGCAAATAAGATAAGTAATGGAGCATTTTGTGCATAATATATATACTTTTATATACTTTTTTGTAAATATCAAACTAATAGGCAAAATTGGCCTAAATTTATGAATGATGTTTCACTATTTAACACAATGAATTTCCCCCAATTAAAATTATAAATACAGTAATTCCTCACTTAACATTGTTGACAGATTCTTGAAAACTATAATAAAATCTATTTTACCATAAGCCAATTGGTATATATCAGAGTTAAGTTCTCATGTCATATCTGGGTCACAAAAAAATCATCAAACCCTAAAAAATGACCCAAAACACTTTTAATATTAAACATTGAAACTAATGTAAGGTATACATACATTTAAGAAAGATTAATAAAAACAAGTATAATAATTACTTACCCAGTTACTCCAGTTCAGGGTTGAGGGTCACCTAAGCCCATCTAGGCAGCTTGGGGTACATGGCAGGCACCAGCTCTGGACCAGATACTGACTCATCTTGGGGTGCACTCACACATACACCTACAGACACTCAGATGGGACAATCTAGACACACAAATTCACCCAATTTGTATACCTTGGGATGTAAGAGGAAACTGGAGTACCTGGAAAAACCCAGGTAGACATGGGGAGAATATGCACTCTATTCAGACAGTAGCCTCAGCCAAGAATTAATTATTTCCTCATCAATATCATAACAAAATGACACTGAATGTAATAATGTTATTTGAGTACCTGCTATATAAAGTTGGGGACTTCTATTGGCTAAATATTGAAGTTGAAAAAGGCTACTTTTCTGATACAATAATTACTCTCTCTTGTCAAAGTACCAAGGTAATTGAACACAAAAGAACATAAACACTATTTGGGTGCTGTTTGAGTCTGTTTTTGCCACTGTAATAGAACACCTGAGACTGGGTAATTCATAAAGAGCAGAAACGTATTTTTCATAGAGTGAAGGCTGAAAAGTCCAAGATCAAGGTGCTGGTAGGTTCTGTTGTCTGGTAAGGGCTGCTATCTGCTTCCCAGGAAGACAGAATGGTAAGCTAACTGAAGGTGGCCTGTAGCCTCTCTAATAAGGGCCTTTGAGACATCCACGAGGGAGAAGCCCTCCTGGTCTAATTACCGCTCAACATCTCACTTCTTAATGCAATCACATTGACAATATCTGAATTTTGAAACATATTCAAACCACAACAATTGCTTTATAGACTAAAATTATAATATGTAGTAGAGAAGGGATATTGTACTTGTTTTACACATTTGGGGCGGACACTAGACTCCAAAGTATATATGGCCAAGAAAAATAACTGAGACACAGATTTATTATTATTTTAATATTTGTAGGTGGGAAAATTAAGATAAGGAAAGGTATTAACGTACACTAAGAAAAACATTAGTAAGGATAGCAACAAATTTTTCAAATGACAAACTAAACTCATGAGTGATAATGGAAACAGTGAGTTATGTTACAAAGCAGATTATGTGCTGCTTTAAACCTAGGTTGCTTTAGCACTACCTGCCAGTCAAACCCTTATTCCCTGAGCCACTATCCAGACCAGAATAAGGAGCATCTAAGGACTATGCTCTGCCATATGGTCGATTTCCTAGAAAATTTAATTAGGAAATACAAATAATTATTTTCTGAATTTATGATAGTTCACTATAATTACAGAAAAGTCCTCAAAGGACATGAAGAGTTATTGTACATAAATTTAATTGATATAACTATAAAGATGGCTATAGATAGGAAGATAGAAGAGATAGAGATAGATAGATAGATAGATAGATAGATAGATAGATAGATAGATAGATAGATGAGTAGGAGAGTGGACTATTCATTTGTGGCAGGTATTTGCAGAAATTACACTATACTCAGCTCTAGCCTTTCTCATTTTTTAATAACATCCTAATACCTAATGGATTTACAAATCTACTGCATTCTTACACTGAGTAAAATTCTGTAAGTAAATAAACACAACTTTCACTAAACCAGTAATGTGATTTTTGCTGTAAAGCAAAAATACTGAAGACATGCTCTTACTTATACATGCCCAAATTGAAGGAATGCAAAGCTACAACAATCTAAGTATAAACAGTTGAGTGAGCCTCTGGGAATAGAGAAATAGAAGTAGAGTACCAAACATATCCTGAAGAAGTTAGAGTGATTATACTTTTTCCAGACCTTCTCACTTTTTAAAATATATTTACATTGGGCTAAGGATATGCTTTGCACTTAGATTACAAATCAATTCTGCACTGGGTTTCTTGTTTTCTTTTTAACTTATCTGTTAATCTAAATTTTTCTTTCTTGTATCTGCTTCTTATTCCTACTTGATCACGGTTTTATTTATATATTTCACTTTTTACCTTTGTCTTTTTTATGCATTGCTTCTCCACCTGTAATTGTAAGCTAGTGCAAATAAGCACACATGTTGTAGGATCTCCCAGGTCCCCTGGCTTTTTCTCTTGTCCTGACCTAGAAACAAAGAGTGCCTTGAACATTTCTGGGCACCGAGGAAGGTGTTTAGGTAGTTTCCCAAAACACTGAAAGAAACTAGCCCCAGCCCTGAGCCAAATTCCTTAAACTCTCATATAAACTCCCTATCCTGACACCCGTGTGGCAGACATGCCCTAGGTTGAGCATCTCTTTTTCTTGTTGTCTGCCCAAAGAGATGCTGCAGCACTCTGTAAGTAGGTTCTCTTAATAAATGCTTTGACTGATTACCCTGGTGTCCAGTGTGCTTTTCTTTGCAATCTAAATTGACCCCATTTCAGGACAATTTGGGTTACTCTCTTGTGGGAACTCCCCTACCACTGCTTTTGGGGAAACTCTAGCCACAAGTTCATCCGAGACAAAACATATACACATAAAACTATAATTCTGCCTTTGTAACCACCCAATAGGTTCCTCCTGTCTGCTGCACAAATAAAGACCACAACATTGCAGTAAAGAAAGACTTCAAGTGATGAGAGACCCCCCACACCACATGGGAGATAGAGTTGCACCTCAAATCAATCTCCCCAAAATTTGAGGATCAGGGTTCTTAAGGATAATTTGGGTGGCAGGGGGACAGAAAGTAGAGAGTGGTGATTATTGAGTCAGAGATAAAATCACAGGGAGTTGAAGCTGTCTTTTACAGTTAGTCAGTTCCTGGGTGGGAGCCACAAGACCAGATGAACCAGTTTATCAATTGGGGTGACATCAGCTGGTGCCTCAGAATGCAGTCTGCAAAATATCTCAAAAACCCATTGCAAGTTTTATAGCAGTTACTCCTAAACCATGATTTCTAATTTCGTGTCTAATTTCTTAGTCCTGAAAAGGCAGCCTAGTTCCCAGATAAGAAAAGGGTTTGTTTCGGGAAATGGCTGTTATTGTTCTTGTTTCAGAATTAAACTATAAACTAGGTTCCTCCCAAAGTTAGTTTGATATATGCCCAGGAATGGATAAGGACACTTTGGAGGTTAGAAGCAAGATGGAGTCAGTGAGGTGAGATCTCTTTCACATAATAATTTTCTGTTATAATTTTTGCAAAGGTGGTTTCATCTGTATTTCTGCATCCAAATTTCTTATTAATTTACTCCAAGCTTACTGAATTTTGCCAAATCTAGATAGAATAACTGAATAATTACTCATTAAATCTGTAATTCAGACTTCTTTCTTTGTTTATGGGAAAATAATATTCAACTCCCTTCCTGTGTGAGAATCCTTCTTCTGAAGGAGGTGCATTCAATGACTAGAAATGTAGAATGAGACCCTGATAAATGAAAATGTAAAGAGGACAAAACGATGTCGTGATTTTTATTGCTAACTCATTTGGCTTGTTTTTTAAGCTCTTTTCCCTCAGCTTCGAAACATCCCTTCTCTACTCTGCTGCGTGAGGTGAGGCTAGGGCTGGGGCGCTGTAAAACACATTTCTACTTCCCTAGCTCCTTTATTCATGCTCCTTTAGACTCAAGAAAGAGCACTTGAAGGAAACCTAAATGTTAGAAGAGAAAGAAAAAAACAATCTATTTTCTTTGAACCAGCAACATTTCTTTACCCTGACAGTGGCAGTTCGTTCCTACAGTGGCAGTTGGTTCCGATTCGGGTTTCTCCTATATTTTTAGAATAAGTCTCCATATTTCCCCTCAGAAGAACAAGCTGAGCCTTTTTTTCAGAGATCCAGCCTTGAGTTCCACAAGCCCCTACTCCAATTTGTCAAGGTTTAATAATTCCAACTACTTCCCACCCTAGTGGTGGTAGCTGAGTCCTGCAGTTACTATCTGTGTGTTCTCTCACTGTCTCTCTTTTTTCTTTTTCTTTTCACTCCTCCAATTATATATATATATATATATATATATATATATGTGTGTGTGTATATATATATACACACATATACGTATATATATACACATATATACATATATACACATATATATACACACACATATATATATATAATTTTCTGTTAAAATAATGAAGTTGTCTCAGATGTTCTGTCTGGATCCTACCGTATATACTTTTTTTTTATTTCAGGCTATTAGCTCCTAGCTACTGGTAGTTATGTGGAAGCAACTAGGGAGATAAAAATTGGAAGTTATGTCTCTCCTGAACTCACCTGCTCTTATAGTTTTTCTTAGAAAACACTGAAATATAGGATTGATTTGTATTATTTTCCTCAGGAAAGGGAGCTCTGTCTTACAGGTGCCCTACTGGTTTTTATTTCAATATATATCATTTGTACAAAAATGAATCATTTTAATTATCATCTACTTGTAAGTGATTGCATTTGAAAAGGACAGATTAGAGTTCGTAAAGTTATGACAGTTAGCTATATTTAGGTAGGAAGAAAGCTTTATAGACTCACCAAATAAGAGCTTTAAGAAACGCAGTGCTTAAATCATTCATTCATTCAAGAATAAACATTGGTTATGTGACAAATATTATCCTTCAAGAGATGAAAAACATGATATTTATTTTCAAATATTGTATATTCTGTGTAGAGGAGAACTTCACACCATATTATACGAGTCTGAAAATATAACAGCCACATATTATGACTTTTGTTAAACACTAAAGCAAGAGAAATATAGGCTATACAGGAAAAAGAATAAGGTATTTTGAATAGTGAAGGCCTCAAGGAAGGTATAGATCATTCAACAAGCACTTTTATGTTCTACTGACCATGGTAATTGAGAATAAAGAGTGAACTTCAGAGATAGCTCTGCACTAAAAGATATCTATAATCTTAAGTAAATTATAAGGAGATTTATTCCTCTAAGATTATGCAATACTTAACTTAGTGGCTTCAAATAAACAAACAAAACTTAGTGGCTTAAGACAATAGAAGTCAATTATTTTGCTTCTGAATCTTCAGTTCAAGAGCATTCATGTCAGCTTTACTCATTTTGGGATGTAGTGTCTCTACTTGGATTTAAGGAGATAATTCATTCACATTGTAGGTAATTTGGGGCAGTCAGCCCAGCTGGAATCTTTGCTGGTGCTAGTGCACGGATTGGGTTCCCCTTCACATCGGCCCCTTCATGAGGCTGCTTGAAATTCCTCACAAGATAGTGAGTGAGTTGCAACAGTTGGTATTCTAAGAGACAGAAAGTAGAAGATGTCAATACCATGTGGAATCAGTCCAGAAACAGTGTCACATTCTCTGTATTCTTTTTGGTTAATTAGTCATGGAGCCCTCAATAGATTGAAAAGTAGAGGCTACAGACCCCACTTTTTATTGGAAGAAGTGTTTAAGAATGTGAAGCCATTTTTAATGTACCACTTCTTCATTCTGTCATGTTTGTACGTTCTCTTATATTAACAGATATTGAGTTATCAGTTTTGGGGGTGTTTGTCTTTGAGACAGAGTCTCACTCTGTCGCCGAGGCTGGAGTGCAGTGGCATGATCTCAGCTCACTGCAACCTCCACCTCCCAGGTTCAAGTGATTCTCATGCCTCAGCCTCCAGAGTAGCTGGGGTTACAAATGTGCACCACCATGCCCAGCTAATTTTTGTATTTTTAGTAGAAACAGGGTTTCACCATGTTGGCCAGGCTGGTCTTGAACTCCTGACCTCAAGTGATCCGCCCTGCCTCGACCCCCTCAAAGTGCTGGGATTACAGGTGTGAGCCACCACACCTGGCCGAGGGAGTCAGTTTTAAAATGTCAAAAAAAAAAAAAAACTCAGTTAAAAATTATTTTCAGAAGTTGCATAATTCACTTTAAAAAATAAATTATATATATATATATATATATCTCCATGAGAAGGACTTCCAGAAGGGCAAAGGTTTTCTTGTAATATATTGCAACTAATGATATTAATGATATTAATACTAATATATTAATTATATATATGATATTAATATGCAGCTGGGATATTAATGATATTAATACCCAGCTGGGATAAAGTTAGTAATGATAAAGAGTTATAGTAGATTGACAAGTGATAATTATTCCCAATTAACTAAAATTCTAAGGAAGGGAAGCAGTATACAAATTCAACTGGATATTGTTCTGAAATATATGTATTTTTAAATAAATATAGGTACTTTTAACTTTTTAAATGTCTAATGGTCTTTTTTTCACCATAATTATAATTCGACTTAAGCCATTTATTTAAAAAATTTTCTTCACATCTGAGACTTGCTTCAAATTAGTTCAGGAGAAGGAGAAATGATTGAGAATATAGATAAAACAAGATTGGCCATGAATTGGTCATTGTTATTAACAAGTAATGGCAATTTGAATTTTTTATATTAGTCATTCTATTTTTTCACAGTTTGAAATTTTCCATGATTTAATGTTAAATACAGATGTTTTACTCATAAGAAACGTTTTATAAAAGACATATGAGTAATTCTGTTGGGTTTCACTTTCTGAGAGCTGGTTGTTAAATATTACTAATCCTAAAGGAGTTTAAGAACATTAATTTTTAATCTCTGTCAGTTTAATGATGATCTCTGACAATTAGGGAGCACCTGATATGTATTGTTTAATCAAAGACAAAACCTTCATACATATGAACGTATTTTATATCCAATAGTCATTTGAAGTCTATGGAATCTACCTATTCATTTTTTTTTCTTATTCCTTGCAAAAAGCCTATGTTTAAACATGAAGTTTTAGTCCCCTGCAGCAGCAAAAAGTAGTCTTCACTATGTAAATCAATGCAGGACTGTCACACTAAGCCTCAAGCCAAACAGACTAAAACAATATGACCAAAGGTGATATTAATGAAGCTTTATTTTAGGAATAAAAGATGCACCATTTATATATTAACATTATTAGTCCAGTATATCAAAACAAATAGCTTCCATTCACATATATTGAATAACTGGGAATGAAATAAACTATTTCAACATCAGGCTATATTGGGCAAGAATAGCCCTCCATAGATTAGAGTGGTTATACTTTTCCCTTACTTCAGGTTCGCCAACTGGTATGGGATATGACATTTAGATAGACAATAACAGTGATTTGTTTTATTTTCTAGAAGGAAAGATAATACATTCTGTATTTTCTTGAGACATACTAAAAAAATTCTATCCTATTAATTTAGCTACTAGTATTTATGTACTATTTAGTATTAGTATTTATGTATTATTCACACATGGTTAAGAAAAGTGAGTCGAATGCTTCATATATATAGTCTTTGGGGAAGAAAGCTTACTTATTTTATAAAAGAAATAGAAGACATTGCAAGAAAATTTAAACACTACTGAGACAGAAAACATCAGACATTTAAAAAACTATGCTTGCTATTTTGTTACTGTGCTCATCAACTTTCTGGAGCTTCAGATTTATTAGCAAAAAAGAGAGAGAATTTTAGAACTAAATGGCTACTAACTGTAATAATTACTGAAGACATTGTGATACTTAGGATAAGGATGACTACTATAATATATAAATGCCAGGGGAATTTTCCTCCTCACTCATGTGTCAGTTCAATGCTGATTTTCTTTTTTTCTTTTTTCTTTTTTTGAAACGTAGTCTCACTCTGTCGCCTAGGCTGGAGTGCAGTGGTTCAATCTCGGCTCACTGCAACCTCTGCCGTCTTGGTTCAAGCAATTCTGCCTCAGCCTCCCCATTGGCTGGGATTACAGGCACCTGCCACCACACCTGGCTAATTTTTGTATTTTTAGTAGAGACGGGATTTTACCATCTTGACCAGGCTGGTCTTGAACTCCTGACCTTGTGAACCACCCGCCTCGGCCCTCCAAAGTGCTGGATTACAGACATGAGCCATCGTGCCCAGCCAGTACTGATTTTCGGTAGGCAACCTTCTATAAGACAATCCCAAAAATCAGATTCTTACCAAACTGTCTCCATTATTGTGCGTCTTCAAAAGTCACTATTTAAGAAGTAAGCAAGCATGGGGATAGTAGGGCTTACTTCTTAATAACATCAGCCCAAAATAATACACGTGACATCTGGAACACCCTAAAGGGAAACTGAAATGCCATTAATAGAAATGGATACTCTTTTCCAGACAAAATAGCTCCTTCATAGTTCTAGTAATCCTTGGGTTGACACCTTGGGCATGTATTATTTTCTATGTCCATATTTAAATTGGGCACAGGGGAGAATAGGTAGCTTCTTAGCCTGCCTCCTCTGCAAGTCGTTTTAAGGTTTACCAAAGAATCAAAGGCTTTAAAAAAAAAAAAGCATATAGTTTCTTTCATGAGAATTTATCTTAAAATTGGTAAAGACTAATTTCTGCTTCTGAAAAGACGCACTAGACATACTTCTCTCTATTTCTCCTGTTAACTATGTGCAGCACAAAACCCTGTCCATTACCTACAAGATACACATTGCAAGACAAGAAAGAGGAGAGAAGAAGAAAGACTAGCTAGGAAGTATAGGTCCTGAGAACAATACAATAAATTTGATGCCAAAAACACAATCTATAAAAAAATCAATAATTTTGCTTCATCAAAATTTAAAACTTTTGCTCTATGAAAACCTTTGTTGAGAGGATGGAAAGTCAAGCTACACACAGGGAGAAAATATTTGAAAGCCACACATACAAGTTAACAAAGCACAAGGAAACAGAATACATAAGAGATTCTCAAAACTCAGCAGTTAAAAAATATCCAATTAGGAAATGGGCAAAGACATAAAGAACCATTTCACAAAGGAGCACATGCAAATGACAAATAAGCACTTGGAAATATGTTTAGCATTAATAGCCATTAGAGAAATGCAAGATTAAAACCACAATGAGAAATCATTGTATACCTGTAGGGATGGCTACTTAAAAAAATAAAAATAATAATAATGACATCACCAAAATCTTTTAAGAATTTGGAGAATGGAATCATTCATATCTTGCTGGTGGCTGGTGGGAATGTGAACTTGCACAGCCATTCTGGAAAACAGCATATTTGTTTCCTTAAGAACTAAATATACAAATTCTATTTGACCAAGTATTGCATTGTGGGCATATATTAAAGAGAAGTTAAAACTTACATTCACACAAAATCCTGTACATTAATGTTTATAGAAGCTTTGCACATGGTAACCACAATAATTTTTCCCAAAACTGGAAACAACTCAGATATTCTTCAATGAGTGCACGGTTAAACAAACAGCACTATATCCATACCCTGAAATACTACTGAGCAATGTAAAGGAACTATTAACACACAACATCCTAGACAGATCTCCAGAGAATTATCCTAAATGAAAAGAGTCTATTTCAAAAGGTCGCATACCTGAAGATTCTATTTATATAACATTCTTGAAATTATGAAATTATAGGGTGAAAAACAAATCAAAGTTTGTCAACTGTTAGTGATAAGGGAGTAAGGTTGGTGTGGCTATAAAGGGGTAGTATGAGGAATAGCTTTGTCATCGATATTGATAGCATATTGGAAATAATCTGTAATTTAAAAATGAAATAGCTTATTATTTTGATTGTGGTGACTACCCAAATCTACATTTATGATAAAGTGATATAGAAGTATACAAGTACATTTTACTAATGTCAAAATTTTGGCTTTGAGAGTACACAATAATTATGCAAGATGCCATTGGAACAAACCAGATGAAAATGCATATGACTTATTTCTACCATGTTTGCAACTGCCTGCATATAGATAACTATTTCCAAATTTAAAAATCCTTTGGTGTGTATAATTTTTTTCATGATGTCTTTTCTATATACAGTTACCTTACTCAAAGTCTTTCTCTGTACATAGATTTAAAGTCTGGTTTATTATTTTTTGCTTCCTTACATCATGTTTTCCGCACTTCTTAATTTTGTGATGGATACCTTAGGCAATCTGAAAAAAGGATTCAAATCTTTAACAATAAGCTCTAATGTGAAACAATTGTCTTTCGTTTTTTCTGTGGTGCTGAGTCATTAGTTTAAGTGAAGAGTTTTACATGGTCTTTGCGACTTCAGGTATGCAACCTTTTGAAATGGACTCTTTTCATTTAGGATAATTCTCTGGAGATCTGTCTAGGTTGTTGTATATGTTAATAGTTCCTTTACATTGCTCAGTAGTATTTCAGGGTATGGTTATAGTGCTGTTTGTTTAACCATGTGCTCATTGAAGACTGAGTTGTTTCCAGTTTTTGGAAAAATCACTGTGGTTACTATGTGCAAAGCTGCTATAAACATTAATGTACAGGATTTTGTGTGAATGCAAGTTTTAACTTCTCTTGAATATATGTCCACGATGCGATGCTCGGTTAAATAGAAGTTGTATATTTAGTTCTTAAGGAAACAAATATGTTGTTTTCCAGAATGGCTAAGCAAGTATGCATTCCCACCAGCAAGATACGAGTCATCCCTTTCTCCAAATTCTTTGTGACTGTTCAGTCTTCTATCATCAATGTTGATAGCACAGTGGGGAGAATCTGTAATTTAAAAATAAAATGCAGCACTGGCTTAATGGGTAGACAGTGTGAGAAAGTGGATATCAGTGATTGGAAAGTTAAGCATTTCATAAGGACAAATTATTTGGTAACTCATCATCATTACGAACTTGGAAAAGAGACCACATGCCTATTGAGCTTGAAATTCTATTGAAAATGGTAAGAAAATCAAGAATTAGTGTGAAGTGATCCTCTGCCATAAATAACAACTAGCAATTTTACAAAGTTGGCTTTGACATTTAAAGATATAAACAATTATATCTTGTTTGTACTACAGTAGTTATTGTTTCTAAAGTTTTGTCATCCAGGAGGCTGCAGATTAGCTCAATTAGTATCAAGTATCTTTTAAATCAATGATTATTTATAGGACTAAGACATACTAAAATTTCAATTTATGTTAATCATGGTTTTGGCTACAAATAGCAGAGAATCCAATTTTTTAAGTATAAAAGTTTATTATTCTAACTATATATATACACACATATACATATATGAATATATACATATGCACATACATATATGTATACATGTGTATGTATATATGTGTGTATATATAGCATTAGGATAATACACACACACACACACATATAGGTTGATATATAGACATAGGTTGATAGCTCCAAGGTTTGTTCAGTGGCTCAATAATGTCAAGGATCTGAGCCCACTTGTCTGAAAAGTTTTTGATCTTCTCATGATTAAAATATGGCTTATAGCATTGCTAAGCATCATAAAATTGTCCAGAAAGAAGGACTGATATGAAGGGGTGGTGAGACAGCTTGCTGAGCATCTCCTCTTTTTATCAAGTAGATTAACATTTTCCATCGTTAAAACTGCATTCTATTTCTTTTCCAGGTGTGGACTTTTGAACATCCCTAAACTGATCATTAGTAAAATTAATGAGTTCATTCTCTAGAGGTTATTGTCTAATATCTGAACAAACTCCACAATAAACTCCACAATTCTTTTATTCAGAAAGCAAAGATAGACCACCAATAGTGGCTACTACACAGTGAAAAGACAGAACTAGGGGACAATTATGGGTTCTAAATATTCAGTGTAACTTAATAAATATAACAGAATGTGTCAAATGCATTAGTTTTAATGGAATAGGTGAAAGTTCCATTCAAATGCCACCACTTAGTACATATTCAAGATTAGAATGTAATACCATTTTGATATTATAATCTGTAGGCACATTTTTTTCATTCAATGCCACTACATATAACCTTGAAGTGAAGTGGCCATATCTTCATCTCAGCCTCCCCTATTTATGATGGAAGCCTTGAGGGATAAGTTGACATCTATTGCAAACATAGTGACATACATATTGGATTTCCTTTGAAAATTATAATTTCATATACTCCATCCCATTAACAGCTAAGTATAGTGGTGATTTTTAGATCAAATATTCCAAGTTTCCAAGATCGAACTTCCATAATCAGAGTTAAGTAAAAAGATTCCCTGCTTTTCCCCCCACTCAATATAACCATGGTGTATAATTGGCCACAATATTTCTCAAGTTGATAAGAAAGAGAGAAAACTACACAGAGAGGGAAGGTATATTACATTCACTGTCTTCAGCAAAGTTGAGAATTTATCATAATAGTTTAAAATAAATCCTGAAAGAATAAAAATATTTTGAATATTTATTAAGAGAAAAGGTTTATATCACTAATGTAAAGATTTGCTTATTATTTTTCACAAATATGTTGCACAATTATTATAGTGAATGGGCGTTAGCTATGAGCAATAAGGCGTAAGTTCATTGAGTAACACAAAGACAAATTGGACAGAAATATGATAATAATTCAACAGTTCACTTCAATTCCAGAAAATATAAGTGTTGTAAATATTCAGAGAAGTACAAGCTACTTTTCTCTCCCTCTGCCTCCCTCTCTCCACTCTGTTAAAGATGGGTATGGCACAGAAAATATCAAGGATTAAGGAAATTTCAGTGTTAGAGGAAGCATTTTATCTGAGCTTTGAAAATTATATGTATTTTATACATGCAAATATAGAAATATCTATATTTTTCAGGACCCCCTATACATTTATCTTCCTATATTGACATGCTATGTCTTCTATACCTACGTTTTTTCTTCTCTATTTTCTTCTAACATTTCTACCTATGATAATATTCAACTATATGTACTTACTGGTGATAAATTACCTGAGTGTAAAAAAGAAACTTTTAAGTTAATAAACAAATACAAAACTTTTCTGCACTAAAAACTCTTCACAAATTATTACACTAATAATGGCCACTTTTTGGCATAGTAACAAATACAAAAGTACGGAGCCACTTTTCAGTTCTGTGTCTCCCCCTTAGAAACCAGTTTACTTAACTCTTGGAGGACATCTCTTTACTAATAAACACAGGAGGAAAGAGGAAGGGAGATTGGGAGTTTGGGAGGACCCCTGCCTTTTTCCTGAAAGCATGTGGAGAGGTGGGCACACCATTGGGCTATCTCTTTCACTTCTTCTCAGCACAGTATGACAGATGCGCACAGCACGGAGGAGCCGGAAAACAGCAAAGTATAAAGAACCAGCTGGCTCTCTTAACCTGCAAATTCAGAAGCCTACAAATTGGTAGAAAATCTTGCAGTAGTGATTTCTTGAGGAATTTAAGGTGCCACATAGCACAAAACCCTAATCTATAATCTCTTCCTCAAGGGAAAGATGTAGTTTATACATTTTTAATGTATAGACTAGTTTAACATGAAGTTGAAAGTAATCATGGTTGTACTACATACATTTTTTCCATTGCTCCAAGTGGGGGGAAAAAAAAGCCCAGATATGTTCTCAAACCAGCTACTACAGATGCTATATTATATAAATGGTTTCAGTTATTAAGAAGAAACAACATTTATTAAATTGTTTTAAATATTTGTCTATAACTGCTATTATATAACATTGTAATTATATCCTTACATGTCATACTAAACAACACCTTCATTGTTCAAAGAAGAAAGAAAACTTTATTCATTGTTCACTGAGAGAAAACTTTCAGAATGGCCATTTTGAAAGGATAATAAAATAATCCTAAAAGCACATGCACATAAGCACATAGAAAAGAAAGCTAGGATTGTAAGCAACAGGGTGAAATGGATGGTGGGTGGTGGGGAGGTTAATTGTTTACTATTTCCATGCAAATGTTTCTCAACTGTCATTGACAGAACAAGAAAAAAGATTTTCATTTGCAATTGTTTTAAATTAAAGTTTTATTTTTTAAAACTTTTTTTTTCTGATGATGAATACATTAAGGCATGGATAGTGCATTCTGAGTTTTCAAAATGAGACCTCATGATGACAGATGTAGTAGCATGGAAATGATAGTCACTCTCCTTTCAATAATGGAAGCTGACTCATGGAATCAAAGTGTTACAGGAAATACTAAGTTGTTTCCTTCAAGTTTCACAAAAATATTGGCAGAAAAAACTAGCTGGACAATGAACAGAGCAGATGCCTACTCTCTTTATACTTTTTCTTATCTAATGGTACCAGCCTAAGCATATCCTGTGTCCTTACTTCTGAATCTTGGATTGTATGACATTAACATTCAGCTTGACCACCCATGTGTGTAAATCTTAGGCTAGAAAAGCACTAGCTAAGGCAGCATCTTCTGCTTTCTATTGCTTACTCTGAATTCATATCAGTAAGTTCAAACATAATCTTCTACAGTCACTAATACTACATCAGAACGGTCGGAAATTGTTTATTCCTCCGTTTCTGATTGCTCAGCCACTGACATTCTATGGAGAAGATGACACATAGATGTTTAAGCAGAGCATAAAAATGGAGACATGTTATCTGAGCAGTCACTATAATCACAGCAAATAAAATATACTGCAAAAATAGATAACGTGTTTAGTCTAATAGGAGCTCAGATCCTAATTCCCCAATGACCTTCTCAGTTGAAAAGGATTACCTTTGGGAGTAAATACTCTGAGACAACACATACTTGACAGCTGTTATTGAAAAATAACAGAAATTTTATTTGACACTCAAATAATGGGTTTGATTAAAATCTGGGGGCTTATTGTAAGTCAAAAACAAAAATTAGAATCCTTTACATTTAAGTGCTAACTACATTTTGCTATTCTTGTTGAACTTCCTATTCTAAAACCAGAAAAGGTATGGCAAATAATTTTCAAACTTTTTACAGATTCTTCCTACAGTTGAAGTAAATGTGAAATGTAATGTATCAGGTCCTGTAACCTTATCAGAGACAATAAAATGTACAGGATTGTACAATATTTCACTTTATTTTTAAATTAGCAATGTTTCAGCATGGTGAATGTAGTTAATAATAAACTTGTATACTTGACATTTACTAAGACCAGTAGATCTTAATTCTCATAAAAAGAAAAAGTAAGTATGTGAGGAAATGTTAGGTAGCTTGATTGAGGGAATCATTTCACAACAATACATATATCAAAATATGTTGTAGGTCTTAAATGAAAAATTAACAATATTGCTCTTTTACTGACTAACGTATTTAGTTTCTGCTCTATATTTCAATTTGTGGTTCCTGTGACTATTAGTATTTATGTAAATAATGTGTAATATTGCATTCTCTACATAGATAACCAACCTGCTGGCACATAAAATTATGTCAACAATTGTAAAAAAATAGTATATACGTAGTGATTAATAGCTTAGGTACTATAATAGGAAGGATTGGCTTGGCATGCCTTGGAGAAAGAAAATTTATAAATAAAATGTAATTTATTCAGTACAAAAAATTGTATAAGTGTTGAATATCCCAAATCTAAATGTCCAAAATCTGAAATACTCCAAAACCAGAAACTTTTGGAATGCCACCATGACACTCAAGGTAAATACTTATTGGAGTATTTCAGATTTTAAATTTTTGGATTACAGATGCTGAGCCAGTAAGCATAATGCAAATATTTCAAAATCTGAAAAAAAAATTGAAACACTTTCGGACCCAAGTATTTTGGCTAATGTATATTCAAACTGTATGCTTCTTAATAGTTTACTAAAATGATCACAGCGCAGATGACATAGTCTTATCAATGCTTTGATAATTAAGGAAGGTATACTTCTTATATACATTTATTTCTGAACTCTCTGTGGGAGCAATATCTATATGTGTGTGTATGTGTGTTCATATACATTTGTGTTGTGTGTGCATGCACTATATATAATATAGTATGTAAAATAAGAACAGAAAATAAAAACGAACTCATAACATGGCTCTTTATCTCTAAAACTAAAGATTTCTAGAGCAATTGTCAGTTGCCAAATAATTTCAGCTAATCATTTGACCTAGTCAATACATAGTTGTAATATCTGAACATTGATCATTGACAATTGCAATGAATATTTTAATCTTTTAATCCATAGTGGACAGAGGGGTTAGGGAGGGGAGAGGGAGAGGGAGAGGGAGAGGGAGAGGGAGAGAGAGAGAAAGAGAGAGACAGAGAGAGAGAGAGAGATAAGAGAGAAAAGAATAATAAATATAGAAAATAATTTGGAATTAATGTTATCAGTTGGGTGAAAACAGAGATGACATTGGTATATGAAGTCGACTTCCCTTCCTTTTCTCTGCCCTCTGTAATTTTTTTTTTCATCCACATAATGTCTGGGATCTGTTGACATGTAAATATTTTAAGAGTACTAACTAAACCCTTGCTATCGTCTTAACTGGTTTGATAGTCTTCAAGTTTCTTTTTTTCAGAATTGCAGAAAGTAGATCATGGTTCATGGATAGTATTACAAAATTCTGATATCATAACAGTAACATTTATTTTGATTATATATAGAATATACATTAACTTCACAATGCTCTGAGACTATTTATATGTGGAACATGTGTAGCTTCTCCCCAGAGATTTTTGAAATGATTCCGTGGATTTATAATTTAAACAAAAAAAATGTCTGACTGGGAGGACATAAATTCATCAAGAGTGAGTTTCATTCATAGGGAATGAAAACAGCCCACCCTATAATCAGGTGGAGGCTTCTAGGTTGTCAAATCTTCCTTAGACACACTCCTGTAAGGCATCTGACTAACAGGAACTGGATAATTTTTCAGGGCTTCCTGAATAAGTCTGTCCTGTAGATATAAATATTAAATCGCTCTTCTGTATCTGATCCAGAACTGTGATAATACAGATACATTTGATACAGTATAATACCCTTTTTCCATTTACTTATACATTCTTTCCTAAAAATCATTCCATTTTTAAAAGTAAAAGCACTCAGATATCATTCAAAAACACTAATGGTTTGGTTTTTCAGTAGAAATGTATCATTAAACAGATTATAGAGTGGATACCAGGCTTAAAATCACTTCAATTTTATAATCTTTCCACATTGGTTGTCAGAAATACTGGGAAATGGAAACGGCATCTATGAAATGAAACATCACTGTATTATAATACAGTTTCATCTTTTAAAAGTCCTTATATGCATTGTAAAAGAAACTGGGTAGCTCATTAATGAGAATAGAGAAGAATAAGATCTGGCTATTATTCCAAGTGTTTTGTTTTAGCCTCTCTTTTTTAATTAAAATGAAAAAGCATATTAGACTAGAATATCACAATATGTATTACTAATATGATTTTCTACACTCAGAAGTCACAGTTGCTGTTTTTGGCAGCTGCCAAAGGAAATGGGCAAAAGAAACCATGAATTCACAGTGAATGATAAGTTATACCATACCCTAAGAAATGTCTTGCTGATACAGAATTCTATATGATGTGCTTTTAACTGGATTTATTCACTTCGGATCCTGGAGTCCTAACTATAACTGTGATGTAGTAGCCTCCCGAACAAAATTCAAAGTAATATCTCAAAGACTTCTAAAACACGTTCATGTTAAAAAAGACCTACCAAGAATGTGTGAATTCATTCTCCAATTATTAACAATGTGCATTTTCTACAAATTCATTTATAACTAGTTATAAAGCATGTTTAATTGCTTCTGTTATAAAAATCACTTTTTTTTTTTCCTCACCAGAGTCCATTAGAACCTGTATCCCGGTAGTTGAGAAATTAAAAAACTAAATTCTAATATAAACTTACTTCTGAGAAACTAGCAGTATTCATGTCTATTCAGCTTATATTCATAGTATGATTATCATTTGGTTTTGCACTAATTTGTTGCTACAAAATAATATTTGAGTACTAAGACCTTTACATGAGTTCTACGGAAATTTATTTTTATGGTGAAAATGTTTATTTAAATTGACAGATAAGAGTATACGTGTTTATTGTGTACAACATAACTGTTTTGAAGTATATGTATATTATATATATATTTATATATATACTTGAAGTATATGTATGTATATGTATACACATATATGCTAGTTATTTTGTACTAGTTATTTAAATGTTTGATGGTATTTACTATATACAGTATATAGTATGTATATATTATATAAAGATATATATCCACATATATATGCCAGTAATTTTGTACTATTTAAATGTTGATGGCATTTGCTATATATATATTTAGTCTAAATAAATAGCAAAATATATTTGTATCTTCACTTGCACATTAATGCAAGTGAAGATATAAACATAAATAGTATTTAATTCATGAATAACATGTATAGTATTTACTTACACAATTATTCAATTGTGTATATATACCAGCCTTTTGCTAAATCTAGCAAACTAACATATACTTTACTTCACATAGTTGTCATTTTTGTTGTGAGAACACTTTATATCCACTCTCAGCGTTTTTCAAGAATATAGTAAATGTTAACTATAGTCATAATTTTTTGCAATAGATCTCTTAAACTTATTTGTCTTTACTGAATATTTGTATTTTTTCACCAATATTTCTTTAAACCACAAACCCCAAACCCCAACAATGTCAGCCCCTGGTAACCACCATCATACTCTCCATGTCTATGATAGCAACTTTTTAAGTGTGATATTTGTCTTTCTGTGCCTGGCTTATTTCACCTAACATAACATAACACAACATAACACAACACAACACAACACAACAACATAACACAACATAACACAACATAACACAACATAACACAACATAACACAACATAACATAACATAACATAACATAACATAACATAACATAACATAACATAACATAACATAACATAACAACGTACTCTCCGGGCTCATTGATATTGCAGCAAATAATGTCCATTAGGTTAATCCATGTTGTAGCCTTATTTTTTATGGCTGAATAGTATTTAATTATTCAATCATGTGTATATACCATATTTTCCTTTTTCATCCATTAACAAATGGGCATGAAAGTTGATTTTATATCTTTGCTATTGTGAATAATCCAACAATTAACATGCAAATGAAGATATATTTTCCACATATGCACAGTAGTGGAATTGCTGGATCATATTTTTATTCTATTTTTACTTTTATGAGAAACCTATTTTTGAGGAATATTGTTTTTTAAAAGGACTGTATAGTTTACCTTTCCACCAACAGTGTGTAAGTTCCCTTTTCTCCACATCCTTGCCAACACTTATTTTTTGTATTTTTGATAACAGCCATTCTAACAGGTGTGAAGTTATATCTCATCATGGTTTTAATTTACTTTTCCCTGACAATCAGTAATGTTAAGCATTTTTAAATATATCTGTTGATCTTCTGTATGTCTGCTTTTTATAAATGTCTATTCAGATTCTCTGCCCATTTTATAACTCATTAGGTTTTTTTCTGGCTATTAAATTGTTTGAGTTACTTATATATTTTGGATATTAACGCCTTATCAGATGTGCATTGTTTGCAAATGTTTTCTTCCATTCTATACATTGAATCCTCAGTCTGTTGATTGTTTTCTTTGTTGCAAAGAAGATTTTTAGCTTGATGTAATTGTACATGTGTATATTTGCTTTATTTTTTTGCCTGTGGTTTCAAGGTGATACAGAAAAATTGTTACCTATATTGATATCATGGTGCTTCTCCCTTATGATTTCTTCTAGCAGTTTCATAATTTCAGGTCATACAAGTAAGTCTTTCATCCACTTTGAGTTGATTTTTGTATATGGTGTGAGACAAGGGCCAAATTTCAATTCTTCTGCATGTAGATATCCAGTTTTATCAACACCAATTATTGATTGACACCTCTGTCAAAAATGAGGGTTGGCTGTAAATGCATAAATTTACTTCTAGGTTCTGTATTCTGTTACATTTGTCTATGTATCTGGTTTTTATGCGAGTACTTTGTATTTAGTTATTAGAGCTTTGTAGTACATTTTGAAGTGAGATAGTGTGATGCCTCCAGTTTTGCTCCTTTTGCTTAAGATTGGTTTGGTTATTTGGAGAATTTTGTAGTTCTGTAGAAATTTTAGGATTATTTGTCTATTTCTGTAAAGAATATAATTGATATCGTGATAGAGATAACATTGAATCTATAGATCATTTTTGGTATAATGGACATTTTAACAGTATTAATTATTCCAATTCATGAACACCAGGTACCTTTCCATATATTTGTGTCTTCTTCAATTTCTTTCACCAATGTGTTACAGTTTTCAGTGTAGAGATCTGATCTTTCAACTTCTCAATTAAATTTATTTCTAAGTATTATATTTTTATTTTAGCAATTGTAAATAGGATGACTTCTTGATCTCTTTTTCAGATTGTTTTTAATCATGGAAATGCGACTGATTTTTGTATGTTGATTTGGTATCTTGCAACTTTACTGATTTTTTCTATTAGTTCTAATGGAGTTCTGGTGAAGTCTTTGGGATTTTTAAAATATATGATCCTGTCTGCAAACAGAAACAGTTCAACTTCTTCCCTTCCAATTTGGATGTCTTTAATTGCATTCTTTCCCCTAAGCCCTCGGGCTAGAACCTCCAACACTCTATTGAATAGAAATGGCAATAATGGGCATCCATGTCTTGTTCAAGGTTTTAGAAGAAAAGTTTTCAACTTTTCCCCATTAAACATGATGTTACCTGTGGGCTTGTCAGATGTAGCCTTTATTATGTTGAGGTTTATTCTTTCTATACCTAATATGTTGAAATGTTGTATCATGAAGGGATGTAGAATTTTGTCAAATGCTTTTTCTATATCTAATGAAATGCTTAAGTGGTTTTACTCTTTTTTAAATTCTTTTATGGTTTTTGCTCTTCATTCTGTTAAAGTGATATACCACATTTACTGAGTTTTATATATTGAACCGTTCTTGCATTCCTGGGATGAGTCCCACTGGACCATGGTGAATGATCTTTGTAATGTGCTTTTGAATTTGGTTTGCTAGTTTTTGCTGTTGTTGTTGAGGATTTTTGCATCTATGTTTATCAGGGATATTGGCTCACCTTGTAAAACAAGTTTGAAAGTATTCCTTCCTCTCTGATTTTTTGGAAGAATTTGAGGAAAATCAGTACTAGTTATTAAATGTTTAATGGAATTTAGCAGTGAATCTATCAGTTCCTTGGCTATTCTTCGATAGGAGACATTTTACTGTTGATTCAATCTTCTTACTCATTATTGGTTTGTTAATAGTTTCCATTTCTCCATAATTCAGTCTTGGTAGGTTGTATGTGTCAAGAAATTTATTTCTATTGTCATCCAATGTGTTGGTATATACTATTTTATAATAGTGTCTTATGATATTTTACATTTTGGTTGCATCAGTTTCAATGCCACTTTTTAATTTCTGATTTATTTATTTGAGTATTCTTTTTCTTTATTCCTAGTTAGTAGAAGTTTGTTTTTTTATCTTTTAAAAAACTCTTTTCTTGATCTTTCCTATTGTTTTTCTCATCTCTATTTCATTTTATTTGCTCTTAGCTGTAATATTTTCTTCCTTCTACTAACATTGGACTCAATATGTTCTTAATTTTCTAGCTTTTTGAGGTGCATCATTAGGTTGTTTGAGATCTTTGTTGTTTTTTTTTTTGATGCAAATGTTTATTGCTAAATCTTCACTCTTAGAACTGCTTCTCCTATATCCCATGTGTTTTTCTATGTGGTCTTTCCATTTTTATTTTTCTGAAAAAAATTATACTAACTCTTTTAATATATTCATTCACCCATTGTTTGTTCGGGGCTTACTGTTTAATTTCCATGTATTTGTGAACTTTCCACATTTCCTCCTGTTATTGATTTCTATATTTATACCATTGTGGTAAGAGAAGTTACCTGATGTGATTTTAATACATCTTAAACTAGTTAAGATACATTTTGTGACCTAACTTACGATCTATGCTGGAGAATGTTCTATGTGCAGTTAAGAAGAATGTGTATTTTGTAATTTTTTCTTACTGATTTTCTGTCTGAATAATCTGTCCTTTGCTGAAAGTAACATGTTGAAGTGCCCTAATATCATTGTATTGTAGTCTATCACTCCCAGATCTATTAACATTTGTTTTCTATATTTAAGTGTTCCTATGTTGGGTATATATATATTTATAATTGTTATATCCTCTTGATGAATTATGCACTTTATATAATGACCTTCTTTGTCTCTTTTTATAGTTTTTGACTTATCTTATGTAAGTATAACTACTCCTGCTCTCTTATGGTTTCTGTTTCCGTGGAATATCTTTTCTCACCTCTTCACTTTCAGTCTGTTTTTTCTTACAAGTAAAGTGAGTCTCTTATAGGCAGCATATAGTTCAGTCTTGTTTATTATCGATTCACCCATTCAACCACTGGTATGTATTGTTCCCTTCCTTTTATTTTTTGTGCTTCTACTAGATGATTTTGCTTTGTGGCTGTCGTAAGGCTGACAAAAGTTTTTATAGTTACAACTGATTATTTTAAACTAAAAACAACTTAACTCTAATGGCAAATAAAATAAAACACTTTCCATTTTTACTCCATTCCCTACATACATATTTTAAATTTCTGATGTCACAATAAACAAAAATAAAAATAAATTAATATTCCATATTTTTAAATAATAATTTTGTCTTGAATCCTTTACACAAAAGATACAAGTGATTTATACACCACCATTACAGTAATAGAGTATTCTCAATTTGATTGTGTACTATCTTTTATTAGTGAGTTTTATACATTCAGATGTTTTTGCATTACTCAGTGTCTTATTTTCTTTCAGCTTGAAGAATTTCCTTTAGCATTTCTTATAAGACATGTCTGGTGGTGACAAATTCCCTCTGCTTTTGTATGTCTGTGAAAGTGTTTATCTCACCTTTATCTAAAGGACAGCTTTGATGGGTATATTATTCTTAGTTGAATTTTTTTTTCTTTCAGCTCTTTGAATACATTATGCCACTCTCTTTAGGACTGTAAGGTTCCTGCTGAGAATTTTCCTCTTAGGCATACTAGAACTCCCTTATCTGTTATTTGCTTGTTTTCTCTTACTGCATTCAAGATCCTCTTTGTCTTTTATTTTTGACAATTTGATTATGATATGTCTTGAGGTAATCTTATATGGATTGAATATGATTAGAGATGTTTGACTTTCCTGTACCTGATGTTTATCTCTTTCTCTAGGCTTGAAATGTTTTGTGCCATTGTCTCTGTAAGTAAGAATTTTATCCCTGTATCTTTCTCTTCTTGAGCCTCTACAACTCTAACAATTGCTGCTTTGACACTGTCCCATAAATCCCATAAGCTTTCTTCACTTTCCCTTTTTTAAGTTTTTTTTCTCTTCTGACTGTATATTTTCAAATAATCTGTGTTTGAGTTCACAGAGTCTTACTTCTGCTGATTAATTCTACTGTTGGTGTTCTCTATTGCATTTTTCATTTTGGTCATTATATTTTTAGCATCAAGATTTCAGTTTGATGTTTTAACTTATTATGTCTATTTCTCTATTAAATTTTTCATTTTGGTTGCTTACTGTTTTCCTCATTTTGTTGAATTGTTTGTTTGTTTTTGGAGCTTTCTGAGAAAACTACTGAATGAAAAACTTTGGAAGTTTTGCTTAGGAATATGCATTTAAAAGTACCCCACGTTGACTTATGTGCACTTTAATACTTGTTATATATTGGTTTAATAAATTTTTATACTATTTGTATAATAAAAATATTTTATTATCTGTAATTATTTCACCATGTGTATCATAATACAGAATCAACAGAGAAACAGATAATGAGATAGAAAAATATGTAGTATGTATTGTGCATATATATGGGGCATACCTCATATAATAAAAATCTTTAAAAAATAACATTGTATTAATGTGGATCTAATTTTCTGAGGTAATAAGAAAAGAAAGAGGTTACTGATTTCTCTACATTCGTCTAGTCCTTACAACTCTGAGCCTTCTAACTGCTTTCCAAGTAAGTAACTAATATTTTAGTTGATGTATCAAAGGCAAAATTTTAATATATCTTGTCCAAATTGTAGTCAATGTTTTATTACGTGTGTATGTTATTGTCTAAGCTGAAATTAAAAAGTAAAACAGTTTTTCACTATAACATGTATTTGTGTTAACCGGTAAAAACATGCAACATCACAATATTTACTAGGATTCAAAAGTGAAATCATCATAATAATTTTATTTCATAGTTAAATATTTACTTAAAATTTTTAATGTGCCAAATATATTGTTTTAGCTAACTTTACTTTTAAAATGGAAACTTTTGAAGGATAATAATTTCCTAGATTATAAATTCCATAAGATTAGGACTCATAATGTTCTTGTTCTTAATATTATTGCCAATTCTCAACATTAGCCCTGACACATAGAAGATTCTAAAAAGATACTGGCTATACAGTTGTACCCAAATTTGTGTCTGTATGAAACTATTTAAAGAGTATCTTCTTCATTTGAAGAGTGTTTTGCAAAATAGTAGTTGTTGAATAAATGTTTTTTGGTTAGAATTGGGTTTGATTTATATTTTCATAATCAAAGGAAAATTAATAGTAAAATCTATTAATAGATGGTGTTCAACCCTTTGAATGTGAGGATTTTTTGCTTATCTATGATGGCAGATATCACAAAAACTGTGCATGGACTTTTTTTTTAGCTTATCAGTTATAGTTATTCTTATTGTATTTTATGTGTGGCCCAAGACAATACTTCTTTCAATGTAGCCCAGGGAAGCAGAAAGGTTGAACACCCATGTTCTATTATTTACACAGCACTCATAAGTTCATACATTAAGGAAATACTGTGCATTCTTCAAGAGGTAAACGATATTGCGTCTACTAATTTTCAATTGTGCTTATTATATAAACATGTTATTATTGTTATTACACAATGTCTTCATGTCAATTTGTGTGCAACAATATAGCTACATAGAGTGCATGCGCACACACATTTATTTCAAACCCAAAAGGGTTACATGAAACAAATCAGACTCAGGCAAGAATAAAATGCTTTTATATGATATATTTTTGAGAGCTGCATTCATGTATGATACTTCAAATTACATTGTCTGAAAAACTCAATTGAGTTAATAGATTTAGGCTTATTAAATTACTGAGATTTTAGAAAGATATGGTTTGGAATACTACTTAAAATTAAGTAAAATCCAATATGGTAACTTAAAAGACAGTTCTAAACTAGAATCACATTTAAATTAGTTTTCTGTATCTTCTGCTTATAGAACAAATAAAGAAACTGGAGCAGAAAATCAGTCACATTAAATTTACCACCATTCAAAAAGCCAAGGTAAGCTAAAAAAGTACATTAAGCTTTTATATATGGCTAAGGTTCACAGGTTAACAGAGACAAGTAAAAATTATTGCTAGTTCTAGTAAAAGCTTCCACTCAAAATGGAGCTGAAAGATATTTTAAATATCTTCTTTAAGTTACATATATGTTACATTAGAATAAGCAATTTTGCTGAGCTAATTTTTCTCTTACTCCAATTGTTATTGTTATTACACAATTTATAGAAATGTTAATGCTTTGCAATTTAATTGTTAAAGAACATTTCATAATTCGATTTTATTTACATTTTCTGTCCTTATACATTGTTAATTGCAAATTTATAATGCAGAAGCCATAATTTTTTATTGTATTCATAATGCCCATCTCGCTATGTATAGAGAGTTAATGTTAAACTGCCAGTAGTGGTTTTTAAAAAGCATATGATAATAAACATTGACTATAGAACACTGTGACAGTCAAGAAGCAAATGACTGTAATAGCACAACTGGAAACAGTTAAAAACATTGGCATGGAGAACACCAAAGCAATCTGAGCTGGATGAAAAACAAAAGCCTTTGCTAAATAGCTCTTTCCTACAACTCTCTAAAAATAAAGCACAAAAAGGCAAAACAACCTTCTCCAAGCATCAGTCCATCATTAATTTAATCTCTTTATTTGCAGATATCCAAAAACTCTGTTCATTGTATCTTCATTCAAAATTCTGTCATAGTATAATTGTAGAACTTAGGTTGAAAGTGCTCCACAAGGCTCTGTGTAAAGCAGGCTTTGCTGATTTTTTTTTTCAGCCAGTTCTTAAGAATTTAAATATACACTATTTTGGGTGGACATTTGATTTTTTTGGAAGAATCTCATGTAGTTGAGTATGGCCCAAAAATTTTGTCCAAGAGTAACTGATACCGCTTTGAAAGCCATTATTTATTTATTTTTTCAACTTTTATTTTAGGTTCTCGGGTACATGGGCACGTTAGCTGCATGGTTGTATTGTGTGTCAGTGAGGTTTGGGGTGTGCATTATCCTGTCACCCAGGTAGTGAGTGGATAATAGCTGATAGATAGTTTGTCAGCCATAACCCCTCTCTTTTCCTCCCCCATCTAGTAGTCCCATGTATCTATTTTTTTCACCTTTATGTTTATGTGTACTCAGTGTCTAGCTCCCATTTATAGGTGAGAACTTTTGGTATTTGGTTGTTGATTTATGTGATCATTTGTTTATGATACTGGCCTTCAGCTACATACATGTTGCTGCAAAGTACATGGTTTTGTTCGTTTTTTAAGGCTGCTTCATATTCCATGGTGTATATGTACCACATTTTCTTTATCCAGTCCCCCATTGATGGTCACCGAGGTGGATTCCATGTCTTTGCTATTGTGAATAGTGCTACAATGAACATACAAGTGCAAATGTCTTTTTAGTGAAACAATTCATTTTCCTTTGGGCGAATACCTAGTAATGGGATTGCTGGGTTGAATGGTAGTTCTAAGTTCCTTGAGAAATCGCTAAACTGCTTTCCATAGCAGTTGAACTAATTTACATTCTCCCCAATATTATATAAGCATTTTATCTTTTCCACACCTTCATCAACATCTGTTATTTCTTGGCATTTTAATAAAAGCCATTCTGACAGGTGTGGGATACTATCTTATTGTGGTTTTTATTTGCATTTCTCTAATGATTAGTGATCATAAGCATTTTTTTCATGTTTGTTGACTGATTGTATGCCTACTTTTAAGGATAATCTGTTTACGGTTTTTCCCCATTTTTTAATGAGGTTAGGGTTATCTAGGTATAGAATCATATTATCAGTGAAGATGGATTGTTTAATTTATTTTCCAAATTGGATGCCTTTTTTGTCTTTCTCTTGCCTGATTGCTTTGGCTAGAACTTCTGGTACCATGTTGACTAGGAGTACGGAGAATGCGCATATGTGTCTTGTTTCAGTTCTTAAGTGGAATGCTTTCAGCTTTTATTCATTCAGTATGATGATGGCTACAGGTTTGTCATAGATTGCTGTTATTATTTTGATGTCTACTCCTTCATTGCCTAATTTTTTGAGAGTTTTTATCATAAAGTGATATGGGATTTTATCAATAGTTTTTATTGTTTCTATTGAGATGATCATCTGGTCTTGGTTTTAATTTTATTTATGTGATAAATCGCATTTATTGATTTGCATATGTTGAGCCAGTTCTGGACCTCTGGAATAATTCCTAAAGATCATGGTCAATTAACTCTTCAATGTGCTGCTGGATTCAGTTTCCTAGTATTTTTTTGAGGATTTTTGTGTCTATGTTCATTAGTAATATTGGACTGCAGTTTAAATCTTTCGTTATGTCTTTGTCAGATTTTGCTATCAGAGTGTCACTGGCTTCGTAGAATGAGTTATGGAGGAGTCCCTCTTCTTCTATTTTTTGGAATAGTGTCAGTAGAATTGGTACCACCTCTTCATCATATGTCTGGCAGCATTCAGCTCTGAATTGGTCCTGTCTAGCATATTTTTGAGGGGTTGGTAGGCTTCTTCTAACTGATTCAATTTTGGAACTTGATATTGGTCTGATACAATTTGGCTGTGTCCCCACCCAAATCTCATCTTGAATTGTAGTTCCCATAATCTCTACATGTCATTGGAGGTACCCAGTGGAACATAATTGAATCATGCATGGGGGCAGTTTCTCCCATACTAGTCTCATTATAGTAAGTTCTCACAATATCTGATGGTTTTATAAGGGGCTTCTTCCTTTGCTTGGCTCTTATTCTCCCTACTGCCACCTGATGAAGAGATACCTTCTGCCATGATTGTAAGTTTCTTGAGGCCTCCCCAGGCATGTGGAACTGTGAGTTAATTAAACCTCTTTCCTTTATAAATTACCCAGTCTCAGGTATGTCTTTATTAGCAGTGTGAGAAGGGACTAATACAGTAAATTGGTACTGCAGAGAGTGGGACGCTGCTGTAAAGATACCTGAAAATGTGGAAGTGACTTCGGAACTGGGTAACAGGCAGATGCTGAAACAGTTTGGAGGGCGTAGAAGAAGACAAGAAAATGTGGGGAAAGTTTGGAACTTTCTAGAGACTTGGAGGGCTCAGAAGACAGGACGAGGTGGGAAAGTTTGGAATTTCCTGGAGACTTTTTGAATGGCTTTGACCAAAATGCTGATAGTGACATGGACAATGAAGACGAGGGTGAGATGATCTCAGATATGTAGCTTAGTTTGGCAGGATATGATATTTTTGGCTGGAGGTGTTTTTGTTTTTGTTTTTTTTCTTTCAGAATGCTGAAAATAAGCCCCTTCTGGCTTGTAATATTTCTGCTGAGAAGCCCACTCTTAGCCTAATGGGCTTCCTTTTGTATGTGATCTGAACTTTTTGTCTATCAGTCTTTAAGATGTTTTTCTTTAATGTTGACATAGTGGGTCTGGTAACTATATTCAGGTCATCAGGCATTACATTCTCATAAGGAATATACAACCTAGACCTCTTGCATGCTCAGCTCACAAGAAGGTTCACAATCCTATGAGAATCTACTTCCACCACTAATCTGACAGGAAGTAGAGCTCAGGCAGTAATGCTTGCTCATCTGCCGCTCACCTCCTGCCGTGCAGCCACAGAAGAGCACTGGTCTAACAGGCCACAGATGAGTACTGGTCTGTGGTCTGGGAGTTGGGGACCCCTGTTTTGTACTATCTGGTAGATGTTGTCTGAATTTCTTATGTGTAGATGTCTACGTTTCTAGGGAGACTAGAAAAATTTTCCTGAGTCATTACCTCAAATATATTTTCCACATTGTTTATTTTTCTCCTTCTGTCTCAGGAATGGCAATAATTCACAGATTTGGTTGCTTTACATAATCCCATATTTCTCAGAGACTTTGTTCATTTTTTA